>NC_000006.12:107570790-108820790 GCF_000001405.40 Homo sapiens
GTGCTATCACAATCCATTGTAAATAGGTCCATATCTCAACTTTCTTCCTTGACTTTATTTGAATTACTTGTAAGCTTTCTCCCTCAACATATTAACAAATAACCTTTGGGCCAATAAAAATGCAATTTTTGTGCTTACGGTTTTCGTGAATGCGAAGGGATTTGCTGTCCTTGACGGTATTCATCTAGAACCTAGAACAACGCAAGACTCTGTAGGCCACTTGCATCTACCACACCTCTCCTGATCAGTGGATCTGGGGAATTCCTTGCCTGGTGAGGGTACACTTGGAGTGTCAGGGCTGTTGGACTTTGGCATTGTTCTTTGTTACTGTGGGGTCTGGTAGAAGATGATGTATGTCACAGAGGAAAGATATAGGAGAAATATGGCAGATAATGCCCTGTTCACTTGGAAATCTGGGTGGCCAGAGAGACAGTTGTGCCAGTGGGTGCTTGGTGACAGGTGAGGATGATGTGTTCTGGAAGAGTCAAGGAAAGGAAATGGTAGGGATGATGTTGAGTTGTCCAGGAAACCTGGCTAACCATCCATTGTGTCCCTGTTGGAATCTCCATTACTAAAGGGCAGGGGCCAAAGGAGAAATGTCCTGCATTTTATCAAATTCAGTGTAGAGCGGCAAGGCTTCTTGCGGCCCTGGAGAGCATCCTTGGCTGAGGAGAAGCCCAGTCGGAGCCTCCCCTTAACGCCTGAGCTTTGGATGACACATCATCACTTTGCAATGGTGGCAACAGTCACACTGGAGCTTGATTCTCATTCATTTGGTAATTGGTTATTTCAACACAAACTGTGACTAAGGAACATGATTACACACCTGTCAGCCATATGACGGGGAAGAGAGCTGTCTGTGAGCAGAGGAAGAGGCCTCGTTTCTACCGGGGTCTCCGTGGAGTCTTTTCCATCAAAGATGTCATTTTTCATTTTAACCTCGAAACAAGACATATTATAGCTACTGCCTTGTCTATATCATTTATAGGAATCGCTGCCACAGATGCTAATCTAAACTAATACAATTTCATTTTGATTATATCTTTGTAAGCATCAGATTCTAGTGCACAGGAAGGCAGGATGTAATATAAAGAAACAAATGAGCATAAACATTATGTGGTACCTGTGGAGCAGCTTCCTGTGACAAGGCAAGGGACGAGGAGAAATAGCAATTAAGATGTTTTGTACAAGGAGAACATTTTACTGTAAGATGAAATAAATCGGTAAAATAAAAGAAAGCTTTTTCAGGTTGCACAGCTGACTCAGGGAGGGGAGTTCTCACTTATGCAGAAGAAATTACCAGGTGATGGAGAATCATGTCTAAGGATTATAAATAAGAGATGATGTTTCAGAAAGATAAGGGTGGACACATTTAAACAAAACCAAACCCTGAAGATAGCAATTTTGAACTGAATTCTAAAATGAAGGAGGACCTAATAAATCTGGCAACACTTAGTTAAAAAGAAAAGCCCTAGCCTTTTGAATAAGAAAATAATAGCTGCAAATTTGCACACTTTTTTTTTTTTTTTTTAAGGCAGAGTTTTGCTGTATCGCCCAGGCTGGGGTGCAGTGGTGCGATCTCAGCTCACTGCAGCCTCTGCCTCCTGGGCTCAAGTGATTCTTGTGTCTCAACCTCCGGAGTAGCTGGGACTACAGGTGCCCACCACAATGCCCAACTAGTTTTTGTATTTTTAGTAGAGACAGGATTTTGCCATGTTGCCCAGGATGTTCTCAAACTCCTGAGCTCAAGCAATCCACCCACCTCAGCTCCCTAAAGTGCTGGGATTACAGGCATGAGCCACTGCACCTGGCCTTAATTTGCACACTTTCTCGAAATGGTGAGCCAAATATCAGATTGTTCAGAAAATCTCCCTGTCGTTTATCTTTTCTGCTCCTCTCTGTCTTTGGTGAGGTTACTCAGTGTGTGGATTACAATGTATGTGTGCCCAAGCTCTGCTGAGCACTGAGCACGTAAATCAGCAAATGATAAAGGTGTCCTCTGTTATTGAGTTAGAAACAAAGTTTACGTAGGGTGAAGTTAGTAGCTGGAAAATAAGGAATTGAAAGAGGTGACATAAATGGTAATCAAGGGAAATAACACTAAAATCATAGTTTGAGTTATTTGGCAGAGGTATGGTGAAGGCCATGGAATTCACCATACTGCAGTGCCCACGAATCCTGGGCTGCTCACGCGGGAGCCCCTTGGTAAGTGTGGAAAGTTTGTTGACCGAGATGCTGCTCAGGACATACCAGGAGTGAAGACATACAAAGGAAACAAAACAATGCCTTTTTTGAGGGAGCGAAATGGATAGTCAGATGGCTGAAGAGAGATAGAAGTGGTCGTTAAGTACTGATTGTGTCCAGATTGTGTAGAGGGTTAGGATCCTGATTAGTGGGTGTGTTTGTGCATTTCTAAAATTCCTCCAGCCTTTGGCAGTGTCTTCTGATTGGCATTTGCAGTGGGATGCTGGGCATACCCTTATAGTTGCATGCAATTTAATTTTAATCAAGACTTTAATGATAAGAAAAGATAGTGAGTCCCTATTGCCTTCTTGCCAGCTGAGGTTTTTTTTTTTCTCCAGAAAAGAAAGCAGATTTGTGAAATTTAAGTAACTGTCATATATTGAGTACTTATTCTGTGCCAGGCATTGTGTGGGGCACTGCGCCAGGCATTGTGTGATGGATTGTCTCATTTAATCCTTGCAACAAATTTCTGAAATGGATGTTGTGTACCCCATTTTGCTGATGTTTAGGTTCTCCTTTTCTCCATCAGTGGTGGCACCAGGAATCAAACTTGGGTTGGAGTGGCACCACATGGCCCTCCTCAACCCTTTCTGTACTAATGTCCTCAACTAAGTGGGCACATGGGGTGCTCAGCCCTTAAGAATTTGCTCTCACTTTTTCTTGCTTTTTACTTCCTTAAAATTCTTGCCTGCTAACAAGAGTATTTTCTACTTCCTGCCTTTTGTAGTTTACTTTTATTTACCGCCATAAAATTATAATTATTTAAACATCTAAGTTTTAAACAGGCTATAAATATATGATCTTTGACACTCCAGATTGTGTATGAATAGAGCTTTCAAGGGACCATTTGCTTTACTGTTATCATTGAACTTAAAAAATTAAAATGTATGGAGCATGTGGGCTGAATACCATTCATTTTAGGCGCTTCATTATTCAGTTGTCTACTACTGCCTGGCACACAGTAGATGCTCAATAAGTGGAGAACAGATGAATAAGTGAATGAATGGAGACCTAAGGAAAACATTACTCAAGTGCCCTTGCCCCACTGTCTACATTCTTTGGGGCCGCAATGACACATATAGTGCATCCTACAGTTTATGGAACCAGTCAAAACATTTTTTTAACTCAAAGGCAAAAGTCTTTCATCCCTTAAGACAAAGAAATGACTGAAATTTCTTTGTTATACTAGGATACTTGACTGCATGTAAACATTGCCTGTTTTTATTAAGAAGGGAAGGCTAATATCAATAACCTTATGAAATGATCATTCTTATTCCCCTTTTACTATTTTCCACATCAAAGAATAACAGCTTTCTATTCTGTGATTAGGCAAGAACCATAGGAAGAGGTTTATGAATCTAGAATCCCATGTCCTTGAGAACATGTCTCAATTTGTCTAGGAGCCTGAGAAAAGATTTGAGCTGACTCTTACTTTGATTATGGGATCACTAAAGATCCCATAATCTTTCATTTGTGGGATGTGCACATGAAACTGGAATTTAAGAGATTTCAAAATGAGTGAGCCCTCTGGTGAGAAGTCTGTCAGCTTCAGGGATGTCTCCTTCCCCATCTCTACGCAGGGTTTCTCACGCTGAATCACAGGACTCCCCTGGCACCACTCCTATTTCATCTGCAGCCACCATCCTCGTTCTCCCATCCTTGCCTCATCTTGGTCCCATACCCCAAGTCCAGAACACATGGAGAGTCCACCCTGCCAATACTGGTGGGCCTAGGATTTGGGTCTGCTCAGCCTTTGGCCGTGTTCCTCAGCCTATGAGATTGGCTCTCAGCTTCCCCCATGAGGTGCCAGCTCCCTCACCACCCCTCCGTTTCAGCTGTGTTGGACACCAATAATTTACCACGAAGGGGAGAGACCAGAGGGCGAGTTACCTCTCACCCACAAGGACCTGCAAGGATGTGAGGGTTTGAGCCACAACTTCTCTGCCTTCTAGTAATCCCTGCGGTTTCTGCCACTCATTGTCACCATGCTGCTTCTGCCCACTGTGCTCCTGGGGCGCACGAGCAGTGTGGCATGGGGGTTGAGATCTGCACCTGGTGTCATGACACCTGCATTCAGAGCCCAACTTTGCCTTTTATGGGCTCTTTGGTCTTAGGCAAGTTGCTTAACTTCTCTACACTTCAGTTTCTACACTGGCAAAATGGAGGTGGTGAGTAATAGGGACTTCCTAAAGGTTTAGGAAGCTTTAATGAGCCAAAGTCTGTAAAATGCTTAGCACAGGGTCTGGCACAGGACAATCATTAAATCTTATTATTATTGTCAAAGTGGCTTCTATATTGAATTTTCTTCCTTTGTTCCGGATGACAGCTCCATGAAGTAGTCACTGAGTTGGAAGGTTCTGGAATTGGTGATGCCCTCCCCAGTGGGGTCCAGCCTTCATACAGTGGGGTTTCCAGTCATCTCTGAGATGCCATCTAGAGCAACACTGGGTGGTTGAGAGACCAAGGTGCAGAGGAACTGGGACAGCTTGGAAATGTTGGTAGCTAGAAAGGTTCAGTGAGGGAGGGAATGGAACAAACAGAAGGGGTGGGGCTGCTCACTGTGCAAGGCAGAACCACATATTATTTTTCTCAGTTTACACTAAGAAGGGAGAGGTTGTGGAAACGCAGGTCACTTTTTGTCTTCCTTCACCTGGGCTTTGACCCCAAAATACACCTCCTGGAAATGTAATAATAATAATAATAAGAAGAAGAAGACAGGGTGACAGAGGAGCAAGAATTAACTAAAATTGTCATCCAGAAATGAACTTCAACTTGATACTCAGCTGTTGGCTTCAACAGGCGTGTCCCTAAACCCCAGTCAAATTCTGCCGAAATGATTATCCCCTATTTAAGCATGCCACAATCCTACTTTTTATTACCTCAATTCATCATCTGCAGAATGGCTGGGGTTTGAAACAAAGACTCCAGAGAGTGTCGTTGGAGCAGAGGTCATTATTTATGAAGCCTCTTCACCTCCATCTTCGCATTTGGCTCCTCAGAGAGGCTCATTGGTCCTGGCTTTGGAGGCAGTGTAATTCAGATATTTTTCTTCCTTAAGTCTGATAGCACCTCCGTTAACAGGTCAAGTGGCATGTGGATCATAATTGGAGCTGTCAGGAGGACCATCCTGCCCAAAATCATGTTTGAACTTCACAGTCTGAAAGACCCAGGGATGTGTCGCCTCATCTTCCTCCTTTGCCTACATCCACTGGCAGAAGTTGCAGTATTGCTGCATATCATTTATGTGGCTAGCGCACAGTAAAAGTCAGGATTCTGTCCTCGTCCTAGGCTTTCTCCTTCATGTTCAGGCTGATTTTAGATCTTTACATATATAATACTCATATTTCTTCCTAAAGAAATCTTATCTTTAAGACAAATTATATTTTGGACAACATTATGCAATGCTGACTGTAACACTGTCCCAGGCCAGAGCAGTGACCAGGGTGGGATACTTTCCTATGTCTGTCCAGAATAAAGACCTGAGTGGCAGGACCAAGGCCATACCCATGAAGGATAGTCAGCTCCAGCCAGGCCGAGTACACAGATCAAAGGGCCAGGGCAGGACCACAGTCAGAGTGAGGGTGGTGAGCTGGGAATGGTATGGAAGTGGGCTCAAGCCAAAGCTGCAGGGAATCAGTGGCAAGAGTGCAGGGTGATGGCTGGGAATGGCTTTGAAGCATCTGCAGCCCTGCTTTGCTGGTTGGTGGGCACCTGGGGGATGAGGTAAACTGAGGCTTAGCATATGGACGGGCCAGAACAGATGTAGGCAACCCTGGTTATACCCATACCCTGATTATAGCATTTCTGTGGTTGCTGGTGGAAGAAAAGAAAGTTAAATTCATCTGAGTGCTGAGCTCTTGTCACAAATAACAATTGTGACATCATGTCTTTGATAAGTATTGCTGTTAGTTGAGAATTTATAGTTCTTGACCTCAGGATTAGTAACTAATTCACGGACACCATTTGTTTCAATTTGTGACTCATAGCTATCCATGACTACCCTCACCAGCATATGCCCTGTGAGTTATTTCTTCCAGAAGCAGTGAGAGATGTGCACTGATTCATCTGCATCCTTTCGCATGTTTTCTGGTGTCTGTCTCCCCTTTGCCAAGACCTGTACATGTGTGACATGGCAGGTCATGACGAAGGGTGTGTTCTGTGACAGTGACATAGATCAAGCTAACTCACTCAGGGCAGTGACCTAAGCTCTTGCTTTGTGCTCCCACCAACTTGAGCTAATTAGCCATCGACCTGCTCAGAGCTACATTATTGTACTTCTGTCTCTATTATTCCTAGGAGTGGAGGGTGTTGTGGACAGAGCAGAGGCTGGCCAACTGGCTTTTGGTGCTCCACCCCCTCATCCCCCAAAACAATCACCACAAGGTGGGCAGGTTTCTCAACAAGGCACATCCAGGGACTCAGTTTCACTGATTGGTCCAGGGATATCCACTGCCTTGATGAACTGACTCATGTTGACCAAAGTCACAATCTGCATTTATATACCGAATGCCAGGAATACAGGAGACAAGATAGCATGAATGCCCCTTGTAGTCTGTACAGCATCACCTACAGGATTAATAAAAAATTGTATCATAATATTGATGATGTTTTTAGAAGTCCACAAAGGAGATTGCTAAAGGACCTGCAGAACTGAGTGAGTTTGGTAGGATGTGTCTTTTCTGGTATTGAGAGGCCTAGGTGTCATACTCGATGATCTGAAGTTTATTTAGTAAGAATTAGATTAAAGAAGTTGGTTTTGCCGGGCGTGGTTGCTCATGCCTGTAATCCCAGCACTTTGGGAGGCCGAGGCAGGTGGATCACGAAGTCAGGAGATCAAGACCATCCTGGCTAACACGGTGAAACTCCATCTCTACTAAAAACAGAAAAAAATTAGCCAGGCATGGTGGCAGATGCCTATAGTCCCAGCTACTCGGGAGGCTGAGGCAGGAGAATGGCGTGAACCGGGGAGGCGAAGCTTGCAGTGAGCCGAGATGGCGCCACTGCGCTCCAGCCTGGGCTACAGAGCAAGACTCTGTCTCAAAAAAAAAAAAAAAAAAAAAAGAAGAAGTTCGTTTAAGTGTTGAAGATGTTGGAGTACCATCTTTCACAGGCTGTATCAGAGACCTACTGACGCTGCTTCTGAAGCTGCAGGGAACCCTTTTCTTGGGCTCTTTGCAGACTGCCTCTTCCCCCACCCCGCACCCTCCCTCCCTTCCCCCCATTCTGTTATATTTGTCATTAAACACTCTCTTTTCCTAATTTTCTTGGTATATTCAATCTTGGAGTGCTAAAACCAAAGAAAATTTGAAAATTTCCCTTAATAACATGTTTTTAAAATGTAATGACACCAGTATTTTCAAGTTATTGTACACAATTTACCTTTGCCACCAGCACATAGGTGGGAGATCATCAGTGTGTGGCATGGGGATTCTGGAGCCAGACTGCCTGGGTTTGAATCCTGGTTCTACCACTTGTTAACTGTGTGAGTTTGTGTAAACTCCATAATGTCTCTGTGCCCCAGCTTCTTCATATATAAAATGGAGATAATGATAGTACCTACTTCATAAGTCATTTCTTTCCTTGATATATGTATGAGTGTGTGCATTAAATGAGTTGATACATATAAAGCACTTAGGATGGTGTCTGGTACGTGCAAGAAAAGCTGTAGAAATGTTAGCCATTATTATTAATCCCGGATAATAACCAGAACAGCATCTTAATCTGGTTAGTACTGTGTTTTTTAATCCCATTTGAGGCCGGGTTATTTCTGGGGGAGGCATCCTGTAGATAGTGAATCTCCTCTGTAACATCTGGATCCTTTTCTAGCCTTACAGATAGGGTCCTGGAGTACAGCCCTTGCCTGTTTCACATTTTCTCTGATTTCTCAGGTCCATCATGAGATCTGCATATAATCATATGAGCCCAACCCCCTTCTGCCTAGTGATTTCAGAGAAAAGGAATAAAAGGAGTACCTGAAATGCCTAGATTAGGTCTATTAATTAAGGATTTTGTGGGTGCCAACCAGCAGCAAAGTGGAATCATTTGTGTTTCCCTTCCTTTTGTTTCCCCTCACTGTGTCCCTGGGTAATAGATGCAAATGACTAGTGAAAAGCCAAAAGGCAGGCAGTGGGCGGAGGAAGAAAGTGGGGGAAGGGAAAGGAGCCTGGATAATCCAGTGTCGATTAAGCTTCCGGAATAATCAGAAGCTGCCTGGGGTGTGAGGTGGTGTGGCCTTAGCAGAGAATGAAAAAGAAGGGGGCTGCATGCTCCTAGCTGCTGGGCCTTACCTGTGAAATAACAATTCTTACCAAACAAAGACACTCAGGTGACCTGAGAAAGAGCCCTGCAAGATAAATGCAAAAGGGTCACCTGTCCAATAAAGGAAAAATAGATTTAAAAATAAAAAGTAAAAACAGGCATTTTCAGAACCGCTTAAGCAACTGCTCTGATTATTCCAGACACAGTTTTAATGTGCTGGGATGAACATGATATATTTTAGTTCATGTGGAAGCTGTATTTCAGGCTGATGTGGAATCTGTTGCCATAACTGTCACGCAATCCATTAGGGCCCCTGAGTAAAGGCAGCCATTAATCAGGCACGAGATCAGCCCCATAGCCTCACATGCGTGCGGCTCTGAGGGGCCCTGACCTGACATCATTTAAGGAGATTCTCATGGAGGCCATAAACATGATTCGATTCCCATTATCTTCATGTTGCATATTTGTTACCATTACTCTTTGAAGACTCCAAATTGGATGTTAAAAATTTATGATATATATAAAGGTTTGCATGGAGTGAAAAAATAGCTGCAGCAAATAAGTCCATCTCATCCATCAGAGGTGTGTGAGCTGTCAGAGGAGCCTGAAGAGCTATGGAGAAAGCCTGTCAGTTAGCCAGTTAAGGAGGATGGAGAATTAGGAGGGCCTTCTCTGGGCAAACAGCTTTTCCTACAGCCTACATACTAAATGGGAATTTAAATACATTTGGTTAAAAGAACAAAGTAAAACAGCACCACTGCAGAAATCCCCATAGACAGTCTTCGACAAGCAGGTGAAAGGGAGGGCAAGGGATCCTTAGGCAGACATTAGTAGTAATGTGAATGGAGCAGATGCCTGGGTCCAGAGATGGATGTTTCTGGGTTACTGGCATATCTCCAGAGCAGAGAATCTGATGCCAGGTGGGAGCCCTCTGTCCAGGAGAAAGCCCTCCACCCAAGCTGCATGCACACATAATTTTGTTTGAGAACCATGCAACTCTCTACAATCTGTTCAGTGACTTGAATATTTGCATAGAAATAACTCGTATTTAAGGGTTATCCATTCATAGAGGTAGGCAGTTCAGAGTAGAGAAAAACAGAACATTCCAGGCCTTGGCTTAAGGAAGAATGAGAGCTAATGAATCCATTCGACATATATTTACAGGATTGTTTGTTATATAAGGGACTTCATACATAATGCATGGTCTCTGCCGTCAAGGAGTTTCAGTCTGGTAGAGGAAATAAGACATGGATGGTAACCAAGGAGTCTCAGACAGACCTGGGACTCTAGGAGAAGGTGAGATATCAGAAACAGGGAACAAGGTGCACAGTTGCTTAATCTAATCAAGGAATGGACTTTTGAGGATGAGAATTTGTTGGGCAAAGACCAGAGGATCAATTCAACAGGGACGTGGAGGAGAGAAACGTGGGGCAAAAAGATGATTGGCCAAAGTCCAAATTGAGTGCAAGATCTTCTGTGAGGCCAAGACCATGGTATCTAACCAAGTAGGAGGAGCAGGTGTTGGGCAGAAGTGCATCGA
The DNA here is from genome assembly GCF_000001405.40 of Homo sapiens. NCBI lineage: Eukaryota > Metazoa > Chordata > Mammalia > Primates > Hominidae > Homo > Homo sapiens. The sequence goes on from NC_000006.12 coordinate 107,580,833, forward strand.
ATAGTTGGTGAAGGTCTAGGTGTGAGGCAGGTGTGATCAGATAGCTCCAGGAGAGCCGTGCTGAGACTCGGGTATGGAGAAGACTCCTGAGGTTCAGAGGCAGAACACTCAACTGGTAGGGACTGGAGTGTAAGGCTGAATATCCAGCGATAGCGTTAAAGGATAGAAACCCATTCATTTATTCATTCGCTCACTCGGTCATTTATGGAACCCTTATAATATGCCAGGCACTAGTCCAGGATCTGGACATTTGAAGCTGGTCAGAACGCAGTTTCCACACTCAAGGACCTGTTTGATTAGTGGGAGAGGCAGACACACACATGGTCATAATGCAATGCAATAAATTGGTGTGGAATGGAAATACAGGGACAGAGGGTGCAGAGCTTAGGCAAGGACCAGGAGGAAGAGTCACTGATGGCTTCCTAAAGGAGCTGCAGTCTGAACGAAGGCTTAAAGGTCACATAAGGATCTGCCAGCAGAAGGAGAGATGGAATCTAGCTCCACCAGAAAGAATGGGAGTGAAGGACAGGAGACCCAGTTGAAGGGCACTAAGAATTCAGACCCGAGGAGTTGGGCCACTGAGATGAGCTCAACAGTGCAGTAACTCCAGGGGAGGCAGGGAGCTACTCTGAAGACCTCCCTATGTTGTTCCCACCAGAGGCAGGAGTGGCTGAACAGAGATCCCAGGTGTCTGTCCACTGCAGGACAAAGAATCAGTGCTGACCTTTAGTTCAAGTTCACAAAGACATTCACAGCATACTGAAAGGCAGTGTGTGATAGCTGCTGTTTATTCCTGAGCTTCCTCAAGAGAACGTGTGGATGCATTTGAGAAAGGAAGGCTAAACCAGAAACGAGATTTCAGAAAATGAAATTCCATGCGTTTTCAGAGCAGTGTCCCCATGCTTTTACCTTGAATTCGAAAATAAACTCTATTATTTCTGGTTCCAACAATTAGTTATAAAATATAAAATCAATGGCCCCTTTTTTCTCCTCTCCAATTCTTCAACTATACACTTATTCTCACAACTTTGAGTTGAGCTGTTTTTGGTGTTCTTAAGTCCGGTAAAAATGCCACATGTGTGAGCTGACATGTGCTGCCTCTGCTGCAGCATAGGAGGGCTAAGCTTGGAAACTCTGTTGTGCTCTCCCCGGCCCTGATTCCAGGCAGAATCTTTGCTTGTTTTCAAAAGAAATCCTGAGATCACAATGACACAGAAGTGTAAACTCCCATTCATCACAGGGAGGTATTAACTCTGAAGCCTAATTATCTTTTGACTTAAATGGCAATATTGTTAACCTTTTCATGGAGTCAGAAACATCACACTTCTCTGGGGTAGGCAAGTGGAGCTATTTCTAGAATGTTCCACCTTTTCTAAAGGCATTCTTCAGAGGAGGAAGAATGCCTAGCTTGCTCCAACATGCACATGGCACCAAGACTTTGGCTCAGAGGAAGCAGTGAATTTGAAGAACTAAAGTTTGCTGTATTGTAAGAATCAAAATAAGAGAAGTGAATTAGTGCTGATTCAGAGGGAAAGAGAGGTGAATACAAAGTTTGTTTAAACCAGAGGTTTTTGAAGTAGAGAGGCAATTACTGTAAATTTCTCATATCATCTAATATTTATCTAAATGTTAGGCACAACATGAAAATGGTTACACAACTGTCAGCAAAACAGGGAAATCCGCTTGCAGTTTAACTGAAGGATTTTTGTTTCTGTTATGGCAAAAAAAAAAAAAAGAAATTTCCTTAGAATAATAGGTCAAAAATGCACCTTTGTTCTGACAATCACATTTGTAGTAAAATGCAAAAAAATAGTCTCCCATTTGCTTTTCCCTGTAGTTGGCATAAATATCTAGCACACTAGTCAGAATAAAACTGTTGAAAATAACACACAAGGAGAGAGTTAGTTCATCATGAAGTGCCTTGATGTGCCTTCTTTCAGAACTTGTCACTCTGGAAAAAAGTCAGACGTGAACACAATTCTTCTGGCCCCAGTGGATATCTAGAGCCGACAGTGGGGTGGTCCACTCTCAAGAGGCAATTAGAGAATGCATTGTCTGCAGAGGATTTAAGAACAATAATAAAACCAGCTAAAAGTTGGTCTGCTTTATGTTGTTACCATGAGCCAGTGATTCTGAACAATTTTAGTGTTCACATATTCCTCCCTGAAGGGGTCGTTGGTGTCCTATGTCCACCCTCCTTGTTAAGCCATTGTCTGGCACCCCACCCAAGTGGGGGCAGATGTAGAATAAACCTCTGACTTTAATATATAAGAGGTTGTAAAACATTATGAACTGATTCTCTAGGGTAAGGAAGGTCCTATGGATGTTGTCTAACATTGCCACCAGTTCTGTGAATGATCCAACTCATTCTTACAGATCACTTACTGGGCATCAGGCAGTGGCTGGGCTGAAGATACAGTGGTGGGAGATCAGACTCTGTCCTTGCCCTTAGGAAGCTTGTAGGCTACTAGGGGAGACAAAAATCACACCAGTAATTCCAAGGTTGCAACCATGTTGAGTCTAAGAAGGACCACAGAGGAGATATTTGCCTTGGATAGAGAGGTTTGGGAAGGCCTTTTTAAGGAAGTGGTATGGTAGTTCTTCCAAGATTATTGGTCATACCAGAAACTAAGAAACAAACAAACAAATAATGATAATTTTTGCCCACAAGCAACTAGTTCTGTAATCTCTTAAATCTTTTTTCTTTTTTTGAGACAGAGTCTTGCTCTGTTGCCCATGCTGGAGTGTGGTGGCGCGATCATAGCTCAACATAACCTCGAAGTGCTGGGCTCAAGCAATCCTCCTGCCTCAGCCTCCCAAGTAGCTAGGACTACAGGTGCATGCCACCACACCTGGCTAGTTTTTGTTTTGTTTTGTTTTGGTAGAGATGGGGTCTCCCTGTGTTGCCCAGGCTTTTTGAATATTTAGGGTAAGGTCTACCATAGGGACTACATCCTAGAGGTTGAGTGTTCCTTATCCAAAATGCTTGGGACCAGAAGTGTTTGGGATTTTGGAATATTTGCGTTGTATATACTTACTGGTCGAGCATGCTAAATCTGAAAATTCAAAACATGAAATGCTCCAATGAACATTTACTTTGAGCATCATGTTGGGATTCAAAAAGTTTTGTATTTTGGGGCATGTGGGATTTCAGATTTTTGAATCTGGGTTGCTCAACCTGTATATCCCCCTCTCATAGCACAATGGTTCACTCCAGTGGGCCTGGGACCTGGTTAGAGAACATTCTGGCAGCTATGCCAAGGGCCTCCCCTTGATAGCTGTAGGCACTCTCCTTAGATCGGCAGTTCTCGCCCTTCTTTGGTACATTACAATCACCTGAGAGCTTTCTAAAAACCACCTGTGTCCAGGCCCCAGTTAAAGCACAATCTTAGAAAGGGAGGGGGTCAGACACCAATATGTTAAAAAAAAAAAAAAAAAACACCCCAGATGATTCTAATATGCAGCTGGGGTAGCGAATTCCTGTGTTAGATGAATGCACTGAATTACACTTATTCCTGTCATAGTAATTTAAAATTACACATTAAAAATTTCACAATGCAAAGGGGATTACAGTGGTGAGAAGTGTGTGTGAGTTATTTGTGCACACAAATACACGTGAAGGTGATGGTTCAAGAACTTCTTGTACTTTGCATGCTTTTCATTTCTGTGGCATGTAGTGGAAACACAGCAAATGGCTGAAGGATAGAATTTCTTGGACTCTGGAGTCAGGGTGGGTGTTAGAGGACAGGCCATTCCCAGAGCCATGGAAGTTTGATGCAGAGGTGAACATAATGGTTCAATAAAAAAGCAAGTTTCTAGCTTTCTGTCTCCACTTCCGAATCTCTTCAATCCCCCTCTCCTTTCTCTTCCACTGCTACTTTATTTAACCTCATAAATTATGCAGCTTTATATGAAGTCTGTAGCCCCTTTGAGGAAGCATATTCAAATATTAGATAATGGGATTTTTTTTTTGTCCTTTAAACACAAAAAAAACATTGTGTGCACCTTACATGTAAGTGGAATGAATGTATTTTTGCCACTAATGTTGAAAATATCCTTAGGCATCTGGTGTGTATGAATGTGTATACATAGTATATGCATAATAAACACATTCCACCTTATGAATATTTATATACAAGATACATATATATTGAATATAGACATACATATGTAAATAGTAGCCCTTGAAAATTATATGCAAAGTGTGTTTCCAAGCATATATATCATAGTGCATCAGGAATATAATAAAGCTACTACCAAGTTTAGCATATTTTGAGGTGGCATTTTCTACAGAGTTGTTTATGGTAGGGTCTACTTACTATCCACGTATGGGTTTTTTCCATCATCACTTAAATGTTTGTTAAATATCAACTAAAAGTAAGGCACTGGGCATGGCAGAACAAGAAAGATGAAATTGATGTGGTCCCTGCCTTTAAGAGACCTGTACCTCATAGAGTGGCTTAACATTTTGTTATGAAGAATCTAATATTGTCACTGCCCAATGGCATCTTCCTACTTTCTTACAACTGCCTTTCATTTATCTATGCCACTGCTGCCTTTGCCAGTTGGGATTTAAAATGTGACCCATTTGAGCTATATTAATTTAAACCATGGCGTAGCTGCAAAGTTGTTCCGATGCAGTAAGAAGAAACATCATTGGTCTCAGTGCCTTGTAGCCACTGGACATGAACAACAATTAAACTTTTTTCTCTGTCGCATATAGCCAATCCTATAACTGCATTTTTATTTTAGTCTGATTTAGTAGGAAAAAAAGGTACAATAAAAAGGCACCAAGCATGAGGGATGTTATAAATCTCAAAAGTGAACCAAAAGAGAGCAATCTCTTTTCCCCACAAACTTCTTGTAACCTAAATATTACTGACCATGACATTGCACTTCCAAGTTCCATCTAGTTCCCTCCCTGGACTAGGTAGCAGAAGCTTTCTTAAACACAAGCAATACATTCTAAAATGTACAAAATATGGATCTCTTTCTAAAATGACAAGCCCCAGTATAGCCAGGGAGCTCTGAGTGACACTCATCAGGGCAGATTTTGCTCCATTAAAGGAGGAACAATACATAAGCATTGTCATCTCTGCCACAGTGTATGCTCATTGTTTTCTCCCCCCTCAATCCATACATAACAACAGGTAGTTCTCAGCTGTTCCCTTGGTGCCAGACATACATTTTATCTAAAGAGACAGCAGACAGAACTACCTGCTGCTTCCTGTGCGGCTCTCCCTGTGTTTCTCTCCTTTTTCCTACTTCACTAGGGCTTTTAAAAATCAGCTGGCAGGGAGCCAGGAGCTCATCATTTTAATGCAGTGTAAAATGGAATATGCATAATTATATGCAAGCCATATGTGAGGGAGACAGCTCAGCTGTGAATTTCAGGAGGCCAGGAAAGAGAGAGCAGTTAGGGCTAAGATGAGATGAGAGCAGAGCGGAGTGCAAGTGTCACGCAAATGAATGGTTTAATGAGTGTGCTGCAGACACGCCCCCTTTCACCTACCTCTCCCTTCTCTCCCACTCCAAACCAGAAACCAGTGGAGATTAGAAAGAAGACTGTATGCAAGCGGTATTGCTAATGGGTTCTGTTAATGTCTCCATTTAAACTTCAGCTTTCTTAATTAACAGCGTAGATCAAAATAACCAGTAACTTTTAATGCAGCTTTTAAATTAAATCTTTTTTTTTTTTTTTACTGCATTTGATTGAAGAATCATGGTTCTTACCAGATCATCGCTCCTTTTAGATCTTTATTTAAAAATGGAGGGGAATCAGTTTATCTCTAATAGTATTACAATGCAAAATATAATTATGCAGATTGCTTTTCTTATGGCCTTGCTATTAGAATTTTTTAAAAGTGCATTATCTAGAGATTGCTTAAGCATGCCAAAAAGTTTAAACACGTATGTATGTCATATAATCCTAAATGTGCAATGAACAATGCGCACTGAAAAACTAAGGTGGTGGTAATTGCCAACAAAATTATTTGATTTTGGTTTGCTTGATATTGTTTTAAATATTACACCACAATGAATTTGCATGTTCAAACTAAACAATGTAAAGAAAAATAAATCCCAAATTTTGATACCTAAAAGGCGTACTGCGTATTTAAACAAACTTCTTAATATTGTTGTTATTTCTGGATTCCCGTTTGTTGAATGATCTGAGCTGTTATGCTTTTTAGCTTTTTTTCTTCCATTATTTGTAAGTCCCTAAATAGGCCATTATATTTCCCTTCAGGCTAGAGATGAAGATGGACATGCTGAAAATTTTCCCCAGCAGCACTATGCTAAGGAAACTCCAAGGCTTGCCTTCAAGAATAACTGCGAACTACTTGTAAGAATAACATACTTACAACAAGTCTAGAATGTTACTTTAGCACAGTGAAAACAGTTTTTGAAAGGGTTTGTTCATGATTACATAATTGATGAAATATTATAGTTTTCTGTATAGAGTTCTAAATGCTAATTCTGATATCACTGAATATTAATTTTAAGATCTCAAATTGTTTGCAAATCTTTTATATCTGATTATAGAGCTTGAATGGCCCTGTCTTTATTAGCTTGTTGTGTTTAGTAGTTTATAAGCAGCCACTTGGAGAATGGCTAGTAAAGTTAAAAATATAGAGAAAGACAGTTGATATATGTAGCTTGGGAAAAAAGAACCTCACCCTCACCCCTCCTCCTACGTCCTCATTGTACACTATTTTAGGAGACAACATGGTAATATTTTGTTCTGCTAGGGAAGATAGCAGAGTTGACACGCAGTACTCCCTTTAGAATTCAAGTATTCCTCCACTCTCTTGCCAAACTTAATCGTCTCTCCTATGCAGAAGGAGTCAAAGCAGTGACAGGGTGCGGGGATGTTTACAAGTCGTGAGAGGGAGGATATCAGCTGTGACATTGAGACTCTGTTCCAATGCAGGGTTAATTTGCTGTTCATTTTAGCATTTACAGCCAGACAAGATGAAAAGCAAGCAGGAATGCCTATTATATTTCTATTAAATGAATCTGTTGGGACCTAATGTTCTTGATTAGCTTTTGAAAATGAGTGCTCTGCAATGCATTTTCTGTTTACCTAAAGTAAACAGAGAATGAATTGTCATTTATTTAGAGATTCAAACACTCCTTTTGAAAATGAAGCTTTATGAGGGATCTAGCTATGTTGTCCCTAAATGTTCTTTTCTTTTCAATTGCATTAAAGCAAAACATTTGCTCCAACTAAGTGAAAACACTGAAAGAGAATGAGGATGCTCAGTTGTTACATTTTGAGGTAGTCTAATTTCTGTTTAGTTTTTTGGCCGACCAGCTCTGCCAGGTCTCTGCATTAGGAAATCCCACATGTAACAGTCTTTGGATTTAGCTCTGATACCAACTGTTCATTAAAAACAAAGTGTCCAAAGAGCAGAAGAGACAAAAATTCAGTTCTTACCCATTCTAGCCGCAGTAGCTACATGTTGACAGCAAGAACCTCCTTTTCCCCCTCCACAGTCTGCACAGTTACAATTACACTACTTATTCTGTGTGTGTAGTCCCTTGACCAACAGATCCACAGGCAAATTTGCTGCTTATAAATGTAATTTTTTTCTGAAATTTTAACTTAACTTATGTTTTATCTTAGGACTCTTAAACTTCCAGGACTGCTAGCATTACCTATTCTGAGGAAACTCTTTTTGTTCATTTCGGTTTTAATGTGTCTCTGTAACTATGATTATTCAGCAGAAGACCACAGAGGCCCTTATGCTGTGTTTTGGTATCAGAATGCTTTGGGGTAGCTTACTTCTTTTTAGAGAAATTTGCAAAAGTAACATGCCATATTTAATTTTTGTCTATTTGTTGGAAAAATGAACATGCTTGAGTCCTGGTTGTGGTCAGTTTATACTGGAGGAAGCAAAACATATATGTGAACATCGTTTTTAGCTGTCTTTAGAGAAAATAGATGTTTTGTCATTGCTGTGCTTAAACACATTGTTGTGTTGGCAGTAGTTTTGAGCAATTTGGTACAATCTTCGTCCTTCCAGTCACTGTTAGAAATGCTTTATTTTGGTCAGTATACTTTCCTGTGATAAAAGAAAAGGAATAAAAAGAAAACATAAGTAAGCTTATTTCTCCAAGGAGAAATTTAATTTTTTTCAGCTGTAAGAAAAGTGATGGTGTTTGGCTGGTTATGAAGCCCTGAGAAGTTATGCTTCTATATGAAAGAGACTTGTTCATTCATAAGAAAGAAATAGGAAATCCTTGGAGTTTTCTTAGTGCAACTTAGAGCAGATTTTTAAAGAATCTGTCAGAGAAGATTGCAAGCTCCACTCCAAAGTACTTTTTTAGCTGAAGGGTGGTTCTGCCATCTTCTTGCATGGATTGCTGCAAGAGCAGTAGCCAGTTTAGAAAGCATGGGAGCTCTGGAGAAAGCACTGAGGGCACAGGGTTCTTCTGGGCCCCCAGATGATCAGGAGCACATGGCTGGACGACTAGTCCTCTGTGCCACAGACACTGACAGAAAGTGCCCTGGCCAGGTAGACGGGACATTGCCTTGACTTTATTACTGACTCTCTAATGTCTCTGCCCGCTCCCCACCCCCACATGCCTGCTTCTTGGAAGAGGGAGGAATATTAAGTAACTTAAACAAAAGCAAAGCAAAATCGATGCCCGGAATACACAAGTGTGTGTAATCAGAAGGCACTGACAAAGAAAGCATTGGCTGATAGAAAAATCTGCTATGCAACTGTAGATTTCCTGTAGGGTATTGATTTTTCCATTTAAATCCCAAACTGTGATATGTGCCTTCACACTTAATGTACAACACAGATGACTAGATATTTAGCTTTGTGGCCAAGATCCTTTAGTTGGTGACTGTGCAGCAGTCTCCTTATGCTTTTTATTAATTTTGAAAATGAAAGGCTGTCAAGATAAGTGACATTAGCTAAAACGAGTACTATTTGATATGTCACAATTCAGTGTGGCCCCACCTACCTCTTCATAGATAGTCATGCACACTTGCAGGCATGCGCACACACGTGCACACACACACACACGGGTGTTTTGCTGGCATATCTAAGTTTATGACTAAAGAAAACTTTTAATAAAAGAAAATGTAGGAAATTTCTATCATGTTAACAGTGTAGCAGCCTGGTTTACAAGAGCCTGGAAAAGGGAACATTTAGAGCCAGCCATGGGTGAGACTAGCCCAAGTCCATTCTTGGTCCCTTTATCATTACTGCCTCTTTCTTCTGGGACTAGAAGGCTTCTCATTTCCTCTATTCAAATGCTCGTATCTCTGGCTAGAGGTGGGTTCAGAGCTAGAGTGAGGAGGACCATAAGTGTGTTATGAGCTCACTGTTTCTCCTCAGCCACGACTTTCTCAATTTTTGAAAGCCCACTGAGAGTAAGACCTTGCAGAAATATAGCATAAGCTGGGTCACTGGAGGGGAAAGACCTCTAGTGAGAAGAAGAGGAACATTGAGAGGGTTTTGAGAAGGAACTGAAGACTCCTGAGCCTACTCCCCAGGTTTTCAAAAGACCAGTCCAGAGAACATCCCTGTGTTCAGGAAGAAGGTCAAAATATAACCAAAGAACAACAGCAACTGATGGAGTATTATTTGGTTGGAAAAAAAGCCAGGCTTAGGAAGTTTGAAAGGGGAACTAAGAGAAAGGAAACTCAGAGGGGCAAAATCAGCCTGTCTCCCTCAGTTCCAGATTCCTGAGCCATCACCTAGACAACGTCTGAATCCCTTTGGCTTTTCCTGAGGCTGTTAGGGGTGAGGGTTTTGCAGAGGGAAAGGGAGGGAGCTCACAGCTGGAAGGTGAAATAAAAATAGCATCAGGGAAGAATTCTTCCTGGTCACTTACAATGCCTGTGTAGGGAGTATATGAAAACTACTTTAGTTTTATGGCTGTGTGATCAGAAGTGATGATGAGAAGAGATGCTTAGGCTATTTTTCTGTGGGCTGATTTTTCCATTTCATTTCCTCGTGGATGTAGACAGGTGGATTATAAGAGTTGCATGTAGTCCTTAGGCAGTAGAAATACCCCGTGCTAATCCAGGGCTCAATAAACATGACATTATTGAGCATCTTCTATGTACAAGGCATTGTACTAGACAGTGCAGGTAGGGACACAACATAGAAAAAGACACAGTCCCTTCCCTGAAGGAGCATGCAATTCAGTAGGAGAAATAAGGCACATACAGTATCATAGTCGTCAAAAATGTGGGCCCTCAGGTCTTGCCCCAGCTGGACTTTATACACTGTCATCCTGGTGGTATAGCTAAGGATCATAGACGCAAAGGCTTAACATTTATTGTAACGTATCTGATATCACATCACACTTTTGGATCCCTGTTTCACCCCCTTGGACCTCTCTGAGCTTCAGATCTTTTGTAAAATGTGATAATAAAAGGAAATAACCTCAGAGCATATCATAAGGATAGAAAATGATGACATATTTAAAGAGCCAGGCACATAGTAAGTGCTCAGTATATATTAGCTGCTGTTATTATCATCTTCTTATAGTCATGATTGTTATTACACAGTGAGCTATGCCCCAAAAGAGCACTAGCAAAGTTCTTGGAGTACAGAGGAGGAAGAGATTGTTTCTGTATGCAGTCATTAAAAACTTAATAAGGGAAGATACCTTTGATCCAGGCCTTTCATGGGTTGGATTTAGATAGTTGCCAGGAAGTGTAAGGGAAGGGGGTTTTCCCAGCAGAGGAAAATAGCACAGGCATGGAGGTGGGAAAGTATGGGCCAGGTGCACTGCACCCAGGTTAGTATATAGGTTGGCCAAGTGTAGAGTACCTGAAGGCTAAGGGGTGAACAGCAGGCAGTCCCATATGCAGGGGTTTCAATAACTGACACTATCCTATCGAGTCTGGATTTTAGTAATTCTGCTTCATGGGAATTCCTAGCACTTCTGTGGATTAAAAACATTATTATGGAAAATTTCTAAGTATACAGAATTAAAGTAGTGGGAATCATATAATGAACCCCCATGTTCCTTTCACCTAGCTTCAACAATTATCAACTCAGGACTAATCATGCTTCATTTTCCTTCCCCGCACCCCCTCCCACTTTTTTTGCTGTACTGTTCTGAAGTATGTATGCTTTTGTGAGGGACAGATTTGGTCTTTTGGTGTTTTTTTTTTTTTTTTTTTTTTTTGTAAAATCTTTAGGATCCTTCTTCTCTGGCTAGAAACAATCCATTGATACTAATTAAACTGGGAATTGGAGCTTTGGGACAATGCATACATAAAACAAATGACTCTTGGTTATATATTGTGCTTTTCTTTTCCTGCTCAACACAACCTTGGTAAAGCTTGGCCAATCAGACCCAGTTTTAAAAGCCCTTAAAGTGAAAGACACATCACAGTGCCAGTGATGACTTGAACTTTATTTACTCTCAGGCCCCTGGTTCTAAGTGTATTCATTTAAAAACAAGATTGGATGTCTTTGCAATCCAGCCCAACTCACCAGTACATGTTAGCCTCTCACAGTAGTGAGGGGAAATTCTGGATGGCTGCCATATATTAGCCATTGCTAGAACTTTTCTGCTAGATCATGAAGATATAACAAGAACCCCTGAAAGGTGATAGAAACTGCCCTGTTTCATTTGAAACTTAATAGATGTCTCAGAATAGGTGCAATTGACCAGAGACCCTCCCCTTAATGCTTTTGGTCTAATGAAAGCCAGATTTACGCCCCAGCTCAACATGAATTTACATACTATTGCTTTGATTTTACAGCTGAGCAACACAGGCACTGAAAATTAAAATCATGATGACACACTGGAACTCACATCACATCAAACAAAACATCATATGATGTATGCATACATTGTATACTGTGTACCAGTTTCCTGAAATAGTCACTGCAATAGCCCCACAAGTGTAAAATAACCAGAAAATCCCAGGGGGACTGGCTGCTGTCTAGAGAAACTTAGCCTGTCTCACCATTTTTTTTCCCCAGCCATCTCCCAGATCCCTTTAGTTTGTGGTTATTCCTGTATTCCCGTAGTTTCCTAAACTATCTTGGAAAAATAGAACTTTCCAGAAATAAAAGTCACAATCTTAGACTAAGCAAGAGGCAGTTCTGATAGAGGTGGCATAATTATGCTCTCCAGCAAGACCATCTAGACTTTAATACAGGCAGAAGGGATGGATTCCACTTGAGTCATATTTCATCTGCACATTCCTCTGTTCCCATCTGTGCTGGTGTTTCATCTTCTTCTCCAGCTTTGTCTGCCACTTTCCTCTCTTCAGCCTGTTGGCTCCCATTTCTGCCATAGTCTTGTAGTTCAGGTCCTTTCACTTTTCCTATATAAAGACCTTCTTGACCACAGTTGACCATCTCCCCTCCTTTCCCGTGCATGCAAACTCTATTTTACCTCTCTTTGTAATTCTATTATTTGAGAGAAAAGCCACATGAGGGAGGGCTAGAGTTGCTCAGCTTCTGCTCTGATATAGGGGCCTTATTGGGGGACGGAGTCTTGATTTGGCAGGCTCTCCTTTCCAGAGCATGGGGGATCTTTGCCCTTCAGATTTCAGAGCCATTGCCTACAAATGTCAGAGGTATAATGGTTTGGTTTTCATGCTGGCTTCTCACACAGTCCATCACAGTGATTCTTGGAGCCAGAGGGAGGTATGGAAGACTGTGTGTTCTCCAAGGGAGGCACTGTGGTCTGGTGGATAAGAGTGGGAGTCCCAATCCTTTCTCCGCAGATGTGCTAGCTGTGCACTCTGGGCAAGTTTCTCACTCTCCTGAGCCTCAGCGTCTTTATCAATATGACGAGAATAAATACAGCACCTGCCTACCTCATGGGGTTGTTTCAGCAGTCAATGAGATCATGTATATGAAGCATTTAGTATACCTAGCACCTAATAAAAGCTCAACAACCAGTAGTCTTATTACTAACAAAATGGAGCTAGAAGGATGCATTAGTTTAAACAAAATCTTGAGGCAGATACTGGGAGTACCTGTCTTTATTCTTCAACTTGAGTCTCCTCCCAGTTTGTTTGGATAAAAACTCAAATGTAATATTTTTAATTTGGGTAAAAGAACTTCTGAGAAAGGGTTGAACATCTATCCACTTGCCTTTTTATGCCTAGGGAACTAGAGATACTTGTTGGCGGCATCGCAAATGTTGCTGACTTATGAAGTACTGCAGTATCTGAATACCTTTTTGTAGGATAATCTAAAGTTTCCAAAAAATAGTATAGTGTTGTAGTGAAGAACTTGGACTCTTAAGCCAGATTATTTTGTTCAGATTCAGAAATCCCCTCCACTCCACCCACTGGCTGTATAGCCTTGCCCAAATCACTGAATCTCTGTGTGTCTGCGTCCTGGTGTGTGAAATGAGGACAATAGTAGCTATTGGGTAGGGTTGGCCTGGGGTCTAAGTGATGACTGCCTGTAAGGTGTTTAGAACAGTATTTGGTAAACAACTGGCACTCAATCAGTGTTGCTGTGATTATGATGATTTATTCCAAGGTTGCTTGCTTTCCAGTACATCATAGACTACTACTTGACCAAATTTACTAGCAATGGAGTACCTGAAAGTTTTACATGTGCACATTTGCATGAAAACCCCACAAAATTTCCCTTTGAACAGTGAAGGGGACGGCACAAAGATAATTCTTGGCACTAAGCTTAAAAAAAAAAAAGACTCAAGGAAAACTCTCTACATGGTCCCAGACCTCTTCATTCTGCCTAACCATTTAATAGTAAAATTTTTAATGTTAAAATGTGCAACTAAGAACATAAATGCAAAGCAAGGGAAAAAGGTGTAATTTACACAGAGCCATATCTGCCATAGCAAATGGATGTGCCTCTGATACCGTGCTAAGGGAAGGAGACAAGAAATCCTCCTTTGTGAGGCACCTCCAATGAACAAGCACTGTGATCTGTCTGTATAGACCCCTTTTAAGGCCCTTTATTCTCACCGTAACTTTTCTAAGTAGATATTGCTGTTTCCATTTTAGAAGTGGGGAAATTAAAATGCAGAGATGGGATACTCCTTGCTCTGGGGGAGGGCAGGAGGCCCAGTGAGCAGGCACAGAGCTAGAGCTTGACCCACATCTCTGACCACACACCCATGCTTGTGCTCAGGCCAACACATGCCGCTGCCTTCTCAGGGTAGGGGCCAGGTCTTACACATTTTTACATTCCAGGGCCAGAGAAGGAGTACAGTCTATGATTGTGGAATGAAGGGATTAAGAAATTAATTCAGAATGACTCTTTCTAGTTTCTTTATAGTAACAATTCTTTGGTAGAATTCTGAAGCCAGAAAGAACATCTATGGGGAATGTTAGGAAGGGCAATTTATTCAGAAAGTCATGGCAATGTTTGCGGATTCCCAGTGCATAATAAATTGTGGGGAACAGAGCCAAGGTATATAGTTTTTAATTTGGTAGACTTGGGACATTAAAAGATCAGCTGTAGACTATAGAAAATATATTTTTCAATATGATACAAACATTCGAGTGTCTTTTTAAAAGTCTGACTGCTATAGATTTTGATCCTTTTTTTTTTTTTTTTTTTTTTTAGGATCACTAAGGCTATTTTAAAAAAGCTTGAACTATTTTGGTTTGTTAGGGTTGTATTCCTTAGAGTGAATGGATCTATTTCTTTTGAGATTTCTGGCAATAAATTAGCATATGGGAGTCAGTCATATTCTCCTTTATTGTTTTAATTACTAGAACTGAACAATTGCCTAAAATACCAAAGAGAATTCACCTCCAGTGGCTTCAAGGAAACTATACATCATATATCAAGCAAAACCAGGAAATCAGATAGGATATCAATTATCAATATTAAAATGCACCAGTAACCAGCCAGAACTAATATTAATCATATTCAGTCATGTGCTTAGTTTATGGTTAGAAGAACAAGCTAATGAAAGTCTCTTGAGAGGAAAAGGGAAAGAGTATAAAAAATATTTGAAGTGGAGAAGAATGACATATGTGAGTAATAAGAGAGGCAAGAAATTAGAGATGGGAGGACTGGTAAGGCAATTTTAAAAGGGAAGAAGGAAGATAGCAGCCCAGGTTAAGCTTCAAATGAGCAGGTTCAGGAAAACAAGATTCTTCAAAATAATGTATTTCATTGCATTTTGGCTTAAAATATTTTCCCTAATTGTATTTTTTGCACACTTCCTACACTTTTGGTCTCTTCCTGGAGAGCTACATGCTACCAGGAACTGAGACTTTTGCCAGAGTACAGTACTCATTCTCTTTTAATTCCAGATGAGTCTGCCCTGGCCAAGAGCTTTGTGTGTCAAGAGCCTTGTCTCTCTCATTCATTGCTGGATCCCTGAGAACCATGCTTAGCTCACAGCATTTTTCATGAATTCTGAGATGCACTTTCCCCCCTAACATTTTAATATCTCAGAAATGGGAGTCATATATTACAATTGATGACCTGTCATTGTTTAATTGCCAGTGGCTTTTTTTTTTCCTGGTGGTATTAAAATAAAGGCATTGTAACAACCAATGGTGATATAGATTCAATGAACCATGGAGGTGGACGCTTAAGAATTATTTGATGAATGAATATATGCAATAACATATCTCCCTGGTTCTAGTTCAGGTAAAAATGAAATGCTTATGAGTTGGTTCTGGATTGTATTTCTGCCGCCAGTGAGGCAGGGTAGAGGTTGGCCTCTGGCTATCTTGGCTGAGCATTTTAATGCTGTTCACTTTTCCTTGAGTGGAGCTGATAGATGGCTTGTTCATTCTTGCAAGTGAAATGTTAAATCAATTAAGACATACCCCAGATAAGCTGAGTTTAAAATAAGAAACTTTACTTTTGCCTTGATTTTCCAGAAAATTGCTTTTTGTTCTATTTTGGATTGCATGTCCATCAATATTTCTCTTGTAAATTCATGGAGATACATAGGTAGATGAGCAATAATCTCTTTCTCTGTCTCTCTCAATAAAACAAGCTATAGATTTCATTAGGATAAAGTATGTTTCTATAGATTAGGATGCCCTTATCCATCACCACCACCACCACCACCACCATCTCTTAGAGAGCTTCCCAACCTACAGAAGAGACAAAGTATATGTAGGTATATTATCCATACTTTAGAATTTCATAATCCACATTCAGTATATCAAATTGCATAGAAGTTATGCCTCAGACTTAACCATGTGAAGTACTCTGCTGTTTTTTGGTGTTCTGATCTCATTTTAGTTTGGTTTCCTTTGAATGGAAAATTTGAACCTGATTTTGATATTGGAGCAGGATGTGCTGCTATTTGTTTCTCTGTGTGAACAGGGAGGGGAAAAGAAACACGTGAACATTTTTAAATGGCAAAACCAGAGATGGGAAGGGAGGCAATATTGAACGTGTGCTAGGATAAGGCTTTCATATAAAAAGTGTTCAGATATTAAGATATGTGAAATATTTGGGGCCCTTCATTAGATAGCTATTTCAATCAGTGATGCTTTTAAGTTCCAAATTGTCTGGTAATTATGTAAAGATGCTCCAGTGAAACACCATTTTTGGCTTAGGGAAATATTTATATACTTACCAGATAGTAAGTATATAATTATGAATATGATAGTAAGTATATGAATTTTGAAAATATGCAATGTTATTACATAGCTACCATATAAAATACAATATATGAGGGCAGATTTACATATCCCATGTAGAAATGTGGGTATTTATATATAGGAAAAGGAAAATAAACAAGCATTACTGAAGTATTTATGAGTTTATGGCATTTAACTCATCTCAAACATTTATGCAGTGTTTTTTCTATACTAATTTAATGTTTATATATGAATGCATAAAAATAAATAACATGGAAAAATTAAGTTGTAATGGAATTTTTATTTTCATTTTTCCTTAGCCTTCATGCATTTTGATTTTTAAACAATGTTCTGACTGTCATCAAATCAGCCAAGTTGAAAATTGAGCTGCATCAATGGAGACAGCCGGTCTTGATAATTCAAACCAAAAAGACCTTTTCTCGAGGGATATATTCTCCCTGGTTTATTTGGTCTGAGTTGTTTCTCATAGCTCTAATTTATTCTTTTGTATACACTGCATGAAGACAATGTCTATAGAGATTTAAAGCCTTAAAAAAACTGGGTATTTAATGTCATGGACACATCCCAAAAAGTGGAATTCACATGAGAGCAGGTGGTTATGGGGTGTGTGTGTGTTACCCAGATTTTTAAGACATTTGTCTTTCAATCGACATGCATTTATTAGGTACCTGCTGTCTCCCCAGGGCTGGGCTTAAAAGTCATGTGTTGCAGTGCAAACAAAGTATAATGTAAAATGTGCATCCTTCTCATAAGAAGTTTACAGATTTGGGCTAGACAAAGAGAACTTTAAAAAAAAAAGTTTACAAACTACGCTTATATGAACAATGTACTTCCAGTGTATAATAAAGTGCCAGATGGTGTGGCATGGTGACTAGACAATAGGAATACGTATTAAAATATGTATGTGTGCAATAAGGAAGTAAAGGCCGTTTAATAGGGAAGAAATGATGGCCTGGAGTCATCAGGAATAGGTCCTTGGAAGAGATGAAGGTTGGGCTTGCCCTTGGAGGGTGCGTAGCGATGGAAGGGCATCCCAGAGAAAGAGAAGATGTGGAATGATGATGAGAGGGGTGCGCATCATGCATATGGGGGCCAGTTGGGAGACAGCCTGTGCTAGCGTCATTCTGTGAGTGGCGAGAATAAAATGAATTCAGTAGGTTGTGGTCAGATAATAAAAACAGTGACAGCCAAACAGCTAATTTTACATTTGGTGTTTTGGCTATAGGAATCTCTGTTAGGTACCTGAGCCAGGAAGTACTGTTATGAAAGCACTGTTTTCATGGGTTGGAGGAGGGGAGCAGGGAGACTTCTAGAAGGCGGTTAGAACAGTCCAGGCACCCTGTGATGAGGACAAAGACTTCTAACAGCTGGAAAGGCAAGAAAGTGACTCTGCAAATGACTGTCCAAAAATATTGGTCATCAAGTTTTTATGATCATCTTAATATAAATAACTGGCAAAGATTTCATTTCAAGCCAATTTTCCTGTAAATTTAGATTTTGGATAACAGTCTTAAGTAGCTAGTTGTGTGCAGTGGGAAAAACAAGATCAAAGTAGAAGCAAGAAACTGAAGTTTAAAAATATTTGTGATCCAGAGTGATTCAGGGATCAGTACGATTTAAACTACACAAATGCAAAGTAGGAACGAAAGATTCTTAAATGTGGATAGAGTCTCCAGTACAAGGAATGCAACAACCCCTTCCCCCTGAAAATAGCATAGAGACCATCTAGTGTGTATACCCTGGAAACACTTCCTGGCTATGTGGGTTACCGGCTTTGTGGTCTTGAGATGGTCAGTTTCTGCATCTGTAAAACAGAAAGAATAACTGTGTGTGCCATTTAGGGTTGCTGTAAAAGCTAAATGAGGTAATATATATAGTGTGCTTGTCATTTAGCAAGTGCTCAATAAAGTGTAACTAATAAAGATAAATCCTTTTGGACTCAACTTTTTTAAGAGAAAGAAGGAAATACTAACAAATAAAACTCATATGAGTAGTCCGAATCCGTTTTTTAAAAATGAACCATCTTATGATATACAGCTTTCGGTCATATGGATTTAGCTTATTCTTTACACTTTGCACATGTATAGGACTCTAGACAGAAAACTGGTATTTATCCAATTATAATCCTAAATATTTTCAAGATCTTCATCAAAAAAAACATTTTATTTAATTTGCTGGGTTTATAAAGGTAGAACATTGGATTAACATAAGATGATTTTTGAGAAAAAAAAAAAAAGGTTGCTAGCTCCCAAATTAAATTTCTTAAAATCCTACATTTCTTAATTTTTCTAATTACCTGACCATTTAAAATCCTGACTTTCTTTTGGAAGTGAACACAACCACCTACTTTTTGGGGTCATCTTTTTTGTTCATATGCTGATAAGTTTCAGAATATATCAATTAGGCACTTATTATTGATTTGATAAATCAGTTTTCCTTTGTTCTGGCTTAGATGTCTGGAATACATTTGGGACTTGTTTCAGTTGTAAACATGAACAAACAAAGAAACAAAAATCCACAAGAATGTGGGCAAAATGTCGTTTAGTCAAAACTCAAGTGCATCTCCCCTTGATTAGAGCTCCTCTTTGAAATAGCTGGGTTGCCCATACACAGATTATCAAGGTCATGTTCAAGATTAAAATGAGCTGTGGGACAATAAGCTGCCTATTATGGTAAGAAAACATGCAAACAGAAATTGAGACCTAATGTCTTTCCTCTGTCCTGGCTTTTTTCTTTCTGAGCCTAATATACCTATTTTGTCTAATTTAGTTTTAGCTTTAGTTATGCTTTCTAAAATTACAATGTGTGTGAGGATTGGAATTTTTGTCTTCCAACAGGAATTAGGGTCTATGTAAAATGCCTTTCCTCCTACGGGAATGGGAAGAGCCACATACCTCCTTACGTGCCGCGCCTGGTCAAGGCTGCAGTGTGGAGCCTCTCACAGGGCCCATGATGTGAATGTGCTTCCAGGATGTAGTGGCCCTGCAGCCTTGCTGCTAGGAGACTGGTTCTCACTTCATTCGAGTGGTAGCCCCTGCAAACAATGACAATACAAGGATTACTTTTTAGATGATGAAACTAACCATGCAAAGTTATGTTTAGATTTTGAAGTGCAGGTTAAAAAATATATATGTGGTTGAATCTACTGTTAAAAAAAAAAAAGACCAAAATTCATGGGTTTGCATTTTAAGTTTTCTATTGCAAGAAAGAAATGACAGGACTGTTAAGGACACTGATGGTTGGAGCTGAAGCCTGAGGATAAAGGCCTTGGAATCAGTTCTCCTTCAGTGTCAGCTGCCATAATCATCAGCTCTTTGGTGTATCCTGGCCAAGATATTAGTTTCCATAAATTAGAGAACTTTATGCAAGTGCCACATACCATCATGTTTACCACAGAATCCACATCATCAATGCCATCTATCTAGTCAGCAAGCTTTTATTGGGTGCCTACTATGTGCAGGGCACAAAATCATTTTGGATGGGCATGAAATGAACTCGATTTTTACAGATTTCTACCCCTCATTTTTACAAGATCATTATATACTTTATATTATTAAATTATTTAAAGTTATATTGTTAAATTATATAATGTGTATAAAATAATCTTAATAAAGCCTTTGAATAGACACTCAAGAAATATTGGCTGTATGAATGAATGAACAAACCATACCGGTGTGGCTCTCTATTGGCAATTTTCCCCAATCGGCTCAGACTCCAAGGTCTCTCCTATGTCTAGGGAGTTGTCAGGAATGTCTGGAATGCGGCAGCATTGGCTCAGTTGAGTTCCTCTCTGACATTATTTCTGAGTTGCGGAGTTTCTTGGGCAGAATGAATAGAAGCAGAAGCTGTGGCAGCCACCTATGGGCTCTGACAGCTCTCTGTGGCCCCGTCCCTAAACTATGGCACATCTTGTCCTCTTCCTGTACCCCAATAGCCCAGGTTTGTTTCCCATATGAGAGTAGGGCCTGGAAAGAATTTTCTCCAATTTGCTCTCAACTCCGCATATTCATGTGTATGTTTGAATTTAGCTACTAGAGAAGGTATCAAATATTGTAGCAAGACATTAGGTTTAAAAATAAGTGTTTGTCATCTTTCTGAAACTATTTAGATTAAATTTTAAATGCAAGAAACACTTTCGAAATTACTTTGGAAACATGACTCCATTCCTAAATTTAAGTGTCACATTTGCCCTGGCTGGTCCAGCAGGGCAGGCCAGTGCCTCCAGAGCCTCTCCGCCTTCTGTCTCTTCCTCTCTCTGTGTGTGATTTCCACACAGAATGTCACTGGGTCTAATACAGTTTTCTCTGGAACCCCCATTCCGCTAAATTGACCACATAGAATAATCATACTTCTTTTTGAAATGGAACTATGCAAAGTCTTGAATTTTATTACAGAATTTAATACCAATAATTACTTAAAATTTAATGAATTTCACTACTGACTTAATTGCTTTTGAGTAGTTCCACTTAATTTATTAAAGAGAAGCAAAGACATATTCATTTAATGAGCAGCAGAAGTCTTGCCCTCACCTCTGCCTACATTCTCTTTTCAATTAATCAATTATAGTCCAGTGGTGTGTAATTGCACATTAAGAAAGTTATTGGATAGCTCAGCATGCCTGTCCCAGGAGGCTCATGAATACACTACTATAACACACCTGTAATGACCTGTGCTCAGATCTGCAAATTATACTCATTGCTCTCTCTCCTTCTCTTTTTTTCCTAAATTAAGATGAGAGCAATTTCCATTAACTTTTTGAGTCACATCTAGTCCACATGATATAGAGAAAGGGTAAAAGAAAGACTGAAACAGAAGTAAAAATGGAAGAAAAAGATTTGATCTGCAATTATAAGTAATCTGCCTTTTGAAATTAGCTTCCTGAGACTCAGTCCTGATTGGAGAACTGTTAAAGTGTTTCAGAGGAGCAGGGGTTGTCTATCCGAGCAGTGTCTCCTGAATCATACTGAATACTTGAGAAAATCAGACCAGCTTTATTTGAACTCAAATAGTGACTTGCTTCTCAGCTTCCTTCAATCTCCTGATGAGAGAAATAGGAAAACAGGAAAACCTTTTGAAATCACATTCAGGCAAATTTGCTTGGCTTGTTTCAAATCAAACCAAAGTCTGGAACTGATCCCCATGCAGGAGCGCTAAGCCTCTGCATAGCAACTAAGCCGCGTTAAAAAAAAAAAAAAAAAAAGGAAAGGGAAAGGAAAGGAAGAAGGAGGAGAATCCACTAAAAAGGCAACACAAAGAGCAAATTTTACTTCATTAATGGCCTAAAGGCTCAGGTTATGTGAAGGGGTCTATTCCAGTTATGTCCTGATTTATGCTAAACCAGTAAAACCCAACAAGAACCTCTTAATCCAAATTACATAGTCAGAGACATTCTAAATGCCTAAACCAACCAAGTGATTTTAAGCAAAATAAGCTTTTGATGTCTGCACAACTCAAAACTCAAGAAGCAATCTGTTGACATTTTCAGCAAATGCTAGCTTAGTCTGAGACAGAGGCAGCAGTGGGCTTCTTCACAATATTCTTCTGGGTAAAGTGATTCTTCTCCCCTTGCCTCCCCCGTCCCCCACAAAAAAAAAAAACCCTGCTTCCATTATCTGTTTACTGAGGTACTGACAAGGGCAGATCTACTGTGATTAATGGCTGTCCATCAGAATAGAAAGAAGGATACATTGATACTCAGCTAGCAGATGCTCATGAACATGCAAATGAATGTGGTAAGCCTTCCTGGTCAGGAAGGATTTGCTTTGTTGATGTTTTAAACTCTGCAGCCAATTTTGGGCATTTTGTGTGCTGTTTTCCCTGCTACGGCCACTGGCCATGGACACTCCGCTGACACTTGGGCAAAGCCTGCCTCCCAGTGTGCCTTCTGGGGATGCCCTGAATGGAGAATGGGTGTCAGTGGCAGAGGCACCCCGTGTACTTTCAAGGTGTGTCCTTTCCTGGCACTCCTGGCCTGTCAGGACAAATGTCTCTGCCCAAGGGGCTGTCTTCCTGTGTGGGCTACGTTTGTGGCATCTCATGGGCCTCCATGGGGTTGAACTGTAAATAGTGGCCGCCACATAAAACATGCCATCTGTACCCCTGTGGGTAGCAGGATGGAACACAAAAAAGATTTATTCCAGGAATATGAACTGATGTTTACAGACATGCCAGGACTGACTTTTAAAACACAGTGGAAAACTGTCTCAAAAGCAGCTTAAGTACGATGTAATGGAAGCCCCCCAAAAAGTACTTTGGGGGCATGAAGGAAGCCTCTATGCTCAGAGAGATGTACTAAGCTAGCATATCCATGGCAGGCCCCTTTTCCCTGAGATGTGAGATACCATGAGGTCTCATCATAAGTTTCTGAGAAAGCAGGGCTAGACTCAGAGGGTGCCTGTGGCTCTCATGCTTTGGGGACCTAGAGTTCCCCAAATCCCCAGCCCCTGCAATAATGTTCAGAAAACGAAGGGGAAGGAAATAACTTTGGATTGAACAATTGGATCTCCATGGGAAAGTTTTCTTATTTCCTGGCTGGGACTCAGGGCTGTACTGGGGGCATCCTTTGTTGGTGGCATTATACTCACAGGCAGACATGGGCACCTTGGCTATCATGTGATGACCATATGTCCCAAGATTTGCACACCCTTTTCTGTTTCACCTATTTTGTCTGTTTTCATAAATCAATGGTCTTCAAATGAGTTCAGGTGGCCCAGCATTTGGAAATGTGCCAGTCTTTTGAGAATGCTGTGAATTATTGACATATTTAATTCCCATTGTGTGAACTGAGAGTAATTTTTGCCATCTTTAATACAGTTATCAAATAAAAGTCATAAACAAGAGCCAACAGGTTCACAAATATATAATCAAGCTGTCTAAGCAGTATGGACTGTTTCTGGTATCCTATTAGTATTCCTTTGCCACTTGCTTGTTGGTTTTGTCATCTGTGAATGCTTGTTAGTGGATACAGCAGCCTCGGTCTGTGAGATAAATCCTTGCCTAGTGAATTTGGGTAATTCTTGTTTATGCATGCTGTGGTTATTGTCTTGTGATATAATTTCGTTTCACTGCTCGTCCTGTTCTAGAGACCTGGCCACTCCTTTTATGAAGAGTGGCTCCTGCCCCCACCCCCTAATCCCCCTACACCCTCTATCCCACCTCTACCCCTACCCCACCTCTACCCACATCCCATCCCCACAGCCCTGCTCCTTGTTACCCATCTCCCCTCCCCACCTCCTTCTCTTTGGAAGCTAAGAAGGTGAGGTCAGGGGACAGGCGGGCTCTCTGAACCTTCACTGCAATATGCCTGTGAGGGCGCCCCCAGTGACGTGGCATAATAACACCCTTCAAGTTGGCCCTGAAGCGGGGTGAGGTTTCCGGACCCAGACCTGCAAATTGTGTCAGCACCTTGGAGCCTCCGAATCTCTCAGCAGGCAGTGGCATGTGTGCGTCTTCATGGGTGCGTGCATGTACATGCAGCAAGTTTCGCTGAAGATTCAAGTTAGTGAAGGGCATTTATGTCACAGCACTGTGAAAAATTTAAAATTAAATATGACATTTCAGTTCATAAAAATTCTTTGGCCCATCTGGCCCCTGGAATTTCTCCCTGGCCTCACTTCCCTTCAGGTCCCAGTCACCTGTCAGTCTGCTCAGAGCCCTCTTCCTCCTCCCCCCTCCACTCTGCATGTTCATCCCCCATGCTCAAATTTCCCACAAGTTCTGATGCTGAACAGATTAGCCATCAACCAGACAGTCTTTGTGCTTCCTGTATTCTCTGGATACATTTCGCCTTTGTTCTCATATATTATATACATACTACAATATCTGTTTTTCAAAGTCCCAGTGGGAATAGAGCAAGTCAAAGGAGGGCTGACACTTGTACCAGAATATTAAAGACCAGGCAACCCCATCTCCAGGCCCCCATGGGGCTAGCAAACTGAAGTGGGGAACCCAAGAGGTGCTGGGGTTCAGGGGCCTCGGCTTCTTAACTGCCCTTATCCTAACAAGAGATTATGGCTTCTAATTAAAGGAAGGAAAATATGTAGGCGAAAAACAAATTTGCTAAATCAGTGCATTAACATTTCTTTCCAGTGGTCTGGGAGAAAAGAGATTTGAGTGCAGTAGCAGCTTCAGCTGATCCAGTTTACCAACAGTGTGTCCTTAGAAGCTGAGTTTGGGACCCACTGTCTCTGCTGTCTTAGAATGTCCCAGGAAGCATGAATCTTCAGCATTCTGATGTGACTCCCAGACTGCCTCTGGCTCCAGGAACAAAACCCAAACCTTTCCTCAGACCCTGTGCCCTGGTTCAAAATTCACGAAATACAGCTCTCATGGCTGTGGCCCGTTCTTTCATGTCCAAGTTGTCTGTAGCCTCTCACTGCTCAAAATGTGGCCCACCCACCGGCAGCGGGGACATTGCCTGGGCCCCTGTTAAGCATGGAGAATCCCAGGTCCCACCCAGACCTCCTGAATCTCAGCTGCATTTTAATGAGATCGCTATAGCATTCTTGTGCACACTAAAGTTGGAGACGCTATAGGCTAGGGGGTGATGATTTTTAGCCTCTAAATTTAGGACAGCTTCAGTGAACTCCTTATCAATATAGGACACATACCCACTACACATTCACACACCCCCAAACTCTTTCATAGCCATTGAGAAACATATTGTGTAGATCAGATAGGCTCCTTTTTTTTTTTTTTTTTTTTTTTTGAAAGGGAGTCTCATTCTATCTCCCAGGCTGGAGTGTAGTAGCGCGATCTCGGCTCACTGCAGCCTCCACTTCCCGGGTTCATGCAATTCTCCTGCCTCAGCCTTCCAAGTAGCTGGGATTACAGGCACACACCATCACGCCCAGCTAATTTTTGTATTTTTAGTAGAGACAGGGTTTCACCATGTTGGCCAGGCTGGTCTCGAACTCTTGACCTCAGGTGATCCACCCGCCTTGGCCTCCCAAAGTGCTAGGATTACAGGTGTGAGCCACTGCGCCTGGCCCCTAGATAGCACTCTTATCCACAGCTGACAGAATGTCTTGCTGGAATCACAAAAAGTAACAGGTTGGGGTGGGTGGCAGTGGGGGTGCAGCAGGGATGCAGCATTCAAGGGAATGCAGCTCCCCAGGAAGTTCAGCCCCCTTCTTCACTGCTTCTAGATATTTGATGTCTGAGCTTTAGGGCTCCAGCTGTGGGGGAAAAGGCGAGGCAGCTAATAGCTATCTAAATCCCAAACTGCCTTTGTGTGCTTGGAATTTGGGCTCTATTGTTTAATCCCCGGAAGGAAAAGAGGGGGTTCCTACACTGAAGGTCTGGGTGGGGGATAGGGCGGCAGCGCCCTCACTGGGATCCCCTCTTCCTCCTACTTTGCTTTCTGCCTACAGGAGCAGGAGAGGCTGGACTTGACTGGCCTCCCTCTGCTCAGGCAGATGAATGTGTGTTGTGAGGAGAGGTAGCCAGGGGCAATCCCAGCCTGCACCCCATGACTTCAAAGGAACTGCCTATAGTGATGTCCAACGTGGAGCTTATCACCACCCCCATCCCTTGAACAGGTGAGGGAGCTTTGTGCCTGGTAGACTCCTTGGCCTTGGGTTTCGCCTGTTGTTGGGAGAGAATCTGTCCTGAGAAAGGGGACTGGGAAGAAGGTGTGTGTGGCAAAGCACTGGGGCTGGTGAGCATTTGACCTTAAGTCCAGTCCCAGGGACGTGCTCTGGGTGATGTTATTGATATGGCTCACATACATTTTCCAGGACACCTGGTTTTAAATGTTCCGCCTGTTGTCACACTATAAATCATGGAGAGGACTTGGGGCTCCAGCTACACATCCCAGTCTGCCTTACATACCCCACCCACAGCAGAACAAACATTGGTCAGATAATGTGTCCTGATTCTTTTCAGGCAATTGGTGACAATTTGTTGCACAACAGGAAGTGGACAGTAACTTAAAGGATCATGTCTGTAGCCACCTGGAATTTCTGGGACAGGCCCAACATGAAATATTCTGGTCTGTTATCATTCAGCTCCCAAGGAACACTGGTGCGCCTCCAGCTGGCCCCTCGTGCTTTGCTGCTGATGTCAAACGCTGGCATTGTTGCAGAAAAAAATTAAGTTAATGAATATAATTTTTTTCCATTTAAGAGTTTCTCTCCTACTTTTTCTTACGCATTTGGCACCTGGTACCTATTGTAGCAAGCATATGCTAGCACTTATCAAACTGAATAAGCAATAGGAAAAAATGAGCACTGCTGAACTCAGAAAGAGCTGATCATGTGTAGTTCAGCAGCCTTTTGTGTGCATGTGAGGAGTATGTGGCTTGAGGTTGGGTTTTCTTGATTATGCACATGCAATATAATCAGTATAATTATATTTTGGGGGTATAACATTGTTTTCAGTTCAAATATAGAACTAACCATATCAGCATTTCATGGGGTTCCATAGAGAGCTTTGCCCCTTACCAGGTATGAGACACACTGTGTCAATCCAGAATCTTAATGGCTGCTGGAGCTATGGGCCTCTTTACGGGGCCAGCTCTAGAGAGAGGTGAGTTGGTTTGTAGCCATGAATGTGCTGTGATTTGAGGGGCTACTCAAGTGGAAAGGATGGGCTACCCACTCACACAAAATTCCACTATTAGAGGTTACTTTCTTTGGGTTGTGAATGCCATCTAAGGTAAGAGCCTTATGATGACTGACACTTTGAGTTTCATTTGCCTAGGACTAGGGTCCTGAAGGAAGGATAGATAACCAACGAGGAGACAGAGATGAAGAAGGTGGGACAAACATCTTACATCTTATACACCATGGTTTTGTTCAGAACTGGGCTTGTCTCTCCTTTGACCACCTGGTAGGGCAAAATGCTGCCAGTGATTTGGTTGGAATTTGTGTGGTGTTGTTTCCCCTCACCTCTGAGTTTCCTCGTTGGTGATGTATGGACTGGGGCATGATGAATGAGATGAAAAAAATGGGGGGCTAGATATATACTTTATGTGGAGGTGCAAGGTCCCGGTCCTTTCTTGGGAAGGATTCTCTTTTCTTTCTGAGATGATGTCTTTTATAGTTGCGTGGTATTAGAATGTCTTTTTTCTTTTCCTTAAAAAAAATGAAATGAATTACTATTTTTGAGATTTCAAAAATAAGGCAGAAATAATTTAGAGGACTGACATAGGATGGTAAGTTTAAAAGCTATTTTTTAGCTTTTGCTGATTATGGAATCTAAAGCCGGGTAAGTGCTGCATGCTGCACTGTGCCCAGTGACCTGGCTGTAGAAATCGACATCTCTTTTAAAATGAAAGTTTCAATTATGTTTCCAAGTATTCTCCATCTTATACTACGTGCAAGGTCCTCACGAGATGAGTTAAGAGACAGATACTGCCCTCAAGGGCAGATATGACAGGAACTCAAGAGACAACAGAAATTATAGTGACCTGTGCTTTGAGCAAGGGAAAAAGTATCGAAGAGGGGTCCCAAGGAGGAACAGATCACATCCTGTTGGGGAGAGGGAATCCAGTGAGTTTGTTCGATTTGGCATCAGAAAGCCCCTTAGCCTGACACAGAAACAAGAGACTTTTGATCTATTCTTTAATACCACTCCCCCGCCCCAAACCACCACTACCAAAGAAAAATCTAGGGAGTGTCATCAAATATGTCCCCAGCTATTCACACCCTAATTTGATACTTTCAGTAAATGAAAATGAGGCCAGACTGTTGTCACTTAGATCCATGATCTCAGCAGGCTTTTGATCACACACCTCATCAGTTAAAATAATTTTTTGAGCACATGCCCACACTGTGTACTTATTTGTAAATTGTATAGATGTACTATTGTTGTAGTATCTTTATATAATTATAAATTCTCACACAAATGGAAATGATTAACAGTAACTGTAAATAGGCATTCTAATATTTTCTTCCCTTACTTCAGTGAATGATCTTTGCACCCCCTGGGGTACCCCACCCCAGCTTGAAGACCACCACTTCAGAGAGGTATGTATAGGCTGTCAAAGGAGATAGGATTTTATAATAATAGCCCTTATAGACAAGAAAAGCCCCAGGTTGTATACTCTTAGGCTACACTTCCCGCTCCTCAGCAAATCCCAAGAATGAGTTGGTGTCTGTGGATAGTAGAGAGAAATTACAGAACAGCCATGGAGCACAATGCAGAGATTCTTTGTCTTAAGTCAACTCATGGTGTAGAATTTGTACTTAACAAGTCAGTAACTGATACATTTCCCAGGACTTCCTGCTTGATCTTGAGGGTCTTTCAGGCTGAGGTAGTAAGTGGTGTTGGCAGCCCTGGTGAGGGGGTAATCTTGTTGCCTAGCTCCGTTATGCATAAGGAGTCCTAAATATTAGGAAGAGGAGAGAGGTTCCAGGAAGGCCTGCTGACAAAGCCCTACTCCCACCAGACCATCACTGGCCCTAGGGGAGCGCTAAAGTGGGAGCAAAGCACTAAGTCAGGACTGGGCAATGGGGTCACGATCTTAAAGTGCTACCCAAGTGTTGCCAGCTCCTAGTCATCTGGTGCTCTTTCACCCATTCCTGACTGAGGATTTCTAGTTCTACGAGGACCTCTCTTCCCACTCTAAATACACATATCCAGTGTCCTTAAGACAAGTTGGGACCCACATAGGGCCCACTTCATAGGAGCTCATTTACAACCACCTCTTCTTAGTCACATCTTATCCAGTTGAAGGCCCCTTGTACTGCCACATAGGTTGTAAACTCTGGGGAAAACAGAAAACACTTGACACTTCCACAAACTTCTATCAAGCATGCATCAGGTGTCAGGCATTTGGGAGGAGCTGCGAGTAGAAGGGGAATGAAATGGATTCTTCCCTTTCCACAGTGCTTATTCGGTCCAGAGCTCTCTGGGGTCTCCGTGAGCAAGACAGCCCACCCAGGGCTGCAGAACTGGCTGTCTTCCTTTCTGGGGACCTCTCTGGACTGTCTCCTGTAAGACGTTTCATGGCCAGAATCATTGCTAGCTCCTGAAGAGGAGGGTGTACCAGAGGGGACTGGCCCACAGAGGCAGCAGGGAGTGAGAGGCAGTGATCTGGGAAAGAAGGGACACAGTAGGTCTGAGCAGCCCAGGGATCCACATGCTAATGTGTGGCCTTTGCTCGGAAGGTCCTCGCAGGTGCCACATGGCTACCATGCAAACCCTTGGGAGGCTCAGCCCATGCAGAATAGTTGAATCAGAATCCCCAAGAGTGGGAGCCTGAGGAGAAGCTCTTCAAGTGATTCTAATGTGTTTTAAAGCTCTTGAGCATTTCAAAGCATTCAGGTCTTGTTCCAAACATGATTGTTTGGCTGGTTCTGAACATAACCTAAAGCAATAGTACCATTTGCTCCAACCACATGCCCACTCTCTCCCCATCTTTCTCTTTCTTTGCGCATGTGTGTGTGCGCACGTGTGTGCACACGCACACACACACACACACACACACACACATACACACACCATGGACTTAATGAAGGCAATTGAATACTTGCCTTGAGAAGAGTTGAACATTTGTTCCACTGGTAATTTTTAAATAAATGCATCACTACCATAGTTACCATTTGTAGAGTATGAATTTAATACCTGGAAAACAAAATGATTCTGGCAGGCTGGAGAGAGCAGGCTGTTTGCTCAGCAGGTGCTGCCCAGTGGGGCCCAAACCCAGAAGACTTGCTGTCCAGTTGTGCTTTCCACCCTCCCCAGCCAACCCCATCAGCCTCCGTTCCTTTACTTCTGAAGGTCAAATGGTTCTGCCCCTTGTAGCTGCCCCAGTTCCCTCTTCACTAAAGGCTTCAGAGGCGGAGGCCTGTGCCAATAACTGAGAACCGACATGAGGTCTTTGTGGGACTGTTTGAGCCTGGGGTGTTTATTATCCTTCTGAATGGCTTTCTCCCAGAGAGGGGAAGAAAGAGGGGGCCCCGGTGGAGCCAAAGAACAGTAATCTTTCAGGAAGAAAGGAAAAGGCCAGCAACAGCAACAAAAACTTCCTGCAGATGTGGAATTTGAAGGAATCCAGAGAAAGCAAGCCTATTTTTAGCAGGAGTAAGAGTGCAAACCATGATAGATGCCACAGGCTGCTGTCACTAACATTTGACTATAAGCAACATTTTCATATTTAAACATGACAGCCCTGCAAATTGAAAAGAACCAACACTTTCTGCTTGCTGAGTAGAAGCTATCACTTTCCTCCTCAGCCCAGTAGGAGGACCGGCTGTATGTGCTGTGTGGCCGGGCCAGCATTGGACTCACCCGTGTTGTTGCCATGACTATTTACATGTCAGCCACTGATGTCAGGGTACGCAATGGTGGCGACATGGTTGCTGTTCTTTCCGGTCAAGAAGCTGTGCAGTGTTACCTCTGTAGAGAAAATGTCCAGCAGACTTTGCTCAATTAAGCATGTACGTGTAGAAATACAACAGTCAAATGAGCAGGAATAAAAATAGATTACTTTTGAAGGAGTTAACTAATTCCATCGGGAAAACTGGTGAACTTGAGGTGAACCCAAGAATGGAAAAAAAAGAGAATCCCAGAAACGTGAGCTCTGGAGCAGTTTACCAGACCCCAAATGAGACATATGCATTACATCCTCTATACCTTTCATGAATATCTTGCCCAGATCAATATCAGGAGGGCTGGCACACACGTTCTTTTGAACCTTTAAGCAGCAAGCATTTTTCTAAGGCCTATTAGAAAATAATTTGCCGTTAGCATAGTGAGATTGGACAATTTGGGGCAAGATTTCTGAGGACAAGACCTGGAGGCTGACTTCTCCACTGCCCATTCTGACTTGCACCTGTTCCCACTCTGCTTGAGTAGGCGTTAATTATTGGCATTCCAAATGGTCAACATTGGCTCAACACTGAGTGAGAAGAAAAGGCAGAAGAAAACCAAAGGGCAGAACTGATAGCTTCAGGTCAGTCTGAGTGCAGAATGAAAGACTCAGCTGTTTTTATTATTTCCAGCTTGTTGACCTTGCTATACATTCACAGAAGTTTGAACTTTTCTAGATAATCAGCAAAACAAAGCAAGATGAGAAGAGAGTTTGAAGGGTTTGTTTAGGCTCCTCTTTGTAGACTTAGAGCAGCAGTTTCAAAATTCAGTTCCAGCAGCATCAGGTCACCTGGGAACGTGTTAGAAATGCAGATTCTTGTGCCCCATTCAGGCCTACTGAACCAGAAACTGGAGAGTGGGGCCCAGGAATCTGTGGGCTAATTTTTTTTTAATGTTGTAGTTATATATATAAAACATAGCATTTTCTATTTTAACTGTAGAATTCAGTGACATTCACAGTGTTTTACAACCATAACCACTATCTGTTTCCAAAACTTTTTCATCACCCCAAACAGAACCTTTGTAATTATTAAGCAATAATTCCTCACTCCCTCCAATCCCCAGCCCCAGATAACCTCTAATCTCCTTCTGTCTCTATGAATTTGTCTATTCTAGATGTTATGTACAAGTGGAATTATGTGGCCTTTTTAGTCTGGTTTATTTTGCCTAGCAGAATGTTTTCAAGGTTCCTACATGTTTTAGTATATAGCAATACTTCGATACTTTTTATGGCTGAATAATATTCCATTGTATGGCTATACCATGTTTTGTTTATCCATTCATCTGTTGATGGATGCTTGTGTTGTTTCCACCCTTTGGCTATTGGGAATAATGCTGAAATGAACACTGGCATACAAATATCAGCAGTCTGTCTTTTAACAAGCTCTCCAGGTGACTCTGATGTACACTGAAGTTTGAGAAGCCCTGAAGTTTCCAGAGACCAAGTGCTGTTTTTAAACAGGAACTCAGAACGCTAGGTGGAGGCTGTGTGCCCTACTGCAGCTTTCTGCATCCCAGCCAGGGGTCAAGGCTGTAGCCACTTACATCTTATTTCTGCTGCCAAGATCAACATTTAGAGTTTCTCGAAGGTCCTAAGACTAGACCCAGGAGAAAAATGCCTTTCTGGATTAAGGGTTCTCTTTGACCTTGTTTCAAGGTGATGTTTCAAAATATTTCAAAGGGATGGCAGAAAAACATTTATTAAAAATACATAGCCATTCAGTTGTTTTTGACTAGACTGTCTGGACTCAGATGTTTTATGTTACTCCATGATTACCTTGATATTAGATATAAGAATGACTCATTCTACTTTTATGTAGAGAAATCAGGTCTGTTTTCTGAGAATTATAGAAGTAGTAAGTGAGAGGAAAAGGAGAAAGAAAAAATTGTTTGTTATAAGTTCACAGATACTTGGCTTATGTTTGATTATGATTGTATAAGAATTTCCAGGTTCAAAGACCTTCTTAACTAATTCCTTCATGTTCAGAAAGGTTAAATAATTTTATTGCAGTTTTACAGCTAGGAAATGACAAAGTCAGGATTAGAATCCAGGTCTAAGTCCAAAGTTGCTGAATAAATCAATTTATACTGGCTTCTAGAAGCTTAAAACAGTATGCCTTTCAGAGATATTTGGGTTTTTAACAGGGGACTCCTGGATATATCATATTTTAACCTGAAGAAATCTGCCTTCAAAGGTAGAATATACCTAAGGCAGAGGAAGGGGAGGCCTTTTCAACAATCACAAAATGATCCATGTAATCTGCAAGCTCAGCTCTAGCAATCTCTGAGGTGCAGGTTCAGAAGTATGTTGTGTTTCATCTTGTGTCACATGTTAAGAATGAAATGGAAGTGTAAGGCAGAGCAGCCTGGCCCATGATGGTCTGGATGTTATGATGCCTTAAGTACAGTAGGAGTAAGGCAGGCGCAGTGGCTCACGCCTAAAATCCCAGCACTTTGGGAGGCTGAGGCGGGAGGATCACTTGAGGCCAAGAATTAGAGACCAGTCTGGGCAATATAGCGAGATCCCATCTCTACAAAAAAATTAAAAATTAGCTGGGTGTGGTGCACACCTGTGGTCCCAGCTACTTGGGAGGCTGCAGCAGGAGGATCCCTTGAGCCCAGTAGGTTGAAGCAGCTTGAACAGTAGAGTGAGACCCCATCTCTTAAAAAATATATATATGAAAGGACAGTAGGAGTAACTGAAGATGTTACCCTTGGGACAAAAAGGCCAGGGAGCACATGACACTGTTGCCAGGTTTATGAAGGGCTGCCGTCTGGAGGAGGATGTTGTGCTAAGTAGCTTCGAGAGAGAGGGGGCCAGGCCCATGGGTAGGGTTTGCAAGAAGGCAGTTCTCTTCTCAGTATCAGAAGTCTGCTAATAAGAGTAGGATGAACACTTTTATAAAGTAGTGAGTTCCCCGTTGGCAGAAGCATCACAGTAGACTAAGATGAGCAGCCAAGCGTATGGCAGCAGGGCTGCCTGCATGGACTGGAAAGTGCAATGAAATGACCCCTGGTGCCAGTGATCTACTCCAAGGTGTTATGACCCTGAGGTTTCAAAAATTGCTGGATTGTTATTTGCTGAATGCAAAACCGGTATCAAAAGGGAATTTGATGTTGATCTATTGTGTTAGCTGTTTTAAAATATGCCCCTCCTTGTAAAAAAATCACTAAGCATCATTGACGTAAATTTCTGAAATATTTAGAGTTAATTACTGTTTGGGGATTTGTTTCCGTCTGGTTATAAATTCAGTGGGAACATCATTTTGAATGTTTCCTGATAACTGTGTACTGCTCTGACCTACTGGCGTCTCTCTTTTTATGCTGATAATTAGAGAACTCAAAATGGAGCCACTCCCTGAGTAAGGACCTTGGGTTCTAGCAAAGCAGGAGAGATCCAGCTGGAGCCTGCGGCACCCATGGGGACTGTTTGTGTTATTCTCTATATTTCATGCAGCCACATTAGTGAGGTTTGAGGATTTGGGTGGTCGGCATGATCATGGTCTTCAGACATTTGAAGGACATAAACACAGAGGAAGGAAGGAATTTATTTAGCTCAGAACAAGGGGTATAATTAGGGTAGGAGTAATGAAATAAAATTAAGGAAAGAAAGATTTAGACTGAATATTAGTGGGGTACTTCCAAGCAATAGATTTATTAAGCTTTTAGGTATTTTCTAGGGATTATTACTCTGTTTTCCAAGTCACTTGGAAATCAGAGGGACAAAGGCTGAGATAATCTTGAGGAAACGACAGCCTTTGGGTATGGGGCAAAATGAGAGGGCTTCACTTTGTCCCTCACCTGCCCCTAGTCTGTCTTGTAAATGTGAAAAGCTCAGTGGGCAGTCCCCTTCTGAATTACTTCTGTCTACCTATAGAATGTGCTTGGTTTTTTGTTCAGACCAGGAATTATTCAAAGGATGGTGTGTTCCCCAAGGGAAAAATCTGATTGTGAGAATCTGGGGAGAGTTCCTACCTGCCCTGAGGTTGGGCAGGCTGATTTCTGCTTGTTAGTTCTGCCTCTGGAGAGCAGGAAGAGGAGGCAAAATTTAATCAATTCCAGTTATGGACGGGAAAGGATTTTGAAACTCTGGGTTAAAAGAAGATGACTAGTTAGAGACCAGCCTGGGCAACAGAGTGAGACCTTGTCTCTAAAAAAAAATTTATAAATTATCCAGGCATGGTGGTGTATACCTGTAGTCCCAGCTACTCAAGAGGCTGGGGTTGGAGCATCACTTGAGCCCAGGAGATCAAGGCTGCAGCGAGCTAGGATCATACCACTGCACTCCAGCCTGGGGTGACAGGGCGAGACTCTGTCTCTGGGCAAAAAAAAGAAAAAAAAAAGAAAAAAAAAGGATGCCTACTCATTGAGGAAGGGGGGTGGGGGGGGGGCGGGGGGGCGGCTTCAGCCATTGTGGAGTCTCTAATAAATCAGGAGCTTTTCTTTCCCTCTGGAGCCTTTCCTGTGCACTCTTGGGATCTACTTGTCCTTTGCAAAGTCTAGTACAGCCACCTCTCCCATGGGGAAGGAGACACTTAGCATCCTGGGACCACCAGTCACAGCTTTAGGACTTTAGCTTTCCTGGACCAGCCCTGATGGCACCATGCATTGCCTGGATGGTATGCACGGACCCAGGCTCCCTTCTGAGACTAAGAACAGACATTTGCATTCAGGTATTTTGCATATGCCATTGATAGCACTGAAAAGTAAAACAATAGAACAAGATACTAAAATCTGGGAAGATTTTCTTGGGACTTTCAGTACATCTAGCTTCCTCTCTGGTCACAAGGGTAGACAGCTGGGGACTTTTCTATTACTGGGGTAGCTCCCTTGTAATTTTCCACTTTGAATCTTACATCTTTTTGTATTAAGTTAAATGGTGTTTTGCTCTTTAAAATAGCCTTGTAATATGGCTGGTCTGCACTGCTCGCTTTGTCTTAAAAGGGAATAAAATTCTTAAATTGAAAGCAAATCGGAGAGGGTTCTATGGCGCTCTCTGCGAGGGGCCGAGCGTGGATTCGGGTCTGATGATTACTTTGACTGCAGAAACAGTGGGGGCTGTAATCTCCGAAGCAGCGGACACTCACAGCGACGGTTGGCCCAGTCCTTTGATTTAGACAGCCCTTGGCTGTCTTGCCTGGCCTAGAATCCCTATTCCATTGAAGTCTGGCCTCAGGCTGTCTTCTTGGGCAGTGCCATTTGCATCCAGGCATGGGGAGGGCCTCTGTGTCCTCAGGGTGCCGTGTGTTTGTGGTGAGAGAGGATGAACAGGCAGCAGACAGGGGCTCCCGGGCAGTTGCTGGGCTGCTGCTCGAGCGTCTGCCAGGCATGATGAAATGGGAGGAGGCAGGGAAGGCTTCAGAGCAGCAGGGTTCACCCGCACACCTAAAGTCCTAACAGCATGCAGGCATGGTATAAAACAGGTGATCCCTTAATGAGGTTTTGATGTGTGCGCTGGCTTTTGAATTTTATGCTGGAGTGTCACTGCAGTGTGGGGTTATCTCCAAGGAAACCCTCACATACCTTCCACATCCATTTTCTAACCCCGCTTCTAAAGAGGGCAGCGTGCCCCAGTGGTCTTAAGGGGCATTATAAAACTCTCGAGATAAGATTAATTTGGATTCTTGCTAATTTGGAAAGTCAGTGTAGTCATGAGGAATGTGTGAGTGTGCTGAAAAAAGTGGAACCAGCCACCCTCTAAAAGGCAGGGTAATTATTATACAGGGTTGGGTTGAACAGAGGGTTTGTGTCGCCTTTACTGTTGGTGATCATCAAAGATGTCTTAAGCTAAGAACACAGTTGTCTTTCTCAGTGTGACTCCCGTTTACTGCGTATCAAGCTGCAGGAAGTCCAGCTGATGTAAATAGATTAATATTTAAAAAGTAATACAGAAGAATGAGGTTCCAAACATGTAATGTTTAATTATTGAAAACCCATAATGGAATTCCAATCCAAACTCATCTCTCACA
Organism: Homo sapiens; assembly: GCF_000001405.40. NCBI lineage: Eukaryota > Metazoa > Chordata > Mammalia > Primates > Hominidae > Homo > Homo sapiens. The sequence goes on from NC_000006.12 coordinate 107,617,673, forward strand.
TCTCACTGGTGTTCAGCAAAGAAGCTCAATTAGCTGGGGAGCCTGCCCACCCCACAGCTTGATTTGATCATCCCAGGGCCAAGCCCATGCTCTCTCTTAAAGTGCCTGGCAACACAGATGTGGGCAGCTTGGGTTGTTGTATGACTCCTTTTTTTTTTTTTTTTTTTTTTTTTCTGAGACGGAGTCTCTCTGTCGCACAGGCTGGAGTGCAGTGGCACGATCTCAGCTCACTGCAACATCTACCTCCTGGGTTCAAGCAGTTCTCTTGCCTCAGCCTCCCAAGTAGCTGGGACTACAGGCACCCGCCACCAAGCCAAGCTAATTTTTTGTATTTATAGTAGAGATGGGGTTTCACCATATAGGCCAGGCTGGTCTTGAACTCCTGACCTCAGGTGATGCGCCCGCCTCAGCCTCTTAAAATACTGGGATTACAGGTGTGAGCCACCGTGCGCGGCCCGTATGCCTTCTTATTACATAATTGTTGCAGCCCTTTTTAGTCAAATTAATGGGTAAATGACTGTACAGTGTGAACAGGACAATAGAGAAGAATTTGCATAACTTCTAACTGGTACAATTCAGGAAAGTTAGGTGACCTTCCAGAAATCATAGTATTAAGGGCATTCATAGTTCCTTTGGGTTTATTAGGCCATGAAGTATTTGTCTGGTTAGAAGAGTTTACTTAGTCTAGGGGTAGCTGATCACCCATTCTCCTCTTGAGACCATAGTTCTTTGGCCCTTTAGGACATATGTGTCACTTACTCTGGATAAGGCTGAATTTGCGCAGAGGCCTGTGGCAGAGAATGGCCAAAGGAAGAGATAAAATGATCAACATGACTAGAATAAACCCTCATCCATAGACCAATGGGATTTAGTTCAAAATCAGTGTGCCAGCAAGGCTGTTTGAAGTAGTTTTCTTGATTTTATGTTTTTATTTAGCATGACAGTTAAGGACAGTCCTTTGTGTATAAATACAAAAAATAGCGATATGCCATTTGTTGTTGTTTGGTTTAAGTGCACGTGAAGAGGCTGCTCAGTTGTGGCCCCTTTCTCATGTAATGCTCAGGAATTCATCTGTCATGCAGAAAATGCAGCTGTGTGACCTAAAATGCTCTTGGGTGAAGCCTCGGGGTTTGGAAGGTCACGCCATAGGTACTGGTATTCATGACATCCTGTCGGGCTTGTGGGCTGCGTAGGGTAACTAGAACTGAGAGGACAGAAATTGAGTTTGTAGTGACTGCAGAAGCTGAAACCACAAGGTGAAATGTAATAGGGTCTAGGCCTCAGTGAGCACAGGAAGCTGATTAGAGGTGAGCAGGGGCGGGGGAGCACTGAGGCTGAGAAAAGTGCCACAAGGGGACGAGTAACGTTGATTTCTGGACAGAGCCTGTTAACATGCGGAGGGGCCCATGTGTAGGAATCACCTTCACCTTCTCCTGCAGTTCAGTTACAACTGGTAATTGCATCCTGAACCCTTATCATGTGCAGGATGGGGTTCTGGGGTGTAAAGGTGCCATGAGATCCAGGCCCAGTACCACAAAAGAAAGCTTTAATTAAAGAAAACATGATAAGGCTTAGGTTTCCTGGCCCCATCTTATGCATCCAAGTGATTAAGGTAGCATTTTTCAAAGTGTTTTCCTATAGAAGCCTACTTTAAAAATAAAAGAGTTCTGTTTTTGAAAAGCTGGGGAAACTCTGGATGAATGAAGTTTAAGTATGTTTCTTTTCTGCAGATCTCCTCAGAGGCTCAGGCATGGCAGCCTGCACTGAGAACCTCCAAAGAAGAGCATAGAATATGCAACATTTCCCAAGCTTATTGGGCCATGGGATCCTTTTTGGGGGACAGAGCATTTATTGGTGGATCTAGTGTTTCTCAGCATATACTTTAGGAAATAGAGAGTTGGGGCATATTGGTCAGTGGTAGGGTCGGTGGGGTGGGGGGCAGTTGGAATGGGTTTAGGAATAGACAAGAACCTGAGAGAGTATTCATATTTCCTTTCTATGGAGACCCTCAGAAATAGTAGTGCAGGTGTATGCAGGCTTCTATAAGAGGCATGTCCTGGTGTAAACTTTATGCTTTTGCACCAGCAGAAGACAAGGCCTCCCAGCCCTTGGATTTGAGTAGGTCCACCCAGACTGAGGCTGTCCTGGGTACGCCACACCCATAGCAAGATACAGGGTCATTAACCACCAGGAGGGAGTATTACGGGATTAGGCAGGGACCTTGAAGTCACTGCCCCTTCCTAGATTTTCCTCATTTTTTTTAGCAGAGGGTAATACCTGGAAGGTTATGGTAAGGATTAAATCTGAGAAAGTCTGTCAAGCTGGGTGAGACTTTTGGTCTTCCTAAAGTTATGGAAGCTTGCCATAAAGAAGCCCAGGGAAATCAGAAAGGTGGGAATAGCCATTGCCACTCATCCCTGTGGTGTCTGAGCAATTGTGCTGGCAGTGAATGGTCCCACAGTGCTAATAACTGAGCCACTGGACTGCCTTACTGCTCCCAAGGAGCAGGCATCCTTGCTTCCTGATTTAGCACGAGGCCGTTAAAGATTTGCAGTTCCCTGCAGTTTGGCTTCTACTCCATCCACTTCCAGCTCCCTTCTCCCCACTCTCTAATTTGTGACCTATGCTTCCCTGTGGTTTCTGCACATTGCCTCTCTCCTCTGTGGTCCTCTGGCTTTATTCCTATGACCACTCTCTCCACCACTATTTAGTCTCTTGGCATTATATTGATTCCAAACTTCCCAAATAAGAACATCTAATTGGTCCATTGAGTTGCTCTGTCCCTCTTAGGCAGAGCCCACACCAACATCTTCAGGTGTCTTTGGGTCCAGGCAGCTACAGCCAATGAGACAGCAGGGCCATGACCACAGCAGACACCAGCATCTCATGGGCTCTGTTCTGATACAGAAGTAGTTAGCACACAGTTCTTTTCCTCCTCCTCTTTGTTCCCTCTCCTGTTCCTGCCCACTTTTGGAACATGCCAATCTGTATCAAAGGCATGCCTTGATACAGCAGGAAATACCCAGTAACACCTTTTATTTCACTCTTAGATACTAAGCACTGAAAGAAAGGCCCGCCCTCACATATTTAGAGCATCCACCATATTTCTTTTTTCTGTGTCTCACCAGATCCAGGGCATGTTATGCAGGCTGTTTGAATTAGGCAGCTCTGTTATGCTCATTTCTCCTCTTACCCGGGAGCCAAGAGTCCAGTTGTATGAAGGGTCAGATGGCAGTACAGTTTTCTTCTGCATCTCATTTCCTCCTTCAGAGTAGGCCAAAGAATGATGTCATTAGTCATACAGAGGTTAGGAAATGGGGGTTTCTACCCAAATACTGACAACTGATATGTAATTGTTGCTAGTCTTAATTTACTTAGCTCTAAAATAAGGTATGTTATCTGGCTGCTTGTCTGTTTACAGATTTCTGGTGAGTGATATTATGATAGTACTATTGAGCCACTTGAATTTATTGGAGGAAAGGAGCTATATAAATAACAGGTGTGTTTAAATATATATGAATACCTATCTGTGTCCCGGGTTGTCTTGGTTCACACCATTTAACAGTTCAGGCATTTGGCCTGGATGAGGAGATTCAGTTGGGCGAACCCAGGATTCGCTGATGAGGATGGAGTTGTAAGAGGGATCCTTAGTGGAGAATCCAGTATTTGTTGAGCATTGGTTTTCAACCAGGTAGTTAGCACAGCAGGATGGCTAAATTCACAGAACAAAGACAGAAAAGAACTAGGCAAATCAGCAGTCCACAAACAGGAAATAAGCTTTTCAGAGACAAAGGAACCAGTGTGGATATCCAAAGAAATCAGAAGCAGTCCAGCACATCCCTCCCACGTATCTAGGAAATTGCCACTAAGCAGTCACTCTCACACAGGTTTTAATTAACTAAAAAAGACGATAGGCAATCCAAATTATTCCTTCTCCCCAGGTTCATGAGCCCAACACACGGAGCCTTTTGAATTTGCAGCATTATATACCAGATGCCATAAATGTCACATTTGTGTGTGACAGAGCATAAGGGATTCCATTGGTAACTCTGGCCCGGGTGACTGGTGCTGGCCTGAAGCTGAGCCTAGGGCTAAAACATCCATAGTGAGCTTAAGACCACAGCCTGGCCCAAAAACCTCCTCATTATTGCAATTATATTGCTGTCAAACACTCCACAAACCATTAGAAGCATAGTAAAGAATTTGGGGGTCAAGTGTTTTGTTGGTTTGGGTTTCTGGGTTTTATTTTTGCAGTGTGCTTTTTACTTTGAAGTACACATCAGAGGAAAATTTGTAGTAGGGTATTTTTCTCCCTCTCTTTTTTTAAAATAACAGATTTAACAGAATAAAGGGTAAGTAAGAGTAGAGTATAGGTAAAACAGTTGGCCCTGTTTTTCTAAATAGGAAAATGTGTTACCTTACCTTTGTAATAATACGTAAAAACATCTGTATTTATGCAGCACTTTTTATTTTTTAGAATGCTTCCATTTGCACTATTTGTTTTGATCCTCCCAGCAGCTCTTGAAGGTAGACGGGGTGCCAGAGGGCACAGGAGCAGGACCCAAAGTTGCAGAGTGGGCAGCATGTGGGTCTTCTGAGCCAAATGGAATCAAAGCCTGAGGCACTGATTGAAAATTGGGAAGAATGTATTTACAGATTTAATCTCATCAAGAAAACTTTCAACTATTAGGTGGCTAGCAGAGGCAACAACTATCCCAATAAACTTGAAAACTGGACATGATAAAGGCAGCTGGGATGATACAAGAAGAGATGCGATTGTGGAGAAGAGCCAGTTCTTCTCAAGAGTAAACAAAGACATTAGCAGGAACAAACAATTGACTTCCAAAGTCTCTCTGCCAATGCAGAGAATGGGAAGGACCAAGTTGCCCTGGCTTATGGGCACAAAAAGGTGAAAACAGTCTCAGAGATCCCACTGAGACTTGGCAGTGTCTTGTGCCTAGACTAGAGCTAACACAGAGAACTAAAATATAAAATGACACACCCCACAGACATATCTAATAGGTAGGTAAAATGCTTGAAAATATATCCTTGTATAGCAGTTGACACTCTTGAGGGGGAAATGCAAGACAGGAATTTTAGGAATATAAAAGGAAGCATCAAAAGAATAATGTGGGGATATTTAGTATAAAATATGGAGCAGACATTTAAAAAATACATTAATTAGCAAAGAAGCAAGATATGGGATAATTTATCTTGTTATCTACTAAAAATATTATTCTCTTCAAAACAGAGCAGTTAATAATTCCCCCCCATGCCCTGTGAAGAGTTATGAGAAGGTGGAGGAGCAGTGAAGGGAATCCTACTTTGACCACCATCTGATTAATCTAGGGTAGAGCTACTTGGAATGTGGCTGGAGTGGGGAAGTGGCACTATCTTGGAATACGTGATAGCAGAGGGGGAGAATGCTGGATATGATCAGCCACATTCCCTGGAGTTTAGAAAAGCAGATTTTTTTGAAGTGCCAAGGAAAGGTGGATTTGGTCCGACAATCAGAGGCTCAGTGCATTTGGGGAGTTATTTGGGGCTTTGTGTAAAGTTCTGAAAATGAAATTAGATCAGGAAGGCTAGGCTGCAAAAGGAGCTGAACCCTTAGGGGAATGCCCAAGTTAATAAAAGGAGCTAGTAACGCTATGTTCATAGAAGGAAAAAGAAGTAGAAGTGGATAGATCCGTATTTAGAGCAAGTCATGTAATATTTAACAAAAGAGGATGAAAAGGCAGGGCTCGGCAAATTTTATTTGGTTTCCATTGTCTCCGTAAAGAGAATGTTCTCTACACTGCAAAGAGTAGGGAATACCATAAAGAAGGGTACCAATCCCAAGTCAGGGGGAGAGAGAGAGAGATAGGCAGAGAACATCTGCTATGCTAAGCAAATTAGATCTTCCAGCTCACAAAAGGAAATTGGTAGATGATTTCATATCTACTTCTGGTTAATCTTTGCTCTGTAAAAAATACAGAAACGGACAAATGTTGACCAAATTTTTAAAATTGGGAAAGGGTTTCTGATTTCTGAAACTCTAGACAAGTAGTTTGATGGCTTACCCTCAAAAGACCTTGAATATATTATTAAAGAAATAGTTGATGAGCCCTTAGAAGAAAAAGGTTTCGGTTGACCAGAAACTCAGAGTGAAGTAGGCAGCATAGTAGAGTGAAAAGAGGATGGGTTTGAAGTTCTGGATCTGAATCCGGGCTTCACTATTTGTAGGCTGAGAGGGTTTAGGGAAACCACGTCAATTCTTTGAATCCTTGTTTTCTCATTTTTAAGTAAAATGGGAAAAATAGTAGCTCCTTTACAAGTTTGTTGCCAGAATTAAGAGAGAGAAGTGAAAGGCTCAAGCTTGGAATATAACGAAGAGTCAATAAATGTTTGTTTTTAAAAAGCAAAGACCTTGCGTAAGCATATGCACAGAGGAAAGAATAAAAAAATAAAATATAAAAAGCGAAGGCCTAACAGTGGGACTTGACTGCTGAAAAGCACATGCATTCTTGGGTGGCATTAGCAGAGGTATAGTGTTTTACATGAGGGAGGAAGAATTCCACTGGACTCTCTGCTAGTCAGGCTACTGCATTCCATTCTGGGCTCCACCCTTTAAGAGGGGCATTAACAAGGTGAAGTGTATTCCTGGGTCAGTGGCAGCTGGTCTCACTAGCATGTCCCTAGGAGGACAGACAGCATAGAAGGGCCCTGGGAACTTGTGCCCTGGGAACTGGGTGCCAGAACTGGGGACGTTTAAAAATAACAATCTGGAGCAAATATGATGACTCCTTTTAATTTTTTCAAAGACTGAGATTTGGAAGAGGAGTTGATCTGTGCTGGGAGACCCTGGCAAACAGTAGGTAGAAGTGACAGGGAGGTGGAGTGGTTAAACTTTCTAATAATCAATGCTGGTTGACAACAAAATAGACTGCCTCAATTATATTGCATAGAGACCTGCAGTTGTATTACAACCCTCTTTAGCAAGCCACCAGGAAAATTGGTGCAAAGGAGAAAGATTGCTATGGTATGAATCACTCTTTTGGCTGTGTAGATGGGTATGAATGTTTGTCTCTGTCACAGGAAGTATGGATGCCACCTGGAAGATGACCTATGTGTAGAAGGAAACCCAAGCTTGCTGTGGGAGATAGGTTGGGTTTCACCTGCGAAGTTCCTTAGAGTTCTAAATGTCAGTGATTCTGGAATTTCAAAACAGAAAGTTATTGTCAAATATTAGTCACCTATCTTAATCCTGTAATTTGTAGGAAAGTGCAAAAAACCCTTGAGATAGTGGGGCAGTATGAGTTTTGAAGCCAGACAGATTTAACTTAGAATCTGGATCTGCCATCTATTATCTGCATAGGTAATCTTGAGCAAGTTATTTAACCTATCTAACCCCCAGTTACCTATATGATAAGGTATTTGTGGAGGTTCAATGAGGAAATTCATGTAGCATGCTCAGCATGGGTACTAGAGCTTAAATAAAGCTACCTATTGTTACTAGTGTATAATTTATTAGTATTACATCAAACTGGGGCTTGCAGTAGTCACAATAATAAAAGCCATGACTTTCATTAGAGTGTCCTGGAGATATTTGAGGACTGGGCAGAGATGGATACCAGGGGCTGAGTTGGGCAACTTAGGGTGCCCACAGGTAGGTTCAGGCTATGGCCCAGGGTGCAGAAAATGTGCAAGAGACTGTCAGAAGAGAACTGAATGAAGCAATGCAAGTAAAGCCCATAGCCAGGTGCCTGGCAGAGCCCAAGCAATCAGTATGTAGTTGGTGAGTGGATGTGATGTCACTAGGAGCAGCTGCAGACTTTTGAAAAGCAGCCAGAAAGTGGGCTAAGGTAGTGGACACAATGAGGGATTATCAGAGGTGCCATTAGTTCTGCTCAGCAGTGCCCTTGACCTGGGCCACCAGCACACAACGTAAGCTTGGCCCTGTGGTGTTTCAGGGGTACCACCCATCACCAGGGTGAGATACAACCCAGGGAGTGAGGAGGCTGGAAGGCAGATTCAAAGTCCCTGGCGTGGGGGTTGGGGGGACTGCTCCAGATGCCACTGATAATCACAGCAATCCTTCCAAAAAGTCCTCTTACTTGATGTCTGCTTAGTTGTGTTGTGGAACTAAAACCACATATTTTAGAATATGATTTTTGCCATTTTCTAAAAAAAAGTTTGCATGACAGAAGAAATGAGGTGTGTGACCACAGACAGAAGCTGGGCAACTAGCATACTTCACTTTTTAACACATTAGTTTGATGGGTTTCCCTTATATACAAGTACAACCCAAAGTCCTTCCCTGCAACTTTTCTTAAACTCTTATAGTCACAAATAATGAAACTTCAAATATTCATTAGAAAGCAGGAAGAAAAACAGTGACACAAAAAGAGAGCCAAATATATACTTGAAAAACAAAAAGTTACAGTAAATAAGGTAAATACATATCTGAAAAAAGATTCAGATAATACATTTTAAAAAAAGAGGAGTCACAGTATTGGGTTAGAAGAACAAAGGGAAATTTGACATTGAGACAGTAGATATTAAGGATTTTTTTTGCTAAAAGCTGTTAGTTGCATGTTAACCTTTAGAACAAATCTGTTGATAGAGGAGAGTGTGTGCTAATTTTTCCACTTATTGCTAATAGACAGATTTTGAACTCTGCAAGGGCAGGTGTACTAAGTCTCTCCTGCCCTGTTCCACAGCCCATTGCCTTCTGGAGCACAGCGCAGTACTTATTTCTGAATGAATAAAAGTGTTACAAATAGAAGATCGGTTTTCTCTTAAGCTTCAGTTTGAAGCAGAGATGCTTGAATGAAAACAAAACAAAAACTTGTGCCTCCAGTTTCCTGGGGCAGATTCTACCTCATATGAGGGCAGGAGCTTCATTTTACTCATGTCCCAGGTTCCTAGCACAGCACCTCACCCATGATGGGCCCTGAATAAATGTTCACTTTTCAATGAGTAAACTGGATTATGTGATGGCAAATTTTTCAGGGCAGAGAGTAGTTGTGATACTTGGAGCTGATAAAATGGGCATGGGACGGCCTGGCAATGGGAGATGGGCTAGGACGTTGCTCCCTTCTTAGGAGGCACGTTTTCCATGTCTGTAGTCCCCTCCCAGTTTCCTTTCTTTCTCACATGTTTCCCCAGGCAGGGTCGTCACTGTGGATGATCTCCTTTTACAGCTGAGCACTGAGGCTCAGAGGGATTAAATGCCTGGCTCCACTGGGAGCTGGAGGTTGGAGGAGAGGATGAGATGATCACCGAGGTTCCTTTCAGGGCTTAATTTCACTGCTTTGAGATTTCTTAGGTGATTTCTGTGCCCTCTCAGGACCAAATAACTGGAAAACAAAGAGGCAGGCATTTGGTACCAGGCAGACCAGGTTTTTTGATGTACGATTGAATTTTTTAGTTTCCATCTGGATGATTTGTATTGTGAAGGTGTAAGTTGCATTCATCCACCTTAAATGAAGCAGAGAGTTTTGTCATGGTATATTAATACTCTTAAGCAACGTAAAACATCACCCCAAAGAGAAAAATCGTCTTCTGAATCATGTGTTTGGCTGTCAGGGTGGGCCTGCAGTCACTGAATACAGGCCAGGATTCCATCTCTTGCATTGGCTGTAGAATCAGAGACTTGGGTCCATGATAAGCCATTTGTTAAAGCTCATTGAGATCCTGAAAACCAAGCCCATCTCTGCTCTGCCTTACAGAGTTCATGGCACATGAGAAAGAGAAGGAAGGATCTGCTCCTGTGACCTGGGCCAAGATTTCTAGAACCCAGCTTAAAATTTATAAGATAAGTAGAACTTGAGTCATGGTATAAAGTTCCTACAGGGCAGTTTTCTAATGAGATTTTTTCACTTCTAACAAAGATGTTCTTTAGCCTCTCCTTGAGCTCCAAATCTTATTTAAGAGAGAGAGAGAGCTAGAGCAAGCTAGAGAATGAATAAAATACAAAGCAAAACAGACAAACAAACAAAAAAACCCAAATAAAAAGAACTATGTAGCAAACACCAGCATGTTGGAATCTAAACCTGCAGAAAGTTTCTTGTTTTGAAAATGAACTTCTTCATGCATTTGTTTTTATTGTATAAGAGCCCTTCCTGTTTCTACTTTAAATTCCTCTCTCAATTCCGTATGGCTTTGCATGTCTATGACTAGGTCATCTTTTTCCTTCCTTCACTCAAATCCAGCTCTGCAAGAAAAACTTGGAATGGTGAGCTTAGTGTTGGTGTGCCCTTCCCCATTTTGTGGGGGCTCTTCCCTCAAGTGAACATTCTGCCATGGCAGGTTGGGGTCATCCAGTCTTAAAAGGCACCTGATACTGTGGCTTCTGGCCTTTCCTTTGGAAGATAGTTCTGCCATGTAATGAGTCAAGCAGATCGTCCATCAGCTCTGTTTTTTAATACAATATGCATGGCACAGTTTATGGCTTCCACTATTCAAACAGCAGTTGAGCCGAAGAGGAATGATTCATTTTAATGGTTCTAACGCTCATTTCCAAGCAGCCATGTCGCTTTATCAAGCTTTTGCCTGAATTAGAAAATGACTGGCCTTGGAAAAATAAGAGGGCTCAGCAGGAGTTGAATAGAGGCTTTTCAGGATGGTGGGCAGCTGGGATGCACATAGAATTGTGGGCTGGTTCCTTGTCCCTGCAGACAGCTCCTCTGTTAGCCCTGGGGACAGAGCCTCCTAGGGAGCAAGGTGGGGGCTGGTATCTGTGAGGTGTAGCATGAGTTTGCCCAGAGAGAAACGTGCCCTGTTTTATCTCAAAGACACACAGGCTCATAGGAAAGCAGTGGATGAAAATCTCCCTTTCCCTCTTCCTGCAGCCATAGAAGCATCCTCCCCATAAAACACATGTAAAACATGTGGGACAGGCTGGGGATTGAAAATATATACTCTGTAAGAAGCTTAGTGATATGCCTAGCACACAATCATTAGACTGTTAGCTCCATTTTACAGATAAAGAAACTGAGGCTGAGATTTTCGTAATGTTGCACTGCTAATAAGGAATAAAGCCCAGATTCATGCCAACATCTTTTGATTCTAAATCCCATGTGATTTCCATAGCCTCTTTTGCCACTCAGGGACACTGAACTAGGGCCCTGCTGGTGGCAGTGTCTAGACCCAAAGGAACAGTTGATACTGGGACCACGGCATTCCAGGGTAGGGCTGGGAGCAAGTGCTCAGGTGGGTCAGTCTGAGGCCCTCAGCTCATGCTGTGAGGTGACTGTCTACAGGCAGAGCAGACCCCAAAGCCTTCAAAACACTGAGCACCCCTGCCCACATCCCTCCATCCTCCTTTGCTTCACTTGAATGAGTTCATGATTTTTGAGCTGGCCTAGACTACAAGATCAGTGCCACAGTCAACATGCCAAGGCCCAGAGAACCTCCCTTTTATGATAAGCTACAGTTTTGCTTAAGGAGCTACAACGTCTGAGCTGTTACCTAGGAGATACATTAGTAGACAGTCAGATGAAGTGGAAAGCACGTGAAGATTTTTTTTGTTTTATTTTTCAAATTGTTGATGGCATTCACGGAGGTGCTAATATCTTTTTTTTTTTTTTTTTTTTTACTGTTCCATTGCTACAAACATCTTTGCCCAGTTAAAGATTTCAGCAAAAGGGTTTCTTAATTAAATATTGCCTGATGCCAGATTACTGCTCAGAAGGCAGTGGTGGATTCCATTAAAGGCTGAACTTTACTCCCACAGCTAACAGCTGATGAATGTGTTAATTAGGAACCCTGTCCCCCTCCCTCAGTTGCCTGAGTTTTTTCTTAAGCCCAGAAGAACCTGTATATCGTGCCCATGTGGGTAACCTCATGGCATACTTTGGCCTTGACTTTGACGTTTATATAAAAATAAAGGCTCAGTTGCCAACATGAATAGCTTTCTCTCTTTCTGGGGAAATACAAGATGGAAAGAGTTATAAGAACCACAAGTCGTGCCTTTCGGCTTTCTTATATCAGGAGCAAGTGATATATGTGCTGAGGCAGTGTCTTTGGAGCAGTTGAGCGGTGTAGGTTGCCACACATTTATTTCACAGGAAAGGAGTGAATCCATCAGGCCACTGAGCTTATAAGTACTACTCTGGCAGTCAGCCACCCAAATATAAATACTCTAAATGGACTAAAGGAAATGTTCATTCTGTTGTTTAGAGTTGGACCCATCCCAGGAAGGTAAATTTAATCTTTTTGAGGACTGCTGTTATAGGGTTGAATGGAATACGCATTTGTTTATCTCCTTTGTGATCTTTTTGTCTTCCTGGTGATACATTATGTATTTGTGATAGGAAGCATTTCAGCTGTCTCGCTCAATGGCATTGCATTTGCTGGTTGTTGGGTCCCCAGATTGGCATCGTTAAACAGCTTCAGCCTCTGTCCAATCTAGGACCTGTTAGTGAGAGAAGTGGAACCAAAGAGGCCAGATTCCAACAGAAACAAAGCTGGGGTGAAATTAGGGGGAAATCATTCCAGAGCTCAGTGCGTAAATCCCTGCACTTCTTAATCTTTATCTTCTAAAATATCTGAAGGAATTTTGGTACTTCTTGGCATAATGAGGAAAAAATAATTCCTCAGAAAGTTAAAAAGTGAAATAAAATGTAAAGCTGTCAGTGAAAGAAGGAAAGAATAACCCACCACACCACAATTCAGAAAACCAGAGTTTATGAGACACACATTGTGTTTTCCTGGATATGCAAATGTTGTTTTATTAAAGAGAGAGGGATATGGTATATATTTTCATCTAACTACCACATCTTAAGTAATCAGTTCAGGCTCTTATGATGAAATCTTTAATTACTAGAAGTGTGTCATTAGTTAGATGTAGAATGAATGATAGTACCGTGTTTTATTGCCTCACATGATATAGCCATTTGTGCCATAAATTCATTGACCTCATCTTAAATGATGAGTCCTGTAAGACAGACTTGATTCATTATTTCTTAAGTGACAGTTTTTCCTCTAATAATTTTTTGCTTCACCAGAAAGATTGCTTTTCTGTATTTTTAGATCAGTATTCTGAATTGAAATTTAATAAGGCAAGGACACACACACACACACACACACTCTGTCTCTCTCTCTCTCTCTCTCTCTCTCTCTCTCTCACGTTACCGAAAACAAGATAGTCATGAACTGTCACACTACTACTTGAACACTTTGGGATGCTGCTGAAAATCAAGCAGCTAACCATAGGCCTTTGCTTTAATGGGAAAGTTTGATGAAATAGGATTTTGCTTCTAACTTTGATGTCTGTAATTCTTTTTATGTCAAAATCGATGAGATATGGTGGAGAATTCTCATTTGACAATTGGGATAGATCTATGAGCATTCCTTATTCATCATTGGATTACTGAAAGTGAAGGAAGGGAAGGGAGAACATATAAATTATATTTAGATTATTATTATTTTTTACTCCATTTGAAAATATTTATTTGGCTTGAGGAAACAGGAATCCTTTGGAGGCAAATAATTCAATCTGGCAATTTAAAAACCAATTAAGGATTTCAGAAAACCCTTCTCCCTTATGGCTAAAAAATAAGATCCAAAAAAATATGCCAGAAAATGGGTATATTATTTTAATTAGCTTAATTCATTGATAATTTTTTTTAGTCAATGATTAAAGAAGCTATTTTTGATCCTTCACTTCAAGCTTGTAAATTTGCACTGCAGGCTTTCTATGGATGCCTAATATTGAAACAGAAGCAGGTGGTTTTATTTCATAGTGGAATTTAAGTGCCACATCATTATACATTAATTTTATTTAAATGATCAGGTTTATAAAACAATAACTTACATGCATCATGTTTCTAATACTTGTTTACTTAACCTTTATCTAGATGAAAAATTTGAGGGTCTGATGGATTCTGTGGGTCTCTTCTCATCAGAGGCAATTCTGCACTTTTTTGTAAACTGGGCATCTCAATTAAGATAAAAGCTTCCCTTAATTCAGGAGGAACATGAAACACTATAGCGAAACACAGGAGTATATTAGCACTGAAATTTTTTTTTACCACTTTAATAACTGCAACAGTTTTGATAGCTAAATTGAAAGAATGCCTTTCTAATCATCAAAGGTAACTCAGCAGTTTTCTCACTCTCCAAAATTTTTTGCAAGAAGTAGTTTGAACGGGCAATTTGATGAGACTAAACAAAACACGAATGTGTGCCAACATGTTGTTCAGTCTCACACTATCAAGTTTATTACCTGCAAATATCAGTGGAAAAAAAGCGAGAAGGAAAAGAGTGGATTTACACATACAGACCCACATCTGCCAAGTGCGTGTTCGCCCATGATCACATACCAGCATGCCACCACTGTTTACAATCAAGGAAAGCTGAGAGTTAAATGAGATGAGTAATCAAATGCCCAGCATATGTTGTTTTTGCATTGTTTATGTGACCAATCATTATTAAAATTTATCATCTTTTAATTATATCAGTTTATGATAGTTTTTTTAAAAAACCAACACGCACCAACAACAGAACAACAGACAGCCTCTTCAACAAAAACAGGCTCTCATTTAGAACAATATTGGAACCAGTGCTTTATTGGGGGAGAGACTCAAATTCAATAGACTCACCATTGCACTGTTTCACAATTCTTTCTTTGCTGCTATATATGGCTTGAGTGCTGAGAAAATGGCCCCCCCCCAAAAAAAAGGAAAAAAAGAAAAAAGATTGTGTGTGTAAAACTCTGTCAAAAAAAAGTAAGGCACTGAAAGAACTATTGAAAATTTTGACATCTGTTTATCTGTTTATAGCTATGGCAAGATCACTCATATTAATTCTTGTTTAAAATGCCATATGAAGGAAAGACATTTGTGCAAACAAGAGTCATATTTGAATTGTAGATCATGTCTTCACCATCTGTGAGAGCTGATGGTGTTGCAAAATTAATGTGTTAATGAAATCACAATAATTTCTCCAAAGTAATGGGTTCTGAAGCTGAGAATGAGTATTTTTTGAACTTTGATGTCTAGTGATTTCCAATTGGGAAAAGCTCTCAGCCTTTAATTAGTTCTGCAGCCCAACTTTAAAATAAATTTGGTGATGTCTTTCTTTTGCCAAGAGTAGATTTGAAGGGGGGAAAAAGCCATAACAACTTTTGGAAAATGTTCTCTGGTGTTTGAAAAGTTGTTAAATAAGACTGCCTGCCAAGAAATGTCACCAAAAATTCTGACTACTGAGAGAGAGTGGGCAAACAGCTCAAAAAATAATTCTAGCTTGCTGCAACATCACAGGTTGGGAATAGCTAAACCTCACACAGACTTCATGATTAATTCCAAGTTTCTCCTTGGAAGCCAGACATAATGATGTTCAGCGCTTTGTGTTATTGGTTAACACAGTACACTCTTTCCAACTGCATTATCAAACATAGTCAACAGTGTAAAGTGACTTCGCATGAGGAGAATTGTAAGGGGTAATATTTCAAGCCCATTGAACTTTCTGGAGAACCTTTCCCTCCAAAACTCTTTAGGTTTGCATTTACAATGAGCCTCTCTGACAAGTGAAAATGTGTGGGCAGGTACATTGGACAGGTATATATATTCCCTTTTCTCAGAACCATCTTTAAGTCATGCTTAAAGGGGACAACACAATTTAAGAAAAAAGAATAGGAGGTTGTGATAATTGGTATTCTGAAGAGCTCATATTTATAAAGCCAACCCATCATTTTACAAACATTTCAGAATTTTACCTTTTAGAAGGAAACAGTTCTGCCTGTTTGAGAAGTGCTGGTAAAGTTTAAAAGAACCTTTATGTGAAACACGAAACGTCATCTACCCAGGTAAATTGCTTGTCTTACCTGTTGTGGTTTTTTATTACTGTGTTGTAGGTATGTGACTGGTGTAAGCACATAAGACACACAAAAGAATACCTGGATTTTGGGGACGGGGAAAGAAGGCTTCAGTTCTGCAGTGCAAAATGTCTCAATCAATACAAAATGGACATTTTCTACAAAGAGACCCAGGCCAATCTTCCAGCTGGGCTGTGCAGCACATTACACCCTCCCATGGAAAATAAAGCAGAAGGCACCGGGGTGCAGCTGCTCACTCCAGACTCTTGGAATATCCCGCTAACAGATGCTCGGAGGAAGGCCCCCTCCCCGGTGGCTACAGCTGGCCAAAGCCAGGGCCCTGGCCCGTCGGCGTCCACCACCGTCTCTCCATCTGACACTGCCAACTGCTCTGTCACTAAAATCCCCACGCCAGTGCCCAAGTCCATCCCCATCAGCGAGACTCCAAATATCCCTCCTGTCTCCGTCCAGCCACCTGCTAGCATCGGGCCTCCCCTTGGCGTCCCGCCTCGGAGCCCTCCCATGGTGATGACCAACCGCGGCCCGGTGCCGCTGCCCATCTTCATGGAGCAGCAGATCATGCAGCAGATCCGCCCGCCCTTCATCCGCGGGCCTCCGCACCATGCCTCCAACCCCAACAGCCCCCTGTCCAACCCCATGCTTCCCGGCATCGGGCCCCCGCCCGGTGGCCCCAGAAACCTGGGCCCCACTTCCAGCCCCATGCACCGGCCCATGCTATCGCCCCACATCCACCCCCCGAGCACCCCCACCATGCCCGGGAACCCCCCAGGCCTGCTGCCCCCGCCGCCTCCGGGCGCCCCGCTGCCGAGTCTTCCCTTCCCGCCAGTGAGCATGATGCCAAATGGCCCGATGCCGGTGCCCCAGATGATGAATTTCGGGCTGCCGTCGCTTGCCCCGCTGGTGCCGCCCCCGACCCTGCTCGTGCCGTACCCCGTGATCGTGCCCCTACCGGTGCCCATCCCCATCCCCATCCCTATCCCTCACGTCAGCGACTCCAAGCCCCCCAACGGGTTCTCCAGCAACGGGGAGAACTTCATTCCGAACGCCCCTGGCGACTCCGCGGCGGCGGGCGGCAAGCCAAGCGGACACTCCCTGTCCCCCCGGGACTCCAAGCAGGGCTCGTCCAAGTCCGCGGACTCGCCCCCCGGCTGCTCGGGCCAGGCCCTGAGCCTGGCGCCCACGCCCGCCGAGCATGGCCGGAGCGAGGTGGTGGACCTGACGCGGCGCGCCGGCAGCCCCCCGGGCCCCCCGGGCGCGGGCGGCCAGCTCGGCTTCCCAGGCGTGCTGCAGGGCCCGCAGGACGGCGTCATCGACCTGACCGTGGGCCACCGAGCCCGGCTGCACAACGTGATCCACCGCGCGCTGCACGCGCACGTCAAGGCGGAGCGCGAGCCGAGCGCCGCGGAGCGCAGGACCTGCGGCGGCTGCAGGGACGGCCACTGCAGCCCGCCCGCCGCCGGCGACCCAGGCCCGGGCGCCCCGGCGGGCCCCGAGGCGGCCGCGGCCTGCAACGTCATCGTGAACGGCACGCGCGGCGCCGCCGCCGAGGGCGCTAAGAGCGCGGAGCCGCCTCCCGAGCAGCCGCCGCCGCCGCCGCCGCCCGCGCCCCCCAAGAAGCTGCTGTCGCCTGAGGAACCGGCGGTGAGCGAGCTAGAGTCGGTCAAGGAGAATAACTGTGCTTCCAACTGCCACCTGGACGGGGAGGCGGCCAAAAAGCTGATGGGCGAGGAGGCCCTGGCGGGGGGCGACAAGTCAGACCCGAACCTTAATAACCCCGCGGACGAGGACCATGCCTATGCTCTGCGGATGCTGCCCAAGACCGGCTGCGTGATCCAGCCTGTGCCAAAACCCGCGGAGAAGGCTGCCATGGCACCGTGCATCATCTCCTCGCCCATGCTCAGCGCCGGGCCTGAGGACCTGGAGCCGCCGCTCAAAAGGAGGTGCCTCCGAATTAGAAATCAGAATAAGTAAAAGGTTTGTATGTCCGCCGGGCGCTCCTCCACACCAGCCAGTGCACCTCTCCTTACTTCTGACAAGGCAGAGGGGAGAGTTGTAATTATAGTCATGATTTTACCGTGTGTGTTTTATATTGCACACGGTGTGGTCACGCTATCAACATTCTGAGCCAGCAGCTCTGATGCTGAGTTGTTCAGTAGCATCATTCCCATTTTACAGCCGAGGAAACTGAGCCACAGCATGTGAGTGCCAAGCCCCGGGTCACTTACTTGAGGGGAGAGCTCAGTCTCCAACCTGTCATGAAATATTGTCTCTCCAATTACACTTTATTATCATGCTCATCTCCGTAAATCACCCTATTGGAGAAGAGGAGGATGGGGGGAGGGAGAAGAGATTAACTTGGGACACCTAAATGTGTGATCATGAGGTTGCAGGGCAGTGGTGAAATGTCCAGTGAACCCATGAGCTGGGCCACCTACTAAATAGAGCTGGTTGCCTCATTGGCAGAATGTCACCAAATTTTCTTGATAAGGACGGGATTCCATTTGTAAAGTGAGAATGAAACCTAACTCTTACATGCATATGTCAACTGAACCCAGGCCACTGAGTCCTATTTGCCTGGCAGGGTGTCTTTCCTGTTCATGGGGTCTCCTTCCTGCAGTTTGGCACCAAGCAGCATCCCCCAGGGTAGGCCTCAAGCGTCACTGACCAGCTTTGCTCTCTCCCCCTTTTGGGGCCCAGCGGCTTAGCTGATGAGTTGCTCACCTTTGCAGGTAATGGGAGGCTTCGATAGGGAAGAGGGTGGCATTGCTAAAGTGAGTGACACTGCACATCTCTGACCTCATAGACAGACTCCTGCCTAATGCCAAGTGAGCCGCCAAGAGTGAGTTAAATTTTTCAATATTGGGAAGGGGAACTAACATGTGTGCCTGTCATAGGCAGAGGTGGCCTCATTTGCTCCTCCTGCCAATTCTGGTGGAATAGGCATCATCTGTATCTCACCAAGGAGGCAGATGAAGCTTAGATACTGTGCCCGAAGCAGAGCTGGTACGTGGGGAAGCCGTATTCAACTCAGGCCTGTTGGACACAGCCCAAGCTCTCCCGTCTATCCAAGCGGGCATCAAACAGGCCAAAATTCAGTTGAGTTTATCAACTTCTTATGGAGAGGAAGAGGAGAGATGAGCATTTATTGAGCACCTAACTTGTACACTGCTCCTTCCAGGGACTAGGGAGATACAAAGGTAAATGATGGCGTGCCCCCATCTGGTGGGAGTGCAAACTCCAGGAGGAAGGAAGCGGGGGCCAGGAGAGTGGATCTCGTAAGATGAATAATTGCTCACATTTGTATGCAGGCTGTCTTCTAAGTGTTTTTCGGTAGTATTTATTTGGATCTGGGTCCATAGGACAATTATCGTCTTCATTTTATTGATGAGGAAACCAAGACAGAGACATTAAAGTAACTTGCCCAAGATTTTACCAAATTAGCAGAGTTGAGATGCAAATCCAGGCTGTCTGACTCCAGAGCTGCATTTTTTAAAAAACCACTGTAGGAGAATAGGCTAATTAGTTTCTTTATTACCCTACATACTAAAATTGTTTTACCCACCTCAGTGGGTAAAACAACCCTCAGTTGTCATAGGGGAAAGTTTCTTAAAAAACAAACAAAAACTGAGTCTACCTCCTAACTTCTCTAAGTGTTCAGACAGTTGAATTCTTGTTTCTGCAGCACCAACAAGCCTAAATTACCAACCCATTACTCCACAGTGGGAAATACAAACGTGGAGCACAGCACTTGCTGTGGTGTGTCCAGTCCCTGGTCTCTAAGTTGGGCCCCTAGCATAGCCAGGAGATTGCTTGGGAAGCACAGACCAGAGCAAGGAGACTTGTCAGTTGAGGAAGAAAGGTTTCTCAGCCACCATCGTTCGAGGTTTCCTTTTCCTCTGATGGCTTTGCCAGTAGAGGAAGAATACTAAAAATGAGTTCACCATTCCTTCTTGATTTTACATCTACAAGTTCTGCTGCCTGAAGACAGATGGCCTCAGCCTTCTCACAGTCACCTCAATTGAAAATGCCCCTGATTTCTTCACGAGAGTAATTTAATCTGGTTGACAAAGCTGTGAGTAATGGGAAGATGTGTGACAAAAAAAGTGACGGCCTTCAGAAAGTCAGAAAGCATTGGGAATTGTCACTTTAAACACATTCTAATATCACTCATTCAGGTGAGGCTGAAAAGAAGAAGAATGGGAGGGTGAGAGATTTTACTATTATACCATCATTGGAGTGAGAAGTGACCAGGTCAAGAATAGTGACACTAACATATGAGTAGCTTGGGACCAAAATAACATAAAAACATAAAATACACGATGGCTATTTGGATGATATATGTTTCTGAATAAAGAATCAGTCTTGTATGTGGACCAGAATCATTAAAAATATCAACCTGGCTCCAGCCAATTTCAGAAGATGTGGTGATGAAATTGCCCACTACCTCTTGAGATTGAAGAGTTCTTTCAATGATGGGTCCCCCAAGAAATTACAGCTTTTCTTTAAAATCAGAAATACAGAAATACTCAGGCTTTGTCAGCTACGAAAGGGTGACAAGGCAAGTGATTTAAGATGGGGGAAAAACCACCTCTCCTCCACTAAATCACATTTCCTCTTGCCCTCAGAAGTTCCGTGTCACCTCACAGCACAGTCTCAACCTGCCACAATTTACTCACATTCTCTGGCCCTTCCTGGTTTGTTTTATTTATTTATTTAGTTATTTATTATTTTTTGAGACAGAGTCTCAATCTGTCACCCAGGCTGGAGCGCAGTGGCGCGACCTTGGCTCACTGCAACCTCGGCTGCCTGGGTTCAAGTGATTCTCCTGCCTCAGCCTCCTGAGTAGCTGGGGTTATAGCCACGCGCCACGATGCCCAGCTAATCTTTGTATTTTTAGTAGAGACAGGGTTTTGCCATGTTGGCCAGGCTGGTCTCGAACTCCTGACCTCAGGTGATCCACCCACCTCGGCCTCCCAAAGTGCTGGGATTACAGGTGTGAGCCAACGTGCCCAGGCCCCTTCCTGTTTTTTTGTGCACATGTGGTGCTGTTTTTCTTCTATGCCTTCAGAAACCCAGACCGTTCATATGGTTGGGGAAATTGGAAGTGTATCCACTAAATAAAGGACCGTATGGCTTTTGTGCCCTGATGCTGAACACTGGTGACAAGTTAAAAGCCAAAGTGGAAAGTGTTACAAACCAAAAGCAAAACTCAGGCTGAGATGTGGTGGGTGAGGTGCAGGTGAATGATTTCTCCGTGTGCTTGTTGGTGATTCATTATATATTATTTCTCATATATATTCATTATATATTATATAGGATAATCTGTCAATAACTTCAGTCAGCTCTTCATTCTTCTCACTATGTCTGCCTTTTTCATACTGTAGTACTATTTTATTATTTTTATTTTATTTTATTTATTATTTTTTTGAGACAGTCTTGGTCTGTTGCCCAGGCTGGAGTGCAGTGGCACAATCTGGGCTCACTGCAACCTCTGCCTCCGGGGTTGAAGCAATTCTCCTGCCTCAGCCTCCTGAGCAGCTGGGATTACAGGCACATGCCACCATGCCCAGCTATTTTTTATATTTTTGGTAGAGATGGGGTTTCACCATGTTAGCTAGGCTGGTCTCAAACTCCTGACCTCAAGTGATCTGCCCACCTTGGTCTCCCAAAGTGTTGGGATTACAGGTGTGAGCCGCCGCTCCCAGTCTGTAGTACTGTTTAAAAAAATCATTTAAAATAGATCAAAAGCAGACCAAAGTATCTAGAAATTAGCAACCGAGGCAGCTACAGTTGTCTTCAAGGAAGTCTTATTTGCTAGTTCTTTGTAAATTATAGGGTTTTTTTTTCCCCATTTGGAAATTATTCTGTTCCTGGTTACCTGCCTTTATGCATTCTTGTGTGTTGATATGATTACAAATGATTTCAGTGGACAACTATTTTCCCCAGATGCAGAACTAATTAAGTTTAGTTGAAGATTTTAAAAGGTTGTAAACTTCCTTTGATCTTCAACTTTTAAGACTCCAAATGCCAGTTCTGCAGCTTCTGTAAGCTGGAAAAAATATCCCCCCGAATAATAAGGAAAACAATGTATAAACATTTTCCGAACTATTCTATCCACAAAGAATTCCATTTATAAATGGAATACTCCCTTCTTTGTCTTTGCCTAGGAGCTTGAGGGATAGCTGTTTGTATTTGTACATTTTCTGAATTTCTACAGTTTACACTTGTTTATGGTACATTGGGGAGTTCAGAGTAACCATTTGCAAATGTTTGAAGATATTCAAAAGAAAATATTCCCCCTCCTCAGTTTTCCAGGGAAATGACATAGACTCTTTAAGTAAAATAATCAATGGAAAAAATGTGTACAAGGAGTAACCCTTTCATCTCACTTTTCCACCTTTGTGGCTCCCAAATTTCTAAGTTTCAAAAACCAGAAAGAAAATATAAGACCCTTTTTCCTGGTCCCAATTCCATGATACTACTCCAGGCTCAGCAGGGGGGACTTGACATCTTATTTTCTCAGGGAAAGCTGGAGGAGGCACCTGTAGTTTGGCTTTTTGGAGTTTAATTATTAGTCTGGTCATGGAGCCACAGTCCTAGAAACAACTGTTCCAAGGCAAGGAGTTCACTTCATTGGGGAAGCCAAAAGGGTGGAGGTCCCAAAAAGTTTTTTGCCAATTTAGTTTCTCAAACTGAGAAGTTCAAGAGAGGAGGCTGTCTGGGAGGAGGTTGGGAAGTCAGTCCATACATTCGAAACAATACTATAGGTGCCTACTTTTAAAACAAGGAAAAGAAGGAAAACTGAGAGTGACAAAAGGAAATCAGTATGAATGGGATGTGCTCGGATCCTGTGTCAGACTTGTGCTATCTAATGGTCCAGTACTTGACTATTGGGAATATTAATTGGTGACAGTCCCTAAGTTAAGGGTTAGCTTGTCTGTTGGGATGCAGTTGGCACATATAGTTCTAGGTAGAGGTACTTCAGAGAGCCAGAAAGAAGACACCAGGTCTGTGTCATGGACACATGTGAGTGGGAGGACCTGGGAGTGTGCTTCCTGTGATCATTTCAGACTTGTAGAGGAAAGTTTTCTGGAATGAATGGTGTCAAGATTGGCCTGAGATATGTCCCAATTCAATGCTGCTGGGACCATGTTAACCCTTATGACCAGGGACTTGGAGGGAAGGTTTTAATGTACAAGCATCCAACTTTTATATATGATGTCAATCAGGTTATGATGGAATATGAAATGACATCTGTGACTGGATATTTATTACTTTCAGATGTACCCATAACCTTCCATCTTCAGCAGGACTGGGACTAGAGTGAAGCAAAGGAAGGGCTTAGGGCAGAGACTTTGAGGAGGCACCCACTCAGGGTCATGCTAGTGCAGCACTGGTCCTGGCTCTGTCTCCAGATCCATATGGCAGCTCCCTAAAGCTGGTCTCCTGGCCCCCTGGACTCGTCCCTGGATGGCCTTCAGCAACTCCCCCTGAAATTTCATGGAAAGTTTTATGTGCCTATGCACAGAGGCATTTTCATGGGAGAAGACGTCCATAGATTTTGGCTCCAGAAAAAGTATGCTCTATATCTCTGAAGGATTATCTTACCTTATTATGGAGCAATATCTGAGTTGAAATTTTTCTTGTTTCTCTGAGGAAGCTGAATTAATGGAAAGTTTCTCTTAAAACTTAGAATATATTGTTTGGCAATTTCTGCTGTGGGCCTAATATTGCAGAATCAAAGTTGGAGCTACATCATGTAGCACTTGCCTCAATAAGATTGCCTTAGTGACACAATGCAAAAGGTTACAGACTTTTCTTCAAGTTACCATTTCCCACAAGGGCCTGTGATGAAAGAAGAAAAGAGAAGCAAGAAAAGAAATAAGCTAGATACTTCCCCAGCACTTGGACCTTCAAAATTTGTACGATACAGGGAGACACTGTTCTTCTGTGGAAAGATCTTCTACTCTGCCACTGAGGCCAAGAAAGCAGAATGGCCAGAGTCAGAGAGGTGGACAGGTCGGTGAACACCAGGGCATTGATGTGGCAGTGTCTGGGAGCGCTGCCAATGCTCCCTAGCTCCCCAGTATGCCTCTTTACTTGGAGAGACTGCACTTGGAAAGAGACGCGTTCGGCCAGCTATTAACCAGCCGTTGCCCAGGAGGGCACTGGAAATCAGTTCCCTGACTGGTTTCCAATGAGTCACTCCCTTGCCAGCCTAAGCTGCTGCCTGTGCACCATGTTCAATCATTTACACCTACCTTCATGCAGACAAGTGCTGCAGAGGGGCAGAGATGTCTGAGGACCAAAATACGCTGCACCGTGGAACACTTACCTCATGTTGTGGAACACTTACCCTCACCCGAACGCCCCGCCTTTTCCAGACTTTCCTGTCTAAGAGATCGTGCCAAAGGGACGGGGGTGGCCATGCTGTTTTCTCTTACCGTGTCCTGCACAACTTATTTTGTATCCTTCCGTTGCCGTTTTAAGTGCATAGCACTTTCTATGTGGATGGATGTTAAGGCAATGCATTCTGCATGTGTAAACTTTTTCTTAGGGCCTCAAAGGGCATAAACGAAATTCATTCAGAGAAAGAAAGAAATTAGCTTTAGAAAATAAACAATTTAGCACTGGCATCGTTTAACAGGGTCCCATTCTCAAGGAAATGGGGTAAATGCCATTTCAGACACCAGCTCTGAATACTAACTGCAGAGAGTTCTTCTCCAGATTTGTGGATTTCCACAGCACAGAAAAAAAAAATAGGGTGGGGTCAGGATTGGGAACATGAGACCATCAACAGGGAGGGGAAGTACACACACATGCACAAAACTTATTTCAAGGGTCATCGAAAAGATTCTAGTGAAAAATGACTGGAGCAAAAGAAAATGACAATAACAAAAACTTGGAATTATTCTCTAATGCTTTAAAATAGTCCCAAGTGTACTACATAGTTTAAAATTGGAAATCAGTCAAGTTACCTAACTCTGCCACTCCTTGGACTGAATTAATGATCATAAGCAAAAAATGCTTGTGCAATTGTACTGTGTGGTCCAGATGTACAGCCCTGAGTAGAGAGATGGGGGCAGAGCAGACCTGGCTTTCCAGGTAGCCAAGGGGTCAGGGCTGGGGCAAATCAAAGCTTCCAGTGCTCCCAGCCTCATTCCCATCCAGATATTTGGCTGCACCAGCACTAGTTGTCTCATCATTTTCCCCTCTGAACCTCTGGTTTGTTGTCTGTCTTTGATATAGTAAGCTGTGTTTTGTTTTGGGTAAAAAGGGAAGTAAGAATGTGACTGATAGTATTTAAAGAACAAAAGGGAGAAACGCTTCATGAATTCATTTGATATGGAACATTGACCTAACATCCAAAAAAATACAACTAAAAAGTAGATCTTTCCCTCATTTGCATGGCTTATTTCCCCAGATATGTTTTTGGTATTGAAAATGAATGGTATTCCCATACAACATGTGTCTCAATTTGTAATGATATCCTCCTTGCAGCTGGCTTAGTTCTGCAAGTGTTTCTAAAATGTTACTGTCTTAAATTTGAACCAACCTACAATAACAAATTATCTAGAAGCAAAGTGGCTAAACGGCATTTGGAGAGAGAAGGGGAAACCCTATATTTCATCCTTCAACTCTTGTTTTAGAAATTCAGACTGTAACGTGATCTTTTTCTAAAGAAATCTACACACACACACTTTAAAAACTGTGCAGCTTGGGTGTTGTGGGAGCAAGAATGATCAGGTTTAAGTTTCTCTGCAAAGCTCTGCATCCCATCAACAAGCTCTTTTGATATTTTAAACCCGTATTTAGAGTAATTTCAAGATATTTGGAGCACATGTGGTTACATGTAAAACTTTGTCCTTATAATGTGTTAGATGCTCATACTTTAAATATTTATAAGCTTTTATTTATTTATTTATTTTTATTTTTTTCTGAGATGGAGTTTCACTCTGTTGCCCGGCTGGAGTGCAGTGACGCGATCTCGGCCCACTATAACCTCTGCCTTCTGGGTTCAAGCAATTCTCCTGCCTCAGCCTCCCAAGTAGCTGGGATTACAGGCGCGCACCACCATGTCCAGCTAATTTTTTTTTGTATTTTTAGTAGAGATGGGGTTTCACCCTGTTGGCTAGGATGGTCTCCATCTCTTGACCTCATCATCCACCTGTCTAGGCCTCCCAAAGTGCTGGGATTACAGGTATGAGCCACCATGCCCAGCCTTTATAAGCCATTTTTAAGTAATTTACCCAAAAGCTTTCTCCCACTAGAATACTATAATTGAGTAGTATCTGAGCATCATTATAGAAGATACAAGATGAAGTTGCTGCAGCATGCATTCACATTCTTCTTGCTTTTCTGGTTTTAATTCAAATGTCATTTTTAGTAGAATCAGCTTATTTTATTATTTTTTAAATGTATTAAAAAATCATAAACAAGATTGGTTGTCTGTGATTTAAAACAAAGAAATTCCCCAGCACTCAAAAGCTAAAGTGTTCTAACCTGAACCGTATTGAGTCCCACACGTGAGCGTGGTGGCTCACTCCTGTAATCCCAGCACATTGGGAGGCCAAGGCGGGTGGATCAGACTTAGGTCAGGAGTTCAAGACCAGCCTGGCCAACATGGGGAAACCCTGTCTCTACTAAAAATATAAAAAATTAGCTGGACATGATGGCGCATGGCTGTAGTCCCAGCTACTTGGGAGGCTGAGGCATGAGAACAGCTTGAACCTGAGAGACAGAGGTTGCAGTGAGCCGAATTCGTGCCACTGCACTCCAGCCTGGGCGACACAGTGAGACTCCATCTCAAAACAAAAAACAAACAAAAAACTTCCCATTAGAGTGTTGGATCTCAGTCTGTGTCCACATGAACTTAAAGTGTCATATTGTTCCTCTGAAATGTCTTAGGGACAATTTATTGGTGGTTGGATTGAATTCTTTACTATTTGCCTTCAGCCATCTTGGAAGCTAAGACATAGGATCCTGTCTTTATCATAGGTAGCCTGTTTGTGCACTTAATATGAAAAAGAGGAGGGGGAAACCCTTTTTCCAAACGCAGAATCCATTTAAGCTTTGGAGGTTATAAATTTCAAAGTGATCACAGGCCCCTGGGGCTCACACTCTTTTATGGCTGGCAAAATACAACTTTCTGGTAAGAATGGGGAAAAGAAGGCTTTAAAAGGCTCATAAACTTGCTTGGACATCTAATAGCTCTTACCAAACAGCATTCTCATGAGTTAAGTGTAAATGAGTCAGAAACACATAGATCAAATTTCTTTTAAAATACACATGGGTTTGAAAATTAAGGCCAAAGTGCTTGGCAAAATAAGTTTTGGTTTTATCCAAACCCAAATGTTGAAAAAATAATTCTAAGATTTGCCAAACCAAAAATACATGCAGATCTCTTCAATCCTCCCATTAAATAAGATGGCATCATAAACATGGGACTTAGTGGCTATTTTCATAATCCCCAAGGTTTAGGCAACATGGACCTTAAATATTGATTGAAAGACTATGAAAAATTTTTGGTGGAAAAACATTATAACCTTGCAAATGAAGATGAGGGCTACTGGTTCAGGGTTCTCATCCTGATTTTGACAGCACTTCTCACTGTCCGATCAGGTGATCAACTTGTCCTTTGTCTTAGCTCTGGGTGTGTGTGTGTGCATGTGTGTGTGTGGCCTATGCATAGCAATAATAACTTTTAAAATCCTATTTTTGGATTTTATAAATCCTAAATGTATACTTAATTCATATATTACAATCTGCGAAACTTAATAACTCCTCATCATATCCAAACAGAGGGAAGCAGTCCCCTTTTGCTCATTCATAGTTCAGAGATAGTCTTCATTTATTTCCCTAGAGGGTAAAACATATCCATTTTGCACTAACAATATCTAATGCTGACTTTGCTCAGGTCTGTGTTATTAAAAGATGAGAGAGAGAGAGGGAAAGAGAGAAAAGAAAAAAAGTAGGGGAGGGTGTGTGGCAGGAGTCCTTGACTTGATTTGAAGAACTAATAACCTACTGAGAGACAAAAAAAAAAGCCAAGGTCACTTTTACAAGCAACATGCAGAACCTGCAAACTGATGTGACACTGCAGACAGTAGGCTTCGCAAGAGCAGGGACCGGGTCCAGTTCACTCATTGTTGTAACCAAGTGCCTAGCACAGGGGCTGGAAGAATGAGCACACAAGTATTCAGTGATCACATGAATGAAAGCGTCTCCATAGAGGAACAGCTAATGAAGCTGCCTTGATGTAGTGCCTTCTGGTCGATGAATTCTGAATTCTGAACCTGAGGAGGGATGTGGGCTGGCGATCAGGGGTGGAGAAATGAGGGGTGAAGTAGCATGTTAAAGGGCACAGACACAGAAAAGAGCAAGCTGTATTAGGGATGACCTTCCGGTTCACTTGGCTGGAACAAAGGGCTTGACCACAGAGGGTGAGAAGCATGAGGCTGGAGGAGAGTGGGAAGGTGGTAGAACAGGAGTTTGGGGAATTTGTACTCAATACATTGGGCAACGTCACTGTGGCCTCAAGCACAAGAATGACAAGATGAAATCTGTGTTTGAGGAAAATTACTTGAGCAGCTCTTTGTAGACTGAAAGACTGACATTGCTAAAGCTGATGGTTGCATTCTGATGGCAGGCTAATTGCCAGCAGTTGATTCTAAACATTGCAGAACGTCATCGCTGGAGTGCGAGGGACATGCGCTGCCAGATCTATGGGTTAAGTATGGAAAGCCATTGTCTCTGGACAGTGAGAAGAACTTTCTTTGTGCTAAGTGGGCCTAAGGAAATGTCACAATGCACGGTGGAAGGAAATCTCACAATCAACAGACCATTCCAGGATCTAAAGAAGGAAGATGCTGGCTTGGCTCCAGATGGCCACAGAAACAGAGGCCCCACCCTTCTGACCAACCAGCAGCTCTGAGCCTTAAGCCAGCAGGGAAGGGCAGATGTGGGCTGCTGTTTCATGCATGCACAGAGGCAGGCCCTGGCTCTTGCAGCAGCGGACTTCACGAATGTGGAATGTGGAGGTTACACAGCGATGCCTAGACTGTCTGTCCTTAGACCGAAGGGCAGCAGAAAGGCTCAGGGGGCTTGCTCTATATTCCTTAGACATCTCCGGAGATTTTCTCAGCATCAGAATCAGATCCTCCCATGGCCTGCGGCTACTTTTAAGAAAGTTTGGCAACCTTTTGGATATGTCCTCTTCTCTTTTTTGACTTTCCAGGCTGTAAACCTTCAGAAGCTTCCACATGTGGTGCCAGTGGGCTCCTGGTGGTGAAGGAAGGTGGCAGTGTGGTTTAGTGGAAAAGAATATCTGCTCTGGAGTTGGGCCAGCTTGGGTTCGTATCCCAGCAGAGACACTTACCAGGTGAGGGAGAAAGGGACTTCAGCTCTCTGAGCCTCAGTCTCTATGTCATGAGTAATGAGATTGCTGTAAGAGACAGGTAAGGAAATGTATAAAGTGTGGCTCATCACAGATGCCCTAAAATGGCAGTTGCCATCCTGTTAGAAAGGATGCATTGCCTAAGGACAGAGCTTGGGGCTGGAGTGAGACCTGCCTGGGTTTGAAAACTGGCTGGGTCACTTACCAGCTGTGAGGATTTGGACAAGTTTTATAACCTCTCTGGGCCTGCATTTTCTCATTAAATAATTATAATAGCTAATATTTATTGAACACTTTCTACATGTAGGCAGTGTTTAAATGCTACATACCAACAATGCATGAGACTTAGCATTATTAAGCCCATTTTGCAGATGAAGAGACTGAGGCTTGGAGAGGTTAAGTATGCCACCCAGAGTCATGTGGCCAGTAAATGGCAGTGCTGAGATACGACTGGCAGCCTGGCTCCAGAGTTTCCATGCAAAACCACTGTCCATGGCTTATGTGTAAAAAATGAAGATAATAACCCCTACTTTGTGCAGTTATCAGCTCCAATGTAAATAACAAGTTAAAATGTCCGGGAGCTACCTGGCTCGTAGTAGATGCTTATTACAAAAATTGTCATGATAGCCCCTACAGCCCAGAACTTCTTCCCTTGGATGTGTAATGGAAAATAATGAAACACTTCCACGTTGTCAACCTCAGAGGTTAGGGAAACCATTCCAGAAATTCTCATAAAATCTCTGGTTCCACTTTTACAAGTCGAGACTGCAACAAAGAGAGCGAGTGCCCAAGGTCACAGGGTGGCGCAGCCAGGATTAGAACCTGAGTCCTCATCTGCCTTTCCTCTCGGTGGAACATGGGATCTGACCGCAGCTGCTTCAGTTACATGCCCTGTGCCAAGCACCAGAGTCATATTTTTGCCACCCACGGCATGGCTTCCTCACATCAGGAAGCCAATTCCAGAGAGAAAATAGGTTGTGCCTGAACATCTAGGGTTGAGAGGTTAAAGGGTTGCAGGAAAGCAGTTAGTAACCACACTCTCCATCATTTTTGCTGTTGGGGGAGAAATCAGTATTATAGCTCTTACATTTTGCAATGGCATTTGTACTAATATGAAGCTTTCTCCCTCCCTCTCTCTGCTAATGGGCTGGTCATAAAGAATGAATCAAGTGTGGAGAAGACTGCTTTCCCAGACCTCATCTAAATCCTAAAATCTGCCGTTGACCCACAGGTCAAAGCTACTTGCCACATGAAGCTGCTTTTTTCTCTGTATTCTTTCTCTTTTACCTAGAATGCCTCTGTTCATATAACATAGAGAAGTAACACACTTAATCTTAACACAGTAAACATCTGGCTTTTTTGTCACAGGCAGAATTTTTGGAAGGCCGCAGTCTTGAGAGTCAGGGTGGTAGAAATCAGAAAAGGACAAGGACCCTGTCCTTTCCACTGACCCCTTGAATGAGTCTCTAAATTCATCTAGGATTTAGCATCTCCCACTTTAACAGGGACACAGTGACACCTGCTCCTGTAGTCACAGTGGGGAGAGGGGAGCAGAGCTGTGGGCCAGGGGCCTGCTGAGTTCCATGAACTGACATCAGCTAGTTCGTGTGTTGGATGAGACTTGATGAAAATGTGTGGTTTTTTTTTTTTCTTATGAAAAACTTTTCAGAGTTCTTGTTTGCAAATGCAGGGTGTTAGGCCATGTATGTCTCTAAGGCACTATACAGCTCTGACATTGTGACCCTGCCACCCTACTGTCAGGGCAAAGAAGGGGGGAGATGGAACATAGGCTAGGGGTCAGCTCTCCCAGCGGGAGGGGGAAACTTGACTTTGGGGTTCTAGAAGCTGGACTTCCATCCACCTTTTCCTATTTCTGGCAACCCTTCCTGGCAAAGTTATTCATCTGTAAAATGGAGATAGTAATAAATATTTCAGTAGCATTGCTGTTTGCTTCCAAGTGAAATAAGTATATAAAAATGCCTGGTGCTGTATTTGATGTAAATTAGGTGTGCAATAAAATTTGACTCCTAGTCTGGGCACAGCGGCTCATGCCTGTAATCTCAGGACTTTGGAAGGCTGAGGTGGGAGGATCATGAGCCCAGGAGTTTGAGACCCCATCTCTACAAAAAATTTAAAAATTAACTGGGCATGCCTGTAGACCCAGCTACTCAGGAGGCTGAGGCCCAGGAGTTTGAGGCTGCAGTGAGCTATGATCATGCAGCTGTCCTCCAGCCTGGGTGACAGAGCAAGACCTTGCCCCGCCCCCACTACCAAAAAAAAAAAAAAAAAAAAAAAAAAACCATCAGGAGCCATGGCTCATGCCTGTAATCCCAGCACTTTGCAAGGCCTAGAGGCCAAGACAGGAGGATCACTTGAGCCCAAGAATTTGAGACCAGTCTGGGCAACACAGGGAGACCCCATTTCTACAAAAAATCAGAAAAAAATTAGCCAGGCTTGGTGGTACATGCCTGTGGTCCCAGCTACTTGGGAGGCTGAGATCACTTGAGCCCAAGAGGTTGAGGCTGCAGTGAGCCATGATGGTGCCACTGCACTCCAACCTGGGTGACAGAGCAAGACCCTGTCTCAAAAAAAAAAAGAAAACTCCTTTCATTGAAGACATAAACCACAATGGGAAGTACTTAGTTCTGAAAGCCAGGGCATAGGACCTAGGCTCTTGTTCAAAATTTCCTGCAGAACAGCTCTATCATGTAATTCTTCTTTATTCTATTTTTCTTTTTTGGGAGTGAACAGAGCCATCTGCTATAGTGTGTTTGTTAAAAAAAAAAAAAAGAAGAAGAAAGAAAAAAGAAAACTACACTGTTAGTCATGAATCCCTCCATGGTTTTGGAAGAGGGCCTACCAGAGACCTGGTCATTTGGTTTGCTTAAACTTCCAGGTTCTGGAAAGAACTTAGTAAAGAGGATCCATTGTCCAAGGTGAAGATAAGGACTTACTTAAGTGAGTGCACAAGAAGGGGCTCCGTAGTTCTGGGTTCTTCGCCCCTCAGAAACTTTTAGAGGTCAGCAAGAAATAGCAATGACCACTTATAAGAAAAAACAGACTGCTCTCCCCTAACCCATAGAACCAGCAAAGGAAAACAACATTTTCATTTGTAAAATGAAGACTTAAAGATAGAGTTATCCCAGTAGGGAGTCTTACATGGTTGTAATTTTTACTGATTAACAAGTAAAATAAGGGATATAGCTAAAAGAAAAAGTTATTTAAAAATTAAAGAAAACAAGGCCTTATAATTGGTTAATTTTTATTGTTATTTTTATTTTATTTTTAGTACTCAGGAACCTTAGCTTCTCAGAGCCATAGGGTGAGTAGCATCACAGTGATGAAGCTGCGATTCAGACCAGAGCCTAACACTGAGCTAAGATGAAACTCACCCTTGGCTCCCATACCCTCTCCTTACCATGAGCTATAGACTCGAAAGGAGAAGGAATGTTTTTCAGTTGCAGGCATATCTCACTTTATCATGCTTCGCTTTATTACGCTTCACGAATATTGCCTTTGTACAAATGGAAGGTTTGTGGCAACCCTGTCAAGTCTATCAATGCCATTTTTCCAACAGCATGTGCTCACTTTATGTCTCTGTGTCACATTTTGGTAATTCTCACAATGTTTCAAACATTTTCATTATCATATCTGTTATGGTGATTTGTGATCAGTGATCTTGGATGTTACTATTGTCATTGTTTTGGGACACCATGAACTGCACCCATGTAAGAGGTAAACTTAGTCAATAAACGTTGGGTATGTTCTGACTGCTCCACCAACTGGCTGTTCCCCCATCTTTCTCCTTCTCCTTGGGCCTCCCTATTTCCTGAGATACAAGATTGAAAGTAGGCCAGTTAATAATTCTATGATGGCCTCTAAATGTTTAAGTGAAAGGAGGGCCTCTAAATGTTTAAGTGAAAGGAGGAGACCCATGTCTCTCATTTTGAATCAAAAGCTAGAAGTGATTAAACTTAGTGAGGAAGGCATATTGAAAGCCAAGACAGGCCAAAAGCAAGGCTACTTGTGCCAATCAAGTTGTGAATGCAAGGAAAAAGTCCTTGAAGGAAACTAAAATTGCTACTCCATGGCTAGGCACAATGGCTCAAACCTGTAATAATCCCAGCACTTTGGGAGGCTGAGGCTGGCGGATCGCTTGAGCCCAGGAGTTCAAGATTAGCCTGGGAAACATGGCAAAACCCTGTCTCTACAAAAAATATGAAAAATTAGCTGGGTGTGATGGTGCACACCTGTAGTCCCAATTACTCAGGAGGCTGAGGTGGGAGGATCACCTGAGCCTGGGAATTTGAGGCTGCAGTGAGCTGTGATCATGCCACTGCACTCCAGCCTGAGTGACTGAGATATTGTCTCTAAATAACAAATAAATAAAAATGCTACTCCAGTGAAGACACAAATGATAAGAAAGCAAAACAGCCTTATTGCTGATATAGAGAAAATTTGAGTGGTCTGGGTGGAAGATCAAACCGACCACAATATTTCCTTAATCCAAAACTTAATCCAGAGCAAGGCCCTAACTCTCTTCATCACTGAAGACTGAGAGAGGGGAGGAAGCTGCAGAAAAAGATTTTGAAGCTAGCAGAGGTTGGTTCATGAGCTTTAAAGAAAGAAGCTGTCTCCATAACATCAAAGTGCAAGGTGAAGCAGCAAGTGCTGATGTAGAAGCTGCAGCAAACTACCCAGAAGATCTAGCTAAGATCATTGATGAAGGTGACTACACTAGACAATAGATTTTCAATATAGATAAAACAGCTTTATATTGAAAGAAGATGCCAACTAGGACTTTCATAGATAGAGAGGAGTCAATGCCTGACTTCAAAGCTTCAAAGGACAGGCTGACTCTCTTGGTAGGGGCTAATGCTGCCGGTGACCTTAAGTGGAAGCCAGTGTTCACTTACTGTTCTGAAAATCCTAGGGCCTTTAAGAATTATGCTAAATCTACTCTGCTTGAGCTCTGTCAGTGGAACAACGAAGCTTGGGTGACAGCACATCTCTTGATACCATGGTTTACTGAATATTTTAAACCCACTGTTGAGACCCACTGCTCAGGAAAAAATAATTCTTTTAAAACATTACTGCTTATTGACAATGCATTTGGTCATCCAAGAGCTCTGATGGAGCGGTACAAAGAAATTAATTGTTTTCATGCCTGCTAACACAACATTCATTCTGCAGCCCATGGATCAAGGAGGAATTTTGACTTCCAAGTCTTATCATTTAAGAGATACACTTCATAAGGCTCTAGCTGCCATTGATAGTGATGCCTCTAACAGATTTGGGCAAAGTACATTGAAAATCTTCTGGAAAGGATTCACTATTCTAGATGCCATTAAGAACATTTGTGATTCATAGGAGGAGGTCAAAATATCAACATTAACAGGAGTTTGGAAGGAGTTTATTCCAACACTCGTGGATGACTTTGAAGGGTTCAAGAGTTCAGTGGAGGAAGTAGCTGCAGATATGATAGAAATAGCAAGAGAATTACAAGGGGAACCTAAATATGTGGCTGAATTGCTGCAATCTCACGATCAAACTTGAACAGATGAGGAGTTGCTTCTTAAGAATGAACAAAGAAATTGGTTTCTAGAGATAGAATCTGCTCCTGGTAAAGATGCTGTGAACAATGATGAAATTACAACAAAGGATTTAGACTATTCCATAAACTTAGTTGATAAAACAGCAGCAGGGATTGACTCAGTTTTGAAAGTGTTCTATTGTGGGTAAAATGTTATCAAATAGCATGGCATGACACAGAGAAATCCTTTGTGAAAGGAAGAATCAACCAATGTGGCAAACTTTATTGTTGTCTTATTTTAAGAAATTGCCACAGCCACCCCAGCCTTTGGCAACCACCACCCTGATTAGTCAGCAGCCGTCAGTATCAAGGCAAGACTCTCCACCAGCAAAAAGGTTATGGTTTGCTGAAGGCTCAGATGATTGTTAGCATTTTTTTTTTTTTACAAATAAAGTATTTTAAATTAAGAAATGTAAATTGTTTTTTAGACATAATGCTACTGCACATTTAATAGACTACAGTATAGTATAAACATAACTTTTATATGCACTGGGAAACCCTCCAAAAAAATGCATGTGACTTGCTTTATTGCAATGCTCACTTTATTGCAGTGGTCTAGAACCAAACCTCCAGTATCTCCCACGTATCTTCATCAGTTAATGAGCTATAAGAAAAGAGATGTCATCCTCTTCAAAAATGAGAACAATTTCTATCCTGCAAAAGCCATTTAAAAACTCTTCATGAAGCAATGGTTGATGGAGGAGAGAAGGAATCGTGTTTTGGTAAAAACCTTCCTTCCTGGGATGGGTTTGGTGTGGGGACCACTATCTGGCATCACACTCAGAGTTTATCAGCTAGTGCAGGCGGCTCTGTTCATTGACCGCAGGGCTCTACCCTTGTGAGTGTCCCAGAATAGCTGCGGCTACCTGAGAGCAATCCAGTCCTCAGGGACTCGTTATTGTCCCAGATAAACAGCGTTGCCGCAGCCAGCACGTAATGGCTGTATTTAACTGTGATAAGTGATGGGCAGACGTGCCCGAGTGAGTGGATCTCTGGTAGGGCCTGGGTAATTGGACAAAGGCAAGCTGGCTGGCAGCAGGCATTTCTTGCACATCATAGAATTGATGCCACAGGGTTTTAGACTCCTGGGGATAAATATGACAGACATGGGGAGCTTGCCTTCTAAATGAGGAAGACAGGACAGACCTACTGGATTTTGATTATGCTAATTACAAAAGTATTTGAGGAAGGAAATAATACAAGTTTAGAAAATGGGTTAGATTAATAGAGGCAGGCTTCCTGGTAGAAGTGGAATCTGCCACCACAGAAGAGCTAGTTTGGAAATGTTGGGATGTAGAATAAGACAGACATTTTTCTCTGAACACACATTTACTTTTGGGAGTGGTTGCCTGGAAGTTTTATGGAATGCTAACAGTGAAAGTCTTAGGCCATAAAGGTCAAAGAAGTAAAGGTGAGAGTGGCCATATTTTGACAGTATCAACATTGAGAGAATGTATTTAGACACAGTTTTGCTATCTATAATTCTCTGGAAAATTTTGTGTTATAAAGGTGGATGAGTATCTAGATCACATTCTTGGCCATGCTTCCCTGATAAAACAGAAAAGTGACTCACCAGGTGAACAGAGAGTCTCTCAATGCATTTGGTGTGCAGTTACGATTCCATGAAGAGAAATATTTCATTCCTCTGGCCAAAAGGGGCAGGCAGGCCTGGAATTCTGAAGATAGCTGGTCATACATGCCCGATGGAGACCATGCCTTGTGGTGCCAGCGTGTGTGTATGGTACATACATAGTACATGTATGATACATATATAGCATAAGAAATGGGCTTTTATTTGTATGTAATTGTGTGTGTCTGATGCTTCATGTAGCAGGGGTGGGTTATCCTGCCTTCAGACAAATGCCCAAATCAGAGGAAAACCCAAGTGTGAGGTACAATTGTGGCCACTTCCCCAGAATCCCCTGCTTTAAGGGGTATTCCACAAACCTCTGCCATAGATGTGTGTGTATGTTTGTGTGTACTGAGAGAAGGAGACTTTCTGAAATTTTGGAGTTCAGGGTCCAGAAGTTCATGGGCTTCCTTGTATACTGGTAACAGATTAATATTCAGTTGTTCAAGTTTATAATTCTACATATTTGATACTGGATTTTGTGGAAAGATTCCACAATCTGAGCATGTGAGAAATGGAAGACTTAATACTGAAGCTCACCCAGGCCCCCACTGCACAGAGGAAGAATCGAGGCTCTGAGGGATGGTGGCTGAGGAACACAGTGGAAGAATCGAGGCTCTGGGGGAGGGTGGCTGAGGAACATGGAGGAGGAATCAGGGCTCTGAGGGAGGGTGGCTGAGGAACATGGAGGAGGAATCAGGGCTCTGAGGGGAGGGTGGCTGAGGAACAGTAGAAGAATCAAGGCTCTGGGGGAGGGTGACTGAGGAACATGGAAGAGGAATTGAGGCTCTGAGGGAGGGTGGGTGAGGAACATGGAAGAGGAATCAAGGCTCTGAGGGAGGGTGACTGAGGAACATAGTAGAAGAATCGAGGCTCTGGGGGAGGGTGGCTGAGAAACAGGTCCAAGGTCACATAGCCAGTCAGAGGCATTTGTACTGTAACTCGGGTCTCTGTTTCGCTTATTGTAGTAATTTCCCCTTTGCACAGATGAAGACATTTAGACATGGAGGACAGTTTTTTCGTAAGATTCTTCTGCTTGGCAAGGACAAAACAGAACCAGCTCCAGACTCTGGAACTTCCTGCCATGATCACTTTCTAAAAATCCAAACTTATTTCCTCCCCACTCTGTTGGATTTCATACCTTCCATACCAATAAATATCAGAAAAGTGAAGCCCAAGCTTGGTTCTTCATTTTCATCGATTCCAGAGTCTTTTCCTGTGTCACCAACAAGGGGGCTGCCCTGAACCAGCCAGAGCCAGAAGGACAAATGAGGATGCCTTCAATACCGCCCCCTCCTCAAATGTTATCAGCAGAGAGGGACTTGTACTGCCACCATCTGGCCTTTGTGGGTGTCCCAGACACAGCAAGTATGTGGTGAGAGGGAAGGAAACAGCACAAATTGTCTACTTTACCATTCTCTTAAAATAAGCTTCGTGTGAGCAAGCTTTTCAGAGCAGCAGGACTAGGGCTGCGAAAAATAGAGTGTGGTGCAGCTGCACCCTTCAGAACTTTGGGGGAAAACACATATTATTTACCAGACAATAATAGATACCAGAGAATAATAATGATTATTATAGTGTTTGGGATGGCAAATGCTGTAGTTAAGGTTCCAGAATGGCTCTTATTATAATCCCGTTTTACCGAGTCTCTTGTGAAAGCCTGGAAATTTTCTTTAAGTAGGCTGATGCTGTCCGTGTTTGGTCTTTGTCCAAAGGTGATTTGAATATAAAGAAACTTACTGGAGAAACATTCATTTTTTTAAATAGTGATTGCATTAAAGAAAAAAGCTACATTATTAAAAAAGCAGTTGCAGCATCCCTAAGTAAGCAATTCAAAATGGCGGTGTTTCCCAGTTTACTGGAGGAAAATGTTAAACATTCTCCCTCCTCCCTTTTAAAGAAAGAAGGAGGCCCCCTCTAACTACAAGATTCAGTCACTCTTGGTTCCAGGCCCAGAGGTGGGGATGGCTTCCCTCCCTCCATAGCAACTTCCAGGCTGTGCTTGCTAAATGCAAAAGAATTGTTCCCAGAAGAAGTGACCCCGGTGTCTTTGGATCCACTTGTCATCTCTGCAGCTCCTCAATTTTTGTGGCCTCACATTTGATAGTGGCTCTTGGTGCTTTTATTTTTGTATCCCCTCTCTCCATTGTCACTTATTCTTGAGAAAGAAAGAAAAGAAAGAAAGAAAGAAAGAAAGAAAGAAAGAAAGAAAGAAAGAAAGAAAGAAAGAGAAAGAAAGAAAGAAAGAAAGAAAGTAAGTCAAATGTGAGCTCTTTATTCAGAAATAAATATCCACATTTCCAAATCTGACCATGCCAAATGAAAAGGTTTCCATGGCCTTGTAATTCCACCCCCATTACATATTTGTGGTGTTTTGCATTTTCACTTTGGTTATTTAATATACATATTAAGTACACACAGATCTGGTGATTTAATGTGATTGGGGGAACTCAGGCATTTCCTGTCGTGCACAGTGAAACTTTCAAACCTTGTTTTTGGCTGCTGCTGATTATTGTTGCCATTAACACCAGGATTTAGATAGCAGGGTTCAAAGCACAAGCTTCCACTTAGTCCTCCCAATGGGCATTTGACCTCCTCTTGCTCTTGCTAAATTCATGTTATAAACACTCCAAGCAAGCTTCCAGGTCTCTTTGTGGCTCCATTTCTTCACTATAAAATGAGGAAATGGTACTGTATTATCTCTGGGGTCCCTTCAAGTCCTACATTCTATCACCTCTCTGAAGTTATTTGTTCATTGTTCTAAGAATAATCTCAACAGTTGTAAAGATGTTTACAAGTCCTCTGTCACCACCTCACCTTAGCCAAATTTTACCCATTCACATTTCTGACAGCCTCATTTATTGGCAGGAAGAAAAGGTGCTGTTTTGGGGCATGGCAGAAGAGAGGCGCCTGACCCACTCATGTGATCAAAGTGTGTCGAGCGCCCACAGCGGGCCAGACTCTGAGCTACGAGTTGGGTGTAGAGACACGAGCAAAACAGACAAGCCCCTGACCTCTGGGGCTTTACCATGCAGTTGGCAGACTTCTAAGTGGCTGCTCCCAGAACTGACTGAGTGGCCTCAGGAAGCTCTATTTCAAACCAAGTGACTGGCGGCAAATGAAAGAAGGCTGCAGGTATCAAGAGGCAGAGCCTCATATCTCGGTGAATGTTGGGATGAGCATTCCCCAGAAACTGACTTTCCTGGTGGAAAATCCTGTTCAGAGCCTCTGCCCTGGGACCCCAAGGCTCTTGGTTGATTTATTTTCTTCCAGTCCAGTGCTACTGTTTGTTTTGGATGTGAAGAGATGTGAATGGCTCACCTTTTACAGGCAAGACCCACACACGGAGAAAAGCAAGCATTTCTTCCAGCTTAGTTGCCTTTGTGGGAAACTTCTGAAGATAGGTATATGTGTCCATGGTAATTTTCCACTTGCCAAAAAGTGAATCTATTGGCCCTCTTTTCAGCAAATACCAGAGCTGAGACATGGGGTTACAGGAGTGAGGTCAGGAGCTCCAGGGTCCTCCGTGACCTTGCCTGGCTTTGGAGTGACCTTGGGTGACTCAAAAGACCTCCTGCTGGGGCTGGATGCGGTGGTTCATGCCTGTAATCCCAGCACTTTGGGAGGCTGAGGCAGGAGAATCACTTGAAACTGGGAGGCAGAGATTGCAGTGAGCCAGTTGCACCACTGCACTCCAGCTTGGGCAACAGAGCGAGACCCTGTCTCAAAAAAAAAAAAAAGCCTCCTGCTGGTTAAGCATGCAGTCATGTGGAGGGGGAGGGTTGCTGGGTTGCAAAGGATGCTGTGGTCTTTGGGTGAGGGCGTGGTGTACCCTACTCATTATGGTATTCCAAAAAGCGACTTGAGTTTCATTTCCTCACACAAAGCTGGCAGGGCTGACCTGAGCAGACCGTGAATGAAACTCCTGTTGAAATCACGCTGTGCTGCAGCGGTTCTGGGGCTCATCCTAGGTCTGCCCTGGCGGCTGGAGAGTGTGCTGCTGTCTGACTCATGCCTGGGTTCTCCCCAGCTGGGCGGAGGGAGGGGGATCGGTCCAGTGGATTCTGACAGCCCCTTCTGCTCTTTTTCCAGGAACGTTCACTCACAGGGTACGCTCATGGAGAGAGGGCGCAGAGCAAACCATGTCACGCCATCCAATGACACCAGCTGGTCAGCTCACCACCCCCTCTGGCTAAAACTCAAGCAAATAAAGCCGCTTCCTGTCATTAAGCATCTCAGAGGAAGCAGCCCTCCCTCGATGGCCTCTAGCCCAGAGAAGCCCGCGCATCTTGGACCCACCAAGCAGGCCCAGCCTTCCTGCTGCCACCATCTCTGCTTCTCCCCAGAGGAACTTAGGGATTTCACCCCTGGCTTTTAAAAAAAACGAAATACCGACAAGCCACAAGGACCAATGTAGGTATTCTCCCCGCCCCATCTTCAAGGCTCAGCGACTGAGGCTGGAAGATGATATGGATTGGAACACAAAAAATCTTTTTTTAATCTTTTTAAAAACTGCTGTGGTTTTGCTGCTACACTAAGAATTGTGATTTGCATTGTACGGTTTTGGACCTATATTGTTCACGTTTTGATGGCGGAGAGGGGTGGTCCTGGAGGCCCAATGCTTCAGAGTCATCTCTGTCCTGCCCGGGATGCACTTTTAAATGAAGAGTTAGAATATTTTATTGGCTAATATACTTTTCTTGTTATTTTTACAAAGGCCACCTTTATCCTTTTTGATGCCATATTTTCAGTGTTACACTTTTATGGCTTTTAATTTTCGATTTGACAGATGTAAGAAGCAGCATGAATAGTTTATACTGTGGTTTTTCAGAGACTGAATGCCAAGAGAACTCGGTAAATGTTTATTCTTCTCAGCTTTCTCTTTAAATTCCCCTAAATAGCGCCCCATTTGGGAACAGAGCAAGAGTGTTGAACTGAAGACCAAAATGCCCTCAAGGTGTAAAATAATC
Organism: Homo sapiens; assembly: GCF_000001405.40. Lineage (NCBI taxonomy): Eukaryota > Metazoa > Chordata > Mammalia > Primates > Hominidae > Homo > Homo sapiens. The sequence continues at coordinate 107,659,085 of NC_000006.12, forward strand.
CGAGGGGGAATATTTGCTGGGCGTCAGGAAAGACTCAGATGAAATTTCAACCCTGATGGTTTTCGGTGATCCAGGAAGTCAGTGAGACAATCTCTCTATATGCAGAGCCCTTTCATGATAATTAGAATGGTATGGACAAACCAATGAAAACAAGAGGGAAAGTGAGAAAGATCACCCATGATTCTGTTTCACTGTTTGCTTTCTCCTGTCATGGTTAAGAGAAATGTGCAATTCGATCCTCAATCAGTGGGTGGAGGATAACAGGGTAGATTCACTTGTGTGCACTTGTACAGTTGTAGCTGCGAGTCCAGAAGTCCTCTAGAGCATGTGTACTGGCACTGAGTTGGTGAGACAGTTGTGGAGTATCCCATTCTGATGAGTACAGAAAAAAAAAGAAAAAGAAAAGAAGAGAAAAAATTAAGAAAAAAATCAAAAAAGGAAGAAAACTAAAAAAAAAAAAAATCAAATCACCTTGTGATTCAGTGTATCTGTTTACTAACTCAAATAAAGCAATTGTTCCCTCTGGAGGGGTCCAGGTGCCCCCGCCCCACAAGGCCGCGGAGCCTCAGCAGGAGGGGTGGCGAGTTGCGGGTGGGCAGGGCCAGGACGGTGTGGCGCCAGCCTTGAAGCACCACGGCCCAAGGATGCGGTGTACATACTGTATTTCTAGATTCTCCTTTGTACAGAGTCACTTCACAAGTCAAGCTACTGTTTTACAGGTGCTCCTTATTTATTAGAGCTGTGAGAGCTTGGGGGACACACCTGGCGAGCAAGCTCGCTTTTTAAAAATGAAATTTGGGGGCAGGGGAAGGGGAGGCGGGAGGGAGGGGAAGCTCGCAAGCCCGGGGAGAGATTTATAAAAGTAAACAAAAGAAAACCTTCCAGCAACAAATTAAAAAATAATAACAAATCAACCCCAGCACCAAACCCACCCAGGCAGGAAGAAGCCGCCCCTCCTCTGGGGCCATATTTTTCTGCTGGGTCACAACATTCTCCTCTCCCTGACTGGTGTCAGATTCATCAAACAAAAAATAAATCTCGAAGAAAAAAAATGCACTTACATGTGCTTATTTGGCTTTTCTCATTATTATGACTACTGTTTTTTTTTGTTTTTTGTTTTTTGTTTTATTACAGAGGTGTTCATTTTTCTCCCCCTGGGAAACATTTTAAAAAATAGAACTAAGGAGTTTTAAAAGATGGTAAGCTACTGGGATGGCACTGTCTCTTCCTGACCTGCTAGACCACGCTTGTCTGCAGACAAGAGCCCACTCCGTCCGTTCCAGGGCCTGCTTCCTAACCATGCCCATCACTGACAGCACACAGTGCATGGGAAGTGAGTGTTTAGGCTGTAGACCCAGGTGTGGTGTCCCTTCCAAGTGCTCTTCAAGTCCTGATCTTTTTTGGCTCCAAGGGTTCAGGCCTGAGGTTCAAGAAGCACCATCAAATGGAGGCAAACATGCTCCACGGGTTCCACTCACATCCACACACCATCTCACCCCACTGACTAGAGAGACTTTTATTTCAGCCTTATGTGAATGGGGTGGGTCCGTTTGGCTCTTTGATACCTGAGTTAAATATCAGAAAGTTCCTAAGGTGGAAAGTATGCTAATATCTAGTTCTAGTCATTGTAAATCTAGTTCAGTTCTCTTGTTCTACATATGAAAAAACAGAAGCCTAGAAAAGCAACTCGACCTGTTCAGAGTCTCGCACTTAGTTGATTTAGCTTCTCAAAAAAATGAATGTTCATTAAAATCTGAGGCACCACGAGCAGCTCCCTTGAAGTGATCATCCTGTGGATTCCGGAGACCTGATTTTCTTCTCCCATGGAGCCCGAGAGAATCTTGGAGGCTTCCTGGTGCAGAGTTATATTTATGGCGGTGACTCCGTCTGAACTCTGCCGAGGCAAGCCCAGCCAAGGACGTGCCAGCGGCCGAGGCACCCGGCTGTGGTTGTCCTGATAGCATTATTCATCTGGTCTTGGCCATGGAGACAGTCATCCAGGATATTGATTTTGCTTTTGTCTGTAGTCCAAGATTGTCAAGCAAACATTTTGACCCTTCTGGAAACAAAAGGTACCTTTGTTCCAGCATAGAAAGATTCTGTGGCATCTCATAAGCCATCAGCACCCCTTTTCCTCCTCTTCCTTCTCACGATCTTACTGCTGTCTGAATGCACAATTCTCTTGGGATATCAAAACCATATATAAAGAGAAATAGAAACAATAATGTATGTAAGTGTGAATACGTGTCGAGCGTTTGCACATTAGTCTCATTTAATCTTCACAATAACCTTCCCTATGGGAAGGGCCTTTATTTTCTCTTTATTATAAATACAAAGAACCTGGAGCTCAGCAGTTTAGTAATCACCCAAGGTCACAGGGCTAGTGAGTTGCCGAATGGGATTCAAGCCCAGGAGGCTTGGCACCAGTACCCAGCCCCTACCTCCAGTGTGGAGAAAAACTGTTGACATCTTCATGAAGAGTCTTCGACTTCCTGTAAATGTGTGGTAGTGATTCAGTTTTATTCAAAAGTGGTCCTCATTTTAAACCAAGCCAGAAGATTGCATGTTAATGGTGAGTGCACGCCTCACCTTACTGGATGCGGGGACTTGCAGAGGACATTCTGCTTTCTGAAAAATGAGTCAGGCGGGATTTTCCTTGGTGGTTATCAACCCCCCGCAGAACACAAAGCCCCATGCCTGATGCTGAGGGGAGGCCAGAGAGGAAGAAAACTCACAGTCCCTGCCCTAGTGGTTTATACTTGATGGGAGGATAGGGCTGTGGAAAAGATGGACCACTTCTTGGTCTCACTAGGACACTCTGTCAATGTTTTCCAGGGTTTATGTAATCACACGTTTGGAGCCTGGATTCATAACTTTGCAAAGCTGCCCTCCCCTGCAGGTAGGTGCTCCCCTGATAAGGGATGGGCACCTTGAGCCACAAGTAGACCTGTAAGTACCAGGCCATGCCGCCCAGATGGCACAACAAAAGACCAGACTGAGGCTCAGGTACATAGGCACTGAAGACTCTGGCGAAGTCCTTCCCCTCCTCAGCCACCCCGTGTACCCCAAGGGCCAGATGCTTAGCCTCCTTTAACAGCTTCAATAGGGACCCTCCCTGAGACATGTAATACCTCCTTGCAGGTTTTCAGTGGTTCCCTGTAGCCTACGAAGTCAAAGTCAAGGGCAGGGTATAACATGCAAAGCCCTCCCAACTCTGGCTTTTGCTGCCTCCCAGCCGAGTCCACTCCCACTCCCTGTCACCAGCCTTGCCAACATAACACCTGCCTAGAACTAGGAACTTGTTCCTATGCCCCTGCTCTCTCTCCCTCCTGTGCCTTGCACATGGTATGTCTTTCCTTCCTCTTCCCTGGGCAATTTCTGCAGCCCAGCTGCTCAGATGAGGTCTTCCCTGGGAAGCTGCATGGACCAGCTCCTCCCCTCCCCTGCTGGGGCAGGCGCCCCCTCTGTGCTGACCTCTGCCCTGATGCAGATCATACTCAGCTTTTCCAGCCGCTCATCTGTCTGTGCGCTTTACCAGTCTGCAAAGTCCTTGAGGATGGGGATTGTGTCTTATTTGCCTCTCATCTCCTGAGCACATGCACAGCCCCCGGAAAGCCCTCATTGTCATTATTTATTTTAAAAACTAATAAGCCATCTCCTTCAAGGATCAGTTTACATGCCACCCCTCCACGAAGCCAAACTTGAATCCCTGAGGGGCAATTAATTGCTTCTCCCTTGGGCTTCCATGACCCATGTTTAAATGGACAGAGGCCACTTCTGGCACTGTGCTGAACAGTCTTCCCACCTTGCCCGGCTCACTGGAGGGACGCACCGTGGCCCTCTTCACTTTGCATCCTTGAAGAGCTACTCACTGCTCTTGGAACTGAAAGTGTTGGCTGAGTTGAACCACTTTTATTCTACTAGCCTAATGACGGTAGAAGACAGTAAGACCCTGGAAATCAGAGCAGTTGTGCAGCAAACACAGAAAGACTCCGGAGTTTCATTTTTTGTTTCCAGTCCTTGAGGGAGGTGTCAGTGCTACTCCCAAGGCAGCCAGTCAGCAGCACACTTGGGGCTTCTGAATGCAAGGCCAGTACTAAGTGCTGGGAGCAACACAAATGGGATAAGACTCAGCCACTGCCCTTGCATTTGTGCTGAATGCTGATTCCAGGTCATGCAATTGTTACGCGTTTTGCCAAAAGTGCCTTTGAGATGAGATAATTCCTTGACCCTTGGACACATTTATAGATGGAAAATAGTCTTCAGTACCCAGAAAATGCCTCTTCTTCTATCTCTCGACTGTGGGTGGAAAGAACAGTTGCCACCTGTGTATGTCATTCTTCTAGCGAAGGGGGACTTTGGCTGAGAGGTGACTCCCAGCCATTAGGTGCTTCTTTTGTGCAGGGCCCTGTGCTAAGGGCTTTGCTGACAGTCATTCATGTAATTCTCACGTCAGCCCAGTGAGGGAGTGATAGTATCATCATCCCCGTCTCATAGCCAAAGAAACTGAGGCATGAAGACAAAGGGGTTTTCTGTCCAAGGCGTTACAAATAGTAAGAGGCAGGACCCAGCAGTGGGTTCCAGGGCTAAGCTGCCTCACTATGGCCTGAGGCGCTTGGCAGTTGAGGCCATAGGGCAGAGTTATGATTGTTTAGTTGGTGCCTAAACCAACCAAATGAGATCAAGACATCTTTGACTATCATATTAGGTTTGGAGAAAAAAAAATGACTGCTACTTCTCCTGACACCTGGTTTTGGACAAGATCTAAAATAGGACTGTCAAGGTATCTGTAGGTAACACTTGAAGGAGAGGGGCTGGGGGCCTGTGTCATAGCTCAGAGAAGGGAAGAGGAGTGAGGACACTTTGGCACATGTGTTCCATTTCCTGGGGTAGGGAGCAGACGGCACGTGAGCCAGGGGCTTTTTCCACTTCCCATTGTTCCGATTTTTTGAACTGCACACCGAGCCTCCCCCCCGGCACTTGCTGAGATGGGACGGTGAACAGGAGCACCAGTAGAGCTGCCGGGGCCGCACTGACTGGGACCCACGTGGGGTCACTTTGCCCAGAGTGCAGGGAGCTGACTCCAAGCCCCATGGTCACTTTTGGGCTATGCCTCGGATCCCCAGTTGACCAGCTGAAAGACTGGATGAAAGGACATACATGCTGAGAACCTCCACGTGCCAGGCACCACAACATTCACCTGGACTATCTCAGGCAGTTCTCACAAAACCATGTGATACAGGCAGTGTGATCCTCATTTCTGGATGAGGAAAATACAGTCCAGGAAGGTTAAGTGATCTGCTCAGCCACTCAGCTAGGATGTAATAGAGCCCAGATTTGAACCCACTGCCCCCAAGGGCAGTCGGTGCTCTTGATGGATGCAGAAATACCAGCATCAACTCAGCTCATAACTCAGTTTGGATCTCAATCAGCCAATGTGATGCATGTCTGATAATGCCATTCCATCTTGCTTCAGACCTCAGGCAACAGATGATGCTCTCCTTCCTCATCTGTTCCTCACATGCAGATTCGGGCCAAATCAACAGACAGTGAACTCCTACAAGAAGGAATAGACACCACTGTTAATTGTAATGTACATTTCTCCAAGGATTGCTAAACATCATTTAGTTGCATTACTTCATTTATACCTCACAACAACCCTATGAAGTCGGTATTAGTATTGCCATTTTACTGATGAGGAAACTGAGCACACAGTTGTGGCACAGCCTGGAACTATACTTGGGGAGTGTGAGCTCGGAGCCCACACTTCACTGCACACTCCCATTTGGGCCTTTCTCTTGTGGATGGATGGATGTCTACGTGCTGTGTACATGAGAACAGAGCCAGTTTATTGAATACCTCATTTCACTTTCACACGTGTCAGTTCATCTTGGAGAGCATCAACCTTGGAGGTGACACAGAGGAGCGTAACAGTGATTCTCATCTCTTGAGTTACAGAAAAAGTCAATTGCCCATCTCTTTTTAACCTAACAAACTTCCCATAAATTCCCATCCTCTATGAGAGAACTCTGTGCAAACATTGCCGCTTCAGAATCTAATAAGTAAGAATGCCTAAGGAGATCCACTCTGTGGCCCTTTACTGTTCTTATTTCCCCTCCTCTGCTTTCCTCTAACCAGCCTTGGAGCTCCTGAATGCAAGGGTCAGGGTAAGGCATCTTTGCCTTCTGCATGGACAGGCGGAGTTGTTTGGCGTCTAGCTCCCTGGCTGCTGTGCCTCTCATCCACCGTTGGAGCAGTATCAGTTGAGTTCCTTGAATCTTCTCCATGTCCTCTGTGTCCTTCAAAACCCCCTTTCCTATTTCCTGCTCTGGGCTTCCCTCCAGACCTTCTGCAGTTAAAACTGTTGGGGTGTCCTGGAGTCCTGAGCAGCAGGCGAGGGGCCACCGCCTCTCCAGCTGTGTGGACATGGCTGGCTCACAGGACGGCATGTAAGGGTCTCAGCTGGAAGTCACTAGGTCTCAGGGATAACAGGAAAAACCTCTCATTATTTCCAGTCTCCTACGTCTCATGCAAACAATCACATTCCATTTTAATGTTTCATGTAAAATGATTTCTGGTGTTGGAAATACTTGAGAAAAACACTTTTTAGGAAAGGCTAGGTTGTGAGTGAGTGAGCTCTGGAAGGCATGCCTTTGACATTGGTAAAGAAAAGGAAGGTAGAAACTGAAACTTATTTAGCTAGAACCTTTAGACTATGTGTTTGTTTTTATTCTTCTTTCTAGGTTTACTTAAACAAAAGAGAAGGCTTGGTACAAAGTAAAAACAATGAAAACAATGGTAGAGAGGGAAAAAGAAGAGTTTTATAAAACAGCAGGACCGTACCTAAGCCCTTTAATTTCACACTCCCCAGCATGACTGAACCTCACCCCACACCAAGACCTCCCTTCCCAATCTCCATCACAGGCCTCACAGTATCTCCTTCGCACACAGTGGCTGGATTAGGGCTCGGACCGAAGGCCAGGAATGAAATAAGATACTTTTATACTTATTGATCCTTTAAAAAAGAGTTCATTTTCATGAAACTTTAATTCACTTTTTTTTTCTTTTTTAGCTTTTTAGCCTAACTGCTACACATTTTCTCCCTGTTCTTTGTGAAATGCTAATCCAGCCCAGGGTTTTCGTTTTCCGGGTGTAACTTTTCAGAAATTGTATATCTGCATAGCAACCCCGCAAGGGCTGCCTATGTCACGGTATCACATGTCAGAAAGATGAAAAGGACTCCAAATCTAAGCTCTCCACAAACTTGGCCCTCCGATTCTGGGCCAGAGAGCTTCTTGGCCTTAATATAAATGGCAGGAGAGACATTTCAGGGCCAGAAAGGTGCAAACTTTTATCTTGTTGATGACAGAAAACGACGCATGACCTCAGCTTAGCTCGGTGGGGACGATCAAACCAGAAACAAAGGCCGTATTTTTCTCTGCTCTTGTCCCTGCTGTCAGCTTCCAAGTGCAACCTGAGCCTGGATTCCGAACCCAGTGTCCAGATTAGAGATTGTTGACTCAGATTTAGTGGTGAAACGTGAGCCGGACTCTGTTGATGGCAAGCCTTGAAGAAGCAAGTTTACTTAAGCCAAGAGAGAGATTGTATGTCAGACCAGAGCCTGGCTTTTCTTTATCACAAACTTCCTGATCTGCCTCTGTTTTAATAGTTTCCACCACCACCACTGAGAGCAAGAAAGAGAGTGAGACAGAGAGACATAGAGAAAGAGAGAGGAAGCACCCCTCTCAGTTCCGTCTCTTCAGTGTTATAAATCAGGAAATTAACAAGTGTGTAACTGGCCTTTGCCACAGTCAAAGACAATGAGCCTTTTGTGTTTCTAACTGGGGGCCGGCACTTAACATAATCAATGAAGAACTCTACTCAGAAAGGATGAAAAATGGAGGCTTGATCCGGCCATTTAAAGGATCTTTCCTAATACTCAGGCACATGGCTTTTATGAGACGCAAACACGGCTTAGAACCTTGCCTTTGGTCTGAAGGCGGGTCATTAAGAGAAATCATTACATCGCTTTCCCTGTCTCTGTCTCTCTCTCCGTTTTTCTTTGGCTCCCTCCTGGCTTTTCCTTGGCTTCTGATTCCATCCCTCTTTTAGATTCTCTGTGCCTTCAGTAATTTATGTGCAAGATATTTTCCCAACCTCCAAATGTTTTTCCATTTGGCAAACCATGTCCCGAAGCCTCCACACAATGTGACTGTAGAGTTCATTTATGCTAGAGAACATAAGCTTGGTTAATGGACAAGCCTAAGTGGCCAATGGCAGTGACCCTGTGGGCCTGGGCCGTCAAGGACTGATCCTCGGGGCTGCCCCAGGGGATGCAGTGGAGGTGGGTGTCGGGGAGGAGTGTCTTTTCCAGGTTGCCACAGATGCTTGGCTTCGACCCTCCTTGTCTCCAAAAGGGAAAGAATTCCTTCCAAGCCCCTTTCTCGTATAGTTTTTGGAAGCTTCAGGGCACCATATGGAGAATCATTTCATGATCCTCCTGATGGCTTTTACGTGAGCAGCTATAAATTGGATGGTTTCCTTCAGGTCTGATATCCTGCAGTACCTGCCATGGATTGTCAGGAAAGTCACTGAATATGTTAGTCCTGTGCCGTTCTTTGGGGGAAAGAAGGCCCAGACCCCCTCCTGGGAGGGACCACTATTACTTTGAGAAATGAAAACTAGAGAAGGGGGTAGGGTGGCACGTGGTGCAAAAGCCTGGAAGCTCAGGAGGGTCATGTGCCCCAGTGAATTTTTCATTCCAAAATCTTAGATTAGGACTAAGGCAGGAGTTGAGGCTGGTGCCTCTTCTCAAATGCCATGCTCATTGGCTTCTCCCTTGAGGCTCTTAATAAGCCTGGCTGGGCGGGGCCACTCTGTGAGATAAAGATGAGGTTAATGGGCTGGGTTTATGTCCAGGCGCTCACAGGGTATAACTAGACAGCATTTGGCTTCTGAAATATGAGCTCTATTCATTGAGTAACTGGCACTTTTTCTTTCTAAACAGTTGCAATGATATAATACAACTCTCTCCGTTTTACTTCTTTAAAAGGTGCCACATGAAGGGCTTTCTCAACTCTTGACCCAGGCATCTGTGGATTTAATAAGCAAATCAAAAGCAAAGAGCCATCCTCATAAGAAAAAGGCTTTAGGCGAGTTTTTTAAGGGGCCTTCTTTCGCTTAGATAACCATTTCCTTAACTGAATTCCTTTGACCCTATACATCTGAGCCAGGAGGGCAGAGGTTGGTTAGTGTATTCTACTGGGCCACACATTAATAAGGAATGGAGCCCTTCAACTGTTTCCCAAGCATCTCTGAAAAAAAAGTCACAAAAATCAGAGTACTGAAGACTGGTTGGCTCTGGGAACGCATTCACTCAGATGTATTTTTAGGCTTTTGTTTATCTGTCTTGATTGATAAAGTAATGATCAAAATGCGTTAGAAAATAATAGCCAACTGGTGAGAAATGGAACAGTTGGAGGCAGCGCGGCAATGGAGGAAAGCATCGCAGACTCCCCCAGACTTTCCAGAGAAACCCCGGGAAAATCCTCTTCTCTTCTCCTTTCTCTTCTTTGGGGAGCTGATCAGGGCTCTGGCTTGATAAAGCCCATCCCCCACCCCCCCACGTCGCAGAGTAACTCATTAACCCCCCCAGAAAGGCTGCCCGAGTCCTCGTTTCCCTCTCCTCACCTCTCCTCCATCCCTCTTCGCTCCGAAGGCTGCCGCAGGCCAACCAGAACCCCAGCAGATGTTTGTGTTTTATGAGCCAAACGGGAGCCTGAAGGATCAACCAAATACCAGCCCCTCTGAGAGGGGAACCAGGCCATCTAACACGAGGAACACAGAAGGCCGCCCGTCCAGCAGGGCTGGGGCTTCCAGGGAGCAGAAGGAGGGCTGAATAATTAGCTGGCACAGCCTCGTGTTGGCCCATCGCTCTGTCCTTCTGAAGAGCTCACAGAGGCCTTTAATGGGGGCTCAGAGAGGTTGGAGAGGCCCTCTGTGAGTCCACCTCCCTGGCTGGCAGTCCTGGCCAGGATGGCCTCCTCTCATGCCAGAGCACCATGTGGCACCCCGACCGTGGTTCCTGGCACAGGAACGAGCAGGAGGGTAAGGACGGCTACCGTGGAACCAACTTGGAAGTGCCGTGCTGCTCAACAGCCACCCCCACCTCCACACCGCTGTAGGGCCACGGAAGAATGAACAGTGTGGGTGTGCAGATGGAAGACCAAAGTTTCTCTCTCAGCCCCGCCACTTCCTGCCGTGCGCTGCTGGCCGCATTGGTCTTTAATGTCTCCAAGGCTTGATTTCTGTCTCAGTGACATGGAGATGATGAGACCTACTCTTGGGGTTGCTTCCAGGGTTAGATGATAGCAAGTGTGCTGGCTCTGGGCCTGTTTGCTCTGAGATCCATTTCTCAACTTTCCCTGCTCTGCTCCACATGGCAGGGCCCTCACCCTGGCTGTATTCAGCTAATGGGAGATGGGATTTCTCTCCCTCTCTCTCTCCCTCAGCCACCTTCCTCAGTTCCCTCTGGAAAGCCCTTAGGAGCTGCAGCTCCCATGAAGTCTTCCTATGTTTGTTCCTTCAGCCTCAGGGTTTTCTCACTGTCCCCTGCCCAGCTTCTCAGCTCTCCATCACTGTGGACCCCCTTCCCTTCCTTGCGCTCCCCTGGCTGCAAGGGCCTAAGGTGCTCTCTGTTTTCCTGGCTGGGCCTTGGCCGATAGAGTATGTGAACATGTAAACGTGTCGCACACCAAGACAGAGACAGAACCCCCGAAGACCCCAGTCCATAAAGCAGAAGGAAGGACGGTGCAGCTCACCTCGTGTTTCCCACCCTGAGCATCACAACCTGGAGCTTAACCGTAGGTCAGGTGATCTATCTGAAACCATTCCCCAAGGGGTTCTTCAGCTTGGGCCTTTAGACAAACAGAAAAATGGAATAGCAACTATGTATGTTTTTTTTTAATCATATATTAGTTTCATTAAAAATATGGATAAAAAATATGCAGTGGGCTTCTGGTATGCCTTCCATTTATTCTTTGCTTTAAAAAAAAAAGAGAGATGGGGGTTCTCACTTTGTCACCTAGGTTGGAGTGCAGTGGCATGATAATAGCTCACTGCAATCTCAAACTCCCGGGCTCAAGCGATTCTCCTGCTTCAGCCTCCTGAGTAGCTGGGACTACAGGCCTGTGCCACCATACCTGACTAATTTAGAAAAACCTTTTTTGGTTGGGCGCGGTGGCTCATGTCTGTAATCCCAGCACTTTGGGGAGGCTGAGGCAGGTAGATCAACCTGAGGCCAGGAGTTCGAGACCAGCTTGGCTAACATGGTGAAACCCCGTCTCTACTAAAAATACAAAAAATTAGCTGGGTGTGGTGGTATATGCCTGTAATCCCAGCTATTCAGGAGGCTGAAGCATGAGAATTGCTTGAGCCTGGGAGGCAGAGGTTGCAGTGAGCCAAGAGTGTGCCACTGCACTGCAGCCTGGGTGACAGAGCAAAACTCTGTCTCGAAAAAACAAAAAACACCATTTTTTTTTTTTAAGGAAAGGGTCTCAGGCTGCCCAGGCTGCACTCCTTGCTATGGAACTATAGGCAATGTCTCGTGTGTCTGGACTCTCCTTCTAGGTTCTGCTGACCTTGTCTGTGTCTCCTGTTATTCCTGTTCCATACCAAGTAGCATTTTCTTGGGTTTTTGTTTTTTTTTTTTGTACCTATTCCCTGTTTCAGTGCATGTACAGGAAGAGTTGTCTCATCAGGTGCCACTAAGGAAAACTTTCTCCATCAAGCTGCCTGCTGTGCACGTTGCCTGGGCTTTGCCTACCCCTGGTGCTGCATCTGCCTGTGTTCTGTCTTCTGGTTCTGCTGTGCTGTGGGGGAGGGGACGCTTGTACTCCTCTCCTTTTGGCAGGAAGAGTCACTTCCACATTGAGGTCAGAATTGAAAATGGATTTCCCCGTTGGGCAGAGGGATGGAGGCCTGCACTTCCTGTGTAGTGTAATTAATCGCTGCCCCTTCCCTGCCTGCAGCCGTCCAGGCTCAGGGCCGGCCCTGATTAACCATTTCCTGCCCAACGTTGTGAAGGCTACGAAAGACCTGTGTGAGCTTTCGCATCCTTCCTTCCTACAAGTTCGCTATTAATCTCTTGTAGGCCATCCCTCAGGTTAGGGAGCTCTCTGTGCTGGGCTCGTTTCTGCTGTGTGGGGAGAACTCAGTGCCCAAGAGGCTCCATGGAGCAGAAAAGCCTGAGTCCAGAGGAAGAGGGGCAGGAGCTGAGGAAGCGAGGACGGCAGGGCCCTGCTTACGGAGCAAATTTAGTCCATCTTTCTCACTCCCTTCCCATGCCCATGGCTATGTCATCTCAAATGGACAGGGCTCAAAAGAAGGCTTCTCTTCGCCCTTCTAGCTGCCTGATTTTCATGTCATCTGAAGGTACAGTGAGTAAAGAACATGACCTCAGAGATGACATTTGGAAGCCTTTAGGTTGGTTTGAATTCCTGCAACTTCGGAGCCGTCCCTTTCTCACATGTGCATAAGCCATGACATTTGAGAGCTGGAAAGGACAGGATTGTTCGTATTGTTCAATGCCCTCATTTTTGCACATGTGGGAAGTGAGGTATAGAGAAAGGCGGAGTGACTTGTCTAGTGGCAGTTAGCTCGTGAGTAGCAGGATCAAGATGGGAACCCGGGTCTTCATGAACTCTCCGAATGCTTCTTTCAGCAGTTACTTTGGAATTAGAACCGATTAAAGTGTTTGCTGCCTTGATGTGGGGTGTGAGTTGTGTTCCACAGACACAGAGCTCGGTGGATTAATGGTGTGCTGGAACGTGTTTAACTGTGGGCTCTCTGAGGGGAAAAAGCGTGATTATCCATAAGTACGTAAGTTTATTATACATTTTGCTGTTATGAAAGATGTGGAACATGCAATTTATAATAACGATAAAATATATAACACTCTTTGTTATAAATTCCATAGAACCAATAGATTCTCACAGCATGGTCTTGTTGATTTTTGTTGAATTCTTGTAACTACCTGGTTGCAATTGCTGAATGAGTGTAGTTCTGATATAAATGTTGAATGATATTTTCTTGTATGTTAATGTATTAGACAAAAGTGAAACCACGAAGACATAGGTTGAAACCTCACTCATTCATCAACGACATGAGTGACTTCTTTTCTAAATCAAATACTGGGAGAATATTTCCTCAAATTTTCATGTTATTCACAATGTAACAGCCACAGACACAGACGTGGCACTCTTTTGAGTTTAATCTTCATTATGAACATTCCCCATCACTTTAAGTCTAGACAAGCAACAAAACAATAAATCAAGACCTGATTCCCAGCACTTGCCAATTTACATCCATGGTGTAAATATTCTCACCATGACAGATTTCAAGCTAACACTGTGATGTCACAGAACTCAATTAGAAAGACATGTGTAGCCACACATTCTTATATAATTTTCTACTATGCAGATATAATAGATGTAAATAACCTCAAGAGAATAGATGATAATATAATGTAGTAAAATAATGGAAACGATATGTTCTTAGCATTTATTACCTTTTCTTTTAATATAACTTATTTAAGTGTGTATAATTTAACTTTTAATAATGTCTATACTTAACAGCTTCTCAGAAAATTTCTGAAAATTTAGAATCAGCTCTTGTGAGCTGATAGAAGCAACCTCCAGCGTGTCACTAGCAGAAGATCAATGGGATGGTGCTTAGCCTGGCTTTACTCTTCTCAGTGTATACCCAAGGCCACTAGACTGAGGAGGCCAGGACGATGGCTATTTGGGTAAGAAGGCATGGGCCGAACTCATGCTGAGGGATGGGGTAAATTTAAGAACAAGAATTAGATCCCATGTACTAGGTAACTAAAGATATTTCGGGGTGCAGTTTCCAAATACTATAGAAAATAGTTTTAAATATCAGACTGTCAAGAAAATGGAAAGGAAACAAGGGGAGAAGAAGAAAGAGAAATAAGAAGGAGAAAACCTGATTAAATAGTAAACGCTTTTTACTAAAAACATAATTTGCTGACACAGAACTTAGGCCTGCTTTTGCGGAAGCTGCCTGACCCATCGCTCCTGCAGCCTCCCACAGGCGCGCACTGTGGTGGACATGGGGCGGGGCCCCTTGGGTATTCCCTGTTTGAGGACCTGACCTCTTACTTCTTTGGAAGGAGAGGATGAGATTACCAGAGCTTTGGATCCATTTTTGGATCAAATGAAAACCGCAGGCTAATCCTTAATGCGTCCCTCTCCTCTTACAGATGCTGGCCTCACCCCAGGGGCGGGGCATCAGATGCCTCACAGTCCCAGCCCGAGGGGGAGGCCGAAAGTCACATGCTGCCCCTGAGGTCTGGGACGGCCTCTCCTTCCCCCTCAGCCGAACTCAGTGCCCTGGGGAACCCATTTTTCCTGACTCAGCTCCAGTACCACCTCCTTTGTGAAGCTGCCTAGTCTTTTTCTGTTGCTGTAACTGCATACCTGAGACTAGGTAATTTATAAAGCTAAAAAAAAAAATTATTTCTGACAGTTCTGGAGGCTGGGAAGTCCAAGGTCTAGGAGCACATTTGGTGAGGGCCTTCTTGCTGATGGGGCCTCTCTGCAGAGTCCTGAGGCGACCCAGGGCATCACATGGAGAGGGGCCTCATCAGAGAGAGCCAATTTGGCCTTTTGTAACAGACTGGCTCTTGCGATAACTGACCTACTCCTGTGATGACCATTAGTCCATTCATGAGGGCAGAGCGCTCACCACCCAATCAGCTCTCAAAGGCCACACCTCACAGTGCTGTTATATTGGGGCATGAATTTCAACATGAGTTTTGAGGAGACAAACATTGGAATGGTAGCAGAAGAGATGATGCCCCCAGGCAGTCACCCACTCTCTCCTCCTTTCCCTCACAGCATTTGTAAGTTACTGGACCTTTTTATTCACTTGTCTATCTTCTCAACAAGACTGTGGGCTCTTCAAGAGAAAAGACCTCTTGTCAGTGCCTGGTGCATAATAGGTCTCAATAGATCTTAGGCCCTGCATCACTTTAATGATTCTCAAATACGTGTGCATAAGAATTACTTGAAGAATGGGTTAAATTGCAGATCCCCAGACCTCAGATTAGTGATCTTATAATCTGCATCTTTTAATAAGACTGTGTGATTCTGAGGCATTCATGTTCACAAACCACACTTCGAGAAATACAAATTTGTTCAAACATTTTATAGGTGGGGAAACAGAGGGCTGGAGATTAATTAACAGAGGGCTGCTTTCAGACTCTTGACTACTCAATGTAATGGGAGATCCTGGTGCTTTCAGATAGAACTATCTTAAATTTTTATTAATCTAATTAAGCTCATCACAGTCACAGTGATGATCATTGTTTGGAATATTAACAATGCCTTGAACGAAAATCATTGAATACCACATTTTAAAATAATAACAAGGCTTAACATGGTGGCTCACACCTGTAATCCTAGCACTTTGGGAGGCTGAGGTGGGCAGATCCCTTGAGGTCAAGAGTTTAAGACCAAGCTGGACAACATGGTGAAACCCCATCTCTACAAAAAATACAAAAATTAGCTGGGCACGGTGTCTCACATCTGTAATCCTAGCTGTCGGGAGGCTAAGGTGGGAGGATCACTTGAGCCTGGGAGGCGGAGGTTGCAGTGAGCCGAGATTGTGCCACTGCACTCCAGCCTGGATGATAGAGCTGGGTCTTGTCTCAAAAATTTTTTTTAATTAAAAAAAAAAATAGTAACAAGACTCTCTACTATTTAGTTAGATCCCTTTTCTCAAAGCGTAGGCATGCAGACACGGGGCACCCTCTCCCTCTGCTGCCATTAGTGTCTCCTTAGAATTTGAATTGTTTTTCCACTGACAACAGAACAAGTCCCTAGGGTGATTTATGCCTCCAAGGTGTCATTTGCCTCAATGGCTGTCCCCAGAGGCTGTTTGCCACAAGCTCTATTTCCAGCAGGGTGTCCTCTGACCCCTCTGACACCCACACTTTATGGTGGCAGATATAGGGCCCCAAAGTAGAACAATGTTCAGGCATCTGGCTCATGCCCGCTTTTATGAGCAAAACCTTATTTCACCTGCCAGTCTTTTGGTGAGCATTGTGTGTGCTGGTTCCTGCCTTGGGCAGCAGGTGCCACCTAGAGGGCCCTGTGACTGCCACCGTGGCTTGGCAGGGGCTGGGCAGCCTGGGTCCTGAGGAAACTCAGCGGACATCCACTGAGGGTCACACAGGCCCCTAAGCAGCCCTGACACTAAGCCACCCTGAAGCCCTGGGCGTCCGAGGAGGGGGCTGTCGGGGAACCCGGGAAGAACAATAGGAGGTGGGCCTGGTTCCTAGCACTCAGCCACCTTGCTTGACGTAATTCTGAGAGGAAATGGGCAAGAACTCTGTTTGTCGGCCACAAGGTGTCAGCAGCGGGCTGGCCAGGGGATGGCTCTGCGAGCAGGCCCAGGAGGAGCCGCAGCACGCTGAGAGGGTGTTGCTGGTTGCTCTTTGAAGTTCCTAGTTTGCAGAGACTGCTTTTCTTATTAGTGGGGGCCTGATGATTACGATACCAAAAGACCCCTCTCTGCCTTGCCTGCGGACCAGCCACATGCCTCTCTCTGCTTTCAGTTGGGTAAAATTGCCGCCGCCGGACACCTCAACCAAGCCTGAACTGCAGCTTGAAGAGCTGGATGCAGGTGGAGATTTGGGGATAACACCACACAAAGCAATGATGTAGGAGGTGTATGAAGACGGAGTAGTTCAGGACACTCCTTTTTAAAAAATTGGATATGAGTTCTGGCTTGCCTGCGCGCTAGGTGTGAATTTGAAGTCTGGGTTTGCATCCCCATCTGTAAAATAGCATGTTTCCCATCTTTCAAACGACGATATCCACAGGCTTCTTATGTGGGTCAAATGAGATCAGGTAATTTGCAAACTATGAGGTACTATACACACGTGGGTGCGATTGTTGGGGCTTATCTTTTGGCCCAAGCTGTGTCCTAGAGCTTCCTTCTGACTAGAGGAACAGACACTGAAGCACAAACGGATGGCTGACTCTTCCGAGCGGGTCATGTGCAGTCTCCGTGTGAGCTGCCAGCCATCAAGTTCCGATCCAGCCTGATAGAGTCATCTTCCAACTAGATTCTTCCTGGATGCCTTTGCATGGCTCGTGTCCAACTGGAAAGCTGGCAGTGGATGCTCGCTCTTCCCTCTTCACTGAGCCCGCTTTTCCATACTGGAAGAAGATGAAACACACATTTCAGAATGTAAGTTTTTCCTGCCGGACACTATCCCCCCTGGAGTGATGGAGAAAAATATTAGATGAAGTCAGGGGATAACTGAGTAACATACTGATTTATAAACTCATGGAATCAAATGAAAGTGTTTTTTCCACTGGTGGGGTTATTTATTATGTCCTGGCTGGACAGATCCCAGAGAGGAAGAGGCTTTGGTCCCTGAGCAATAGAAGTAGCAGGAACCAATTTTCTCCATTGCTCTGCTTTAAAAAAAAAAAAAAATAGAACTCACCTGGCTTTGAAATTCATCCCACTCATCACCTTTGGAGTGAGTGGGGACTAAGGCACAGGCCCCATCATGCTGGGATGTTGGCAAAGAAGAGATGAGGCTGCTGCTACTGGTCATTGCTCTGTGGAGCTTTTCATGTGGCCTGTTTCTTGGTGGAAATAAACTACCTGGAAAGTATATTATGAAAAACTCTGATGGGATTTTGATTGTAATTTTACTGTTTATATTAATTTGTGGAAAAGTGTCATCTTTGTGATATAAAGTTTTTCCATCCATGAACATGGTGTATCTTTCCGTTTATTCGATTTCTTTTTTGTGTGTTTCAAAGAAACCTTTTAAGTTTCTGTGTAAAGGCTTTGGGCATCTTATGTTCAATTAATTTCTAGATAAATTATAAGCTTTTTCATGCTATTGTAATGGAATCTTTAAAAATACATTTTGTTATTGTTGCTGTTATGTAGGTAAATATTTGTGTGTGTGTGTGTGTGTGTGTGTGTGTGTGTGTTGATAGAAATTGACTGAAGCCTTATCAGTTCTAATGGTTTGTTTATTGTTTTGGATTTTCTGTGTAAACAATGATATTGAATAATGCACATTTCAGCTTTTCCTTTTTAATCCTGATATATTTTGTTTCTTTTTGTTTTGTTACACTGTCAGTTAGCATCTTGAGGTCATCCTACTTGTCCTGACTTCAAGGGAAATTTTTTGGCATAAATGTTTTATTTTTAAATAATTTTAAATTTATTTTAAGAACTTGCAAAGATAGTACATAGAGTTGCCATAGACCCCTCACCCAGTGTCCTCCATTGTTAACAATTATAGAACATGGTACCCATGTCAAAACTAAGAAACCAAAACTGATGTATCAATATTCACTAAACTCTAGAGTTTATTCAGATTTCACTAGTTCTTCCGCTAATGTTCCTTTTCTGCCCCAGGATCCCATCTAGGATATCCCATTCTGTTTAGTCATCATATCTTCTTAGTCTCCCCTGGTCTATGACAGTTTTTCCTTCTTTCTTTTTCATGACCTTGACACTTTTGAGGCATATTGGTTAGGTATTTTATGGAATGTTTCTCAATTTTGAGTTTGCCTGATGTTTTTCTCATGAATAGAATGTGTTTATGGTTTTTTGGGAATAATATCAGAGCAGTGTCCTTCTTATCATGTTGTATCCAAGAGTACATGCTGTCAACATGAAGCATCACTGGTGAAGTTAGCCTTAGTCACCCGACTAAGGCAATGTTTGCCAGAGTTTTCCATAGGAAAGTTACCTCCCCTATGCCCTTTCCATTCACAATTGCAACCCATCCTTAAGTGGGAGAAGGGGGAAAGGGGAGAGGGATTGTATTAGTCTGTTCTCACGCTGCTACGAAGAAATACCCAAGACTGGGTAATTTATAAAGAAAAGAGGTTTAATGGACTTGCAGTTCTGCATGACTGGGGAGGCCTCAGGAAACTTACAATCACATGGCAGAAGGCACCTTTTCACAGGGTGGCAGGATGGAGTGAGTGCTGAGCAAAGGGGGAAAAGCCCCTTATAAAACCATCAGATCTCGTGAGAACTCACTTACTCTCACAAGAACAGCATGGGGGTAATCACTCCCATGATTCAATTACCTCCACTGCATCCCTCCCGCTACACTTGGGGATTATGGAAACTTCAATTCAAAATGAGATTTGGGTGGGGACACGGCCAAACCATATCGGTGAGGATTAAGTTTCACCTCCTAGAGGATGGAGTATGTTCATATGCTGTATTATCTGGAATCCTTCTGTAAGAAAGACTTGTCTTTCCTATTTATCTGTCCATTTGCTTATTCAATCAGTTATTTATATCAGTATGGACTCATGTATTTTCTTATACTCTGGCTTATAGTATGTTATTTATTTTCTTGCTCAAATTCTTCCAGTTTGGGCATTGGAGCTCTTTCAGGTTGGCTCTGGTGTCCCTTTGACATGCCCCTATACTTTTATTTTTTGGCATCTTCTTACTTTCTGGCTATATAACAAGATCCGCACTCATTTTATATTTTCCCTGCCCTAGACCTAGAATCAGCCATTTCTCCAAGGAGCTCTGGTTCCTTTTATTGGAGAATGGAATTTGGAAACCAAGATCTCGGTGATTTGTGTGCTCCTTACAACTGGGATATCACTGTTTCTAGTCTTCTCAGCAGACAGAACTAAGAATATATGTATATATACTAGCTCATGTATGCACATACCTATAATTATGTCTGAATCTAGCCATTTGCATCTTTATTAATCTCAACATGAGCTCAACTGGATTACAATGTCTCCGATTGTAATCCAGTACAACATGGTTCATTCTAGACTTCCTCCTTTATTAACTGTAATTTTCCTCTCTAACAGGAAGAAACCTAGCTTCCACCATCTACCATCTGCTTACTTATAAAGACAGTAGTTTTAAGGTTCTGTCATTAAGTTTGATGAAGATTTTTGTTAGCTATCCTTACCAGGTTAAGGAGGTTTCCTTCTATTGCTATTTTGTTTTAAAAAATTAACCTTGAATTATTAAATCATATATTTTAGTCAGTCGTCTATTGAGATGATAATATAACATGTCAAAATGACAATATGAAATGTTAAATTATTTGTATCCCTGGGTCAAATCCAACTCGGTCATAGAACTCTTTTTTATTAGATTGAAGTACATGAATTTGCTGTCTTTTTGTACATCAAAAATTGGCAATCAAATACATTGCTGAATTCTGTTTGCTAGTGATTTGTTTAGGATTTTTGTGTATATGTTCATAAGAGATTAGCTTATTATTTTCCTGTCACTCACTGTTTTTCTGCCCCTGAAATTCAAGGGCTTGCTCTTCAGAAGCCAGGATATCTTTTAATTATCACTACGCAAGGTTATAAGCATGAAGGTCATTGCCTTTAGAAAGAAAGGAGATGAGTAAAAGAACAGAGAAACAAGGAGAGGGAGGGGTGACAGAGCTGGAGAGGAGGAGGAGTTTTGGCTAGTTCCAGATGAACTCCCACCCCCGCTCCGCCTACCATACAGCTGGAAGTAGCTCTGTCATCTTACTCTAGAGGCCCTCCCCTCACCTCACATGCAATCCACACACATCCTTAGAATGGGGCAGGAGGAGAAGACAAACTTCACTGGAGCTGCTTCTATACTGTTTTCCTAACAGACTTGTGGCAGAATAGAGCTCCTGTCGTATGTGCACTGGGTGGACTTTTGTTTTTGTTTGCCCAGCCTTCCTTTCTTCTCTCCTTAGATGACAGCACACTTTATTCCTTTAGAGAATTGCTCCTCCATGCCTGTGTCCTAGATTCTGATGAGGCCTCCTTCCCTGTACCCTGCCCCATCCCTCAGCTACAAAAATGGGCACATGGCCCAGGCTTGGCCAATTATTCCTTGGCTTTAATGACTGGTCCTCATGGTGGACAGGAGGCTCAAGTTGGTCCAATCAGAGTTCTTTCAAGACGGTGAATGCGCTCCCTTTCTTTCCTTGCAGATCCTGAGCTGGAGCAAGGTAAGTCTGGAACTGCCTACTGCCAGTTTTCCTTTCTTTGGTCCTACCCTCTGGAGGGAGTTATTTGAGGAAAGGCAGAATGAGATCAACACAAAGAGAGAAGCGGAGATGCAAACTGCAGGTATACTTTGAGTCTCCAGATCCACGCTATTCATTCCAATTAGATAAGCTATAAATAACTCCCCTTTTTTGCTTAAGCTACTTCGAGTTGGGCCACCTGACAGATTTGTATCTGCTGAATCAGGTCAGGACTGAGGGAGTTTGTGCTGCCTCTGTGTTCTCAGTTTACTAATCTCACCTACAGCGTGACACAGCTGTGGCTGTTGGTAGTGATGGCTCAAACCAGCTATCCTCATTCACTGGTGGGCAGGAAGCAGGTGGGACCCCTTAAAAGAGACCCCAGCCCAGTTAGTATAAAGAAACCTCAAGGTTCTGTACTATGATAGTGATGAACACCTCAACTGATGGAAAGTGACACTGTAAAATCAGCACACATGGGAGGGGGTATGTAGACGTTGGTGTCCTTTTATTTATTGCCTGGTGAGCTTAGAAAAGGATAATATCTTAAAGGGGGTTCTCCGTCAAAATAAGCCATTGTAGCTGAGAGTTATTTAATAAGGGAATAGGGAAGGGAGGTCTACTTTTCAGTAAGAGAGAGCCTTGTTTGCACATGATGTCCCTGTCCTTCTTCCCACCAGAAGGGCAGTCACGCTGGAGGACAGCTGGATTTAACGTCCAAGCGTACATGCTCTGTGCAGGAGAATGATGTGATCTAACAAAGGCTGGGGCATATGTCCAGTGAACAAAATGATGATTTCAATTTATTTTTTCTTGTGATGCGTAATAGCTTTAAAGACCATTTCTGCACAAGGTTAGCAGAAAAGTTGCGTGATTTCTCTAAGGCCAAAGAACAAAGGTTTTCTTTGTTTTTGTTTTTGTTGAGAGGGAGTCTGTCTCCATCGCCCAGGCTGGAGTGCAATGGCGTGATCTCGGCTCACTGCAACCTCTGCCTCCTGGGTTCAAGCGACTCTCCTGCTTCAGCCTCCCAAGTAGCTGGGATTATAGGTGTGCACCACCACTCTTAGCTAATTTTCCTATTTTTAGTAGAGACAGGGTTTCACCGTATTGGCCAGGCTGGTCTTGAACTCCTGACCTCAGGTGATCTACCCACCTTGGCCTCCCAAAGGCTGGGATTAAAGGCGTGAGCCACTGCACTCAGCCTTAAAGAACAAAGTTTTAAAGAAATATCTTAATTTTTCTGATAAAAAAAGTACAAGCAATTCTTTTAAAATTCAATAAAAATTAAGAAAGCAAAGATCATTTAAAATTCTATCACTCAGAGATAAGCACTATTTATATTTTGGTGTATTTCTCCCATATATATTTCTATCAAACGGCAAGATTAGAAGCTGACTCCAGACCAGAATTAGGGTCTTTTGATGCCTTTAAGGATATTTGTTTTTTATTTATTATGACATTTTAAAATATAATTATAGAAAATAATGTGATAAAAAGCCGTGGACCCAAAGCCCACATATAACAAAATTTAGCATTTACTCTGTTTACTTTGGATGACTTTTTGTTTTAAAAAACACAATACTGCAGATTGTTTGATCCCTCACGCCCACCCCATACTCTTCCCTGATCCCATTTTTCTTTCCTGGCGTTAACCATAATCCTGAAGTTGGGAGTATCTTTCTGTATTATGGTTCTCCAGAGAAAAAGAACTGATAGGACATATATATATTTGCAGAGGTGCAGAAAAAAAGGAGTAAAGCCCTTCTTCCTCTACTCTTTGTTCTATTCAGGCCCTTAATGGATTGGGTGGTGCCCACTCACACTGGGGAGGACCATCTGATTCAAGTGCTGATCTCATCTGGAAACACTGGCACAGACATACCCAGAAATCATGATTAATCTGGGCACCCCATGGCCCAGTCAGGTTGACATATAAAATTAACCATCACACTTTTTTACATGTGGTTTTGTTGTTGTTGTTTTTAGAGACAGGGTCTTACTCCGTTTTCCAGGTTGGAGCGCAGTCGTGCAATCATGGCTCACTGCAGCCTTGAACTCCTAGGCTCAAGCGATCCTCTTGCCTCATCCTCTCGAGGAGCTAGGACCACAGGTATGCGCCACCACATCCAGCTAATTTTTTAAAAGTTTTTTGTAGAGACAGGGTCTTGCTCTGTCACCCCAGCTGGTGTCAAGCTCCTAGTCTCTCTCATACATGTTTTTATATTTTTCTATGTATGTATGCATACTTAAACAATACAACGTATCATTTTTTGCCTTTAAAAAATTTTTAAACAAATTATATTAATATGTGTGTCTTCTTCTAAAACTTTCTTTTTTGTACTCACCTTTATATCTCTGACATTTATGCATGCGATACATCTATTATCATTTAGTTACTGTATACTACCATTGAATGAATATATCAGAGTTCATTTATCCATTCCTTTGTGAATAGACTTTTAGGTTGTTCTATGTTTTGCTATTTCGAACAATGTTACCATGGACATATTTGTCCTCACCTTGTGAACACCTGTGAGAATTTCTGGAGGCGGAATTTTGAGGTGGGAGTACAGGCGCATCTTCGACTTTTTATTAAATATTGCCACATTGTTTTCTAAAACATTTGTTATACTCTGCAATGAATTCAGGTTATGGCCACAAGATCTACACATTCTCCTTGGTTTTTGGCTGGAGCAGCTCTCACCACCACTTGTGCTATTGTTTTGGGGCCAGTTGGCCACTGCTGCCTCCACTGTTGCCATGAAACAGCAGCCTGCTTGTAAGCATAAAGTCACAGTGCTCATGGTAGAATATTTGTAAAGGTGGCTGCAATGACCCCTTTCATTGCCATGTGCATGCCGCATTACAGTATGCCTACTCTACTCCCATCAAGATGTGTATTTCCCTTCTCCTTGAATCTGGGCTGGCCTTGTAACTTCTTTGACCAACAGAATGTGTGGAAATGACCTTGTGTGACTTCTGAGTCTCAGCTTCAAGACATCTTGCAGCCTCTTGTCTCCTCATCTTGGAATGCAATGCTGCCATGTTAGAAAGCCTCCAAGAGGGTGAATCATCATATGAAGAGAAGCAACCATGAAGGATGACCCTATGATGAGATGGTGCCATCAGGAAGCACCAAGTGCCCAACATGTCACTGTGGCCATCTTGGACCATTCAACCCCAAGTAAGCCACTAGATGACTGCAGCCATGTAGGTAACCCCTGGAAAGATCAACAGAAGAACCACTAAGCTGAGCCCAGTCCATATTGCTCGCCTGTAGTATTATAAGCAAATAAAATGGTTGTTGTTTTCAGCCGTTGAGTTTTGGGAGTGGTTTGTTCCACAGCAATAGACAACTGATGCAATGCCTCTCCTCAATTCCTGTGCCATAGATCTCTTGCCTCTCATTTGCTGGCATGGGACTTTCCTTTTACTATGGAGATTCAAGATACTATGGGATCCATCTGGTATTCATACACACACAAATCCAGGAATGGCAACTAGCAAACTATGACCAGTTGGAGATGGGAATTAGAGGAAAATCCTTCTGTCTGCCTCTCCTGAGAGGTACTATTTGAGAGTGGGTAGTCCCATATGGTCTCTCTGAAGACATCCTGCAGGACTGAATCAGTTTCTCATTAAGCTGTGGCCAGCTTGGTAATGCACTTTATTTATTTTTTTTGAGACAGGGTCTCGCTCTGTCTCCTAGGCTGGAGTGCAGTGGTACAATCTTGACTCACTGCAACCTCTGCCTCCTGGGTTCAAGTGATTCTCATGCCTCAGCCTCCCAAGTAGCTGGGATTACAGGCGTGTGCCACCACACCCAGCTAATTTTTGTATTTTTAGTAGAAACGGGGTTTCTCCATGTTGGCCGGGCTGGTCTCAAACTCCTGGCCTCAAGTGATCTGCCCGCCTCAGCCTCCCAAAGTGCTGGGATTGCAGATGTGAGCCACCACACCCAACCAGTAATGCACTTTATATTTGCTAACTCTCTTTCTCTGTTTATCTTTTTTCTTCACTTCTGCTTTCCTAGAATTTCATTCCCCCCAAAAGCCTTAGCATATAGGATTTGCTCAGTCTCTGTTTTCTAGGGAACCTGGAAAAAGATAGTTTTAAGAGTGGCCTTAGAAAGCAGACCTTCAAGATGGGATTTGGAGTTGAATTGCCCACTAGTCTAAAGGTGGAGGGCCCCCATTGCTGGTGGCAAGTGGACTGGTAACAACCCCTGATGTGCGTTGGCATCACTATCACCAGGCTTTTGCCTGTAGTTAATTGTGATGAAGTACAAGTAGAAGATGAGGCATTCGGAGATGCCAATAGTTTCTAAATTGCTGTACATTAAAATCATGGGGAGAGCTTTAAAAAAAATCCCCTTGCCTAGGTTTCATCCCAAACTAATTAAATCAAAGTGTCTATGGGTGAAGGCCAGGTGACAGTAAGTACTTTTTAAAAAATCTCCAGGTGATTCTTATATGCAGCAAATTTGGGGACCACTGGACTATGTATTGACTATGGCTCTTGACTGGTGGAATGTGGTGATCCTAATTATAAGGATTGTAGTAGGTACAAGCTGCTTTTGATGACATTGGAATACTTGACAAAAAAATTCAAAACAGCTTATTGCTAACTTACAGCATTCTGGGAAAGCCAGAGAGCCTCTATGGGAGCCCCTAACTTCTGCATCTGTAGAACAAACTGCTGAAAATCAGGCCCAGGATCTGATAATAATAGTAGCAGAGCTGCAAAGCATACTGAATTTGCATGGTTGGGTCTCCTATGTCAAATTCACAGTTCTAAAGGTGAAAGAGTGGTACCCTGAGACTAGGGATAGGGACAGTATGTTGGAAATGCCTAAGAATCTCTAGCCACCAATCCTCCATAATTCTCCAAGCCAGCAGAAGCAGGCCTCTCTTATTTAATACAGGAAAACAGCTTCCCTTTGCTTGGAGATGATGTAAAGACTTCCTCTGAAGCCTCACAAGATGGTGTATGTACTCTTCAAGATCTGCCTCACCCACACTCCCAATCGCCGTTGCCTCTAGGCCATTAGCTAGGGTCAGTTCTCAGCATAGCCAAATGAGGAACTATAGTCCCTGCCTCAGGATGGAAGTGCTGCATGCCAAGGCATTGCAAGACCTGGTTAGTCTGTTGGCAGAAACAACAGAAGCACATGTGAAAGTGGATTTTGGGAGGATGGACAGAGGAAGGTGGACCATAAGGTTGGCTATAAAAGACTTCATTGACATGGGTCCCACATCTGTGCCTTAGGATTCGATATTCTAACAAGGATGTTGAGCCTAATAGTTTGCTTGAAATTTAGATACAATGGTAGTCTGCAGTAAAAGGTGGGCAAGTCCACTGCTACTGCACATGGCATATACAGGTATATCTGCCTGCTGAGAAGGTGTTTTATCCATGGCTTTCTTCAGGTGGCCAAAATAAAATCTCTGTCCATTTTTGTTCTTGGGGTCTCAGTAGCTTTTCAGAGGCTTATATCCTGAGTCTCTCAAAGAAGTAAAAGAGGTCCACCTAGACAGAGGAGTGGGCCTGTGAGAGTCCATTCTTGACTAAAGCAGAGGCCTGATCACATTTTTGTCTTCTGGATAGGTTTTCTGCAGATACCTAAGGCATGCATACATGCTGGAGGTGTTTTGGGAAACCAGCATTGGCATCAAGTTGGAAAAAGAATGGCAAAGGGACTTCTAACCATCTGACTGTCATCAGGATCCATGTAACTCCCTAGGTTTGACCCCCTTCCCCATCTGTGATCACCAGTTGCAGAGCTGAACATTATGCAGGTCATCAGTGAAGCTAATGGTCACTGATTTGGGAAGTGATCGACTCGTTTAAATAATCTAGTCTCCAGGTTTCTCTCTGGTCACTCTGCCAACTGCCTTTTAGATTGCTTGATAGCCAGGAGCTCCTCTGCCAGAAGGTAAGTAGGAGTGTCCAGCGGAGGTGAGGTTCAAAGCAGTCGGCCCACCTGCTCCCAAGAGGGCTGGTCAGGCAAAAGGTGAAGGAAGTGAAGATGGAGAATGTATCCTTTGCTTAACCTTGAGTTTCCTCCTCTGAAGTTTAGGTTTGCCTGTGCATTAATTTACCCCACCCTCCATGCTCATTCCTATAGATAATAACCATAACAGCACTATTATCAGCTAAACTTCATATGTACAGTGGTAGAGATGACTAGATGCTCACCAATCCCGTTTTTTTTTCTGCCTGCATACCCAGGAAGACAATTATATTTTTCAGCTTCCCTTGTAATTAGATTGGGTTCAGGTCAATGCAGGTAGAGTGATGTATGCAGTTTGCAGGCTTGGTATAGTTCCCTCTGAGCAATCCTTCTTTTCTCTCTTTTCCTCCCATGGCAACTGCCATGGTATCTTCTTCAAGGAGAACACTTGGACCCACATTGGGCTTTGGTATAAATGAAACACAAGTATTATGTTAAGCTGCTGATATTTTGGGTTGTTTGTTATGGTAGCTTGCTTTACTTATCATGACTAATACAAGTGATTATGCTATGACAGATATTAGACATGCATGAACTCATTAAATGCTTAGAACAATCCTATGAGATAGGCCTACTACTAGCACCCCTGTTCTACAAATGAGGATGCAAAGATGTGGAATAACTTGTCCAAAGACTCGCAGCTAGGAAATGACAGGGTCAGGCATCAAATTCTTGTAGTCTGGCTCCCAAATCCCCATGTTTGGCCTTCCTGCTGCATTCATTACTGGGAACTGACTACTGCAGGATCCTGTGGATGAGGCAGATCATAGCAAGAGGATTATAAAAGAAAAGTTATAAGAGCTACTAAAATATTATCTTTGTCCCAGTGACTCCAATTTCTTAAGACTGGGCTCAACTCTAAGCTGTGCACCCCATACACCTCACTACAGGAGTAAGGTAGTCTCAATGAAAGACATCTTGTCTTTCTTTCCTCTCCTTGTCCTATCCAGTCCCATGTGCAGTAGGCTGGAGGGTGGCCTAGCCTACTCTACTTCCTCTTAGATGTGTGAATCTGGGCAGCAGGTTAACTGAGTAACCAAGTGAGGACCAGTTCAGAAGGGAAAGCTGGCCTGAATCTTGATCCAGAAAGGGAAGCCTTGTGTGTGAATTTGTTTTCACACTGCTGATAAAGACATACCCGAGACAGGAAAATTTATAAAGGAAAGAGGTTTAATGGACTCACAGTTCCACATGGCTGGGGAGGCCTCACAATCATGATGGAAGGCAAGGAGGAGCAAGTCATGTCTTACATGGATGGTGGCAGGCAAAAAGACAGAGCTTGTGCAGGGGAACTCTTCTTTATAAAGCCATCAGATCTCGTGAGACTTATTCACTATCATGAGAACACCATGGGAAAGACCCACCCCCATGATTCAATTACCTACAACTGGGTCCCTCCCACAACACATGGGAATTGTGGGAGCTACAATTCAAGATGAGATTTGGGTAGGGACACAGCCAAACCATATCACCCTGCCTAGCCCTTTCCTGGTGACTTCTTTCACCTTTCCTGGGAACTTATCTAGTCTCTAATCACAGGATAGAGAGCATTCTGTTTGTCTCACTGGCCCAGACTCCTGGAACTGGTGAGTCCTCTGTGACACTGGGAGTTGGAGAAAGGAAGAAACGGTTGGGGGCTTATGTCTATTATCTTCTTCCATTCTCACTTATAAAAGCTACTACTGATTATTATGTTCATGTTTCAGATGAACAAGCTAAGGCTTAGAGAGGATGTCGCTTGCCCAAAGTCATGGGGCTTGGAAGAGAAAATAGAGTCTGAACACTGGTCTCCCTGGCTACAAAGTTCCTTCTCTCAGGATTCTCTTGGTAGGGCTTGTTTCTTAATGAAAGTGATCAGCTTTTTAGTGACCATTTGGAACCTCCTCACTCTTATAAATATATTCAATTTTCTGGAATACGAATGCCATCATTCACCATTATTTTCCTTCTACTTTGGCTGCCCTCCATACTTTTTTTTTGAGACGGAGGCTCGCTCTATCACCCAGGCTGGAGTGCAGTGGCGCAATCTCAGCTCACTGCAAGCTCCGCCTCCTGGGTTCACGCCATTCTCCTGCCTCAGCCTCCCTAGTAGCTGGGACTACAGGTGCCTGCCACCACGCCTGGCTAATTTTTTGTATTTTTAGTAGAGACAGGGTTTCACCGTGTTAGCCAGGATGGTCTCGATCTCCTGACCTCGTGATCCGCCCGCCTTGGCCTCCCAAAGTGCTGGGATTACAGCCGTGAGCCACTGAGCCCTGCCCATACTTTTTAATTGTTCAGGGACAAGTCAGTTCTTTGTGGGCTCTGAGGGCTGCCCTGTAAAATCAATTTACTTTCTATGGATAACAGTGAAAGTGAAAGGTAAAATTGGCCAAGTCTGGGCTACTAATAGCCCACCCATCTCAGGGAGTCTTAAGACCTTTTGTGGAGGTGATCAATAAGAAACAGATTTTTTGGGGTTTTGCACAGAGCTTGAAAGTTCTTCCTCTTGCTGGGGAATAAGAGGAAATGATAATATATTTATTCTGTGCCCTGCCAGTTTGAAACAAGGGCAGGAGTGTCCAGATAATTCTTTTTTTGTTTTTTTTTTTGAGATGGAGTCTCACTTTGTCACCCAGGCTGGAGTGCAGTGGTGCGGTCTCGGCTCACTGCAACCTCCACCTCACGGATTCAAGCGATTCTCCTGCCACAGCCTCCCAAGTAGCTGGGACTACAGGCACCTGCCATCACGCCCAGCTAATTTTTTAATTTTTAGTAGAGATGGGGTTTCACTATGTTGGCCAGGCTGGTCTCGAACTCTTGACCTCATGATCCGCCCACCTCAGCCTCCCAAAGTGCTGGGATTACAGGAGTGAGCCACTGCACCTGGCTGTGTCTAGGTAATTCTACACTCATCTTGCCTGTACTCTCTGGATAATAAAACAAGTTTAGCCGGTGATGATCATGATGACGATGACCATGATGATAATGATTCATCACCTGCAGGTGATATGAGATTATTGGGAGGACAGAACAACAGATCTGAAAGGGCCCCCAGAAACCACTGGCTTCCAAGACAATTTTTACAACAGTGGATTCCTTTCTTCAAACACAATCATACACTCCAACATATGAAGTAGATCAAAGTGGAGCAGTTCTAGATGAGAGGGAGCAGGAGGCTGAGGGCTGGTCTGTCCCCGCAACCCTCAGGGCCCCTCAGAACACAGTTTCAAAAGCCAGGCCTCATTCAATGCCTTTGTTTTACAGATGAGGAAACAGAGGCCCAGTTTGTGAAGTTACTCAGCAGAAACCTCCAAAAATGGGTGAGGGTGGGAGGCTGAGGTCTCACGTGGTTTCAGAACAGTCTTTCCCTCTGTTGGGTGCAATTCTTGAAGGCCATCGGGCCAGGTGTGCTTTCTCATTCAGTGGCTCTCAGCTGTGACAGCGCAGAAACACCTGAGAGCGTCTGGTAGGACTGTCACCTGCGAGTCAGGAGGAGCAGAGCCTGGAATTGCTCAGTCTGAGGTTGGAGGGGCCATGGTGGCCTCTTCTTTGAGGACCCAAACCCAGTGGAAATGGGGTTGGTCTTCCCACGATTCTCATCAACCACACTAAGGAGAATCGGGTCCTCTCAACGCCCAGCCTCTGTCCTCATGGAGGCACCCAGGCCTCCACACAGGAGCTCCTGCCAGCCCCTCGGGGATGTCTGAGCCATCCTCATGCACTCACCTTCCCCGTCAGGTGCCCACAGTGCAGGGTAATCGAGAAATCAGTCAGATGTTGTGCCTGAAGCACCCAGTGCCTGGCCTGGCTCCCAGGAGGATGCGGCCTTGGTCTTCCTTCTCTCATACTTTCAGCCAGAGTTGGAAAACCACTTTCCCAGGCCCTGAGTTTCCTAAGGCCCTGCCCAGGATTTTCCTGCAAGCTCTGATTGCACTCTGCTGGTCCAGTTAAAACCCCTAGCGGGGAGCTAGCTAATGTCACAAAAGCTGCTTTTTAGAGAGGACACCGCCCAGCTGCATAATCAAACATTAGAAGCCCAAATGAGAAATCACAGCTTGGAATGAGGTCCAGAGCCTTGACCAGCTTTTCAAGTCGTAAATCATATTCTTTCTCCAAAAAGGGCAGGTCATGAGGACCTCCAGGCACCTCAACATGAGCTGTTGCAAACAGCAATGGTAGTGTGAGCTACGGGGTAGAAAGCCAGTGCACAACCCATCGGGCTCAAAGCTCCCCACCCGCGGGAGAGATTCTTTGTCATCAAATGGGTTAATGGAACCCCGGAGCCCTTTGTCCCGGCCCTTCCCCGAAGCCCTGGCCTCCCCGCTAGCTTCTACACCAGCACGATGCAGACAAAGGCCCACTTGGGATTTTCAGAGCTTTTACTGGATGCCTCTTTAAAGTGTCTAATTTTAATGAAGAAATCTTTCATCTGCCATCCTGTTTCCAGGAGACAGGTTTGGAAGGAATTTTCACAAGTCACTAAGGCCCCTTGGAAATGTGTTTTTTGGTGGAAAACGTAAGGCTGTAAGACATGCACAGAGATGTTCTCACTGGGGGCGGGAGTGGAGGAGGCAAGAGGAGGAAATAAAACACCAAGAAAAAAACGCTTCAAGAGCCAAGTGGAGGAAGGATGCAGAGGTGCAACCGAAAGGGGAAAAGTGTTTGACTGGGAATATATAAAGAATAAGTCAGCCAGAAAACACAGAGTCTCTCCCTGGGGAAATTATATGCAGCTCTAAAAAATGCTACGGACTGGAGAATGCATGGGAGGGGTGGGGTGAGGGGAGAGAAAGGGCGGGAAGGAAAATGTCATCAACAACTGGAATGAGGTAGAGACAGTACATGCACACAGAAAACATGCCAGAAAAAAAAAAAGACAAAACCCTCAAGTTCCTCCCCTCTGCAGCTTTCTGAGCCAAAAAGAAAAAATAAAGGCAACAACTGCTGAACTGGAGAGACGATGGAGATGGAAGAGCAGGTCTGCAGGGTCACGCAGCTGCGAGTGCAGGGGATGTGCTCACACACAGCCCCGCCCCTCTGGAGGTGATGCCGTCTAGAAAGCCTCCCTTGCATACCCTCCTGGTTCCCAGAGGCCTTTGTCCAAGAACCTCCTCTCCTGTATTTTTCACCAAGGGAGCAGCTTCCCTTGCCCCTCCCCCCTCCCCGCCTCCACCGACAGCAAGGAGCTCCCACAGCACTTCCTGTCAGCTGCAAGACACTCTCACCATTATGCCACATGGGACAATGGTGCCATCTTGGTTGGGAGGTCAAGGCTGACGCCAATGAGTTCAGCACAACCTGAGACTTCTCGGAGGTTCCTGGGCCCCACGGGGAAAGGGATATGTGGATATGCATAAACTCACACAGAAGAAATTTGGCCACTGATGCTATGGAATTCAAACTCAAGCATGAGTCAAGGGGTGGAAAAGGGAGGGGTGAGAGAGTGGGGAGACAGAATTCATAGACTATTCCGTGCTGAAGTGGCAAGTGAGAGTCACAGGGGTTAATGGAGATGGTTTTGTTAACAGAGAAGGGCCCTCCCCCCATCACTAAATCACTGGACAAGGCTGATGAGCAGAGCCACCTGCGGTTGGCAGTACTTGAGTTAGGCTTTTACAAGCCTGTGAATTTACTCTTGGTGGCCATGACAGGGTGTCTTCTGCAGCTGATGATGAAAAAAGGTGTGTTTTCCTACCTCTTTAGGATACACAGTCCAAACCAGCACCAAATAATGGAGGAGTTTGGCAGGGGGGCAGGTTTACATGACTTTGAAATTTCTGAATAAAAATATCATCCTGAATTACACACAAAAGACATATTCCATGTGCTTCTGTTTACCCTGTTTCTGCTAACGAGATATTACTTATAAATGTAAAATGTTAAGGATGTTGTCTTCAGCCTGGAGAGAAAGAACGTGTAATTTGCAGCTTTTGCTCAGAGTGATAACCTTATTAAGTAACGGGATTCGCTGATTAACTGCTGCTAACAAAACATTGTTGCCAAACCTGATAGTCTGAAACCGGCAACAGAGCTACTGTCAGAACCACTTCTCCATCCCACCAACCCTGTGGGGATTTTACAGAGATATTTCTCATTTAAATAACCTTCACCTTTCAGTATTTTTTATTGCTTCCACTAATAGGCTAACAATAAGTTAGGAGCCACTCCTAGATGGATGTCGAATCAACCTTGGTGAAGAGTTCAAGGAGAAAAGCAATTCTACTTAAAAAATGATTTTTTAATGAAAGGGGTAATGGGAAACTGTGTGAGTTCATTGAGCACTAGAATGAATGGAAGTTCTTAGTCAGAGATCAGAAGGCAGGATCCGGCCATGCTCAACATATGTGATGGCACTTTAAATTTCTAGAATGGAGCAATATCTCTTTCACAGTGATTCACATAGTATGTGGGAAATTTTCTTTTCCCGTAACTTGCCTAAGAAAATCAACTCCATTCCGGTCTTAAGAAATACTTTACTACTTAGATAATCAGGAGAGAGACCCCTGAGGTAGATCATCTTGGTCTTAGCTATATATCTCCTGTAATTCCTCTCTTCCCCACAGAGCCCCAGTGAGTCCCACCAGCTCAGGACTCTCAAGGTCATGAGTCTAGTCATAAACGGCCTGTTCTGCAGCTAAGTCATAGACCCAGGGGCTATCAGAGCAGGCCAGGGTGGGGCTGCGGAACATGGACCTTGTCTAGTCCAACTCCCTGGGGTCTGGAAAGGTGAACTGACTTGCCCAAAGCCCTCATCTTGTCAGTGGGAAAGCCAGGATTAAATCTGGGCTTGTGGCTTCCGGTCCAGTCTGTCTTCTGGCTTGTGAGAAACAGGGAGTGAGGGGGGCAGTGCGCGTGCATAGGCACATTCCCATGTGCACACACCTGTACATCAGCTTTGAGCCTCATGCTGATCCCGTCTCTTCATGATGTCTAACCATCCACACGGCACGACTGTTTTCCCAAGGCAAGATGCTTCCCTCCTTCTTTTCTTTTTTTCTTTTTTTTTTTTTTTTTGAGATGGAGTCTTACTCTGTCCCACAGGCTGGAGTGCAGTGGCACGATCTCAGCTCACTGCAACCTATGCCTCCTGGGTTCAAGCAATTCTCCTGCCTCAGCCTCCCGAGTAGCTGGGACTACAGGTGTCTGCCACCGCACCCAGGTAATTTTTGTATCCTTAGTAGAAGACAGGGTTTCACCATGCTGGCCAGGATGGTCTCGATCTCTTGACCTCATGATCCACCCGCCTTGGCCTCCCAAAGTGCTGGGATCACAGGCGTGAACCACCGTGCCCAGCCGCTTCTCTCCTTCTTTTCTAGGCCTGAAAGTGTTCAGGTGTTCAGGTGGCCAAATCGGTGTTCAGATTTGACAGAAAAAATAACATTTATGTCAGGATTTCTTCCTTGCCTGGATCATTTATAGGTAGGATACTATTGTTTGTACAACTATAATGAGAAAAAACTAGTAAAAGAAGCTGGGTTTTGAGAGCTTGTGTCTAAATATTGGAGGAGAGCAGTCTCAGAGAAGGCACCCTTAAATCTGGGTGAGAGAGGGCACTTGTAGGTGTATTTTCTTGTGTTGGCTCAGAGACTTAGACTTCTTGGATGTATGAGAGAGGTCATTCAGTGTGGACCCGTGCTGGGGGAGAGAGGATGGATATGAGCTTGGAAATCGTTTTGTTCAAGGCGGGGCAAGTAGCAAGATTAAAATTTTTAGTCTGTTAAGTTGTAAGCAAACCAAGGGCAGATGATGAGAGAAGGCTTTGGAGGCCTGCACCCCAACACTCCCTAAGTCTGGCCTTCCTTGCTGGCCTCACCCAGCCATAGAGGACACTGATATGGGAGGATTACCTCCTTTAACCCCCTGAATTGCTTTCATTGAGAACCACGTTGCCTTTGCCAATGATCATTGCTAAGCATTAGGACAGGGTAGAGGCCTCTGGGTAGGAAATTGGCAGGTCAGGGTTGGGGTTGGATCAAAATCCAGAAGGAATCATGATCCTCAAACTAGAGCCACAACCAACCGACAGGAGTAGACTCCCCTGCAGTAGGACTCCAGATTCTGCAGACACTGTCTGAGGGCCTTTGACAAGCACTGTAATTTATTTTAATCCTCTCACTAACAGAGAAGGGAGGCCCTTTTGTCTCTGATTACTGACCAAGAAGGAGACTGTGTTAACCATTCTTGCATTGGTATAAAGAAATACCCAAGACTGGGTCATTTATGAAGAAAACAGGTCTAATTTGCTCACTGTTCTGCAGGCTGTACAAGAAGCATGGCGCTGACATCTGCTCAGCTTCTGGGGAGGCCTCAGGGAGCTTCTACTCTTGGCAGAAGATAAAGAGGGAGCTTGCACATCACACGGCAGGAGCAGGAGCAAGAGAGGGTGGGAGGTGCCACACACTTTTAAGCAATCAGATCTTGTGTGAACTCACTCATAGCTAAGGGGATGGTGCTAATCCATTCATGAAGGATCCACCCCCATGACCCAAACACTTCCCACCAGAGCCTACCTCCTACACTGGGGATTACATTTCAACATAAGATTTAGTGGGGACACAGTTCTAAACCATATCAGAGACCCTAGAGGAGAGACTGGCCCAAGATGACCCTGGGTGGACACTCCTCTGGGGACTCTGATCAAATCTCACATTTCTTCCCTGCACCAGACCGCCCCTTTGTGGTCATAGGAAGGTCAGGGGGACAGAGTAAGCTTCTTAGAGAACCCTGGCCTCCTGTAATAAGTCTCTCCAGGCCGAGTGCAGTGTCTCGCACCTGTAATCCCAGCACTCTGGGAAGCTGAGGAGGGCAGATTGCTGGAAACCAGGAGTTCAAGACCAGCTTGGGCAACATGGCGAAACCTTGTCTCTACAAAAAATACACAGCTTAGCCAGGCGTGGTGGTGTGCACCTATAGTCCTAGCTACTTGGGAGGCTGAGGCACAAGGATTCCTTGAGCCCAGGAGGTTGAAGCCACAGGGAGCTGTGTTTGCACCACTGCACTCCAGCCGGGGCGACAGAGTGAGTCCCTGTCTCAAAAAAAAAAAAAAAAAAAAAAAAAGTCTCTCCTGAGCCAGTGTGGGAGCTGAGCTGGCTGCCCTGAAGTGCAGCAGGTCTCCAGGTGACAGGGGCCTTCCAGGCAGCAGTGAATCAGCCCTTGTGGCTTCAGTAGTCTAAGGACCACCTTGAAAAGGCTTATCCTTGCTCTCTACCTGTGGGAACCAGTCCTAATGAAATAGTAATCAACATAGAAAAGTTGATCAGATAAAATATATACAGGCTCACATAAATTTTATTCTTTATTTAAAATACAGAAATACTTTTTACAGCATGAACAGAAAGTACTACATTGTGTTGAAATCTTAAGATTTAGAAATCTCACTGAATCATACACAGGCCCATGATGCACTGTACTAGAAAAAAAAGCTGTATCAAAAATGAAAACAAACAAACAAAAACCACCTCAAACTATTAAAATCATTAAGGCCAGTAGTGGTTGTTTAATTAAATTGTACATACCTGACTGTGGTGTACATACCAATCACTGTTTAAGAGAATACATTAAAAACAGAAAAATTGACCTCTAAATAATGAACTAATAGCCCTCCTGCAAAAGTTACAAACAATAACAGGCTTTGAAAGATTCAAAGCACATTTTGATGTAGTGTCTTATATATAATGGTCAATTTATGAAAACACTGTATATGATAAAAATAAGTACATCCAACTCACTCCTAAGTAACACGCTACACTTACAGCCTGCTTATGACAAATGAGAGATCTGTAAATATATGCAGTAAGAATACACGTGGGTTCATACTCAGATAATGTATCTGTATGCACAGTATGTGATGAAATTAAACTAGAGGATAAATAACTTTAATAAACTCTACATTTTGAGGCGCATGGGGAATAAAATTCATGTTGTTTCTAAGTTATAGACACAGCATATTTTTTTTCCTATCTCGGTACCTTAGTGTAATGCCAATTTGCATTTAACCTAGTTATCTTATGTTTGCATGCTTTGCAAACTAAATTACAGAACCAAATTGCCTATTACAATTTCCCATTATGTAACACAATTACATAGGAACACTTTGAGGTGAAAGGATTGTCCCAGTATTAGGAAACACTGATTTCAGCATGCTTGCAAAGAGCAAAGATTAAGGAGAGGCTGTTTCCTCAGGTAACAGGTTTTACCGCTGTCTCTCTCCAATGTAAATGCCACTCACCATTACAATGAGCTATATTCACTAATGTCTAGTCTGCAAAATTAGATCCACTGGTTTTGTTTTGTTTTGTAAAGAAGCTAGGACCTAAAATTACACCACTTCCTAAGCTGAAAGTTTCTGTCTCCCCGAGCACTTCCAAGTAAAAGATGGAGTTGAACTAATGTTCCAAGATTCCATTACGTTCATAAGAAATGAAAGCACAATGAATTTTCATACAATTAGAATATCTGCAGTACATACGCCGAGTCCTTCTTGCACACGTGCCTCAGCACAAGCAAATGATGTGCAAACTTTCACTAATGACCTTTCTCTTAAGTTTGCAAACCCAATCGAAATACACATGAACATGCACGCACACCCCCTCTAAAAATCCTTAATTAGAAGGGAGGAAATACTGTCTCAGTAGAGAAGAGGGAAGGTAGTCAACCCTGTTTTTATCTTCCCAGGATAAGGAGATGACCTATTTGCACCCTTGGTTTCTGGCTGTTTCATGCAGTGTGCGAGTAAAGTAAGACGTTTTACCAGGGAAAAGGTGCAGCTGCCGCTCTCCCAGATGCGGCGAGATCGGGAAGCCTCCCGAGTGGGTATATGGGGTACGGAAGTAGCATAAACAGGTGGAAACATGAGATTAACTAAGGCTGAGTTGAAAGAAAGATTCTGAAAATAAGCCCATCAACTTACAAAACCAAAGACATAACATTTCGGTCATCGTCATTCTACCTCACAAGCTTAGGGAACATGGATTTCACTAACTCATGGGCCCTCATTTGTTAGCAGGAGTCTTGTTGGATAATGACAGCCTAGCGTAGCTAGTAAAACACACCTTTTGGCCCCATGAAGGGAGAAGATTCATGGTGTTACAGTCATACTTCATTAACACAAAGTTTTCACTGTTAGTGAAAAAAAAATAGCAGCAAGACAATTATGATAAAATGATTTTATTCAATCAGTTTAGTTTTCTTGCATGTGAATAGAATGAAAAGCAAATTTATCCACAAATGTATTTAAAGTATAAAATTTTTATGTTAATGAAATTACTTCTAGGTATATACAGTAGAGAAATAATCTAATCAACAGATATCTGTAACATGGAAATATTTGCTCTATAAAGCAAATGATATTTCATATTTTCTTGAGGATAAAATGAGAGGAGTTCTTCTATTTAAATCCCCAAGTGATCAAAGATATAGCTAGAAGATGACAGAAAATTAAATATTATGGCTTAGAACACAATGAATAATAAAAGAAATCAAACTCCCTCAAAGTCTCTCACACTTGGACAGAAATACTTTCAGTTCCTGAGGAGGAAACATGTTTGACTTCTAGAAAGACCTCGAGGTGTGCAATTGTGCTGTAGAAAGGCCAGGAATGGAAACATTTTTTTTCCAGAGCTGTGCTGCCTTTCTCCTCCCTCTAAACCACATTTTCTTTTGGGAAATATGTCATCATCTTTCCCTACTCAGACACAAGCCACTTAATATTGCATACGTCTCAGTAGTCTTATAAATGTCCAAAAACAATACCTCACCCCAGAAATACTTCCGATGTAGTTCATTGTCCTTCATTTTTCATGCTGGCTGGACCCTCCTCACTTACACACAAGGCTCTGGCCCGGCTTTGGTCATGAGGCTGTACAGTCAGTGCTAACTGGGTCTGGACAACGTTCTGTGTTCTATAAAGAACTTTGGCATTATCTGAATTGCTGCTGGATTGCAGAGTGACTCCGTGCATGTTGCAGGACGGTGGGAGAAGCAGCTTGTGATTCTCAAGAGGTACATCGAATTGGCACCAGGTCACTTAACCTTCAGGGCTGAATGAAGAGGGACAGCTAGTGAGAAGGGCATTGTGCTTGATGAAGATTCAAGAGGCCTCTCGGTGGTACATCAGGGTGAGTCACAGGATGAAACATTCAGAAGGGCAGAGACTCTCATTCCCAACCTCAGGCATCGAGCTGAGAGGGCTAGACCTTGAGAAATAGAACAAGTGGAGATTGGACAGGAAGTGGGGCAGAGTCAAGGAATGCTGTGGGTGGGTGACAGCTGGGCAGAGGTCAGAACTGCTGGGCCTGGGAGGACAGAGTTGGCTTATTCTTATTTCTTTCTCTACCCCGTCTCCATCCCCAAGGCATTTGAGCTAGTGGAATGAAGAAAGACAGAAAAGAAAACAAACCAGCAAAAAAACATGGAGGCAGGAAGAAAGAATAGAATGAGAAGTAAAAAACGAGTGGGAAAGAATGGTCAAGTGGTGCTTACATGGCCTTGAGAAGTTCTGGGCTCATGAGGGAAGAGGATCAAAAAATATCTAGATGAGGTTGCAAAGGAGGAGAGGCAGGAGCCAGCAGCCATGAAACAAAAGAGATGAGCCAACAGCCCATAACCATTACGGCAGCACAGCCCCACTGGCCTTGGCCAAAGTAACTGAGCTGGAAATGCTTTCAAAGGTCATGTGGATGACTCCCCTCCTTTTCCAGATAAGGAGATGGAGGTATGGGGGGAGGTGACTTGGAGAGCTTGTTTCTTGCACACCGTACCATGCTCTGCCCCCCACAGAGCAATGTGGAACCCACGGGGGAGAAGGTTCTACTCTGGAGGGGAGCCGTCCAGATGTCCCCCAAGACCTCTTTTCCCCAACTCTAGGATTCTACGGTTCTACATGTGAGGGTGGTCTCTGTATATTTGCGAACACTCACAATATCCTCAGCTTACCGTGCCTAAGGATATAGCAGTAACATTACTTTAAAATGAATATGTTGAACGTTATACATCCAAATACTGTTGTCCTTCAAAGTAGTCCGTACATTGCAGCTCCTTATTCTAACACCTGCCTAATATATTTAAGTTAACCAGTGAATTGTGGCTGTTATTGTTCAAACTATTTGTACCAAGTAAGGAAACACGCAAGGAAAAGACAAACGAATGTGTGTGAAAACACATGATTTGAAACCTGAAACTGATTACCCATGTCATGCACCAGGCATGAGCCCAGTGGCTTTGGCTTTCTCCAAAAAGAAAAAAAATCCACCCTCAAGGGATGATGATGGGTTTCCAAGAACACTTTGAAAAGAATGTAGTTGAGGATGCTACATTTATGATAGAGGTAGCCTTCAGTCATACATCATTGCTGTAAAGCGACACCTAGTGAGGCGCTGTTATTTCACAATGAGCTGTTTGGAGAAGCAAGGCTTCGGGTGTATTCTAAAGTTGGAGCCAATGGAAGAGGTTGCTGTTGGCCTGTGCAAGCGCCTAGTGCATGGAACTGACTCTAAGGCTCAGACCACGTGGTCAAGCCCCAGAGCAGGGTAGGGTGGGAAGACAGCTGAGGTATAGGTGGTCTGTGTGGTATATGTAGACCCTTCAAATGGAAAGATGCTGCTGTCCCCACACTGTCTGGCATCACTGTTTAATCACCCGTGTCTCTACTATTCTCGTCCTGCCACTATCAATTCATGGCACAGCACTCTCGGCCGACCTGGGGGAGAACGTCATTCTTAAGCTCTACCTGCCATCGTTTCCTCTGCAGGAAAGCGAGCCCA
Organism: Homo sapiens; assembly: GCF_000001405.40. Taxonomy (NCBI): domain Eukaryota; kingdom Metazoa; phylum Chordata; class Mammalia; order Primates; family Hominidae; genus Homo; species Homo sapiens. The sequence continues at coordinate 107,699,907 of NC_000006.12, forward strand.
GTGCTGAGCATGGGGAGAACCTCTGGGCTCTTTATGTAGGATTTGAAGAGCGCAGATCTGAGGCCTCACTTGCGAAAGCACCGTGAAGAAAGCAAATCCTCCTCTAACAGTGTGTTTTTGCCCAGAACTGCTTCTAAGTCGGGGGAATTTCATGAAGCCTGGGAGAGTCACAGTGAGCGTTCTCTCCAGCCCAGCATCTTGGTGAGGCCCATGTGTGATAAGACCACCGAAACCACAAAGGAATTTACCACGGGAAGTGTCCCAGCAGTTGCTTATTAGCATTAGAACAATTACACAAAGTCCATTGTTAGCAGACATGTTTTCATGATCCTTAACTGGTGGCAGTAAATAACAGCCATTCTCTTTCAAGCAAATGCTAGATTTCCAAAAATCCAGCTTCTAATTTTCTGTGCAGGGATCATCTTGGATTAGGACAACCATTGGAGTGGATGATACCCCAGAAGCTGAGGTGCCCAGCGCTCTACCTGCAGGAGCAGGGCGGAACACACAGAAGCTGCCTGCGGGTGGATGGGGGTGATGCAGCTGGGTTTGACATCACAGAATGGAAACAGGGAGGTTTGTTCCCCTGGATGTCTGACCGTCTGCTGGACCATCCCCAGGGTTCTTAGTGTGGTCCTCTCTTGCCACAGGGGAGGGATAGGGGCACATGGCAAGGCAACAGGAGAGCCTGGCAGGTGCTCAGTTCTTGGAGTGTTTATGACCAAAAAAAACCAAAAACAAAACTAAAAAAAATCAGCCCCATGGACAGGTTTGCAGCCCTCTCCTTAAAAAAAAAATTGCAGTTTTTAAAAAAATCACCTACTCCTTCACAATCCCATGTCTTGTTATCCGAGGTTTTAAAAAAAAGTGAGTCCAATCCCCTTCCCCTCTCTCCCCAGTGGAGAAGAGCTGAGAAGTGGCCCCTTCAGAGCAGAGGTCAGACAGTGCCTGCCAACCACTTACATATATGTAAACCTGGTTGTTTCTTTAGAATGAGAGCAGAATATTTCCATCTTTTGAGACCTTCTGACAATGACTACATTTGAGTCCCTGGTCACCTATGGGCATCTCCAATTATCTTCAGAGATTTGAGAAAATTCTCCTAAAACCATCTCAAAAATAATTTAAAAAGAATTTTAATTAAAAAAATAAGAAATATTCCATACGGCACATAGATACAAAAATAGGTTATTGCAGCGTGAAGGGTTGGGGCTGTTAGAATTGCTGCTTTCATTGTTTTCCTAAGAAACTTATGGTGTAGGCCTCCCTTTCTCACTGGTTTCTTCTGCAGTAAACCGGCCCTAGTCCCATATTCCTTCCCAATGTATTTAATATAGTTGGTAGCAGCCCTGCTGCAGGGAAATGGTGGGAGTCTGGTGTACTCTCTGGTAGGTGCTAAACGCCCGCAAGACAATTGTTCCCTTCCGTGGGCTCCCCGGCAATGTGTCTCCCGAGAGTCACCTGGAGCCCAGGCTTGGCACATACAATCATCCTCCTGAGGGGGCAGGCCTAGAGCCCCAGAACAGCCCTGGTCACCCAGCTGCCTCCAGGGCACACCCTAGTAGCCTAAGAGGGGACACTTAGTAGTAGCAACCAGACCACAGTGGGTTCTGCCTCCATATTGCAAACCAAGCAAAGGCAATGGCTCATATACTCCCAAGCACTCACTTCCTAAGGCTCTTCCAGCTACAGTGTCAGGAAACACACACACACACACACACACACACACACACACACACAGACAAGACCCACAGCTTTCACCTAAAGTCTTCGCACAGGGAATAATGTGATTCATGAAATATTTAAAAGGCCTTAGGCAATAGAATTGTCTCTTGATTTTTTCTTTCAAGTGTTTAACAGACAAGTGTAATTGGAAATGTTTGGAACATGAACACAGGCACACACACACACACTCTAATTTGGAATTATGCAAAACGATATCATTATTCACTACAACCTGAAGCAAAGCTACTGCAATGGAATAATAAGTACCACATCTGTACAAGTGAGAGGCCCCCAGGTCGGCTCTCATTTGGACAAGGGTGACCCACGTGGCCTAACCCTTTAAGGTCTGTTTAGAGGAAATGGCCTGGTGTGTTTTACATTTGTGAAGCTATTTAGCCTCCTGGTTTGACAAGATTTTTGAGAGGGGTGAAAATTAATTATAATTGCAGTATTGCTACAATAATTTAGTTGGCTAATTGCATTTCAGTGCAGAAACAGTCAAGGAAGATTTTCCTCCCCAGGTTATTCTCTGATGTGGCAGCATTTATTTTAAGAGTAATGAGATTTTTAAAAAGTCAAACCTTAAATATCATGGCTTCAGCAATCTGTCCTGCTTAAAGTTTAATGCAAAATGAGATAGCACCTCCGCGAGAGAAGTTCCACGTGAACATGGATCCAGTTTTCTCCAAGACTTGAAATGAGAACATATCTCTCGCCTGAAAACTACTCAAGGGATCTCTTTGACATTGTTTGGGGCTGATTTTTATTTGAGAGCACCAATGTTTGTGACTCTGTAGTGAAGGAGGCACTGATGAGGGTGGGTAGGAAGTTTTGAAAACTTGATACTGGAAGTCACTACATGAGGTATCTGTTGATGGAAGAGGTACCACAAGTATCGGAAGATTGAGAAAAAAAAGAGGAGTGAAAAACCTGGATTGTTGTGGGATTTTTCTGGATCTCATTGTTTTCACCCTGGCAGTTCTGAGTACATAACCTGCCCATGGCTGTTTTGAGGGAAATGTATCTAACTCTAAACCAGCAGTGAGCACTTACGATTAATAAATTCTTAAGAGACAGGCCCTATCACCTTAAAATCTTGAAGACTCTGCCCCAAGGCCTGATTCAAGGTACTTTTCTCAGGTGCTGAACCTGTCAGAGGCATTTGAACCAGAGCAACTCCATCTTGAATGGGAGCTGGGTAAAATGAGGCTGAGACCTACTGGGCTGCATTCCCAGATGGCTAAAGCATTCTGAGTCACAGGATGAGACAGGAGGTCAGCACAAGATATAGGTCATAAAGACCTTCTGATAAAACAGGTTGCAGTAAAGAAGTTGGCTAAAACCCACCAAAACCAAGATGGCAACGAGAGTGACCTCTGGTTGTCCTCGCTGCTATACTACCACCAGTGCCATGACGGTTTACAAATGCCATGGCAACATCAGGAAGTTACCCTATATGATCTAAAAGGGGGAGGCATGAATAATCCACCCCTTGTTTAGCATATCAAGAAATAAACATAAAAATGGGCAACCAGCAGCCCTCAGAGCTGCTTTGACTATGGGGTAGCCATTCTTTCCTTCCTTTACTTTCTTAATAAACTTGCTTTCACTTTACTTTATGGACTCACCCTGAATTCTTTCTTGCATGAGATCCAAGAGCCCTCTCTTGGGGTCTGGATCGGGACCCCCTTCCTGTAACAAAATCACCAGACATCAAGCTCTTCTACAATCTAATAACTCAAGCTCAATTCAGTGAGCAAGTTTAGTACATTCTCCTCCTCCCCTTCTCTGCCATGCTCTCAGTCCAGCCGCCATTTGTGTGTCTGAAAAGGAGGCTACGATGTGCTTTCTCAAGTACTGCACATGAAAGTGGGCCTAACGGCATGGCATGGACTATTTCTTATGGCCTTCATCTGGATTCTAACTATATAGAGGGTCACTCTGCAGATCTACCCAGGGCTGCCCTCAAGGTTATACAGGTCATGCTCTGTACAACGGCAGCTGATCAAGCGGTGAGGAGGTTGAGCCCCCACCCTGCTCCACTTGCCAGCTGAGACCCCTGCTCAGGTTGTATCCCAGAGAAAGGGGTGCCTTTTCTGATTCACCTTTGGGCGAAGGGAGGCCCTGAGTCATCCCTAACCCTCTCCCTCCCAGAAATTCCAAAATCTAATGTTCATCTCCTCATCTCCAACACTGTTGATGTCCTTTTAAGGAAGAGAATATGCACATGGCAAAGGCGAATTCATTTTGAAGATATGTTTTCTGCTCAGTGTGAAAGAAGAAGAAGAGAGGTGGAGGGAAACAGAGAAAAGAGAAGGATAAAACGAATGGTGGAGAAGTTGTGCCTCTGCCTAATAAATTGTGGATTCATTGTCCGTCTCTGGACACAGCTGCAAAGGAGCAGAAAATCAATTTTTTCTATTACTCCACTGTGAGGAAGGAAAACCTATTTGTAAATTGAATTAAACCCCATAATAGCATGTCTGTGTATTTGTTGAGGACTAGAAAAATTAGCCACAGATACAACTACATAACCCAGCAATGTAACTAGAAATCAACACTCTCCCATTTCAAAGCTTCGTTGAGACATTTTCTTTTCCTTTTTTAAAGAAACACCCATGGCTAAATGTCACTAAGATTCTTCGGCATGCCAACACTTCAACACCTCAATAAGGACTCTGGAAGGGAAGGAACTCCAAAGTCCCATCTGGGTAGAGCGTGCTTCCAAATTCTTGCCTTTGCTAGTTGAGTATCAGTCAGTCAGTCAATAATGATTGGATACGAACTAGACCCCTCTAGCTGATGGTTTCTTCCCAAGTCGCAATCTGTGGTGCTAACTGTGGAATAAATCCCCTGTTTCTGTGTGGGCTAGATCTTGTTCACAGACACCCTAACCCATCCACTCAGTACTGAACAATCCTGCTACTGCAGTCAGTGAGGGTCCTGAAATTTCATTAGCAGTCTGCCCTCTAGCGGAGAAACACAGTACTTCAGATTTTCTAGGAACAGAAAAGATTTTTTTTTTTTTCCTTTTTCTTTCACGGCGTAAAATAATTCAAGTTTTCCAGACAGTGCAAGGTGAGGCAGTCATCTTCAGAAGTCAGCTTCCAGAGCTGAGGCAAACAAGGCTCACATGGATAGGTCCCCAGGTCAGAGTTAGAGGCAGATGGTGCTGAGGGGGTTGTCCCTGCAGAGACCGCAGGGACAAAGGTCCTTCTTTCATCCTTTGAACCCTCCAGAACTCTCCTTGGGCATAAGCATTCAGTTCCCCACTCTCTCGTTATGCAAATAGGACCCACTTTAAGAGAAACCAGCATAACAGGGATGTTAAAAATCACAGGCTTTTGTAATTTTTTGGCAAATTATGAACACAGAGGAGCCTCTCGAAAAGGTCCATGTTAAATTCTTCAAAAGGCAAAGATTCACAAGTTTTATAAAAAGACCACGTCTCTGTGGCTGTTAATTTTAAGAGGAGAGTCTAGTTTGTGATGTTGGCGGGATATTGGTAAGGCAGAAGATAATCTTGGGATCTGTTGTTTTGGGTTTCGCTTCTGTCTTTTTAAAAAAGTCAGAACTTGGCTTGCTTCAGTTTGTCAATGTGGTAGCAGAGTTTCAGTGCAGGTCCCAGCTTCAGGCCCAGGTACTTCATGACCATGTCACTCTTCAGCAACAGCAGAGCGTTGCCATCAATCTCCTGGTGGGATAGGATCAGAAGAAAGATAAACCCAGAAGATGGTCAGAGTCATCGAACAGTGGCTAAGGTTAAGGTGTGGTCAAGGGGTGTGCTCAGGGCATATGGATTGATTTAGGCAGCATATTCTCTTGGTCCTGGGGCAAGGTCTTTTAAAATATTAAAGCAAACAAATACTGTGTTCTCCTCTCCCCATCATCTCCCTGGAGTCATTTGATACACGGGGTGTTTCATATTCCTGCCCTCCCCTCATAGAAGGAATCAAACACAACCTCATGTGTGTTCCCAATATCCCACTTAGGAAGTTTATCTCCTCATCCAAACTTGGCTAAAGGGGCAAAAACCGTCATCCATTAGAACCTGGAACTAGAGGGTCTTTCCATTCCAAACCTCCACCTATTGCCCTAATTTCTCATTTCTTAGTAGGCCCACCTACCTTTAGCTGATAACAAAGCAACTCATTCCACCTATGGAAGATTTCAGGTGTGTTTAGCCCTGTCTATTCCACTAGATGGAATACACTAAAGAATGCCCCTGCTTCATCTCAGGGTTCAGCACAAAGAACTACTAAGAGGATGAGCCAGTCCTTTGAGGTTTGGTCCCGGTGTTGCTGCCATTGGTCATTGAAAATGGTCACCCTCCAGAATGCATGTGGAGTTCATGAACCTAGCAAGGCTGGGCTTCCATGGTCACCTTTAGTGCCATTTTCAGGTCACTGGAGACAAAGGGTAGAAATTTCAGGTGCTCAAGCAGGGAGAAAAGACATAGTTACAGGATTCATATAATGGTGCCAGGGTCACCAGCTCTCTCATTCATCTGCCCAGCCAGCCAGTATTGATGGAGCACCCACTCTGTGTCACTCTCCATGTCTTTGGCAAAATGGCAGTGGGCAAGGCTTACTTGTGGGCCACTCCCAGGAGCCTCATTTTCTACTGTCTTTTATTTCCCTCACCTCCTGGACTCCCACTGTCTCCTCCCACCCTGGAAGACAGCCAGACTCCCCCTGCCCAAATCTGTCCAAGCATAACCCACTCTGTGGTTCTTGGTCTTAAGTCCCCATTGTTAGGTGAGGTCAACATATGCCTAATAAAAGGCAAGTGCTGAGTTAGATGAGAATCCTCCTAAGATTGGAGAGCATGATTTCTATGACAGAATCACCAAATAAAATAAGAAACAGGAAACAAAAATAATGGTCACTGTGGAAGGCGGAATAATGCTCCTTCCCCTCCATGCACGACGTCTGGATTCTAGTCCCCAAACCTGTGAATGTCAAGTTACACGGTGAAGGGGAATTAAGGTTGCAGATGGGATTAAGCTTGCTAATCAGCTGACTTTAAAGTAGGGAGATTATCCCGGATTATGGGGCCAGGTGGGTGGGGGGAGTGGCGGCTGTGTAATCACAAAGCTCCTTAAACGTGGAAGAGGACATCAGCAGTGAGAACCAGGGATGGCAGCCCGAGCAGCCGAACAGGCCTCAGCTTGATGTTACAGGCTTTAAAGATGATGGCAGGGGGACAGGAGCCAAGGACTGATGGTGGATCTAGAAGCCAGAAAAGACAACCAAGCGGATTCTCCCTAGAACCTCCAGAAGGAAAGGCAGCCTTGCTGGCTGAGCCCACTGAGACCCATGCCAGGCTCCTGATCCCCAGAGTGGTAAGACAGAGAATGTATATTGTGTGAGGCAACTACGTTGGTGGTAATCTGTTACAGCACAATATAAAATGAGTACAGTGCCATGCGCGGTGGCTCACACCTGTCATCCCAGCACTTTGGGATGAGACCAGCCTGGCCAACATGGTGAAACCCAGTCTCTACTAAAAATATAAAAATTAGCTGGGCGTGGTGGTGGGTGCCTGTAATCCCAGCTGCTCGGGTGGGCTGAGGCACAAGAATTGCTTGAACTGGGAAGGCAGAGGCTGCAGTGAGCCGAGATTGAGATCGCACTACTGCATTCCAGCCTGGGCGACAGAATGAGACTCCGTCTCAAACAAAAACAAACAAAAACAAAATGCATATAGTAAGCCTGGCAGGTAAATTATTGATTCTTATCTTTAAAAAAATTACCATCTCTATATTTTAGCATATCTCAAAATCATTATAATGCTATCTGCTCAGTGAAGGCTATCCGAGTCAGGAACCGTGCTGAACACCTTTTGTGCATTTTCTTATTTAATCCTCGAAGTGGTTTAGGAACAGGTGCTACTGCGGTTTGCCTGGCATGTCGTTGGTGTGCTGTGAATGTTTGTTGCATTCACAGACGGCTGGATGGGCAGGAAACAGGCACTCCTGACGAAGGCCAACATGAGAGAAGAGATAGGGCAAATATTCCTTTAAAAACAAATTAAGTGGTCACTCTGCTCTGAGGAGCCTGTGGTTGTACCTGTCCCTCTCATCTCTGGCTCCCTTGAGGGTGCCCCTAGGGCTTAGTTTAGAGCACCCCTCCACCACCTCCCCTGGCAGCATCCCGCAGCTCCCTGGACCTCACTCTCCTTCTGTGCCTGCTCCCTCAATCCCCCCCAAGGTCAAACCCACCACTCGCATACGTGCTTTCTGAAGAGCTCCACGTGAGGCCCCAGAGCCTGTGGGTCGGCGTCCTTCACAAACCACACCACGTCCTCCACAGTCCAGGCGGAGGGGTTCCTGCTCCGTGGCCGCCTGGCATCCTGCGCATCCTGAGAAGGGCTTGAGGCTGGATGGGGCACAGAGAGGGAGACCATGAGCCAGTGGGACAGGGCCTTGCACCTACCTGGTGCTGCCTGCCCCCACCTAGCCTGGAAGGGGGATCCTCAGTGCCCATGAGTCCAAGGACCTGGCCCAAGTGACCTCCTGTCATAGGGAAAGGCTGTGAGTGGCAGCTCTATCAGCAGCCCAGAGTGCAGAAGGCCACTCCTAGATATATTACCCTCCCCATGTATGCCAAAGCTCTCTGCTCTCCCAGGAGAGGAAGCACTAGACAGTGGATTCCCTTCAACAGGCTGGAATTCCCACCCTCGTTGGAGTTTTCAAGACTCTCCTGCTCAGTTCTTTCTCGGCAGGCCCAGGGCCTCCTGAGCCTGGGTACTTGGTGACCAGGGCAAGTGTGCTAAGATGAGTGCCCAAATGAGCCTCATCGCGTCAGTGAGGCCAGTGACTTGGGGTCCTTTCTGCCTCCATGGCCTTCACATTGAGAGGATAGAGGCATGGTAGAATTGAGGTGGCTTTTCGTTCTTCTCCACGGTATCTGCAGAATGCAAGTGTGCCTCAGCATCTTCAGAGCCATCCCTGGTCACACATGCAGAAAGAAGATGTCCCCTCACTCACTGCCCCAGGTACACATTGAGTCCTTGCACGGCCCTCTGGGGCTGTCAGAGCATTTGCCCGGGTCTCCCCCACTGCACTGTGAACTCCCTGACCGCAAAGGGCCTAACCTATATCTGGTCCATAGCTGCTTCCTGGGAAATGGTTGCATAGGGCATTTCCCATGCAGCAGGTGAAAAGGCTCAGGACAGTGAAGGAGGAAGACAGCAATGAGTTCAATGGCCGGCAATATTTAGGGTTGATTTTTTGTGTGTGTATGTCCCAAACTAATTCATCCTCTTTCCCTAGAGCCAGCTCCTCTTCCTATCTCCCCCATTTTAGGAACCTACCTCTTTGTCCTCCCCTTTTTGTGTTTCCCACATTTAATTATTCTGAAGCTCTTGGGAGAATGCCTCTGATGCTGATGCCCTTCCACCCCTGCTGCCCCAGCCCCAGAGCCTGCCACCTAACCCCCTGCCATGGGTTCCTAATGGGTATTTTTGGGCCATGTCCTTTTCTTCCTACTGCCTACAACTGCCACTGCCTCACATTCTCCCTAAGACCCATCTCCCAATGGGTCTCCCTTACCAACACACTGAGTCCTCATTCTACCTCAAGGTCAAGGGCTCTCTTGGTCTTAATAATATTTTTCCTTCTTAATGGAGGGGGAGAAGAGCTCTGGTGCCAGAGAGACCTAGGGACAGATCCTGGAGCTGCCCCTTGCTGGTGATTGGACCAGGATGTAGCTCATCATGTGTGAAATGGCAGTGCTTTCTACCTGGAGGGGCAGGTGTAAGGATGGAAATGGGATAGTGCCCTGCCCCGAGGCTGACCTATGTCAGGTGCTCCGCCAAGGGCGGGAGCCTCCCTACCTTCCCCACATCCCTGCTCTCCTGTGCACCACCTGTCTGTCTGGGTACACTTGTTGTGACCGACCGAATGTCTCCCCAGCTTCCTTCCTCTGCCTGTGGCTGGTGCTTTGACTTCAACCTAGAAGGCATTCACCCTCTCTCCTTCCCACTCATGTTCCACCTGATGCCTTCGTGAACAGAAATGTTCTGTGCTTCCTGCAGCCTGCATGTCACCTTCCTACCCCTTTATTTTATTGTATTTTATTTATTTATTTTTCGAGACAGAGTTTCACTCTTGTTGCGCAGGCTGGAGTGCAGTGGCCTGATTTCTGCTCACTACAACCTCCACCTTCCGGGTTCAAGTGATTCTCCTGCCTCAGCCTTCCAAGTATCTGAGATTACAGGCGCCCACCATCACGCCCAGCTAATTCCTGTATTTTAGTAGAGATGGGGTTTCACCATGTTGGTCAGGCTGGTTGGGAACTCCTGACCTCAGGTGATCCACCCATCTTGGCCTCCCAAAGTGCTGGGTTTACAGGTATGAGCCACAGCACCCGGCTTCCTACCCCTTTATTCCTACATCTTTATTTGTTCATCTATCTCTTAAGGTGCTTTCACATTCCACTTTGTAGTACAATTATTTATGAACTTCTCTATAACCTCTAGTTAGATTTTTATTTCCTAAGGATGAGAGCTAAGTTTGAGAGCTCTTCCTTGTCTCTCATCCAAGATATAATCACCAAGAGCTATAAAGAGGTTTTGGATAACAAAAGCTTCCTGACTTGGGCATTTAACAAGACACACTGTAGAATTCCCAGCCACAACTAGGTCCAAGATTCAGAATCAAGAAACGAAGTCAATCTGATATTGCTATTACAACCCAAATGCCTCCTGTGGTTGGATTTTTATTTGATAGGGCCTGGCATTGGGTGAGGGATGGAGACAATTTAGCTAGAAAAAGAAGAATGAGAACAGCATTGTATGTGAGGAGGTGAAGCGGACAAAAGCATGGCAAGAGCTGATTAATTAAAGAGTTTGTGTAGGGGCCAGACGCAGTGGCTCACACCTGTAATCCCAGCACTTTGGGAGGCAGAGGTGGGCGGATCATCTGAGGTCAGGAGTTCAAGACCAGCCCAGTCAATATGGTGAAACCCCGTCCCTACTAAAAATACAAAAATTAGCTGGGTGTGGCGGCACATGCCTGTAATCCCAGCTACTCGGGAGGCTGAGGCTCGAGAATCGCTTGAACCTGGGAGGTGGAGGTTGCATTGAGCCGAGATCATGCCTCCCACTCACTCTATAAAACACCTCGTTGAGCTGTTGCAAGAATTAAATGGCATAATGTTGTAAAGCATTAAACAGGATTACTCATTAGGTAGTTGCTGTTCTTCTTATTATGATGATGTCATTCCATAAATGGCCAGTAGATTTGTTTTCCTAAATCCCAGGGCCACCAGCTCACTCCCCTGTTCAGAAATGTCTGGTTTACAGTTACTACAGAGCAAAGTCCCATCTGCTTGAAATGGATCCCAAACCTCCCAGCATGGTTTCCCTGGTGTCCCTGCACAAACTCTTTTTTTTTTTTTGAGATGAAGTCCCGCTTTGTCACCCAGGCTGCAGTGCAGTGGCATGATCTTGTTCACAGCTCTGTCCTCAGATGTGAGAAGAGCCCCTGGCACACTGTGCCCAGGAAGTCTCTGCTGGCTAGGACCAACCAAAACCTGAGTCTTAACTGCCTGCTCTATAAAAACAAACATTGATTGAGCACCTTTTCTGTACCAGGTGCTAGGTGAAGCGTTTGGTGAAAAATACAAATGTGATCCTCTCATGACAGGGGTTATAATCATTGACTCCTCCATGGCTCAGAGTACATATACAGTCATGCACCGCCTAAGGACGGTGGTCCCATAAGATGATAATGATTCTAGTTCCTATCGCCTAGTGATTTGTGTTGCAATTTTCTCCAGTATTCAGTACAGTAACATGCTGTACAGGTTTGTAGCCTAAAAGCAATAGGCTGTACCACACCGCCTAGGTGTGTAGTAGACTATACCATCTAGGTTTGTGCAAGTACAACCTATGATTTTCACACAACATTGAAATGACCTAAGGATGCATTTCCCAGAATGTATCCCATTGAGTGATGCATGACTGTGTTTATAAATAGGACTTGATAAATGTGAGATGAATCAATATACTCTGCAGACACAGTCTCGGTAACTTATACAAAAGCCTGTGTGTGTAATCTTTACTTCTATTTTAAGGCTAGAAAAAAGACAAGGCTCTGAACAATGAAGCGGCTTTCCTACAGAAGAATTCTAGTTAGAAGTTGAGAAGCCTTCACTTTATTTCCCTTCTTTAGATCTCGGGGCACAGTGGCTTTCTGCTGTCTCTGTCTCCTTCCTCCTTTTAATGTGCCTGAGACGTGCATGCTGCTCCATTAGCACTGAGGAGAATACAGCATCACATTTCTGCGTCTGTCCTAAACACATAATGGTTTGGCTGAGAATTGGATTGACTTTGAGATCTTCCCTGCCTCTTCCTTGTGGGACCTGGAAGGGTCCCATAAGGTGGTTTGGCACGGGGCATTTTTCTGGGAATCTGTTAATGCACCCTGGAGCCATCTGAATGCCGATCCACACTTATTAAAGATGATTTCACTCCATTTAAAGACATCTGCACTCAACATGGGGACGAGGAATCACGGAAATCACATTGCCTTTGGATCCTGCCCCATCAGAACATTGGCGTTAATCAGGGTGAAAATAGATGCTCTGATTACAAAGGCTGGAAGTCTTTAGTGCCAAGAATAATTTTAGAGTGATCAGAGCAGAGGTCAAATCTAATTTCCTGCATTTGACAGGAAGGGGGGAAAACCCAGACCAATTAACAGCATCATTCACAGGAACCTAGAGTCCTTTGAGCTAGGTCAGGGAAACACTTTCCCTTCAACTACAGTGTTGAAGGGCTGAGCCAGGTGGCTGGTTTGTCTTTAAGGAGGAGGCTCTCAGGACGATTGCTGTGGAGGGAAAGAGATAACTGAGATGGCAAAGTGGGCTCTGTTCCTGGTACCTAGGGCTTGCTGTGGGCACTTTTCACTTTTCCAGGATGGAGCAGAGGCAGCAGGGGCCTGGCTCGGGCGTGTTTCTTAGGGGGCCTTTTAGTCATACAAGACAGAGGGCAGCAGGCAGCCTAAGTCACACCTCGGGAGCTGCTCCTGATCCAAAGCACATAGATTCGCTTTAGAAAGGAAGAAAAATGGAGCTTTCCAGTGGCAGGTTTGCAGAGCCTCACAGTGGTCTGTGCTCACAAAAATAATAAATACACTAGCCACTCCCTCTCCAGCTGCAGCGAAGGTGTCAGGAAGACAGATGGGTGGAGCCTGGTGCAGCTGCAGCAGGCAGATGTGATAGATCAACAGTAAGACATGATGGATGTGGAAAAGTCTTGCTCCTAAGCAGACAGAGCATGCCAAGAAGCACTGGCCAGACACCTTTGTGAGCAGGCAGAGTTCTCCAATGAGGACATCGTGCTTGGTCTTGTCATTCCCTGCCAGAGGCATGTGAAAAGTGAAACCTAGTTATGAATGGATTAAATATGCTTGTTTCTAAAGCTGAACTCACATTTACCAGAGCTAGGATGACTATGAGTCAGTGTTTCAAAGCAATCCTGATTCTCACAGCACAGGTACTTGCACACTCTCTGTGAATCTCCCTCTGCCTTACACATGCCCATGAGCACATCCATACGTACATAATTTCCTTTCACTCATTCATAATTCAGGAGAAACTCTTTAGCTAACAACAGAGTCATGTGGAGGAGCGGAATTAGCAGTGAGCTGGGAGTCAGAAACCCCTGCCACCCACCAGCCATGTGATCGACTCTCTGCTTCTCTGTTGTAAAATAAAAGGGCTTGATCTCTAAGCCCCTGCCAGCCCCTTATGACACTGTGTAACCCCTCCCACCTCAGGCTGTTCCCACTAAGGGAGTCACTTCCTCCCACAGCTGAAGGCTGCATCAGTGTGTCCACATGCAAAACACACCGAGTGCAGCCACAGCCAGGCTTCCCGTCCCTCCTGGGCTCTGATCATTCTCTACGGACCTCATTGTCTTCATCTATAAATTGTGAATATTATTTGCTGCTTCTTAAGAATATTTTAAGAATCAAGAGAATGTGTCTCAGGGCTGGAGCCTGACCATAAGAATCTTAAAGACAGGAAGGTCATTGTCTCCGACAGGGACCCCTGTGTCCTCAGGCTGCCTGTGAGCTGCCCAGGCCCTCTTGGTTTCTGGCACCTGGAACTGGGTTGGGAGGACCGGGGCTGGCAAGGGGAAGGGGAGGGAGATCTGTTCTCAGCATCTCCAAGTGACCTGCTCCCACTAGATGCATCCTTTCTAGATACAATGCCATATCAAATGTGTGACATGCCCAGATTAGCCCACGATTATGGCAAAATCACATGGCTTGAAACAGTGCTGTTTTTCATTATTTCTATCTGTTGCCCAGGCTGGAGTGCAGTGGGGTGATCTCGGCTCACTGCAACCTCCGCCTCCCAGGTTCAAGTGATTCTCCTGCCTCAGCCTCCCGAGTAGCTGGGATTATAGGCAAGCATCACTCACTCTATCCAGAGTTTTCAAGATGCCATGTGGTGAGAGAGATGAGAGGGAAGAGAGCCCACTCAATCCTTAGAGTTTAATCAGATTTTTCTTTTCAATTATTTGAGACCAGCTGGCCTGCCTGTGTGAGGAGAGAGCATGTCTCTAGAAACAAGGAGAGACCATGGGCTTGAAGTCAAGCTGAGCTGAGCGAGATTCCTTCTTGGCCACCAGAAGACACTGTGACCTCCTAGCAAGCACTGTTACCTCTGCTGGGAAGCCTCCAGCCATCCCTCCTCCCTACTGACCCTCCCTGGTTGTCTTTCCTCCTGCTTATTCCAGCCAGCTCCACTGCCCCTTCTCTGGGAAGCCTTTCCAGACTCCGAAGGGTAGGCTCAGCCACTCCCTCCCCATCTGATTCTCCCACAGCATCCACACTTCTCCCTGACAGCAATCATCACAATTGTAATGAAATTAGTGTAATAATTTGTTGACATTTGTCTCCCTGGAGTTGCAAACCCTCAGAGAACAGGGCCGGTGTCCATCTTGTTCACAGCTCTGTCCTCAGATGTGAGAAGAGCCCCTGGCACACTGTGCCCAGGAAGTCTCTGCTGGCTAGGACCAACCAAAACCTGAGTCTTAACTGCCTGCTCTATAAAACACCTCGTTGAGCTGTTGCAAGGATTAAATGGCATAATGTTGTAAAGCATTAAACAGGATTACTCATTAGGTAGTTGCTGTTCTTCTTATTATGATGATGTCATTCCATAAATGGCCAGTAGATTTGTTTTCCTAAATCCCAGGGCCACCAGCTCACTCCCCTGTTCAGAAATGTCTGGTTTACAGTTACTACAGAGCAAAGCCCCATCTGCTTGAAATGGATCCCAAACCTCCCAGCATGGTTTCCCTGGTGTCCCTGCACAAACCCTTTATTTTTTTTTTTTTTTGAGATGAAGTCCCGCTTTGTCATCCAGGCTGCAGTGCAGTGGCATGATCTCGGCTCAGTGCAACCTCCACCTCCCAGGTTCAAGCGATTCTCGAGCCTCAGCCTCCCGAGTAGCTGGGATTACAGGCATGTGCCGCCACACCCAGCTAATTTTTGTATTTTTAGTAGGGACGGGGTTTCACCATATTGACTGGGCTGGTCTTGAACTCCTGACCTCAGATGATCCGCCCACCTCTGCCTCTCAAAGTGCTGGGATTACAGGTGTGAGCCACTGCGTCTGGCCCCTACACAAACTCTTTAATTAATCAGCTCTTGCCATGCTTTTGTCCGCTTCACCTCCTCACATACAATGCTGTTCTCATTCTTCTTTTTCTAGCTAAATTGTCTCCATCCCTCACCCAATGCCAGGCCCTATCAAATAAAAATCCAACCACAGGAGGCATTTGGGTTGTAATAGCAATATCAGATTGACTTCGTTTCTTGATTCTGAATCTTGGACCTAGTTGTGGTTGGGAATTCTACAGTGTGTCTTGTTAAATGCCCAAGTCAGGAAGCTTTTGTTATCCAAAACCTCTTTATAGCTCTTGGTGATTATATCTTGGATGAGAGACAAGGAAGAGCTCTCAAACTTTCACCAGAGCATCAGCAGACACCAGGAAAATGTGCCCTGTGAACACATCCCCTTGGAGCCCACTGGCAGCGGAGACAGACGTGATATATCACAACTGCAGGAAGCTAAAGGTAAGTACCGCCAGAGAGAGAAGGCTGAGGAGTTTGTCAAGTCATCAATACCCACCCTTCTGCCTGCAGCCTCATGCAGTTTTCTGGCTTTTGTGGTTTTAAACCATTTTGATTAGTACCATGGGGAAAATGCCATTTCTAAGTCTCTTCCATGGTTTATGACTTGGGTCAAACTCCCTTAAAGAGGTATGGTTTTTTTGATGATAACTGCTTTTTACTTGGGATGGAACTTCAGAGCAATATTGAACAGTCATTTGGGTGGGAGGGTGGGGTGTGGGGGGACCCACAGCAGGCACTAGGCTGACAGCTAGGTGAGAAATGGGTGAGGACGCTGGCGGTTTCTCTCCCACTTTAACATCCTGCCACTCAAGTCAGCATGGTTTTTATCTCCATGGTTTCCAAACATTTTTAGTTGTGCAAATTTTGTTTAAGCAAAGCACATATAGAACCCCACTCTGCAAATGTGAAAAGGCCCTGCTTAAAGAGAGGGAGGGCACCTGGAGTCCTGTCTGCTCTTGTTCCATCTTCTCCATCTCTTAGAACCTTGAAAGCCATCAGGCATGATTTGAAAACCCCTGGGGTTGTTTTGAAAGACAGGCTTTGGAGCCCACTGAAGTCAGATCCTGGCTTAACACTTGATTTACCTTCTCTTGAACCTCTTTTTCTTTATCTTTAAATCAAATATACCAATACCTTTTTATAAATATTAAATCCTAAACATATAACTTATAATAAGTCGGAAACTGTCTGGCCCCCTTGAGTGTAGGTGTTCAATAAATAACAGTCTGATACAGGCCTCAAGCCCCCCTTTGCCAGGGCTGTGGGGGGTTCAAATATGAATAAGAGGCTTCACAAAGCTGAGGGTCTGTTCCTTTCTCTAGGATAGAGTAAGAACTATAGATGAGGAAACAAAGTGCCATGGGAGGAAAAAGGAGGGAGTGAGCATTTCTGATCAGACTTCCCATTGCCTACTCAGCGTTACTTTGCACTTCTTCCTCTGTAATAGCAGCCCTAACTTCCATCTGGAATCATGGTTGCTAGGAATGAAAACCACATTTCCCAGCATCCCTTGCAGCAAGTGGCCATGTGACTACATTTTGGTCAATGAAATGTAAGCAGAAACGGAAACCTCTTTCAGAGACACTGGTGCTATCCTTCCTTCCGTCTTCTCCCCACCCACTTCCTCTGTCTCACTGCTGAGAATGTGCATGGCTGACTGGCTGTTTCTGGTACCTGCGGTTTTATTTAGCACCCTGAGGAAGGCACTGGTTAAAAGGAATCTTTCGGCTGGGCGGGGTGGCTCACGCCTGTGGTCCCAGCACTTTGGGAGGCCGAGGCAGGCAGATCACGAGGTCAGGAGATCGAGACCATCCTGGCTAACACTGTGAAACCCCGTCTCTACTAAAAATACAAAAAAAAAAAAAAAAAAAAAAAAAAAAAAGCCAGGTGTGGTGGCAGGCACCTGTAGTCCCAGCTACTCAGGAGGCTGAGGCAGGAGAATGGCATGAACCCAAGAGGCAGAGCTTGCAGCCTGGGTGACAGAGCGAGACTCTGTCTCAAAAAAAAAAAAAAAAAGGAATCTTCGGAGAATTAAAGTGTTAACAGACCTACAAAGGATGAATAATTTCATTTTTCTTCAGTGTATCACAAAGGCTCAACAGTGAACTTCAACTGATACATCACATAGCAGCTTTTCTCCAAAGAGGTTAGGTGGCTTTGCGATTTTAAACATCCCACAGTCCCGTGGTGGGGGTCCTGCTGATTATGGACAACTGGATTTCAGGGTCTCAGGCAAAGTTCTCTCTAATATTTATTTTTATTTATTTATTTTTTGAGACAGAGTCTAGCTTTGTTGCCCAGGCTGGAGTGCAGTGGCGCAATCTCTGCTCACTGCAACCTCCACCTCCCGGGTTCAAGCGATTCTCTTGCCTCAGCCTCTCAAGTAGCTGGTATTACAGGCGTGCATCACGACACCCAGCTAATCTTTGTATTTTTAGTAGAGACGGGGTTTCACCATGTTGGTCAGGCTGGTCTCAAACTCCTGACCTCAAGTGATCCACCCGCCTTGGCCTCCCAAAGTGGTGGGATTGCAGGCATGAACCATCGTGCCTGGCTGGTTCTAATACTTCTAAGTTATTAAAAAGACAGCCAGGATTCAGGGTTCAGGTATTGATGTTCTTGGGATGAAAGGCAGCAGGCACAGGTGGACTCCGTGTCTCTGATCTCATCCCAGATCCTGACAGGCAGAAGGGCCTGAGCTAGGGGGCCTCTCCTGGGGTGCAACCAGGCTCCAGCAGAGAGGCTTTCTCAGAGCTGGAGGCTGAGGAAGGGTCTGGGCTGCCCCTCGGCCAGTCGTCTGGCAAGATTACTCAGACTGTCAGGGCCTGATTCCAGGATGATATGAGTTAGCTCTGTGTCCCCACCCAAATCTCACCTTGAATTGTAATAATCCCCATGTGTCAAGGATGGAGCCAGTTGGAGATAATTGAATCATGGGTTTGGTTCCCCCATTCTGTTCCTGTGGTAGCCAGTAAGTCTCACGACATCTGATGGTCTTATAAAGGGGAGTTCCCTTGCACAAGCCCTCTTACCTGTCACCATGTAAGACGTGCCTTTGCTTTCCCTTTGCCTTCTGCCATGATTGTGAGGCCTCCCCAGCCATGTGGAACTGTGAGTCCATTAAGCGTCTTTCCTTTACAAATTACCCAGTTTCGGGTATGTCTTTATTAGCAGAACAGACTCATACACAGGAGAACAAAGGGCCGGTATGGGGATGAAAGTGAAGGACAGGAGGACATCCTAGGGCTCAACTGGAAGGAGGTGTGAGGGGCTGGGGGACAGGAGCTATGCTGAAGCCCTCTGAAGAGCCCTGGATTCCCTGGCCCTGGGTCACCAGTTGGACTGAACAGGGCAGACTGTTGTTGAGTGAGTGATAGAAGTTCTCTCCAACCAAATCATGCCTCCCTCTTACTGCTGGAAATCCTGCATTTAAGACATAGGGCTGAGATTGCACCAACGTGAGTGGGAGAGAGAGTAAATATCTCCTTTTTAAAAAGTGGGACTCTGGGATTATGAGTCAATTCAATCAGCATGGTGTCCTGTGATCACCACCCTGAGAAAAGGGGAATGGGGCTGAGGAGAAGAGGATGAGAGAAAGACATTTAAACTCAAGAGGGACATAAGGATGAGTGTTTTGACAAGAAGACAAAGGGACACCGTGAGGGCACAGACATGATGCATGTTTATTGAACACCTACCACATGCCAGATATTAAGCTAACACTGGGGACAAACCTATGAAATCAAGGCTGCCCCTGGTTTACTTTACAGTGTTGGTTCGTGAAAGATCTTGTCCCTTTCTCTTGTTCTTAGGAATCAAATGGAACAATGTTGCTCTCCTTTGGAAAATAGGGCTCTGCTCACTTAATCTGCCTGGCTCATGGCCCTGTGTGACAGTGTTGGAAAGTGGCCTGCAGGGCATCTCTACATTTGGTAAGAGCTGCTGTGGAGGGAGAATCTGCGCTCTACCCCTCAGAACGCCTCTCCGGCAAGGGGCCCCTTCTCACCTCTCCATCCTTGGCCAGGGGAAGCTGGTCAGGGCCACGCTCATCTGGGTTGGATGAGGCTCTTGGAAGAGAATGTGTGGAGGGTCTTGAATCATACAAAATAGCTCACGTGTGCGGCTTGCTGGGGTCACTGGTGGAAGGATCCTAGGCTCAGGGGAGAAATGTGACTTGCCACAGAAGACAGAGCCTGCCCACTGAGGGGCTACAGGGTGGCAAGATGAAGACTCCCAGACTCCTTGGCCTGGGGCCTTCTTTCTTCAGCAGTTCTCAGCTGTGGAGCTGATGGGCTGTGATCTGTTAAGGGATGTGTTAAAAAGATCTATGCTGTAACTACTAACATTTATTGAGCTCTTGTTACCTCCTAGGTCTTGTACTAAATGCATGTATGAACTCATTTAATCCTCCCAACAATCCTATGAGGCAGGTGCTGCCATTATTATTATCACAATTTTATAGGTGAGGAAACTGAAGCACAGGTAAGTTAAGACTTGCAAAAGGTAGGCAGGAAGCAGCAGATCCAGCATCTCAGCCCAGGCTGTCTGGCTCTAGTCCCAGTGATTATCCACTATACTCTATGGCCTTTAGGCACTATCAAAATACTGAAGCTTGAAAATGATTTTTTAAAACATCAATCAGAAGGGCCTTCAAGCTATTACTATAATCCTTTAGCCCTTATAGCGCTTTTGTAGACTGCATTCCAACAAGCTTTCTTTAGTGGATGAGACAGAAGTGGCATTACAACCAGCATTGGGGGAATTTTGCCTAACTCTGCCTCTGCTCATGTATTTGTATCCTGAAGGTGACACTTCCTATGCAAGAGACAATTCTTTACCAAGGTCTGGTTCTCCTTTCTCCTGGGCAGAGCTAACCTACAGCTTCCAGAGTCCCTTATGGTTAAGTGTGGCAAAATGACCAGCTTTTGCCAATGAGATGTGAGTGGAAGTGATGAGCATCACTTTCAGATTGCAGGGAAGCACCTGTGTCTTCTCCACACCTTCTTTCCCTTTCTATTCCCTAATGCATGGGGCATGAAGGCTGTAGAGGGTGGCAGAGCCACAAAATAGATGGAGCCTATGTCCCTATATTGAGATGCATCCATGAATCAGGAACATTCACCTTTGGCTCTCGAACAAAAATTTCTATGGTATTTGAGCCTGTGTACATTTTGGAGTCTACGTATCCTGTGGCCTAGCCTGCCCTAATACACGATTTTCTTTGCTTATCAAAGGTTGAGTTTGGCTGTTTTTGAGAACCTCAAGATCCATGAAAGGACTTGTGGAAATTTCTGATCTCCCAGCAGTCCCACGTTTAAACAGCCACACTCCCCCTTCCCCAGATGCTGTGCTCCCCGCGCAAGGGCAAGGGATGTTAAGTCAGTGGGAAGCTGATGCATGCATTACATTACCACATCTGTTTCCTTCAAGAGAGGTCGTGTTTCTCTTGGGGCTGGAGGCTGGAGGCCTCAGCCCAGGTGCCGAGGGGCCACCAGAAGACATGGGGCTAGTGCGGGGACCACCAGCGGTGGCAGCAGGACCACCCCCAAGGTGGCTGTCTCCAGAGTTCTGCCTCTTGCAGTACAGCGAGGAGGAGGGGTGCAAGGAGCCCCTGTGGTTAAAGGTGGAGGCGGAGGTGTCCACGCTGTAGCGGTTCATGCCCACAGGGTTCACCAGGTACTCTTCGGTGGTGACTGTCTTGACTAAGCAATAAGGCAGTACAGAGAAGCAGATATCAGAGAGCAGTTCAGGAAGCTATCAGACCCTCCGTCTTGGCAAACCCTGCCCTGCCAACACAGTAGCCAGTATTTGTGAGCATGCAGAGAGGAGAAATGAACCTCACAACATAATTCCAAATAGCATACCTGTCAGCAGGCTGAGAGCTGCTTTGCCCACAGGAGCATATTGTAATAGGAATTAGGAGGTGTGCTCCTCGGTGCTTAGAGGAAAATTGATATTTTGGCCATTGATGACTTAATAAGCCCAAATCAGGCCAGGTGCAGTGGCTCCCGTCTGTAATCCCTGAACTTTGGGAGGCCAAGGCAGGTGGATCACCTGAGGTCTGGAGTTCAAGACCAGCCTGGCCAACATGATGAAACTCCATCTCTACTAAAAATACAAAAAATTAGCCGGATGTGGTGGCAGGCACCTGTAATCCCAGCTACTCAGGAGGCTGAGGCAGGAGAATCGCTTGAACCCGGGAGGCAGAGGTTGCAGAGCAAAACTCCATCTCAAAAAAAGAAAAAAAAAAAGAGTAAGATCAAAGACTTTCTTCTGCAGTGGCTCTGCCCTCACAGTCTCTGCTGGCTTCTCAGAATCTCCCTGTACTCCCTGCTCTTGCTCACCCACCAGCACAGCCCCCCTCACCTGGCTCAGGACTCCTGGGAGAGATCAAGCAAGAGTCACAATGTCCCAGAGTCAGGAGAGACAACTGTGGCCTGGGTGGTGGCCCAGGTGCCACAGTGCTTTCTCCCCACACCTTTAGTCCTGATACAAACACATGAGGGCAGCCATCCTCCGCCACGGCTAACAAGCAGGGATGCAAGTGCTGATCTGGATAGCCCCACAATCCTCCCCAAACCCTTCACAGGAGAGCTAAAGAGCCAAGCTAAAGTGCAGAGGGAGGAGAGGACTTAGAAAGTCTGCCAACCTCATCATCAGCGCCTCTTAAGTAAACCAGGACTTATCATACTTTTTTTTTTTTTTTTTGAGATGGAGTTTTAATCAATAAGTCTGTCACCCAGGCTGGAGTGCAGTGGTGCGATCTCGGCTCACTGCAACCTCCACCTCTCTGGTTGAAGCGATTCTCTTGCCTCAGACTCCCGAGTAGCTGGAAGCACCATACCCGGCTAATTTTTGTATTTTTAGTAGAGATGGGGTTTCACCATGTTGGCCAGGCTGGTCTCAAACTCCTGACCTCAAGTGATCCATCTGCCTCGGCCTCCCAAAGTGCTGGGATTACAGTCCTATACTTTTAAAGCTCAACATTGAGCCTGTTGAACTCCCTGTGAGCTACACCTGTGGCCGAATGGTGGGTTTTTTGTTTGTTTTATTATTTTTATGTGGAGTTTTTCTTTTGGGGGGTGGGGGAAGTCCAGAGAAATTACGGTGATAGAAAGAAGGAAACTATTCTAGTCCCTCCCACCAGGACAAGATCATGTCTACCTGTCCCCAGCAATAATTATCTGTATATTAGACACCATCAAAACAGATCTTGGTATGCCCAAAGAAAATGCAATCAGCAAAAATATGAAAAATAAAAACAAAACAAAACAACAACAACAACAAAAACCAATGGATCCTCCATGATTGGCAATGAAAAACAAATTTGAGGCCACAAGATCCAAATGTCTTCTCCATACATGGATTCTTCCACAATGTAGGAAGATTATTGAAGATTAAGACTTGATTTTATTAGGGAAGCTAGCAGATCTTCTCATAGTTGGGGATGGATGTGGAGCTTGACTAAAAATAAAAGTCTTTGAAGATGTGATACAGATAAGTAGTGGCTAGAGGTAAATTTACAGCTGTAAATACTTCTGTTAAAGGAAGAAAGATCTCAAATGAATAACCTAATCTTCTATCATAAGACACTGGAAAAAAAAGCAAAGAAGGAAATAATAAAGATTTGAGCAAAAATTAATTCAATAGAGAATTTTAAAAAACAATAGAAGAAATCAATAAAACCAAAAGCTTGTTCTTTGGAAAAAGAACCAACAAAATTGCAAGCCTTTAGCTACATTGACAAAAAAATAAACAAATAAAACGTAAAGAAGGAAAGAGAGATGATTCAAATTACTAGAATCAGAAATGAAAACCTGAAAGAGAGGAAATTACTACCAACCTTACAGAAATTGAAAAAGATTGAGAAATACAGATGCTTTTTGCTTACAATAGGGTTATATCCCAATAAATTTATCATAAGTTAAAAATATCATAAGTTGAAAATGCATTTAGCATACATACTCTACCACACATTATAGTTTAGCCTAGCTGACCTCAAACATGCTCAGAACACTTACATTAGCCTACAGTTGGACAAAATCATCTAACACAAAGCCAATTTTATGATAAAGTATTGAATATCTCATGTAATTTACTGAATACTTACTGAAAGTGAAAAACAGAATTGTTGTATAGATACTTGAAGCATGGTTTTCAGTGAATGTGTATCACTTTCACACCACCATAAAGTGAAAAAAATCATTGTCAAACCATCTTAAGTAGGGAACCATCTGTTCTATAAACAGTTGTATGCCAGTAAATTAGATAACTTAGATAAAATGAACAAACTACTAAAACTGACTTAAGAAGAAAAAGACAATCTGAGTAGACCTGTAAGAAGTAAAAAGATTGAATTAGTAATCAGAAAACTACCCACAAAGAAAGCCCAAGCCTGAATAACTTCACGGTTGAATTCTACCAAACATTTAAAGAAAAAATAATACTAATTCTTTACAAATTCTTCCAAAGAATAGAAGGGGGTGGAATACTTCCCAGCTTCTATGGCAAATACTTCTACGAAGCCAGGATTACCCTCATACCAAAACCAGACAGACACATCATAAGAAAACTATAGACCAATATCTGGTATTCATATGAATGCAGAAATCCTCAACAAAAAACCTGGCAAAACTGAACCCGGCAACATATAAAAAGATATATACACCATGACCAAGTAGGATTTATCCCAGGAATGCAAGCCTGATTTAACATTCCAAAATCAATTAATGTAATACACCATATGGATAGAATAATAAAACAGAGATCACACAATCACCTCAACAGATGCAGAAAAACATTTGACAAAATCCAATACCCTTTTATGATAAAATCACTCAACAAACTAGGGACAGAAGGGAATTTCCTCAATCTGACAAAGGGTATCTGCAAAGAACCAATAGGTAATATCATGGCTAATGGTCAAAGACTGGATGCTGTCCCCCAAGATCAGGAACAAAAAGAGACGGTCCATTCCAGCTACTTCTATTAACATTGTACTAGAGGTTCCAGCCAGTGCAATTAGGTTAAGGAAAAGAAAAGCCATCTGGATTAGGAAGGAAGAAGTACAACTATCTCTTATGTGTACGAAATCCTAAGGAATCTACTTAAAAGACTGTTGGAACTAGTAAGTAGTTCAGCAAGGTTGTAGGATACAAGATCAATGTGCAAAAATCAATTGTATTTCTACACATTTGCAATTAACAATTAGAAAATAAAATTGAGAATAATTCCATTTATAATAGTATGAAAAAGAATAAATAAAATAGGAATAACTTTAACAAAAGTTCAAACATACTCTGAAAACTACAAAACATTGTTGAAAGAAATTAAAGAAGATATAAATAAATGGAAAAAAAAATCTCATGTTCATAGATCAGAAGGCTTATTTTTAGGGTGGCAATTCCCCTCAAATTGATCTACAGATTCAGCACAATCCCTGTCAGAATCTTCACTGATTTATTTGTAGAAAATAACGAGCTAATTCCAGAACTCATATGGAATTGCAAGGGACACAGAATAGCCAAAGCCATCATGAAAACCAAAAACAAAGTAGAAGGCTCACACTTCCTGATTCCAAATTTAGTACAAAGCAACAATAATCAAGACAATGTGGGAGGTCATCATGTTAAATGAAATAAGCCAGGCACAGAAAGACAAATATCACATGTTCTCACCCATATGTGGGAGCTAAAAAAGTGGATCTCATGAAGATAGGGAGTAGATTGGTGGTTACCAGAGGCCAGGAAGGGCAGAGGTCAGTGAGGATGAGGAGAAGTTGATTAAAGTTACAAATATATGGTTTTATAGAAGAAATAAGACTTAGAGTTTGAGAAATCACTTGAGTGACTATAGTTTACAACAATCTATTAAACATTTGAAAATAGCTAGAAAAGAATAATTCAAATGGTTCTACAGTAAAGACAAATATTTAAGGCGATGGATATCCCAAGTACACTGATTTGATCTTTACAAATTATATGAATGTAACAAATTATCACATGTACCCTAAAACTACATACATCTCTTATGCGTTGATTTAAAAATTTTTTAAAAAAATAAATAAATAAAGCCAATGTCATTGGAGAGGGAAAAAAAGACAGTGTGGTTCTGGCATTTGAATAGGTATACAGATCAATGAAATATAATTCAGAATCCAGAAGTAAATCCATGTGTATATGTTCAGCTGATTTCCACAAGGGTGCCAAGACCATTCAATGGAAGAAAGGATAGTCTTTTCAACAAATGGTGCTGGGACAACTGGATATCCACATGTAAAAGACTAAAGGAAAGCCCTTACTCACACCATATACAAAAATTAACTCAAAATGAATAAAAAATGTAAATGTAAGAGCAAAAATTATAAAACTCTTAGAAAGAAACATATGGGGTAAATGTTTGTGACCTTGGATTTGGCAAAATATTCTTAGATTTGACACCAAAAGCACAAGCAATAAAATAATAAAATAAATTAGACTTCATCAAAATTAAAAACTTTTGCACGTTTGCACTGGGCACGGTGGCTCATGCCTGTAATCCCAGCACTCTGGGAGGCAGAGGTGGGTGGATCACATGAGGAGTTCGAGACCAGCTTGGCCAACACAGTGAAACCCCGTCTCTACTAAAAATACAAAAATAAACTGGGCATGGTGATGCGAGTCTGTAATCCCAGCTGCTTGGGAGGCTGAGGCATGAGAATTGCTTGAACCTGGGAGGCAGAGGTTGCAGTGAGCCGAGATGGCGCCACTGCACTCCAGCCTGAGCAACGGAGCAAGACCCAGTCTCAAAAAAAAAAAAAAAAAAGACACCATCAAGAAAGTGAAAGGACAACTCACAAATTGGGGGAAAATACCTGCAAATTATATATTTGATCAGGGACTTGTATATCTTGTAAAAGGGGCTAGACTTATACAACCAACCTGTGTAAGGGACTAGACTGTATTAAGAGTTATTCTAGCTGGGCTGGGCGCGGTGGCTCACGCCTGTAATCCCAGCACCTTGGGAGGCTGAGGCGGGTGGATCATGAGGTCAGGAGATCAAGACCATCCTGGCTAACACGGTGAAACCCCATCTCTACTAAAAATACAAAAAATTAGCCGGGCATGGTGGCAGGTGCCTGTAGTCCCAGCTACTCGGGAGGCTGAGGCAGGAGAATGGCGTGAACCCGGGAGGTGGAGCTTGCAGTGAGCTGAGATCGTGCCACTGCACTCCAGCCCGGGCAACAGACCGAGACTCCATCTCAAAAAAAAAAAAAAAAAAAAAAAGAATTATTCTAGCTCAATAAAAAGACAACCCGATTTTAAAATGGATAAAGGACTTGAATAAACATTTCTTTAAAAAGATATACAAATGGCCAGTAGGCACATCAAAGCTGATCCACATCATGAGTCGAATCAAATCAAAACCACAATGAGTCACCACTTCACACCCACTAGGAAGGTGATAATCAAAGAGTCAGATAACAAGTGTTGGTGATACCATAGAGAAATTAGAACCCCCACACCCTGCTGGTAGGAATAGAAAATGGTGCAGCCACTTTGGGAAACAGCCTGGTACTTCCTCAAATGCTTAAAGTAGAATTACCATAAGAACCAGCAATTATACTCCTAGGTATGTACTAAAAAGAAATGAAAACAAATGTCTACATAAAAATCTGTACATGAATGTTTACAGCAGCCCTATTCATAATAGCTAAAAAGTGGAAGAAACTCAAGTGGCTATCAACGAATGAATAAAATTTAAGAATCTGTTATATCCATACAACAAAATATTATTTGTCCATAAAAAGGAATGAAGTACTGATATCTGTTACAGTGTGAATGATCCTTGAAACATTATGCAAAGTAAAAGAATCCAGCCACAAGAGACCACATGTCAAATGATTCTTTTTATATAAAATGTCCAGGAAAGGCAAATCTATACAGACAAAAAGTAGATTCGTGGTTGCTTAGGGATTGGGGTTGGGGTGTGGGGTGGGTAATAGCTAAAGGGTATGTGGGAGGTTTCTTTGAGGTGATGAAAGTATTCTACAATTGACTGTGCTGATAGCTGCGCATATCTATATACTAAAAGTCACTGAATGGTACCTTAAATGGTGAATTGTATGATATATGAATTATATCTCAATAAAGTTTTTTTTTAAAAGGCGTTTGCAGAAGTTCAGTGCTTTTCAGATGAGGCTATGAACATATTCTCAAGAATTACGTGCAGTCAAGTGTAACAAACACGGCGTTGGCCACCAGGACACACATAACCTAAGCAGCCAAAGGGTCTGCATGCTCTGTGCCGAATGCTATGCAGCCAATGAAGTGCTGCGAGATGTCTTCAGGACCCTGGAACGCTACATCTTTGCCTTGATGGCCTCGCTGCATCTCTTCCCTCTGGGTCAGAAGCCTTCGGAAGGGAGATTCTAAAAAGGACCTGGCTATGGAGCTATATACTAGGCTGCTTTCTGAATGGAGTGAGGGAAAGGAAAACTCACGTGTATTGAACATCTACTATCTACTATCTACGATCTAAAGCCAGTAAGCAGTAAGGCTGCCATTACATTCCTTTTGTTGGAAAGTTCTCATAGTCTGGGATACCAATCCTTTTTGTGTCCCACATGTCAGGTGCTTTGGTATATGTGAGGAAGCTACATGCAGTATCTGGCATGATGCCTGGAATAGAGGAAGTGCTTGATAAATATTTATTGAGTAAACATTTGAGCCAATGTTAGCTGTAAGGCTGCCGTTACACAGAAGACTCATTAAAATTGATATTATAAAGAGCTTATATATAAATTCTTTAGGTAGATTTGTGATAAACAATGAAAAAAGATTTAACAAAAACAGTACACTGCTTATTGAACACTTTAAGTCTAAATTAAATATGCCTACATAGTTCTGATAGTCTAAGGTAGAGAATGCAGATAATTCACTGACTGGCACTATAGTTGGAAAATACAGACGCAGATGGCAGATCATTCCCTTATCGCAAAGTGTGGGAATGGGGAACAAGGGAACATGCACTGAATGGATTTCAAAACTGTTGACAGCGGCCAGGCACCGTGGCTCATGCCTGTAATCCCAGCACTTTGGGAGGCGAAGGTGGGCGGATCACCTGAGGTTGGGAGTTCAAGACCAGCCTGGCCAACATGGTGAAACCCGTCTCTACTAAAAATACAAAATTAGCCAAGCGTGGAGGCAGTCGCCTGTAATCCCAGCTACTCAGGAGGCTGAGGCAGGAGAATTGCTTGAACCCAGGAGGTGGAGGTTGCAGTGAGCTGAGGTTGCATCACTGCACTTCAGCCTGGGCAACAAGAGCAAAACTCTGTCTCAAAAATAAATAAATAATTATAAAGAAAGAAACTACTGATGCCCGTGGGTGAGATCAAAGGTAATAAAAGCTAACCTCTGGGCTGTGATCCAAATGAATTATCAGAAGGGAAAATAGGCTTCGGAGGGCATCAAGCAATACCTTCTACCCAGGCAAAGGATGTGCTGGTGGTTCCAAAGTCTGCCCAGGTGGACAACTGTCAAGACAAATCAACCAAGCCCCAGATGTGGCTCTGTAAAGTGGCTCCTGGGTGGCCGCGAGTGAACAGCACGTTCAGATGCACACACTGTGGTGGCTTCCAGAATTGATGAAATGGATCTGTTCAAACCCGATTGAAACTGCATTTTCCGCACTTTTCTATAGAGGGGTTCTGATACATCATAGCTAAGCGTAAAAGTGACAGATGCATGGATGGCCCTCATCATTCGGTGGCAGGAAGGAAAAGGACCTTCACAAGCACCCAGCCCAGCATTTCCCCAAATGTTAAATGCTTTCCACTGGCGGGACAGGGAACCACATGGGTATATTCATTTCCTAGGATTGCAGAAACTAACAAACCGGGTGGTTTAAAACGACAGAAATTTATTCTGCCATAGTTCTGGAGCCTACCAGTCTGAAATCAAGGTGTCCACAGGGCCAGGCTCCCTCTCAGGACTCTAGGGGAGAATCCCTCCTGGCCTCTTTCTAGCATCCCCTGGTGGCCAACAATCTTTGGAGTTCCTTGGCTGGAGACAGCGCTCCAATCTCTGCCTCCACTGTGGTGTTTTCTCTGTGTGTCACGATCTGTGTCCAAATTTCCTTCTTCTTCTAAGGACACCAGTCATGGGATTAGAGCCCTAATTCAGTATGACTTCCCTTTCACTTGATTACATCTGCAAAGATCCTATTTCCAAATAAGATCCCATTTCCAAAAAGGGTTCCAGATACCCGAGAATTTGAACATACACGATTCAGCCTACGACAACCAGTAAATGTTTTTTTATTGTCATGTATTTCAATGTACATCCACGACATATAATTAGCACATCAAACAAAATGATTTCACTGATACAGTATGATTGCTTAAGCTGACTAATGGCTAAGATTAAAAGACATGAGTTAATGTAAAGGAATATCTTGAGTAGACAGTTCTATAAGTGTTACTCAGACACAGTAGAAATTGTGAAGGTGGTAAATTAATATTTGGAATGCATTGAGCTAGCCCCAACCTATCTCTTCAGGCAGGGTGTTGTCTAGAAAAGAAACTATGGTAGATAACTGAGTCTTTTATTTGAAAGCTTCCCCAAAGAGATTTTACAATCTCCTTTAGAGTGAGGCCATTGTGCTATGAATCTCATTGCCTAAAAGTTCCTCCTTACATCTAGCCTCAATTCTTCTTGCTTCAGTTAAAACACATGACTGCTGGACATGTACCCTTTACACTATCCAACATGTTAGGTCACCTCAACATCCAACATGAGGCAGATGAATTCTAGGTATGCAGAACTACTAGGAGCTTAAGAATTTAATTGAACTGTGACATATGTTTCTTACCTAAATCCAATATTTAAAGTCAGTAAAAAGAAAGGACCAAGTCTGTATCTGGAGAGGGAACCCCCACTTTTCAAGCGCTTTTGTGGCTGACTGGTGAGCAAACACCAGATGGGGCCAGCCGACCTGTTGGAGGATCTAACTCCTGCACACAGAGTCCCGGCAGACCGTAGGGCTCACAGGCGAAGGCACTCATGGTCGAAATTTCCTCCTGTGTCCATACAAAATCGTTTTCCATCTGAAAGAAGCTGTCTTGTCACCCTGGCACTGCTCATCAACAAGAGGCTCCAACCCAGCCTGTGTGAGGCCATTTAATTGCAGTGGAGAATGCCAGCTTAACAAAGCAAGGTAAATGAGTGGCTTTTTACTCACTTCTGTAACCCTCTGCATCCAGCCAAGAGACTAATGTTGCCATTTAAGAATCATTAAATCTTTTCCTCCAGAAAAAAAGAATGATCTGCCTTTTGCACAGTCACGAGAGCATGCTTAAATAGAAAGGAAAACACACACGTGGCCCCATCAAAGAAATCTGCCACATTTTCAAGGTTTGGCGTCCTGGGAGCTTTCAGGACAGACTGATGGTCCTTTTTCACCATCGCTAAACCTGCTTGTGGACTATGGTTCCCTCCAGCCACTGTGTATAAAGCCTGCCTATTAGTGAGGCCAAAGAACACTCTAGAAGCATGTAAACCCACTCAAGCCTCAAGGCATACCTGTTTGCATATGAACCTGAACTGTGCCTAAGCCTTCCGGTTTAGGGATCAAAGCTTCAGGGTTCTGAGTCCAGAGTGTGTGGATTCCTCCCTTGCTCCCTGATCCTTGCTGAAGCCTGGGGTGGAGATAGGGTTAGGTAATGCCCCTGCATCCATGGCTTCCAGGACACCCAGGTGCAGCCCATTTCTGCTACAGTCCTGGAGGGTCAGGTGTGAGCCCCTGAAATGTAGAGAACCTCCAAAGAGAGAAGCAGAAAGAGGAAGAGGTGCAGGAGAAAGCCACGAGCCAGAGAGAGAAAGAGAAAGTCCCAAAACAGAGCGGCAGGGAGGGGAAAACGGACCTTATGTATAAAACTATAGATGCTCCTGACCAAGTGTCAGCTCTCCTCACTTAGGACACAAGGCTTAACTGCTTACAGCCCAGTGGGCTCGGACTATTGATTTTATTTTTAAAAACTAAACTGGCATTTTACCTGGATTCACTAACCAAATGAAGTCCTGAAACACAACAATTCCACTATGCAAAATTATTCTCACATAATACCTATTAAGGCAATAAGAACCACAACATCTAGTCTTAGACACTATTTGTCATCTCTAAACAGTTCTGCCTGTTTGTCTTTCTCTCTCTCTCTCACCCCCCACTTCCCGCATCAGTCTTCCCAGTTGAGGGAGCAGCTGCAGAGTGAGCCCTTTCCACAATCAGCACGACCACCTTCCTCCAGACTGGGAGCCCTGGCCTTGCTCAGGATTGATTGCCTGACCCCTTTGCCGGTCTGCCCAGCCCTGCCGACCCCCACACCCTGCCCAGGCAATGGTCAGTGTCCTGTGGCCTCCGTGTGTGAACAGTTTGGTTCGGCTTGCTGACAGAGATGGCAACATCAGAGATTCCTAGCCCTGAAACCCAGATTAGAAAAGGCAGGAGTGCAGTTCGCAGATTTGTAGAGCTGTGGAGCAGCTACCCCTCTTTGCTTAGCCAGGTGCCATCACCTAGATAGTACAGGAAAAGGAGACCTGCGAGGAGAGGGGCAGGAGGGAGAAGGCGCAGGAAGCAGTAGCAGGTGCTCGTGCCAGCTGCACCTCTTTTACTCAGAGCCCAGACACAGGTGCTTCGGTGCCTACCTTGGTGGTTGTGTCTCTGCCACCCGGCAGCCTCTCCCACTGTCCTCTGGGGGACCGCCGGTTTCCAGCACGTGCTTGGTGCTGTGGGATGCAGAGGGGCCTTCTGCTGTGAATCTCTAACGGACTTCCTGGTGACCAAAACCTGAAGGTTTCCTCCCCTGCATGCAGCCTTTCACTGAGGCTCCTGTGGAGGTTTGCAGATTTTCTTTTCTCAAACTCAGTCCCGCCCCTTGTTCTTGCAGATAAGGGAGTTTTCCCTTAGGGCCCTCTGTGGCCTCCTGGCCCAGCCTTTCTGGTTCAAAGGGCACAGGGCCATACTACCTATGAGGCTGAGCATTTCATTTGCTTCAATTAAATTTTCCATTAACTTGGTCTCTGGCCAGTATGGATTTTCTCTCTAAGGTTGTCTCTGCAGTTCAGATCACTCAGCCCTGAGAATCAACCTTATGACTCCCCTCTGGTCCATTTAAGTACATTTCTATTTTTTCTCCCCTAATGAGATGCACAGCAACCGACCATAATTTTAATGCCTGACACCTGAACTTCTTACATCCTCTCAGATGTTTCTGGTTTGCCTAAGACTTTGTTCTAAGCCTAGGGGTTGATTTCCTCCTTTGGAAATTTTGACCAAAGGCATTTTTGACCAAAGTCATCTGTTTGGGATAATGAATGGCCTTTCTGTGCTCTCGGGAGGAGAGCAGGTTCCATACCACCCTCCATATGATCTCGCAGCTTTGCCAAACCTCCACGCCAAGCTTATGAGAATTCCCGAGAGCTGGGGGAGGCGAAGTGGGTGGGACATCCTGTGGTCACGCTGTTTCCTCCACAGCCCCCACAATTTTTTGGTCTTTCATAGAACCTTGGGGAAATTAAAAGTGGTCCTTAATCAGGAAAATGCTGAAGTTCCTGGAATAGAGGACGCCTTGTAAGTTTCCTTTCTAAATGGACATCTCGACTTTGAGAGAGGTTCACAGCACTCCTAGCATTGCTCACTCTGGTGGAGCAAGTTGCTGTGCTGTGAGATGCTCTGCAAAGGGACCCATCTGGCAACAAACCAACAGCTCATTGGAAACTCAGTCCTGCTGACAACCATGTGAAAAAGCTGGAAAAGTGGGTCCTGCCCTAGTTGAGGTTTGAGATGCAGCCTTGTGAGAGATTCAGAACCAGAAGGCCTGTGGCTGCACCTGGTCCCCTGACCCACAGAAGCTGTGAGACCCTAAATGTTATTTTAAGCCCCTAAGTGTTGGGGGTAATTTATGACACAGCAAAAGATAACTATTGTGGACAGAAGAAAGGAAGCCGTTTCATTCCTCTTGATTCTGCATGTCCAGATTGGAAGTTGTCATTATTAACTCAGCAGTAGCTAGGATAGATCTGGTACAGAGTATCTGCCCACTTCTCTGCCAGGGAGTTTATGTTTGTTTGTTGTAGTTTTTTTCAGCAAAGGGTTTGTTGCTTATGAATGAAACACAGAAAGCACCACTATTAGGAGAGAGTTCATGAAGTTCATCTTAGAAGCCTACTGGTTTCCTAAGCTGCTTCAGCTCCTCTTGGCATGGTTTGCCATTCTAACCCTAGTTCTCAAGCATGGACAACAGATAATGGTGTGAGTAGCCTGCAGATAGCAGTACCTTAGGGTCCGCCACAGGGGCTCAGGGTTGTGGTCCAGGGGAATAACCAGAAGGGGTCTCTAATACAACCTGTGCAGGTCCTGGAGGCCTCGAATGGCTGCATCTCACATACCCTGTCCCTTTGTTTCCACCAGTCCTTGTGCTTCCACTGTTCTGAGGTATAATCAGAGAACTTGGTTTCCAACCCCTTGGATCTACTTAGATGCCTGGCCCATCTCCCGGACCTACTCTTCTGTCAGAGGCAGGAGCCTCTTTGGACAGGCTCATCAGAAACAGAACATCTTCTGCAGTGGACACAGACACAACTATTTGATAGAGAGGCTGGGAGACCCCCGGCCATCTGGCCAGCTCTAATGGCTCACGGAGAATCGAGGAGTGGGGGCGCCACATGAGGGACTGTTCGCCTCATGGAACACAGGAGATTTCCAGTAGATTTTGTTATTTGAGGAGTGGGCATAGGGTAGAGGTAGGGGTGTCTTTCAGAGGATTCCTGGGGTCAGCCTTCTAGGAAGAAGGAGTCCATTTGGCCTCTTTTTTTCAGGCTTTTTATCTCCTCCACACCCCCAAACAGTAGAAAGCCTGCAAGGGGTTTACCACCAGCATCATTCTACTCCTCAAGTCTCAGGTGCTGGCATCTTTAATCCACAAAATAAATTGTGATTTAGACAAGAAGAGTGTTCACTTCTTTTGTTTGTTTGTTTGAATACAGTTACTTTCTACCAAAATTTTATCAAAGGGGTCAACGTGACTCAATATTACTCTAGTTCATATTGAAGATACCTTGGGCGATTAAAACAACTTAATTGGAACATTCATTCATTGGTTAATAGTTATGGAGTAAATAACTTCCTCGGTATCTACAGGACATGAGAGAGAACCTGAGCCTTACAATGCAAAGGGATCCAATCAACTGCTGGACATAATAGAGAATCCATTTTAAATTCTACGAAATGCAGGCTTTTCTCTGGAGGCACCTTCTTTAAAAAAGAGATTACATTTTTCCCTTTTAGTTCAATATTTTAAAATATGTACAGATATCATAATTTAATGAAAGATATCACTGAAAATATAAAGCTTTTCCTAAATGAATTTACATAGGCACATGGGGAGAATTAGGATGAGGACTCCTACCCTGGAGAACACTCCCTATTCCATGGTGTAAGGGTTCTAGCTTGGCCTCTATGGCCCTAAGTGTCAGGAAAAATATGAAGGCTTTTGTATTTTCTACAAAACTGATGGACACTTTTTAGTTTCTTTTTGTTGTTGTTGTTGTTATTGTTGTGGTTTTTGAGAAGGAATCATGCTCTGTCACCTAGGCTGGAATGCAGTGGCACAATCTCAGCTCACAGCAACCTCCACCTCCTGGGTTCAAGAAATTCTCCTCCCTCAGCCTCCCGAGTAACTGTGATTACAGGCATCCACCACCACACCTGGCTAAGTTTTGTATTTTTAGTAGAGACACGGTTTCACCATGTTGGCCAGGCTGGTTTCAAACTCCTGGCCTCAAGCAGTCCACCCACCTCGGCCTCCCAAAGTGCTGGGATTACAGGCGTGAGCCACCGAGCTCAGCCTCTTTTTCAACCTTTTCATCAAAACCTTCTGCAAGGATTCTTAAGACCAGAGCTTGTCAATAGTTTATTCTCCTTCCAAATGACCTCCTTTCCAATGCTCAGCTTGAGAATGAGACAGCTCATTTGTCCATGTGGCCCTTGGCTGTGACAAACACAGCTCCACAATGTTCCAGTCATGTGGCCTGCACTGGGACACAAGCAGGTGCAAAGGCATCTGCAGGAACGCACCTCTCTTCATTCCTTTCCTTTCTTTCTGTTTTTGAGGGCGGGGGGATTCCAGTTCTGTTTTTTTTTCTTCAAGTTTTTTTTATTGTGGTAAAACACATATCACATAAAGTCATGGCCCGACACAGTGGCTCACTCCTGTAATCCCAGCACTTTGGGAGGCTGAGGCAGGTGAATTACTTGAGCTGAGGAGTTCGAGACCACCCTGACCAACATGGCAAAACTCCATCTCTATTAAAAATACAAAAATTAGCCAGGCATGGTGGCAGGCTCCTGTAATCCCAGCTACTTGGGAGGCTAAGGCAGGAGAATCACTTGAACCCTGGAGGTGGAGGTTGCTGTGAGCCGAGATCACGCCACTGCACTCCAGCCTAGATGATGGAGCAAGACCTTGTCTCAAAAAAAAAAAAAAAAATTATCATCTTTACCATTTCTAAGCATACAGCTCAGTGATATTAAATACATTCAAAATGTTGCATAACCATCATCAGCATCTATCTCCATAACTCGTCTTGTAAAACTGAAACTCTATACCCATTAATCAAGAACTCCCCCTTTATTTCTTTTCTTTTTCTACCCATCATTCCACATATTAATTCAAACACTAGATCAAACTCTGCCACTGTCTGGTGGAGTAGGCTACTTGTGTGGGTTTTGTAGAAATGAGGAAGTTCCCTGGCAGCTGGAATGATGGGCTGTGCCTGCCCCGTGGTTGTCATCCAGCCCCGATGTAGCCAGAACACAAGGACACGGGGAAAACATCCCGTGTGGGAAAGGCAGGAAACCCAGGAGGAGAAGAGAATTGATCTTCCTAGAGTGTAGTTTCCTCCTTGATTTTGCTAAATGAGGGCTGGGGTTTGTTCTGTTCTTTCACATCTTTGCTAGAAGCAACACAGGTGTACCACAAGCCCCTTGTGGACATCTATTGTGTGCAGTCAGCCCTCTGAGCTGAGAAACAGGGATGCACACCCCACGCAGCCAGTGCTGGATAACGGGCCTTACAGACAGCAGAAAAACTTGGAATAAGGAAAAACTTGGAGAGGAAAAGCAAAGGGCCGGGGATGAGAAGACCTGCTCTCGGTTTCCTCCCTGCTGCTATCTTGCTGTGTGTGTGGCTCTAAACAAGTGACCTGGGCCCTGTGCGCCTCGCTGCATTACCAACAGGGGAGCTCAGCACTATCTGCCAACTGACTAAATGGATGGGTCCATGTAATGAAACTCATGCCTCTTGATGAACTCTGTTCCCTTTTAAAAATAAATGATCTTTTGTAAAGATAGACATTCTCCATATATTCTCTGTAATGTTATTCTACTAGATAAATGTGTTGTTGGATAGGAAGCAGGTTTCATTTCTCAATGCTGAGTGTATAGGTTCAACCGTAATGGAACACTGTGAGTGACTATTACTGGGAGGGTGTTCTGGTGCCTGCTCAAAGACCACCAGCCAAGGAAGGAAACAGTAAGCCTCAAGAATAAATGTCCGTTCTCATCTTCCACCCCCTGCCATCTGTATATCAAAGAAGCTACTCAGCAAAAGTAAACAATCTGTCCCCATTATGCTAAACCTTCAAAAGGCAGGAAACCAGCAACTAAATTAGATCTTGCAGAATAGTTCAACTCTCACATTTGTGGTTTCCAAAGATCTCCTACTCTTGGTGAGCAGACAATTTGTTCTGTCGTGTTGCATAGAATTCAAGTCAGTAGGTATTTACTGCGTGTTTGCTGTGTTTCAGGCTCTGCTGGGGACCCCCAGGTCTATCTAGCAGGAAGAAGAGATCTGGATGCAGAGTCCTGCAATATAAAGCAGAATCAAATGCCATTGTGGACGTGGAAATAAGGATCTGGGGAGAACAGAGGGATACCTTCTTCGGATTGGGGAAGGTTTACAGGGCACCAGAGACCATGCTTCAGGTGCTTGCTGGCCATGGGGAGAAATTTGTTTGTTTGTCATCATTCTTTCCTATCTTTCACCCTCTTCCCCAGATATGCAAGCCTTGTCTTTCTCCCCTGGATTTATACAAGTGCCACCTCGATCCAACCACTCTGCCCTTCATGCCCTTCTCTTCCCTTCCAGCCCACAAAACACCTCCACTCAACACTGGATCATCTTCAGGGGCCACACTTATAGCAGAGAAGAACCATCTTAGCACAGACAGACTTCCTGTACTGAAAACTTGGAATAAGTTTCTCTGTGTGAGCAGGACTCTGCCAGCCCACCCACACTCTATCACTCAGGGTGTGGCCCCCGCCCTATCAGCTGCACCAATATCAGCAGCACCAGTATTACTTGGGCACCTGTTAAAAGGCAGACTGTCTTGTGGAATGATAGACAATGCAGGCTTGTAATGGTGAGCCGGGTGGGAGGGAAGAGGAGAATTACATAATGGGTACAATGTACATTATTTGGGTGATGGGTGTCCTAAAAGCCCTACCTTCAGCGCTGTGCAATCTATGCATGTAACAAAATTACATTTGTACCCCAAAAACTTGTACAAATAAAAAATTGAATTTAGCTTAATTAATTTTTTTTAAAAAAAGAAATGCAGGCTTTCAGGCCCCACCCCAGCTTTACTGAACCAAAATCTGAATTTTAGCAACATACTCAGGTGGTTTCTGCACATTAAAGTTTGAGAAGCACTGGCTAAAGCATATTTATACTTGGGTCTTTTTAAATTTTAACACTCAAAGGCAACAACAATTTTCCCCGTGGTCATCTCATGACTTCTGACAGAGCCACCAGTGTTATCAAATCCATCTTTCTGCCTCCATTCTCCTAAAACACCCAGGGAGCTGTGTTACTTCCCCAAACACAAACCACCTTCAGATGTCAGCTAATAGAATTGGAGGGAAATAACTAAGTTCCTGGTCTCAGGCCAAGAACTCTAACTTCCAGGCTGAATTCAGGCAGCAGGGAAGCCTGAAGGCTGATTTTCCCTAAGCACAGGAAAAATATCATTTGAATAGGGAGTTTATAACTTTGGGAGGCCGAAGCGGGCAGATCACCTGAGGTCAGGAGTTCAAGACCAGCCTGGGCAACATGTCAAAATCCCGTCTCTATAAAAATACAAAAATTAGCCAGGTGTGGTGGTGCACACCTGTAATCCCAGCTACTTGGGAGGCTGAGGCTGGAGAATTGCTCGAATCCAGGAGGTGGAGGTCGCAGTGAGCCGAGTTCGTACCACTGCACTCCAGCCTGGGCAACAGAGAGAGAGTCCATCTTGAAAAAAAAAGGATCGAGAGTTTATATTTCAAAAGTCTGAGGAAGAGATGTGGAAGAAGCCCTCCCTCTTCTTCAAGGGAAGAGGTCTTGCTTCTAATACAGCCACTTTGTCTTGGTGCCCATACCTTCACCTCTGGGAGGCCCTTGCTAATGCTTTGAAGGTAACCTGCCCTCCCGCTGTACAGGGCTGTTCTCTGCCACCTCCAGCCCGGAGCTGTCAGCCTGTAAGGGACCAGCGAGAACATCTTGCTCCTACTCCTCCAGGTGGCCAACATTCCCACTAATGACCCTAACAAGTCACACATATTTGTCACCAACAATGGGGAGATCATTATCACCTACCTTCCAAGCAGCCCCTTCAAATTCTGAGTGGCTTTGACATTTCAAAGCTCTTTACAATGTCAACTCCACCTGACTCCCAAGGGAACTATCTTCTGAGAGTTCCATCTGGTTATTTAACTGCTAAGTTCTCTACCTGGGAGAGTGTTCCTTAAATCTATGCTTCTCTAATGTGTCTTCAAAGCACCTGGGGATCTGTTGTTTGAAAGTTTGGCAGGGCCACTGAGATTTTTGGCTTTGGTGGGTGATAACAATGCCCCTGACCAGAGTTTGAGGGACAAGACCTTAGATTTAATTCAATCTACCTTTTACTTATTTAGTCTCAGTTCTGTTCTACAGGACCACAGAGAACAAAGCCACCTGACCTGCTGTCATATACTGGAACATAAAATCACATCTTTCCCAAATCTTCTCTTTTTTTCTACCAAAAACATCCCAGTTCTTTCCATAGTTCCTTAGCTGTCATGGCTTTGCATCTTCTTATCATGTGATTAACTGTCTTCTGGAAATGTTCCAGTGAGTGTTGACAAGCCCTTTAGGTGCATGGCACCAATCCTGGAACTCTTCAACTTGAACAGAACAACCCTGGGGCCAAGCAGAACCAGGCATTGTCCTGATGCAGATAAGCCCATGACCTTACAATCCTGTTCGGGAACAATGTGGTCCTATGGATGTATGGAGCCTCAAACAAAAAAAAACCTCCACCCTTCCCTCATACAAATGCATATGCCTTTCTTGTCACAATGGTGAGAAAATGGATGATAAACTAATTCATCCTCTAACATACTGGTAACTTGACATGTTATTTAAAGAAACTTTGACAAGGCGATCTTAAAGAGACAATGTCTTACTCTAAAGGCAAACTCCCTAATGGCGTCATTGTAGGGCTCATGACAGACTGGT
This sequence comes from Homo sapiens, assembly GCF_000001405.40. Classification (NCBI taxonomy): domain Eukaryota; kingdom Metazoa; phylum Chordata; class Mammalia; order Primates; family Hominidae; genus Homo; species Homo sapiens. The sequence continues at coordinate 107,739,863 of NC_000006.12, forward strand.
GGGAAAGACATGTGGGGTGAGGGTACTGCTCAGAGCTTACCATGCCATCGCTGCTTCCTCCACTTTCCCCAAGGCTCCCTGACAAGCAAAATTCACAGCACTCAGCTCTGCTGAGAAATCAGTGCCACAAGGTTGGATAATTTAGAGCAATTTATTTTTTCAAAGTAGTTATGAGCTAGGAAAGGGCTCAAGAGAACAACTGGGGTCATTACTTCCAAACCTCCCAGCTGACTGGGAGGAAAACCAGCTTTCAGATGGGGACATCAGCTTTTAGGAAGGAAGGCTGTCATCCTCCTGGAATAAGATGTTAAAAGGAAACCATTTTAGGCTCAGTTTTAGCTGAGCTGCAAGACAACAGACACCATATACCACAATAAAGTGTGAGACCACCATGCGGGTCTTGTAAAAAGAGATGGTGGAAAGCCAGTTTTACACCAACAGATGACCACCCACATCCATCCTGCAAACGAGGTTGTAGAGGCGGAGAAACAGTTTAACTAGAAGAGAAATTTTGGAGAAAATGATCCAGTGCATGGCTTCAGTGTGAACACATGAATAGCTTGAGATCTGTCCTCTGGAGCTTGAGAGACAAGCTCTAAAAGATGGCCCTTGGCTGGCAGAACAAAGGAGAGGTGCCTGCAGGGATCAGCCAATACATCCAGAGTTTGTTTGGTCAGAGGATGTGCGAGTGTTTCTCAAGGACCAGATGTGGGCCATCAGAAGACATAGATCTGCAGCAGGATCATCTTAGATCCTTTCCACAGGGCAGTCTGGAGGTGCGAGAGGGCTTCAGCTGAATCTAGAGATTTACCCCCAGAGGCCTTGGACTGTGGAAAGAATTGTAAATGACCAGCTAGAGAAGAGTTGCATTTGTCCATGCCCATGCAAGTGCAGGTGAGAGATGGTAGGGTCACCAAAGAACACATGTAAAAGCCCACAGGATGAAGAATCAGCTTTAAACATCGGCTAGAAGCAGAGAGCATGATGCCAACTCACAGCAAGATTCATCACGTACAAATTCCCCTGCCTCTTGCGTCTCCTCCTTCCCCCATCCACTGTGAAGGGGATCAAGGTTAGCGAGCTATGGGAGGAGGCAATAACAAAAGGGGGAAGGTTGGGGGAGAAGCCAACCATGCCCTTCTTTATTGCTGCAGGCAACTGGCCTGAAGCAAGCCTGAGCTGGGTGTGGGGCAGTCATTATGTCTTTGAGTGAAACTGAAAGTTTCGAGGCCGACTTCAAGTTCCAAACTGGTGGCATAGAAGCAAGCTGGCTTCAGTCCCCACCACAGAAAATCAAAAACAAATGTACAGCACCGAGATTATAACCAGAAATATCCCAGAACTCAAATATGAAGAGGAGACAGTGCCTGGGGCCACAGAGAAATGAAAAAACTCTGAGCAGAGGGTAAGAGAATCTGACTTCCACGTTCAAGTCCCTCCCTCCATCTGCTTAGCACCAAGCATGCAGAAAAATGTCTCCCAATTCACTGTTTCTACACTAGAAAAAGTGAGATCAAGGTGTACAACCAGCTTTCACACCATCTTGGTTTCCATGGCAGGAGGCCTGTCCTTGCCTTAATCCATAGGAAGCATTGAGAGTGCCCGAAGGGAGAAATATCCCTGAGGACAGCCAGAGACAAAGCAGGGAGGTAGAACTACCATCCCCAGCCCTGGGAACTCTGCTTAGTTACTTGCCCAAGGGAGATTTCAAATCAGTGTGGCTGTTACGCAGTACCACACTGTAGGTTTGTCCCACAGATCCCCTGGGCACAAGCCCCTAGCCAGCCTTCCCACACTGCTGGGATATACCTTTTTGGGACCTTCTGCATTTGGAAAGGGCAATGCTTCAATCATTCACTAGAGCTAAGGCAAACCTGGGCTTAAGGTGCCATGTAGAGCCAAAAAACCAAAGACAGTGACCTAGCAGTAAAGAACCTATAAGCAAATATATCCAATAAAAGCCAAACAAGTCAGAGAAGACTGAAATAAATATTCTTTCAATGCAAAGACATAGACACATCCACAAGAAACAACGGCTGACAGGAAACCGTGATCTCCCTAAATGGGCAAGGCAAGGGACCAGAAACCGACCCTAATAAGATGGTAACACGTGAGCTCTCTGACCAAGAATTCAAAATAGTAGTTTTAAGGAAACTCACTGATTTCCAAGATAACACAGAAAAGCAATTCAGAAATATATCAGAGAAATTTAACAAAGAGATTGAAATAATTAAAAAAAATCAAACAGAAATATTCAAACTAAGAAATACATTTGCTGAACTAAAACAATTATTAGAGACTCTCAATAGTGAAGTAGATCAAGCAAAGGAAATAATTAGTGAGCTCGAAGATAGACTATTTGGAAATATAGTCAAAAGAGAAAAAAGGAAAAAGGATGAGAATTAATGAAGATCACTTACAGGATATAGAAAATTACCTCAAAAGACAAAATCTAAGAATTATTAGTGTTCAAGAAGGAGTCAAGCAAGAACAAGGGGTAGGGAGCTCATTCAAATAAATAATAACAGAAAACTTTCCAAAAGATGAGAAGGGTCAAATATGCATGTATAGGAAGGGCAGAGAACACCAAACAGATTTTAACAAACAAAACTACCCCAAGGCATATATTATAATCATCAAACTCTCAAAGTCCAAGGACAAAGAGAGAATCCTAAAAGCAGCAACAAAAAAGAAGCAAATGACATTTGAAGGAACCCCAATTCATCTGGCAACAGACTTCTCAGTGGAAACCATATAGGCCAGGAGGGAATGGAACAGCATTTTCAATGTACTGAAAGAAAAAAAATAACTGTTATCCAAGACTACTGTATCAAGCAGTTATCCTTCAAATATGAAGGGTAAATAAATTTTCTCCCAGACAAACAAAAGCAGAGAGAATTCACCACCATCACAGGCATCTTACAAGAAATGCTAAAGGCAGTTTTTCAATGTGAAAGAAAAAAAAAACACTGCGGGTACAAAGCCTGTTGGTACCATTACGTACACAGACAAACCCACAACACTCTAATACTGTAATTGCTGTGTATAATCCACTTATAACACTAGTATGAAGCCCAAAAGACAAAGCTATTAAAAGCAATAATAGCTAGAACAATCTCTTAAGAGATAGGTAATATCAAAACATATAAATAGAGGCAACTAAAAGTCCACTGTAGGGGGGATGGAGTTAAACTGCAGGATTGTTTTTTCATTTTTTCCTTGTTTCTATTCTTGTCTGTGTGATCTGAAATAAGTTGTAATTTCTTTAAAGTAACTTTTTATACCTGTAGCATTTTTTATAAGCCTCATGGCAACCACATGTAAAAACCTATAATAGATTCACTAAGAATAAAGTTCAATTATCACCCTGACCTGGACATATCAATTATTGACTAGAGAACATTTTGTAACCTGAAAGGAGCCAGAAAAGCCAATACTTGTTCTGAATTTCATCCGTAGTCAGGGAAGAACTAGTCCCGCAGGATACAATTAGAGGACAATGGGAGATACGGGTTATGCTGCTTTATGATGATGTCCCATGGGTCATTGTGTGTTCAATGTAACAATGAGGCAAGCATCTGAGAAGTGAAATCACATGATTCTGCTATTCTCATTGCAACACTCACTAGAAGATAAATAGTTTAAGAATATGTTTGTGAGTCAACTAGGGTTTACAGGTGAGGCCAGATTCATAGACTGTTGGAACCAGAAGAACGTGCTGTATCAGCAACTCCAACCTGTCATTTACCCATAGGAAATCTAGGCCCGGAGAGAGATGAGACTTCTCCAAGCTCACACATGCAGAGACATCAAGAAAAACATAAAAGTAAATAGCATCTGCTCACACCAACCATATTTAATTAGGTACCTTCCTTTGCAGAGGCCAAATTTCTTCCTGTTTCCCAGGACTCAGAGAGATAAAAGCAAAATTGTAGGAAAGATTTTGATAGTATCCAAGAAAAGCTATGCAGAGAATCTAAATTTATCCTTCCCTGCTGTCCTCTTGAATTGGAGACACAGCCTCTCTTATGATAAGTATCCTTTTGTTGAATGCGCTAAACCTGTCTGCGAGCACATACCTGCAGATGTATCTGTTTTTTATTATTTGTAGCAGTTACTCTACTTTCCTAAGCTCATGCATTTGACTTATCCAAGGCAGGGTCTCACACAGTGCTTGGAACAGAAGAGGGTTCACCAAATGTTTGCAGACTAACGTAATAACTGGATTCCAGTTGTACTGCCTGTGTGCTTTTCATATACCAACAACCCTGTGTTCAGAGAAAGAAAAAAAGCAACATTTCTACCCATCCTTGAGATTCACCTTCACCTCTTTGCAGATCTATAACTCAGGGCTGCTTAGCGGAGAAGGAGCACCTCCTGTTGACATCTAGCCCCTTGGGTAGACAACACTGTGTCATGTATGCCTGTGTGGCCTTGCTACCCTCCCCAAGGGCCACTTTTCCATCCTGAGCTACTCTGTGGCTAATGGTACAAAAAGGTGCTCAACCCCTAGGCCACTTTCCATCTTGTGATGAGAACGAAACACTAACCCTTGCTGGAAGACATATTTAATATATGGCCCCGTCAAATCCCTGCAATAATAGACACTTTGTTGCACCTTTAATTCACATGGGTAGGTGTCTGAGACTCCCAGGCAGGACCAACATCATCAGTTCTATAGCTCTAGTTTCTTTGGGATGAGTTCCTTAGTTTTGTAGTCCTGCTACTACTCAACAATGACAAATGCCCAGAGTTTCAATGAGAGGAGAGTGCAGAAACTTACTTGTTACATATGATGTGATGTGGTCTCATTGTCTAAATTCTAATAATATAGACCTAAAAGTTATAATGTCAGCTCTTAATAGCTGGAGGGACCACTTCCCTCTGCAGCCTGGGGTGGGGACTGTCCAGGCACCCCTTTGTTCCAGCCAGCTACAAATATTTCCCAGGCACCCAGACAGGCAGCCCATGGGGCTCCAGTGGCAGAACTGCCAGGAGCTACAATGGCTCCCTCCATAGTGGAAGGGCAGAGACACCTGGGACAGGGAGGTGTCCCTGCAGGTGGGGGAAGCAGGACAAGGCCTACCTGATTCCATCCTCCCTTCCTCTTTCTCCTGGACTTTCTCAGAGGCACTGCAGCCCCTGGGGAAGGGCTGGTGGCTGAAGAGGTCATCGCACAGGAGGCTTCGGCACAGCTTGGCGAGGAAGCGGAGGACATAGCCGATGCTGTTCACCACAGGCAGGCTCCGCAGGTGCTGTTTGCCATCAAAGGAAGCCGAGACTGGAAAACCAGAGAGATGTCAGCTTAGAGCCGGGCACTGGAGAAAACCGCAAGTCAATCGGCCGTGGTGAGGATTTTTCGTTTGTTCATTTTTGTTTTGTTGCTAAGCAGACTATATTTGGATTTCACCTGTTTGTTCACAATGTCCTGTTTCTGGTGGGGATCCCACCCAGGACACCACATTACATTTAGTTGTCACGTCTCCTTCGTCTCCTTGGTCTGTGACTGTTTCTCAGTCTTGCCTTGTTTTTCATCACTCTAATAGCTTTGAAGAGTACTGCTCAGGGTAAAATGTCCCTCCGTTTGGATTTGTCTTTTTTTCTCATGATTAGACTAGGGTTATGGGTTCTTTGGGACCACAGAGGTGAAGTACCCTTTCTATCACATCACATCAGGGGATAAAACTGGAGGAGTGCCGTGACCATGGAAAAAGGGATTTCTCTGACTCTGAAGGATCTTGAGTAACAAGACATGCCCTGAGATGGGGTTGAAGCCATGATGTTTCCCCACTGCCCTGCATGGTGGTAAGTGCTATGAAGAAGGAATGGAGCAGAGTAAGGAAGTACAGAGAGGCGGGGTGTGATGGCTCATGCCTGTAATCCCAGCATTTGGGAGGCAGGTGGATCACATGAGCTCAGGAGTTTGAGACCAGCCTGGGTAACATAGTGAGGCATTCATCTCTACAAAAAATTGTAAAAAATTAGCCAGGCTTGGCGGCAAGTTCCTGCAGTCCCAGCCACTTGTGGGGCTGAGGTCGGAAGATCGCTTGAGCCCGGAAGATCGAGGCTGCAGTGAGCCGTGATTGTGCCACTGCACTCTAGCCTAGGCGACAGAGTGAGATCCTGTCTCAAAATAAATAAATAAATAAATAAATAAATAAATAAAAGAATGGAGGGTGACAAGGGCTATATATTAGACAAGAAGTCAGAAAAGGATTCCTGGATAGAGTGGCATTTGAGTAGAACCTAAAGGACATCCATGAGGTCATCTCTGCTAGAACAGAGTGGGGAACAAGAGAGAAGTAACCAAGAAATTAAAGAGGTAGCCAGGGCCAGGTCACACAGGGCCTGTGGGATTTTGTAAGGACTTGGGCTTTTACTTGGAGTGACATGGGAGACATTGGAGGAGGGTTTAGGGCAGAGGAGGGGCATGATCTGACTTAGATTTTTAAAGAACCAGGGAGGTTGCTGTGGGTGGTGAAAGGTGGTTGGACTCCGGGTATATTTTGAAGTGGAGCGAAAGGATTCTGGATATATTTTGAAGTGGAGAAAAAAAAGCAAAAACCGGTGAGTTGGAAGTGGGAAGTGGGAGAAGGAGAAGAGTCAAGATGAGGATCAGAAATCCAGTCTTCTTACCCGGGCATGGAATCATCCTCTCCCTGAGCCCTGAGAGAGGCTTTTAGCTCACAGGCTCATAAAGACCCTAGGAGCCCAGCAGATGAAGGACAGACCCTGGCCACACCTGCTGTCTCCAGGCCTGAGTATGGCTGCTTCCTCTGCAGAGAGACATCCATGGCCTCCTCATGCAACCTGCCCCAGGCCTTACCTGACACCATCTCACCACCATAGCCCTGCTTGACCAGGGAGAAGACCAGCTTCTGCTGGTGGGCGCAGTCGATGCAGGCTTGGACGGCCTGCTGCAGCACCGCCGATGGCCGCTCGGGCCCAAAATGCTCCGGGAGCTGCTGCACCTTCTTCCTCTCCAGATAGGGCCCCGCATTGGCCTGCTTGTTGATGTAGAGGCAGACTGCGGAGACAGAGGTCACAAAGCCCTCGGCATCAGGCGCGCATCAGGCCAGCTGGCGGCCTCTGTGTACACGGGGGATGCCTCAGCCATGCCCCTTTGGCCCTGGCCTTGGGAAAGCTGGCAAGGGCAAAAGTGGGGTGGATTCTTCCCAACTTAAGAAGTAAAAGAGGCAAAAGAGTTAGACACCCCAAGTGCCAGGGCCTGACCTCGGGGGCTTTCTTGGTTGGAAACAGTTGGATAGGTGGGTCCACTCTGATCTACTGAAATCTGAATTAAAGACCATTATGGTGGCCCACATGGACCGTGTGTAAAAAGGTATTTCCATGCTGGGAAAATGTACATACAAAACTTCTTCTCCCTCCTCCAAAGGAGCTGTCAAGCTATAGACAGTTTTTGCCATTTCTTTGTTAACCGTCTACGAACAAAAAAATCAAGATGCCACTATCACTCCAGAGACTATATATTCAACAAAGCTCTACAGACAGTGCTATTTACAATCTCAGAGAAAATAAATATTCAACAACCCGCTTAGGTGAACCCAGTCAATGGTTTCCACACTTTTAAGGTAACAGACCCCATTGATAAAAAATTGGGGGGGCACCTGTCCCAAACCATGTTTATTTATTTATAGGTTATATACATTCTTAACTGTATTAATGTATTGGGTGAATTTTTTACAGGAAAGTATCTAATTTATATAATATAATATTATATAAATGTTATTTACATAATATTATATATATAAACATAAAAATGTTAGAATGTCTACAAAACTGGTTTTCATATATGATAGATTTCAGTAAATCAAGTGGAATCTTTATGAATTTTGCAATTAAAGAGAAAAAGAAATATAAATCCTTTTTTAGCAGGAAGATTTTGTACAGAGAAGACTGCCCAAAGGGTTAGTTATCATCAGTAAAATTAGCTCAGTTAGTTGGGTGAGGGATTCAGACCTAGTTTATACAAGTTCAACTTCATTCTATTCTATGACAATGAATAAATTCCAACCCCCAACTACCTATGCCACCTGTAATTTGGTAACAGTTGCTGAACTGGTCAGCCTGTCTTCAGACTATTTGCTTTAAGATTTTTCATTGTCTCAGACATCAAGCCAGATTCCTTAATAAATGAAGAGTGCCCTGGCCGACCTCTTGAGAAAAAAACTATCCAAAACTTGGAAATAAGACACAAAAGTTATTTCCTTCACTTTCAATGACATGGTACAGCATTGTCTAATAAGCATTGCATACATTGTAAAACATAGCCAAGAAATAGAAATTGTAAAAGGATGAGATAAGATGAATAGGAATAGTAGGTGTTATATTTTCTTCCATACATTAATGACCCCTCTTGTGTATCTGCCTTCTCACTCCCCATCATCCTCCCATAAGCATCTTACCTTAGAGGCCACTGGTGCAAAGGAGTGCTGAAGAGGGACTTTAAGAGGAGACCAGTGGCATTTTGGAAAGGCTAAGTAGTAACAGCAAAGGTGAAGAAATAGGTTTTTTTGTTTTTTTGTTTTTTTGAGCACCTGCTATAGTCTCAAGACAAGCATGTGGGTTTGGTGGTATTATTACTGATTTACTAATGAAGAAACTAAGGCTTAAAGAAGTTAGTAGACTGCTCAAAAACTGTAGCCAGTGATGCAAAGGAATTTGGATCAAGTCTTTTGGAAGACACTCTGGTAGAGTCCAGGTCTCATCCCAGGTGATAAGAAAAATCTAATAAGAGACCTTCATACAGGCACTATGCCATGCCCTACAAAGAAAGCTTGAACAAAATGAAGCAGTCCCTGCCTTCACAGAGCCTACATCCTGGTTGGGGAAGTAAGCCTATTCAGATCATCCCATGAGCTGATGTGAGACCATGTGAAACTGTGGCTGTGAGAAACACAGGGAGGGGCTAAGAGAGCCCATCTGGGGGACCCTGGCAGGAAAGTTCGTGAGGACCTTCTGGGGAGAAGTATGCTTGATCTGAGATATAAGGGAGGAACAGGGTGGCCCGAAGGGATGATCACTCCAGATGGAGGGAGACAATATGCTAAGACCCCATGACCAGTCCTGGGGACTGAGAGAAGAGCAGTGGGGTGACCCACAGGGTGGAGCCTGCAGGGCCTTGTCGGCCAGATTAACAAGTCTGGGCTTCATCTAAAAGCAATGGGAGGGACTGAAGGGATTTAAATGGGATGGGAGAGGGGCTGGGGTTGTGACATAGGATTCTCTGTGTGTGTGCGCGTGTGTGTGTGTGCATGTGCGTGTGTGTGAGAGAGAGATACCATCAGCTTGTCATTACTATTATGATGAAACTGTCAGTTGGTGGATGCCCCACCATAGACAGAGATTGGGATACCTGCTACCCTGACTGGGTTGGAGGGTAGTGGGTCAGACTGAGGGCGAATGGGATCCTTAGGAAATCTGGAAGAGCAAACACAGGAACAAGAGCACTGTTTAAGGTGAGCAGGCTTAGATCAGTGCAATGGATCAGCGCACCCCAGCTCCTAAAAGAAACATCTGGCCACCCTGTGCCCCGCTGTCATCCACCTCCCTCCAACCAAAGCAACCACCTAAACCCAAGCTGCACTGAAAACCAAGTTTTAAATAATCCAAGCTGTGGGACATATAAACTGGTGCTCTCAAAGACTCTGGTCATCCTGTCTGCTGCCTAGCTAGCACACTAAATCGCTCATTTGAGCCATCTCAGCAACAACTCTTTAATCCACAAAGTAACAATTAGATGGTAGCTGCCCTGTTCTCTACAGACCATCACAGCCTTGGAGTTCATTCTGCTGACCTACCTGTGAGAGCCTGTGGGGCCGCCAAGCTGGGGACCGTGGCTGCGTCCTGAGGGATGGAGCTGAGGTCGGGCTCTGGGGTACTCCGCGGAGGTGAGAGGGCTAAGGGAGTCATGAGAACCCGAGACTTGATCTGGAAGAGAGAGCCCATTTGGTCAATGAGAATCTGGCAATTCTCTCTACACTCTTCCAGATTCTGTCCTAGACGGCAGTTAACCATTGCTCTTCTATCATGCTTCCACACCTTTCCATCCTGCAGTTTCGGGGCCTGAGCTGCAGATTCAAGTTCATGCTCAGGATTCATATTTGGGGTCACACTCAGATCACCTCTCATTCCACCCTTTCAGAAGAGCCACCCAGGAAATGACAGTGTCAGGCAGTGAGTGCAGGAGCACACAGAGGTGTGAAGAGTTGGCATCCATGAACGCTTTGAGTGCAGAATGCAGGATAGGAGAGTTTCCAGCCTGCAGCCCATGTGTTCCCTAGAATCCTGTGGACAGGGCTTTCCCTGTATCCACCCAACCAGAGACCAACCCTTCACTGTCTCCCAAGCTCTCTGCTCACAAAAATCACTGGGTCCTGCCGGAAAAGAGAGCAGGAGCCATTCCTCCAAGAGGCTGACATACCACTGTGTTTATTTCCTGCAGCAGATTGACAAAACTAGGCTGGATGTGGACACAAGAGTGGGCAGCAGCCACTTTGATGATTTCACTTGAAACCACAAAGGAGGAGTTAAAATTTGCTCTTATGGAGTAAGGGGAAGATGAATAGTTGATGACTTGTTGATATCCATATTAACAAGTTACTCTTTATATCAAGACTAGTACAGAGACAAGCTTTTAATCTTAGCTCTCTACCCAAAAGTAATGAAGAAAGTCAGTCATGTCCCTGTCTTCACCTCTGACCTATATCTAGACCTCACTCTAGACCGATTAAGTCAGTCTCTGGAAGTGAGACTCACACATCCGGAGTTTTTAAAGATACTGAGATTCTAATACACAGTTAAGGCTGGGGACCCTTGCCCAACACCAAAGCTTTTCAATTTTTGCAATCAACCTTCTAGAGGGTCTTGTTAAAATGCAGATTCTGATTCAGGAGTTCTGGTCTGGGACAGGAGATTCTGCATTTCTATGAGCTCCCAGGTACCACTGATGCTGCTGGTCCATGGACCACACTTCGAGTAGCAAGGTTGTATGTCCTATTGTTAACATGTGTGCAGTCCTCATCTATATCTTCACTTTCGTCCTGGATTTTTAGGATAGAATACTAATAATAGTCATGGAGAAATAGTATTTGAACTGCTAGTTCCCCAGTCATTCTATATTCACTCATTTATTTGTTCAACAAATATATACCAAGAGCCTATTTCATGCCCAACACTCTTCCAGCTGCTACGGAAACAGCAGAAGCAAAGCATACAAAAATCTTTGGCCTCATGGAACTGATATTCTGTTGGGGGGAGACAGACAATAAACAGAATAAATGGGTAAATGATATAGTAGATTACATGTTAATAAAAGCTGATGATGAAAATAAGGAGGGAAGGGGCATGAGAAGTGCAATTGAGTTGTACTTTAGGCTGACATTTTTAAATAAGGAGGTTGAGGCATTTCTTGGGTGAAATTGTACCCAAGATTTGAAGGAGGTGAGGGAGCAAGTCATACAGTGTGTAGGGAAAGAATATTCCAGGCAATGTCGATATCAAGCCCCAAGGTTCTGAGGCAGGAGTATGCCTGGAGGGTTTGTGCAACTGTAGGGAGGCCAGAGTGAGACAGGAGAGGTAATAAAGCCAGGTTGGGCAGGGCTTTGCAGGACACTGTCAGGCTTTTAGCTATTACTCTTGAACTCTTTTGAGCAGAGAAACAATAGGATTTAAACTAACATTTTAACAATCTTTCTTTCTTTCTTTCTTTCTTTCTTTCTTTCTTTCTTTCTTTCTTTCTTTCTTTCTTTCTTTCTTTCTTTCTTTTTTGAGAGGGAGTTTCGCTCTTGTTGCCCAGGCTGGAGTGCAATGGCACCATCTCAGCTCACTGCAACCTCCGCCTCCCAGGTTCAAATGATTCTCCTGCCTCAGCCTCCCGAGTAGCTGGGATTACAGGTGCCCGCCACCACGCCTAGCTAATTTTTGTATTTTTAGTAGAGACAGGCTTTCACCATGTTGGCCAGGCTGATCTCAAACTCTTGACCTCATGATCTGCCTGCCCTGGCCCCCAAAGTGCTGGGATTACAGGCGTGAGCCACTGTGCCCGACCAACAGTCTTTCTGACTATGGTATTGAGAAAAGACTGAAAGAAGCAAAAGTGGGAGGACCACTAACCTACAGTAGCTGAGAGATGACAGTAGGGTGGATTGTGGTGATGATAGCAGTGGCGGTGATGAGAAGTAGACAGATCCTGGACATGTTTTGAAGGTGGAACCAACAAAATTTACCAACACATTGAATGTGGTATATGAGAGAAAGAAGGAAGTCAAAGATGACTTCAAGCATTGACACCAGGAGGGCTCTAGGTGGAGTAGTTTTTTTGTTGTTGTTGTTTATTTTGAAGGGAAGGAGGATAGAGTGGAGGGGGCTAGAGAAGATCAGGGGTGAGTTTTGGACATGTCGAGTTTAAGATACTTGCTAGACATCCAAGTGGAGATATTACTAGGCAGTTGCATCTAGTAGAGTATATGGTTCTGGGGGAGAGCCTATATGAAGATGTACATTTGGGAATCATGAATATAGAGTTGGTATGTCAGACCATAATAATGGAAGATATCATCAGAGAAGTGAATGTAGATGGAGAAGAGAAGGATCCAAACACTGAGCCCTGCAAGATTCCAACACGAAGAGCCTGGAGAAATGAGAAAGGAGCAAGCAAAAGAAATCAGGTAAGAGCACCCAATGGGGTAGAAAGAAAACTGGGAGAGGGTGGGAGTGTGGGAGTGAATGGAAAGGTTCTTTCAAGGAGGAGATAGTGGTTAACCATGCTAAGTGCTCTGATTAGACAAGTAAGACTAGGAGTGGCCATTAGATTTAGCAGTTTATCAACAAGAAAGGTGGTGGCACAGTGGGTTGAATTGGGATAAGAATAAATCTTTGCCCTCGTGGAACTGACATTCTAATGGCCAGCGGGGGTGGGGAGACAATAAATGAATAAATAAGTATATGATATAGTATGTTAGAAGGTGATAAGAGCCAATGGTGAAAATAAAGAAGCAAAGGGCATGGGAAATGCAATTGAGGAGTTATACTTTGAGTTGAGATTTTAAAATAGGGTAGCTCCTGATTGGAAAAATGGAAAGAGAGGCATTAGGATCAGTAAGTAAAGTCAACTCCTCTTTCAAGGAGTTTTGTCAAAAAAGGGAGCAGAGAACTAGCCATAGCAAAGGAACAAAGTGGGATTAAAATATTTTTTTGCCCCACAATGCGATACCACCTTTCTGGTAGCTGTTAAGATAGATACTATTAAAAAATACAAAACAAAAAATAACAAAATGAAAACCCCCCAGAAAATAGTAAATGTTGGCAAGGATGTGGAGAAACTGGAACCCTTGAGCACTATTGGTGGAAATGTAAAATAGTGCTGCCACTATGGAAAAGAGTATGGCAGTTTTTAAAAAAAATTAGAAATAAAATTACCATATGACCCAGCAATTCCATTTCTGAGTATGTAGCCCCCAAAATTGAAAATAGAGTCTCCAAGAGATATTTCACATCCACGTTCACGGCAACACTATTTACAATAGCCAAAAGTCAAATGCATAGAGACAGGAAGTAGAATGGTAGTTGCCAGGAACTGGGGGAAGGTGGGAATGGGGAGTTATTGCTTAGTGGGTAGAGAGTTTGAATTTCGCAAGATGAAAATGTTCTGGAGATTGGTTGCATGACAATGTGAATATACTTAACACTATTGAGTTTTATGGCAAACTCAATAACGGTAAATTTTAGAAATAATGGTAAATTTTGTGTGTTTTTTAGCAAAATTTAAAAAATTAATTTTAAGGATTCTTTGTTTTTTGTTTTTGAGATGGGAGAAAAAATAGTGTTTTAATGCTGATTAAAATAATCCAGTAGAGAGAGAAAAATTGATTGTACAGAAGAGTGTGTGGAGAACTGCTCACATGAAAGGGCTTTGAGTAGGTGAGAGGGTAGGAGATTTAGTGCATGAGGGAGGCCGTGGCCTAAGAGGACGCACATACTTTCCATCTATTGCAACAGGAAGGAAGACAGAATACAAAGGTTTGAATGCTGGGGTGGGTGGATGTGGAGGTGGGAGCTTGCAGAAGGTCTCTTCCCATGGCTTCCAATTTCCCCAAGATATGGAAGCTGAGTGGGAGGACAGAGGAGGTGGGTGTGGTCATGAACTGGGAGAGTAGGAGGCCTGGGGAATGGAGCACGGCTGCTGAGCAGCACTGAGGGGGCACTGGGATGTGCAGAAATGAATGTGAAATGAGATCAGTCAACAGCAAGCACATTGGCTGCACAGTGCTAAATGGGTGCTGAATTTGAGGCTCTCAAGGGAACCTCTATATTAATCAGAAACTATAATTAACAATAGAGATTTCGTCTTATTCTGAGTGTCACATTTCAAAATTAAAGGACATATCCTGTAGGAATACACTGCTAAATATTATAAACATAATTTAAAAGAAACCTCAGTCATGGGAATGGGAGATCATAAACCTGTTTTGACTCAGTGACTCTGACTTTGGTGTGACTTCCTCATCTGCCAAGTGTCATGAGGGTGGCGGCTGCCATGCCTATTTATGGAGGCCATGCACCAAGGGTCCCCTAACTGCCTTTCTAGGAATGATATCCCACTTTCCATGTCTTGTGATGGAGAGGCTGGTGGTGACAGAGTCCCTGAGGACTTCAGGCAGTGACTTCTGGGATAACCCTGGCTAAATCCTCCTTCACAAGCTTAAAGCCCTTAACTGCCAACACAGAGATAATAATGCTCACTGGGGAAAAATGGAATTGGCAAATTATTTTTTCCTCTTGTCTTTAAGCAAATCACACAAAGATACTTGTGATTCTTCCCTAGAAAAATGACGATGATGATGATGACTAAAACGTAAATATCCAGACACTGTTTACTGTTCATATAGACCTCCTAATGACTTTAACATCTAATGTTTCCTCACCATTTTAATATTTATTAGAGGTCAGGTGTATTGGCTCACACCTGTAATCCCAGCACTTTGGGAGGCCAAGACGGCAGGATTGCTTGAGCTCTGGAGACCAGGCTGGACAACATAGTGATATCTCTTTTGTACTAAAAATTTTAAAAATTAGCCAGGCGTGGTGGCATATGCCTGTTGTTCCAGCTACTCAGGAGGCTGAGGCAGGAGGATTGCTTGAACCCAGGAGATCGAGGCTGCAGTGACCTATGATCACACCACTACACTCCAGCCTGGGCAACAGAGACAGACCCTGTCTCAAAAAAAAAAAAAATTACTAGAGAGGAATCTGTTCACTGAACCCACCTCAAATGAAGTAATGGAATTATAATTGGCTGTTACTTCTGTCCATTTCTGCCCAACTGAAATTACAGGGATTAGATTAAATTGCCTGATTGCAAGGAAACCTCCTGTATTTATCCAGTCTCTAAAACAACTGCTAGAACTTTTGAATGAAAGAAAAAGTCACGAGCAACTATGGGTAGTATATGGCTTTTTAAAAATATCCTTCGCTAGATAAAAAATCACGAGTAGAAATACCCTTTTGACTTAGCATTCAGAAATTTCAATCTCATTGCTTAATATAAAGAATAAAAAGTAGCCTAGTGTAGAAAAGGGAGTCACCCATGATTTTGGAAAAGTCCTAAAAAAGAAGAGCACGGATATGAGCCCACTGGCTAGAAGCTTTGCTCTAGTGTGATGCAGGGCCCAGTCCATCAGCACAAACCTCTCTCCAGTGGAATGGGGGGGTTCTCTGCCTGTCGCAACCTATCCAAGCTGTTCTCTGGCAGGGCATTTGTCTTTGTTGTTGCCTTAGGTTTCTAAAAAAAAAAAAAAAGCTGTCTATTTTGTTTTTTAAATGGACAAAATAAAACACAGTTCTGATATAGTGGTTTCTAACACCATTCTTCAATGTAAGGAAAAAAAACTCCTTGCAGACATGGCTGATTTTAGGATTAGGGTAGGGATTACACACTGGGAGCCTAGAGCATCTTGTAATGCCAGAAAGTAAGACAACACTAAGGAAACAAAACACACACAATGGTGGGGACTGGTTACAGGGACACAGGTGCCAACTGAAAGAGCTCCCAGTGGCCAAATTCGGACCAAGAGGAACAACAAATAAATAATGTAGTAATGGATTATAACTCAAAGTATGAAATAAATATTCATGAATCCACACTGACATAAATAGGTGGTTGACTCAGTAAATAAAAGGGAAAGAACAAACAACTCTCCCATGCATAAAAATTTCAAATAATTTATGTAGACACCCCTCCCTCAAGTAGGTGAAGTGCAATTCCCTACTCCTTACGGATGGGCTGTGCACAGTGAGTACTTCCAAAGAGTACAGTAAGGAAATGAAGGGGAAATATAACTTTACAATGGAGAAACCTGATAAATAAGACTTCAACCATAGGATCAAGGTCAACATCATCAGTGATAAGTCATGTCACTAGCATGTACTCTCACCATATGATGAAAATGCCACGTCACCTCTGGGATCTTCTTCCCCAAGCCCCCTAACCCTAGTCTAATCATGAGAAAAACATTAGACAAACTGAAATTGCAGAACACTTTACAAAATACCCAACCAGTACTCCTCAAAACTGCCAAAGTCATCACAAAAGGAAATTCTGAGCAACTTTCCCAGCCCAGAGGAGCTTAAGGAAACATGACAACTAAATGTTATGTAGTATCTTGGATGGGATCCTGGAATAGAATAGAATAGGGAAAAGCTAATTAAATCGGAATAAAATATTGACTTTATTTAATAATGAAGTATTATGATGGGTTCACTAGTTGAGACAAACATACCACAGTAATATGAGATGTTAAAAATGGGGGGAAATCAGGTGCGGGGTACGTGAGAATTCTCTGTTTTATCTCTGCAATACTTCTGTAAACTGAAAACTATTCTAAAATAGTGTTTGTTTTCAAAATATTAAAAACAGGATGTGGCAGAATAAACTGGGTAAATGGAGAGGAGGAGAGAAGAGAGGCCTCTTCCTGGCAGCACAGAACTGGAAGCAGCTTGCTGTGCAGGACGCCATGCTCTGACATACAGGAGCTAATCCTGGGCCTTCAAAGCCAACATCCCTGCCCAAATGCTAGTGCAGTTGCCACCTTTACCTGAGATTCAAAACCTCAACCCAGCAGGTGTGGCGACCCCTCATCCAAGGCAAGGTCTGTGCTTTGCCTCATTAGAGAATACTGCTGGGACAAAGCGGTAGGGCAAAGTGTCCCTACCAGCTGGAGTCTCCACCAGGGGGGCTGGGGAATCTGGAATCAGCTCATCTTTCTTTTCCATTTATAGAACCAAAATATGGGCCTGGGGAATTTCTGGCTCCAGCTGTCATTTAGGGGAGGACCTTGTCTAAGACATTTGCTAGAACATCACTGGAAAGAATTGGGAGGGGATTTGGGGGGAAACGGAGATGTGCGGTCAAGAGCACACTAAAGGGGAGAGGATCGGTTGATATAAAACTCAAGGATTTTTCTAGAAACATCTGGCTTTGGCAGTAACAGAAATGCCAACTAAACATTGTTTGACAGACTGGTAGCAAGAGGTGGATAATCTGAGGATGGAGAGTGTGGCTGGGGAAGGATGAGGATGTATAGAGGCTGCTGGCACATCCGCAGAGGGTAAGCCAACAAAGCAAGATTTTAAAATGTGTTTAGGGCAGCAGTGGGCACATGCAAAGGAATACCAGCTTTGGATCTGGATTGAATGTCCAGCGTGGCCACTCGCTGATTCTGAAGCTTAGTACTTAGGCCCTCAGAGCCTGCCTTTCCTCATCTGTAAAGATAATAGCCCTCACACAGGGATGTAGTTAGAATTAAATGCAGAAGTTTAGCATAATGCAAAGTGAGAACTCAATAAAAGTTAATTGTCATTATTGGTGTTAGTATTATTATTGTTACTTTTAGAAATTCCAAAAATGCAAATAAGTCCCAAGTTTCTTGTTCATGAAGTGATGGCAGGAGGAGGAAACTGCCCATCTTTCCTGGAACCCATCTACATTTTCCATGCTTATCTCTTGGGATCACATCTTCAGAAATCTCTGCAAATCGACCCTTTTTCCTCACACCTCGCAGATGATCCCCTCTGTGAAACATGCTTCCAATCCATCTTGAAATGGTTCCTAAGTGTTGCTTATGTAATACCTATCCTTTCCAAGTGGCATCATTTAAGCCAAATCTAAAAAGGAAAAAAAATCATTCATTCAATCAGACAGACATTTATTCAACAAAAACTTCTTGAGCACCTACTATGTGCCAGGAACTGTTCTAGGTGCTGAAGATTCAGCTGTGAATGGGGAAGATAAACTTCTTGTTCTCAATGCAAGCAACTAGGTGACCAGGGTAGGCCTATAAAGGGGTAACATTGAAGTCAGGATGTGAGTGGCTAGAGGTAGCCTGTTGTGACTGGAGAAAGCTTTCCAGGCAGACAGAACAGCTTGTGCAAACATTCTAAAGCTTGGCTTCTTCAAGAAACCAGAGTGGTTGGAACTGTGGGCAAGAGTCAGAATGGTGCAAGAAGAGGTCAAGTTAGGTGGTTAGGTTGAGATAATGGCAGTTTTCTAACTTAGCGTTATGCATTGAATTGTGTCTCTCTAAAAAGACATAGGTTCAAGTTCTAATCCCCTGTACCTGCAAATATTGGCTTTATTTAGACATAGGGTCTTTGCAGAGGTAATTAAGTTAAAATGAGTGCATACTGCATTAGGGTTGGTCTTAACCCAATGACTGGTGTGCTTATAAGATGAAAAAAACTTGATACAGGCACAGACACCTGTTTAGAGAGAATGCTATGTGACGACAGAGGCAGAGATTGGAGTAATGTGTTGATAGCCAAGAAACAGCCGGCAACCACCAGAAGCTAGGAAGAGGCAAGAAAGGACCCTCCCCTGGAGTCTTCAGAAAGAGAGCATGGCCCTGCTGACACCCTGATTTCAGTCTTCTAGCCTCCAGAAAGGATGTTTTAGCCACCCAGTTGGTAGTTCTTTGTTACAGCAGCCCTAAGGAAACAAATACAGTCAGGATAACAAGCTTGGATTTTATTCTATGAGTGATGGAAATAATTACAGGATTTTAAGCGGGGAAACACACAAGCTAGTTTTCATTTTATAAAAATAAATATGGTGCTAGGCCCAGTGGCTCACATCAGAATCTCTGAGTGCTGTTATCCCAGCACTTTAGGAGACTGAAGCAAGAGGGTCACTTGAGCTCATGAGTTCAAGACCTGTCTGGACAAAATGGCAAAACTCCATCTCTACAAAAAATACAAAAAAAAAAAAAAAAAAAAAACCTGAAACAAAACAAAACAAAAAAAAACTGGCTGGGTGTGGTGGCATGCACCTTAGTCCCAGCTACTTAGGAGGCTGAGGTAGGAAGACGGCTTGAGCCTGGGAGGCGGAGGTTGCAGTAAGCCGAGATTGCGCCACTGCACTCCAATCTGGGAGACAGAGCCAGACCCTGTCTCAAAATACATACATACATACATACATACATACATACATAAGGCTGCTGTTAGGCAGAATGGATGGGGAAGTGGAGGCAAAGTGCAGAAAAGAACACTACTAAGGAGGTATCACGTGGTCTAGCTGAGAGACACTGGTGGCTAAACTAGGGTGGAAGTAGGGAGGTGGAAAGAATTGATTGGATTCAGGGTGTACTTTGAGATGGAACTGAAGTGACGGGTGAGAGAAAGCACAAAATCTAGGACAATATCTACATCTATTCACAAAATCTTTGCTTTAATAGTACATTTTTATTATGTTAGTTATAAAACACTAGCATGTATTTACTTACTGCTGATTTGGTTAACTAACTAGACTTATTATTGGGCAATAATACTGGCTTTGTCTCTAAGTTTCAAAACATTCCTTCTGTAATACTAAAGTAATAAACCTTCAGAATGAGACAGCAAAAGTTCTGTGCAGAACTTTGGGAGAGGGCATGAAGAAAAGGAAATAATCCATATTTCCTCATCGGGGAAATGGACATAATTTCAGTCAACTACGCATTGCCACTGCACTGCAGGGCAGTGGCAAGAATACAGGTCTTAGAGATAACAAATGACACGCTAGTCCTGGTTCTACTGCCAACTCGCACGGGACTCTGAGCAACTCACTCAGCTCCTCTAAGCTTCATCTTCCAAAGCCTTTAAATGGGTTACAGTTGTTGGTTTCTAAGCTCTTCCCAACTCATAATGTTGTGTGTGTAACTTTCATTAGATTATTTTTGAACACATTAAAGAATTTGAGTCAAAACCAGTGTTAGCACCATATTTGGAATGTTAATTAGAAGAAATGTAGCATTCTAAATTATTTGAAGTCCTGTTTCTGGTAAGATGGAAAACTGGTTATTAGGATCAGTCAATTGAAACTACTACAAATAATGAATAAATGCAAAAATGATTAAAAGTATGGAGGAATTGACATATATAAAGAATAACCAGGCCAACATATAGGTGTAATCTGGGCCATGGGCATTGCTATGAAGCCCAGGGCTTACCCTAAGAGCTACAATAAAGGCACTCCAGCTGTAGACTTGTCCCATCTTCTCCCACCCCTACCTGGCTACAAGAAAAGTTGCCTTGACACTGAGGGAGGGGATTTGCAGAATCTCTGAGAAGATATTACCAGAAGCCGGACCTCACATATATTTGCATCCCAAATTCACAGAACTTGGGTGATCAAGAAAACCTCAGGCTATGAATTTAATTAAAAAATTACTCAATATGACAGTGTCTCAGGTGACTGGAAAGGCAAAAGAAAACACATCATCTCTGGAGAAAGGTTTCAAAGAAGTCTCAAAAATAATTTTTCAAGGTTGATGAATAACAGTCCAAAATACTCAAGCACACAAGGAAGCAAATAACTAAAGAAAGAATAAGCAATAAAAACACACAGCAATGAAGCCCCCCAAATATTAAGATATTTCAATTATCGAACTTAGATTATAAAAACAACTATGATACTATGTATAAAGATATAAAGGACAAGCTTGAAAATATATCTGGGGAACAAAAAATGATTTAAAAAACACAGTAAATTTGAAAAAGAAGCAAATTGAATTTTTATAAGTGGGAAACACAGTAACTAAAATTAAGAAGTAAATGGATAGACTTAACAGCATTGTAAACATAGCTAAATAGAAAATTAATGAGCTCGAAGATATGTCAGAAGAAATTACCCAGAAAGCAGCACAGAAACCAATAGATTAAAACTATGGAAAAGAGGTTAAAAGAAATGGAGAATATGAGAAGTTTGAAACATAAGAGTTTCAGAAGAAAAGAATATGGAGAATGGAAAGGAGATTATATTTGAAGAGATAATAGCAGAGAATTTTCCAGAACTGATGAAAGATTTCAACTTACAGATTCAGGAAGCTCAGCAAATCCTAAATAGGATGAATAAAATATAAATCCACACGTCAACACAATGAAGTGAAATTATAAAACGCCAAAGACATAGAGAAAAATCTTAAAATTAAAAATACAGATTACTTTCCAAGAAACACCCTAATAAGCTAGAAAAGTAGTTGAATTCTCTGCAACAATGAACCCCAGAATATAAATATAATATCTTTGGTTTTTTTTTTTTTAGACAGAGTCTTGCTCTGTCACCCGTGCTGGAGTGCAATGGCGCAATCTCGGCTTACTGCAACCACTGCTTCCTGGGTTCAAGTGATTCTCCTGCCTCAGCCTCCCAAGTAGCTTGGATTACAGGCAGGCGCTACCATGCCAAGCGAATTTTCATATTTTTAGTAGAAATGGGGTTGCATCATGTTGGCCAGGCTGGTCTCAAACTCCTGACCTCAAGTGATCTGCCCGCCTTGGCCTCCCAAAGTGCTAGGATTACAGGCATGAGCCACTATACCCGGCAAAATATAATATCGTCTATGTGCTTCAAGGGAATAACTGACAATCTAGACTTCTACACCCAGAAAAAAAAGTCTTTTTTTTTTTCAAAAGTGAAGGTAAAATAAAGATACTTCTAAACAACAAAAACTGAGAGTTTATCACTACAGGGCCTATATTAGAGGAGCTTCTTTTCATTTTACTTCAGGCAAAATGACAAGGAACCCAGGTGGAAGGTCTGATATACAAAAATGAAGAATTTTTTAGAGGTGGTAAATAATCAGGTGAATTTAAATGAAAATGACTGTATCAAACAATAATAATGATGACTGGAGGGGCTAAAAAAGAAAAAATTAAAATGCATGGCAACAATAATATATAAGTGTGGGGGACAGAATATAAATGGAATTAAAGTGTACTAAAGTCCTTGTATTATTTAGGAAGAAGCAAAAGTATGGTTAACTTTAGACAACTCTAATAAGTAAGCATGCTGTAATTTTTAGAGTAGCCATTAATACAACAGAAAACAGAACGCTTGACTTCCAATGAATGGGAAAGAAAAAATTAAATAATAAAAAATAACTCAAAAGGAAGGCAGAAAAGACAGGTAAAAGGAATATATAGAATACAAAAAATCAGTATAGATTTAAGCCCAAATTTATTAGTAATTTTTAAAAATACGATTGGACTAAACACCTAATTAAAAGACAAAGATTGTCATATTAGATGTTATGGGTTGAAATGTGTCCCTCAAACACATATTGAAATCTCAACTCTCAGTACCTGTGAATGTGACCTTATTTGAAAATACAGTCTTTGCAGATGGTTGAGTTAAGATGAGGTCATAAGTCTGGGTCTTAATCCAATGTGGCTGGTATCCTTATACAAAATGGAAATATGGACGGAGAGGCAGACACACACAGATGGAAGATGATGGGAAGACATGGGGAGTAAGCTGTCTACAAGCCAAGGAAAGCCTGACACTATCAGAAGCTGGGAGAGAGACATGGAACAGATTCTTCCTTACAGGCTCAGAAAGAACCAACACTACCTACACCTTGATCATGAACTTGTGGCTTCCAAAACTCTGAGACAATAAATTTCTGTTGTTTGTTATCTAGTTTGTTGTGTTTTGTTATATCAGCCCTAGAAAATAAATGCACTCTTTTTTTTTTTTTTTTTTTTTTTTTGTTCAAGGTCTCACTCTGTCACTCAAGCTATAGTGCAGTGACACAATCATGACTTACTTCAGCTTTGAGTTCCTGGGCTCAAGCAATCCTTCCACCTCAGTCTCCCAAGTAGCTAGGACTACAGGTGTGCACCATCACAGTTGGCTAATTCATTTATTTTTTGTAGAAGCAGGGTAGTGCTATGTTGCCCAGGCTGGTCTCGAACTCTTAGGCTCAGGTGATCCTGCTGCCTAGCCTCCCAAAGTGCTGGAATTACAAGCATGAGCCACAATGCCCAGCCTAGATTTTTGTTTTTTTAATTATGTTCTCCTTCCTTTTCTTCCTTTCTGTTATGGACTGAATGTTTGTGTACCCTCCAAAATTCATACACTGAAGTACTAACACCCAATGTGAAGGTAGTTGGAGGTGGAGCCTTTGGGAGGTACTTAGGTTTACATGAGGTCATGACGGTATGCCCCATGAAGAGATTCATGTTCTTGTTTTTTTTTTTTTTGTATGTTTTTGAGACAGAGCCTCGCTCTGTCATCCAGGTTGGAGTGCAGTGGCACCATCCCGGCTCACTGCAACCTCCATCTCCCAGGTTCAAGCGATTCTCCTGCCTCAGCCTCCCAAGTAGCTGGGATTATGGGCACCCGCCACCACACCCAGCTAATTTTTGTGTTTTTAGTAGAGACAGGGTTTCACCACATTGGCTAGGCTAGTCTCAAACTCCTGACCTCAAGTGA
The DNA here is from genome assembly GCF_000001405.40 of Homo sapiens. Lineage (NCBI taxonomy): Eukaryota > Metazoa > Chordata > Mammalia > Primates > Hominidae > Homo > Homo sapiens. Next base: position 107,763,627 of record NC_000006.12, read on the forward strand.
TCTGCCTGCCTCTGCCTCCCAAAATGCCGGGGCTACAGGTGTGAGCCACTGCGCCTGGCCGGGATTAGTGTTCTTAAAAGAAGAGGAAGAGAGGCCAGAGCTTGCTCGCTGTCTCCACCATGTGAGGACACAGTAAGAAGGCAGCCATTGCCAAGACAGCCCTCACAGAACTGAATCCTGCTGCACCTTGATCTTGGACTTTAAATCCTCCAGAACGATGACAAAATTAATTTCCATATTGAAGCCACCCAGGCTATGGTATTTTGGTATGGCAGCCCGAGCTAAGACACCTCCCCACCTCTATTTAAGGAAGACTAGCTTTGTCCATGTCCCTGCCCATAGTTTTCCTTGTGGACACATTTCTCCTTGGAATTCACATTCTTTCTTCATACAAAACTCCCTTGGGGTTCTGAGGAGATGCTCCAGGGGAACAAAGTTAGAAGACATTGAATAACTCACCATGTTTAACCACAGACTTTAGTCTAAAAACTTGCCTGCTGGAAATGCAAATTGGTTCCAATAACAAGAAGCTTGTGGCCAGTGATCTAATTCCATTCCTAGGAGTCAGCCTGTAACTGGGTCTACTCGTACATTTTTCCTTCTGCACTTGGGGGAGATGTTAAACACCCAAGAGATGGAAGGGCTGGTACCTTTTGGCCTTGAGGCCTGCTTTGGTCAAATCTGGGATTCTAATTAAATAATCATTGCACTAACACTTTCTTAGGAAAGTAAAATTACCCAAATAAAATAGATTGCCTTCATCACAGTGAAAGCAGAAGGGGATGCTTGGAGGTGGGAGTGGAATGGCCCACCCTTTCTTGTGCCTTTCAGAGATGCAAATGATGTGGGACAGGATTCGGATCCTATGGGTTCAGATGCTGGTCTGTATCCAGAGAGGGGCTGAGACTGGTGATGAGGTGGGGAGGGCTCCTGCTCTGCCTGAGGTGGGAAGGAATGGTTTCATTTCCTCCTCACCGAAGGAACCCAAGAGAGGAGACAATGAAGCCAGTATTCCATGGGTACCAGGAGAGAGAAGGAAGAAAAAGAAAAACAAAAAAGTTCTATCTGATATGGTTTCACTGTGTCCCCACCCAAATCTCATCTTGAATTGTAGCTCCCATAATTCCCACGTGTTGTGGGAGGGACCCGGTGGGAGGTAACTGAATCATGGGGGTAATTTCCCCCATACTGTTCTTGTGGTAGTGAATAAGTCTCACCAGATCTGATGGTTTTACAACGGGAAACCCCTTTCGCTTGACTCTCGTTCTCTCTTATCTGCCACCATATAAGACATACTTTTCGCTTTCCACCATGACTGTGAGGCCTCCCTGGCCATGTGGAACTGTGAGTCCATTAAACCTCTTTTTCTTTATAAATTACCCAGTTTCAGGTATCTCTTTATCAGCAGGGTGAAAACAGACTAATACACTATCCTTAAATAAAGTAGGATTCAGAAAAACATCTATCCATGACAGTCATTTAACAGAAGCTGTCCACTATGGCCTGCAACACCAACAATCTTTAGCAGAAACCATACATGTCAAGAACTGCTTGGTGTGATTGGGTGTCTTACAGAAACTGGTGAGGGGGTCAAGTTCTGTGCATCAGTGGCAATGGGATCAAAACTGTCAGCCCAGCTGATGAGAATGGGGACATGGACCATCCGGGTACAGGCATCCTGAGCTCAGCAGAACTCTGATCCCCCAGGGGCTGGAGCCGGCTTGTACTAGTCCATGAGAGAGGATTGTTACATCTTCAGGAGTATTGCAAGTGGATTGTTAAACACAGCCCTTATTAAAAATTATGAGGCAGAGGTTGCAGTGAGCTGAGATTGCGCCATTGCACTCCAGCCTGGGCAACAGAGTGAGACTCTGTGTCAAAAAAATTTTAAAAATAAAAATTACAGTATATACACTTACAAGTTAATAAAGTTTGTAGGGAGTCTCTGAACCTACTCTGGCTCAGGAGGCTGCCCCATTCACAAGTCGTTTTTTACTTAGTGAAACCAAACAAACAAACAAATAAATAAAAAGTTTATTAAAAACAAAAGTAATAAATACTGACAACTCATCACTTGCTAATTTTACGACTCCATCTGTATTTCCAAGGGTTTGCTGCTGTACATCTTTTCCCAAATCCATATTCAGGGATGTGAATTCATTGGTGGCTCAATATTGGCCATGAAGGGAATATTTACACCTTAGAATCTGGGAAATGCTGTGAATTAGAGCTGTGTTGATTTATAGATTTTAAAAAATGATGGAGAAAATACTAAAAATGCAGATTAAACTTAAAAGCATGTCATGTCTATAGCTGTTACAATGTGAATAGCACAAAATACTTAAATTCTTTTTTGTCTTCAAAAACTATTATCCAATCCAGGCATGGTGGCACATGCCTGTAGTCCCAGCTGTTTGGGAGGCTGAGGCAGAAGGACTGCTTGAGGCCAAGAGGTCAAGGTTGGCCGGGTGCAGTCCTCACACCTGTAATCCTAGCACTTTGGGAGGCCCAGGTGGGCGGATCACCTGAGGTCAGGAGTTCAAGACCAGGCTGGTCAACATGGTGAAATCCCGTCTCTACTAAAAATACAAAAATTAGCCGGGCGTGGTGGTGCACACCTGTAATCCCAGCTACTCAGGAGGCTGAGGCAGAAGAATTGCTTGAACCTGGGAGGCGGAGGTTGCAGTGAGCCGAAATTGCGCCACTACAGTCCAGCCTGGGCAATAATGTGAGACTCCGTCTCAAAAAAAAAAAAAAAAAGGGTTCAAGGCTGCAGTGAGCTATGATCTCGCTCCTGAATAACCACTGCACTCCAGCCTGGGCAACATAGTATAATAAAACCCTGTCCAGATAAAAAACAAAACTATTATCGAATTTAGCAAGGAAGTCATTCTCAGTCTTGACAAACAAGGAAAGCTCTGACATAAGACCTCATTGTTTACGCTCATTTTACTCTTTAACATGAGTGAAAATAACAACTAACATTCATGTCAGAGCTATGCTCAGAATGCCAGCTGTAAAACATTTACCAGCCTACCACTGCCTCAGATCCACCTCTGAGCCTCACCCCTGACCCCTGTTCCAGCCCTGGGTGCATGGGCACTGGGGGGTAGGCAACAGAAGACTCAGGGGATACAGTCCCTACCCTAGGTGCTGCTCAATGTTCAACCCGAGGAAATGGCCCCTGCCTTGTGACTGTGTCATAATTTCCCCCACAGACCACAGGTAGCAATCCATACCTACCATCAGCAAGAGAGGGACCCTGGAAAGAGACACAGGAAGGGTATTAGGTAGCCACTCTTCCCATCTGTACTATTAAGCTATTTTTTTTTTTTTTTTTTTTGAGACAGAATCTCGCCCTGTCACTAGGCTGGAGCGCAGTGGCATGATCTCGGCTCACTGCAACCTCCGACTCCCTGGTTCAAGCAATTCTCCTGCCTCAGCCTCTCCTGACATGAATAGCTGGGATTACTGACACGCGCCACCATGCCCAGCTAGTTTTTGTATTTTTAGTACAGACGGGGTTTCACCATGTTGTCCAGGGTGGTCTCGATCTCCTGACCTCGTGATCCATCCACCTCGGCCTCCCAAAGTGCTGGGATTACAGACTTGAGCCACCACACCCGGCCTATTAAGCTATCTTTAATGTCTGTAATACAACTCCAAGCAATACAACATCTGGACTGCCACAGAACCCGTGATGCCAATTCAACAGTTCTAATGAAAACACATTTAGAAAGAGGCTTTAAACAAATGTTGAGACAAACAAACGAAAACCCTTTCTACTTAAGTTTGAATACTCAAGTTTCTACTTAAGTTCTCTTGCTTGAGATTTTTGTGAACTTGACTCTCTTGTTACACAGGGCAAAGAACACCTATTTTTTCAGAAAAAGAAAAAGGAAGAGAGAACAAAACAATCCAACGTACTGAAGGATTACAAAACATTGCATTTACCCATATTAATTAGAAAATTACTTCAGCAAGCGAATTTTCCAGTTAACAGAAGCCTGTCCTTTAGGTACTCAACAGAAGCTGCTAGCTGTTCCCAAATATCCATTCTCCTTTCTCCCTTTAATAGTGGACTTCCTAAATTTTAGCTGATCACTCGGTAACCAGCACTGCGTTTCCTAGCTTCCCTTGTAGCTACGGGTGGCTGAGTGACTAACTGCTGGCCTGAGGAATGCAAATTGTAATGGATGTGTGACTTCGAGAATTGAGCCCTTCAAGGAGACAGGCGTGCCCTCTGCTAGCTCTGTGTTCCCATTCTGTTGTCTAAAACAGTGGGACAGTGGGACCTGGAGCAGCCACGTCAGACCAGGAGGTAGAAACTGTGTGTTAACAATGGCAGAACTGGCTGGGCCCGGTGGCTCATGCCTGTAACCCCAGCGCTTTGGGAGGCTGAGGCGAGAGGATCTCTCGAGCTCAGGCATTCAAGACCAGCCTGGGGAACTCGGTGAGACTTCATCTGTACAAAAAAAAAAAAAAAAAAGTAAAAAAGTAGCCAGGCATGGTGACGTGCATCTGTATTCCCCACAACTCAATTGCTTGACCTGGGAAGTCAAGGCTACAGTGAGCTGTGAGGGTGCCACTGCACTCCAGCCTAGGTGACAAGCAACAATACAGGAACAGCCTGGGTCCCCACCCCATGGAGCCATCATACCAGCCTTCCCACACTTTAACATGAGAAAGAAATTAGCTTCTTTCTTCTTTAAAGTCACTGTTATTTAGCCCTTGTTACAGCAGCTGAATTTGTATCCCGAATGACACAATTACCAACATTTTAAGTCATTTTAACTATTTTGTTTTTAACATTTCAAGGATGATAGCCTTTCTAGAACATGCCACACCTTTCTTAACTCATTAAACAGAGCAGACAGAACATCGTTTTCTCTTTTTTGACTTGAGAAGCATAATTGCTATTCTGAACAATAATACAAGGCGATGGCTGAGGAGCGGAGGGCTGCTGCCTCCTGTGGGCTTGGTTCATTCATGCCTAAGTCCTGCAGTTTTTCTACACTTCTTTCCTCTCACTCTCAAACTATCAAGGATCAAATAAGAAATACACACAAAATGCTTCCACCCGGAGCCTCAAACGTAAAAGTATTCAATAAATATTTTGTATGATTATGATTGCTATTAGTATTATTATTACCTTTTATTGGGGACAAACAACTACTTTTCAAAACCCAGAACTTGTTTCTTCTGCTTAAATAAAAATCCCAACCAGGAAGACACAGAAGATTGAAATCCCACTATTAGAGGCATTATAACCAGCTGGCTCAACAGAATGGAAACTAGGATTTGTTCTCACTGCAGCCCCCTCTGTTTCTTTAAAAATACCTTGGTGGTCTTTTTGGTCATGAAATGTAAGGAAAATCTACCTATTGATCTTGGGGAGTCTCTGAACTAAGGACCTCAACCAATAGCAGATGTTTCAAATGGAGAGGTAAATGCTCTGTTTGATCATGAACAAGGCTATCTTCATGGTAGTCAGAGTGTGGCTCTTCATAGAACATACGACGTTCAGAGGTTTTGCTTTCTTTGACCAGGGCAAGAAGGGGGCAGTAGCACCATAAAATGTGATACTCTTCCAGCTGTGAGTCTGCCCCAGTCATGTGGCTGCGAGCCTGGGGCCAAGAGGGAGATGGCCAGATGGGCCCTGGGAGGGGGCCTGACCTATGAACTCTAGAGCATTGACACCTGACCGCCAGTGTAACCCTCCCTTATCTGCCTGCAATTCACTCATGTTATCCTCAGGAAGCAGTTAAGTGTCACAGCCTGTGTTACATGTTCTTGAGTCTTGAAGGCAGGTCTTGGACCAGAGAGAGTTCCCACATATGCACAGAGGTGATTGACAGAGCAGCTGGGGAAGCATCAGGCAAGAAGTGACAAATGTCAACCAGCATAGACTTGTTATACAGTCAACACAATGAGGCGTCCTCAGAATCTCCTGGAGAAGAGCCTGCCAAAGGCTCAGAAACATATGATTTTATTACGATGCTATTATTAACATCAATATATCATTATAATAATGTTATTATTGATATAATAAAATTATGTTATATCTTATTTTATAAGATTGACATTACTGTATTATTTCTCTCTTGTTAGTATATTATCATCTCACTACAAAAGTTATTATTCTCCAGTGTCCAGCTGTGTATGGAGTCTTCTCCCCAAAAATACCTTCCCCTCCAAATCTAAGGCTACTAACCAGCTATAATTGAGCTTGCAAGAAACATGTTAACAAAAAATGTAAACAAATTCTGATGGAAGGCCTGGAAGCATTTTCTTAGCAATGAAATACAAGATCTTTAAAAGTTAGACCAAGTAATATCTTACTTTGCTTGGTCAGGGTTTTTTTTAACAATTTCTGGCTCCCCAGCTGTGTCCCAGAGAGTTAAAATCATCAAATTAGTTGACATTTGGCAAATGGAGTGAAACTGTACAATTTCTGAGCTGGCTTCTTCACAATTAAAGTCCTGTCATTAATGGTAAAATGGGGTGTCCAGGTCTAGGAAATTGTCAAAATAAAACTGGGGAGATTAATAGGTTGCCAACTTTATTTTGCCAACTAAGAACATTTTTAAAAATTACTAAATCCTATTAACATACAACATTTAATAAAACAAAACATTTTACCACCAAGATAGTAGGAAGCAGATATTTCAGAATAAAGGATCATCCTTTAAGGGGAATCATTTGAACTTCATGAAGACTTTCAAATGGCTCTTGTTTTTCTTATGTCACCACGGATGGGTGGGAACTTCACACAGAATGGCACCCGGTTTGGAACTATTATTCTAGAACATTACGCCCATAGCTTGGGAAGCTTTCTGGGAGTTGTTGGCCTAAAATAATTTCCATACATTTTCCTAAATATATGGGAAGTAGATTCAAGGAAGAGGAGTGGCCTACTTCCCATAAGAGAAACTCTATGAGGAAATGGGAAAAGACTGCCTGCTTTGGGCAGAGCTCTGTATTATCAGCCAACCAACCCAAAGATTTCTTCCTGACCTGAGTTGTCTCTGAGTGTCATGAGTGCTGAAAACTACCCTTTTGAGGAGACAGGAAAATTGTGAAATCAGGTTCCTTTCATGGAATGAATTTTCCATTCTTCCTGGCCCCAGGAATGCTGAGTCTGTTGGTAATTTTCATTCTTGGGTCACAGCCTCCAGGAGAGTAGGAGAAAGGCCAAATAGGAGACAGAAGTCTTCAGTATGTTTCTTCGAATCCTGGATTTGCTCGATGCATCTATAAACAGAAAGGCTGCCCTGCTCCAGCCCTCCAGATGCAATTCCCAGAAGCCAACAACTGCACAGTAGTGAGTGGGTAAGACTGGCCCTACGCCAGCTTAAGAGAGAGTTCTAAAGCTGGCATGCACATGAAAGAAAGGAGATTCTTGTTGTTAGAAGAACAACCAGTGAGAGAAGACTTTACCTCATGAGATAGCTGAGTAAAAGCTTCTTTTACTAAAACCAATGACCCCACAATAACTTTGAGGAGCCTTCCTCCCACCTACTGATTTTATTTTCCAGCATTTGGAAGAACTATGGAGAACCAAAGGGATAAAGATTGAATTCATTACCAACTCTTCCAGAAGCTCTTTCTACTGACCTGAAATAATTTCCATATATTTTCCTAAATATATGGGAGTTAATTGCCAATTTGCATTCTGGTTTCAGTATTCAGGTCTCAAGATGGAAACATAAGCCTTTATTTCACGAAAAATAGATAAAGGAAAACTCCTGAAGCTCATTTTCTAATGCCCGAAAGGTTTGTGAAGAACAAGTGTAACATTTTTTTCCTCTCTAATAGCCTATTCAAAAACAACTAAGAGAAGCAGCCCTCCCTTGAGTTTGAGTTGGTTTATGATTGTGGTTACATCAGAGGATTTATTCTCCACCCCAGCCTCTCCAAATCACTGCTAATTCTTATAAGGGTCACAGGAATGTAATTTTGCCTGATATGCCTCCTTGTAGCCAAACTCGACATCAGCACCTTTTAGAAGTGGGAAACTAGGAATTAACACGCTGAATTTTCATTATGACTCTCTGTGTTGAGGTTCTGTTTGGGAAGACTTTCCCATGTCCTTTGACACTGGCCTGCTCACATTATTAATTTAAATGTCTCAGGAACATCATCTGCTCCTGCTAAAATAAATGACAAATGAGTTCTGGAAAGTGGCTTCAAGATTTACCCTAGTAGGAACAGTCAGGGGAAAGCTCAGTGTCTGAAACACTAATTTAGATGCAAGGTTTAATAATGTGTGTTTAGCGATGACCCTAAAATCTACTCACTCACAACTTTCCCCATCTGGTGTAATTTGCTTTCTCCACTTGGAAAAATGCACACGACAGCATGCATTATGGCCATGTTGTAACAGTGAGACCTCATCCGTCACATACTTCACCGAGGGAGGCTTATTTCTCATCCTGTCTCTACCAAGCTCCCAACCTCTAGTGGCATTTTGCAGTGCAGGTCTGACCAAGTACCCGTGCCCCAGCCCAATACCACTTTGGAGAAGGAGATGATGGAGCCGTACCTTGTACCCGGGTTTCCGCCCTCTTTTCTTTGGGATCTTCACTGCTGGTAAAGAGCCAGCTGAAGCAGAATAAAGGTTATGAACTGCCATCTTCATAGGCGTGGAGTGAAGTGAGGGTCGGCCTCGCTTTCTCCCCGGGATCCTTTGAGACTGCATTTCTGCTGGTGCCAGTCTTACAGAATGAGGTGACAAATCGCTCACAGGCAGAAGAGGTGCTAAGAATTAGTCCAGACACAAAGCAAAACAAAAACAGAAGGGTTTGTTTGGTTTGCAAGGCAAACATGATCCTGTCTGGTGATTTTGGCGATACCTACCACTTATTGGAGGGGAAGACCAAATATGAAGGAGCTAGGTACCACTAGATGCATTTACGATGCTGTTGGGCCTCTGGGGGAGTTAACTGGTGTAATTTCAAGGATGTTGAATTTCCATGGGGCAAGTGAAGTAGGGAAGATACTGGCTAGGCAAAGAAAACAATAGTTTCCCAGCTCCAAACACAGCTGATAATGTCACCAGCAACAAAATGACTTTGTCTGTGTCTCAGTTTCCTCAGTTAGTTCAACTTTGAACTGTTGTAACAATAATATTAAATAAACAAAGCCACTCTCTCATGTTCACTCCTATCTCTTTGCTTGAGTTATAAATTGTCATGACCTCTTTTTCTCTTGAAAGAAATTTAAGAAATTTAAATTGATCAAATCAATTGTATGAAAGTTGATGATGTCCTTGTATCAAAATGTGGACAGAGATTTACATACAGGTATGTTCATTTTAACATGATTTGTTCATTTTCACATGATTTAGAATTGCAAAATTAAAATGCGTGCAACCCAAATAATAAGCAATAGGAGAATACTTAATATCTGCAGAATAAAACAATCAACTAGTTAAAAGCCTTTAATGACACTTTTTGAACAACATGATGTTGAATAAAAAAAGCATCGCACATTAAAATGACCTCAACTATGCAAAAAATTTGTATGGTCAAAAAGTGGAAGCAGACATGCTAAAATGCCACCAAGGCAAAGATGGCAGGACTATGGGTAATTGTTCAGCATGTACAATCCTTTGTACAGATACCACACACACTACAATAATCTTAGCATGGCACTAAAAATATGAATAATAAGGCCGGGCACACCAGGCACACTGACTCATGCCTGTAATCCCAGCACTTTGGGAAGCTGAGGCTGCTGGATCACTTGAGCCTAGGAGTTCGAGACTAGCCTGGACAACATAGCGAAACCCCATCTCTACTAAGAATACAAAAATTAGCCAGGCTTGGCTGCCCATGCCTGTAATCCCAGCTACTCGGGAGGCTGAGGCAGGAGAATTGCTTGAACCAGGGAGGCAGAGGTTGCAGTGAGCTGAGATCGCACCACTACATACAAGCCTGGGTGACAGAGCAAGACTGTCTCAAAAAAAAAAAAAAAAAAAAAAAGAATAAGCTTCTCAGGTAGAATTGCCTAAACCTTGAAGCAAGAGGTAGTTGATCAAACTTGACTCAAAGAACATAGTGGTATCATGAGTTCAGGGGTCAGACTTCCTGGAATGTTCAGGAATGTGATGAGTGAGGCAGAACTTTAGACTTTGATTCAGGGGTGATAAAATTCATTTTTAAGGATTAGTGGTACCTTACAGTGGAAATGAGAGGCTTTTGCCCAAAAGCTTGTAGAAGAAGTTGGGGAAGACGATGGGCACAGTCCCTACACCCTGGCCTGGGCCTTGTCTACAAGGACAAGATTGCTCTGCTCAGGACAGAAAATATAAAATAGTGGAAGTTCTTAAAAACATGATAGGAAATATTGGGTATCCTTTATAGATTTAAGGTCACTTTGTTAATTTTCTGAATATGAGCAGTATTCTATCAATAATCTTGATTGTTCTTGGAAATACCATATGTAGTAAATAGAATTTTAAAGTATAAATTTATTTTTTGAATGCACTGTTAAACAGAAAACAATGCATTGTTAGACAGACAAGGTGTTCTGGATACGAATTTTTTTTCTGTTCTTGTGAGTTTAAGAAAAATACTCGGTCTCATTGATTCTAAGAAGCATATTTTTCATATATTAACATCTCTGAAATCAGGGTGCACCCTACAGTGTGTCAGAATTCCATAGGGAGCATTTTTTTTTCTATCTTAGTAGTACATAAAATAATGACAGGTGATATAACTAAAGGTATCTTAAAGTCAATCAGTTAGGATGAGGGACTATAAGCTCATTAACATGTGAACAAAAAAATCATCCTACTTCTAGACTTAGTGCCAATAAATATCCAAAATATTTGTTTTCCAAAAAGAGGCTACTAAAAACATTGAAGAACCACCAAATTTATTTAATAAGATTTTCGCTATGTGAAAGTTGGTCCGAGTCTAATTTTGAACTATTCTCATCAAGTTTCTGCTTCTTCCTTATTATTTTTATAGACTTTAAACTCAGGAATTATTTTTTTCCTAGTTTGGGACATGCTTCTCTGCTTTACTACTTTGTCTTTACTGAGGAGTAAAGACAACCTATCCAGTAACATCAAGATCCGAAGTCAACAAGAGAAAACCCATGATCAGGCTGGGTGCGGTGGCTCACACCTGTAATCCCAGCACACTGGGAGGCTGAGGCGGGCAGATCACCTGAGGTCAGGAGTTCCAGACCAGCCTGGCCAACATGGGGAAACCCCGTCTCTACTAAAAACACAAAAAATTAGCTGGGCATGGTGGCAGGCGCCTATAATTCCAACTACTAGGGAGGCTGAGGCAGGTTGCAGTGAGCTAAGATCGCGCCACTGCACTCCAACCTGGGTGTGACAGAGTGAGACTCCATCTAAAAAAAAAAAAAGAAAGAAAGAAAGAAAAGAACAACAAATCAGCACTCACATGAAAACATCTACAAGCATTTAGGCAAGATAAACAGGTCATTTACAGTGGAAAGAATAAACAGGCCAGTTCACTTCAGCACCATCAGCCAGAAGATAATGGAGTCACCATGGTGGCATTTTTTTCCTGTTATTTATAGTTGTTGACACACTTGCACCCACCACAGGGCCTTTGCTTTTGCAGTTCCCTTTGCCTGGAATGCTCTTTCTTCCCCCTCTAGTCCATGCCTCTCCTTCCTCAGTTAACTCAAGGAAGCTTTCTCTGACCCCGCTAGGGTTTCCTGAGCTTAGAGTTCCTCAACTGAGACACAAACCCACTGCATGTGCAGTATCCACCATGGAGCTTGAACAAGGGAAGCCCATGAGAACATGAAGTTGTGTGACTTGCTGTATCTCTGACCTAGGAGCTATCTGTCTTCTGCCAGCATCTGTGACGCCAGGGCCGGTTAATTTGTTTGCTGTCAGAGAGGGTAAAATCTCAGACCCTTCACAGTTCTTCATATAGATTTCATAAGAAGTAGAAAGATTCCAATGAAGGAAATAATGTTTCTTAAAATTTTGCTAATGTCCTTAAATAAGATTTGAATAAATAAGATTATTTTATTTTGGGACAGATGGGTATTTTTAAAATATAATTTTAATTAAATGCAATCACATTAAAAATCCAAACTGACTTTAGAAAAAGAAGGGCAAAACAAAGTCTAGTGAGGAAGATTTGCCCTCCTAGTTATTAAAATGTGCTATAAATCTCCAATCATGGCAGCAGTATGGTATAGGAGTAGCAATTGGGTCAATGGAAAAGTTAGTCCAGAAATTAAATGAATATTAAATTTCCATTCAAAAAATTTAGGAACATTTCACATCAAGACACGAAAGTGCAACAAATGATTTATGGACAACTGGCGTTTAGAAATAAATAAAATTTTACCTATATTTTAAAAAAATATTTTTAGAAATTCCCAACACTTAAATATACATAAAAAAAGAAACATTAAAAAGTCCTAAAGACAATATAAGTCAACATTTGTATGTTCTCGGAATGGGGATGAGCTTTCTAAGTACTGGATATTAGAAAACTTGGGAAGCAGAACCAGAAAGATTGATAGACATGACCACGTAAAACTCAAACACTTTCATAAAGCAAATGTAAAATCATAAAAAAGATTGAAAATAAAGCTAAGGAAACTATTTGCCACATATGGGAACAACAAAAGGTTAATACAAAGAACTGCAAATTATAAAAATACTAGGTTGGTGCAGAAGTAGTCACGGTTTTTACCATTGAAACTAATAGCAAAAACCGCAATTACTTTTGCACCCACCCAATAAAAGTGAAACTCACTCACCCAATACACACAGTAGAAAATGAGCAAAGGATACAAAAAGACAAGCAGGAAAGAAGGAAGGAAGGAAAGAGGTGAATTATTACAAGAAAAGATTCTGCACTTTATTGCCAACTCCCCCAAAAAGTAAATTAAGGTATCATTTGTCAATTGCCAGATTGATAAATGTGAAAAACCCTGACAATACTCATGTTGGTGAGGGGCTGATGCAATGGGCACTCTCATTGATTGTTGGCAAGGGTACAAATTGGCTAGCCTTTCTGGAGGACAATTTGAAAAGCACGTAAAAATTTACACAGCCACACCTCCTAATCCAACTTTATCACTCCTGAGGATTTATCCTAAAAAAAGAATCTGACAAGAGCACAAAGATATATGGCCAAGGATATTCTTTGCAGCATTCTTTGTAATAGTGAAATACTGAAAGCAATCAAAATGTCCCTCAAAACAACAGTGGTTTAGCACATTATTTCACATTCATAAAATGAAATATTTGTATGTATATATGTACATATACATGCATATGTGAAGATTGCAAAATAGCATATATACCTTGATTCTCTACATATATTTTATGTATATAGATAAAGATAAATCTGCACATGTTTAAGCATAAAAAGGTCTGGGGAAAGTAATCATCAAAAGGCTGATGACAATTGTGTCTGGGCAGGAAAATACTAAAAGATGCTCTTCCTTTCCTCTTTGTACACTTTTGCATTGTCTGAATTTGTTTTGTTTTGTTTTGTTTGAGATGGAGTCTTGCTGTGTTGCCAGGCTGGAGTGCAGTGGCACAATCTCGGCTCGCTGCAACCTCCGCTTCCCGGGTTCAAGCAATTCTCCTGCCTCAGCCTCCCAAGTAGCTGGGATTACAGGTGCTGGCCATCACGCCTGGCTAATTTTTGTATTTTTAGTAGAGACGGGGTTTCACCATGTTTGCATGATTGGTCTTGAACTCCTGACCTCATGATCTGCCCACCTCGGCCTCCCAAAGTGCTGGGATTACAGGCATGAGCTGCCACGCCCAGCCACATTGTCAGAATTTTTAAAATCAGAATTAGAAAAATAGGATAAAGAGAAAAATAAGCAATGAATGGATGATTCTTATTTTCTGAAAGTTTCTACTGAAAATTTTTGCTTCCTGGAATGGCCTTCTGTTTTCTTGTTTTCTAACAGTTTTTGTTCTTGAGCCACAGAACTTCAGTGGCTACTATGTTAACGTTGCAAACAAAAGTAACAAAAAGGCAAAAAGGTCTTTATCAATCAGCAAAAATATCAGAAAAAGTTGTTCCAGAGCTAAGAAGCACATCTATAAACAGATGATGGACAGGAGTGTTTCACCAGACCCCAGAAAGTAGCAGCTTGCCACCATCACCCTCCTTGCCACCACCTCCCCGTCCTTGACACCACCTCCCCACAGGTGGCAGCTGGGCCACTGCTCTTTTCCCAGATTCCCCCATCTCCAAAGACCTTCAAAGACCTCAAATGCTGTCCAAAGATATTCTACCCATAGACACATAATTTAACACATCCAAATATATAAATCAGGCCGGGTACAGTGGCTCACACCTGTCATCCCAGCACTTTCGGAGGCTGAGGCAGGTGGATCACTTGAGGTCAGGAGTTCGAGACCAGCCTGGCCAACACGGTGAAACTCCCATCTCTAATAAAAATACAAAAATTAGCCAGGCATGATAGCATATGCCTGTAGTCCCAGCTATTCGGGAGTTGAAGCACAAGAATCACTTGAATCCGGGAGATCACGCCACTGCACTTCAGCCTGGACAACAGAGTGAGCGAGACTCTATCTCAAAAAAAAAAAAAAAAAAAAAAAAAAATATATATATATATATATATATATATATATATATATATATATAACTTGAGAATGCCCAGGATCCTAGAGGGATATATGAAACCTCTGAATTTTTCTGCTTTCAATTGTGGACTTCAGTGCAGTGAATACTATCTCAGTTCAGGTCAGATTTGAAAGCCATCTTGAAGCACAGTGCTTTAGTAGTCATTAAAAGAGTCTGTCCCTAAAACAGCCTAGTCATCAACTTTCTAAGTCTCCAAGTTATAACCTTTAAACAGTTGTCAAATCGTGGCCTGGAATATTAAATCAAGTGATTTTCCGCTGGCTTCCTAAGTCTCCCTCTTCTTATCAAGCCAAGACTTGGCTAGAAATACTACAACGGAAAGCAAGAGTAACTAAGATCTGTTCTATTAATTTGGAATGACATTTTACATGTTAGCTTTGCAAATCTAACACATATCAACCAAGGTCCTGGCGAATCATGCTTCATCAAGATAAAGATCAAGAAATAACCAAATCCAAAGCATACTCCAATCCCATGGAGCCACTGGGTCATACAAGAGTTAGTCTGAGACATGTATTCATGTATTTACTCATTCATTTACTAATTTGTCCAACAGATTTCTGTTGAATAGACAGTGAGGCTCAAACACTATGCTTAGGTACTCTGATGTCAAATAAAAATAAGACACATCCCGGCCGGGCGCGGTGGCTCACGCCTGTAATCCCAGCGCTTTGGGAGGCCGAGGCGGGCGGATCACGAGGTCAGGAGATCAAGACCATCCTGGCTAACACCGTGAAACCCCGTCTCTACTAAAAATACAAAACATTAGCCGGGCGTGGTGGCGGGCGCCTGTAGTCCCAGCTACTCCGGAGGCTGAGGCAGGAGAATGGCGGGAACCCGGGAGGCGGAGCTTGCAGTGAGACAAGATCGCGCCACTGCACTCCAGCCTGGGCAACAGAGGGAGACTCCATCTCAAAATAAATAAATAAATAAATAAATAAGACACATCCCCTCAGATAGTCATTGTCTACAGAGAAGCAAACAAGCAAAGAGGCAATAATAACATGCAAGACAGGTGGTCTAACAGGTTTTGTATGAAATGCTATGAGAACACCAAGGAGGAGGGAGATCAATTCTTTTAGTAAGGTTGGGAAGGGTAGGAGCAGGTGATATCAGAGCTAGGATTTTCCCGGGCAGAGCAGAGCAAGATAGAGGCACAGGGCTGGTGATGATGCAGGGATGTTTGGTGGTGCATGGAGAAGGGGTAAGCCAGCCCAACTGGAAGCAGGATCAAGGCTTCTGTTGTTTCTGTAAGTGAACGGAGGTAGCTTTAAGGATGCCTAGCCTCTGCTGGACTCTAAGTTGTTTCCTTCTATTAACTGCATGGAGTGTGTTCCTGACCTTGGGGTAATGTTCTAACTCACTGTCATTTCGAAAACACAACCCTATCTTCTCTTGTTCTGGGACGCCATGTTGCCCTCACTGTGAGCCAATGTCTCCAGTGTCATTCTTCTGCCAGCAGTTTCATCCTAATGCTCGTGTGTCTGCAAGCTGCTTAGGGCTGTCTGTGAGGTGGTTCCCAAGGATCAAAATGCACTTTGGCATCTGTCTGAAATTCCACCATTTCCAAGGTGGCTCAAACTCTCCTGCTTTGGAGGCCTTTCCTCGTCCACACACTGGTCTCTCAACTCCTTTACCACCCATTGTGTGCACTTCCAGTTTCATCAAGCACTGATTACATGATGGCTTATACAGTTTTCCCTTTGTTTTGAACACATAAATGATATCTGTACATCCATGGAGGCCAGGGGCCGTGTTTCACATGTCACTCTGCTCCTTACAGCCCCTGGTACAGTATTGCACCCACAGAGCACGCCTGGCACCGGTGACAACCTGTTCACTGTGGAGTCTAGACATCTTACTGAGGCTGATGGCCCACAGCTGGAGTCGGAGGTGCCTTTGTATTTTAAATCTTTGGATAGAAATACATCAATATAATAGAATGCCTTTGATAGAACGAAACCTTCATACCGTTAAAAGAATAGGGCCACCAATATAATCTGTTAAAGTGAAAAAAAATAAATTCCCTTACACACATTTTTTTCCAATTCTGATACTAAAATTTGACCAACAGAAGCTAAAGCCAAGACTCACATGTACTCATTCTTAGCGTCAAATTTTTCCCTTGGATACTATTCTCCACCATAAATAAATCCAGGAGGCTGAGTGTGGTGACTCATGCCTGTATTCCCAGCAATTTGGGAGGTCAAGGCAGACGAATCACTTGAGCCCAGGAGTTTGAGACCAGCTAGGCAACATGGTGAGACCCTGTCTCTACAAAAAATACAAAAATTAGCCTAGCGTGGTGGCACACATCTGTGGTCCCAGCGACTTGGGAGGCTAAGGTGGGAGGATTGCCTGAGCCCGGGAAGTTGAGGCTGCTGTGAGCCAAGATCTCGTCACTGCACTCCAGCCTAGGCGACAGAGTGAGGCCCAGTCTCCAATAATAATAATAATAATAAAACTTAAAAAAAAAAAACCAGGACTCGTCAGAGATGACTGATTTCATATCTTGGGGATAGAGAAGAGTCGGCATTAGCTTGTAACATATTATTATTACCAGAACAAAGATAATTTTGAGAATATCATCGGTGCTAAGAGGACAAAGAAGCAACTTGTAACAATTTATGAATCAATAATAATAGTAACCATAGCAATGTAGTCAATTGACATAAATTGTTTGTGATAAGCAATGGTTTTTTTTTTATATTCAAAAGACTTAAATAAGGCGCACCAGACTATGGTTGTAGTTGTTTTAACACAAAAGAAGGGTGAATAGAATAAAAGTGATTTAGGCGATTTTAGTAAGTATAGGAGAGCTTACGTATAGGTATTTTGTTCTGTTGAGTACTGATATGCACAGTCTAAACAGAGAAAGTTAGAGTTTAAGGCCAGCTGGACAACATGGTGAGACCCTGTCTCTACAAAAAATACAAAAATTAGCAACAAAAATTAGAAACAAACCCAGTTTCTGAATACAAAGAAACTGAAAGTAAACCAGCTTGTCCTGAAAAAAATAGGAATTGACCCAGGAACAAAAAGACTGGCTAGTCAATCTCAGTCGTCCCACATGATAAGCAGGCCAAAAGAGGTTCCCCAAGCCGGGCGTAGTGGTTCACGCCTGTAATCCCAGCACTTTGGGAGGCCGAGGCGGGTGGATTGCTTGAGCTCAGGAGCTCAAGACCAGCCTGAGCAATAGGGCATAACACCATCTCTACCGAAAATACAAAAATTAGCCTAGTATGGTGGTGTGTGCCTGCGCTCCCAGCTATTCAGGAGGCTGAAGTGGGAGGATTGCTGGAGCCTGGAAAGTTGACACTGCCGTAGCTGTGATTGTGCTGCTGCTGTAAGCCGTTATTGTGCCACTGCACTCCAGCCTGGGCAACAGAGTATGACCCTGTCTCAAAAAAAAAAAAAAAGAAAGAAAGGAAAAAAGAGGTTCAACAGAACGTTCAAGGGTGATAAATCCACCAAATATCTTTACAGGAGTTGCAAGGTGCAAACTTGTTTCTTCAGCCAGTAGTAGATGAAGCTTCTAGATGTGTCTCATAAGTATATGGAGACCAAGGCTCATGCTCCTCCTTCTCCAGATGTAGAACTCTCAACTCTGTTGTTGGATGGGGGTACAAGGAGCTCCTCAGGTCCTAGTAATGGGCCCTCGCTGTGAGGGAAGACTCTGAAAGCCTGTCAAATCCATTCCACCATTGGCTAAACCTGTAAAAGCTATCACTATTTTCAAATGCTAGAACCTTCCCTGCCCCCAAGAGGGGTACAACAGCCAGGGTGACAGAAAGCCAAGATTCATATATTTAAGGACAAGGAGGAAAGATAAATGAAGTAAGAACAGAGAATATGCACAGTGAAGCGGGAAAAACACCCATTCCAGCCTGCAGGATTCGGAAACGCTTTAGAACATTTTGAAGCATGAGCAATAGGCATGCCGCAGAGGTAGGAAAAGTTTTCCTGGCCTGGCTCAGCTGTACCCTAAATCTACGTATTCTCTGGGGCCCACCAGTCTCCTCAGTTGGCACAGGAAGAGGAGGAAAGACTGCTTCTAACTCCAGTCCTGCCATCAGGCCTGCTTGTTGGGGCTGCTCCTTAGAAGGTGAGCTCAAGGGAGCATGAGAAGGGAGGGATCCGGTCCCGGGGGGCTGAGTGTGCCCCCTCCCTGTCTCAGATGTCCATCCCTTCTTTTTAAATCAAGTCCCACATTAACAGGCCTTACCCGGCACTGTGGAGATTGCACGTGGGGCCCTGGGCTGTTTCCCTCAGCTGCATTTCTTACTCTTCTCCTGCTCTTCTCTGCACCAAAGCAGGTGTTGTTCCCCTAGTTCCTGTGACTGTCAGCTGCTGGATAAGTTTGCCTGATGGCAGGTGCTGGTCTGAGTTTGCCTGATGGCAGGTGCTGGTCTGAGTTTGCCTGATGGCAGGTGCTGGTCTGAGTTTGCCTGATGGCAGGTGCTGGTCTGAGTTTGCCTGATGGGAGGTGCTGGTCTGAGTTAGCCAGATGGCAGGTGCTGGTCTGAGTTTGCCTGATGGGAGGTGCTGGTCTGAGTTTGCCTGATGGCAGGTGCTGGTCTGAGTTTGCCTGATGGGAGGTGCTGGTCTGAGTTTGCCTGATGGCAGGTGCTGGTCTGAGTTTGCCTGATGGGAGGTGCTGCTCTGAGTTTGCCTGATGGCAGGTGCTGGTCTGAGTTTGCCTGATGGGAGGTGCTGGTCTGAGTTTGCCTGATGGCAGGTGCTGGTCTGAGTTTGCCTGATGGGAGGAGCTGGTCTGAGTTTGCCTGATGGGAGGTGCTGGTCTGAGTTTGCCTGATGGCAGGTGCTGGTCTGAGTTTGCCTGATGGCAGGTGCTGGTCTGAGTTTGCCTGATGGGAGGTGCTGGTCTGAGTTTGCCTGATGGCAGGTGCTGGTCTGAGTTTGCCTGATGGGAGGTGCTGGTCTGAGTTTGCCTGATGGCAGGTGCTGGTCTGAGTTTGCCTGATGGGAGGTGCTGGTCTGAGTTTGCCTGATGGCAGGTGCTGGTCTGAGTTTGCCTGATGGGAGGTGCTGGTCTGAGTTTGCCTGATGGCAGGTGCTGGTCTGAGTTTGCCTGATGGGAGGAGCTGGTCTGAGTTTGCCTGATGGGAGGTGCTGGTCTGAGTTTGCCTGATGGCAGGTGCTGGTCTGAGTTTGCCTGATGGCAGGTGCTGGTCTGAGTTTGCCTGATGGCAGGTGCTGGTCTGAGTTTGCCTGATGGGAGGTGCTGGTCTGAGTTTGCCTGATGGCAGGTGCTGGTCTGAGTTTGCCTGATGGGAGGAGCTGGTCTGAGTTTGCCTGATGGGAGGTGCTGGTCTGAGTTTGCCTGATGGCAGGTGCTGGTCTGAGTTTGCCTGATGGCAGGTGCTGGTCTGAGTTTGCCTGATGGCAGGTGCTGGTCTGAGTTTACCTGATGGCAGGTGCTGGTCTGAGTTTGCCTGATGGCAGGTGCTGGTCTGAGTTTGCCTGATGGGAGGTGCTGGTCTGAGTTTGGAGGTAGAGGTTGGGATGGGTGAAGCCCATCTTTGGTGAAATTCCCATCTCTGGTGAAATCCCCATCTTTGCTTGGCTAGGTCCCTACTAGAAACTGCTCCTGGTCCATGGCTCCAGCTCCCTCTGAACAGGCCCAAACAGTGCCAAGCTCTGCTGGGCGACCTGGTCCTCGTTTCTGTCCTGCCACCTCCTGCCCCTGCCCCTCAAGCTTAGGGGTGGTTGCAGCTGCAGGGACAGTGGCTGAGTGCCCAGTCTCTTGTTTTGGCTCATCACTGTGCGACCATTTCCTGCATTAAATACTCAATGCCTTAAATACTAAAGAGATTTCCTACTTAGACCCCAACAGACAGACATGAAAAGGACAGCATCTGCCTGCCCTTGAGACCAGTTCGTGACCGGGCAGAATGGGAAAACTTGTAAGAAAGGGAAATTCCTATCTTTCCTATTATTTTAAAGCATGGAGTCTGTCTCTCTGTGGCCACACCTGGAGATACACCTGCAGGCAAAACCCGTAAGTCAAGAGAAGGGACCCAGAGGATGGGGAAGATGCAATGTTCTCTGCCACTGATGTGGTCAGCAGAATCATGGATAAAAGAAATGAGAGAGAATGACTTTTAAGATAAATGTGGAAATTTACACAGTGGCATGTATAGCATGCTATCATACAGTGGGTAAAGAAGATGCATGTAAGCATTTCACATCTATACATGCATGTATGCTTATGGATGCATAAGATACCACTGGAAGCATTTTTACAATAGTAGCAATTGTCTCTTGCTGGGGTGGGGAGAGGAAATGAGGTTCTAAGGACTGGAGAGAGAGGAACGGTTTTTTTCTCTGCATACTCTTTTTTACCATTTGAATGTTGTATATTTTTAAAAAATAAAAACAATCCAATAAAGTCAATCTAAATGAGTGAGTGGCTCTGATATCCTCAGCTTTTGATCAGCCAGGGCCAGCTGCCCTAGTGCGTGGGAGGTGAAATGAGTCAGGTACTCTGGACCCTGAAAAGACTCCAAATCACAAGCCCATATGTGGGGGCTGCACTCATCACGGCCCGTGGTGTGTGCATTTGCCCTGACTGGGATCCTAATCACCCCAGTGGTTTGGCTGAGCAGACCAGCAACCATTTCAGTGGGTGTTTATGGCACATGAGGCATAGTACCAGGTGCTAGTGGACATGACCCTGGACTTAGGGGGCTGGACTTTAGTGCTGGCTCTACTCCTAGCTAGCTGAGACAGAGACAAGTCACTTCACCATTCTGGGCCTCGGCCCCATACTGTACAGGTTCAGATCTCTCAACTCCCTGTTAAACAAAGCTGACAGACACGCCTGGTTTATTTATTTTCTTTATTTTATTTTCTAATTTTCTTATTTGTATCTTCCCGGTCCAGAGTTGTATTTGGGTCAAGGAGTGCATTCTTCTTCTATGAGTAGGACTTTAAACAAACGCTTTAAGGGCTCAGTTTCTCACTTAGACAGCAAAAGCAAGAAGAGGACCAACTCCCTGTGTCCCTTGTCCTAGAGGACAACACAAAACCTGCAGGAACAAGGTGACTGCGATCCGAGTGCTGTTGCGCCCCACTGCTGAGGAGCTGATCTCAGGCTGCAGCGAATCAGTTTCGTAGCCTGCAGCTGTGCCCTTAGACAGGGTGAGGCAGAAAGCCTCCCATCTCCTAAGCACCCAGAAGGCAGTGAGAAACATCTAGTGACAGCCTCCTGGGTGGATAGAGGGGTGAGTGGCCAATGGCCTTGTAGTAGCACCTCCCAAGCCTCCCACACTCTCATGCTCAGAGAGGATCACAGGTCACTCTTCCAGGACTGAGATCAGCCGTGGTCCAGCCTTGCCTATGTGGCCCATGTGGAGATGTGCAAGGTCACCGGGGTGCTGTGGTGGAGCCTGTCCTCTGCACTCCCCTCCTGACTTTGAGAAGTTAAATAGCTAGTAAGGGAGAGGAGACATCTGTACATGATATGGCAGGAGGACAGTTCTGAAGCAACTAGTATCTCACGGATAATGACCTAAGAGCCCAGGATGCTCAGAAAAAAAGAGAGGTCCTACGAGGCTGAGGTTTTCCAGGGCCACAAAACAGCCAAGGGAGGGGCAGAGCCTGGCGCATACCCTGCCTGACAGCTCCTCCGCACCTCACCCTCACTAGCTCCTTGCAGCCTAGTACTCCAAGGGGGCCTTGGGGTGCTCCCATTTTGCTACCAACCCTAGAGGACATCTAGGACAGCTAGGCTGAAGGCTCCCCTGTGTGCAGCCCTGCAGTCCCACTTTCCCTACTCCTAGCTCATTCCAGAAGGCTTTCATTATTATTTCCAAGTCTAAGAAAGTCTTCTGGAATAATGAAACTGACCTGCTTCTAATCTGAATCAAAGCTACAATGAGAACTCAAGTGAGTTGGATCGCAGCAGGTCTCAGAAGCTTCTAATCTGGGGCCCCCACTCATGGTTTTGTCTAAGGTTGGAGTCAAAGAAGAGGCATTACTTGTTCTTTGCTCAGCAAGAGGGAGCTTATCCTCTCTCCCACCAGTGTCAGTTTCTGCCTGAAATGTGAGTGGTTTCCCCTGGCTAGATGAAAAGGAGCCACCTACAAAAATTTGTGTTTCTCAAGGAAGTGGCTTTCCAGAGGCTCCTCCCCCACAGTCTTGCCTGAAAATTGCTACTTGGACAGAATCTTTCTATTCTACATCCTTTCTTGTGGCTGTAATTGACCCATTTCTATCACAGCACCTACAACATGTTATTCTGTTTATTGGCATCCCTGTCTCTCTGTTCTAATATGCTTGAGCTCCTTGGAGAAGGCTCTGTGTCTTCTTCCATCTATCCCCACCTGGTTCAGTGTCTGGCACATCTTAAGGATTGACAAATATTTATTAAATAAATGATGTATGAACAAATGAATGGACGATCAGTGTCCCAGCCCTCTTCCAGGACTCCTCCTATTCCTTAGCACTGAGGCAGCAGAGTCCAGCCCAGGGTACTTGTCTTTTGTTTTTAGTAGTGGCCACCAGGCTCAGAAATTTACCTGCAGAGGACTCAGCAACCACTTTCCAACAACAAGGCCACTGCAATAAGACGCAGAGCATCCCATGCTGCCAAGATGGCTCTTCGCCTACTTCATCTCTTTTAATTTTCACAATGGTTTTGAGATAAGCATTACTGTCCTCGGATTTCCAGATGAGGAGCTAAGGCCCAGAGAGGCTACATGAGATCACCCATTAGTGGGCAGAGGGTAGATTCCACCCCAGAGCTCTCTGCATAACTCCCTACAGCTGTCTCCCTGTGTCGGCCCTGGACAGAATTCAGAGAGCTGGCAACAGAGCTGGCTGGGGGACAGGAGAGAAATCTGATCCTTCAGGCCACATCTCCATGTCTCTATAGGATATAAAGAAATGGGACTGATACAACATGAAAGCTTGGATGGTATAAAGTAACCCAGTCAACTCTCTGGGCATGAAATAACCGGGTGAATAGAACAACATAATTATTTATTGCCTACAGAGCTGATCCGAATTTTTTTTTGAAGATTGCTAAAGAGTGGTTGCAGGCAGCAGTAAGACAGCAATTGCTGCGAGACACTTGTCTCTGCTAAGGAGGCAGCAGCTGCGACTGTCACTCAGCCTCGGCACTCACATCCCACAGTGTAAGGAAAGACACCTTAGAATGCAGCTACACACACACATATATATATATTTTTGCAAACCACTATTTCCTGTTTTGTTCTCTATTTATACTTTACATTTAGTTTTGAGAAAGCGCTGGTGGTTTGGTGTTTGGGTTGTTTCTAGTTCAATCTTTATCTATAAAGCAAATTCTCTTTTCAAGATGATTTTTTGTAATATAAACCAACAGTATAGCTAGATTCCTTTCACATACTTTGCTAATAAAAATTCTTACAACTTCAACAATAAAGCAACAAGATTCAAATAACACAAATCACAACTCTCCAAGTCGGCACCTTGCCAAGTAGGAATCCATTCACCAGTCTTGCGGGGGTGGGGTTGTGAATTCTTCAAGGAATTCCAACAGACATTTTCACACAGATTTTCAGGCATATAGATGCTCATCCTGAAGTACAGAAATGTGTAACTATGATACCTTCATATGATACTCTTTGGAAAACACTGAAGTATCTAAAACACTTTGTTACTGCTATGTAATGACACATAGCAACCCAATGTTTGCCCTCCAAGAACTGTCTAAGAAAGATACCACCTCGGACCCAGGGAACAATCAGCAGAAAATAAACATGAAAACAGCACCAGGACCAATGCCTTCACCTCTTGTGCAGGTCAAGGAAAGATGCATTTAGAGGTAAAAGGCAAGAGCAAGTGCACAGTTATCGTGAAATTGATTTTGTTTCTCCACATTTGGTAGCTGAAAGCTTTGCTTCCCCAATAGACAAGGACCATGTTTCTGCAAGGACCAGGAAAGCTGGCTTTGCATTGCAGTGGGCAGTAAGCAGAATAGCAGAGTGACTCTTGGGTATCAGTGTCCTGCCCTGTCAAACGGAGACTTCAGTACTTGCCAGAGCCATGTCACCAGGCTGCCATAAGGATCCCATGAGAAAATGACCATGAGATCCTGTCATAATTGGTAAACCCTGTGTGATACAAATTACTATTCTTCCTGGGTAATTATTTTCTTTTGTTCTCTTTGTAGAGAACAGAGAGTCAATAGAAACTCTATTTCCAACCATCTTGTTTGCAGTGTCCCTAAAGGCAACATAAAGACAGATCATTTCTTTTTATTTGCCAAGCAAAAGAAATACACCCATCCAGACAATGCGACATTCCTCATCTTTTTCTACAGAGCATCACGTTAGTCTTGTCTCCCATCTAGATGATGCCCATCTCATGGGGGTGAAGCTGCTACCAACACCCTGGTATTAGGGAGGGTTTTAGAGCTCTCTAGAAAGCTGTGAGCCAGGGAGGAAGGCTAGGGTACTGGTGGTGCCTGACACTGTCGCCATCATTGTATGTACAGTCACTACACACCGGTTTATTCTCCCCTCTTATTTCACAAAGAAAAAGCCCAGGGTCTTCAAATACTAGGAAAGTAAAATGTCACCAGGTCTGAGAACAGAATGGGTGAAAGAGTGGGGGCTGGAGCAAGGAGCATAGGAAAACTCTCCCCCAGTGTGTGTTTCCCTGACTTACAGGAAAGAAGACAAAATGCAGCCTAATTTGCTTCTGGTCACCAAGTATCACAAAGGCTTCTCAGCTGTCCTGATAGGCACAGTCCCAGCGTTGCTCCACCAGGGACACTGTGGGCAGGTCACTACTTCTCTGGCCCATGTCCCTCAGTGGCCACTCTTACACAGCCTGTTGGTTCCGCAGGCTTCACAAGTACTGCAAGACCAAGGTCAAAAGCGAATTCTTAACCCTCAAAGGGAAGTACTGGCCAGAAGTGGACTATTCTCTTTCTCTCCTCAATCATCCCTTCAATCATTTGACAATATTTTCTGGGGACCTAGAGTGGCCAGACACTAAGCAGAGCACAGGGACGTGAAGATGAACCCAGAAAGATCCCTTCCTTGGATGTTTGTGGGTAGACGGGAGGGAAGCGGAGCACCTCTGGTCATCACATCTCCTCTGAGTCCCAGCCCATCCTGCCTCCCCACTGCCCCGCATAAACACAGGTCCCTTTCCAGGCGGGTTCCTCTGGCATGTTGTGGTGTGCAGACAGCGCACGGCTGAATTCCCTATGTCCTGCGTCGTTGACACACAGCTTCTCCATCGCAGTCTCCCAGAATCGAGGAGCCTAGGATACATGGGCAGGTCACACAGGAAGAAACAGCCACCACACACACTTAGTCCAGACAAAGACAGTGGCCAATAATCACAAACACAGAATCTCTGGAGACCAGGCCTGCCGGCCCACAGCAAAACCACCAGATTCATCTCTGAGTCGTCCCTGAACAAGTCCTCCTTCCCTCAGAGCACCACACCTGTGGAAGGGAGGATTCCCAGCCTTGGTGGCCTCTCCCCTCACACTCATGTCCCCCGGGCTGTGGGCACTGATCCTGACACACACCACTGCACACAGGGCCCAGCTCACAGGACCAGCAAAGCAACAAATAGTGGGTGAATAAATGAATTAATAAAACGTACATACATGCATATATTATTTTATTAAATTCTCACTACAAGACTTTAAGGCAAATATTATTACGTACTCCCACCGTATAGATGGAGAGTCTGTCAAATCTATACAGATGACAGCTCAGGAAGGCTCCAGATCTTGTGAAAAGTGGCACAAGTCCAGTCTAGTCCAGCCTTTCAGCACTGGCACCTGGTCAACGAGAGGTTAGCTGCTGAGAGATCCAAGAAGTTTCATCTCCCAGCGCTTCTGTTTCTAGCTGGAGGTGGGTGGGAGATGTTGCATTTTACCAGCTGACTTCTCAAGATCAAAAAGCCAGGAAGCTTTGCAATCACCCTGAGACAAGTCAACAGTAGTATTACCATGGACAATATCTTGCCTGGTGAAAATCTATGTGACCTCTTGGGGCTTTGCATACAGTGAATCCTCCGCCAATATGGTTTGATTGACTCATAGAAAGAAAGGGGGAGAGAGAGCAATACAATGATACAATTGAGGACTTCCACTTCTTAGTTGCAAAAAGAAAGGTCAGAAAAGGAAAAATAACAACACTTTTTTCCTGCTTTCTCTCCCTCGGGGGTTAGCCAGCAAACAGGGGCTTACCGGATTATTTTCTAGGTCTTCTCCCCTTCGCAAAGGTCTCCTGGGGCCATGCAACAGCCGTTAAGTCAATTCTTAATTAGCTTTCACAGTTTACCTTTTGAAAATCCATATCTGTATGAATATTTATTGGACGCTTACTAAATGCAAGGCATTTGTCCCAGGCCCTGAAGATACAAAGGGATGTCAAACAAGCGTGCAAACAGAAAGGCACACACAGCATCAGGAATGGCCAGACGAGGACAACCATCCACACCTACTGCAGGAACCAACAAGTCCCACAAAGGTCAAAGCACCAAACAGGCCAGGCATGGTGGCTCATGTCTGTAATCCCAGCACTTTGGAAGGCTAAGGCGGACGGATCACGGGAGGTCAGGAGTTCGAGACCAGACTGGCCAACATGGTGAAACCCTGTATCTACTAAAAATACAAAAATTAGCCAGACATGGTGGTGCATGCCTGTAGTCCCAGCTACTCAGGAGGCTGAGGCAGGAGAATTGCTTGAACCCAGGAGGCGGAGGTTGCAGTGAGTGGACATTGCACCATTGCACTCCAGCCTGGTCAGCAGAGCAAGACTCCGTCTAAAAAAAAAAAAAAAAGCACTGAACAAGCCCAGGGTCACTAAAAATAGAGGCAACAGGGATGTGTCATTAGGCTAATTCTTAATTTCCAGAGCAAGAAGAACAGGGATGGAATTAGCCTACTGCTTAAAGTATACTGGAGGTTAGCAAGTGACAGGGAGACTCCCAAAATGCCTCAGGACTATTTAGTTTCAGTTTAGGACAGAAAAGAGAAGGGTCTCAAACTGGAGATGGCAGACGCATGCTAAGAAATTGGTCTGCAGGAGGGGTAGAGATAGTGACGGCAGCTCATCACTTTAATGAGCCCAAATCTCTCTCAGTGCAGACAAAACTCAGCCTCAAGTGCAGCAGGAGTTTACAGATAGAGTCTCAGAGTGGCCACTGGAAAATGTCTGAGAAACCTAGGAAAGAAGGGAAGTACTGGAAGAGCAGAGAAGGGCATATTTTATCCCAATTTCCAAAAGAGGTTGGATTTGGGATGTGAATAATCAGAGAACTGATTATTAAACAAGCTAGTAACACTTATTAAAGAATGTGGTAATTACTGATATTGGAACATTGTCTCCCTAAGAGCAAATTACTGTACTTTAAAGTTTAAGGCTTCAGGCTGGGCACAGTGGCTCATGCCTGTAATCCCAGCACTTTGTGAAGCCAAGGCAGAAAGATCACTTGAGCCCTGGAGTTCGGGACCAGCCTGGGCAACATGGCAAAACCCCATCTCTACTTAAAATATAAAAATTAGCTGAGCGTGGTGGCTCGTGCCTGTAATCCCAGTCCCAGCTACTCAGGAGGCTGAGGCAGGAGGATCTTTTGAGCCCCAGGAGGTAGGGGATGCAGTAAGACATTGATCTAACCACTGCGCTCCAGCCTGGGTGACAGAGTGAGACCCCGTCTCAAAAACAGGCAAACAAAAACAAATAAAGTTTAAGGCTTCACCTAACTAGATTTACTTTGGGGGAAGGGGAGGGGAACAAATAGGTGGGAAATCAGAGGACTGCTATAATCATGGGCCATCTTGATTGCAAAGTATTTGATAAAATTTCCCGAGATTATTTCATGGATCAGATAGGAACACGTGAGCAGAAGGATAACACTGTTGGGTAGAATCGTAACTAATGAGACACCACCCAGGATCCTGGTTGCATGATTGATGACAGCACCAACCTGCAGATGATCTCCAGTGGCATGCCACAGGTCTCTAGTTTTAGTTCTATTCTACCCAATAACATGAATGAAGATTTGGAAGGCAGGCCTATCATCAGATAAGCAAACAACATAAGTTTGAGAGGGATGGCTAATGTTACAGATTTCAGGATTGCAATTCAGAAAATTTTAGTTAGGTAGACCAAATCAATCAGACGAAAACTTTATAAGGTAAAAGGGGGCCGGGCGTTGTGGTTCACGCCTGTAATCCCAGCACTTTAGGAGGCCGAGGCAGGCGGATCACCAGGTCAGCAGTTTGAGACCAGCCTGGCCAACATGGTGAAACCCCATCTCTACTAAAAATACAAAAAAATTAGCTGGGTATGCTGGTGCATGCCTGTAGTCCCAGCTATTCGGGAAGCTGAGGCAGGAGAATCGCTACAATCTGGGAGGCAGAGGTTGCAGTGAGCTGAGATCCCACCACTGCGCTCCAGCCTGGTGACAGGGAGAGACTCTGTCTCAAAAAAAAAAAAAGATAAAAAGGATAAAATATCACCCCCAAATGTACCAAAGAGACTTGACAGGAAAGCCTTGCTATTTGAAAAAGATTTGAGAATATTGCTAATGACAAACCTCACTTAGATTTTGGTGTGGGCCATTTTATCAAAAAGCTAATGGGAATATAGATTGTATAGGATCCAGATCAAGGGAAACAATAACAAATTATCTACAATATCTGGAGTTTTCCACTTGCTTCTGGGGGTAAGAACTAAGACAAATATTGAATCCAAAAGGAGGAAGGAGAAAGGCATATAAAACTTTCATCTGGGGAACAGTCTAAATAACTGAAGGGAGTTAGCTTGGACAGAGACGGCTGATTCCATGTGGCAGCACAAGGTGGAGGCACAATGTGGTCGGCAGCCCCCAGAAATGACCCCCAATGATCCCCATCTCCTGTGTAGCCCTCTCTCCCCCTGTATGAAGGGTGAGGGTATCCAGCTATGAAATTATTAATTCAGAGGATGATTACTCAGAATTCTTGCTAAGACCCGGTCTAACTTAAAAACAGGAAAGCAGTAATTAATGTTCTTTGTTACCTCAGCAGCAACAAGAGCTAAATGAGATACCAGGTATCACAGCCAGTGGGTATTTATTCTACAGACAGGAAGCCCCTGCATGCACATGAGACACAGAACCAATAACTGGGAAGCGTACAGGACAAACAAATGCTTAAAACAAGCTGAACACCTGCAGAACAGGACCTGTTGGTTCATTCTCACTGTTCTAGAAGTGTGTATTTCTCAGTGTGAATCCAGTGGAATCCTGTTCTTTCTGCTTTCATTCTTTCTGTCGCTTCTTTATAAGGTGAGAGTTGCTCTTTTCTTCCTGAGGCAGATCCTAAACTCTAAGAAGCCCAATTTGGTAAGGATATTACAGCCTATTGAAATAACAAGGGAGCCGGGCACATTGGCTCACGCCTGTAATCCCAGCATTTGAGAGGCTGAGGTGAGTGGATCGCTTGAGCCCTGGAGTTTAAGACCAGCCTGGGCAACATGGTGAAACCCCATCTGTACCAAAAATACAAAATAGCTGGGTATAGTGGCATGCACCTGTGGTACCAGCTACTCAGGAGGCTGAGGTGGAAGGATTGCTTGAGCCTGGGAGGTTTCAGTGAGCCAAGATCACACCACTGCACTCCAGCCTGGGCGACAGAGTGTGAGACCCTGTCTCAAAACAAAACTAAACTAAACTAAAAAAACAAGCAAACAAAAAGAAGAAGAAGGCCAGTATAGAAAAAGAAAAATATCTTCTTCATCCCAACCATCAATCTCTCTTATTATGGTCTTATCATCAGTCTCTTGTGATATTTCATAACAAGTTTTCAAAAAGTATCTTTGCTATGGACCCAAGGGGCAGAGGTAGTCAATTAAGATGAAACCAAAAGATGTGATCACAGCAGAGTGACTGTTACAAAGAAGGTGCTCAATAGATGCTTATTGAATTGGTTTGCACTGGATTGGATTGAATTAAACAGATTAAAATGGAAATGCTCAGGATGAGACATTTAATAAACTTTCATCTAATTGAACTGGGCTGGCCAAATAAATCATGATAAATTCATATCCTGGAATATAATTTCCTCCTTTAGAAACAATCATTCCCTGGTCCCAAAGCAGCCTGGAGGGGCACATTCGGGCTTCTCTATGTACTAACAAGGAAATGTCTTCAGAATGTATTAGTCTGGTGGAAAACACTAATAAGAAGTAGCCAGTGATTATGTACAGTTATTTCACTTGTATGTTATCCAAACTGTATACAAGAAAGAACATATTATATGTATACGTATGTATATGTGTGTGTGTCTATATATATATATGCACATATATATATAATTTTTAGAGCACGTTTTGTTCAGTTTATTGATTCAAATCTACCTGAGTGTGCGAGGCAGATGGTTGAATACTTACTTCGATAACCTAGCTGAGTAGCATATGTGTTAGTTTCCTAACACTATCATAATGACCACAAACTTGGTGGCTTGGAACAACAAAATTTATTTTCTAACAGGCCAGAAGTCTGAAATCAAGGTGCCAGCAGGATTGATTCCTTCTTGGGGCACTGAGGGAGGATCTGAGAATCTGTTTCCTGTCCCTTTCCTAGCCTCTGGTATTTGGCCAGCAACTACATCACTCCAGTCCCTTCCTCCATGGCCTCATGACCTTATTCTCTCTCTATGTGTCTCTGTATCACCACATGGCCTTCTTATAATGACACTAGTCATTGGATTTACAGCCCACCTTAATTTATGACCTCATCTTAACCAATTATGTCAGCAAAGGTTCCATTTCCAAATAAGTTCACCTTCTGAGTTTCTAGGTGGACATGAATGTTGGGAGGGACACTATTCAACCCTGTACAAATAGTATACATCAACCTTTCAATTGGGGAAAATGCTGCCTTTTATCTTATTAGGTATAGTGGTGTGTTAATTAACTCATAAATTTAAAGCAGTCTTTTGCTGTCATTTAAAAGCATTTTTCTTGCTATATCCTTGGGGAAGATGAAGAAAATCTAATAGCCCTTCTTGTAATATTGCCATTTTTTTTAACCTCCCTGCTAATTTGTGCAACTAAAGTTTTCCCTGTAAATTTAGATTTTTTCCAATTTAAAATATTTTTCTTAATTGCAGTATAATTTACCTACAGTCAATTTCATAGGTCTTAAAAGTACAGTTTGAGTTTTGAGTTTTGACAAATGTATACACCAACGTAACTCATTCCCTAATCAAAATATAGAACATTTTCATCACCTTAGAAATATTCTTTTTTTTTCTTTGAGATGGAGTCTTGCCCTGTCTCCCAGGCTTGAGTGCAATGGCGTGATCTCAGCTCACTGCAACCTCCACTTCCCGGGTTCAAGTGATTCTCCTGCCTCAGCCTCCCAAGTAGCTGGGGTTACAGGCGCGCACCACCACACCTGGCTAATTTTTTTTATCTTTAGTAGAGATGGTGTTTCACCATGTGGGCCAGGCTGGTCTCAAACTGCTCACCTCATGATCCACCTGCCTTGGCCTCCCAAAGTGCTGGGATTACAGGCTGGAGCCACCGCGCCCAGCCAGAAAGGTTCTTTATGCCTCTTCTCTGTCAGTCCTACTCTTCCAACGGCAGATACTATTCTATCACCATAGATTAGTTTTGTCCATTCTTAAGTTTTACATAAATAGAATCATATAATGTATACCCTTTTGCATCTGGCTTTGTTAGCTCATAATTATATTTGTAAGTATACCAGCAGTTCATTTCTTTTTATTGCTGAATAGTAGACCATTTTATGTGAATATGCCACAATTTGTTAATTCATTCACCTGTTGATGGACTTCCTATTGTTTCCAGTTTTAAGCTATTTTGAAAAATATCTGCCAGAAACATTTCTCTACAAGTCTTTTGTGGACATATGTTTTTATTTTCCTGGATAATTACCTGGGAGTGGAATTGTTGGTTCGTAGGGTAGGTTATGTTTAACTTTATAAAGAACTGCCAATTTTCCAATGGTTATACCATTTTCACTCCCAGCAATGTAAGAGAGGGCCAGTTGCTCCATATCCTGACCGAAATTGGAGCTGTCAGTCTTTCATTTTAGCAATTCTAGTGGGTGGAATTTAATTTGCAATTCCTGTATTATTAGAGATGCTGAGCCCGTTTTTATGTGTATATTGGCTATTTACATATCTTCTGTTTGAAATGGCTGTTCAAGTCTTTTGCCCAAATTTTATGGGGTTGTTTGCCTCTTACATTATTGAGCTGTAGGAGTTCTTTATATATTCTAGAGACAAGTCCCATGACAAATATAAGTACTGAAAACCTCTCTCCCAGTCTGTGGCTTATCTATTCACTCTCTAAATACAGTCTTTTAATAAGCAAAAGTTTTAAATGTTTGAAGTTCAAGATAGCAACCTTTTGTTTTATGATTAGTGGTTTCTCTGCCCTTTCTAAGAAATGTTTCCCACCCCAAGATCATGAAGATATTGTCTTGTGTTTTCTTCTAATTTTTTGTTGTTGTACTTATCACATTACAAGTTATCACATTATTTTGTTGTTGTACTTATCACATTATCACACAATAATTCATGGTAATTATTGTGTATGATGTGAGATAAGGCTGAGGGTTCACTCTTTCCGCATATGGATATAGAGTCATCCCAACATCATTTGTTTGAAAGACATTTCTGTCCTCATTGAATTCCTTTGGCACCTTTGTCAAAATAAATGAACCTCATGAATCTATTTCTGAACGCTTGATTCTGTTTTATTGATGTTTTTGTTTATACTTATGCCAATTCCAAACTCTCTTGGTTACTATAACTTTATAGTAAGTCTTGAAATCATGTAGTATAAATTCTCCAACTTTATTTTCCTTTTTCAAGATTGTTTTGTAATTTGCATTTGAATTTCCATATAAGTGCAAAAAACCTGCTGGCATTTTCATTAGGAATGCATTGAATTCATTTTGGAAAGAATTGAAAATTTAACAATATTGAGTCTTACAATCCATACATATGGTATATCTCTCCATTTACTTAAGACTTCTTGAGTTTGTCTTAGAAATATATGTGCAGGTTTTGGTGTAGACGTCTTGCACATTTTGTTAAATTAATCACTAAGTCTATTTGGGTTTTTGATGTTATTGTGAGTAGTACTTTTACTTCATTTTCCAGTTAATTGTTGCTTTTACACGGAAATACAATTGATTTTTGTACAATGACTTTGTATACGACTAGTAAACTACTTCTAAGTGACCATATATAGTAAGGCTTTTTGTACATTCCTTTAGATTTACTATATACATAATCATATCGTTTGTGAATTAAAAATCATACTTCTTTGCAATCATTTTGCCTTTTAATTTTTTAAATTTCTTTTCTTGCCTTGTTACAGTGGTTGGAAATCCAGGATAATGCTGCATATAAGTGGTGAGAAAGGACATCCATGCTTGTTCCTGATTTTAGCTTAAATTTTAAAAATATTTAAAGTATGATGTTATCTTTAGGTATTCATAGATGCTCTTTATCAAATTGAGAAACTTTCTTCTATTCTTAGTATCCTAAGAGGTTTTTTTAATCGTGAACAGACATTAAATTTTGCAAATGCATTGTCTACATCTATTGAGATGATCATATAATTTCTATCATTTATTCTGTTATGCAGAATTACACTGATGGATTTAGAATGCTAAACAAGCTTGCATTCCTGAAGTAAACTCCAGTAGACTATGACATACTATCCATTTTATGAGTTGATGAATTTTATTTGTTAATAATTTCTTAAGGATTTTTGCATATACATGCATGAAGGATATTGGTTTACAATTTTCTTTTCTTATAGTATCCTTGTCAAGTTTGATGACAGGATTATGGTGGCCTCAAAGCAATAACAAAGAAATCAGAAGTGTTTCCTCTGTCTCTGTTTTCTCAAAGAGCATATATAAGATATATTATTTCTCCCTCAAGTATTTGATAGAATTCATACAGAAGTCATCTGAGTCTGAAAGTCTTTTTATGGAAAAGTTTTTAATTATAAATTCATTTTTTTAATATAGAAGGCTTTTCTGGTTTTCTATTTCATCTTATGTCAGATTTGGTCAGTTGTGTTTTTCAAAAAATTTGTTGTGAATTTATTAACATAAATTGTTCATAATACTTCCTTGTTATTATGTTAATATTCTTAGTGATGTAGAGATGCCTCCTCTTTCATTCCTCTGCTGGTAATCTGCATTTTTCTTTCTTTTTCTTGATCAATCTTGCTTGGGGTTATCAATCTTATTTATTGATCTGTTCAAAGAACTTTTGATTTGCCAATATTTCTCTATTGTCTGATTTTTAGTCTATTGATTTTTGTTCTTAATTTGATTGCTTCCTTTTTTTTACTTTGGACTTAATTTACTCCTCTTTCTCTAGCTTCTTAAGGTAGAAGCCTAAATAATTGCTTGTAGACCTTTTCCTTTTCTAATGTGAATATTTAAAACCACAAATTCCCCTCTACTCGTCCCTTTAGTCACATCCAACACATTTTAGTATGCTGAGCTTTCTTTTCTGTTTTCATCAGTTCGAAATATTTTCTAATTTTCCTGGTGATTTCTTCCTTAACCCAAGGGTTATTTGGTAGTATGTTTTAATTTCTACATATTTGGGGTTTTCCTGACGTTTCTGCTATTGACTTCTAAAACACTCTGTATGATCTCAGTCCTTTGAAATGTATTGAGACTTGTTTTATGGCCCAGCTTATTGTCTATGTTGGTGAATGTTCCATGTGCATTTGAAAAGAAGGTGTATTCTGTAGTTCTATAGTGTTCTATAAATACCTATTAGTTAAGTTAGTTGATAGTGCTTTTCAAATCCTCTATACCCTTGTAAGTATTTCAGTTGTTCTGTCAGTTACTAAAACTGCAGTGTTAAAATCTGCAACCATAATTGTGAAATTGCCTATTTGTCCCTTTATTTCTGTATGTTTTTGCTACATGTATTTTGAAGCTCTGTTATTATAGTACAAATACATTAAGAGTTTCATATCTTCTTGATGATTTGACTCTTTTATTATTATGAGTGTCCCTCTTTATTTCTGATAAAACTGCTTGTCTTTAAGTCTACTTTGTATGATATTGCTATAGTCACTCCCTCTTTCTTATGATGAATGTTTGCACAGTATCTTTTATTGATCTCTTACTTGTAAACTACCTGCAATTTTATATAAAAAGTCTGTCTCTTGTAGCCAACATAGTTGGATCTTGTTTTTGTTATTCAGTCTGATAATCTCTGCCTTTTAATATGTGTTTGCTCCATTTATATTTTATGTAATTATTGATAGACAATAGACTTGAGTTTAAGTCTACCATCTTTCTATTTGTTTAGTTTTGTCCTTTTTTCTCTTTTCCTGCCTTCTTTTGAATTAGTTTTTTTATAATTTCTTTTCATCTCTGCTTTTTGCCTGTAAATCATTGCTTTCTTTCTTGGCTCAATTTCACTTATACTTTGTTCTTCAGTGGCTAATCTGTTGCTAACCCCATCCAGTGATTTTTATGTCTTATATTGTATTTTTCAGTTCTAGAATTTCAATTTCTACTTGTTTTTATCTTTAGAGTTTCCATTTCTTTTCTAAAATATCCATCTCTTTTCCTTAAATTATTTAACATATTTAAAATAGTTGTTTTAAAGCCCATTATCTGATGATTGCAATATCTAGGTCCACTGTGGATATGTTCCTTTTTTTTTTTTTCTAGTATTGAATCCACAGTGGGAATGTGGTTTTTTGTTTTGTTTTGTTGTTTTGAGATGGGGGGGTCTGAATTTGTTCCCCATGCTGGTCTTGAACTCCTGGGTTCAAGCCATCCTCCCCCCTCAGCCTCCCGAGTAGTTGGAATAGACTATAGGCACACACCACTGCCCTCAGCATGGATATGCTCCTATTGTCTATATTTTTCTTGACCATGGGTAACATTTTCCGCCTTCTTTACATGTCTAATTAAACAAAAATTAAACTCCAAAAATTGTGTTAACAGTGGATAATGTAACATACTAATTTTTTTGCTTGGTTTTATTTATTTCCCAGAATCGCAAGCCCTTTTCTCTATCTAGGGGCTATTCAAATTTGCCTACAATTGAGTTGAACTAGTGCTGAGCTGCAGCTTTATTTAGATTGAGTTTACCTGTTGTTTGCCCAATACCCAACCAGTCTCATCTATTTTTTGTTTACCTTTGAATTCAACTCCTGCAGGAGTCCCAGGATGCAAAAACCAGAAGAATGTTGGAAAAGATGTGATTTTTATCTACCTATTAGCCTTTCCTTCACTGGTCCTTTCTCAGCAAAATTCAGAAAGGGGGAGGTTTGGGGTATTTTAAAAATGAATTTGTGTTTTTTGTGTATGTGTTTTGTGCCACTTAAGAATTTATTGCTTTTCAGCAACAAATCCATCTTTCTTTCCCCCTCTCTGTTATACTGGGGCCCAATTCTACAGACATTACTTCTTTGCCAGTTGGCTTAATGTTAGGTCCTGTCAATAGAGGGCATTGGAGACACATTGCAAGTCTGGAAGAGGAAAAAAGGACTTTTTCTTCTTCCAGTGTTGTATTTTTCTACTTGGTGGCAAGTAGATCAATAAGCAAGGGTCCTGGCAGTGTTAAACAGAGGAGGACAGTTATTTGATTTGGGAGCAAGTGCTCCCCAATATCAGTCAACTTGCCCTGTCCATTGACAAGAGTCCGAATCTTAACCTTGCAGGGGCTCCCCTCTTCCAAGTTTCTGCGTTCCTTCATCATTTACTTTTCTTTGAACTTTCAGAGTAGTTACTGATCTCTGCATTTACTACTTT
The DNA here is from genome assembly GCF_000001405.40 of Homo sapiens. Taxonomy (NCBI): domain Eukaryota; kingdom Metazoa; phylum Chordata; class Mammalia; order Primates; family Hominidae; genus Homo; species Homo sapiens. Next base: position 107,801,072 of record NC_000006.12, read on the forward strand.
AAGAGTTTTTTATATTAAAACTTCCCTATTCCAATTGCCAATGTGGTTTATGTCTTCTGACTGAACCAGAGGGTCCTTCAGATTCCAGTCCCTTCTAGTAGCACATGCTGTTATGTAAAGCCCAACCGATTTCTCCTTGTAAATTCTCTGTCTATGGTAAGCCCACTCTTCCATTGCAGACCCAGGTCACACTCTCACTGTTCTCCAGACAGCACTATCTTTATACACACGATTCCCAACTCCTGTAATCCCTTCCCCACCTCCCTTTTCTGGCTAGGTACATACGAAGTCATCCTCCCAGATGGCTCAGAGGGCGTCTCCTTGGCGAGACTCCAGTCCTCCACCCACCTATGCCTGCCTACCTGCCCCCCACCCCAGGTATGGAACCTATAACTCTGCTAATCCTACAATGAGCTCATTTCTCTCCAGAATAGAGTCCATCGAGATTTTTTTGTGTCCATTACTTTTCACTAGTCTCATAGAAAAGTATGGTTTTAATTTCTCCAGGTTTTTCCCAAGTCCAAATGTCTTTCACATCCTTCTACATCCTAACTGGAAGCAGAAGCTTCTAGGTATTCTTACATATGCAAAGTTCCTGGAAGGATATGTTGCTGACAGGGCGTATGACTGAGAAATGTGGAATGGGGGTTAGCACATGGAGGGTGGAGACAGAAATTCTGACTTTTGACTACAGTCTTCATTATTCATTTCTTTTTTTTTTTCCTGAGACCGAGCCTTGCTCTGTCACCCACGCTGGATCTCGGCTCACCACAACCTCCGCCTCCCAGGTTCAAGTGATTCTCCCGCCTCAGCCTCCCGAGTAGCTGGGATTACAGACACCCGCTACCACACCTGGCTAATTTTTTTTTTTTTGTATTTTTAGTAGAGACAGGGTTTCACCATGTTAGCCAGGATGGTCTCGATCTCCTAGCCTCATGATCTGCCCGCCTCTGTCTCCCAAAGTGCTGGGATTACAGGCGTGAGCCACTGCACCCGGCCTATTCATTTCTTTACTCAACAAATATTTCTCAAGTGCCTCCTACGTGCCAGTGTTCTGAGCACTGAGGATACAGTACGAGCAACAACAAAAAGTCACTGTTCTCACGGAACTTATATTCGTGAGAGACAGACAATAAACAACCAAATGATATGCAGCAAGTCAGGTGATGATAAATATTACAAGAATAAATTAGATTAAGGGGGATAGAGCATGATGGCAGTGAGCATGTTATTTGACATTGATGGTCCAGTCTCACTAAGGTATGTTTGAGCAGAGACTTCAAGGAACTTAAAGCTATGGGCATATGGGAGTGAAAAACATTCCAGGCAGAGAAAACAGCAAGTGCAAAAGTCCTGTGGTGGACAGTTCAAAGACAGTCAGGAGCCCAGGGTATTGGGTGCAGAGTGACAGAGGGAAGGCGGGGTAGGAAATGGTGTGGGAGAGAGGTGGGGGCAGAGCATAGAGTGTCTTTCAGGCCACTTAAGAGCATTGGCTCGAGGGAGGGAGGGAGGAAGGAAGGAAGGAAGGAAGGAAGGAAGGAAGGAAGGAAGGAAGGAAGGAAGGAAAGAAAATTGGAAAGGCTCCTCCTCTCCCTCTCCCTCCTCTCCCTCTCCCTCCCCCTCCTCTCCCTCTCCCTCCTCTCCCTCTCCCTCTCCCCCTCCCTCTCCCTCTCCCCACGGTCTCCCTCTCCCTCTCTTTCCACGGTCTCCCCCTGATGCCGAGCCAAAGCTGGACTGTACTGCTGCCATCTCGGCTCACTGCAACCTCCCTGCCTGATTCTCCTGCCTCAGCCTGCCGAGTGCCTGCGATTGCAGTCGCGCGCCGCCACGCCTGACTGGTTTTCGTATTTTTTTGGTGGAGACGGGTTTTCGCTGTGTTGGCCGGGCTGGTCTCCAGCTCCTAACCGCGAGTGATCCGCCAGCCTCGGCCTCCCGAGGTGCCGGGATGGCAGACGGAGTCGCGTTCACTCAGTGCTCAATGGTGCCCAGGCTGGAGTGCAGTGGCGTGATCTCGGCTCGCTACAACTTCCACCTCCCAGCTGCCTGCCTTGGCCCAGCAAAGTGCCGAGATTGCGCCTTTGCCCGGCCGCCACCCCATCTGGGAAGTGAGGAGCGTCTCTGCCTGGCCGCCCATCGTCTGAGATGTGGGGAGCGCCTCTGCCCGGCCGCCCTGTCTGAGAAGTGAGGAGACCCTCTGCCTGGCAACCGCCCCATCTGTGAAGTGAGGAGCCCCTCCGCCCGGCAGCCACTTTGTCTGGGAAGTGAGGAGCGTCTCCGCCCGGCAGCCACCCCGTCTGGGAGGGAGGTGGGGGTCAGCCCCTCGCCCGGCCAGCCGCCCCATCCGGGAGGGAGGTGGGGGGGTCAGCCCCCCGCCCGGCCAGCCGCCCGGTCCGGGAGGTGAGGGGCGCCTCTGCCCGGCCGCCCCTACTGGGAAGTGAGGAGCCCCTCTGCCCGGCCACCACCCCGTCTGGGAGGTGTACTCAACAGCTCATTGAGAACGGGCCATGATGACAATGGCGGTTTTGTGGAATAGAAACGGGGGAAAGGTGGGGAAAAGATTGAGAAATCGGATGGTTGCCATGTCTGTGTAGAAAGAGGTAGACATGGGAGACTTTTCATTTTGTTCTGTACTAAGAAAAATTCTTCTGCCTTGGGATCCTGTTGATCTGTGACCTTACCCCCAACCCTGTGCTCTCTGAAACATGTGCTGTGTCCACTCAGGGTTGAATGGATTAAGGGTGGTGCAAGATGTGCTTTGTCAAACAGATGCTTGAAGGCAGCATGCTGGTTAAGAGTCATCACCACTCCCTAATCTCAAGTACCCAGGGACACAAACACTGCGGAAGGCCGCAGGGTCCTCTGCCTAGGAAAACCAGAGACCTTTGTTCACTTGTTTATCTGCTGACCCTCCCTCCACTATTGTCCTGTGACCCTGCCAAATCCCCCTCTGCGAGAAACACCCAAGAATGATCAATAACAAAAAAAAAAAGAAAAAGAAAAAAAAAAAAAAAGAGCATTGGCTCTTTTTCTGAGCAAGATGTGGAGTCACTGGGCATTTCTGAGCTGAGCAGAAATGTGATCTGACTCATTTAAAAAGGCTCACTCTGGCTGCTAGTTGGAGAGCACAGCTTTGTGAATTCTGTACTAATTTGCTAATTTACATTTTAAACATGAAACGTGTGTGTGTGTGCACAACTTGTACAACTCAAAAATATAATTAAAGAAAAAGGTCTGCTACAAAATAAGCCCTGGCAGGATGCCCATAGTTACTGGAGGCCAGGCCCCAAGGCCAGGCCCCCTTGGGAAGGCAAGATGGGATCCAGGTCTCCATTCTCAATTTTAATTTCAGCCTTTCAGATGCAGGGTGCCCAAAGGAGAGTCTGGAGGGGCCAGGAGAGAATGTGGGCCAGAATCAAATTGCAATATGTTGCAATTTGCATTCCAAGTATATCTAATTTTCAGAATCAAAACACAATATTTTATACCTATGTGTATATATGTACAGACACACACACCTATTTAATTTTTAAATATGGCTTAGCTCTCCAAACATCTTCTCCTAGCAGCAGAGAATATTATCCAGTTGTCCCTTTTTAAAAATCTCTGGAAAGGATAAAGTGTGGCAGCCAGAGCTGGGCTCACACCTGTAAACCCAGCACAACTGGGAAGCCAAGGCGGAAGGATTGCTTGAGCCTAGGAGTTTGAGACCAGCCTGGGCAACATAGTGAGACTCTACAAAAATTAAAAAATTAGCCAGGCGTGATGGTGTGCCCCTGTGGTCCCAGCTGCTTGGGAGGCTGAGGCAGGAGGATCTCTCGAGGCCTGGAGCTCAAGGCTGCAATGAGCTGTGTTCGCACCACTGTACTCCAGCTTGAGCAACAGAGTGAGACCCTGTCTCAAAACTAAACAAATAAAGTGGCAGCCAGACCCCAAATGAGGGCTTTACACAGTCAGTCAACTCAGCTCATCCTCACAATAAGCCTGTGCTGGAGGCATTCCTACCTATTTTGCAGGTGAGGAAAAAATGGCTATAGGAAGCAAAAAGAGGGATCAGTAGGCTTGAGGCAGGAAGTGAGTACTGGAGAGTTAGGGGTGTGGAGCAGGCATGGGGTGGCTGTCAAGGGTGGTGCCATCAAAACCATATGGCCCCCAAATCTGAAATGTTCTCTATTTGGCCCTTTATAGAAAATGTTTGCTAACCCCTCTACTACACCATCAGCTCCATGAAGGCTAGGATCACACCCTACTTATCTTTTATTCTAAGACAGTGCCTAAAATACAGGGATAACAAAGTCTAAATGAATAAATGAGAAAACATCAGATATCATCTTTTTTAGTGGCATGCTTATTCTCACTAATTGTGAGGAGGACTGAGATTGTGGCCTTTTGAAAGCATCACGTCCTTCCATTTTCATACCCCCATTTAAATGAAAGTGAAGGATGGCAGCCACTGCTGAAATACTTAATACACCTGAAATCCTGACACTGGCCTGATTTTATGGGCCCTGGTGTTTCTGTTACATGAAAGCTGTCAAACTACACTTGAAAAACCCAATTACACCCAGACTCAGCCAAAGCCACATTTTCAACTTGACTCTGTGTTTTTAGAACTATAAATTTTCCAACTTAGCTCAGCGAAGAGTGACGTAAAGTTGTACATATGTGGTGAGCTGTTTTATAGGCCCTCAGATCTAAGAGCACAAAGCAGCTGTAATACTGGCAATGAGGCCTGATGAGAAACCAGCCTGGTTCTGAAATACAATATTCCTAATTATAATAAGAACAATGACATTGAAATTTGACAGACATTACCTCTGAAGAGAGCCAGGATGGACTGGGGAGTCACAGAGCCTGGGAGCCAAGGGATTGTCATGGAGGCCACGGTTATGAGTTCTTAAGCCATATATTCCCATCAAGCTCAGAGAAGTGGCTAAGGAGACACCACTTCTCTTCCCTTGTTTCCTCATTGAATAAGATAGGATTTACCACGGGGCCAGGTGATGCCACAGAGGCACCTGTGCCAACTGCCTTCTACTTTTCCCACACAACAAAGGTCCAGAAAGCTTCCAACTTAAGAGTCCCTTCTCAACTCAAGGACAATCAAAACAGAGATTTCCCCCCCCCCAATAAACAATGAGCAAGGGCTCAGCCTGACAATCCATATTGTATTCAGAATGTTCAGCACATGCTCATCTGCTCCTCATAGCAACCTGTACAGGCTTCCTGGAGGAGGTGATCCTTGAAGGGCAGGAAGCCCACTTCTGGCCCTTTGGACATTCATCTGACTTTGTGTCTCTGCACATCGGGGTGAATTGTTCCATGTGCCCTGCCTATCCTCGATGCTTAATAATTATGTGTCGGGCTCACTAATTAACAAATATAAGTAACGCCACCAACCGGTTTCTACTTCTCCACTGACATGTTGAGATCTATCAGCCACTACCCAGAGCATAGTGGGGATTCTGCTCCTTAATGCTGGCCTCTGGTGGGCCCACTACTCTGCACCGGGCCTTCCAGGACTTAGCATTGGGCCTCCAAAGCCGGCACTGGACCATCACAGAAGTGGCTGGCTTTGAGTATTTAGTCCCCAACCCAACCTTGCATTGGGCCCCTTACCTCCAAATAATCCCGCCATCTCCCACTGGAGCTCCCACCCCAGCCCCAGGACTCATGGTGAAAGAGGTGAGGATGGAGGTTTAGTGTGGATGGACATGGCCATTCCCAAAGCTGCATCACTGACCCAAGGGCAGCTGCCATCTGTTTCTCTAGATTCTTGGCTGTTTGCCCACATGGTGCCTGCAGCTGGGCAGAGCTTCAGGCCCCACCCCATGAGAATGAACCGCCTGCCCGCTGGCAGAGTTGGCTCCCTCCACCCTGGGCTCAGGTGCTCCTGTGCATGAAATAGCTGGCAGCACCAGGGTAGGGAGAGGAGGGAAATTTAAATGAGTCTTAAGGGACTGGAAAAATAATTTGATGAAATGTTCCTAAGCTTTTTTTTTTTTTTTTTGGCTTAATACCCATAAATTGCAGGGGCCATGTGTGCTAACAGCTTTTGATTTATGATGCCTTTATTGTTGCATTGTATTTAAGCCAGATGATGAAAAGGTAGCAAGAGTAAAAAGACCCTTTTACAAAATGCTTTGGGATCCATCATGGGGTCAAGCCATTTCTGTCAATCTTTGCCACCACTTTGTTAAAGCAAGGGCTCTGGGCACTGACAGCTGAGTAGCTAATTGCTGTTGGACGCCAGCCCACCAGGCATCTTCCTCCTCTCCTTAGAAATTTTGCACTCCCTCCCCCAGGTCCCTTCCTCTAGCAAGACCTTTTAATGGCCGCTGAGGGCCAGGAGGGAAGCTCGCCATGGGTAAACTTTGAGGGGCCAGGTCTTATCCAGCTGCCACAGCACAGAGTTATTCCCAGGACCTCTAATTAAAATGCCTACAGTCCAACCAATATGCTCCTGTTTCATTGCTCAGGGGTTACAAAGCTCCCAGCAAATGCTGAACACAAATTAACAAAACGCTGGGTCAGCCTTTCTGGTCCCATTACAATGTTATTGTCATATTTATTAGCACAATTCCCTGTAGGACACTGGTAGAAATATCTAAAAAGTGAGTTAGGCACTCTCCTTGACTATATGGGGAAAATGCCTGCCATTTCCCCGCAGAGCACATAAACTTTGTTTGCAATTTGTGCTCACAGCAACTCCCAGCCGAAGACAATCCATTCCTGTTCTTGTACGGAAAGGGGGCTATGTTCTCTCAAACTGTAATTATCTTCTATTCACGCTACTGTAAAATGACTAGGTTGTTGCCACTGCTTTTATTTCAAAGAACAGTTCTATTATCCGTTTACAAAATTTAACAACCTACAGCACTTCCATGAATTAATTACAGTCTGAGGGGAGCATAAACACAAACTTCACTGATCACGTTGTTCTAAATCACATTAGCCTAATTGCTTGATATTAGGAATTGAGTTGACTTTTGCACATCTCGCCCAATTACTCCCCACCCTTTGTGTCTGTCTGACTGCCTGCTTCTGCACTCCTCTGCAGGGGATGGGATGTATTTTCCCCAGAGTCAGAGGAAAGCCAAAGGGGGAAAAAACCTCTTTGGAATGTTTCACAAGGAAGGAAAGATATGTTACTATGACAACTTGTTCTTGGCAACCACAATGACATACACCCCAAAACCTTCCGTCTTCCTCCTTGCCCATCAGAAAGATATTATCAAATCATGCAGCAAGAGAAGGTGAAGGTTCTAAACACTATATATAAAGATGGCACCAAGGCAGTCTGTGTGGGGAGCCAGGGTCCCAGGAGTCAAGTGAAGAGTGCTGGTTTGTTTTTTGTTTTTGTTTTTGTTTTTGTTTTTTCCTGGAGAGATGGGGGTCTCACCATATTGCCCAGGCTGGTCTCAAACTCCTGGCCTCAAGTGATCCTCCCACCGCGGCCTCCCAGAGTGCTGGGATTACAAGCATGAACCACCATGCCCAGCCTAGAGTGCTGTCTTGAAGGACATACAGAACTTCATCACATGCAGAAGTGAGAAAAGAGAACTCCAGGACATGGGAAGAGAAAATGGGAAAAACACAGAGGCTTTGAGAATGTTCAGGGAAGGGCAAAAGGCTCATGTGGCCTTTTTCATTTCTATTTTTGCATATGTTTTATAATGTGCATAATGCATTAATGTAGTATGTATATAATCTATCAATATACATATGTTGGGGATGTGTACTCAAGAATATTTTAATAATTAAGTAATTATAAATAACATATATGTGTATTGGGATGATTTAACAGAGAACACAGGCAAAACATTTGGCAACCATCAGTGTGAGCAATGGAATCTATCTGAGATTATTAAGCACTAGAGTGAGTACATCAGTGCTATGGTTTGAATGATAGTGTCCCCTCCAAAATTCATGTTGAAATGTAACTCACAATGCAACAGTATTTACAGGCGTGGCTTCTGGGAGATGATTAGTCATGAGAGCAGATCCCTTAGTGTCCTTATCAAAGGGCTTGAGGGTGAAGGGAGCACTCTCTTGCCCTTCCATCCCTTCTGCCATGTAAGGACACTGCATTTGTCCCCTCTAGAGGATGCAGCAACAAGGCACTGTCTTGTAAGCAGACAGCAGCGCTTTCAGCCACCAGTCCTGCTGGCACCTTGGTCTAGGACTTCCCAGCCTTCAGAACCTTGAGAAATCAATTTCTATTGTTTCTAAATTACCCAGTCTGATGTATTTTGTCATAGCAACACAAATGGAGTAAGACTATCAGAACTGCATCTTATAAAGATAAACTTGGTGCAACGTATGAAGCGGGTTAAAGGGAGGAGAAAATATAGGCAGAGAAGCAGGGCAGGAGGCCATCATGGTGGTCCCTGTGAAGGGTGCTAATGAGAGTCTGAGGAAGGGCCACCAAGGGGTAGATGGAGAAAGGGAGAATGCAGAAAACTTTTTTGAAAGTAACATCCATCAGGACCTGTTTCCCAATTGGAAGGCATGGGGTAAGGAGAGTTTGGGATTCTAAAACTGTTATCTTGGATAGCTGGGGAAGCAGTGATACCTTCAATGAAGACAGAATAAAGGAGAAGGGGAAGATATGGGGAAGGGAGCAATGATGAGTCCAGTTTTGGAAACGTTGAGTTCAGGATGCCTGTGGAACAGGTAGGTGGAGATGTCCATTAAAACAGTTGAAATTCAAAACCAGAACGCAGGTAGCCTAGTCGAGGAAGCCCTCAAGTGCCTAACCCCTCACATAATTATGCACCTCTCTCTCTCTCTCTACCGACATCTGTAATCCCAGCACTTTGGGAGACGGAGGTGGGAGGATTGCCTATTTTTCTTGATTGCATTTTGTGTTTCCTGGTGTTCTCTACATTCATCGATCCCTCTGAAAAACCTGTGGGCGTCTCTCTGTGCCAGGCACTGTGCTCATGTGGTCAGGGGAGAGGGCAGTTAGCAAACAGAGAGAGGCTGGCTGCTCGTGAGCAGATAGAGAAGAGCCCTGGTGCTGGCCACTGTGAGCATCAGCCTCTGTCCTGGAGGCTCACACAATCTTGGGAGCTGTGAAGAAGAGGAGTCTGTGGCTATTAGGTAAGAAGTCCAACTCCAAGGGTGCCCAGGCTCGCTCTTCTCACTCTGGCCCTCCCCACACTGCCTGCCATACTGGGTAGGGCCCAGAATCACCTGGAAATCTTCAGTCAAGGGGCATCAAGTGACATGTGGATAGAGAATGCCACCAGCAAAGCCCCAGGAAAATCACTGGTCCTAGGCAGGTTTGTTTGCTGGTGCCTCCTCTCATCGCTTGGGATATACTTTGTGAAGTTGCACCACTGTGGGCAGGAAAAAGGCAGAGAGGGGCGTTGAGTGGGAGCCAGAAAGGAAGAGATAGGTGGAGATTCCAGTTCTTCTTTAAAAGGGATCTGGAGACATCAGATCATCTCCTCTGCCCTGGGGTAGAGTTGAAACCTTCCTGAAGTCCCTTGGCTATCTGGAGTGAGTACAGCAGGAATGTGAGTGGCCTAAAATTTAAAGAAACTGTAGATGTTTGGTAAGTAATAATAGGCCATTATGAAACATATTTACCATTGATCGCTTATAGGGAAATAGATTAAACTGTCAGATGAAATCTTAAAATAAACACTGTTATAAATTGAATTGTTCCCCCCAACCCCAAAAATCATATATTGAAGTCGTAACTCCCAATGTGAAATGTAATTGGAGATAGGCTATTTTATCTTTTTATAGAGATGGGGGTCTCACTATGTTTCCCAGGCTGGTCTACTCCAGGGCTCAAGCAATCATCCCACCTCATCCTCCCGAAGTGCTGGGATTACACATGTGAACCCCCACTCCCTGCCTGGAGATAGAGCTTTTAAAGAGATACTTAAGCCTAAATGAGGTATTATAATAAGGATGGGGCCCTAATCCAATAGGGCTGGTGTCTTTATAAGTAAGAGACATCAGGAGTGGAAGCATAACAAGGAAAGGCCACATAAGGACAGTGAGAAGGCAGCCACGTGCAAGGCAAGGAGAGAGGGCTCAGAGAAACAAGAGCCACTGGCACCTTGATCTTAGACTTCTAGCTTTCAGAACTGTTAGAAAATAAATTTCTTCTGTGTAAGCCACCCAGTCTGCAGGATTTTGTTATGGCAGCCCTAGCAAACTGATACAGCACTATAAAAACATTTTCTTCTCTTACACAGGAGCCAGATCACCACTGTTTCCATCCTATTAATATACAGGCAAAATAAATACAACTTGTTTTTGTGAACTTGCCTGTTTTCTTGATTGCATTTTGTGGTTCCTGGTGTATTTTATATTACTTTCTGAATCAGCCTACCCCTACTCCTCTCTCCAGCCCTACCACATCTTGTATTTATAAGCAGTGGGTGCTTCCATCCCTGTCTCAGACAGCTGAAGACAGAGTGAGAGCAATAACAGGTATACTGATTTGCAGCACTTTGTGTAAGCTGAGGGCTGCCCCAAATGCCCCCATCAAAAGGCATCAGCCTAAATGGGAAAAAATGTGTCTTCTTCAATCCCCCTGAAGTTCCCCTCAATGATTTTCTGTTCTGCAATGACATTTCCAGTCAAAGAGGCCAAAGAGATAAAACTGCTGACCTAAAGACTTTTTCTTCTGCTCCTGGGGGCAGTCTGGGCACAAATTCACAGAGTGCGCAGTGGGGAAGTGAAATTGATGGTGCCAAACAGCATCATCTAAACAAGCAGAACCCAGAGGGGGACATGAAAACGTCCAGCTTCCTTTATGGCTGTGAGACATGGACCAGTCGTGGCGTCTATGATGTCATATTTTAACCATCCCATCTGAACTGTTGAGCAGTTTCATCTGTGTCACCACTGAGCCAGACTTAACACTAAATAGTGAGAGGGTTTCCAACAACCTTGACTTCCAGGGCAGACGTTCTCTCACTAGAGGACCAAGTTGGTGTGACATGTGATCCTGTGTGGGAGCCAGCAGGGAGGCTTAACTGCAGATCTATGGGCAGCCGAGGCACTGACAATAAACACAGTCACCAGTGGTGGATTGCCGGGAAACTCCCTCTCCCATGAGGGCAGCTGGAATTCTGAAGCCCGGCTCAAACATTCCCAGAATTAGTCACCACCAGGGACAGTCTCTAAAAGGTGCTCTGAAAATGAAAGATAACCTTCCCAGGAGACATTATGGAAGACAGTCAGAGGATCACAGTCCCCACAGATGAACTGAACAATACCACCAGGGTTTCAGCTCCAAACCCTCCATACCAGAGAGCCCTAGCTCAAAGCAGTGCTTACCAAGCTTCAGACCTGGGGTGCCACCTTTGTGATATTTGCCATGTCCGATACCTCCTCTGATGTTTAATTTTATGTTTCAACTAGATTGGGCCGTGGGTGCCCAGTTATTTGGTTAAACATTATTCTAAGTGTTTCTGTGAGGGTGTTTTTGGAAGAGATTAATATTTGAACTGGTGGACTGAGTAAAGCAGATGGCAACCCACACGTGGGGGGACTTCACCCAATCCATCGAAGGCCTGAAAAGAACAAAAAGGCTGACCCTCCGTGGGGTAAGAGGGACCTCCCCCTGCCTGACTCCCTTCCAGCAGGGACATTTTCTTTTCTGCCTTTAGACTCAAACTAAAACATGAGCTCTTCTTGGGTCTCATGTCTGCTGGCTTTTGAACTGAATTATACCATAGACTCCCCTGCATCTCCAGCTTCCAATCACAGATCTCGGGACTTCTCGGCCTCCATAATCATTTGACCAACTCCTTATAGTAGAGCTCTTTACACACAGACACATACACACACACACACACACACACACACACACACACATACCCTATTGGTTCTGTTTCTCTGGAGAACCCTAACTAGTACACCTCCTGCATTCCTAATATTTACTAAATCTTTAAATGGTCTATTTAAATAAATACATTTTAATGAAACTTTATGTCACATTTATAAATTCAAATCATGTTTATTGTTAAAAATATAAATATAGGCTGGGCATGGTGGCTCATGCTTATAGTCCCAGCACTTTGGAAGGTGGAGGCAGGAGGATGGCTTGAGTTCAGGAGTTCGAGACCAGCCTGGCAACATGATGAAACCCCGTCTCTACCAAAAATACAAAAAATTAGCTCAGGGTGGTGGTGGGCATCTGTAATTCCAGTTACTTGGGAAGCTGAGGTGGGAGGATGGCTTGAGCCTGGGAGGCAGAGGCTGCAGTGAGCTGAGATCGTGCTACTACACTCCAGCCTGGGTGACAGAGTGAGACGCCATCTCAAAAAAATTATATATATATATATATATATATATATATATATATATATATATATATATATATAAAACTGTAAAATTAAATACATATTAAAATAACAGTGTCCGCTGAAAACACGCTTCAGATGGTGTGACTGGATACATTTTGAAGCTGGAGGTGGGGAATGGTTTACAGAATGGTCATGGAACAAAACTTCTCTCTCTCATTTCAATCTCTACCAAATGGAGGTCAACTATATTTTATAGCGAATCTTTGGCTACTTTTTCGGGAGGAAGATCGTTCTTCCTTAGGCATCAAAAATAAGGCACAATACAACAGAAAGAATGCCATGACTACATGCTGCGGTTATCAGTCGCTGCTTTAAAAACAAGTTCAAACTTGGTAGCTTCTCATAGCTCACCATTTTGTGAGTCAGGAATTCAGAGAGGCTTGCCTGGGCAGTTTGTCTGTGGTCAGTGTGGCAGCAGCTAGGGTGGCTGGGACTTGGTGGTCCACATCCAGGATGGGTTCTTCACCCATGTGTCTGATCTCTCCATGTCTCCTGCCTCTTTCTCTCTGTGTCTCTTCCTACGGAGCCTCTCCATGTGCCTTTGGCTTCTCACTGCATGGCAGCCTCAGGGCAGTGGTGCCCAGGGCAGTCCCGTGGTGACTCAGGGTTCCAAGAGCTAGCATCCAAAGACCCAGTAGAGCTGCAAGGCTCCATATATCCATCCTGGAAGGTCACTTCCACCAATCCTAAGAGCCAAGCAACACATGCCAGTCAAGGAGAGGGGAGTTAGACCCCACATCTCCATGGAAGGAATGTCAAAGAATTTGTAGCCATCTTTATTCCCTTACCTCGTTCTTACGTATTGAACAAGGAGAAAGTCCTCAGAATGGGGTTTCAACATCATGGATAAAAAAGTTAACCGTGGAGCCACTTAATTCAAGTGGCAGGTCAGACTGGAAAAAAGGTGTGAGTTTTAGAGTCAGACACACCTGAATTTGAGACCCAGTTATACCACTTAACAGGTGATCTTGGTACAGTTGTTTAAGCTCACTGAATCTCTGCCTTTTGGCCTGTGACATGGAATGGTGATGTTTCTGGGCTGCTGTGTGGATACCCACAATGTCTGCAACATCACAGTCCCTCAGTAGTGTTAATCATTTTAAGCCAACCTACAGAAGAGTGAGGATTTTACAAACATGTTTTTTTGTTTGTTTGTTTGTTTTTAAGACAGGATCTTACTCTGTCACCCAGGCTGGAGTGCAGTGGCACAATCTTGGCCCACTGCAACCTTCACCTCCCAGGTTCAAGAGATTCTCATGCCTCAGCCTCCCAAGTAGCTGGGATTACAGGTGTGTGCCACCACACTCGGCTAATTTTTGTATTTTTAGTAGAGACGGGGTTTCGCCACATTGGCCAGGCTGGTCTCGAGCTCTTGGCCTCAAGTGATCCACCGCCTTCGGCCTCCCAAAGTGCTGGGATTACGAGCGTGAGCCACCGTGCCAGGCCGTACAAAGGTGCTTTCTAAAATACCATATATGTGATAAAAACCTATGCATAATCTGAAGGAGACTGACACATGATAGAAAGGGTCTTCTCATTTAGCTTAAAACTACAGTTTTCAGAAGAAATTCACTAGCAAGCATCTTCCTAGAATGTTAAGGGCACCCCAAAGTTCCTACCATGATCTTTGAGAGGGCTCTGCATAGTGATCATGTAGGAAACTGGCAAAACAGAACCATCTTTTTTCTAAGCCTTAATTAATCAGAGTGTTCGGGGAGGCAGGAGAAGGTAAAATGACTGGCAGCTCTGATCCACAGGTGCTCAACAGTGATGGTAACAGCTTCTGCAGAGGGGCATTTTGGAAATGTGTCAGTGATGGTTGTATCTGATACAATGCTGGGGGCAGAGTGGGCATTCCTGCCACTTAGAGGGCAGAGACCAGGGATGCTGGGTGTCCCTCAGTGGATGGAGCAGTCCCACACAATGAAAGCATTGTCTTGCCATATAGAAATACCCGGCTTTTCTGAACCTGGGACTAACTTATTTTACAAAAAAGCAATATGTATTTCTGCTCAGCTGTAATAGACACTTTACACTTTATTTTCCAGGAATGCCATTAGTGCATAAATCAAAGGAAGACTGTTTATTTTCTTCAGAATTCCAAGAGTTGTGTATCATTTTGGAAAATCACACCACCCGCAGCAGCTCATGTTATCTGAGTCACCAATCCCACTCCTCTGACTTCAACTGCATTGGAGGGGTGGCCCAACCTGAGCTTCTTGGGGCAGGTGTCAGCCCCTGATCACTTCTTTCTGTTGCCCAGAGGCGGGTGCCTGCGTTGGAAGTAATCAGCAAATACTTTGTCTCATTCTTCTTTATATTTCAGTTATGACATTATATTAATTTTTCTTAAAAATTATGGGTGTGAGTGAGTCATATTATCCAGGAATTTCACCTCAGAATTGTAAACCAGGTGCTTGAATATATTTGCAATAAAAATGGGGGTTGGGTCTGACAGGCCTAAAAGCTTACTGCTTTAAAAGAAATTTTCTATGGATCAAAAATGCCTTTCGAAGTGGAAACACCAGGGAATCATTTCCTTTCTGGAACCTGCCGGACCTGCAGCAGCCCTGCCAGGCAGAGCAGGAGAGGCTGGCGCTACAGCATGAAAGAGCTCTTTCTCTTCAGCCCTCACAGGTGAAAAGACACGGACGCCCCGGCCACTGCTCAAACCAAAGGAGGAAAGACTCACAGACTCCTAGGGCCATGTGGCCCTCAATAAGTTAGTTATGTATAATATAAGCCTCAGTTTCCCCATTTGTATGTTGGCAGTAAAAGTAGCCCCTCCTGTATTGACTTCCTGTGTGGATCAAACACGATAAGTAAGATAAACCATGTTTCATGCTTCCCTCCACATCCCTGAGCACATAATGCTCAATTGATGCAAATGTGTATTATCATCCATACAGCATTTATGGTTTACAAAGCCCTTTTCCACATACTGTTTCCTTTGAACCATTCAGCAGTGGGGACTGACAGGAAGAACATCTCCAGGGAGGAGAGGAGGCTCGGGGATGCCATGATACTTGCCCTAGGTCACACTGGTGGCCATGAAAATGGCTTTTCTGAACTGGAATCCGTGCGGTTCCATTTAGATGGATTCTGTGCAGCTCTGAAGACACAAGTAGGCTCTCAGAGGAGGAAGAAGCTACTGGAGAAGAAAGGTAGGAAACTGCTAACAACTGGAGCTTGCTAACAATGGAAGGATAGAGTCCTGTGCTGTCTGCCTCCTTCCAAGACGTTAGCAGGGAATTTGGGCCTTGACCTGGGAGAGAGGCCTTGAAACCCATTCAGTCTAAGAATCCAGGCTTCACTTCGAGATCACTTCTCAGAGTACAGGTTTTTGCTTTTAACTCTTTCCTTGAATGTTAGATGTTTTTCCTTCAAACATATTGTTTCAGTTGTCATTTTAACTTTTCCACAGATGAGTGAGCTAGCTGGAAAATGGTCTGGGACTTCAGTGGCACCATGGTTTCAGCATAAATTCTCCTTACTCTGTTTTAAATCTGCACTCTCAGGGATGAGAAAGAAAACCCCTGAAACTGATGTTCGATTCACAAAGTACACACACAGAACACAGGAAATCTCTGCCAAAGCGTGGCCTGGGTTTTCTTAACTTTGTCCTGGAAGTTCCGTAACCTGTGTTATCTGCTGTTAAAAATTTACAGGGACCAGCTGGGTCTTTGGTCCAATGGAATTTTTTTTTTCTTCAGGCATGGAAATGTCAAATATAGTCATAAAAACAATGACCTAGCCTGTACCCAGAAATATGATTTCTAAACAATTATACTTCCAGTTAATCTCACACTACCGTGGTCCCAAGCCAATGAATAAGAACTCAATTTCTCAGCATTTGACCTGAACAGAGATTTGGGCTGCTTCCAGGGAAATGCATATTAGACAAACCTTTCTGAATGTACCTTTTTCTAGGCCAGGTGCAATGGCTCACGCCTTAATCCCAGCACTTTGGGAGGCCAAGGTGGGCAGATCACCTAACGTCAGGAGCTTGAGACCAGCCTGGGCAACATGGTGAAACCCTGTCTCTACTAAAAATACAAAAATTATCTAGGTGTGGTGGCAGGTGCCTGTAATCCCAGCTTCTTGGGAATCTACTTGAGGCAGGAAAATCTCTTGAACCTGGGAGGCAGAGGCTGCCGTGAGCTGAGATCGCACCACTGTACTCCAGCCTGGGCAACAGAGGAAGACTTCATCTCAAAAAAAAAAAAAAAGAAAAAAAAAAATCACTGAATGTACTTTTTTCTTATTCTACTATCAGATCACTTTTAGTTAATTTATTCTTCTTTACTGGGTTCATGCCAAATGACTTCTAACTAAAAGAGAGGGCCCTAGAAAGAAAGAACCAATCCTCTATACCATCATATCATTGGCCCCCACACATTCTCACACATATCACCTCCCAAATCGAGTACTAACTTCACATCCCTGGAGAGAGCTTATACTCACCTGGTCTCATTAAAGCAACACACGGTTGTACAGTTTCTCACTGTGGGACCAATTAACCATTTCCACATCAGGCACCAACACAACCCCACCATGCTGTTTGCCCTCTTTATTTATGTTAAGTCTCTAGTACTAATTATGTTAAGACACTCAAAACAAGAGCTATATTTTCACACCGTGGATGGTGATTTCGAGCATTAGAACCAGCTTCTTCCCCCCACTGTTTCTATGCTTTGTAATTTGCATACCCAAATTTAAAGCTATCTACAGCTTTCCACTTGAAGTTTTTTTGCAAATGAGGTCTTAAAAGTGATATAGTCGAATATGCTCGGGCACCTTTGGCATCTGAAAGGGAAAATTCCCAATAAAAGGGGCAGTGCGCAGATGGCTGCTGGGTTGACTCCTAAGTCTCAAGGCAAACTCCCCCAGCACAGGCCACAGTGGCAACAGCATGAACCAAATCTTGCTTGAATCCAACAAATGACCACAGATTCCTCACGACTGAAAAAATAACAGAAATCTATTCCCCCAGTGGAATTCATTACTGATCAATAAACCCAATGCATTGTGCAACATTTGTGATTATTCTCTTTGGAATCAACAGCATGTCTTAATAGCTAATTGTTTGATAAAGCCTTGACATCACCAAAATTTCCCAATAATGAGGGCACTAAATCCTAAAGAACTGTGAAGGAAAGAGGTCAGCCTCTTCTTTGGAAGGCCACAAAGAATGAGAATGATTCTTACAGTCCTATAATCACTCAGAAATGGTTAGGCCCAAAGGAATTAAGTTACATGACCTCCAAATCCTGTCTCCAAAACCAAAAGCATGAATGCCCTGGAATAGGCTTTCGCCTTGTGTTTTTCTCTTCGGTTCTTCCTTTCCTCATTCACCAAGGCAGACTGCTTGTCAAAACAGGATTAAAATCCTGAGGCCAGCCCCTGGCCGACTTGAAGTCTGCATCTAAGGCAGGGCCTTAGACATGGCAGCTCCAAGTGTTTCATGGGCCTGGTGAGAGGGGCAGGCCCTGGCTCTAGACACCAGGGAAAAACATACTCCTTAGTGTTCAACCCTGGTTTTCTCATCAGAGCAATGATGTCCCAGGATGACCTGTGGACAAAAGAGGACGGGAGAAGAGAAAATATTTTCTTCAGTTCAAAAGAAAAGGCCCCTATGGTCTATGAGCTGACAGCTGTATGGTACTCATAGCTATTACTGAATCCTTTCTGAACTGCACCGGGGGTACAAGAGGGAGAGTGAAGGTCTAGTGCTCGGTTGGAAGGGAGAAGGAACAGGCTCCCTTCTCTTTGTTTTATCCTACTGCCTCTTTGCTCCATACCACTTTCCCCTGGCTGGATTTAGACCCAGCCAAGTTGAGTATTCATCTTTATGGGAGCCTGCACATGTCTTTAGGATTACTTTCAGGCCATATGTTTCTGTTTTGAAACAATGAGGGCTTCTCTATAATGATCAGCACAGGGAGAGGAAAAGGGCAAGGGCTTTGGTTACCAAATATTCAGCTCCCCAAAGTTGAGTCACCATCGCGGGGCTAAGCAGACAACATCACCACCTTTCAAAGCACAGTGTTGACACTATTTTTTCCTGGCATACTAATTTTCTCATAACAGCCTGCTCCACTCCTCTGCTTCTGTCTTGCATGTTTTCTGGAGAAAGTAAGACCTCCTCAGCCCAGCCAATTTCTCAAAAGGCTAAGACAGCCTGGCTGCAGGAATGTGCAATCATTCTTGAAAATCAGCAATGGTGGGTTGCATTTATCTGATCAAAAAATGCAACTGCCAAAAAAAAAAAAAAAAAAAGCACATCTGCCTCCCCACAAATGAAAATTTAGGTAGCATGTGTCTAAGTTAGTGGCAGAGTAAGAGGAGTTTATATGGTTTCTTATCACTGGACTAAAACACAACTAGTAAAACTGGTATAGTAATAGTCACCCCGGGAAATATGCAATGTGGATATCAAAATCTACTCCCATTACTTCAGAGTGTCAAATGGACTGAGTGGAATGACTTTTCAGCTTAATGCAAAGTGAGAACTGCCACTGGGTAATAAATTCCTTTCTGTCCTAAAATAGTAGCCCAAGAAATAATCATCCCAAGAAGTAAGAGGTGTTTTATCTCCTCCGCGGCAGCAAAGGGCTTCTCCTGATTGCTAAGTGCTGATTTATTCCAGAATGCACAATTGCAGCTTGCTGCTGGTCTCCACCCCATCCGCCTGAAGGCAGGGATGTTCTTGTCTGTGTCAGAACTGCCTGCTTAACCCAGCAGGAAGCCTTGTCACCGGTATTCAGCCCTGGCCACGTCTCTTGGCTGAGAGAAGCAGGAGCCCAGCAATGCTAACATTTGAAAGATCCAGAGGGAAGAGAGGAGGCTGACTTTTGAAGGGATGATCTGCATCCATCACCACTTGCCCTCCAGATGCTATACCCAAATAGCAGTGTCCCTCCTGAGGCTGTCCCTGAATGCCACCCACCAGTGACCAGCCGCACTGGGAGGGGTGTGTGTTTGTGTGTGCGTGTGCGTATGCATGTCTGAGAAGGGCTGTTGTGGGGCAGGCTGCTCTGCAATGCTGAATGCTCCTGTCTGTGCCTCTTCAGACATTAATATATGCAGATCAGAGGAAGCTAAATTCCAAGCCTCTGTAAGCATGTCCAAAATGGCCCTCTTGCCCAAAGCACTTCTTCAAGTCTCAAACTAAAGATCAGCATTTGACAAACCACGGGTGAGAGTTTGCAAAAACATGAAGGAGTGAGCCCTTGCCAGAATTGAAACCAAGACGAGTGCAACAATGAAAAACGCTTAGAACCCACGGGCTGGCAGCCAGGGCGTTCGGACTTGGTATGGGCGTATCAACAAATGCAGGGTTCCCCACAGCGATTTACAGCAGAGACTCTAGTAGAGATTTACAGCAGACTGGAGCACTGCGCTCTTGCAAATGCAGAAGTTTGGGGTGGGGAAAGGTAGAAAAGAAAAAAAAGAAGAAGAAGGAGAAAGTGACATATTCAAATGCGATTCAAACATTCCAAGCTGCTCTTTTGACCTCAGAAATTTTACCACGATTTGGGTGATCCTAATGGTCTGTGGACCACGTTGGAAAATGTCACAATAGATGTTTGAATTAAAATCCAGTAGGTTTGCCAAAAGACCAATTGTTAAAAATTGGCAGCATTCCAGAGAACTTACTAGGCTGTGTACTGCCCCGGGGCTGAGAGAACTGCTAATTCCAGAGAAAGTTAATTATCACCTTATTGATAAAAGGGTAATTTTTAAAGCTTGTGGTGTGGCTTTTGTGACTCATTAATTAAAATTTAGAGTAATTTACTAGATACCCTGGTGGCTTCTGTTATATGATATCTGTACCAAGCCGTTTAATGTCTCTCCCAGGGGCTGATTTAATCCCCCTCTTCTCTCCTCACCTGTCTGCTTTTGAAGGCAATGAAAACATTAAAAAATGTGTAAATCTAAAACTAGCCTTTTGAGAGATGGCAGAATTAAGAAATAAGATGTCTAGGGAGGCATTGTTTAAAAGTTCCTTCTTAGAAACATCAGATGTGCCCACCAAAAGAAAGAAGCTTGTGTGATCACACCAAAGGCAACTGCTTTCACAAACTTCATCCACAAAATGTTAGACAAGATTTTACGCTCCATGATAATCAGATTAAAAGAGGGTCTTTTCTCATCTCCTTTCCCTTCTTTCCCATTCCATCCCCACATAAAATCTGAGGGCTCAGGGGAAGAATGACACTGGAGATGCTTGGTATCCTAAGGCTCCCAGCCCAATGAGGGGTAGTGTCACCTGCCACGCTCTTCAGGACTTGTGGAGTGGGATGGGCACATCCCGGCTCCCTGGCATCTACCCATGTGATATTGAGGTTTCCGAGGGCAGGGACTTGGGGAGGAAAATTGTCCTGCAGATCCCTAACAGGGCCCCTGTGAGGGCTTTCAAGCTCCAGCCACCACCTCTGCCTGGACCAAAAGTTCTTTAAGGTGCGTGTCATAAAGGATGTGTGGACACATGTGTGATGTGTCCTCAGGCCACACAAAATTGTAAACAGACCTACGAAGCACTCTAACATTTAAGCCCCCAGACTCCCAGAAAGGTTATTCCTCTCCGAGCATTCCTTGTTATGATTTCAGGGAACTTCAGTTATGTTTCCTTAAAAGTATTGAAGTATTTGAGATCCAAAATTGAGATTAAAAATACATAAACAGCAGAGATGATTTTCTCATCATTTCAAATTTTAAAAATTAAAAAAGTCTATCTTTGTACTTTGGGGTAGTGCTTGAATTTTTTAATAGGAAAGTGTTACTGAGTATTTTTTTAAAGTCAATATTGTTTTGAACTCTCATTATAAAAGTTCTTGCAGCAAGTGACAGTATTTGGGTCTGGCTTGTTTTCTGTGGGCTGAGCTGCTTAGCTTACCTGCTGCTTGCTAGAGGAGACAGCCTTTCACCCTCACCCCCAGGAGTCAAGAACCAGAAAGTGAAACTGCTTCTGCTGATTTCCCTCGCCTCGAAAACACACCACCAAAAGCAAAGAAATGATGAAAAGCAACTTACTCGTTTCGCTTATTGTTTTCTTGTCTTTCTATTACCGTTCATTTACTCTTTTCTTTTTTTCTTTTCTTTTTTTTTTTTTGCAGCAAAATAAAAGTAATTTTGGGGACACAGGGAAGAAATGTAAACATGTTATACATGAAAGAACTGGATTTTTGTGGGCTTTGCACTTTTGTTATAATTCCACAAATGAAGCAAACTGATGAATTTACCAAAATATTTCAGAGCTCATCTACGTACACAATTTAAAGAGCTAAAGAAAACACATTCATATTTTTTAAAAATTCTGTCAAAAAGCCTGTTTAAAAGTTATAGTTTGTGAAGCCACCAATTTCCCTAAAACTGAAGATTCTACATTAACCTTTTGAGTTTAGACGATCACGCAGTACCGATTTTCTAGGTAATCTTCACCCAGCTGCTGTTGCTCAAACAGCCCCTCATTTTATCAGACTAGTTCTACCAAGCAACACAAAAAATGCTCCACACAAATATTATACCCCCCAGATAGTTTAACACACTAAGAATTCCTTTGTAGTTATTTTTATGCTTTCACTCCAGATATTCTATTTTGCTTTAAAAAAAAAAAAGTGGAGAAAAAAAGCAGCTATATCCCTCATTCTTCAAAAATGGTTCCTCTGGTTGAAAAGAAAGAAAAACAGCATATAACAAATACCCTGATTCTGAAGTGCCTGGATTACTTTCTCAAGTACTGTAGTGTCTGAGATCAGTAAAAAACCACTTTCTCAGAAAGCCACTGATTGTCTAACCCTCATGAGTACCGTCATGGAATCTAGAGACAACACGAGGAGACACCTCTCGTTCACGATCACAGATAGTGGAAAGAACTTTGACTCAAGCACCTCAACTCAGCAAAACAGCTCAGCAGCCTGCACCCTGGCCTCATCCACCGCTCCTGTCCAGCCAGCAATCAACCTGGAGAGGACCCCTCATGCTTTGGGAGGAGCACGTGGAAGCTGGTTCAAGTCACAGTGCTCCACCTGGGAAGGAGGTGATTTTGAGCTTGGGAAAACTGCCGCTAATACTCCATAGTCACCAGTTTTTTTCCCAAAAAACGAATTAAAACCAGAAACTAGCAGTAAATATTATTCTTATTTATGCCTCATAAATTAGGAAAAACCAGCACAAAGACATGTGAAATATTCTACCTGGGATATTTGAAATAAAATTAAATGGGAAAAAAAACACTTTTACATGTTCATAACATACCAATTTTAATAACCAAATTTTAGGTAAATATTTTTATCCCAAGACATAGTACAATTTTTTTAAAATTAAAAAGCAAAACAAAGCAAAATTATCGTGAAGGGAAAAAATAACTAACCGGTTACTTGAGTTCACATTTGGAAAAAAATAACTTTCTAGGTATTTAAATGCAGAGTTAAAGAGTAATGAACATGTATATAGCCCAAATTTATAAACTATATAATTCAATGTTACATTTTCCCCTCTGAGATCTGGTTAATAAATTAAATGCTGTACTTTGCATATGAGGAACTAAAGTTTACCTACTGGACTCAGTGGTTTTAGTGCAGGACACTCTTGTGCGTTGCCATAGAGGTAGGCATGCAACCCAGAAAAAACTGAAACAGGTAACCTGTCATGCTGACAGTTACAAGAGAAAGATCCCGTGTCAACGGCACGCCTCCAATTGTGCATCTCCCTTACCTACAGCTTGTTCACCAGAGCCCTGAGCAGGTTGTTTACCAGGTCGGGAGTGTTGACTCAGAAGACAGATGACTTTCAGCACATGCAAACCGAGTATTGCAAAAGCTATCTTCCACCCGTGTTAGTAGCTCACAGTTAGTCTCCAGCAGCCCTGCGCTCCAGCTGCAAACATCTCATTAGACTAATGCATTCAGCACAGGCAGAAAACTCGATTTACCATAGCTACAGCAATGAATTTCCATTACGATGACAGCTTCAACCACATCATGTCCGGAAAACCAGCCAACCACTGGCTTTTAAAGAACACACACATTTTACATGCAGAAAACGAGGCCTCTGTGTGTGTGTGTGTGTGTGTGTGTGTGTGTGTGTGTGTGTGTGTGTGTGTGTGTTTTGTGTTTCCTTCCTCTTAGCAGCCTAAGAGAAATGTGCAGTGTAGCTTTTTGTCGACATGAGCTGCAAGGTAATGACACTTCTGCTTCTTTGGTAGTTACATCCTTGTAATAACCTGAATTATGTCACAATGGTTAGAATGGGTGTTTCCAACATTTCAGTTTTCATTACCCCTCCTCTGTTGCCATAGAAACCAGACTGTAACATCGTCTCTTTGTCCCAATCCTGCAGCAGTGTGGGCCAACACCAGGCTTATAAGACACTGGTGATCTGACAGAGTGAATGTTTGACTTTGGACAAATAAAACAAAAAGAAATATTACAATAGCATCATTGTTCAGGAGACCCTGTGTGATTCCCAGAGCAGTGTGCCTATCCAGGTGTGTGCACACACCATGGTTGTACATATTAAATCAGCGGCTGCCCACAACATATGTGTACAGTTCATTAAAGCCGGCCCTGACTTTGGCTCCAGGCCTGTATGTGTGTGTGTGTAAGCATCTCTACCCACCTCAACGTGGTGGGACCTGCACAGGATAGAAACAGGGCAAGAGTGACTATTCATTCCCATGCCCCATTGCATTTTCTGCAGCAAATCAATATATATCGGCGAAGGGATCTTTTCTTTTCCTTTCTTTTTGTAAAGTGGAGCAGGGCTCCCCATTGCCCATTTCATCCACTCTGGGATATTGGCATATTCACAGGTATTTCCTACAAGATGAAACATCCATTCTACAAACATGTGGCTTACTCCTAGGGATGAGCAGCAAACAAATTTAGCCGGGACTAAATATCAACCAGGGCTAACGAAGGCTTAGGCCACAACCTGGCCAGTTACTGAGAGTGAAAAAAACTGCAATGGACAACTTGAGGTTTCTCTAAATATATGTGTAGAGTCACATTAGAAGTACATAAGAAATCTCTCCTCTGAAATTTATTATGAAAATATAAAAAATTGTTTTAAGTCAAAGCCTTGTAATTAATTGAGCAAGAAGAAATTCACTACTTTAGTTCATTTAATCATCAAATTTTGTTGTTTTGTATGGGAAAAGGCAGGTTTGGTAGTTTGCATTTTCATTTCATATAAGTTGATTTCACTAAAGAAGGAGGAAGAGGAGAAGAAAAGAAAATAAGATGGATGGGCCAGGTGCAGTGGCTCATGCCTGTAATCCCAGCACTTTGGGAGGCCAAGGCGGGTGGATCACGAGGTCAGGAGATCGAGACCATCCTGTGAATGGTGAAACCCCGTCTCTACTAAAAATACAAAAAATTAGCTGGGCGTGGTGGCGGGCGCCTGTAGTCCCAGCTACTTGGGAGGCTGAGGAGGGAGAATGGCGTGAACCCGGGAGGCGGAGCTCACAGTGAGCCGATACCGTGCCACTGCACTCCAGCCTGGGTGACAGAGCGAGACTCCATCTCAAAAAAAAAAAAAAAAAAAAGAAAATAAGATGGATGGGCTAGGTGTGGTGGCTCATGCCTGTAATCCCAGCATTTTGGGACTCCTGGACTTGAGGTTAGGAGTTCGAGACCAGACTGGCCAACATGGTGAAACCCCATCTCTACTAAAAATACAAAAATTAGCCAGGCTTGGTGGCGCTTGCCTGTAATCCCAGCTACTCGGGAGGCTGAGGCAGGAGAATCGCTTGAACCTGGGAGGGAGAGGTTGCAGTGAGCTGAGATCACGCCATTGCACTCCAGCTTGGGTGACAAGAGTGAAATTCCATCTCAAAAAAAAAGAAAAAAGAAAGAAAAAGAAAAGAAGAAAAGAAAAGAAAAGAAAGAAAAGAAAAAGAAGAAAAGAAAAGGAAAGAAAAGGAAAGAAGATGGATGATTTAAGTTTGGACAGCATCTCTGTCCCAGCGACAGCGGTTATTATACTCACACCCGTGGCCTCACACATGCCACACTACACTGAGCTTAAAGCACCTGGAATGGGCTGAGACATTAGACCAATTTTCACTCTAAAATGTTTCTTAGGATTAAAAAAAATAACATTTCTTAAGTAATCAGAAATAATCTCCAAGTCCTGTAAAAGAAGTAAAAGGGTTGGCAGAATCTACCCATAAGAAAGGAGTTGCTGGTTTTCCTACCCAGCTCTGTGAGGGTTTCTCACTCTGATCCTCAGGCCCAACCTCCTTGCCTCCTCCCAGATGGGCTACTGTTGTCCTTGTCCTCAAGGTGGGTGCATGTGGGAAGCACCCATTGTCATCTAACAGGTCAACTTGGTAATAAAGCCTAAAATTGAAATCAACAAAAGCTGGATTGCTTGGGCGCGGTGGCTCACGCCTGTAATCCCAGCACTTTGGGAGGCTGAGGTGGGCAGATCACAAGGTCAGGAGATCGAGACCATCCTGGCTAACACGGTGAAACCCCGTCTCTACTAAAAATACAAAAAATTAGCTGGGAGTGGTGGCAGGCGCCTGTAGTCCCAGCTACTTGGGAGGCTGAGGCAGGAGAATGGTGTGAACCCGGGAGGCGGAGCTTGCAGTGAGCCGAGATCACGCCACTGCACTACAGCCTGGGCGACAGAGCGAGACTCCGTCTCAAAAAATATATATATTTTTTATATATATGTATATATTTAAGTAAACAATATTTATTTACTTAAATATGTTATTCAAAATATTTGATATTTAATAAATTATTCATTAAATTATGTAATTTAATAAATTTAATAAATATGTAAATATATTTATTTAAATATATCTTTATATTTTTATTTAAATATATTTACATTTTTATTTAAATATATATTTACATTTTTATTTAAATATATATTTGTTTTTTACTTAAATGTATATTTTTATTTAAATATATCTTTATATTTTTTACTTAAATTTTTTTATTTAAATATATCTGTATATACACACATTTATTAAAATATATATATTTAAACTTACTGGGATTTCTTTCTTCATGCAACCAGGAACATAGCTTTTAATAACTTAAATCAATATTTTAAAAAATCCTAAATGTTTTTAATTCCAAGAAAAATTTAAGTTAAACATGTAAGAAAAAAGAAATTTGATGGGATGACTGGTATTAGCTGAGGGACCTGCTAAGAAGAAAAGTGACCGCTCTGAGCTAGCATCTCTCTAAGTCTTGTACATCCCTGTCCCATGAAAAGGGTGCTTAGGTTGTGCCACGTTGTTAATTTTCTTTGCACTGTGGTTACATTTCTGTCTCAGACCACAAGCAGCATGTTCCACTCTCTCCACACGAGTGCTACTGGGCTGGTGGTTAGCAGGAGGCAACCAGAGGGAGCAAGTTAATTTGGGGGCGTCCCAAATGCAAATCTACTTAGAGTAGCCTCCATTTGAAGAGTAATCCTTCTGTCAGCTGCTGGTAAAGACACCGTTCACATTGAAAATGGCCTTTGTCCTAAAGAGTTGTGTTTTCCAACACAAGCATCCGATCGAGAGGATTCTGTCTTGGACTGGCAGTCAGTGCTACCGCCGAAACAACCTTTGTTATAACAGTGATAGCTAACATTTACTGAAGAATTATGTGTGAAGCCCTTCCCATTTTGTATCCCATTTATGACAATCCTATGAAGTAGGTATTATGATACCATTCCCATCTTACAGATAAGGAAACTGAGACTTAGGGATGTTAAATAACTTGCCCAAGGACACACAGCTTAGAAGTGGTAGACACAGGTCTGACCCAGGCAGTCTGTGCCCAAAGATACTCTAATTAATCATTCCACCTCATGGATCCTGGCACTGCCACTTGTTCCAGCCCTACCACTAACCCAATGACATGGGTGAAATCATTGACTTTCTATAACACGGGACAAGGAAATAAGGGACTAGATCATCTTTGTGGTCACTTATGGCTCTGACATTTCACAAGCCTAAGAACTGCTTTATCTCTAACTCAAAACATCGGTCTGCTGAAACAGGATGACGCTTTGGGTTGGAGGAGTGCTTAGTTGTGATTATGGATATGGCCATAATTACAAAGGGGCAAAAAGTGTCCTTTCTCTCATTAGGATAAGACCTAGTAAACTAGAGCTTTGGATATCAATTTGGAGCAAAGGTAGGGAGGAGAGAGCATGGAGAAAGAACACGAAGAAAAGCTAAGATTCCATTTCTGTAGTAAGGAAGGGAGAACAGCCTCCCACACTCCAGAGGCCCCACAGCTTCCCTTCCACATCATTCAACACAAGTTTGAGAACCTTAGGGGCTATGGAAAGCATAAGGCTTATGATTACCATTTTGCAGCAAATAGTTAACCTAATTAGTCAGACTACACAAGAGTGGGTGCCAGATCTCTTGACTCCCCAGTCTGTCGCTTCTTCAACCCAAAGGCCTGCCTTTCATGGGGCCAGATCTTAGCTTCAACTACTCAAGCAGGGATCTTTTAAAGTTAAAGACAAAACCGTTCTGTGTAGTGAAGATAAACAAAAAACAACCTAAATCACAGAATACACAAAGCACCCCAAAAAGGTTGTCATAGAAGAACACGGAATGAAACTTTTAAAATGTTCTTAATAAATGTTTGCGAAAATATTGCAATTTACAAAATAATATCCAGGATCAAATTTTATTTTGAAAAAAAACTAATGATTTACAAAATATAAGACATGTTACTAGTAATGATTCTTCCCAGCACTTTGGGAGGCTGCACTGAGAGAATCGCTTGAGTCCAGGAGTTCAAGACCAGCCCGGGCAACATGGGAGACCTTGTCTCTACAAAAAATTAGAAAGAAAAAAATTAACCAGGCATGGTGGTGCGTGCCTGTAGTCCCAGCCACTCGGTAGGCTGAGGTGGGAGGAATGCTTGAGCAGTGGGGAGGGCGAGGCTGCAGTGAGCTGCGATGGTGCCACTGCACTCCAGTTTGTGTGACAGAGCAAGATCCTGCCTCAAAAAAAAAAAGAAAAGAAAAAATAGTAATGATTCCTTGGTGATAGAATTTTTATCTTAATATTTTTCCTTTATATGTTCTGCCCAAGAACACCCATTTCTTTTGTGATAATCAAAATTGGTGTGAATTCTCATAAGTGGGAGTTGAACAATAAGAACACACAGACACAGGGGGAACATCACACACCAGGGCCTGTCGAGGGGTGGGGAGCAAGAGAAGGGAGAACATTAGGACAAATACCTAATGCGTGCGGGGCTTAAAACCTAGATGACAGGTTGATAGGTGCAGCAAACCACCATGGCACATGTATACCTATGTAACAAACCTGCACGTTCTGCACATGTATCCCAGAGCTTAAAGTAAAATAAATAAACAAACAAATAAATAAATAAATATTGGTTCTATTAAAAAAACTGGTATGAATTAATTGATTGATTAGTAACAGAATTTTTCCTCGTCACATTGGCAAACATATTTGATAATGGCTCTCATAAATGTTAAGTCTCAAATTTCATCATTAAAATAAAACTAAAAGCTTTGTCAGCCCAGTGGCTATAGGTTACATTCAGCCCCTGCCTTAGCCAGTGCCCTGAGTCCAAAGCCTGCTCCCACATCCTCCATGATGGGCTTCACTATCACGAATATTTCTGGAGCCCATGTGGGGTGCTTAGTGCAGCCAATACAAAAATTAGGGACATATTCCCTATCCTTCCCCACCCAAGGGCCTCTGAAGTCAGCAGGGTCCTCTCAGAGCTGATAATACTCTGTCTTGTTTTTAGTCAAGCCATGTGCTAAAGACATAGGAAGTTGGTGATTGAATCAAGTAAAAAACACTCTCATCCAAGGAAAAACGACTCACTCAAATTCTCTTGGGCCCAAAACATGGCTCCTCTCAGACAGGGCCTTCTCTCTTTGTGGCTCTGGGCCTGTGACCCTGGCTGATACTCAAGGACTGACTGAGTGGAAACATTTTTCTCAAGGTCTGGCAGTTTTGGTGGAAGCACAGCCCAGAGACCCTTATCCCAGGGGCAGCGTCTGGTAAGGGGTTGGATGGGTGAGGGCAGGTGACTGACAGCTGGAAGAACTGAGAGGGACAACATCAGGGACTTTTCTTTGGTCACTAGGCTGTTAATTCCAAGATGGCAGGGAATAGGTCTTCTCCACTATAACCCCAGTATGTAGTGCAGAGCCTAGGCCGTAGTAGGAAATTAACAAATAATTATTACTGAATGAATGAAAGAAACTAGAAGTTAAAGTGGGAGATCTCATCTTAATCTATGTTAGTACAGGCTTTTAGAACTGATTCCTTTCTCCCACAGAAGTGATTGGTGTCAGATGTCTGTTATCAGAAAAAAAAATCATTCATTAAAATTCAAAGGAAGACTTCCCTTTACTTTTTGTTCCTTTATTCTATTAAAATGTCATCTCTTTGTGATCGCTTCTGCTTTGAGTTGTATTTCTTTGTAACAAATGAGCTTTAATTCAAATGGGTGATCTCCAAGCACTAGGTTTCTCTTTCCCACCTACAATATTTCCCCCAAGTTAGATAGGAGAAACAAACCCAGTGTACCCTCAGTACTCTGCCTGGAGTACTGAGAAGCTTCTAGAATTAGCAAATGTGAGTCTCAGTCAAACCTCTATGTGTGCGCCAAAGAGCCAGAATAACAGACTTCAAATAAAGTAATGAATACCTGCAATTTCAGCTGAAAACAGTTACTGTTTCTGGGCTCAATTTCTATGAAAGTGGTGTAACGGGGAAAAGGAAGAGATGAGGGGAGGGGGACACAGAGGCCCGTCAAAGAGAGACTCTACATTTTTTAAAGTTCATGTAGAAGATAGTTTTGGGGGATTGCCTGCAGTTTCTAGAATAAAGATGTTGATCACCTGAGGTTCCATCTCCCTTTATTTGAGGGAAGATCTCCAAGATGGGTTTCTTAGTAACAAAAAAGCAAGAATACAACCATTGCCTTTAGAACAAAACTTGAATCTGAATAGAGATGATGCAGTCTGAAATTTTCATTCTCAAAAAAAAAAAAAAAAAAAAAACCCAGCTCGTTGGTGAATAAAAAGCAACTGATTGATCAGTTCATCTTAAGGACAGCCAACTTCAGTGTGGACCATATCTATGATAAACCCACATGAGCTACAAGTGAACCTAGAGACTGGGACTGGAGAATAGAGGAGGAAAGAAGAGGGAAGTAAGTTTGCAAGTAACAGTAAAAACAGCTCAAACTGGCTTTAAAAATGAAGGGTGCAGTGAGTGGCTCATGCCTGTGGTCCCAGCACTGTGGGAGGCCAAAGCGGGCAGATTACTTGCAGTCAGGAGTTCGAGACCATCCTGGTCAAAGTGGCAAAACCCATCTCTACTAAAAATAGAAAAATTAGTCCAGGCGAGGTGGCTCACGTCTCTAATCCCAGCATTTTGGGAGGCCGAAGTGGGAGGATCACAAGGTCAGGAGATCGAGACCATCCTGGCTAACACGGTGAAACCCGTCTCTACTAAAAAATACACACACACACACAAAATTAGCTGGGCATGGTGGCGCATGCCTGTAGTCCTAGCTACTCGGGAGGCTGAGGCAGGAGAATGGCGTGAACCCGGGAGGTGGAGCTTGCAGTGAGCCGAGATCGAGCCACTGCACTCCAGCCTGGGCAACAGAGGGAGACTCTGTCTCAAAAAAAAAAAAAGAAAGAAAGAAAAATTAGCCCGGGGTGGTGGTGCATGCCGGTAGTCCCAGCTACTCGGGAGGCTGAGGCACGAGAATCGTTTGAACAAGGGAGGCAGAGGTTGCAGTGAGCAGAGATCATGCCACTGCACTCCTGCCTGGGCTACAGAGAAAGACTCTGTCTCAAACAATAAAAATAAAAATAAAGGGCATTCATTAGCAGGGAGTCCAATGAGCTTAGGCAAGGGTGACCCAACAGTTGGTCAATAATGTCACCAAAGATCTGGTCTGAATCATCTTACGCCTGGCTTCCCTCATGGTCACAGTTCTGTTGCCAGCTGCTTCCAGGCCACATGCTTCCCCCTTTCCCACCCAGCACAAGGGAGAGCCTCTCCAGGTAACTTCCACAGAGGAGCAAGGAAGCTTCTTTCCTAGAACTTCTGGCTAACATCCCTCCATCTCCTTGGCTGGAATTGGGCCACATCCCATTCCTGAACCAAAGACTGCCACCCGGATATGCTGACTGGCTTAATTTCACCTTTGAAACTGGTGGGGACCCTCTGCTTTCCGCCAGGCACTGGAGCTGCCTGGGGAGAAATGTACACCTGAATGACAATTGCAGGGCTCTTACTAAGCAAAAGGGAAGAGGAATTGGTGCTAAAGGCCAAAATCAGCAAGAAGCAACTGACTAGTAGAAGGTGGGGCAGAGGAGACCAGGAAGAAGAGAGGCCGTAGGGAGCGGTAGAGGATAGGGTGCTGCGCGCCGCACATGTGACCTCCTGCCCTCTCAGATACCAATCTTCAGGAAGAGCCACAGAAATTAGGAAATGCTTGCTGTGGTTGAATTTCTTGCAGAAACTCATGAAGAGACTGAGTTTTGCATCCTGGGTTGATGCAGGTGAAACCACATTAGCATATGACAAGCCAGGGGCCAGGACCAAAAAGATTATGAAAGTGAGTCTAGGGAAGGAGGCCACTATGCGGGGAGGACTTAATGGCTGGACTTAACTGGGTTGCGAATATTGGGATATAAGAGGCAGAAAGCTGGCTATCTGACAAAGGGGCTGCAGCCCTGTAAGTTGGTCATATAGTTAGCTGAATTCCATTCTTTCTTACAAGGGGAGTGACCTTCTAGAAAGGAAGGCTTGACTGGATATTGACATTCTCAAGATGCGTTGTTTAAGATTGAATAACTTAGTCTTTAAAAGAAGTGCTGTGTACTACTCAGACCACCTTATCTGGCTCTAAGTCCGCGCTGTGTGTGTTGTTGGGTAGGGGTTAAGAGCCGGGCCTTACCTGAATCAGGAAATTGGTAGGAGGGTCCGTTCTCTCCGCTTGAACCCTGTGGAGGCTGCAGGCAAGCACTGGGGACCTAGCCATGGGGTAGCTGGAGGAGCTGGTGAGTGGGTTCTGCAAGGCTGAGGAGCTCAGGAGACACCTGAAGAGTGTCTGGACTGCTTCCTTTCAGCAGTAACAGGACGTGGCAACACCATCTGGGAATGGATCCTTGGACTGACCTACCAGTGACCAAAACCAGCAAAGACCCCTTTGGACTAAGTATGAAACCCAGAGAGTTTGGAGGACTCTCCGGAGAGGAAGTCCAGGCTTCCCCCAGTTTGTGAGAAAGGGCCCAGCTCAGAGTTATATTAATATGATATTCATACTAAAAGGAATGTGAATAGCAAAACCTAAAAATTAGAAAAAAATTTTTTACAAGAAATGTACAAGTTGGATGGCAAGCTCACTGGCTCAGTGCAGGGATTCTGGCTTGACCATGTCCATGACCTCGGTCCAGAAGCTCAACCCCGTTGTGCTTCAGCTCCTTATGCCTGAAACAGGGATGCTAAGACTGGTGTGTGGGTTAAATGAGTTAGGCTGAATATGATGTAAAGTTGTTGGAATAGTGCCTGGCACATATATGAGGTGTCATAATAAGGAAAAGGGAATTTAAGTGGCATAAATACACTGTGACAAATGGAAGGAAACGGGAATAAAAGCAACAAAATTGTAGAAGCTGCAAAGTGGATGAGCAAGAGGTAACTGACCTGGCAGACCGAAGAAACTGGGCCTTTTTTCAAGTGGGGGTTCCCAGAAAGCACACAGTTCACCCCATAGAACCCAGAAAGTCTCTTAAACTGGAAGTCCCAGGAATCCCCAAAAGCAGAAGTTGGGAGGACTAAAAACAAGACTGGATCTCCTCCCCAACCCTGTGCTGCTGGTGACAGCCCCTTAACCCTGACGGAGTGAAGGTTTACTCTGATCTCAAGGACATAGGCACAGCTGAGGGGAGAGGTGCTATACCGAAAACAGAATTCAGAGAAAGTTCACCTCCTCAGCAGAGATCCACAGCCCCTGGCTCTCTCACTGCCAGACTGTTTGCAGCGAGGCAAATACACCCAGATGAGACCTCGGAAAACTCTGGGAAACTGACCAGCCCACAAGAAAAGACTTACACACACTGAAGTGGGGTTCAGATGGGGCAGGCCAGCAAGATGTCCTTCCAGTGAAGGCCACCAGTGACAATACGCATTCTAGAGTCCTCACTAAGTGTGAGCCTCTGGTATGAAAGACAGAGACCAAAACCAACAAACAGGAAGAAAAAGAATTTGGAGCCAGGCACAGTGGCTCACACCTGTAATCCCAGCACTTTGGGAGGCTGAGGCAGGCAGATCTCTTGAGCCCAGGAGTTCAAGACCAGCCTAGGCAACATGGTGAAATCTGTCTCTAGAAAATATACAAAAATTAGCCAGACATGGCAGCAGGCACCTGTAGTCCCAGCTACTCAGGAGGCTGAGGTGGGCAGATCGCCAGGAGGTCAAGGCTGCAGTGAGCTGTGAATATGCCACTGCACTCCAGCCTGGGAGACAAAGAGAGACCCTGTCTGAAAAAAAAAAAAGGAATTTGGAAAAAGGCAAATTTCAGGGAGGAAAAAAATTATTTAATTATTACTAATATCTTAAAAGACAAAATATAATATATTGCATCAATAACATAAGAATAGATTGCTGTATAAAAAGGGCATTAGGCTGGGCTCAGTGGCTCGCGGCCTGTAATCTCAGCACTTTGGGAGGCCGAGGCGGGTGGATTACTTGAGTCCAGGAGTTCAAGACCAGCTTGGATAACATAGTGAAACCCTGTCTCTACTAAAAGTACAAAAATTAGCTGGGAGTGGTGGCATGTGCCTGTAGTCCCAGCTATTCAGCAGGCTGAGATGGGAGGATTGTTTGCACCTGGGAGGTGGAGGTTGCAGTGAGCCAAGATCGTGCCACTCCACTCCAGCCCTGGTGACAGAGCGAGACCCTGTCTCAAAAATAAATAAATAAATAATTTAAAAATGAAATGAAAAAAATAAAAAGGACATTAAAAGATAAAAGAGAATCCTTGGAATTAAAAATACAACAGTAAGCTGGGTACAGTGACTCACGCTTATAATCCCAGCACTTCGGGAGGCCAAAAGAGGAGGACTACTTGAGCCCAGGAGTTCGAGACCAGCCTGGGAAGCATAGCGAGACCTTGTCTCTACTAAAAATCAAAAAAATTATCTGGGCATGGTGGCATGCACCTGTAGTTTCAGCTACTTGCTGGGGAGGGGCGGGCAAGGTGGGGTGCACTGAGATGGGATGATCACTTGAGCCAGGAAGTCGAGGCTGCAGTGAGCTGGGACTGCACCGCTGCACTCCAGCCTGGGTAAGAGGGCAAGACCCCATCTCAAAAAAAAAAAAAAAAAAAAGAGAGAGCAGAAATAAAACAAATTATTAGAAGGATAGAAGAACAGAAGATAGTGTCAAGGAAAAAACTAAAAGAAGGAAAATAGAAAAACTTCAAGGATCAATACAGGAGATGTATGTATGGCAGGTCAGGACCTACTAAGGTGTCCACAGAAGTGAGATTTATGTCCTGCCTGAACTTCATCCTCCTACAAGTCTATTTCAGCCAGTTTGTGGTTGTATTTCGATGTCTCCTCAAGGGAACAGGGCTGGAGCATCCTGCTCTGCCATTTTACTAACATGAATAATCTAAAGTACATTTTGATGGCAGCAATTTTTGCTCCTGTTTTTTTTTTCCTTTTGTGAAAACTGTTAATGTTCCCATGCTTTAAGATGTATTTTAGAAGAACAGAATAAATTTCTTAAAACAAATTCATACATCCTGTTAAGAAACCAGGCTGTTTCGAAAAAGAGTTCTATTGAGTTCTCATTTGAAAATACTTAAATAGGGGAAGCACTCCGAAGACATACAGAGGGGCTCAGGAGCCAGCACAGGGATGAGTCCTTGGGTCAGAGGGGAACTAAGTCTCTTTACTCTCAGAGCTCTCTGTCTCTCCCACCCAGAGGCCACATAATTCACAACTTAGCTAATAAAACTAAACCTTAGGTGCCATGCCATTCAGACCTCAAGTCCAATGTCCAGATACTAAATCTCTCACCACAAGGCCTGGGGTCTTTCCAACCCAGAGCTTACCAACTCCATGGGGCATCCTCACTGACTCTGGGCTTCCCAAGCAACACCCTGGTCACAGCATACAGAATTGTTCACCGCCTGGTTCAGTGATGAGGGTGGCTCTCCCACTAATAATTTTTTATTTTCCAGGCAGCTGTGGTGACACCTCAAACAGGTAATGCATCTCTTAATTAATATTTGAATACAACCAATTCATATAAACCAAAACATAATTCATATTGTATTACATAAGCTCCCATTTCTCAAAAAAAAAGAAAAATCAGGACCACATATTCCAGGGCTCACTTAGAATCTGCCTACATTTAGCCATTTCCTTGTGTACATGTCTTGTTAAATCCTATACATTTGGGAAGTTGCCTGGGATATAAATGCCACAGTCATCCCCGCCGATGTCACATACTCCTCCTTTCTCAGCTGGGATATGATCTAAGGCCACAAAGTTTTAGAGTACTACATTTCTCAAAGCCATCATTCTTATGATCCATTTCCAATCTCTCATGTGGCCTTTGTCCCTGCATACATTAGGAATTGTATATCCATACTGTTCCAGAGCTTATCCTGAGTTCCTGACTCTCAGTCTTGTTCTCCCCACCACCACCATCTCTCTGGTAGACATCACATGGCACATATATCCAGTAGGTAGAATTCGGAGCAGGCCACCACTCTACCCATTACCAAGTCTACCTTGTAGGATCTGCATTGAGAGGCAATGGTATGGAACCATTAGGAACCATCATGGTGTTCCAAGAACATCTTCCACCTCCTCCTGGGTTTATGAAATGTGTGTATCTTGAACAAGGGAGTAGCCTTACAAGGGTGCATGTCTTGGTGTGTTTGGGGGATTGGGAAGCCAGTCATGAGTTTTAAGTGCTCAGATTCTAGGCATTATGGTCCCTGACCCCAGATGCATGAAAGTTAGTAGGCCGAATGCACTTCCAATCACTTCACCTTCACCTCGAGTTCAGGGTTTTGGTTGTCCCCAACACCCATAATGGCAGGTGCCTTTCCTGACATTTCCTCTTCATTTATGATATTTATGAGGTTTTCCACTGGAGACAGGTCACCCAACAGCCTAACTGGTGGCCTGTGGCTCTTGCCTGGTTTAACACCAGACACCATGATATCCCATCCCTCAGGGATTCTGGAGTGCAGGGTCTTTTTCCAACTCTGTGGAAAGCTATTTTCCCTAAGGATTTGTTGAGTATAGATCAACTGTCAGTGGTCCTGACTGCCCTAGGAGTGCCATAACCCTGCCTACTGGTTCTGATTAAATTACCCCTCCAGTTGCAACTGACCCTCCACATAGGACAAGCTATTTGGCTTACATTGTATTCCAATTGGTATCATAGCCCAGTGTGTCCCAGAATAACCTCACCATTATTATGATTTTCTTTTTTTTTTTTTTTTTTTTGAGATGGAGTTTTGCTCTGTCGCCCAGGTTGGAGTGCAGTGGCACAATCTCAGCTCACTGCAATCTCTGCTTCCCAGGTTCAAGCAATTCTCCTGCCTCAGCCTCCTGAGTACTTGGGATTACAGGCAAGTGCCACCATGCCCAGCTAATTTTTGTATTTTTAGTAGAGATGGGGTTTCACCATGTTGGCCAGGCTGGTCTTGAACTCTTGACCTCAGGTGATCCACCCACCTTGGCCTCCCAAAGTTCTGGGATTACAGGTGTGAGCCACCACACCCAGCCAACCTTACTATTATTAAGAGGATAGTAGGGGCTTCCTTAAGTTTCTCTTCACAGGTAACAGGGCAGGGCTCACCACACCTGGTCAGGGCTGTGGCTCTCCAGAGCCCCAGAGTAACCACTAACCCTCCCTTTCTCCCCAGGCAGAAAACACCAGGGATTGCAAAGGAAACCAGATGCCGAGCTCTGGATGGGGCTTTCGTGAAGCTAAAGCACAGGAACTTGAGCCGCATTGACAGGCGCGTTGTCAGGCCAGACTTCCGGCCTCCCCCATTGTCCCCGAAGGCTTGATTCAGGAGTGTCTGAAATGGACAAATAAATCTAAATCATCACCCTCATAGGGCAGTCAGTAGAAGTGACTCATTCTAGAGTAACGGTGAGAGGAATTCCAGAATGACATTGATATTCCACGATATGCAATGGACCTAGAGAGTTGCCCATCCTTGAGGTATCTCCCCAGATGGAAAAATCAAACAAAGAGGTAAGGGAGTGCTTGAAAGTAACAAGAGTTACATCTCCGGGGGACGGTTTGGGGATAAATTTGTGATAGATGCTTAGAAAACCAAACAACAAGAAATAGAGACACATGCAAATATTAATAATTGCATATGAAAAAATAATCACTAAAGATTGATTTCACTAAAAATTATTATGTAACTTTATTGGGAGGATGAAGGGAAGAAGGGTAGAATGAGGCATTCAAGAGTTAAGCCCTCTTAACTCTTCCAAAGTAGAAAGTTAACAAACTATGTCCACAACAAAAAATCGTCCAGAAATAACAGTATATGCTGGTTAGCTGAAATTTAGAGGCAAAGCCAGGTGCAGTGGCTCATGCCTGTAATCTCAGTACTTTGGGAGGCCAAGGCAGGAGGATCGCTTGAGGCCAGCAGTTCAAGACCAGCCTGGGCAACATGGTGAAACCCTACAAAAATACAAAAATGAGCCGGGCATGGTGAAATATGCCTGTAGTCTCACCTATTCGGGAGGTTGAAGAAGGAGAATCACCTGAGCCCTGGAAGACTGAGGCAGCAGTGAGCCATGATCGTACCACTGCACTCCAGCCTGGGTGACAAAGACAGACCCTGTCAAAAGAAAAGAAAAGAGAGAGTGAGAGGAAAGAAAGAAAGAGAGAGAGAAAAAGAAAGAAAGAAAGAAAGAAAGAAGGAAAGAAAGAAAGAAAGAAAGAAAGAAAGAAAGAAAGAAAGAGGAAGAAGAGAGGGAGGGAGGAAAAAGAAAAGAATAGGAAAGAAAAGAAAAGAAATTTACAGGCAAATATCAGAAGAACCAACTAAAAACATGGTTGCCATTAGAAAGTAGGGTTGGAGGAACAGAACAACTATTTCTGATGAAAATCTTATAGAATGATTTGCCTTTTTAATCTCCTTATTGATAAAGCTAGACACATACACAACTGATTTTTAAGGATTAAATTAAAATTTTTAAGCATCCTCATTAAAAAATGTGGAAGACACAAAAAAGTAGAAAAAGAGAAAACCATTGGTTCTCTACCCCTGAGAATGAGAGAGCTCACAAGTACTATAAATATGACTTCAAAAATATTCTTCTTTATAGAGATGGGGTCTTCCTATGCTGCCCAGGCTTGTCTCAAATTCCTGGGCTCAAGTAATCCTTCTGCCTCAGCCTCCCAAAGTGTTGGGATTACAGGTTTGAGCCATCACACCCATCCAATATGACTTTTTAAATATCTAAGTTGTAATTTTTAAAATATATAATAAAATTTAATCACAAATTAAAATAAAAATTATAAACACAATTTTAAAAATGTAAACCGAATTTGACTGCTTTTTACTCATAATAAAAATTTGTTATTATATATGCTTTATGAAAATCCTTAATCATGGCTCTGTAGTTGGATATTATAATTTTTTTCTTGGAGTGTTTCTATTGTAAACAGAAATCCAAGGAAAAGTACGGTGCCTAAAACAGTGGCTGCAACATGGTGGGAACTCAATAAATGTTTGTGAAATGGTAAACGAGTGAATGAGAAATCCTAATTCACTAAACACTTGTGAGCATCTAATATCCTACCTTCAGGGCTCAAGTTCATTGAATGCATAGACTGTGCCATATTAATGATTGGGTTCTGGTCTGGGGTAAATGATGTGACCCACCAGGTGCCTGGCACACACCTATCACAGACAGGGATTCCATAATAAATATGACACTTTTTGAGCTATCAAACATATTAAATCTCACAGATTCCTGAGTAGATTGTCCTTCTAACCTATGATAGCTGAAACAGGGAATCTTCATTCACTTATTCAACAAGTATGCAATGAATGCCTTCTGAGTGCCAGGCACTGTTCTAGGCTTAGTGTATGAAACACACCCAAATCTCTAGCCTCACGGAGCTTAATTTCTACTGTAGGGAGAGATAATAAACAGGACAAATAAGTAAAATATGTATATGTTACATAGTGATAACTGCTACAGAGAAAAATTAAGTAGCGAACAGGGACAGGGAATGTCAGAAATGTGATGAGGGGGAGAGGAGTTGCAATTCAAATTAGTCACCAAAGTCCCATGGAGGTGAAGGTGCATTCAGACCTGAAGGCAGCAAGGGAGGAGCCATCTGAACCCATGCTGCTCTGAGGCAATGGAGAGTGGGACGGGGGTAAGGTGGTATCCACCTGCTCTGTGACCCCTCATCTACCATGCATAGCAGAGCAAGCTACTCAACCTTTCTCTGGGGCCCTCAGAGTGGGAGTAACGTTAACTCCTAGAATATATAATAGTACATGAAGATTCTAGAGACTGAATTTTTTTTGCTCTCCTCTATGATTTTTGTGATGATATCAGAGAAACATCTCTCCCCACCTACCTGCTCAATCCCCAAACACCATCTCCCTCCTGTCAACCATCATATTGCATCATACAATATAAAATGAAGGGTCATTGGTATTGACCAACAGCAGTAACTTATAAACTGCTAAAAAAAAAAAAAAATGAGCTAACTGGGAGAGGTGGGATGCACCTGTAATTCTGGCTGCTCAGGAGGCTGAGGTGGGAGGATGGCTTGAGGCCAGGAGTTCAAGACCAGCCTGGCCAACACTGGAAGACCTCATTTCTAAATAAATAAATAAAGTGGAGTTGTAGTCATCACCTTTCTAATAGGTTAACATTCTTCCCCTTTTTATTCTAAAGTGGTTTCAAGTTGTAAATCGGCCAAGTACCACTTATCCAGAGGTTCCACATGCCAGACACTGTGCCAGCACGGGGGAAATAGCTTCTTCCGTCATGCACTGCCTGCTCACAGATAGAAGCAAAAACACTCCTTTACAGCTGAGCTATGAAGCCAGACTGCCTGGACTCAAATCCAGGCAGTAATCTGGCAGATTACTTAACCTCTGCATGCTTTCGTTCCCACGTCTGTAAAATGGGGATCAAAATAGATTGACTGTATGAACTATATGGACAAATATATGCAAAGTGCTTAGAACAGGACCTGGTGTATCATAAGCACTCAATAAATGTCAGCTTTAAAAATGACATAAATAGAAGATAGTATTTTTTAAAACATTTACTACATCTAGTTTCACAGAGATCCTGGTTAGGAGAGGGCCCACACCTCCAAGTCTGACCTGTGTAATTGGATAAAATCCTCCTCCTCTACACACCACTATTTGCATTCACTGATTTTTGTAGAGACTTAGGACTCTCATGGGAAGTGGTAGGAAGGTTTTTCTTGTTTTAATATTATTGATGTAGGCCTTTTATTATTTCCTTCCTTCAGCTTGCTTTGGGTTTAATTGCTTTTCTTTCTCTAGTTTCTTATGGTAGGAGCTTAGTTTATTGATTGGAGACATTTCTTCTTTTCTAATATAAGCATTTAATGCCATAAATTTTCCTCTAAAGCACTGCCTCAGTTGCAATTCACAAATTAGATATAATTTGTTTTTATTTTGTTCACAGTATTTTTTTCATTTGTCTTGAGGCTTTCCTTTTGGCCCATGGATTATATGGAAGTGTGTTGTTTAATTTCCAAATATTTGGGAATTTTCCAAATATCTTACTTACTGATTTCTAGCTTAATTCCATTATGCGCCAAGCACATACTTTGTGAAATTTCCAGTTTTTAAAGTGTTTTAAGATTTTCTTTATGGTTCAAAATATGTTTGACCTTGTTGAAAAGTCTATGTAGAAGATAAAAAATTATGTATTCTGTTGCTGAGTAGAGTATTGTATAAATGTCAATTAGGTCAAGTTGGTTGATGTTATCCAGAGTGCAGTGGCGCGATCTTGGCTCACTACAACCTCCACCTACCAGGTTCAAGCCATTCTCCTGCCTCAGCTTCCCAAGTAGCTGGGATTATAGGTGTGTACCACCACGCCCAGCTAATTTTTCTATTTTGAGATGGGGTTTTGCCATGCTGGCCTAGGCAGGTCTCAAACTCCTGATCTCAAGTGATCTGCCCAGGTCGGCCTCCCAAAGTCCTGGGATTACAGGCATGAGCCACTGCACCCGGCCTGGTCTTTTGTGATTTTCTGTCTACTCTTTCTTTCAACCATTGAGAGAAGAATGTTGGAATTTCCATCTGTAAATGTGAATTTGTCTTTCTCTTTTCTGTTCTAGCAGTTTTTGCTTCATGTTTTTTTAAGCACTGATGTTAGGTATGTACACACTTGTTATGTCTTCTTGGAGAGTTGACCGTTTTCTTATTATGTAACATTACTATTCCTGATAATATTTCTTATTCTGAAGTGTACTTTGTCAGATATTAATATTATAAGCTGCTCAGGCTTTCTTGTGGTTAATGCTTACATGGTGTTTATTTTTCATTCTTCTACTTATAATAAATATATATTTTTATATTTCATGTGAGACAATATCAAATCGCCTAATATGCATGCAATCAAAATACCAAAAGGAGAAGAGAGATTGAGAAGAAATATTGGGAGAACGAATGGCCAAGATTTCTTCCAAAATTCATGACAGATACCAAACCACAGATCTAAGAAGCTCAGAAACATCAAGCGAAACACAAAAACAAACAAACGATTGATCAAAAATGTCACACCTAGGTATATCATTTTCAAACTGCTGAAAATAGAAGACAGGAAATCCCAAAGACAGCCAGGGAAAAAAGGCATATTATATTTTTTGGGAAAGGCAGGAGACTCCCAAAGAGTGATCAGAAACATTGTTCCACTGCCCCTTTAAAGGTCACCAACCTGAAATTTAAAAACAAATCTAGAATTGGCTTCACCAAACTTAGAGCAACCTATTTTGCACCAATCTGAAAACTTTCAGTAAAGTACCCTTTGACCACCAGGAATTCCAAAGCACAGGGAAGTGGCTTATTCAAAATCACCCAGGAAAACAACTCCCACACACACACAAGTACACTTCCGTCACCCACCCACATCTTCATCAACCTGCCTGCTCTGCCCACTGGCCCTGCCGGTAACATTTGTGCTGTCATCGCCCACAGGCCCTGCAGAGTTGGGATTGTAGAAGAGCACTGCCCCCAGAGACACATTCAACTTTGCGGGAGAAGGAGATTGAACATGTTTCCAGGCAGGGATAACCCACCCAAACTTCCAGAAACCAGTTAGAGGGTGTAGGCAGGGACTTTGCCACACACTGGTGTTCACAGAATTAGGGAGACCCTAATAAAGAGATGGGAAGGTTGGCCAGTGCTGCTGGCAATGTACTGTTAGCCAGCTTTGGGAAAATGCACTGTGCTTTCTCCACCACTGAGAGGAAGAGAGAGAGAGAGAGAGAGAGAAGCAAAACAAAGCAAAAACAATGGGGAAATGTTTTTAAAGTTTAAAGGCAAAGAGAAAAATAATGATGGCAGATTGGGTGGGAGAAATCATCAAGGATACAGTATGAAAAGACAGAACAAAATGAGTATGTGCTTGCAAAAGAAAAGCTAGATGCTAGACAGAGGAGAATTTAAAAATAAAATGTAAACCATGCAACAAAGCTATTAAATGATGGGAAACAGACATGAATTTGTGTAAGGAAGAGAAAGGGAGACGATGAGTCTGACAGCAAGAAAACTCGATGGGATATTTGTTGTGGAGGGAGAGTGCCAAGGACGGAAGGCAGAAAAAAGGGCGCTGGTCCTCAAGTACAGAAGTAGAATGGTCTTCTATCACAATCTCTTTTTACCTTAAATGTATTAAGAAAAAATTACTAATGAGCTCACAATGTATCAAGAAGTCAATGATTCAAATCATCTGCCACTGGGCACAGTGACTTATGCCTGTAATCCCAACACGCTGGAAGGCCGAGGCTGGAGGATCACTTGAGGCCAGGAGTTGGAGATCAGCCTAGGCAACAGAATGAGATCCTGTCTCTACATAATATTTTTAAAATTTGCTGAACGTGGTAGCACAGGCCTGTAGTCCCAGCTACTTGGGAGGCTGAGGCAGGAGGATCACTTGAGGCCAAGAGTTCGAGGTC
Organism: Homo sapiens; assembly: GCF_000001405.40. NCBI lineage: Eukaryota > Metazoa > Chordata > Mammalia > Primates > Hominidae > Homo > Homo sapiens. The sequence goes on from NC_000006.12 coordinate 107,844,638, forward strand.
ACAGTGAGCCTATAGTCCCAGTGGGGAAGGGGTACAGCTTTCCCTCACTGCAGTCAATTCTCCACCTCATTTGTCCTCATATCAAATTCTGTACCTCTAACACTCATTATATATTTTAGGGAGACTAAGAAATCATATCCCTGGCTGGGCATGGTGGCTCACACCTGTAATCCCAACACTTTGGGAGGCCAAGCTGAGAGGATTGCTTGAGGCCAGGAGCTGGAGACCAGCCTAGGCAATATAGTAAGACTACGACTCAACAACAACAACAAAATGTTTAATTTTAAATATGTATATTAAAAAAAAAAAAAAAAAAGGCCTGGCATGGTGGCTCACACCTGTAACCCCAGCATTTTGGGAGGCTGAGGCAGGCAGATCATTTGAGGTCAGGAGTTCAAGACCAGCCTGGCTAACATGGTGAAACCCCATCTCTATTAAAAGTACAAAAAATTAGCCGGGCATGTGGCACACGCCTATAATCCCAGCTACTTGGGAAGCTGAGGCAGGAGAATCGCTTGAACCCAGGAGGCAGAGGTTGCAATGAGCCAAGAATGCACCACTGCACTCCAGCCCGGGCGACAGAGCTAGAAAACAAAAAAAAAATCTCATCCCCAACATAGTAACACAAAGGAGTTCACATCAGCAAAAAGGATCATCTGAAATTAGGCTTAGAGGTCAAACAGTCTGTCCTAATGCAGTGGGACCCAGAGGCCCCGACCACCAGTTAACATCACTGGAGCCTAGAGACGCTCCGGGGCCCGGCACTAGGAGGAGATGGCATCTACTGTTAGCTTGTTTTCACCTTGGCCTTAGCAGCTACTGGAAAGGTGACGGTTCTCCGGAAATTACAGAATGATTGCCTGGATTCTTTTTTCTTTTCAAACGAATGGAGGAAAAGGGATTTTCTCACTTGCTTGAGAGATTTCCTGTTACTAATTAGAACATTACAATCTTAAGAGGATGATAGGTGACCCAAGTCTGAATTTGAAACTCTTCAGGGACAACGCTCCTTCAGAAAGGAATGGGCAAGGGTGTTCTTTGGAATCCTCAGATTTCAATTGTGTATGACAGAACACAGGGTTACATTAGGGTTTTATGAGCAAGAGGATACAGTGTGGAGACACAGGGCTTTATGAGACCCAAATTACTATGAACATTTACTACACGTGGTATTACATTTTTACCTCGTATCTTCCAGATGCTGGGCCCTTGTTTCTTTCCTCGACAAATGCCTGGCTCCCCATTGAACTCAGGTGCCACACGTGTTGGGCAAATCTGTGGGGAATGTTCCAGTGAAGGTCCTGTCCCCACCTGCAGTGACAGGAGACAAGTGGGCCTCTGATGTGGGGAGAGAAGGGCGCTCCCTGAGTGAGCCTCCTGCCAGCAGCCCGGAGCCGGCCTCAGACTCCACTCTCCCAGGAGGCCAGCACTCCCCAAGTTCTAGGACCTTCCTGGCCAAAGCCTTAGCCTAGCAGCCTGTCCACTGAGGAACTGACTGGATCCTGAAAAAGGTCCTTGTCAAGCACCAATGAACTCCTCCTCCATTCATCAGGGTTTCCTTGGTGTTAAGGGTTGAACTGTATCCACCCCAAAAAATATATGTTGGAATCCTAACACCTAGCACTTCAGAAAGTGACCTGATTTGGAAATAGGGTCTTTACAGAGGTAAACAAGTTAAAGGGAGATCATTAGGTGGGCTCCGATCCAGTGTGACTGGTGTCCTCATAAAAAGGACCAACTTGTCACAGAGATGGGCACGCATAGAGGGAAGAGGAAGTGCAAAGACACAGGGAGACGAGAACCATCCCAGAGCCAAGAAGAGTCTGGAACAGATCCTTCCCTCACCAGCCTCAGACCGAGCCAACCCTGCTGACACCTTGAGTGTGGACTTCTGCCTCCAGAACAGTGAGACAATCAAGCTCTGTTGTCCAAGCCCCCTTGATTGTGGCATTTGTTACATCAGCCCTAGCAGATGAATACACTTGGCCTCCTCTCCTCTGAGACCCAGGCAGGTCAGGGCCAAGGGGGAGCTCATCTGCATCTGAGCCACCCATCTTTGGAGTGAGGGCAATGAACTCAAGCAGGGCCAGGCAGTGTTATTAGGAATATTATAGGTGGCTGGGTTCCTTAGGATGGATTGAGACCCTTGGTCCAAAATCTAAATGTAATAGAAACATATTACATGTTTGTTGTGTGTGTGCATGTGTGTGTGTCCCATAGGATAGTGGGTGTGAAATGGTTACCCAGGAGTTAAGGTCCCCAGGAGGGTCTTGTCTTGAACAAGGTCTTGTTCAGGGTGGTGTACAGGTGGTACCTGTATCATGACGTCCCTATGTCTACCCCACAGAATCATTCCTATTCAGTGTGGACCCCCGTCAAAAAGTAAATCCCTGCCAAAAATAGCAAAATATACATTTGCCCATAAAGAGAAATTAATATAAATATATTCAGCTCCTCTGAAGAAAATTTTCTATAGACATGAAGGGCAGCAGCTTTAGCTACGTGCCATGACTTAAATGATCAGTCACTTCTTTTAAAAATCTGTTAAGAAAGCTAACTTTTTAAAAAAGTTGTGGGGTAGGGGGCAGGCATGGTGGCTCATGCCTGTAATTCCAGCACTTTGGGAGGCCCTGGTAGGAAGATTGCTTGAGCCCAGGAGTTCAAGACCAGCCTGGGCAACATAGTGAGACTCTGTCTCTAGAAAAAAAAATTAAAATTAGCTGGGCATGGTAATGCACACCTGTGGTCCCAGCTACTCCGGAGGCTGAAGTGGAAGGATTGCTTAAGCTGGGGAGGTAGAGGCTGCAGTGAGCTGTGTTGGTGCCACTGCACTCCAGCCTGGGTGACAGAGTGAGACCCTGTCTAAAAAAAATAAAAATAAAAAAAGTCACAGACAAGGTTGTACTTGATCTTACCTGAAACAAAACAGAGAGAAGTAGGATTTTTAAAAAGCTAGCTGGGTTTTTATAAATGGAATTATATAGATAGATTTTCAAAAGACCAAATAGAAATAAGTATCTTGCATAGTGAGGGCTTCCCACATGTTTTTATTTCTCCTCAAGCTTCCCCCTCCCTCCCTGCACCTAAATCCGTTCCCGGCTAGAGTTGCTAGAAGAAAAATACAGGACACCTAGTCAAATTTGCATTTCAAGAAAAACAAGGAAAGCTTTTTCAAAGTGTAAGTACATCCCAAATACTTCATGGGACATGTTTATACTAAAAATTCATTTGTTGTTTATCTGAAATGCAAATTTAACTGGGCATCTTTTTTGGGGTGTGCTGGATCTGGAGACCCTCTTTCTGCCAGAACGCACGGGCTGTGTGAGGGGCGTCCTACTGAGGGTCGGGCTTGATGGCCCGGGTCGGTTATATCTGTCCCCCGGCTAGGAGAGGCTCTGAGGCAATAACTGCAGCTGTTCCCCTCCCCCAGGACGGGGGTCGGGGGTCGGGCCTTGGGGAGCCCCCTTAGGAGGCAAGGCGCTAGAAACTAGAGAAGCGACAGGGACCCTTTTTTTGCGTCTGAGTCCAAGGAGAAACAGCTGGGTCTAAGGGAGACGGTCGGGACTCTGGGTCTGACTCAACGAATGCCGGAGGCCACCCTGAGCTCCAGAGTGGTGGAGTCCGGGACGTGGCTGCGAGGGGTCTGTGGGAGCCGGGGGCACGGCAGCGTCGCTCCAGCCCCACTGGCCGGCCCGGGACTCCAAGAAGAGGCAGCGGATCTCCCAGTCCCTGACCAGCCTGGCCGGGCCCCGGTCGGCCACCTCGCGCCCCCTGGTGGCCACAGAGGGAGAAGCCGCCCGCTCATTTCTCCTGCTGCCGCTGGAATCCGGACTCCGGGGGCTGAGCGCCTGGACCGGAAGGAGGAAGGGAACACGGCAGAGTCCTCGGGGGAGCTAGGGCTTCGTGGGGCAGGAAGAAGACAGTGGCCGTTTCCACCGAAGACACCACGTGCAGTGTCTTCACAGGCAAAGCAATCCCAGCTGTGAATCCCACGGAGCACCTACCTGCTCACCAAATTCTGGTGGCAGAACGAAGCCTCCGGTTGACGTCCCCAGGGGAGATCCCCCGTCGCTCCTGAGAACACCTTTGCCGACTCCCCTCTGCAGGCATTAGGCCATTGGGGAACTGAATGCTTTCCTGGCCCCACCAGTTAGCCACCTTGTGTGATACGGAAATCTCATCTTTTCAAATATAAGACTTGTCAAGCTGTAGGAAAAATACATGTGAACATCCTCCTCACTCAGCAGTAACATCCTCAGGCTCTTGCAGCTAACCCAAAATGAAAAGATCGAGGTCTGAAGACTTGGTTTACATTATTCACACAATGATTTCATCCTCTTTCCCCTTCCCTCAAGGCTGTGGGAATGTTCTCTAAGAGGTGGAAGAATCCAGACTCAGGTGTTCTGAGTGAAAATCAAGGGCAAGGGTTGTGCTTACGCCCCACGCGGCTCTTCCCCCACCCCGCCCGTCCCCCAGCAAGTTAAGGGCAGAGTGGTCAGAGCCAACGCTGTATTCAAGATGGCTAATTTTATTGGTCAGTTTGGCCAGACCAAGGTACCCAGATACTTGGTCAAACATTGATCTGGATGTTGCTGTGAATGTATTTTTCAGATAAGAATAACATTTAAGGTGGGGCCGAGGCAGGAGGATTACTTGAGTCCAGGAATTCAAGACCAGCCTGGGCAACATATGAGACTGTCTCCACAAAAAATTTTAAAAATTAGCCAGGCATGGTGGCTCCACCTGTGGTTCCAAACTATTAACTGCTTGAGCCCGGGAGGTCGAGGCTGCAGTGAGCCGAGATTACACCACTGCCAGCCTGGGCGACAGAGTGAAACCCAATCTTCAAAGAGAGAGAGAAAGAGACATTTAAACCAGTAGATTGGGTAAATTACCCTCCATAATGTGGGTGGGTCTCACCCAATCAGTTAAAGGTCCTTTCCTTTTAAGAAAGGAGAAAGCTCGACCTTCCTGAGGAAGAGGGAATTCCGCCTCCAGGAGGCCTTTGGTTTTGAGACTGCAGCATCAGTTCTTCCCTGGGTCTCCAGCTTGCTGATCTACCCTTGAGATTTAGGACTCAATCTCCACAATCACATGAGCCAGTGCCTTAAAAAATCAATCAATCTGTCTCTACTGATAGAAAGATCTATTATCTATCTATAGAGAGAGGGACATCTATATGTCTATATGGATAGATTATCCATCTAGAGAAATAGAGGGAGATTTATTAATAGGAGATATATATACATCCGTGTGTGTGTGTTTATCTGTCAATCTCCTGTCGGTTCGATTTATCTGGAGAGCCCTGACTGAAGGTCCTTAGGGCCTTGGCATCAGCTCAGCCCAGGACCATTCCCCTCACCCACTCCAGAGCATGGCTCTAGCAATCCCTATCTCCTGCCTTATCACCTTCCCTTTCCAGTGGGTGATTTCCTTCTGCAGAAAACAACTGTTGTTTCTCTCATTCTTGAAAATCTTGACCCCACTTCTCTTCCAGCTACTACTAGTTTTTGTTTTGTTTTTTGTCCTGTCTGCAACAAAATTCCTCTAAAAAGTCTGTACTTTCTCCAAGTTCTCTCCTCCAATTCTCTGTCATTTTATTGTGAAATATAGCACACACAGAGAAAAAGGGCAAAACCAGAAACATACAGTTTGATGATTTCTCCAAAACCCTTACAACCGCCAACCAGATCAAGAAATAGCACATTGGCAAGAGTTCAGAAGCCTTCCTCATGCCCCCTCCCAGTGTCCACCCCATCTGCCCCTAAGGGTAAACACCATCCTGACCTTCATGATAATCAGTTCCTTGATTTATTTTTTTTGTACCATCTAGGCATGCATCCCCAAACGCTGTACTTCATTGTTACCCATTTTTTGATCTTCAGATAATGAAATAACACAAGGAGTCATCTGTAAAATTTACCCATGTCAACATGTATAACTGCATTTCATTTGTTTTTGTTAAATTGTAGAATCTTTTTGTTGTTGTTGTTGCTGTTGTTGTTGTTTTGTTTTGAGACGGAGTCTCGCTCTGTCACCCAGGCTGGAGTGCAATGGCACGATCTTGGCTCACTGCAACCTCCGCCTCCCGGGTTCAAGCGATTTTTCCTGCCTCAGCCTCCCGAGTAGCTGGGACTACAGGCCCCCGCCACCAGGCCCGGCTAATTTTTGTATTTTTAGTAGAGATGGGGTTTCACCATGTTGGCCAGGCTGGTCTCGAACTCCTGACTTTGTGATCCACCCCCCACCCCCACCCCACCCCCTTGGCTTCCCAAAGTGCTGGGATTACAGGCATCAGCCACCATGCCCGGCCAGTACTTTGTGGAATCTTAATGCATTATTTATCCACTGCTGCATAATGTATTACCCCAAAACATAGCAGCTTTAGACTAACGTTTATTATTTCACATACGTTCTGAAAGTCAGGAATCTGAGAGTGGCTTAGCTGGGTGCTCTGGCCCAGGGTCCTCTCATGCAGTTGCAGCAAAGCTGCTGCCTGAGGCTGTCGTCTCTGAAGACTTAACTGGGGCTAAAGGAGCCTCTTCCAAACTCACTCCCAAGCCTGTTGACAGACTTGGGTTCCTCACTACTTGGGCCTCTCCATAGGGCTGCTCATGACATAGATTCCCCAGAGCAAATAAGCCAAGAGACAGAGTGTGAGTGACAGAGCTCCCAAGATGGAAGCTGTAATGTCACGTTGCCTGTCACGTGGCACAGCATCACTGCTGCCCACAAGCCACTGGTCACGTAGGAGAACCCTGGCCCACATGGGAGGGAACCACATGAAGATGTGAGCACCAGGAGGCAGGAATCATCTGAAAGGCTGCCTACCACAACCCTTGGATAAACACAGAAAAATGTACCCATTCTTTTAGTGGTAAACATTTAGGCTGTTTCTAGTTTAGGGCTATTGTGATAGAGCTTCTGTGAACATTCTTGTTCATGTCTATTGGTGCATACGTGCACGCATTTCTTTCGGGTAAATATCTAGAAGTGTAACTAACGGCAAACTGTTTTACAAAGTGATCCACAAATGTACACACCCTCCAGGAATATATGAGATTTCCAGTTGTTACATGTTCTCAATTCCACTTGATATGGTCCATCCCTTTAACTTCAGCCATTCTGGTGAGCTTGAATTAATAGCTCATCGTGGCTTCAATTTGCGTGTCCCTGATGGATAAAGAGCTTGAACAGCTTTTCATGTATTTCTTGGCCATTAGGATATGCTGTCTTGGGACATGCAGTAGACGTGGAGCTAGGGCGTTCAAGTCTTCCTTCCAGCAAGGACTTGCAGCCCAGCTGTGGGGAGTGTGGTTTGCAGACGGTCACCAGCTCCTTCAGGTTCTGCCCGAACAGCAGAGAACCACCTTGTCCAAGGTCATGCTCTTCCTGAGTATGACTGAGTGTTGAATGAGCAAGGGAAGGCCAAAGCACAGCCGTTCAGCCTGAATGGGGCGGATTGATAAGCAATTCCACTCCCAAGCCCCACCAGGTTGGCCCAAGCTGTGCTAGGCTACATCGCAGTTCAACTCCTTTCTCTGCTCCATCCTGCTTCTTCCCTCTTTGTTCACAATAAACATCTTGATTCCTAATAAACATCTTGCACCGCAAACTCCTTTCCAGGGTCTGCTTCTGAAGAAATCCATCTGCGGTGTGAAGTGCCTTTTTGAAAAAAAGGCCTATTGCCCGTCTTCCTGTGGGGTTGTCTAGTTTTTTTCTTACCAATTTGCTGCTTTTTGTTTAGTGTGGATACAAGTCCTTTGTCAATTACATGTGTGGCAAATATCTTCTCTCACTATGTGTCTTGCCTTGTTAATTTCTTTATTGTGTCTTTGAAGAACAAAAGGTCTTCATTTAGATGTAATTCAATTTATCAATTTATTTCTTTTCTATATACGTTCTTTGTATCCTGTTTAAGAAATATTTTCCTATCCTAAGGTTATGAATGTATTCTCCTATATTATATTCTAAAAGCTTTTATTGTTTTGCCTTTCAGATTTACATTTATACACCACCTGGAATTAATTGTTTCATAAGGCGTGAGGCTGGGACCATGTAACATTTTTTTCCCAATTGGATATGCTATTGCCCCAGCACTATATTTCGAAAATGCCTTCTTTCCCCATGGTGCTGTAATGCCAACTCGTCCCGTACATCAAGTGTGAGTCTGCCCACATATGTGGGTCTGTTTCTGGATTTCCATTCTATATCATTGGCCTATCTGTTTTTGTCCCAATACCACACAGTCCAATACCCATTGGTTTTTTTCCCCAATTTTTAAAAGTGTGGTAAAATACACACAACATAAAATTCACCATCTTAACTGGGTTTAAGAGTACAGTTCAGGCCTGGCGCGGTGGCTCACGCCTGTAATCCCAGCACTTTGGGAGGCCGAGGCGGGCAGATCACTTGACGTCAGGAGTTCAAGACCAGCCTGGCCAACATGATGAAACCCCATCTCTACTAAAAATACAAGAATTAGCCAAGTATGGTGGTGCGTGCCTGTAATCCCAGCTACTTGGGAGGCTGAGGCAGGAGAATCACTTGAACTTGGGAGGCAGAGGTTGCAGTGAGCCGAGATTGCACCATTGCACTCCAGCCTGGACAACAAGAGCAAAACTCGGTCTCAAAATTAAATAAATAAATAAATAAGTACAGTTCAGTGGTATTAAATACATTCATAACGTGCAATCATCACCACATCCACTTCCAGAACTCTTTTCATCTTGTGAAACTGAAACTCTACACCAGTTAAACACTAACGCCCCATTCCTCCTCCCATCCCAGCAACCACCATTCTGTTTTCTCTCTATGAATTTGACTACTCTGAGTACCTCATGTAAGTGGGATCATACAGTATTTGTCTCTTTGTGACTGGTGTATTCACTTAACATAATGTTTAGCATAATGTCCTCAAGGTTCATCTGTGTTTTAGCATGTATCATAATTTCTTTCCTTTTTAAGGATGAATAATATTGCATTGTATATCTATATCACGTTTTGTTTTATTTATTCATCTATCGATGGACACTTAGGTTGCTCCGCATTTTAGCTATTGTAAATAATGCTGATATAAACAGGTATACACATATCTCTTTGAGACCCTGCTTTTAGTTCTTTTGGGTATATACTCAGAAGTAGAGTTGCTGGACCATATATCCTACGGTACCTCTAATTTTAATTTTTTGAGGAACCACCATACTACTTTCTAAAGCAGGCACACCATTTTACATTTCCAGTAATATTTCACAAAAGTTCCAGTTTTTCCACATTGTCATGAATACCTGTTATTTTCTGGGTTTTTTTTTTTTTTTTGGTAGTAGCCATCGTATTGGGTGTGAGATGTTATCTCATTGTGATTTTGATTTGTATTTCCATAATTATTAGTGATGTTGAGCATCTTTTCATTTGCTTATTGGTCATTTGTATATCTTCTTTGGAGAAATTTCTATTCGAGTCCTTTACCCATTTTTTAATCAGGTGGGTTTGTTGTTGTTGTTATTGTGTTGAGTTTTAGGAGTTCACTAAATATTCTGGATAGTAATCTTTTATCAGATAAGTGATTTGCAAATATTTTCACCCATTCTATGGGTTGCCTTTTTATTCTGTTGATAGTGTCTTTTAATGCACAAATTTTTTTAATTTTCATGAAGTCCAGTCTATTTTTTATTTTATTGCTCATGCTTTTTATGTTGTATCCAAGAAATAATTGTCAAATCCAATGTCATAAAACTTTTGCCCTATGTTTTCTTCTAAGAGTGTTATAGTTTTAGGTCTTTCATTCAGGTCTTTGATACTTTTGAGTTAATTTCTGTATGTGGTCTGAGGTAATGGTCTACCTTCATTCTTTTGCATGCAAATATCCAGTTTTGCCAGCACCATTTGTTAAAAAGACTGTCATTCTCCGTTGAATGATCTAGGCACCCTTGTGAAAAAAATATTTTACCATATATGTAAGGTGTATTTCTGGGCTCTCTATTCTATTCCATCAGTCTATATGTCTGTCTTTATACCGGCACCACACTGTTTTTTTTTTGTTGGTTTTTTTTTTTTCACTTTCTTTTTTTTTTTTAATTTATTTTTTTATTATTATACTTTAAGTTTTAGCGTACATGTGCACATTGTGCAGGTTAGTTACATACGTATACATGTGCCATGCTGGTGTGCTGCACCCACTAACTCGTCATCTAGCATTAGGTATATATCCCAATGCTATCCCTCCCCCCTCCCCCCACCCCACAACAGTCCCCAGAGTGTGATATTCCCCTTCCTGTGTCCATGTGATCTCATTGTTCAATTCCCACCTATGAGTGAGAATATGCGGTGTTTGGTTTTTTGTTCTTGCGATAGTTTACTGAGAATGATGGTTTCCAATTTCATCCATGTCCCTACAAAGGACATGAACTCATCATTTTTTATGGCTGCATAGTATTCCATGGTGTATATGTGCCACATTTTCTTAATCCAGTCTATCATTGTTGGACATTTGGGTTGGTTCCAAGTCTTTGCTATTGTGAATAATGCTGCAATAAACATACGTGTGCATGTGTCTTTATACCAGCATGATTTATAATCCTTTGGGTATATACCCAGTAATGGGATGGCTGGGTCAAATGGTATTTCCAGTTCTAGATCCCTGAGGAATCGCCACGCTGACTTCCACAATGGTTGAACTAGTTTACAGTCCCACCAACAGTGTAAAAGTGTTCCTATTTCTCCACATCCTCTCCAGCACCTGTTGTTTCCTGACTTTTTAATGATTGCCATTCTAACTGGTGTGAGATGGTATCTCATTGTGGTTTTGATTTGCATTTCTCTGATGGCCAGTGATGGTGAGCATTTTTTCATGTGTTTTTTGGCTGCATAAATATCTTCTGTTGAGAAGTGTCTGTTCATGTCCTTCACCCACTCTTTGATGGGGTTGTTTGTTTTTTTCTTGTAAATTTGTTTGAGTTCATTGTAGATTCTGGATATTAGCCCTTTGTCAGATGAGTAGGTTGCAAAAATTTTCTCCCATTTTGTAGGTTGCCTGTTCACTCTGATGGTAGTTTCTTTTGCTGTGCAGAAGCTCTTTAGTTTAATTAGATCCCATTTGTCAATTTTGGCTTTTGTTGCCATTGCTTTTGGTGTTTTAGACATGAAGTCCTTGCCCATGCCTATGTCCTGAATGGTAATGCCTAGATTTTCTTCTAGGGTTTTTATGGTTTTAGGTCTAACGTTTAAGTCTTTAATCCATCTTGAATTGATTTTTGTATAAGTTGTAAGGTAGGGATCCAGTTTCAGCTTTCTACATATGGCTAGCCAGTTTTCCCAGCACCATTTATGAAATAGGGAATCCTTTCCCCATTTCTTGTTTTTGTCAGGTTTCTCAAAGATCAGATAGTTGTAGATATGTGGCGTTATTTCTGAGGGCTCTGTTCTGTTCCATTGATCTATATCTCTGTTTTGGTACCAGTACCATGCTGTTTTGGTTACTGTAGCCTTGTAGTATAGTTTGAAGTCAGGTAGTGTGATGCCTCCAGCTTTGTTCTTTTGGTTTAGGATTGACTTGGCGATGCGGGCTCTTTTTTGGTTCCATATGAACTTTAAAGTAGTTTTTTCCAATTCTGTGAAGAAAGGCATTGGTAGCTTGATGGGGATGGCATTGAATCTGTAAATTACCTTGGGCAGTATGGCCATTTTCACGATATTGATTCTTCCTACCCATGAGCATGGAATGTTCTTCCATTTGTTTGTATCCTCTTTTATTTCCTTGAGCAGTGGTTTGTAGTTCTCCTTGAAGAGGTCCTTCACATCCCTTGTAAGTTGGATTCCTAGGTATTTTATTCTCTTTGAAGCAATTGTGAATGGGAGTTCACTCATGATTTGGCTCTCTGTTTCTCTGTTGTTGGTGTATAGGAATGCTTGTGATTTTTGTACATTGATTTTGTATCCTGAGACTTTGCTGAAGTTGCTTATCAGCTTAAGGAGATTTTGGGCTGAGAAAATGGGGTTTTCTAGATATACAATCATGTCATCTGCAAACAGGGACAATTTGACTTCCTCTTTTCCTAATTGAATACCCTTTATTTCCTTCTCCTGCCTAATTGCCCTGGCCAGAACTTCCAACACTATGTTGAATAGAAGTGGTGAGAGAGGGCATCCCTGTCTTGTGCCAGTTTTCAAAGGGAATGCTTCCAGTTTTTGCCCATTCAGTATGATATTGGCTGTGGGTTTGTCATAGATAGCTCTTATTATTTTGAAATATGTCCCATCAATACCTAATTTATTGAGAGTTTTTAGCATGAACGGTTGTTGAATTTTGTCAAAGGCCTTTCCTGCATCTATTGAGATAATCATGTGGTTTTTGTCTTTGGCTCTGTTTATATGCTGGATTACATTTATTGATTTGCGTATATTGAACCAGCCTTGCATCCCAGGGATGAAGCCCACTTGATCATGGTGGATAAGCTTTTTGATGTGCTGCTGGATTCGGTTTGCCAGTATTTTATTGAGGATTTTTGCATCAATGTTCATCAAGGATATTGGTCTAAAATTCTCTTCTTTGGTTGTGTCTCTGCCCGGCTTTGGTATCAGAATGATGCTGGCCTCATAAAATGAGTTAGGGAGGATTCCCTCTTTTTCTATTGATTGGAATAGTTTCAGAAGGAATGGTACCAGTTCCTCCTTGTACCTCTGGTAGAATTCGGCTGTGAATCCATCTGGTTCTGGACTCTTTTTGGTTGGTAAGCTATTGATTATTGCCACAATTTCAGATCCTGTTATTGGTCTATTCAGAGATTCAACTTCTTCCTGGTTTAGTCTTAGGAGAGTGTATGTGTCAAGGAATTTATCCATTTCTTCTAGATTTTCTAGTTTATTTGCGTAGAGGTGTTTGTAGTATTCTCTGATGGTAGTTTGTATTTCTGTGGGATCGGTGGTGATATCCCCTTTATCATTTTTTATTGCGTCCGTTTGATTCTTCTCTCTTTTTTTCTTTATTAGTCTTGCTAGCGGTCTATCAATTTTGTTGATCCTTTCAGAAAACCAGCTCCTGGATTCATTAATTTTTTGAAGTGTTTTTTGTGTCTCTATTTCCTTCAGTTCTGCTCTGATTTTAGTTATTTCTTGCCTTCTGCTAGCTTTTGAATGTGTTTGCTCTTGCTTTTCTAATTCTTTTAATTGTGATGTTAGGGTGTCAATTTTGGATCTTTCCTGCTTTCTCTTGTGGGCATTTAGTGGTATAAATTTCCCTCTACACACTGCTTTGAATGCGTCCCAGAGATTCTGGTATGTTGTGTCTTTGTTCTCGTTGGTTTCAAAGAACATCTTTATTTCTGCCTTCATTTCGTTATGTACCCAGTAGTCATTCAGGAGCAGGTTGTTCAGTTTCCATGTAGTTGAGCGGTTTTGAGTGAGATTCTTAATCCTGAGTTCTAGTTTGATCGCACTGTGGTCTGAGAGATAGTTTGTTATAATTTCTGTTCTTTTACATTTGCTGAGGAGAGCTTTACTTCCAACTATGTGGTCAATTTTGGAATAGGTGTGGTGTGGTGCTGAAAAAAATGTATATTCTGTTGATTTGGGGTGGAGAGTTCTGTAGATGTCTATTAGGTCCACTTGGTGCAGAGCTGAGTTCAATTCCTGGGTATCCTTGTTGACTTTCTGTCTCGTTGATCTGTCTAATGTTGACAGTGGGGTGTTAAAGTCTCCCATTATTAATGTGTGGGAGTCTAAGTCTCTTTGTAGGTCACTCAGGACTTGCTTTATGAATCTGGGTGCTCCTGTATTGGGTGCATATATATTTAGGATAGTTAGCTCTTCTTTTTGAATTGATCCCTTTACCATTATGTAATGACCTTCTTTGTCTCTTTTGATCTTTGTTGGTTTAAAGTCTGTTTTATCAGAGACTAGGATTGCAACCCCTGCCTTTTTTTGTTTTCCATTTGCTTGGTAGATCTTCCTCCATCCTTTTATTTTGAGCCTATGTGTGTCTCTGCACGTGAGATGGGTTTCCTGAATACAGCACACTGATGGGTCTTGACTCTTTATCCAATTTGCCAGTCTGTGTCTTTTAATTGGAGCATTTAGTCCATTTACATTTAAAGTTAATAGTGTTATGTGTGAATTTGATCCTGTCATTATGATGTTAGCTGGTTATTTTGCTCGTTAGTTGATGCAGTTTCTTCCTAGTCTCGATTGTCTTTACATTTGGGCATGATTTTGCAGCGGCTGGTACCAGTTGTTCCTTTCCATTTTAGCGCTTCCTTCAGGAGCTCTTTTAGGGCAGGCCTGGTGGTGACAAAATCTCTCAGCATTTGCTTGTCTGTAAAGGATTTTATTTCTCCTTCACTTTTGAAGCTTAGTTTGGCTGGATATGAAATTCTGGGTTGAAAATTCTTTTCTTTAAGAATGTTGAATATTGGCCCCCACTCTCTTCTGGCTTGTAGGGTTTCTGCCGAGAGATCCGCTGTTAGTCTGATGGGCTTCCCTTTGTGGGTAACCCGACCTTTCTCTCTGGCTGCCCTTAACATTTTTTCCTTCATTTCAACTTTGGTGAATCTGACAATTATGTGTCTTGGAGTTGCTCTTCTCGAGGAGTATCTTTGTGGCGTTCTGTGTATTTCCTGAATCTGAACGTTGGCCTGCCTTGCTAGATTGGGGAAATTCTCCTGGATAATATCCTGCAGAGTGTTTTCCAACTTGGTTCCATTCTCCCCATCACTTTCAGGTACACCAATCAGACGTAGATTTGGTCTTTTCACATAGTCCCATATTTCTTGGAGGCTTTGCTCGTTTCTTTTTATTCTTTTTTCTCTAAACTTTCCTTCTCGCTTCATTTCATTCATTTCATCGTCCACTGCTGATACCCTTTCTTCCAGTTGATCACATCGGCTCCTGAGGTTTCTGCATTCTTCACATAGTTCTCGAGCCTTGGTTTTCAGCTCCATCAGCTCCTTTAAGCACTTCTCTGTATTGGTTATTCTAGTTATACATTCTTCTAAATTTTTTTCAAAGTTTTCAACTTCTTTGCCTTTGGTTTGAATGTCCTCCCGTAGCTCAGAGTAATTTGATCGTCTGAAGCCTTCTTCTCTCAGCTCGTCAAAGTCATTCTCCGTCCAGCTTTGTTCCGTTGCTGGTGAGGAGCTGCGTTCCTTTGGAGGAGGAGAGGCGCTCTGATTTTTAGAGTTTCCAGTTTTTCTGTTCTGTTTTTTCCCCATCTTTGTGGTTTTATCTACTTTTGGTCTTTGATGATGGTGATGTACAGATGGGTTTTTGGTGTGGATGTCCTTTCTGTTTGTTAGTTTTCCTTCTAACAGACAGGACCCTCAGCTGCAGGTCTGTTGGAGTACCCTGCAGTGTGAGGTGTCAGTGTGCCCCTGCTGGAGAGTGCCTCCCAGTTAGGCTGCTCGGGGGTCAGGGGTCAGGGACCCACTTGAGAAGGCAGTCTGCCCGTTCTCAGATCTCCAGCTGCGTACTGGGAGAACCACTGCTCTCTTCAAAGCTGTCAGACAGGGACATTTAAGTCTGCAGAAGTTACTGCTGTCTTTTTGTTTGTCTGTGCCCTGCCCCCAGAGGTGGAGCCTACAGAGGCATGCAGGCCTCCTTGAGCTGTGGTGGGCTCCACCCAGTTCGAGCTTCCCGGCTGCTTTGTTTACCTAAGCAGGCCTGGGCAATGGTGGGCGCCCCTCCCCGTGCCTGGCTGCCGCCTTGCTGTTTGATCTCAGACTGCTGTGCTAGCAATCAGCGAGACTCCGTGGGGTAGGACCCTCCGAGCCTGGTGGGGGATATAATCTCGTGGTGCGCCGTTTTTTAAGCCGGTCGGAAAAGCGCAGTATTCGGGTGGGAGTGACCCGATTTTCCCGATTTTCCAGGTGCTGTCCGTCACCCCTTTCTTTGATTAGGAAAGGGAACTCCCTGACCCCTTGCGCTTCCCGAGTGAGGCAATGCCTCGCCCTGCTTTGGCTCGTGCACGGTGCGCGCACCCACTGACCTGTGCCCACTGTCTGGCACTCCCTAGTGAGATGAACCCGGTACCTCAGATGGAAATGCAGAAATCACCCGTCTTCTGCGTCACTCAGGCTGGGAGCTGTAGACCGGAGCTGTTCCTATTCGGCCATCTTGGCCCACTCTGTTTTTATTATGTAGCTTTGTATTTCGTTTTGAAATCAGGAACGTGAATCCCCCAGCTTTGTTCTTCATTTTCAAGATTGTTTTGGCTGTTCAGGGTTCCTTGAAATTCCATATGAATTTTAAGATGATTTTTTCTACTCCTACAAAAAGGTTACTAGATTTTGATAGGGATTGCATTGAATATGTAGATTACTTTTGATAGTATTGACATCTTAATAATTTTGTCTTTCAACCCAATTTTTTTCAGCAATGTTTTGTAGATTTCATTGTATAAGTATTTCACCTCTTTGATTGATTCCTAAGTATTTTATTCTTTTTTTATTATTATTATTTTTTTTTTTAGATAGGGTCTTGCTCTATTGCCCAGGCTGGAGTGCAGTGGCACAATCTTGGCTCACTGCAACCTCCATCTCCTGCGTTCAAGCAATTCTCCTGCCTCAGTCCCCCAAGTAGCTGGCATTACAGGTGCCCACGACCACATCCGGCTAATTTTTGTATTTTTAATAGAGATGGGGTTTCACCATATTGGCCAGGCTGGTCTCAAGCTCCTGACCTCAAGTGATCCACCCACCATTCTTTTTGATGTTACTGTAAATATAATCACGTTAGTCCATTTCCATGCTGCTAGTAAAGACATACCTGAGACTGGGTAATTTTTACAGAAAAAGAGGTTTAATTTTGAGGAAAAAGAGGTTTAATGGACTCACAGTTCCACGTGGCTGGGGAGGCCTCACAATCATGGTGGAAGGTGAAAGGCACATCTTACATGGCAGCAGGCAAGAGAGAATGAGAGCCAAGAGAAAGAGGAAATCTCTTATAAAACCATCAGATCTCATGAGACTTACTCACTATCACAAGAACAGGATAGGGGAAACTGCCCCCATGATTCAATTATCTTCCACTGGGTCCTTCCTACAACACGTGGGAATTATGGGAGCTACAATTCAAGATGAGATTTGGGTGGGGACACAGCCAAACCATATCAATAATTTTTGTAATTTCCTTTTCAGATTTTCATTGTTAATGTATAGAAATGCAACTGAATTTTTATGTGTTGACTTTGTATCCTGCTACTTTGCTGAATCATGTATTGGGTCTAACAGTTTTTTCTTTTTGTGTGTGGAATCATTAGGTTTTTCTGCACATAAGGTGATAACATCTGTGAACAGAGATAATTTACTTCTCTCTTTCCAACTTGGATGCCATTTCTTTCTTTTTCTCACCTAATTGCTCTGGCTAGAATTTCCAGTACTATGTTGAATAGAAATGGTGAAAGTGGGCATCCTTGCCTTGTTCCTGACCTTAGAGAAAAAGCTCTCAGTCTTTCACCATTGACCATTATGTTCACTTTGTATTTTTTATATATTGGTTTTATTAATTCTCATTCTCTTTTAATCCCACTTAGATGGGCCAAATAAAAAGGCCTAAGAATATTAACTTCAGGTTGATTTTTCTGCAATCAGCAGGAATCTAGTCATGCTGGAGTGGGTCTGTGGTCTCACAGCAAAAATGCTGTCTGTAAATGGTCCTCTAGGTTTAGAGAAATCAGAGAAAGACCATCAGTTCTTTCACCAATATCCCTGAATTTTGCTGTGGTTTATATGCTAATTTGAGCACAAGTGTTCACCTGTACCACAGGCTCCTCCCCCACCCTGCCCCAGCTCTGTATCATCCTTAATTGCTCAGCAGCAGAGATATGCTGGCTCTCAGGGGTCAGGGATTTCAGCTTCAGAGGTGTTGGATGACTTGCACACAGTAGGCTGGAGAAATTATCATGATGCCAACTGGGTCACTAGGCTAGGTTGCCTTGCCCAGGCAGAAAGCCACAGGTTATACCCCAGACACTGGGCAATGATCCAGTTGCTCTTTGAAGCAGAAACTTTGCCTGTTCTTAGGATAAGAGCACTTCCCAGCAAATTTCTGTCTCCAGAGGTGACATCCAAGAAGTAACTGTAATGAAGTCCTTGTCCATCAACTCTTCCACCATGGGTGCACATGTGAATAAATAGTAGACTATTTAGACTGAATGGGAAAGGCTTATTGGCAGCAATAGGAGGAATCTAACCTTCAAATATTCATTCTGCTAGCTCAGAATGCCTGCTCAAATTTCAATTCAATAAATATATGCCATCCAGCGAGTTAGACTTCAGCAACTTTCAGAGTTCCCACACTGGTGGGAAACAGAAGCAAATGCAAAAAATTCAGGCAGGCTGTAAGCACTGTCCTGGAAAATTCCAAAGTGTTTTCATCTTATTGTGTGTTGCTATATTGCTGGGATGCATTTTAGTAACTGGAAGGCAGCAGAAAAGATTTGCAAGAAGAAATTTTAGAGTGCTCGAAGTTAAACCTAATAGTCATTTCTAGAAATCCATTCTTCACAGAACGGATGTCTTCATTTTCCCTCAGCTTCCGCCCTCAGTCCTGACGTAAAAAGTAATATTTAAATACAATCAAAGAAATTCTCCAAGAAACACATATTTGGCCCAGTGAGAAGCCTGCTAAGGTTTAGAATTAGAACCTCAAATAGATCCTTTAGAATCCCCACTCAGTAGAAAAAAGAGGGTGAATAGATGCAAGGAAGACAGACTGGGCAGTCTATGCCACCATCTTGGCCTCGTAAGGTCAAAGATTGGACACCCAGGGGATCAAGCCCTGCTCTACCTCTAGGTAATCACATTCAAGGCTGGGGAAGAATGTATTGCTTCTGTCAAGGCAGTTACCTAGAACTGTAACACTTTGAATCACTTTTCTTCAGCAAGCATAAGCTGCACCACTTTAGATTGGGATGGATCTTAAAGGTCCCTTTGCGCGCGCGCGCGTGTGTGTGTGTGTGTGTTAAAGACAGAGTCTAGCTCTGTTGTCCAGGCTGCAGTGCAGTGGTGCAAACACAGCTCATGGGAGCCTCGACCTCCTGGGCTCAAGTGATCCTCCCACCTCAGCCTCCCAAAGTGCTGGAACTATAGGTGCATGCCACCATGCCTGGTCCCCCTTCACCCTTTTGGCTAAGATGAAGTCACCTAACCTGGAAGCCCACATATCTTGGCACAATGGGATCTCATTTCAACACAGCATGGGGGTTCTGAGATAGAGGGAGGGATCTGACTCAAGTATAACCATGGGCCCATTCTCCAAGAACATTAGTGGCTGTGGTGGGCTATGATAGAGCAGGTGGTCACACTAGACCTGATCTGGCCAGCTTCCACTTTAATAAGGGCTGCGTGTGTGTGTGTGTGTGTGTGTGTGTGTGTGTGTGTGTGTGTGTGTGTGTGTTGGTTTCCTTCCTGACCTTCCAAAATGGAAAGATGGAGAATGAGGGTTGTGGAACAGGGTGCAGCACGCTGCAGGGGAAGATCCAAGACCCCAGGGTCCCAGCTCCAGTTCACCAGCAGTGCCAAGTCACTCCTCGTCTCTGGTTCTTTGTTTCTCTATCCCCCCTTCGTATCAATGTCTGACCCTCTGTGGGCACAACAGGGAATGCAATTTGCTCCAAATCAGAGCTGTAGCATGGGTGCCCCATAAATACAAGTATGCAGCACTTACATACATGCTTTCATTCCTTTCCCATGATAATGTTGCCCATGGAGGCAGTAGTCTACCCCATGTAGTCGACCTCCATGGGTAGCATACTCAAGACTAAAGTCAGGGGTTTTGTTTCTATCCCTACGTTCCAGCTCTGCTTCTATTAGGCTGTGGAGGGGATTAGGGAGGAGGGACTTGGTTCAATCAGATGCAAATGCAAGGAAAACTTTAGAAATCATACTGAGTGACATAGAGAAAGGCTTGTTTTTTGTTTTTTTTTTAAGATTTCTCACTCTAAAAAGAACTCCTTTTAACACACTGAAACATTCAAAATTCTACTCAAAACCCAGTTTTAGTATTATCGAACATAAACTGTGTCTACAGTGTGCTATTCCTGAAGTGTCACTCCTGACATTTAGTGCGATACCCTGTCATTAAGTCAGCAGACTTGAAAGATGTGGGGGTTTTCAGTGTATAAAGAAATAATGCTGAGGATCATAACACTACAGTTTCATCCCCCATTCTCAAAAGCACTTTGCTGCTAATCACATTAATCTTTATAATTTCCATGATAATAGACCCAGATCAGTGTTTTGTGAGTAGGGATGGGTAGGTGGGGCAAGATTTTATTGGGATCGTGGGAAAAAGAGTGACTACTGAGTTCTGAACCAGGAGCTGGCTGCAGGAAGAGCAGTGACTCTAAGATACTTGAAAGGGGGTGCCTTGCCATCTTTCAACTTGAGCCACCTCTCCTGGCTCTCTCCCTGTTTAATAGATGCTGTCAGGTCAAGAAGAGGAACAGTAAGCTTTGGGAGGAACTTGGAAAGTGACATAGAGCCTAGCCAATGACTGGAGTCCCAAGAACCTGGCAGAGAATTGGGAAATAAAAAAGCTGCAGAAACGTTGGATGTGATTATAAAGCACACAGACTAATTGGACAAAGATACAGAAGCAGGCTAATGCATATGAATGAGGGAGTTTACCACGATCCCACGAACACTACTGAATGACGATGTCTGCTTGGGAATCGTCAGACCTGGTTGGAAGATAAGGATTTTTTAAGTCTCTCATTGAATTTTTGTCACGTGCCTTACTTTTTTAATCAAAATACCCATCAATGAATTGGATCCCCCCTACTGTGTATCATTTCTAAATGAACTTTTGTAGTTTAAAACACATCTCCCCCCAAAGGACAACTACCTACCAGGAAGACTGTTCAAAATAGTATTTCAAAGATTCCTCAGTTATTTCAACCAAAGGTCTAAGGCCTCCCTAAGTTTGGGCAGCATATTGGAAAAAGAACACTAAAGAAATGGCAACTATTCTACAAGGAACCAGACTTCCTTGGAGGAAAATGTTCAGTTTGTCCAGAAAGGAAGGGTATGGGTTTTGTATTTTGTGGGGAGGGGTGGAAGGTTTGGGGAAGGAGTGCAGAAAGCGATAATCAAAATCTCTTATGGTTACCATGTAGAATAGGTATAGTGTTCCTTCTTGTAGATACCCTGTTTTGCACTGTCACAATGGACTGGATTCAACTTAGAAAATTCTGGATATTTTTTAGTTGGTGCACGGGTAAGTAAATTATCTTCAGTTGCAACATAAAACTATCTTTGACAATAAAACTATCTTTGACAATAAAACATTTCCAAGGAGTTTAAATGTATATTATTCTCAAGGAAACTGCCTAAGTGGTCCTAGTTTTCACAAAATAGACCTCATTCCCTTTGAAAATCAGTGTTCTATAATATCTCTTTGTAAATACAGGTCCTATATGTATTGAATTCCAGCTGTTGAGAGACAGTTTTCCATGAGTCTCTCATGTCTCTGCACACCTGTGATCAAAGGCACACAGGCTTTTGTTCTAGACTATCTTTTCAAGGGTGTCTGTATGGCAAACAGCCTTGGAAGGCAGTGTCTCCCTCCCAGAAAGAGGGTGAGTTTGTTTGCTGTCCAGGATAAGATCAAGACAGGGTTGCTTGCAGGCTTGACAGGGTTAGGTCTCCCAAGCTTGGAGTTCCTCAGCTGTGATATGAACAGCATCTGCCTGGCCACTCCACATCGCCTCCGTGGGAACTTGGAAGACAACAGGAACAGATGGGGAACATGAAGCTCATGCCACCTGCTGTGCCTGTGTCTTTGGAGTCTTCTGTGTTTTGTCGGCATCCATGACACTGGCAGGTTAACTTGTTAGCTTGCATGTAAAAACTCTGGACTCTTAATAGTTGACACCTATCAGGCAAACAGGTTAGATTTTGTAGAGTTAAGGAATTACCATGTCCTATTTGATTGTCCACCTCTCTCAAGCAAACAAATGCAATTTGGAATTCCAGCACAATGAATACATATGGATTGTCTTTTGGAGTTGGTTGCAAAGGGACTTAATGTTTCTAGACAGTAAATTTAATGGGTTAAAGGACACACAGCCAGGTGCGGTGGTTCATGCCTATAGTGCCAATACTTTGGGTGGCCAAGGGTTGAAGTTAGGAGTTCGAGGCCAGCCTGGGCAACATAGCAAGACCCCTGTCTCTAAATAAATAAATACAATGAGCCAGGTTAGTGCCCGTGGTCCCAGCTACTTCGGAGGGGGCTGACATAGGAGAATCACTTGATCCCAGGAGTTGAGGCTGCAGTGAGCTATGATTGCACCACTGTACTCCAGCCTGAGCGATAGAGCACGACCCTGCCTCTAAAAAAATAATAAATAAATAACAAAGGACACATGTAAAGAAGAAAAAGGTTAGGGGGAAACATAAAAGATCAAAAGAGAGGGAGGAAATCCCAGAAGGTGCAGATACAAATAAATTACAAAGCATTTCTTTAATCGTGGCTTTTAGTCTGAAACGAAACACACCATTCTTTGTTAAAGAAAATTACAGCCCTATCGCCCTCTACTGGAACGAGGCTGGAAAATACAGAGAAATAGCTTGAAGTTAACTCTTAATGGAATCTGTTCACACTGAAGTCCATTGCTGCTATTATCCAGATGTTAAAGTGTAAACCTCAGGTGTTTCGGGTAAGGTATGAGGGCTACAGCTCCCTTTGTGTACCCAGGCTGATAGGTTAACGCTAAACAACCTCGTGCTGAACAGAGTGGCCAGTCCTTCCCACACTCACCTTCCATTTGCAGCAGTCACTGATTGCCAGGACCAGCAACAGGCTGTGATTTGCTCAAAGTCCCAGCAAGTCGTCCCCAGCACTGCTGCTCCATACCTGCACCACCTGCACTCCACAGACAACCGTTGTGCAGAACCCTCCCCTTGCCTATCAATCCCACCTCCAGACCTACTCAGCTCTATCTCATAAAAGTCTCACTTTGCTCTTGGCAGCTACAGTAGGGCTGCACACAGTGAATGCCAACCCACCAACTCCAGAGTATATCACTCTGTGATCTCAGGTGGTGAGTGTCAAATGTCACCCTATCAATACCACAAAGCAGTGGTGCCCAAATGTTTTGATCATGGACCCAAATCAGAAAAAAAAAAATTAATGCACCAATAAATGTTTATTTATAAATAATAGAAGTGTACAATTGTACAATATATTATGTACATTATAAAACACACAAAAATAGAAATTTAAAAGGATGAGATTAAATACAAATAATCATCTTAATACTTCCTCAATGGATTGATCATCTCCACGCCCCTGGGATGTATACACCCCCACCTGAAACAATAGCCCTAAAGTATGTCAATGATTGTTATTTGGGTTTTCAGCTCAGGTTACAGAAATATGTACAAGATCGCATCTTTTTAAGTTTTGCAAAATAGCCCTAGCATCAAGTTTAAATGGATGAGAATGCTTGGTGCTAACTTCTTGAGACATATTTGGACTAATCACTACACAGCTGGCAAAATGTTATGGTTCACCAACAGTTATTTCACTTTAAGGCAGTCTAAATAGAGGATTTCATGGAGTTAAATCAGACCGTTTGTGGGAAAATTGTTTCTTAAAAAAAAAAAAACATTTTAAAGGAAAGGATGATGATTTGTTGTTTTTGTTTTTTTTCCAAAAAAACCCAACAGGCTGGGCGCAGTGGCTCATGCCTGTAATGCCAGCACTTTGGGAGGCTGAGGAGGGCTGATCACTTGAGGCCAGGAGTTCGAGACCAGGCTGGACAACGTGGCAAAATCCCATCTCTACTAAAAATTAAAAAATTAGCTGGGTGTGGTGGCATGCACCTGCAGTCCCAGCTACTCAGGAGGCTGAGGCAGAAGAATCGCTTGAAGCTGGGAGGCGGAGGTTGCAGTGAGCTGAGATCGTGCCACTGCACTCCTCCAGCCTGGAGGACAGAGCGAGACTCCGTCTTAAGAAGAAAAAGAGAAAGAGAGAAAAAAAGGCCAGCAAAATAAACAGCTAGCCCCTAAAGAAATAATTCTTCTGCCTACAGTAGATAGACTAAAAAAAAAAAAAGGCATTCCAAATAATAGCCAAGGCAAATGGATTTAAATGGATTGCCACTCATCTACCTGCTCTAACACCAGCGAGTGAGTTCTTAACACTATTTTTTTCATTTTGATAGCTCCAGTATCCAGTCACAGAGCCTGGCACATAGAAACTCAGTAAATATGTGATGAATGACAACCTCTCAAAAATTATGTAAGGTGCTGAATTACATTTGAAATAAGAATTGTGACTACAGAACACTCTAGTATATGGTTTGGATTGGCTGAAGCAAACTGAACAAAACTTGTGGTCAAAAATAACATGCCTAGAGAGCCTCATTATATCTCTCCCTCCCTGTTTCCACATCAGTTGTTTGACATCCACGCCCCCTGCTTCCACCAGAGCCTGAGCTTCCCCATACACAGTGGGACAGTACAGCTGGACAGGCCTGTCCTTTTCCAGCCCTCAGTGAAAGCTGGGAGAAGCAGAGCAGAAGGTATTGTTCTACACAGAGAACTTCACTCAATGTGCTCCCTAACTTAAAAAAAAAATTATGAAAAATGTTTAAAAAATTCAAAAAGGACATGAACATCTAACTCTGAGATTGAGATATTAACACCTCAGGGCCTCAATCAAATATTATAATGCTAAAATACACAACTGCTACACTTTGAATTGTGGTAAGTCTCCTCATGAACAGCTGTATTTTAATAGGTACTTTACCAATTAGAGAAAAATATCACATAATTTAACTGTTTCAATTTCACTTCCTATACACTGTATGATCTATAGGCTCATCAATTGTTGACAAAATGTCAGTTTCTTTATAGGAAGAAAATTGAAACTTTGCTCAAGTTTCCATTAGATTAAATGCAAACTAGGATAGTTTGTTATTCTCATTCCAGAGGAAAAACGAAGGGATGTGGAGTTTAGCGACTTGCTGGAGAGAGAAGAACTATCAACTGAAGGCTCAGTTCTTTCACTACTGCCATATGGAAAGAGGTTACCTAAAGCACTCACTAGAGGAAATTTTATTTTACTTAGTTGGGAAGTACATACACATCACACAAAGAGAAAAGGAAAACAAACTGGTGGAATTTTCTGGTGATGGTAGTTTTTTTTTTTTTTTTTTTTTTAAGCACTGTGGTGTTACTAGGTTATCATCCTCTCCAGAATCTTAAAACCAGAGAAGCCAGCTGTGTGAATGAACTTATAAAGCCTCTTTAAGGCAAAGTAGCCACTAGAAAAAAAAAAACAACTTTTCTTGAAATCTTTCAAGAAAACTAGGAAATATGCATTCTACACATTGTTCTGTCTTGTCTGCTCAGTTTCCTTGCCTTCGTGCCACACCTGTTTTCTCTAATCCCTCCTTTCACTTGACACCAGCTGGCTTACCCCCTGCCACCACACTTAGGTAATCAGTAGCTGCCTCAAGACACTGGTGCTTCACAGCAGAACCTGATTTGAAAATTAAACCCACCCTCCTACTTGTACAATGAAGTAAATGAAAAAAATCCTCAGTGACACTGCCTCCTGCCTGCCAAGAAAGGCTCTCACTAAACTGGTGATTGAGGTTATAGAGAAAGAAACTGCTTTCACCCTTTTATAGGAAATATTACATCTTAAATTTAGAACCAAAAAAACCATTCATGGTTTTGCTAATTTTCACATTTTATTTCCAACTATTGCAGTAACAAGATGCCGGTAGTATTCTGCACTGAAAGTGGCAACCTTTTAAAGTAAACAAGGTTGCAAATTTTAGTATTCCAACAATATTTTGACCTATGGAGATTTTGATAGGAAAGAATTATTACAATCAGTTTTATAATACTACAGACTTATGTTTCCTCCATATCTAGGAATAAAAATATCCACCCTCCCTCAATGATTCATCATGTACACATCTCTACTCTTTACAAGCACTATCCTTCCAGTTGTACTATGAGGGGAAATCCCTCTCACTCCTGGGTTTTTCTACAGTATACAGAAATAGCAGTCACTTTAGCAGTAATGTACAATACTATTCAATCTTTAGTTGAAAAATAAAGAAGTGGATTGCCCTATTTATGTCCTGATAGTAAAAAGACACACACCATTGAAACATAAAACGAGTCAACAAACTTCTATTTTTATTGACAGGAGTCCAAAATGAATACAAAAAAAGCTTCCTTTGCATGTTATACTTACTTTCCTTAAAAAGCTCCTGATAGAGTCAAGTAGACTGAAAACTAAGGATGTAGTTCAGCTTTTAGAGTGAACCTTTTTTAAAAAAGGTTTAATAACATAAGCCACCAGTATCAGAAAACATACAGTCCCACTATCACTTTTAGAGCTAGAACTTATCAAAAGAATTAGATCCTGCATTGATCTGCTAAGATAGAGGTTTAGAAATGGTTTAAGCCATTAAAAGCCATTTTTATAATCTGTCTGATAACTCTGGGCAATTAAGAAAAGGAAAATTCCAAAACGTAGCCCTCTATATCATGTGGAATGTGAGAGAATGCCAACTTATGACCAAGATAAGTAAAAATAAAAGTTTAAATCTATGAGTGGAGCTGTTGTATCACTGCAAAATGTCAACAACAGAGCTTATCAAGAGATTATCAACTTGAGCGATGTTACTTAAACTTGAGCGATGTTACTTAAAACATATTTGTGGTGTTTGCTAAAACTAAAGCTGAACAAAGAAAAGTCGCTCATTTACAGACTGTGTTTCCTGCATCTTTACTTTTACTGGGACCATAGACTGATCAGATAATACATAGCCCACACTTCTGGACAGTTATAATAACAAAGGATTTATTATCATTTGCAGATGAAATAAATGTACCATCCCCTACTTGAAAGGTTTCAATAAGCCTTAACATTTTTCAGGTTGTACCAAGGCACCGCCACTGCCTAGTTATATTATGCACCCATTTCAAGAGTAAAAAAACTACACCTCCCTCAACATCAGTTCTGTACTGTTTCTGGTTTATGATACACTTCCAAAACAGCAAAAAATTGCAAATATGTGCAAACACTGTGGTCCATTCAGAGTACTGCTTAGTCATCATCTTCTTCTTCCTCCTCTTCTTCCTCAAAGCTATCTTCAAAGCCCTCACTGTCCTCCTGGTCTTCATCCCCCTCTATTGCTGTATCCCACTGTGGGTGATTTTCTGGCACAGGCTTAGCCTCATGAACTTCCAACTAGAAAGAAGAATTAAATGTAGACATCAGAAATTTGGGGAGAAATAATGGAAGAAATCTTGGTAAACAAAAGGTTTTCTTTGACCACAGCAATTACAAAGAAATAGTTTTTTATGGACACAATTCTAAATTCAACTCATTCATTTAGAACAGACACTTCATCCCAGAAATAAAACAAGTAAATTTAACAATATGTAAATGTAGTTAAATTTCTAATACAGTTTGATATTTTGATTCTGTATGTTATACTATTTATGAATGTATTTCTATGGCATAAAATAATTGTGATTCTTGAGCAAGAACACTGAGTCATATCTTAACAGAAGCCTTCTGCTTTAAGGAAGAAAAACCCGAGACATTTTGCAGTCTCTAGACTTGTGATGTAAAATTCTACAGTTAATAAAAGAAATATGGAACCCTCATGGAACAAAAAAGAGGTTCGCATTTACTGGCTACTTTTACCCTTTATAATGCAATAATACTTTTAGCACCATCTCTCTAATACAATAGGACACCTTTTATAAAAAGCTCAAGTGAATTGGTAAACAAAGATCAGAGTGTGCTGCAAATGATACTTACAGAAGTGTATGCTCTAAGATGACAAAAATAAATTAGTTTCAGAAATTAATATACACTCCAAATAGAATCTGTGGTTTAAAAAAAAAAAGTGCCTTTCTAAAGAAAAAAGAACCCATTTGCTGAGGCCTTATAAAGTTACAGCACATTAAAATGCATCCCTAAAGTAATTTATATTCAATGTTCTAAACTGTTACACTCCTTAAAAACCTAAAACCTTAAGTTTATTATTGAAAGAGTAGTCCATCAAGTATATCATATATAAAGCATGAGATGACTTCTTTTTCCTTCCATAACTCTACATTTCAAAACTAGAAATGTTTTCCTAGTATATTAAACATTTATACAGAAAACTCTTATTTATTGAAGAGTCACTATTCTTACCTTCAATGGTTTAATCTGATCCAAACCCATATAGGAGTCTGATCTCAGAAACACAGTATACTGATAATTTCCAGGCTTGCCTGGTGCAGGAAACTTCAGCTCTACCTAGAAGATAAAATCAGCACTTAAAAATCTGTATTATGGGGAGGAAACAGCTCACTCCCTAAAATTCCTAGACCACAGTATTTAACAGCCAGGTTTTTTCTGCAGATGATACAGAAAGTCCTAATAAATGTTACTAAAGTCCTTATAAACAATAATAAAAAAAAGCGAAATGTATGTTACATATTATAAATACCTCCCAAAGAGGAAATCAAATTATGCAGAACTGATGAGGTTAATTTGTCTCTCCACAATTCAAGAAAGCAGTACTTAAAGCAACCAAATTCTATGCTATCATCTTGAAGAAATTAAGCAGGTATAAAAGCATAAGTAAATGAAATGTTGGAATAAAACAACAGACTTCACTAGATAGGAGATACTTCCTGCCAAATTTTCTTATTTCTAGAATAAACGCCCAATGCCAAAGGTCAAGAAGATATTTTATTTATCATCAAATCATAAACTTCAAATACAAATAGTAACAAACTCTTAAAAAGTTTCTATTCCACTTGGACAAAAGAACAATTTTTTAAAAATGACATTTGTATTCTCTGGTGATCTGCTCTAGTGATCTGCTCCAATCTCCAAAATCCAGATTTTACAGTCAAGATTAAATATTAAAATATGCCAGTTTTAAAAAAACTAGAAAAAATCATGAAGGAATCTTTTTTTCTTAAATTAATCTCAGTTTGGCCTAACTATAACACAAACCTAGAAACTATTAAAAAAAAATTCTTTAAATCATACTACAAAAAATAAGTAAGAAAATGGATAAACAAATAGGTATTTATATTTCTATCTGGTAGAAACAACCAGAATAGTACAACAAACTGGGGAGAAATACTTGCAACACATATCACAAAGGGCTGATTTCTTAACATTAAAAAAAGATCCCAAAACAACTTTTTAAGACTCAACAAAAGTGAACAATGGTCACAAACAGACACATTAAAAAGACAACTCAAACACACTGAAGGTTAAGTTTCACTCTTCAGAGAAATAAAAACTACACTGAATAGAATGAGCAGAGTAAAAATTGATTCAGAAAAGAATCATCAACATATGTTTAAAACGATTGGGTAAAACACTGTTGGAGAATAGGACATTCACACAGGGCCTAAATATCACCCCACAGATTAGAGGGGGAGAAAAATACCTTTACAATAGAGAAAAACCATAACTAAATGAGCAACCTTAATTAATATCACCAACATAGGGCAAAGTCATATACTGTACTTCTGACCTAAGAACTACATCACCAACATAGTTTGCTTGCCAAAAACACAAAGATGAATAATGAGTAACCAACGAGACAAATTCGTATTAAATGATATTCTACAAAACACCTTGCCTGGATTCTTGAAAAATGTCAGCGGCATGCAAAGATTAAAAAAGAACAAGGAAGCCGGGCACGGTGGCTCACGCCTGTAATCCCAGCACTTTGGGAGGCCAAGGCGGGCGGATCACAAGGTCAGGAGATTGAGACCATCATGGCTAACACAGTGAAACCCCGTCTCTACTAAAAAAATATAAAAAATTAGCTGGGTGCAGTGGCGGGCGTCTGTAATCCCAGCTACTCAGGAGGCTGAGGCAGGAGAATGGCGTGAACCCGGGAGGCGGAGCTTGCAGTGAGCCGAGATCATGCCACTGCACTCCAGCCTGGGCGACACAGTGAGACTCTGTCTCAAAAAAAAAAAAAAAAAAAAGAACAAGAACAAGAAAGTATTCAACACTAAAGAGGCATGACAACCAAATACAATGTAAAAATCTCTTTTTTTCTTTCTTTCGAGACATGTCACTCTGTTGCCCAGGCTGAAGTACAGGGGCATGATCATGGCTCATTGCAGCTTCAACCTCATGGGCTCAAGTGATCCTCCTGCCTCAGCCTCCTGAGTTAGGCTGGGACTACAGGCACAAGTCACCACACCCAGCTACAATGTGTGATCCTTGATTAGATCCTGAGTTTAAAAATAAAACCAAAAACTGTAACAGACATTAGTGGAATCGTTGAGGAAATCTGAATACAGACTGCGTATTAGATAATTATGCCACATCAATGTTAAATTTCCTGAGTATAATCATTGTAGTAGGCCTATGGAGAAGGTCCTGGATTTTGTTTTTGTTTTTGTTTTTTTTAAGAGACAGGGTCTCACCACGTTGCCCAGACTGCTGCTGAATTCCTGGGCTCAACTGATCTGCCCGCCTTGGCCTCCCAAAATGCTGGAATTACAGGTGTAAGCCACTGCACCCAGCCCAAGGCCCTGGTTCTTAAGGGATACATGTCAAGTAGTTAGGGGTGTCATGTCATGATGTCTACAAGTACCTCAAATGGTTCAGGGGAAAATACACACGCGTGCATGTTTTGTACATACATATACAGTGAAAGATAAAACAAGTAACAGCTAAATGTAAACAACTGGTGAATACGGGTGGGGATCTAGGGAGGTTTCATGATACCATGCTTGTTAACTTTTCAATAGGTTTTAAAACTTAAAAGATCAGAGAGGCCAGGCACAGTGGCTCATGCCTGTAATCCCGGCACTTTGGGAGGCCAAAGCAGGCGGATCTCTTGAGCTCAGGAGTTTGAGACCAGCCTAGGCAACATGGGTAAACCCTGTCTCTACAAAAAATACAAAAATTAGCCGGGCGTGGCTAATTTTTACGGGGTGCACGTATGTAGTCCCAGCTATTTGGGAGGCTGAGGTGGGAGAGCCCGGGAGGCGGAGGTTGCAGTGAGCCGATATTGTACCACTGCACTCCAGCCTGGGTGACACAGCCAGACCCTGTCTCAAAAAAAAGATCAGAGGAAAAAATAACATGAAGATCTAAGATGCTATTTTTCACCTTTCCAACTAGCAATGATATTCAAAATGTCTGACATGCTGAGAGGTATTAGGCATATTTAGACATTCATTCTTTCTATAGAGAAATAAATATCTAGCAATATAGACCAAAATTACAAACATACAGAGCCTCCAGCCCATCAATTCGACCTCTATAAATTTATTATTAACCTATTTCATGCATTTACCACTTGATTATAAAGGGTTAAAAAATATGTACTAAAAATCAACATCATAGGGCTATCTTGAAAAGCTTTTGTCCACCAAGTACAGGCAGACAGAACCTTCTTCCTAGAAAAAAAACACACACACAAAAAAAACATGAAAAACAACAACAAAAATGCAGTTCCCAAGGGTAAATATGTTCATCACAATGCTGCTTTACTGATGTCATTAACAGTGAATACCACGTAATCAAAAATTCCACTCAAGAAATCCACATCATCAGTTCTTAGATTTTTCAAGACAAAAGATCTAATACTCAACACTAATCCAATAAGAACAAAAATTCTATCACTAAATTCTGGAGAGGAGGAGGAAAGGTGTATGTTCTTAGACACTAACAGTGAAAACTCCCAAAACAAGCTGAGAACAAATTTTTAAAACATTGACTAAGTTGCCTACCTTTAACAATTATTTATAAATTTCCAATGAGCTCACCCCAAAATAGAGAACAGTTACAAAATGCAGGCAACGAATAGAATACAATATGCTAAATATGATAAACTTTTTAAAAAAAAGATATATGAAGCAGCATGATGGTGACAGCTGTGCCTTGTTAAACACTGAAATCATGTTGCTTGATAGTTACCTCCTCTGTATCTTTCAGCGTACACACATGATATGGCATGGATATTAATGTCTGCTCCTTCCTATCTGCAATGTAAAGCCACCACCATTCTTGTTTTTCCTGGAAACAAAAAAAAAAAAAAAAAAAGAAGAGGGGTATAAATAATCAGAAAGAACTAGAAAGAATATAATTTTGGCCTCTCTTATCTTAGAGATCCTCTGCACTGACAAACTGCTTGGTACAAAATAGGTATTCAAATGAATATTTACTGAAAGAATAAGCTGTTCTTAACATTTGTAGATCCATTGCCTAAAAGCATTTTGTATGCAATTTTGGGGATTTCAATAGCTCCTTAAAACCTATTGATTGGCCTTCATATTAAAAACCCTGACTAACCTTAAGTAACAAGCATTATTCTAAATATATACAACTATTACAATAGCATGTAGCAAATAATCTTAGTACTCTTACCTAGTAATAAGCAAAAGCCACAAAGTTGGAGTGGAAGGAACATATATATATGTGTGTGTATATATATATATATACACATATATACATATACATATATGTGTGTGTGTATATATATATTTTAGAAGGCCAAGAAGTCTGAAAGCACGAAACCTCCGTGCATTCAGCAACAACTGCTCTATTACAGCACACCTCAGTTCACTATTTAGTCACCTGCTTATTAACACCTGTTTTAAGAGTTGGGTAGGGAAGTATCTTTCTAAAACAGTTTAAAGAAAAATGTTTTACAGCTTAAAACAAAATAAACTCTAGGATGTTCTAAATATTTATTTAACCAAAATAGTACTAGACTATTCTAAACTCTCAATTGTCCGAAATGGTTAAAAAATCATCTTACTGAAAGTTTCTTTGAGAAAACGTGGGTTTTTTTGGTTTTGTTTTTTGTTGAGACAGGGTCTCACTCTGTCACCCAGGCTGGAGTGCAGTGGCACCATCTCAGCTCACCTCACTGCAACCTCTGCCTCTGGGGCTCAAGTGATCCTCCCACCTCAGCTTCCCAAGTAGCTGAGACTACAGGCATGCACCACGTCTGGCTAATTTTTGCATTTTTTGTAGAAACAAGATTTCATTTATGTTGCCCTGGCTGGTCTTGAACTCCTGGGCTCAAGCGATCCTCCCATTTAGGCCTCCCAAAGTGCTAGGATTACAGGCATGAGTCACCACGCCTGGCCCATATTTATGTTTTTAAACTAAAATTGCTGCTAAAATTTTAACTATAAAAATAGATTAAAATTTGGTTTATCTTTCAAACGCTACTAAGCACAACTAAAAACTCTTCTGTTTAAATACCTTCGGAGATAAAGCACTGCAACATTAAAAAGTCTAATAAATAAATGACAAGTACACGGTGACATGAGTGGCACTTAACAAGAAAATTAAATTCTGCTTAAACCGAGGGTTAGGACTACCACTGTAGGCATATTTGTATACATAACATATGTGTGTAAATACATAACAGCCTCAAAGTGGAATAACACCTCTGTTGCGGCCACTCAAATCTGCCCTTGCAGCATGAAAAAAATAAGTGTGGCTGTGTTCTAATAAAACTTTATTTACAATAAAGCCTCATTTACAAAAACAGGAAGGCAGCCAGATCTGGCCTGCAGACTGCAGTTTGACAATATCTGTTTTAAAGACACAGAAACCTGGGTTATTTCACTTCCCTAAAATCTCATTTTCTTCTCAACAATCAGTGCCTACTTCTGGCCATGTTGTAAAGATGATCTGAGAGAATACAAATAAAAATATATGTTACAAAGCCTAGCACATGCAGTATAATAGGTGGCAGTTATGATTATTAGTGACATGAGGTACAATATCACCTCTTTTTTAAGTCATTTTGACATTTGTCAGAAACATCATTACAACAAGTAGGGAATGTAAGCAGCACAGGATTATGTTAAAGATTATGCACTTCTTTACCTCCCCACTTAGAGAATGCCTTTCCCTCCAACCTCTCAGCCTATTTAATTACAATGAGATTCACTCAAGAATATTTATTAGGGCCAGCCATGGTGGCTCACACCTGTAATCCCAGCACTTTGGGAGGCCAAGGCGGGTGGATCACTTGAAGTCGGGAGTTTAAGACCAGCCTGACCAACATGGAGAAACCCTGTCTCTACTAAAAATACAACATCAGCTGGGTGTGTTGGCACATGCCTGCAATCCCAGCTACTCGAGAGGCTGAGGTGGGAGAATCACTTGCACCCAGGAGGTGGAGGTTGCAGTGAGCCAAGATTGCGCCACTGCAGTCCAGCCTGGGCAACAAGAGCAAAATTCCAGCTCAAAAAAAAAAAAGAATATTTATTAAGAAGCCAGTGAATATCAATCAACAGCACTACACCTGTGCCTAGTGATGCACATGTTAAAAGTGAAACAGATTTCTATGAGTTACCTGTATTTTAGACAAAATTGTTTTTCTTTTGTGAGATTCCTAACCATTCTTAACGCATTAAATACAATAGACGAATTTCACTAACATGTAAGTCAAATATTACTAAGTGGGTAGTTTGGTAGTTAGGTTACTTAGGTAAGAAACACGGAAATGTAGACAGGTAGAGAGGTTAGAAAGATCCTAAATAAATTTTGTTTGTTCATTTGTTTTGTTTTGTTTGAGACAGTCTCACTCTGTCACCAAGGCTGGAATGCAATGGCACAATCTTGGCTCACTGCAACCTCCGCCTCCCAGGTTCAAGCAATTCTCCTGCCTCAGCCTCCCAAGTAGCTGGGATTATAGGCACCCGCCACCACGCCCGGCTAATGTTTTTATTTTTGAGACAGAGTTTCACTCTTGTTGCCCAGGCTGGAGTGCAATGGCACAATCTCAGCTTACCGCAACCTCCGCCTCCTGGGTTCAAGCAATTCTCCTGCCTCAGCCTCCTGAGTGGTGGGATTACAGGCATGTGACACCATGCCCAGCCAATTTTGTATTTTTAGTAGAGACGGGGTTTTGCCATGTTGGCCAGGCTGGTCTCAAACTCCTGACCTCAGGTGATCCACCCACCTCGTCCCCACAAAGTGCTGGGATTACAGGCATGAGCCACTGCACTCGGCCCTAAATACATTTTATCTGATAAATAATGATCTGAAATGTTTACCATGCAGATGCAGATTAAATTTGAAAAAGGCATTTTGCTGATAAAATGATTTTTATCTTTTTTTTTTTTTTTTTTGAGACAGGGTCTCACTGTGTCATCCAAGCTGGAGTTCAGTGGCACAATCACAGTTCAATGCAGCCTCAATCTCCTGGGCTCAAGTGATCCTCCAACCTCAGCTTCCCAAGTAGCCTAGGACCACAGGCATGAGCCACAGCACTTGGCCACTAATAAAATGTTCTGAGGGAGTGAATGAATGTTTCTCTTATTAACTAAGCATGGTCTAAAATGAAACTGTCTGTTACATGGGTACACACTAGGCAGCTTTGAGCACCCCATGGCACTTTTTATACCAATCAATGAATGGAATTTACTTGCTTCATTTCAGGATGCTTGGTGTTGGCAGGCTACCTCTGCAATGGGCACAATGCCCCTAACAGATGGACTAAAGCTCAGGACATGCCAGAAGATCAGCACGTGCATTAAGATGGAATCCTGGGCAGACTTCTCTCCAAGTCAAAACAACAGTCTGTGCAGAGCCACTCATTTATTACTAAGAGAGCCAAATTATTTACGAATTTGCCTTAAGCAGTCCCCAGAAACTCTAGATTGACATCCTCGAGCAGAAAGCAGATTTATACATGAAATCACCTGCCAAACACAAGTGGTGAGCAGAAGGTTCTGTGGCAAAGCTGTGAGGCAGTCTGTGGAACAGTTTCCCGAACTGGGGGAACCAGTTCTTGACCTCTACTCCAGACAGAATCATACTCTAATGCAAAATGTCAAGGGAATCCCAAGGTAATTTGAAAGATGAACAACACAGGCTATCAAGGAGATCGAAAGTTGAGCAGGCTGCAATTACAAAGTAAACAAGGACAAGGCAACAAATAGCACTATAATGACCTGTCCTGAGCCCGGGGCTCAGTTATGATCAAGCTCTTATGGAACTTTATTTATTAGAGCCAAGAACACAGTTGGTCCCACAGCCATGGGCTCACACATTTCCATGGACTGGGACAACAATGACCAGGGTCAGAGCAATTCTAATGGTTCCATGTCGCCAGCAGGATCCTCAGAGAGAAAATTTAAGAATTTTTTCATCCGATTTAAAACTTGGCAGAGGTGAGAGATTCATAATAGTTAAGTATTCAAAGGCAAAATATGCATTTGTCTGATGAAGACTGCCTAATCTGCTAATGAGAAATCACCATTACACATAACACTCAGTAATCAGGGCACAGAAAAGACAGAAGCAAAGAAAACCACAGAAATACTTAAGAAGCTAACAATCTCTTTTATAAGCAACACGTTCACTAAGTATAATACCTATTGTAATATTCCCTTTTAAAAATATGGCCTCTCAGGATAGACCACATTTAGCACATATGAACTAATACACACGACAGAGGGCTAAAAGTCAACTGACAAATCCCTGAGGAGAAAGTGAATGGAATAAGGAACACAGTAGCCTGTATATAACTCACCTCAGGAAAGTAAAGGCTATACACAGGATGTGTTATTTTTGATTTGGTTTCCAATAGAGCTCTCTCTTTTCGCTGTATGCTTTGTTGTAATTCTTGCCACTCCTAGTAAACAAAAAAATTAAAATATTTAAAATCTAGTATGTGTTTTATCACTTTAAGGATTTCCAGGTATTATTCCTGACAATGCTAATTAACTACTTAGGATTAGAACAAGTTCAGTCTCACAAATCTGATCATCTCCCTGCTCATCCTTACAATGCCTTTTTAAATATATTAAATCTAACCACTGTAGTATCAACTACATAGCCGTTCATTATCTGACCCTAGCCTGCCTCTCTTTGGTCTCCTGTCACTGCCTCCCTCCTTGTGCTTTTTATTCTAGTCATTTCAAACTACCTACACTTCTCTGAACTTACCAAACTATTTCACTCCTCCTAAACCCTGTTTGGACTTTGATTTCTCCCTTTCTCTGCCTACTCATTATTATTTAGGACCAACTAAAGCCCAAAGTATGAACTCCTGAGTAAAGCCTCCCATAAATTTCCTTCTACCTCAGGACTGAACTGATCACTCCCTCCTTATGTACCTTGCATAAGATGTGTGTAATTTCATATGTACTATAGTATTTATTTACAAATCTGCCTGCCCCACTAGCCTACATTATCATTCAAGACCTGAAGCTGTTTCACATTTGGCTTTGTATTATCTTTAATCTTAGACAGCCTTGGGATGTGACAGGTAATAAATAATGATTTGTTGATTTAATGAATGTATTTTTGGTCATATGAAGAAATTAGTCTGTCAAAACCCTAAGAGTCACTGCTACTTACCCTAATATACTTAGGAATATGTCAATTCTTTCTCAAAGTCAGGCCAGGGATATAATGTATTTGACAGATTTTAGTTTCCTGGCAATCAATTTAATTCTCCAAGTACAAAAACAGCCAAGGCCCTGCAAATGCTAACAATAGACATCTTTGTTTTCTACCATTCCCAAGGACAAGTGTGTTATTAACCCCTTATACTTTTATCCTTTGCCCTTTACCTCTTCCTCTTTTTTTGGCCTCTCCTTTTGCCTCTGAGGCTATTCAGGCAATCCCTTTTTATCTCCCAAACTACAGTGTTACTTTTAGATCAATGGCCACTCAAAAAGAACAACGCTAACAAACCTAAAAGAAATGGCCGAGCAGTTTATTTGCAGTGAGCCTCTAAGGACCCCATTCTTCTCTATAATTCTCCCATAAATTATGTGCAACTTAATGCCATGAGATTTTTCTCCTATACGCTATACTTTTACACCATATTAATAAATTCTGTAAAGACTTCCCCTGTCCTTAATATATCTTATATACACCCATGAAACAAGGTGGTATTCTATAAATGTTAGCTTTTCCCTTAACCAACCTCTTGACATCAGGGTCCACAGTACTGTTTCTCTACAGTAAACATGAACTGGAGCTTGTGACACAGCCTTCCAAGTAAGCACTATGCATTTCACAAACACCTTTCCTTACTCATATTCCCAGAGATATCCCCAACACTGAAAATCCCCTTATGAGACCAACTGACCTAACCTCAAACCCAGGTCCTACTCTACCTAACAATTTAATATTTAAGAAAACGAGGATTTCCAATCCTTGTTAGAAATCATTTTTCTGTATAACCTTGACTACCATTCCTTAAAAACGTTCTTCAAAGTAATAAAATTATAAAATATACAGATATTATTTAAAGAAAGCAAGCGAGCAAGCAAACAAATGAACAACAACAACAAAACCCAAAGCTATCATCAGAGATATAATTCCAATTATTTAAATTATTTAAACCTATAAGGCTTACTGCTTCATCATCTTTGTTTTGTTTTTCATCTTGCTCTCTATCAGAGTCTCTGTCACTACCATCATCTTTCTCACTTTGGGAATCTCTATTGGTTTCTTCTTCTTCAGAATCACTGCCCTTATCTGAAACTTCTTCTTCATCTTCCTTTACTGCAGCTTCCTAAAAGGGAAAGGCAAACACAAAGATTCTGCATATCTCAATGAGAACATATCAATCTGAATCCCTGAAGTTAACTTATTGTCAATTTAACTAAACTGACTCGATGACAATTTCACTATTCATATACAATTTTTTAAAATTATAAACATTCCTACTTATAAAGATGTGGGAGTCAGACTAAAGAGTTTAATATCTGGCTAGTCTGTCTATTGTTAGTTATTTTATTCATTCTTCATAATTTGTCAAATAAAAGTATTTCTATTTGCAAAGCCCAATAACACAAAGGCTAAGATGGTTCTGCTTTCAAAAACATCAATCATATTTTATTTAAGGAAACAGGTAGTTTATAGAAAAGTATAATTTTGGGGCCAGTCACAGCGACTCATGCATGTAATCTTAGCACTTTGGAAGGCAGAGGCAGGAAGACTGCTTGAGGCCAGGAGTTCAAACCAGCATGGGCAACACAGCAAGACCTGATCCCTTAAAAAAAAAAAATTATATATATATATATATCACTAGGCATGGTGGTACACGTCTGTAGTCCCAGCTAGTTGGGAGGTTGAGGTGGGAGAATCATTTGAGCCCAGGAGTTTAAGGCTGCAGTAAGGCATGACCATGCCACAGCACTTCAGTCTGGGTGACAGAGCAAGACCCTATCTCAAAAAAAAAAAGAAATAAAGAAAAGTACTCCTTTGGAAGTACAGAATCACTTTCTTTAACTAACAAGGTATGATGCAGTAAGTAAAGGCAATATCTTCAGCAAAATACTAGCTCACTTTAAGAATCAAGAACAGCAAATTAAATGCAAAGAAAGCAGAAACAGGCGGGACGCAGTGGCTCATGCTATAATCCCAGCACTCTGGGAGGCCGAGGCAGGTGGATAATTTAAGGTCAGGAGTTTGAGACCAGCCTGACCAACATGGTGAAACCCCGTCCCTACTAAAAATACAAAAAACAAACAAACAAACAAAAAAATAGCTGGGCATGGTGGCACATGCCTGTAATCTCAGCTACTCGGGAGGCTCAGGCAGGAGAATCGCTTGAACTTGGTAGGCGGAGGTTGCAGTGAGCCACTGCCTGGGTAACAGAGCATGACTCTGTCTCAAAAAAAAAAAAAAAAAGAGCAGAGAGAGATACAGAAAAAGAAACTTAAAACTAAAAGTTGGTTCTTTGAAAAGGCTAATAAAATTGATTAAACCCCTAGGCAAGAATGATCAAGAAAAAAAAAGAATAAAAATTACCAATATTAGGAACAAGAGGCGTAACTATATCCAACAGACATTAAAAGAAAATTATGAATAATGTTACGCCAACAAATTTAATAATTAAGAGGAAATAGACAAACTCCTTGAAAAACATAATTTGCTAAAATCAATAAGAAAAATGCAGAATATATATTAAAGAAATAAACTCTGCGAATAACTCCCTTTAAAAACTCCAGGCCCAGATGGTTTCCCTGGAGAATTCTTCCAGAGACTAAAAAAACAAATCAAAGCTTACACAAACTCTTCTGAGCAAAAAAGGGAATACTTCCTAGCTTGATTAATAATGCCAGCATAAATCTGATACAAAACCTGACAAGGATATTACAAAAAAGGAGAATGACAAACCAATATTTGCTCTTAAAAATAGATGTGAGAATCCAAAGAAAATACTGTAAAATCCAGATAAATATAAAAAGGAATACTAAGCTATGACCAAATGATATTTGTTCCAGGAATGCAGGGATGGTTTCAAATTTTTTAAATCCATCAATCTAATTCAACAGAAAGGAAAAAAGTGGAAAAAAAAAAAAACCTTTAATGAAATTCACTATCTGCTAGTGATAAAAATTGTCAGCAAACTGGAAATAAAAGGAAACATTTCCTTAACCGGACAAAGAATAGCTACAAAAAACTTACACCTAACATCACATTTAGTGGTAAAATAATGTTTGCTTTCTTCCTAAGACCAAAAATAAGACAAGGTTCCTACTATCATCACTCTGAATCAGTATTACACTGACAGTTCTAGCCAGCACAGTGAGGCAGAAAGGAAGAAAGAAAGAAAGGGTATAAAGATTAAAAAGAAAAAAGTAAAACTGTCTTTATTCACAGATGGCAACACTGCATATGTAGAAAATCTTTATTAAAATGTCTACAAATGGTTAGAATTATTGCCAATAAGACTCTTTGATACAAGGTCAATATTTAGAAGCAACTATTTCTATACACCAGCAACAAACACCAAATAAAAATTTTAATGACATTTACAGTAATACCAGAAAGGATCAAATACATAGGAGTAAATCTAACGAAAGATGTGCCATACCTCTGCCACTGGAAATTACAAAACACTGCTGAGAAAAATTAGGGAAGATCCAAATTAATGAAGATAAACCACAATCATGAATAACAAGACTCAGTATTGTTAACATGTCAATTCTCCCCATAATGAACCATGGATTCAATGCAATACCAATGTAAATTTCAGCAGCTTTTTGGGGGGAAAATTGTTAAGCTTATTCTAAAAATTGGCAGGAAATGTAAAGGAATTAAAACAGTTAAGAAAATTTTGATCAGTAAAATAAAGAGTTGGAGCACTTACACTACCATATCTTAAGACTTAACATAAAGCTACAACAATTAAAACTGTATGGCACTGGCATAAGAATAGACAAATAATCAATAGAATGAACTAGAGTCCATAAACAGACCTACAGTATCATCTGTTGTTTTTTTTTAAAATTATACTTAAAGTTCTGGGGTACATGTGCAGAACATGCAGGTTTGTTACATAGGTATACACATGCCATGGTGGTTTGCTGCACCCATCAACCCATCATCTACATTAGGTATTTCTACTAATGCAATCCCTCCCCTAGCCCACCACCACCCGACATGCCCCGGTGTGTGATGTTCCCCTCCCTGTGTCCATGTGTTCTCATTGTTCAACTCCCACTTATGAGTGAGAACATGGCGGTGTTTGGATTTCTGTTCTTGTGTTAGTTTGCTGAGAATGATGGTTTCCAACGTCATCCATGTCCCTGCAAAGGACATGAACTCATCCTTTTTTATGGCTGCATAGTATTCCATGGTGTATATGTGCCACATTTTCTTTATCCAGTCTATCATTGATGGGCACTTGGGTTGGTTCCAAGTCTTTGTTATTGTGAACAGTGCCGCAATAAACATACATCTGTATGTGTCTTTATAGTAAAATGATTTATAATCCTTTGGGTATATACCCAGTAATGGGATTGCTGGGTCAAGTATTCCTAGTTCTAGATCCTTGAGGAATCGCCACACTGACTTCCACAAGGGTTGAACTAGTTTACAGTCCCACCAACAGTGTAAAAGTGTTTCTATTTCTCCACATCCTCTCCACCATCTGTTGTTTCCTGACTTTTTAATGACTGCTGTTCTAACTGGCGTGAGATGGTATCTCATTGTGGTTTTGATTTGCATTTCTCTAATGACCAGTGATGATGAGCTTTTCTTCATATGTTTGTTGGCTGCATAAATGTCTTCTTTTGAAAAGTGCCTGTTCATATACTTTGCCCACTTTTTGATGGAATTGTTTGTTTTTTTCCTGTAAATCTGTTTATGTTCTTTGTAGATTCTGGCTATCAGCCCTGTGTCAGATGGATAGATTATAAAAACTTTCTCCCATTCTGTGGGTTGCCTGTTCACTCTGATGATAGTTTTTTGTTTTTTTGGGTTTTTTTTTTTTTTTTTGCTGTGCAGAAGCTCTTTAGTTCAATCAGATCCCATCTGTCTATTTTGGCTTTTGTTGCCATTGCTTTTAGTGTTTTAGTCAAGAAGTCTTTGCCCATGCCTATGTCCTGAGTGGTATTGCCTAGGTTTTCTTCTAGGGTTTTTATGGTTTTAAGTCTTAAGTCTTTAGTCCACCTTGAGTTAATTTTTGTATAAGGTGTAGTTAGAATGGCAATCATTCAAAAGTCAGGAAACAACAGCTGCTGGAGAGGATGTGGAGAAACAGGAACACTTTTACACTGTTGGTGGGACTGTAAACTAGTTCAACCATTGTGGAAGTCAGTGTGGCAATTCCTCAGGGATCTAGAACTGGAAATACCATTTGACCCAGCCATCCCATTACTGGGTATATACCCAAAGGACTATAAATCATGCTGCTATAAAGACACATGCACACGTATGTTTATTGCCGCATTATTCACAATAGCAAAGACTTGGAACCAACCCAAATGTCCAACAATGATAGACTGGATTAAGAAAATGTGGCACATATACACCATGGAATACTATGCAGCCATAAAAAATGATGAGTTCATGTCCTTTGTAGGGACATGGATGAAATTGGAAATCATCATTCTCAGTAAACTATTGCAAGAACAAAAAACCAAACACCGCATATTCTCACTCATAGGTGGGAATTGAACAATGAGATCACATGGACACAGGAAGGGGAATATCACACTCTGGGGACTGTTGTGGGGTGGGGGAAGGGGGGAGGGATAGCATTGGGAAATATACCTAATGCTAGATGACGAGTTAGTGGGTGCAGCGCACCAGCATGGCACACGTATACATATGTAACTAACCCGCACAATGTGCACATGTACCCTAAAACTTAAAGTATAACTAAAAAAAAAATTTTTTTGTATAAGATGTAAGGAAGGAATCCAGTTCCTGCTTTCTGCATATGGCTAGCCAGTTTTCCCAATACCATTTATTAAATAGGGAATCCTTTCCCCATTGCTTGTTTTTAACAGGTTTGTCAAAGATCAGATGGTTGTAGATGTGTGGCATTATTTCTGAGGGCTCTGCTCTGTTCCATTGGTCTATATATCTGTTTTGGTACGAGTACCATGCTGTTTTGGTTACTGTAGCCTTGTAGCACAGTTTGAAGTCAGGTAGCGTGATGCCTCCAGCTTTGTTCTTTTTGCTTAAGATTGTCTTGGCTATGCGGGCTCTTTTTTGGTTCCATATGAAATTTAAAGTAGTTTTTTCCAATTCTGTGAAGAAAGTCAATGGTAGCTTGATTGGGATAGCATTGAATCTATAAATTACTTTGGGGAGTGTGGCCATTTTGACAATACTGATTCTTCCTATCCATGAGCATGTAATGTTTTCCATTTGTTTGTGTCCTCTCTCATTTCCTTGAGCAGTGGTTTGTAGTTCTCCTTGAAGAGGTCCTTCACATCCCTTTTAAGTTGTATTCCTGGGTGTTTTATTCTCTTTGCAGCAATTGTGAATGGGAATTCACTCATGATTTGGCTCTCTGTTTGTATGTTATTGGTGTATAGGAATGCTTGTGATTTTTGCACATTGATTTTGTATCCTAAGACTTAGCTGAAGTTGCTTATCAGCTTAATGAGATTTTGGGCTGAGACGATGGGGTTTTCTAAATATATAATCATGTCATCTGCAAACAAAGACAATGTGACTTCTTCTTTTCCTAACTGAACACTCTTTATTTCTTTCTCTTGCCTGACTGCCCTGGCCAGAACTTCCAATACTATGTTGAATAGGAGTGGTGAGAGAGGGCATCCTTGTCTTGTGCTGGTTTTCAAAGAGAAGGCTTCCAGTTTTTGCCCATTCAGTATGATACTGGCTGTGGGTTTGTCATAAATAGCTCTTATTTTGAGGTACGTTCCATCAATGCCTAGTTTATTGAGAGTTT
This sequence comes from Homo sapiens, assembly GCF_000001405.40. Taxonomy (NCBI): domain Eukaryota; kingdom Metazoa; phylum Chordata; class Mammalia; order Primates; family Hominidae; genus Homo; species Homo sapiens. The sequence goes on from NC_000006.12 coordinate 107,888,790, forward strand.
TTAGCATGAAGGGCTGCTGAATTTTGTTGAAGGCCTTTTCTGCATCTATTGAGATAATCATGTGGTTTTTGTCATTGGTTCTGTTTATGTGATGGATTACATTTATTGATTTGCATATGTTGAACCAGCCTTGCATCCCAGGGATGAAGCCAACTTGATCGTGGTGGATAAACTTTCTGATGTGCTGCTGGATTCAGTTTGCCAGTATTTTATTGAGGATTTTTGCATCAATGTTCATCAGGGATATTCGCCTGAAATTTTCTTTTTTTGTTGTGTCTCTGCCAGGTTTTGGTATCAGGATGATGCTGGCCTCATAAAATGAGTTAGGGAGGATTCCCTCTTTTTCTGTTGTTTGGAATAGTTTCAGAAGGAATGGTACCAGCTCCTCTTTGTAGCTCTGGTAGAATTTGGCCGTGAAACCATCTGGTCCTGGACTTTTTTTTGGTTGGTAGGGTATTAATTGCTGCCTCAATTTCAGAGCTTGTTATTGATCTAGTCAGGGATTCGACTTCTTAATGATTTAGTCCTGGGAGGGTGTATGTGTTCAGGAATTTATCCATTTCTTCTAGATTTTCTAGTTTATTTATGTAGAGGTGTTTATAGCATTCTCTGATGGTAGTTTGTATTTCTGTGGGATCAGTGGTGACATCCCCTTTATCTTTTTTTATTGCATCTATTTGATTCTTCTCTCTTTTATTCTTTATTAGTCTGGCTAGTGATCTATTTTGTTATCTTTTCAAAAAACTAGCTCCTTGGATTCATTGATTTTTTTTTAAGTGTTTTTTGTGTCTCTATCTCCTTCAGTTCTGCTCTTAGTTATTTCTTGTCTTCTGCTAGCTTTTGAATTTGTTTGCTCTTGCTTCTCTAGTTCTTTTGTGATGTTAGGGTGTCGATTTTAGATCTTTCCTGCTTTCTCTTGTAGGCATTTAGTGATATAAATTTCCCTCTACACACTGCTTCAAATGTGTCCCGGAGATTCTGGTACGTTATGTCTTTGTTCTCATTGGTTTCAAAGAACATCTTTATTTCTGCCTTCATTTCGTTATTTACCCAGTAGTCATTCAGGAGCAGGTTGTTCAGTTTCCATGTAGTTGTGCAGTTCTGAGCGAGTTTCCTAATCCTGAGTTCTAGTTTGATTGCACTGTGGTCTGAGAGACAGTCTGTTATAATTTCTGTTCTTTCACATTTGCTGAGGAGTGTTTTACTTCCAATTATGCTGTCAATTTTGGAATAAGTGCAATGTGGTGCTGAGAAGAATGTGTATTCTGTCGATTTGGGCTGGAGAGTTCTGTAGATGTCTATTAGGTCCGCTTGGTCCAGAGCTGAGTTCAAGTCCTGGATATCCTTGTTAATTTTCTGTCTAATATTGACAGTGGGGTGTTAAAGTCTCCCACTATTATTGTGTGGGAGTCTAAGCCTCTTTGTAGATCTCTAAGAACTTGCTTTATGAATCTGGGTACTCCTGTATTGGGTGCATATATATTTAGGATAATTAGCTCTTCTTGTTGCATTGATCCCTTTACCATTATGTAATGCCCTTCATTGTCTCTTTTGATCTTTGTTGGTTTAAAGTCTGTTTTATCAGAGACTAGGATTATAAACCCTGCTTTTTTTTGCTTTCCATTTGCTTGGTAAATATTCCTCCATCTCTTTATTTTAAACCTATGTGTGTCTTTTCACGTGAGATGGGTCTCCTGAATACAGTATACGGATGGGTCTTGACTCTTTATCCAATTTGGCAGTCTGTGTCTTTTAATTGGGGCATTTAGCCCATTTACATTTAAGGTTAATACTGTTATGTGTGAATTTGATCCTGCCATTATGATGCTATCTCGTTATTCTGCCCCTTAGTTTATGCAGTTTCTTCACAGCATTGACAGTCTTTACAATTTGGTATGTTTTTGCAGTGGCTGGTACTGGTTGTTCCTTTCCATGTTTAGTGCTTCCTTCAGGAGCTCTCAAAGGGCAGGCCTGGTGGTGACAAAATCCCTCCGCATTTCCTTGTCTGTAAAGGACTTTATTTCTCCTTTGCTTATGAAGCCTAGTTTGGCTGGATATTAAATTCTGGGTTGAAAATTCTTTTCTTTAAGAATGTTGAATATCAGGCCCCACTCTCTTCTGGCTTGTAAGGTTTCTGCCAAGAGATCTGCTGTTAGTCTGATGGGCTTCCCTTTGTGGGTAACCCGATCTTTCTCTCTGGCTCCCTTTAACATTTTTTCCTTCATTTCAGCCTTGGTGAATCTGACGGTTATGTGTCTCAGGGTTGCTCTTCTCGAGGAATATCTTTGTGGTGTTCTCTGTATTTCCTGAATTTGAATGTTGACCTTGCTAGGTTGGGGAAGTTCTCCTGGATAATGTCCTGAAGAGTATTTTCCAATTTGGTTCCATTCTCCCCGTCACTTTCAGGTATACCAATCAAACATAGATTTGGTCTTTTCACATAGTCCCACACTTCTTGCAGGCTTTGTTCGTTACTTTTCACTCTTTTTTCTCTAATCTTGTTTTCTCGCTTTATTTCATTGAGTTGATCTTCAATCTCTGATATCCTTTCTTCTGCTTGATCAATATGGCTATTGATACTTGTGTATGCTTCACGAAGTTCTCGTGCTGTGTTTTCCAGCTCCATCAGGTCATTTATGTTCTTCTCTAAACTGGTTATTCTAGTTAGCAATTCGTCTTTTTCAAGGTTCTTAGCTTCCTTGCATTGGGTTAGAACATGCTCCTTTAGCTTGGAGGAGTTTGTTATTACCCACCTTCTGAAACCTGCTTCTGTCAGTTCGTCACATTCATTCTCCATCCAGTTTTGTTCCCTTGCTGGTGAGGAGCTGTGATCCTTTGGAGAAGAGGCATTCTGGTTTTTGGAATTTTCAGCCTTTTTGGGCTGATTTCTCCCCATCTGCGTGGATTTATCTACCTTTGGTCTTTGAAGTCAGTGACCTTCGGATGGGGTCTCTGAGTGGACGTCCTTTTTGTTGGTGTTGATACTATTCCTTTCTATTTGTTAGTTTTCCTTCTAACAGGCCCCTCTGCTGCAGGTCTGCTGGAGTTTGCTGGAGGTCTGCTCCAGACCCTCTTTGCCTGGGTATCACCAGCGGAGGCTGCAGACCAGCAAAGATTGCTGCCTGTTCCTTCCTCTGGAAGCTTCGTCCCAGAGGGGCACTCGCCAGATGCCAGCCAGAGCTCTCCTGTATGAGCTGTCTCTTGTGGGAGATGTCTCCCAGTCAGGATTCATGGGAGTCAGGGACCCACTTGAGGAGGCAGTCTGTCCCTTATCAGAGCTCGAATGCTGTGCTGGTAGATCTGCTGCTGTCTTCAGAGCTGCCAGGTAGGGATGTTTAAGTCTGCTGAAGCTGTGCCCACAACTTCCCCTTCCCCCAGGTGCTCTGTCCCAGGGAGGTGGGGTTTTATCTATAATTCCCTGACTGGGGCTGCTGCCTTTTTTTCAGAGATGCCCTGCCCAGAGAGGAGGCAGTCTGGCCGCAGTAGCCTTGCTGAGCTCAGCATCATCTATTTTACAACAAAGTGCCATTACAATTTACTGAGGAAAGAATGACCTTTTCAATGAATGGTGATGGTATAAGTGGTTCGTATCCCCTACCTTGCACCATTAATGAAAAGTTAATTCAAGATAGGTTTATCAACTACGGTAATAATGTTTCCAGAAGAAAACAGAAAAATACCTCTATGACTTTGGAACAGTCAGGATGTCTTAATTTTTAAGACACAGAAGCATTAGCCATCGATGAAAGATGACCTCACTGACGAAAAAAAGAGACTAATGAAATTGACCTCATTAAAATAATAAACATTAGAAGCTACCAATAAGAGTAAAAATGTAAGGACTCTTATCCAGAATATATACAGAATTCCTACAATTTCAGTAACAAGACAAACAACCCAATAGAAAAAGAAGTTATCCAAATGGCCAGCAAGCATATGAAACGGTGTTCAACATCATTAGCCATTAGGTAAATGCAAACAAAAACCACATAAAGAGATATCACTACAGATCTGCCAAATAGCTAAAAGACTGGTAAAACCAAGTGTTGGTGAGTACGTAGAACAAGACTCTCACACGTAGGTAAGAGCATAAAATGGTACAACTTTGGAAAACAGGCTCTTTTAACGAGTTAAGCATGCACCTACTTTATAATCTAGCAATTCCACTGCTAGGTGGAAAATGACTGCCCACAAAATGCCATGTATAAGAATAAGCATAGCACCCTTTATTCATATTAGGTTAAGAACTACAAACAATCCAAACGTCGAACCACCACAAAACAGGTAAATGTGGTATATTCATACAATGAAATACTATACACACACACACACACACACACACACACACACACACACACACACACACAGAATGAACTACTGCTACAAACAATACAGAGGGATTATCATGAACATAATGCTGAATGAAAGGAGCCATACATAAAATATGACACTTATATGACCTTTAGGAATAGGCAAAACTAATCTATGGCGATTATAGACAGAATAGTGGGAGGTAGAGGGATGGGGAGATGGATGAAGGGCTCACTGACTGAGAAGAGCACAAGGGAGCTTTCTAGGGTATCACGGGTGCATAAATTATGTAAAACTTTTGAAGCTGTACACGTAAGACTTGAACATTTTAGTTTGTATATTTTAGCTTAATAATGATAATAACGATAATAATAAACTTACATTCCCAACGACTCCATTTGCCTGCTTTTGTTTCTGTTGCTTTGACTGTGGTAATAGCACAGGTGTAGGTTTTTTTTTTAAAGGTTTCTTTTTTTTTGATTTAGCAGTTTTCTTGGGTCCTTTACTCTTCTGTTGCCATCCTCCTTTTGTCCTGTTCTTGTTAGTTTCACCCTGCTGTGAATCATAACACGTCACACTCTTAAGTTATAGCAACAGATTCAATTGAAGGTTGTAGTAATTTTTAGGTGGAAATAGCTAAACTGAATTACTCTCCCAGAGCAATATAAGTCAATTGGAAAAGTAAATAAAATATTTCTTTCACTAGGAAAAATAGGTTCGGAAACCCAAGTTTTTACCCCATCTTCTGCTGGCTGTTCCTCTGCAGCACAGATGGACTGCTCCTTTTCAAATACTTCCTGGGGGGCGGCAAGAAGAGAAATACAAAATCTGTCAACCTATATTTATCTTTCAGACAAACAAAGCAATCTTTCAAACTGCATTTTTATTAAGTATTTTTAACTGGCTACAATTGACAAAGAAGGAGACGTTTAGCAATTACTAGCTGATGAATGTGTGCCTATGCAGGTAGATACCTTCTAAAGTATCTCACATCTGTCTTGAACAAGTTTTGAAAAGTACAGTCTACTCAAGTTTACAAACACAGTAAGGATACATACAGTAAAAATATTTGTTTAAAATTTCACTTTTATTCTTAGCAAGCAAACGTTGAGTATTTTAATGTTATGAGAATATATACTATTTTCTGCATTAAAACCTTGACAATATGTCAGTGTGATGTGCGAAATAACAACAACAAAAAAACCCTTGAGACTAGTATTAGTTTATTCACTATTGTCAGTGATACTGCTTATTGGACCTGAGACCTGAGACTAAGAACTGAATCATCACAGGTGGAGCATGGTGGCTCATGCCTATAATCTCAGCACCCTGGGAGGCCAAGGCAGGAGGATTGCTTGACCCCAAGAGTTTGAGACTAACATGGGCAACAGAGCGAGACCCCATATCTATAAAAAAAAAACACCATGAAAATCTACATATCCTAAAGCTATATCCACCAACCATACAATCCATTTAGAATCAGTACAGAACCAGTAAATTTAGGATTTAAGTCCCAGTAAGCATCTATACTAGAAGATGACATGCAGGCTGTGTTTAATAAACTCCCTAGAATTATTAAAGCTAACAAGTAAAAAGTTATAATTTTTAGGCTCTATACAATAAAAACAGCCTAATTCAGGAGTCAACTCTGAACAGTCCACACCACTTGCCTTTTTTTTTTTTTTAAAGACAGTGGTCTTGTTATGTTGCCCAGGCTGGTCTTGAACTCCTGAGCTCAAAGGATCCTCCCACCTCAACCTCCCAAGTAGCTGTGCCACTGTGCCTGCCCTGCCACCTGCTTTTTAAAACAAAGCTTTACTGGAACATGACCACACCCATCTGTAAGTTCAGCAGTTGCTACAAACACTGTATGACTTATAAAACCTAAAATATTTACTATCTGGATGTTTAAAGAAAAAGGTTGCCACTCCCTAGTCTAATTATATCATAACTTCCTCCTTTCACTTATTAGCTGGGTTCTGATACTTGATTACTCCAAGGTACAGTTCATACAAGAATGGGAAGATAAAAACAATTCTTTTCTTTACTCCAGGGCAGTTCCATTCCATTCTTTTTTCTACCAATTACTCCAGAAATGTCAATAGTTCAAGACCAAATTTTTGCTCATTTTTCAGGCTGGGAAGTCCAAAGGATATGGGTAGTCTAGATTTGGATTCTAAACCCAATTTCAGCATTGGTTTCAGTTCCTCTTCTCCCAGGAGGCAGCTCTCTCACCTAGAGTCCATGACAAATGCTTCCTTATCACTTGCTATAATAAAAACAACATCTTTGATTCAATATATCCTACTACAAAACATGATTTTCAGGCCAGGCTTGGTGGCTCACACCTGTAATCCCAGCACTTTAGGAGGCTGAAATGGTAGGATCACTTGAGGTCAGGAGTTCAAGACCAACCTGGCCAACACAGTGAGACCTCCATCTCTCTAAGAAAAAAATATATATATGTTTTTCCTACCAGCAATTTTAGGCATGGGATATAAATGTGGCATGTATTTCTTGCAGATGCTCAAAAACCTCAGAGAAAGAAGCTAAAATCTACCACTAGTTGAATAAATTGAGTCAAAATACTACAGTCTCTACCAGTTGACTCAGGAGAAAATATAAATAATAGAAACTGAAAGCCAGGCATGGTGGCTCATGCCTGTAATCCCAGCACTTTGTGAGGCCAAGGCAGGAAGATCCTTTGAACCCAGGAGTTTGAGATCAGCTGGGCAGCCTACAGAGACCCGCACCTCTATTAAAAAAAAAAAAAAAAAAATTAGGCCAGGCATGGTGGCTCATGCCTGTAATCCCAGCACTTTGGGAGGCTGAGGGGTACATATCACTTGAGGACAGGCATTCGAGACCAGCCTGGGCAACATGGAGAAACCCCATTTCTACTAAAAATACAAAAAATTGGCTGGACATGGTGGTGCACACCTGTGGTCCCAGCTACTCAGGAGGCTGAGGTGGGAGAATCATTTGAGCCTAGGAGGCGGACGTTGCAGTGAGCCGAGACTGCACCACTGCACTCAAGCCTAGGTAACACAGTGAGACCGTGTCTCAACAAAAAATAAAATAGGCTGGGCGCAGTTGCTCATGCCTGCAACCCCAGCACGTTGGGAGACCAAGGTGGGTGGATCACTTGAGGTCAGGATTTCAGGACCAGCCTGGCCAACACGGTGAAACCCCATCTCTACTAAAAATACAAAAATTAGCCGGGCGTGGTGGCACATGCCTGTAATGCCAGCTACTAGAGAGAGACTGAGGCAGAAGAATCACTTGAACCTGGGAGGCAGAGGTTGCAGTGAGCCAAGATTGCACCACTGCATTCCAGCCTGGGTGACAGAGCTAGCTAGACTCCATCTCAAAAAAAAGATGAAGGAAATATATGCAAAATGATTGGACTGGATTTAACAAAAAAGCATGAGACAAGTACCAATCTACATTTAAGTGCATATATGTACGTATGCACTATAAAGATCCAGATGGTAAATATGAGCATGGAGAAAGACAGAAGACGACACACAACAAGATTATGCACTCTGATCATTTGAGGCTGACAAGGGGTTTTCCTAAAGAAAATGAGAGAGACGGGCTGAGTGCGGTAGCTCACGCCTGTAATCCCAGAACTTTGGGAGGCCGAGGCAGGTGGATCACCTGAGTTGAGGAGTTCAAGACCAGCCTGGTCAACATGGTGAAACCCCATCTCTACTAAAAACACAAAAATTAGCCAGGTGTGGTGGCGTGTGCCTGTAATCCCAGCTACTCGGGAGGCTGAGGCAGGAGAATCACTTGAACCCAGGAGATGGGAGGTTGCAGTGAGCCAAGATCACGCCATTGCACTCCAGTCTGGGAAACAAGGGTGAAACTCCGTCAAAAAAGAAAAAAAAAAGAAGGAAGGGAGGGAAGGAGAGAAGAAGGGAAGGAGGGAGGGAGGGAAGGAAGGAAGGAAATGGGAGAGAGAAGGGATCCATGACAAAAACATCATTTAGCTCTACAGGTATACATACATTAGGCTACATACAGGGATGAGCCTCAAAACGAATCATCTCGAAGTGGTGGGATTTTAGGTAGTTTTAATTTGTTCCTATACTTTTCTGCATTGTTTAAATTTTTTCCAGACAACATAAATGTTTCACATTATCAGGAAAAAAAATGTTATTTTTATTGTAATTCTTAGATTTTGAAATGAAAAATAAAAGTCAATTCTCTATAGAACTGACTAAAAAGGAATAGGTGATGAAATTCTCATCAGTAACAACTTCTGTATAGCACTTCACAGCTCAAGAACTATATCCACATTACTTTGTTATGATTATGTTTTATAGAGAATTAAACTATCACACAAAGGATTATTTTCCAGGTTTTTTTAGTGTATGTGAAAACTGTCTCATGAAAATTAATTTAAAATTTCAAAAGAGTTAACAGAATTTGCAAAATTAGATCTTGGTATTACAACAGTTTTGACTTTGACAATGAGGGAAATAAATATAAAAGCCTTGACACACAACTCTTAAAGCATAAAAATACAGATAGACTACTTACAGCCATTGTTTGCCTTGTCAACTTAACCAACACTGTAACTAAGGATCCTACTGTGATGTTGTTGCTATCTTCATCATCTAACACTGTTAAGATGGAAGAAAAAAAACAGCAAAAAATAAAAATCAAGTTCTATGTTAATGCAAACAGCAAAACTTAGCTTACCCAAATTAGTTTGGCACTTTAGTATTTCAAGCATATTATATTTTAAATTTGTTAAAAAAATAACTGATTGACTACTCTGTATAAGGCTCTCCAGTAGATGCTTTTAACAATTAATTCATTTAATCCTTAAAATAGCTCTACAAAGTATTTCCACTTTCAGAAACTAAGGTTTAGCCAGGCTTGGTGGCTCATGCCTGTAATCCCATCACTTTGGGAGGCCAAGGTAGGCGGATGGCATGAGCTCAGGAATTCGAGACCAGCAGGGCAACATGACAAAACCCTGTCTCTATAAAAAATACAAAAATTAGCCAGGCGTGATGGTGCCCGCCTGTAGTCTCAGCTAGTCGGGAGGCTGAGGTGGAGGATAGCTTGAACCTGGGAGCCGGAGGTTGCAGTGAGCCCAGATCGTACCACTGCACTTCAGGGCAAGAGTGAGACCCCATCTCAAAAAAAAAAAAAAAGAAACTGAGGTTCAGAAATAAAGTAAAATACCCAAACCCACACAACACCTGCATTCGCACACTAAGCTTCAAACCCAGGTTTCTGAAAACACAGTATAATGTGAGACCTACCATAACACAGTTCTCTCACAGTGACATAAAAATAGGGTTCTGTCACCCTATTAAACTGTGCAAACCTTACATTCACAAGATTTTACCTGTATGATCAATGTCTGTCTGAAAAAAATAATGAAAGCTAGTATTCCTAACCACACTAAAGAGACTTATTTTTTTAAAGGCAAGAACAAATATATCCTCTTTACACTAAAAAGCACTTTTGAAAAAGTATTTTTTCAATAAATGGTACTAAATACGTGTTTTTGCAATTATTTAATTTTTAAAACCATATTTCCCACACATATCCCCAAAAACTCTACTATAAAGTTAATAAAACAAAATAAATAAAAATAAAATAACTCAAATATACCTTCCATTCAAATGTGATCATTAATTCATTTTTTCTACAGATTTTATATGTAAGATAGTTCTTCTTACATGTTTTTACCTACAGTTTTAAGTTTGTTATGTTTACTTTTCATACTGGTCTGGCATTTACTAACATACCATCAGTTGAAAAGAATGGCCTCCAATAATCTGCAATTGCTATCTCCATTACCCGCTACAAGGTGCAGCAGCTGGGTATCAACAAAGGGTATGGTATCCCTTCTTCACCCTGGAAGTCTCCATTATCAAAAATCAAATCTGGGCCACATATTCATCTACATTTTTCATTTTGCACAGCTGTATGTGCACAAGCAGGTCATGTGAAATAACTACATGAATGCTGACCTGCTGTTTGGTGCTTTAAAGTGAAGAAAAGGACTACAGGAGATTCTATTACAGATTCTAGCAAGGTAGGGAAGGAGATCCACCATCTCCAGCATTATTATCATGCAGATGCCCCTTTCCTGCTTCTATATTTCTTCTACTCCTCCTTCACCAACTATAGCACTATTATTACATAATTAGGCAGCACTGTAAAAATATAAATAAACTGTCTATCCAAGATGCTATGGAGTGGATCCATGGTAATATTTGTCAGTGAGGCCGAACACTCTTAAATTTCTACTTTCTATAAGAAAATCTCTTCTAATATTCATTTTTCTAAGAAGCATGTACTTTTGGCCAGGCATGGTGGCTCACGCCTATAATCCCAGCACTCTGGGAGGCTGAGGTGGGTGAATCACCTGAGGCTGGGAGTTCGAGACCAGCCTGGCCAACATGGTGAAACTCCGTCTCTACTAAAAATACAAAAATTAGCTGGGCATGGTGGTGGCACACGCCTGTAATCCCAGCTACTTGGGAGGGCTGAGGCAGGAGAATCACTTGAACCTAGAGTTGGAGGTTGCAGTAAGCCCAGATAGTGCCACTGCACTTCAGCCTGGGCAACAGAGCAAGACTGTCTCAAAAAAAAAAAGAAAAGAAAAGAAAAGAAAAGGGTATACTTTTAACAGTTCTTAATATCACAAAGTATCTCTAAGTCCCAAAATTTTTATTTGGACAGTTTTATTAAATCAGCACAGTCCTAAATACAGCTTTTAAATTAGTATTTTTAAAGTCTGAAAACTCATGGCCCCACAAGGCAACCCCAACTCCTCACCAAAGCAAACCAAGTTTTCACAACACATATGCTACACTCCAGCCAAACTGAAACCAGATTGCACTGTTTGCCTTCCTTTCCCAATTAGAATTCCTATTAGAATACAAGCTCAATAAGCAGAGGGTATGTCTTACCACTGCTTCCCTAGCACCTAGAGGAGTGCACAGCATTCAATATTTGCTGTATAAATAAATGGTACAATGTCTGTGTCATTCACGTTAACACTTAGCATATGTTATCTTGGTGTGTGTGTGTTTTTTTTTTAATTTTATAAAGACAGGGTCTCACTATGTTGCCCAGGCTGGTCTCGAACTCCTGGGTTCAAGTGATCCCCCTGCCTTGGCCTCCCAAAGTGTTGGGATTAAAGGCATGACACCACTGGGCCCAGCCCTTATCTTATTTTTAAGCCTATTGCTTCAACTAGACAATAAGCTCTCTTTAAAGACACAAACCAGGCACGGTGGCTCACACCTATAATCACAGCACTGCGGGAGGCCAAGGCAGGTGGAGCAGTTGAGCCCAGAAGCTCGTGACCAGCCTGGGCAACATGGTGAAACGCTGTCTCTACTAAAATTACAAAAAATAAAATTAGCCAGGTATGGTAGTGTGCACCTGTAGTCCCAGCTACTCAGGAGGCTGAGGTAGAAGGATTGCTTGAGCCCGGGAGGCAGAGGACGCAGTGAGCCAAAATCGCACCACTGCACTCCAGCCTGGACGACAGAGTGAGACCCTGTCTCAAAAATTATTTATAAATAAATAAAATAAAGACAGAAACCATTATTAATATATCCCTGTATTCTTGGTAACTAAAAGAATGTTCTCATAATAGTAACTTAGCAAATGTTAAAGCTCAGACCACCACCACAATGAAAGAATGGAGCAGATAGTCTCTAATTCTCTCAGTATTCTAAGACCATTCAGATATTGAAATAGAAACACAGAGCAATTATATAGGTAGAAAAATAGCCTTTATTTTTTTCCCTCAAAGAAAATATAGAGGTAGGGCAAGAAAAACACATGAAATGTGGCATAAAACACAGTAATTTTCAACATTTAATTAACATAAATAAGTTGGGTTTTAAAAATTTAATTTTAGAACTAGGCAGCTATTTCTTTCATACTAATAATATACTTCAAATATCTCATTCTTTTATTATGCCTGGAAGTCTTCATCATTCTTTGGAAAGTTAAGAAATTGCTAAAAGTTGAACTACAGAACAGAGTGTTCAGACTTCATCCCATTATGAGGATAATAAAAGTAGGACTCTATCAGTGTTCTCAAACTATTAGGTATAAATCATTTTCCAACATAGTAAATCTGACAGGTAAACTACAGTTCTGCAAAGTCTAATAACAAGTTATGTTATTAAGTACAGTGTTTTGAGAATCCTGAGTCAAATAAATGAGAACCAATCTATCAAAAGGGAAGCAATGCTCAACAGAGAAACCTCCCACTTACCCTGTGATTTTATATCCATGGTCACATATGGAAAACTCCCAAGGACAGCCATAACCTCTTCATATTTTTCATCTTCAAGGAAGTGCAGTAGAGTGTGACGATCTGATTCTTTTAAACTCACCAAATCCTGGATAGTTTTAATTTTATACTGAATAAAAAAAAAAAAGAAAATACATAATTCCCTAACTCACAAAGCTTTTCATAAAAAGAAAATTACTCACATGTTAACCACAACAAAATCCAGCAACTTTTAGAAAAGTGTTGATTAATGTGCATTTCAAAGTACAAAATAACGATATGGCATTTCATGACCTTTTTCTCCAAGAAAATTTAAATTAAGAATTTTTAAATTATAAAGTTAATACAGGCTTATTTTTTTAAATTAGAAAAAACAAAGTTGGAGGGAAAAAATAAGAATCTTGACTCAACCAAGAACTTTGTCAATTGATGTCCTCAGTTTATTTTCAATTTTAATAACAAAAACCTTTAATTAGCAATTAATAGGTTTACTATTAACAAACCTTTAATAATAAACGTTTACTTTTACCTAATAAAAGTAAAAATAAACCTCAATAAAGACGCACCTTCAAAGTTTTACTATGCAATATTCTCATTTTTGTTATTCTTAAAATATAGCTATTACTACAGTAATATCCATCTTGGCAAAATGGTTACTTAGGAGCGTGTTCTTTAATTTTCCAGGTGTTTGGTGCTAGTTATTTTTCACTTTCAAAGACACAGATTAGATCATGAGGCATGTAAAATCTCTGCTTTTAGATTCTGAAGTTTTTAATTATGACTTAACATACAATCAAATTTATAAGGGGAACATGAGTACTTAAAAGGACAGAGAACTCTGATACTAATTTCCAACATGCATTTATTAATTCTACATTAATATACTATCAAATCCAATGTCTATTCTCTGCTAGTTTTATCTATCATATACAAAATAATGTTTAAAATCTCCTACTAGAATTGTAACTTCAGTTTCTTATATTTCCTCAAGTTTTTCATTTACACAAATTTTTGTTATATCTTAAGATTCATTATCATGTTTATACTATAGATTATATATTCTAAATAAGAACTGTCTTTATTTGATTTATTAAATGTTTTTGTTGTTCATGCTTAACCAGTAAACAATTGCCCAACCTTAAGCCAAGAATAAAATGACTGTAAAGTAGACAGTACATTTATTTTTGGTAACATAATATAAGGAACTAACTGTTGACTTTTTAAATGCAACAACCCCCAAAATAATAAAACTACTTACAGTAGTAAAATACTATAAAACACAGCTACCTAGTCAAGAAAATGTTAACAGAACCACCTGAGAGAAAGTTTTAGAGTATTTAAGACATTCTAAATCTAAAAAATGCATAGTAACCATTTCCAGAAAACTTTTATTCATGTTACCTTTAAGTGACAGGACAAACTGCTGAAAACTGACTTTAAAGTAGCAAAGAATTACCTTCTTATGATTAGAAACCCGTCTAAGATTGTCCTCTTCAATATGAGGGAGCTGCAGAAGGGGAGACTTAAATTGCTGAAGTCCCTGAACGGCCATCTGAGAAAGCTTCATGCAGTTTTCTAGGGATGCCAAAGTTGGAGCACGAAACTCCCTTTCTTAGAAAGAACAGGAAAAAAAGAAACAGGGCTGGACTTTTTACATGTTCAGGAGTATACAATTCATCACAAAAACAAAATTCACACTAAATCCATAACACCTCAAATTTGAGGATCATAGTAAGATTTTCCTTTAAAAGTTACCAGAGAAGACACTAAAAATATACAAACTCGATCTAATGAACATTTTCCAGCAACAACCATTGATTTAAAAGAAAAATTATTTGCCTCACCTCAAATAATAGTAAATTATCAGACATTATCAGTATCACCAACATATGACACCATGACAAGAACCAACATCACCCGTAACAACAAACCATAACCACTATCCTTTTTTAAGGGCATTCCTTTCCATTACTGACCAGAAATTCCCTCATTCTTTTCCTTCCATACCAAAAAAAAAAAAATGGCTAGGTGCCTGTAGGCATGTGGCTCATGACTGTAATCCCAGGGCTTTGGGAAGCTGAAGTGGGAGGATTGCTTAAAGCCAGGAGTTGGAAACCAGACCAGTCTGGGCGACAAAGTGAGATCCCACCTCTACACAAAATGTAAAGTTAGCTCCGTGCTGTGGTATGCACCTGTAGTTCCAGCTACTCGGAGAGCTAAGGTAGAAGGACTGCTTGAGCCCAGGAGTTTGAGGCTGCAGTGAGCTATGATTACCCTACTGGACTCCAGCCCTGGTAGATGCTGTCTATAATTAATTAATAAAAATTACATGACATATGAATCACTTTTATATCAGTTAAAGATTTCAAATTCACTGTTAGAAAAAATGACCTAACTCAAAAATTATTCAAAGAAAGAGAAATTTTAAATCTTTGCAAACAATTGAACAATAAAATAATTAAATTATCATGCCTGTAATCACAGCACTTTGGGAGGCTGAGGCAGGTGGATCACAAGGTCAGGAGTTTGAGACCAGCCTGACCAACCTGATGAAACCCCGTCTCTACTAAAAATACAAAAATTAGCCGGGCGTGGTGGCATGCGCCTGTAATGCCAGCTACTCAGGAGGCTGAGGCAGGAGAATCACTTGACCCTGGGAGGCGGAGGTTGCAGTGAGCCAAGATCGCGCCACTGCACTCCAGCCTAGGCGACAGAGTGAGACTCTGTCTCCAAAAAAAAAAAAAACAAGAATTAAAATCAAAAACACAGTGACCAGGGCTTTGGGAGGCTGAGGCAGGTGGATCACGAGGTCAGGAGATGGAGACCATCCTGGCCAACATGGTAAAACCCTGTCTCTACCAAAAATACAAAAATTAGCCAGGTGTGGTGGTACGCGCCTGTAATCCCAGCTGCTCAGGAGGCTGAGGCAGGAGAATCGCTTGAACCCAGGAGGCAGAGGTTGCAGAGAGCCAAGATTTTGTCACTGCACTCCAGCCTGGGCGACAAAGCAAGACTCCATCTCAAAAAAAAAAAAGAACAAAAAAAACCCAGTGAGCTGTGATATAGACTTTAAATAATAGAAAATATAGGAAAGAAATATGAAAAGACATGAGTAAAATTGAAGAAGCTCACTGAACTGGCCGACAGAAGTCTGAGTACCCATAAATCCTAAAATATGAAGTACAATCTGCATATGCTTGCAAGAAAAAGTATAACATAATTAACTATATTTCCTCCTCACCTTCACGGTTCCGGGCCATTACTATTAGTTGGCAGATTACATTAACCATTTCTTGAAGTAGGGCAGGACACTTTTTTAGCATGAATTGCTGATCTGCAAAACAATAAAAAACCTGAAACAGATCATTTTAATTTTACAGTTAAAGCATCTTTATCACTGTGGCCCAAAACTAATATTAAAGTTATGCCACAAATATTTCACATGATCTCAGAATTTTACAGATTGAATGGAAGAGTTTCTCCTCAGTATCACTATGTCAAAAATCAGCCATAAAACCCTAGCTCAGATTAGACGTTTCAAAGACAAATTTTTAATATCATAATGTTAGGCTTAATAAACCAACTCCCAGCTGGGCATGGTGGCTCACGCCTATAATCCCAGCACTTTGGGAGGCTGAGGCAGGCAGATCAACTAAATATGTCAAAATAAATATGTCAGCTAAATACAGGGGGAGAGATAAGAGACGTAGAAGAGAAGAAGAGGGCAACTTACAGAAAGAGAAAGACTCTTTCATTTATACTGCATATAATAGTTAACTATTAAGACCACATTAACCTATGGATTTGGTACTCAACAATGATTTGTTTCCTGCTTCTTACAGGTAAGTAAAAATGGAGATGCTTATGTATCTGTACAGAACATTAGCAACAGAATTACTAGTTAATTGAGTATTTCAAAGCAACTCCAATGATATTGCCTAAATAGTGCTCCTTCATTCCACCATAAGCATCCTGTCCTATCACCAATTACTAAGCGTCACATGGCCTTGTTTTCGGAAGCATTTAACTGCATTACTGCCTTAAAGGAGGTGGGGGATGGTAGGATATCATTCAAAAAGAACATTTATTTCCTAGAGGTAGTAACTGTCTTTTAAAACTTTAACTGAAATAATGTCGGTGAAAAAGAGATAATTAATGACATCCCTGGAAACACTGTTGCCTCCATCAACTACTTTTCTTTTAAGCAGAATACATGGCTTCAAGTACTTATGAAGCTTTAAATAACTATAAAACAGACATTATTGGTAACCACTGTCGGAGGAAGCTTGTAGATGGGGAGGTGAGAGGTGTTGGTTGTTGTGAAATCCATTTTGCTCCCTCCAAAAACTTACAAAGTCCTTTAAAAAAATTATTAGGAACTTTTGTATGATCTGCAATTAACTAAACATTTCTTATACAGAGCATTCTCTCACCTTGAAACACTAAATTTTAACACTTGCCAAAACGTCTGACTTACTTAGATCTTCAAACCATTTGTGAAGTAATTATGTAGCATATACATTTCTTTTTTAAAAAGTCCTTGAGCAATTATTTGGCCAAAAAAGAACAGCAACAAAACACACCGCACCACCATGCTATGGTTTGGGTCTGTGTCCCCACCCAAATCTCATGTTGAATGGTAATCCCCAATGCTGGAGGTGGGGCCTGGTGGAAGGTGATTGGATCAGGGGGGTGGAGTTCTCCCTTTGGTGCTGTTCTCGAGATACACTTCTCACAAGACCTGGTTGTTTAAAAACGTGTGGCATCTCCCCCATCTCTCTCTTCCTCCTGCTCTGGCCATGTGAAGACACTTGCTCTGCCTTTGCCTGCTCTGGCTTTGCCTTCTGCCATGAATAAAAGTTTCCTGAGGCCTCCCCAGCCATGCTTCCTGTACAGCCATCAGAACAATGAGCCAATTAAACCTCTTTTGTTTATATATTACCCAGCCTCAGGTATTTCTTTAGAGCAATGCGAGAACAAACTAATACACACCATTAAGTCTAATTAATTCTGCTGCTTTCATCCCACTAAACCTCTGTAGATACCGGAATCACAAATACCTTCTTCAAGGGTCTCAGGAATTTTCATTCTAGCAAGATGAGACAGTAAAAGAACTCTGGCCTTCAGGCTATATGGGCAGGTAAGTGGAGGCTCATTCTTCTTTAAATTAATGCTGCCAATTTCTCTGATTAGCTAGAATAAATAAAATAATTATTCAAAAACACGCTTTTTTTAAAAAAAGTATTCACTTTAATACTTAACTGCTCATCGGGGGATTTGGGAAATTAGCCTAACCTGTGGTATTAGAATATTATCCGTTGGTCTGCTTGTGGCATCTTTATTATACTGAGGATCAAATTCAGAAGCTCCAGCCAAAACCATGATAAGACCTAACAAAACAAAAGAAATATGAAGGTAAATAAATATGCTCATTCATTAATTCCCCCTCCTGAGATACTTAATTCACTTGAAAGTGAAGCACTTTTCTAAACATGCACAATGCTAAAAATTATCTGAACTCCACTGACAAGTATTTATTTCTTCCATAAAAAAAGTAACATCTCGCTTTTTAAAATGTACACAGTATCAACCACCACAAGTGAACAGAAGTATAGATCAAATAAAGCACACCAAAGCAACTGGAGGCATTAAAATCACTGAAAGTTCCACAGAAACTTTCTATAGAACATCAGTATTCTGTGTGGTATTAATAATTCACGTGAAAAAAGGGGGCCCTATGATTAAATAAAGCTGAAAATAATGTAAACAAGAGTTAAAGGTTTCTTTACTACATGACTTCTCAAGGCCTTTTGTAAACCTAATATGCATTATAATTTTCCAAAAAAATTTTATTATGGAACCCAAGAGGATTTTGTGGAAATACACATGATTAAAACCCTCAGGCCAGTGGTGGCTCACGCCTGTAATCCCAGCACTTTGGGAGGCTAAGGCAGGCAAATCACAAGATCAGGAATTTGAGACCAGCCAGTTTGAGACCAAGCTGGCCAAAATGGTGAAACCCCATCTCTACTAAAAATACAAAAATTAGCCAGGCATAGTGGTGCACGCCTGTAATCCCAGCTACTCGGGAGGCTGAGGCAGGAGAATTGCTTGCACCCAGGAGGCAGACGTTGTGGTGAGCTGAGATTGTGCCATTGTACTCTAGCCTGGGAGATGAGAGAAACTTTGCCTCAGAGAAAAAAAAATCCATGTAATGTACTCACAAAAGGCAGGATAGTATAGAAGTTAAGTGCACAGACCTTGGTATTTTGTCACTTCCTAGCTAAATGACCTAGGACAATATTCTTCATATCTGTGTATCTCAGCTTCTTCATATGTGCCTGACACACAGCAAGCACAGTACTTGTGTGAGCTATTACTATTACTACCCTCAAATGTTTACTTAATAACAACTGTTCCTAAAACAGCTAAAATAACCTAGAATGTGTAAAGAAATCCACCAGCTAAACAATGCTTCTCTGACAAAGCTGTGTAAGGATACCACCCTCAGAAAAGAAACAGAAATCAAAATGATTGAGGCAAAAAGCACACTTAAAATTATAAACATGAAACATTTTCATAAGGGAGTAAGTTTCTGTATTAACATTTCAATCCAGCTTTAGGAAGAGTAATATTTTCGATAAGGCAAAGTAGTATTAACTCATTCAGAAATGTAAAATCTGTTCACACACAGTCATATATGACCATGAGAAGTCTCTCTCATTACTAAGAAAATTAGTAAAATTGCCAAATCCAAAATGCAGAAAAGTCCATTTTGGTCCCGGAGACACAATTCAAAACTTACATTCTTTTATTTTATTTTTTTTTAAAGAGGGATGGAGGAGCAGCTATGATTTTTGCAGAGCCATCATTCTGAAAGGTAACACTCTATCTCCCAAGGATAAACTGCAAAGTTTGCTTTATATAATCAAAGAAAGTGAAAATAGTATTTTTTTTCTTAAATTTTTAAATAAGAACTGGGAATGAAATACTCTAGCACTAGTTTTCTTTCAACACACCTAAGACTTTTTATTTTTACTACAATTAATACACTATAACATAATGGTTTAAGGCTCAAGAACCAGACTGCCTGGGTTCAATCCTGGATATCACTTACTGTGTATCCTTGAGAGTGTTACTTTTCGGTGCCTCAGTTTCCTCATCTATAAGATGTACTGTAAAACAGCACTCACTTACGAGAACACAGCAAAAATTAAATGAGTCAAGACACATACAGTAACTAGCAGTGTCTGGCATACAACAAATAATAAATGTTAGCTAGAATTACAAAATTTGCACGCATAAGGATTATGGTAAAATTTCTGATGAAATATATGAGTAAATGTGAATAATGAAAATATAAATTAAGAAATGTGACAAAGGGTGCTGGCATTTTTCTCTAGCTTTAATTATATAAATTAACTATTTATAAAACTGTACAATAGAATCTCAACAGTATAGAGTTAAGGAATATATATCAACCCCACATAAGTCACAAAACAATGTGATTAATAGCAAAGTTACTTAAAGTTTACTTACGTTTCATATCCATATTTCGGGTTTTATAAACAAAGTATGTATAAATCTGTGTTGTGCGTATTAGAATCTGGTCTCCACTATAGCGTATTGAGCGATACCACCAAGAGCCCTAAAACACAAAAAAAATTAAACAAGAAAGAAAGTATAAAAACTACGATAGGCTGGGCGAGATGGCTCATTCCTGTAATCCCAGCACTTTGGGAGGCTGAGGTGAGAGGACTGCTTGAGCCCAGGAGTTTGAGACCAGCCTGGGCAACATAGTGAGACCCTGTCTCTACAAAAGAAAAAGAAAAATGCAAACATTAGCTGGGCATGGTGGCACATGCCTCTAGTCCCAGCTGCTCAGGAAGCTGAGGTGGGAAGATTGCTAGAGTCCAGGAGGTCAGGGCTGCAGTAGCCATGATCATACTACTGCACTCCATCCTAGGTGACAGAGGGAGACTCTGTCTCAAAAAAAAAAAAAAAGCAAAACAAAACCCTGATAAATGTTAAGTTTGAGGCAGAATATGTTTATGGTCAAATCTTCTAAATATTCATAAAACAATAAAAATACCTGAGTCTTACAACAAGGACCTCTTTCTTGCATATTTCAAGTGATTTCTTTAGCAAATATTTATACTGTCTGAAGCCTAAACACCAACCTAAGTCACTGCATATATATAATCAAAACATTTACCATTTTGGATAGAAATACCTTAAAGACCAAAAAGGGATAAAACTACCCACTGCTATAAGCACCAAGCTGGTTCTTGACACACAGCATGTCTTCAATAAATACTTGATAAACAAATGTAGGCATAATTTTACAAGTTGACATGACACTTTCATTCATATTACTTAATATGATTGGATTCTTGCAACAATCCTTTGAAGAAAGCAAAACAAACAACTTAATTATTAGACTCACTATGTGACTAAAAGGAACTCCAGGATCAGAAAGGACACAAGTCACAAAAGTAACAAATGGTGAATATCAAATTGTATGGTATCTCCGTATTATAGTATTATACAGCTGTTTTAAAAAATGAGGCTTTTCTATATGTTGCATCCCCATTATATTAAGCAAAAAAACAGAATAATGCACACATACAGTAAAATCTCATTAAAGGTTTTTTTTAAAATGAATGTGTGTACATAAATTCATAGAAAAAGATTTTAAAGAAAAAACACCCAACTTCCCAATGATTCCTAAATAAATGAAGTTGAGGGTGGTAGTGCGGGAAGACTTTCATTTGAAACTTTAAATATATCTGTGTCAGCCAGGCATGGTGGTTCACACCTGTAAGCCTAGTACTTTGAGAGGCCGAGGCAGGATAATCGTTTGAGCCCAGGAGTTTAAGACCAGCCTGGGCAACGTGGCAAGACCCCATCTCTACAAAAAAATTTAAAAATTAGCAGGGCATGGTGGTACACACTTGTGGTCTTAGCTACTTGGGAGGCTGAGGTGGGAGGATTTGCTTGAACCCAGGAGGTAGAGGCTGCAGAGAGCCATGTTTGCACCACCTTACTATACAGCAAGACCTTGTCTCAAAAATAAATAAATAACAAAAATAAAATTAAAATGGACAGTTTCCCTGTATTTAAAACATATATATACATATATGCATGTCATACATATATACATATATGCATGTCATACATATACACGTGTCATACACATGTATGTCATACACACACGTGTCATACATATATGCACGTGTCATGCATATATACACATGTCATACATTTATACACATCTGTCATGCATATGTACACATATACATATGTCATACATATATACATACACACATATGTATACATATGTATATATGTATCTGTGTTAACTCAGTTGTAACTTTTGTGATTTTTGTTTTTTTCTTTGAGACAGAGTCTCGCTCTGTCACCCAGGCTGGAGTGTAGTGGCACAATCTCGGCTCATTGCAACCTCTGCCTCCTGGGTTCAAACCAGCATGTCTGACTAATTTTGTATTTTTAGTAAAGACAGGGTTTCACCATGTTGGTCTCAAACTCCTGCCCTAAATTGATCTGCCCACCTCAGCCTCCCAATGTGCTGGGATTACAGGAGTGAGCCACCATGCCCGGTCAGTTGTGGGTAATTTTTGAATTGGGAGGATATACACATCATGCTCAAGTAATGTCACATTTAGAAGACCATTAAAAGTATAGTTATATAATTTTTTTTTCAGTTGGGGTCTCACTCTGTGGCCCAGGCTGGAGTGCAGAGGTGGGGTCATGGCTCACCGCAACCTCAAACACCTAGGCTCAAGCGATCCTCCCACCTCACCTTCAGTGGCAAGACTCTTAAATTCAAGGATCAATGGGTTATATTCTAACATACATTTAAAATGTTATAGGGAGACTCCAAAACATGTCAATCTCCTTTCCAAAAAAAACATTAACTTAAAAAGCTAAAACTTACCACAACAACTGGAAGGATAACCATAAATGCCAATCCATATACAAGTAAAACCTAAAATTGAAGAGAAAAAGAATTATGGCCTTCGTCAGGTAAATTAAAACAACATCCATGAATTTATTTTGAGGCTTACAATGGGGGAGCCACTATTAAAAGGATTCCTCATGTATTATCTTGTTTAATCCTTATTCTCAAACTCCAAGAGGAAGGTACCATTATTACCCTCCTTTTGTAGGTAGAAAACCTGCAGTACACATGGGTTACATAACTTGTCCTAGGACACAGCTAGCAAATTGCACAGCCAGGATTTGAACCCAAGTAGTTCAGCTCTAGAGCCTATGTTCATATCCACTATAATAAATTACCTTTTAATTTTTTATTTACTGACACAATACAGATTAACACCAGCAAAACAGTTTTGTAAATTACATTTCTCTTCCAGTCAGGCAGGTATTTATATATCCACAACCTCTCAGTAGTTAGTGCTCTGGGAACAAATGAGATAAGAAGCCCCTGGCCAAAGGTTCCTTTAGCTAAATATCAAGGAGTCACTTCATAATGCTGACTAGCAATTTTTACCTACTGATTTTTCTCCTATTACTTGATCCTAAATCTGGTAGTAACTTATTCCTTCTCGACTATTCCTACTAACCAGAAGCATGACAAACAAGCTTATGCAGCAACTGTATACCCCCTCAAGGTAACCAATTTTAATCTGCCAGATAATAACTTAATAGCCATTTTCAAAACAAATTACAGACTATGTGGATTTTGTTTTTATTGCCTCAAAGACAGCCTTTAGACAATTATTTTCAAGAAAGTTGAAGTAGGAATGTATCCCTGAGTAAGATAATTCTTGACATTTTAGGGTTGCAGTGATTGAAGTCTGATATCCTACCTCCTCCTGAAATACCATATGGAATATATACAATTCAATTTATTGTAAATTAAAATTAGGCATAGTGCTCATGCTTGTAATCCCAACATGGTGGGAGGCTGAGGCAGGCAGATAACTTGAGGTCAGGAGTTTGAGAGTTCGAGACCAGCCTGGCCAGCATGGCAAAACCCCATCTCTACTAAAAATGCAAAAATTAGCCAGGCATGGTGGTGGGTACCTGTAATCCCAGCTACTCAGCGGGGGCTGAGGCAGGAGAATCGCTTGAACCCAGGAGGCAGAGGTTGCAGTGAGCCGAGATCACGCCACTGCTCTCCTGCCTGGGCAATAGAGCAAGACTCTGTCTCAAATGAATGAATGAATGAATGGCACACCAGTATTTTCTTTGTAATAGTTCTTCTTGTATTACCAAGACAGATTGTACATAACAAAAATTTTGTCTAATACATCATAATGTATCTTATTTAAATGCACTCACCAGAATTGAGTTTTTCTGGTCAACTATCCAAGCTGGCAGGGCAATTCCAAAGCTTGTGGCTGAAATAGAAAAAATATCAGTTTCTGAAGAATCTCTACTTTCAGTTTTAATAAATACATTAAATATATTTGGGATCTATAATATATCCCAGAACTCTCCCCCACAACACAAAAACAAACTTTGAGAAAGATTATCTTATTAGTAGGCCCCCATTACACAAAAGTTCAGGGATATAGTTTATATCTGAAACTTCAAATTTTTCAAGGAAAAAGAAACCCTGTAAGTACAAATTCCTTCTCTCAAGAAAATATAAATTATTTTATATGTCCTGAGTTTACATAAACACTATGAACACATGAGAAAATGTGAAGTCTGTAAAGAAAAATAAGATTTTTTCCTCCAAATTTTTATCAACTAGTAATTGGAAATGATAGTGATTATTCTTCTCTATGGATCAACTTAAATTATATCTTTCAAACTAGTCTTTAGAAAGAAAAATAAAGCAAAAATTAATGAGAGCTCAATTTATCTATGTTAAACTCCATGTGAGTATAAGTTTAGTAAGAAAATAATATTATTCCTTTAATCTGGTTAACATTTTTATAATATATACCATATCGCCAATATTTTAAAATCATCATTTACCACACCTTGAGGCCCATCTGGATTTCCAAATTCTTCCCAATTTTTCCGGGACTCTTCATCCGTTAAACTAGCATCAAAAGAACAAAGTTGCAAAATTAGAAAGCCACATCTGAAAAACAAGTACTCATATAGACAAACTCCATTAGCCAACCAACTCATTTCTTAGAAGATACTGATTCCATGAATCAAGAAAAGTTTCTCTGAAATCAGGAGAAAGGGAAAGGGAGGAGCAAGAAATGCGCATTAACAGAAAATGCTAACTATTGCGTCTTGATACTAATTCCTGGTTGGCCCATGGTTCTCAAGCTTAACCAGTTCTCATGTTCAACCAGATGGTTCTCAGTTCAACCAGATCAAACTTTAAAGGCAACTACATTTTCTAAGAAGGCAGGGAGAATTGTAGGCGATTTTTTTCCCCTTATACTCTCATATATTTTCCAAAATTTCTTCAATGAGCATGTTTATACATTAGTAATGATAAATACACATTTTTTAAAAACATAAATTTAATTCATAATGGTAGCTTCCCCACAAAACAATAGCACCACATTCTGAAAGAAACAGATGACCACCACATGTAAAACTCCATTGCTGTGGGTAAGGTAATTTGCACTGTGCTAAGATCACAATTTTCTCCTAAGCCAATTGCCAGAAGAACCAGGAAAATTTCTCCTGAACAGCAGCTTCCTAACCCAGGGAATGTGAAAGTTAAAGAGTAATTTTTAGATACCTAAAATGTAACCCCTGACTTTGACAATGGCTCAAGGTACAGAGTCAAGAATAACTTTATTCCAGTTCCCAGTGAAGATGTTAAAAAGCATTAAAATGAATTCCCAATTCCTTACAAAAATATACAATGTAGTTAAGGAATATAAGGCAGAAACCACCCCACCAACACACACGCTCAAAAATGACCAATAACATAATAAGGAAGACATTCTTGGAGACCAACTGGTAAAAGATCTTCCATATGGTCAAATCTAATTTTAACCGTACTTCTACTTCTCAAAACTTAAGAGGCAATGTAGTTTCTATTTAACAAAACTCCAATCTGAGATAGGCAATGCAGAAATACCTTTATAAAATAGCAAAAAGGACATTCATTAGTTTTCGATGACTTGAAAATATTTTTAAATTTATCAATTTAGTCATTTATGCAAACAGGTGCCTTGATGTCTTTAATCCTTATTTAATTGTAACTCCACTTACACTATTTGATGAAAGGCCACAGAAAAATACAGGAGCCAATAAAAAGCATTACTAGACAGGTTGCAAGATAATAAGGAATAGTGCTAAGATTTTCTTTTCAAAATTGAGGGATGTTTCTCAAAAATTTTGTCCTAGATCCCCTGTACAACTGTCCACCCAACTCAGAGTTTTAGCTTGTTTCTTTCACTATTGTCTTCTAATTGGATCCTTCTGCCCAAAATAACCATCTCTGTCCCCTTCTGCCTTTGTGATTATGCAAAACAAACTGCTCTGTCCTCTATACAATACTCCCAGATTTTGCCAAATAAAGCATAGCTCACATCAGAGACACTCTGATTTTGCAACCTACACAGACCTACGAGTTACGATTACATTAACTCACTCATTAAACTGACTTCTACAACTGCTGTGTGATGGGAACCATGTTGAACATTCAATCTAATAAAATAAGTCAGCAACTTAAAGTCAGTTTAAGAAGCAAATGAATTTTTGTTACTTAGCATTTCAGTATAATACCACTTCTAAGAGTTAAAGTACTTAAAAGCTGCGTAATTTTAGTATAATTCACATTTAACAAGCTTAAACAAGATCAATGATGCTAACAGAATTTTTGAAAATTCAGTGAGTGTAGTTTCCTAAACATGATTATATCCCTTAATTTTTTGGGGGTAACAGAGGACGATTATAGATTCTCTTATGAATCTAAGGAAATCTATGACCCCTTTGCCCTGGGAAAAATGCACATTACAAAGACACATAAATTTTGTATACAATTTCAGGGACTCCAGATCATAAATCTTGATCTAGAGAATGCTTTCACTAAACTGTA
Source organism: Homo sapiens (assembly GCF_000001405.40). Classification (NCBI taxonomy): domain Eukaryota; kingdom Metazoa; phylum Chordata; class Mammalia; order Primates; family Hominidae; genus Homo; species Homo sapiens. The sequence goes on from NC_000006.12 coordinate 107,915,399, forward strand.
AACAAGTGACCATGAGTTGGCTATGCACAGTTATTATAAGTTACATGCTCATCTGTAAAAACCATATGCTTTTATAAAAATTAACATATCTTTAAGGTGACAACAACGCTGCCCACTTGCTATACAATAGCTTTAAAGACAGGTTTTACATCTGAGAGCAAAATCTCAATTCTATCTAGATAATGAACCAGAGAATTCAATGGTATAACTCCTAAAGGAAAGAGTGAAAATCTGATTAAAAAAAAAATGAAATGACCCAGCTGGTTTATTATAATAGGCAACTAAGGAGAGAAAAATGATCTCAAATAACCTAAGCAAGTTCTAAAAAACTTTGCACATCAAAGCCTATATAACTGCATTCCAAGGCTGCTAGAGTTATTCATGAGATAGGAACTTCAACTCAAGCACTTAGAACTTATAGTTGGTAAAATATATACCTTTATCTAATATAGTTATATTTATGCAAGTTACATAATCTCAAAGTTCTAGGTCCCACGATCACTTCACTTTTTCATTGGTCTTACAGAACGTCAACTATTTAAGACATTTTATACATAAAATATTCTACAGTTTAACCACATAACTGAGTTAAAACTAAACACCTTATATTATTCTTGTGCATTTTTCAGAATAGTGACCACACATCATAGTCAGATTTCCAGAAATCTGAGAACAAAATTATAAACTTGAAAATGTTAAAATACCTAAAGACTGGGGGGATAGGGTGGGGGGATTTCACCAAAGCACTAAAATAAAAACTACTAATTAAATAGTCTTGGCTACCTGACTTCCTCTGGAAATGTCTTTTTAAATTACCTGAAGACAGCAATCAAGGCATACCAATACTTGTGAAAAGAGAGTAAATGCTTGAAGGAGACACTAACTGAAAGACAGTAACCTCAAGGACAACTGCTACGCAGAAAATGTAGTACACACTTCAAAAGTCCTAATGGCACTGCTTTATTACAGAATCATATAGTAATTCACATAGATAAACAGCAAGCCACAAAACAAGGGGAGAGAAGAGACATAGTCAATATCCTCTACTAAGTACAAAAATAAGTAAGGTGATATCTCCCAAACTTCTGTCATTTACATGCCACTTTCACAATTTGCTATTATAACTTAGTATGCTATTGCAAGCAAACTTCTTATTGCACTTTGCAGATAATCGTGTTTTTCTGCCATTTGTGTTAACCCTGCATCAAGCAATTCTATCAGTGCCATTTTTCCAACAGCATGTGCTCACTTCATGTCCCTCTCTCACATTTTGGTAAGTCTCACAATATATCTAATGTTTTCACTATTATTTTATCTGTTATAGTGATATGTGATCTTTGACATTTCTATTATCATTGCGGGGCTGGCACACAAACTGCACCTGCAGAAGAAAAAGAACTTAATACATATGTGTTTCAAATGCTCCACTCACTGGCCATTCCCCCATCTCTCTCCCACTCCTCATGCCTCCCTATTCCCTGAGACACACAAGATTCAAATTGGGCAAATTACTAACCCTAAAATGGCCTCTGTTGGGAGCAAGCCCCCACAAAATCTGGCCATAAACTGGCCCCAAGACTGGCCATAAACGAAATCTCTGCAGCACTGTAACATGTTCATAATGGCCCTAACACACGCGCTGGAAGGTTGTGGGTTTACCGGAATGAGGGCAAGAACACCTGGCCCACCCAGAGCAGAAAACTGCTTAAAGGCATTCTTAAGCCACAAACAACAGCATGAGCGATTTGTACCTTAAGGACATGCTCCTGCTGCAGTTAACTAGCCCAACCTATTCCTTTAATTCGGCCCATCCCTTCATTTCCCATAAGGGATACTTTTAGTTAATTTAGTATCTATAGAAACAATGCTAATGACTGGTTTGCTGTTAATAGATATGTGGGTAAATCTCTGTTTGGGGTGCTCAGCTCTGAAGGCTGTGAGACCCCTAATTTCCCACTTCACACCTCTCTATTTCTGTATGTGTGTCTTTAATTCCTCTAGGGCCGCTGGGTTAGGGTCTCCCTGACCGAGCTGGTCTCGGCGGGCCTCTAAATGTTTAAACGAAAAAAGACTCACACGTCTCTCACTCTGAATCAAAAGCTAGAAATGACTAAGCTTAGTGAAGAAGGCATGTCAAAAGCCAAAACAAGCCAAAAGCTAGGCCTCTTGTGCCAGACAGTCAAGTTGTGAATTCAGAGCAACAGCGCTTAAAGGAACTTAAAAGTGAACACACAAATAATAAGAAAGTGAAACAGCCTTGTTGCTGATTTGAAGAATGTTTCAGTGGTCTCGACAGAAGATCAAACTACCCACAATGTTCCCTTAAACCAAAGCCTAATCCAAAGCAAGGCCCTAACGAAGGCTGAGAGAGGTGAGGGAGCTGCAGAAGCTAGCAGATGTTGGTCCACAAGATTTTCCAAAAGAAACCATCTCTACAACAGAAGTGCAAGGTGAAGTAGCAAGTGCTGATTTGGAAGCTGCAGCAAGTTATCCAGAAGATCTAGCTAAGATCACAATGAAGGTGGCTAAACAACAAATTTTCAATGTAGACAAAATAGCCTTATACTGGAAAAATATGCCATTTAGGACTTTCACTGCTGGAGAGAAATAAATGCCTGACTTCAAAGCTTCAAAAGACAGGCTGACTTTCTTGGTAGGGGCTAACGTTGCTGGCGACTTTAACTTGAAGCCAATGCTGGTGTGCCATTCCAAAAGTCCTAGAGCTCTTAAGATCTATGCTAAATCTATTCTGCCATGCTCTATAAATAGAACAACAAATCCTTGATGACAGCATGTGTTGACAGCATGGATTACTGAATATTTTAGGCCCACTGTTGAGACCTGCTCAAAAAAAAAAAAATGATTCCTTTCAAAAGATTACTGCTCATTGACAACGCACGTGGTCACTCAAGAACTCTGATGGAGCTGTACAAACAGATTAATGTTTTCACACCTGCTAACACAACATTCATTCTGCAGCACACAGATCAAAAAGTAATTTTGACTTTTAAGTCTTATTATTTAAGAAATAGTAAGACTTGCACTGAGCAATTTCAGAGGCCGAGGTGGGCAGATCACCTGAGGTCAGGAGTTCAAGACTAGCCTGACCAACATAAAACCCTGTCTCTACTAAAAATACAATAATTTGCCAGGCATGGTGGTGCATGCCTGTAGTCCGAGCTACTCGGGAGGCTGAGGAAGAAGAATTGCTTGAATCCAGGAGGCAAAGGTAGCAGTAAGCCAAGATCGCAGCAATGCACTCCAGCCTGGGCAACAGAGTGAGACTCCATCTCAAAAAAAAAAAAACAAAAAACAAAAAGAAGACATACACTTTGTAAAGCTATAGCTGCTACAGACACAGTGATACCTCTGATGGATCTGGGTAAAGTAAATTGAAAACCTTCTGGAAAGGATTCACTATTCTAAATGCCATTAAGAACATTTGTGATTCACAGGAAGAGGCCAAAATGTCAACATCAAGAGGAGTTTGGTAGAAGCTGATTTCCTTTTTTTTTTTTTTTTTTTTTTTTGAGACAGAGTCTCACTCTGTCGCCCAGGCTGGAGTGCAATGGCACAATCTTGGCCCACCCCAACCTCCGCCTCCCAGGTTCAAGTGAGTCTCCTGCCTCAGCCTCTCAAGTAGCTGGGATTACAGGCATGCCCCACCACACCCGGCTAAGTTTGAATTTTTAGTAGAGATAGAGTTTTCTCCATGTTGGTCAGGCTGGTCTCAAACTCCTCACCTCAGGTGATCCACCTGCCTCGGCCTCCCAAAGTGCTGGGATTACAGGCATGAGCTACCGCGCCTGGCCAGAAGTTGATTTCAACCTTCATGGATGACTTGGAGCAGTTCAAGACTTCAGTAGAGAAAGTCACTACAGATGTGCTAGAAATAGCAGGAGAACTAAACAAGTGGAACCTGAAGATGTGACTGAATTGCTGCAATCTCATGATCGAACTTGAACAGATGAGTTGCTTCTTATAGTTGAGCAAAGTAGCTTCTTAAGATGGTATCTATTCCTGATGAAGATGCTGTGAACATTGTTGAAATCACAATAAAGGATTTAAAATATTACGTAAACTTAGTTGATAAAGCAGTGGCAGAATGTGAGAGGATTGACTCCAATTTTGAAAGAAGTTCTGGCTGAGCACGGTGGTTCACACCTGTAATCCCAGCACTTTGGGAGGCCAAGGCAGGCGTATCACAAGGTCAGGAAATCAAGACCATCCTGGCTAACGTGGTGAAACCCCATCTCTACTAAAAATATTAAAAATTAGCCGGGCATGTTGGCGGGTGCCTGTAGTCCCAGCTACTCGGGAGGCTGAGGCAGGAGAATGGCGTGAACCCGGGAGGCGGAAGTTGCAGTGAGCCAAGATCGCGCCACTCCACTCCAGCCTGGGCGACAGAGCAAGACTCCATCTCAAAAAAAAAAAAGAAAAAGAAAACAAAGAAGTTCTGTCCATAAAATACTATCAAATAGCATCACATGCTAGAGAAATCTTTCATGAAAAGAATTTAAATGATGTAGTCAATTTAATTGTCGTCTTATTTTAAGAAATTGTCACAGCCAGCCCAACCTTCAGTAACCACTATCCTGATCAGTCAACAGCCATCAACATCAAGGCAAGACCCTCCACCAGCAAAAAGAATGTAATTTGTCAAAGGCTCAGATTACTAGCATTTTTTAGCCATACAGTATTTTTAAATTAAGGTATGTACATTGTTTTTTAAGACATAAGGCTGGCTGGGCACAGTGGCTCACTCCTGTAATCCCAGCACTTTGGGAGGCCGAGGCGGGAGGATCACGACGTCAGGAAATCGAGACCATCCTGGCTAACATGGTAAAACCCCATCTCTGCTAAAAATACAAAAAAACATTAGCCGGGCGTGGTGGCAGGCACCTGTAGTCCCAGCTATTCGGGAGACTGAGGCAGGAGAATGGCATGAACCTGGGAGGCAAAGCTTGCAGTGAGCCGAGATAGCGCCACTGCAGTCCAGCCTGGGCGAAAGAGCGAGACTCCGTCTCAAAAAAAAAAAAAAAAAAAAAAAAAGACATAAGGCTACTGCACGCTTAATAGACTATGGTGTAGTATAAACAACTTTTATATGCAGTAGGAAACAAAAAAATTTGTGACTCACTTTATTGCAATATTTGCTTTATTGCAGGAGACTGGAACTGAACCTATAGTATCTCCAAAGTATGCTTGTATTTATTTACACGTTTAAATTGAGTTCACAAAATTATACATCACTGAGTCCTCAAAAGACAGACAATCTCATATTTCACTCTTTCATTCAATGTAAGAGCTATGTGGGGATGTACTTATGAAGAGTCCTGAAGAATCTAGTTAAGTTTTATCTCTTGGAAGATTAATACGCAAGAGATCACTGCATCTAATGTTACACACTCTATTCTGCTTCCCAAAAGGGTGCACAAATGTTCCTCAAACTTTATAAATACACAGACATATGTGTGTGCATATAACGCATATGTGAATATATGTATCTCATAATAACAATGCACCTTACCTAAGGCATAAGACCAACAAGGAAAATTATTTGGAAGTTCTGAAAAGATTTGTGAAGACAGTTTCTGAGCAGTGAAAAAGGAGACCTTAAAAATCCACATCTCAACAAGTACAGTTGTTATTAACTAAGAATAATCTTGTGTGACGAAATTCTAAAAAGAAAAAGACACCAAAAATGAAGTACTTAAAAGTCCAAATTAAACTTGTCTTTAAATAGTTTAAATGAGATAAGCTACACATTGCCAAAACAAGAGAAACAGATCAAGCCTAAAAAAAAAAAATCTAGAAATGGTAAGATCTAAGTATACCCTCCTCTAATCAAAATGCTAATAAAATAGCTCAATTAACTTATCATTCACCACTTAATTTAATCAAGTTTACATGGCAAAAATTACAGTTTAATTAAATTAAATTACCACGTTAGTGCTGCTGTGTAGCCCCTAAATGATAGACTCAACATGAAGTAAGCACTTGGAAAAAGTGTATGACAACTATTTTAATATTTTATTAAAACAGAAAACTATCCTTTTTTTTTTTTTCTTTAGAGATGGAGTATTACTGTCATCGAAGTTGGGCTGCAGTGGCATGGTCACGGCTCACTGCAGCCTTGACCTCCCAGGCTCAAACAACGCTCCCACCTCAGCCTCCCAAGTAGCTAGGACTACAGGCACACACCACCACACAGGGTTAATTCTTTTATTTTTTGTAGAGATGGGGTCTTGGTATGTTGCCAGGGATGGTCTCAAACTCCTGGGCTCAAGCGATCCTCCTGCCTCAGCCTCCCAAAGTACTGGGATTACAGGCATGAACCACTGCACCTGGCTTATCTGTACCATTCTTAAAAATTTGTAATGGATCCTGATACTTACGCAGCATAAGCTTTTGCTATCCTCATGAACATAACCTCATCACCTCCTTTATCTGGATGATATTTAAGTGACAGCAAACGATATTGTTTTTTAATTTCTGCTACTGTGGCTCCCTGGGGAAAAACAAAAAAAAAAAACAAGCTTTCTGTTAGCAAAAATAAGCACAATTCTGTAAAGAAATAATCAATCCTATTTTGAACTTAAAATATGAACTACTCAGTATTTTGAGAAAGACAAAATCCATTTTTCATCCTATATATTTTTCCCATAAATTTCATCCCATATATTAAATAAAAACACTTATATTGTCCAATATATGTATTTTATTGAGCACCTACTATGTGCCACATAGTAAACTAAGCACTGATAATTTGAAAGTGAAAACAGATGACAAATTTACATAAAATAATACTGACATTTAAATATCAAAAAATAGGCCAGGCACAGCCTGTAATCCCAGCACTTTGGAAGCCAAGGTGGGCGGATCACCTGAGGTCAGGAGTTCAAGACCAGCTTGGCCAACATATAGTGAAACCCCAACTCTACTAAAAAATACAAAAATTAGCTCGTGTGGTGATGCACACCTGTAGTCCCAGCTACTTGGGAAGGTGAAGCAGGAGAATCACTTGAACTCAGGAGGTAGAGGCTGCAGTGAGCTGAGACTACGCCACTGCACTCCAGCCTAGCTGACAGAGTGAGACTTCGTCTCTCAAAAAATGAAGATAAAAATAAATAAATATCAAAAAATAATCACAATAAATTAAATCTGGCTCAAAGAATCCTCAAATCAAAGGTTAACTTTCTAAGGAATAATCTGAGGAATACCTGGTTTCAGCTGCTTGTCTATCAAGTTGACCTTAATGGTTTCTTAGTCTCGATTTCTATTAATAATTTTTTCACTGTTTTTTATTGCCCTTCTAATCTTAAAATCTCTCTTAATGACTATGATCAATGCAATAAGAAAAAAATCACATGATATGTAAACTTTTCTTCTACAAAACAGAAAACTAGATGATACACACCCTCCTTAGTTTGTATTATATGAATGTCTGGATCAAGCCATCTACTGAGCAAAGACTCAAAGTAAAAGTAAGTGCCATGGGGGAGAAAATAGAAAGAGCACTAGATTGAGCTTGGCTACTAAGTAAGAAGCTTGGAACCCCAGACAAGACACAAATTATCCAGGCCTCATTTTCTTTAAAAAAAAAAAAATTAATAAATAGGGAATACATACATATATATTCAGGGCAACTTGAATATATGCTCCCAGGTTTAAAAAATTATATATTTTTATAAAAGGCTAGATGATCTCTATCATTAATTTCAGTTCTAACATTCTACTGATAAACACAAAAGATTTTTTTTTTGAGACAGTCTTGCTCTGTCGCCCAGGCTGGAGTGCAGTGGTGCAATCACAGCTCGCTGCAGCCTTGACTTCCCAAGTGGCTGGAACCACAGGGGTGTGTCACCACGTTCAGCTAATTGTGTTAGTTTTTTGTACAGATGAGGGTTTCCCTATGTTGCCCAGGCTGGTCTCAAACTCTTGGCCTCAAGCAATCCTCCTACCTCAGCCTCCCAAAGTACTGATATTATAGGCACGAGCCACTGCGGCTGGCCAAAAGACTAGTTTTCTATTTAGAACCCATTAATCAGGTTTAATCAAAAAATCACCTAAGGGGCACACTCAAGGTTAACCTAAATTTCCATGACAATGACATTAATGATACTAGTTTCACTTTAGTTTTAAGAGACAGGGTCTCACTCTGCTGCCCAGGCTAGAGTGCAATGGTGCGGATCATGGCTCACTCATCTCAACCTTCTTGGCTCAAACTATCCTCTCACTTTGGCCTCCCAAGTAGCTAGGACTATAGGTGTGTTGCTATCACACCCAGGTAATTTTTTTTTTTTTTTTTTGATACAGCCTGGGTGTCACTATGTTGCCCAAACTCCTGACCTCAAGCGATCCTCCCACCTTAGCTTCCCAAAGTGCTAGGATTACAGGTGTAAGCCACCGTTCCTGGCTGATATTAGTTCTTTCTAAGACCCCCAACCTAGATTTTACATTGCTTAAGTGTCAATGAATACAAGGTCATAAGATTTTTATCATTCAACTAACACAAATTATCCTCCCAGTTTTAACTTTGCATTAACCAATATTACAGATCTCTCTTAAAAATATGCCTTTAGGCTGGGCACGGTGGCTCACGCCTGTAATCCCAGCACTTTGGGAGGCCAAGGCGGGTGGATCATGAGGTCAGGAGATTGAGACCATCCTGGCTAACATGGTGAAACCCCATCTCTACTAAAAATACAAAAAATTAGCCAGGCGTGATGGCAGGTGCCTGTAGTCCCAGCTACTTGGGAGGCTGAGGCAGGAGAATGGCATGAACCCAGGAGGCAGAGTTTGCAGTGAGCCGACGTCGTGCCACTGCACTCCAGCCTGGGCAACAGAGCAAAACTCCGTCTCAAAAAAAAAAAAAGCCTTTAAAAAATGTTAACCGGCCGGGCGCGGTGGCTCACGCCTGTAATCCTAGCACTTTGGGAGGCCGAGGTGGGCAGATCACAAGGTCAGGAGATCGAGACCATCCTGGCTAACATGGTGAAACCCCGTTTCTACTAAAAATACAAAAAATTAGACAGGCGTGATGGCGGGCGCCTACCTGGGAGGCTGAGGTAGGAGAATGGCGTGAACCCAGGAGGCGGAGCTTGCAGTGAGCCGAGATCACACCACTACACTCCAGCCTGGGCTACAGAGTGAGACTCTGTAAAAAAAAATGTTAACCTCTCCTCTCATCTTCAAATATTCTTATATTTTAGCAATTGAAAACCAATTATTAATAACATAACAATCAACAGTTATAGCTTAAATTATAATAACAGAGGATTAGACATCTTATTTTAATAAACAAACTGACCAAAGTCTGATTTCTATAGGAATAGACAATTTCTTTTAGAATGAGGACCTATAGCATTTTCATGGGACCATTAAACTAATATGCATTATATAAAAATACTACTTACAGGATCCAAATTTAATACTTCATAAGGATTGTATTCTTGGTATTCTCGGTCTGTTTTGGAAACTTTATATGCAAGGAATAAGAACAATGCCCATCCTGCAAGCAGAACTATTTTCCTGTTTAGGAAAAAGGTAAGTGAATCATAAACAAATACATCTGCATAGAGTCTAAAGACATTATGGCAAGGTCAAGGCAAAAACTCTACAGTAGTACCATATCACTATGCTACTGACTCAAATTCTACAATCACTGGGTTACAAACTCCTGTTACAGCAACGACAGTGTCTTTTTTACCTCTGCATTCTTTATAATCTAGTACAGTGTCTACTATTCATAGATTTTCTCAGTTACTATTTGCACAATTTTAAATACAGAAGTGAATTCAACTTATTAACTTACTGGACGCATTAAATTAGATCAAAATAAATAAATACTAAGTAAACCATTTAATGTAAAAAAGAATTGCTCTGACCCAGCAATTACACTTTTATTAAGATAAACTAGGAAAAACAATTGGTCAATTGTGCAAAAATAAATACATAGCCTTGTTTATAGTAGTAAAACTTTGGAAACAACCTAAATTACGGCTCACAGGAACTGATTAAATAAACTATTTACAAAGAAATAATTAAATAAACCATGATACAGCCACACAATGCAACATTTTGTAGCCAATAAATAGTTATAGAAGGATGTTCATAATCGGTTAAAATAAAGGTATAAAAGAACATATCATTTGAAAATAAACTAATTTCTGCTCCCTCCAATGTGTTCTAGTGAGTAAAATTATGTAAAAGATTAACATTACCAGCACTGGAGAGGTTAAAGAAAAAGAGAAACTCTCATACACTATACACTCTAAAGTAATATCTGGCAGTAAGGTATTAAAAGCCCTAAAGAAATACATACCGTTTTTCTATCAAACCATTTCACTTCAAATAATTTGGAAAGAATAAGTCTAAAATGGCGGTCACAGATGTAAATAAGAGAAAGTATTTCACTGTAGAGATGTATCATTAGTTCATTTGTACATTTGATTAACTTTTTTTTTTAGACGGAGTCTCGCTCTGTTGCCCAGGCTGGAGTGCAATGGCACGATCTTGGCTCACAGCAACTTCAGCCTCCTGAGTAGCTGAAACTACAAGCACATGCCACCACACCCGGCTAATTTTTGTATTTTTAGTAGAGATGGGGTTTCACCATGTTGGCCAGGCTGGTCTCAAACTCCTGACCTCAAGTGATCCGCTCGCCTCAGCCTCCCAAAGTGCTGGAATTACAGGGGTGAGCGACTGCGCCCAGCCTCTACAGTGAAATACTTTCTGGCTACTAAAAATATTTGCTGTGGATGACTATCTATCTTATATTGTTAAATTTACAAAACAGCTTTCAAAACTCTATGTATATAAAAGTTTTATTATAAATAAGTGCATAAAGTAATTATCTTAATAATAACTAGCTTTAGGTGATGAATGACTTTTATTTCTTATACTGAATGACTTTTATTTCTTATACCCTTTGTATGACAATTTGTTACACTGAGCAAGAACTGTTAGACAAAGACATCAAATGAATCTTAAGAGGCCAAATTAAACAAAATTGGAATGATTTGTTTTTAAATCATGATCATGGCTCACTGCAGCCTCGACCTCCCAGGCTCAAGCAATCCTCCCACCTCAGCCTCCCAAAGCACTGGAATTAAGGCATGAGCCACCGCGGCCAGCCTACAACAGCAAACTTTTTTTTAACACTTTTTAAACCCAAAATTTGGTAATAGCCTCAATATGCTAAAAACAAAACAAAACAAAAATTGAAAATATGCTTTATTCCCACAAGAATTAACTCCCCTTTTGTTTTCCCAACTCATCCAAAAGGCTAACAAACAAAGCTCACAAAACAAAGATAAAATGAAATTGGAAACCAAAAAAGCAAGATTTAAAACCAAGCAAGGCAAAAGGAACAAAACACCTAGGATATGCTAAACCGTATGTTTTACATGGAGCATCCAGTTCTCCAAGCCAAGGAATGAGAAGAGGAAAGGAGAAGCTCATAACAGAATCCAAAGGCTGATGAAAATTACCACAACCAATAAAGCCATGCTCTACAGTTTCCTGAGAGCCAAAGCAAAGATAGAAACATAACGGATCACATCATGCTCTGTGCTCAATTTTTTTAAAAAACCTGTTTGGTTCCTCTGAAAAGATAAGCATTTTCCCCATACTTGGCTTCAGTAATTAACTTCAAGTGTCATCTTTTTTTCTGGGTGGGGAATGGAGTCTTACTCTGTCACCCAGGCTGGAGTGCAGTGGCACAATCTCGGCTCACTGCAACCTCCACCTCCTGGGCTCAAGCAATTCTCCTGCCTCAGCCTCCGGAGTAGCTGGGACCACAGGCACGCACCACCATGCCTGGCTAATTTTTTGTATTTTTTTAGTAGAGACAGGGTTTCACTATGTTGGCCAGGCTGGTCTCCAACTCCTGACCTCAGGGGATCCGCCCACCTCGGCCTCCCAAAGTGCTCGGATTACAGGCATGAGCCACCACGCCCAGCCTGAAGGGTCATCTTTAGAAGCAACTTCCAAAAATTACATGCCTTAGTTTCGCACATGTGTCAGAAAAGAAGCATTACCCAATTGTTTAACTTTGAAAGAATGCTTCAAGATTAAGTAGTAAAAGTTTTAATGGTTTATGACCTTATCTAAATTGTTACCAGTATATATTTAATTCTTCCTTACCTAAACTCCCTTAATCTGTACTTTAATTAAATCACTTTATTAATCACTAAAAAAGCTTCATAAAAGTTTTTTTCCTTGAAAACAGGTTCAGATACCCACAAAGTGTTGAACAAAGCCAGATAAGAGACTGGGAGGCCAAAAATACATGCGTCCCTTGGTATCCTCAGGGGACTGATTCCAGGACCCCCACAGATACTAAAATCCATGGATGCTCAAGTCCGCAGTATAAAATGATGTAGTATTTGCATATAACCTATATACATCCTCCCATGCACATTAGATCATCTCTAAATTACTGATATTACCTAATATAATACACACTGTGGAAACAGTTATTACACTGTATTTTCATTTATACTTTTAATTGTTGTATTGTTATTTTTATTGCTTTTTTCCCCCAAATATTTTCGATTCACAGTTGGGTGAATCTTCCCACTTGGAACCCGCAGATATGGGGGGGAGGGGCGGATTGTTTTCTGTCTTGCTGCTTTAGGAAAATTTAATTCAAAATGAGAACCAACAGTAAAGAATAAACAGTGAAGAGAAAATTACTCTTTTCAAGACTAACTTTGCCTTTAGTTTCACATCATTAAAGAACTCTTAACACCAAAGCTAGAATTTCCCTCCTCCTACAAAGAAACTAAACTGGGTGGCTCATGCAAGGTGGCTCACGCCTGTGATCCTACCACTTTTGGAGGCCGAGGCAGGCAGACCACTTGAGCCCAAGAGTTCGAGACCAGCCTGGGGAACATGGTGAAACCCCATCCCTATAAAAAATACAAAAAAAAAAGTTAACCAGGTGTAGTGGCATGCACCTGTACTCCCACCTACTCAGGAGGCTGAGGTGGGAGGATGCCTGAGCCCAAGGAGGCTGAGGCTGCAGTGAGCCAAGATAGTGCCACTGCACTCCAGCCTGGGCAACAGAGCAAGACTCTGTCTCAAAAAAAAAAAAAAGAAAAGAAAAATAAACTAAATTAGGTAAAGTAAAACCTTACAAAGAAAAACTAAACGCCCTGAAATTATGCTGAAAAAAAACTATCATTTAAACCAAGATTTCTAAATAACTGTTTCTACTCTCACTAATTTCTTTTGCTACATCTTCTCTTCCAATCTACTGGATAAATGTAGGTAATTCACAAGACATAGTAGTCCAATAATGGTAACTCTCTCACCTCCTGTCAGTTTCATCTATTACCTCTAAACTGATGACGCAGGATAAATGTCCAAAGCCTTGTGTTTAACCAGTACACCCCATAGCCTCACAGGATTAAACTGGTCTGCTGTAACTAAACATGTTAATGGCCTGTTTAAAATAAAGGGTGATTAGGTCCCTGATCCAACACTTCTAACTACATGACTTTGGTCAAGTTATGTCATCATTCTTAGCCTTTGTTTCCTCATCTGAGAAAATGCAAAACCATCTACTTTGAAGTTAATACAGAATTAAATTAGATAACATATAAAGCCCTAGCACAGATTCTAGCATACAGTATGTGCTCAATAAACTTTAATTATCACCATGAAATGCTAACTTGTTCATGTCACCTCTCCACTTCTGAAATCTTTTAAAGATTCCCCCATAGTCTTTAAGATAAAATTCAAATCTTGGCACAAGGTGCACAAGGTCCCTCAAGATATGACTTATCTCTTTCTACCCCCGACCTCCAGCAACAGTATACTCCCCTTCCTTTGAACTTCTAAACCAATCTGTTCAGACTGTTCCCACATTTTCTCCTATCTTACCCTTACTATAGATTACAATTTCTTTACAGACACAATGACTTATTCATCATTACACGTATATGTTGTATGACCTAGCAAAGAGTAAGCATTAAGTAGGTTTTTTTCTTGAAATCCATTACTTACTTTACTGTAGGAATAATATTTGGCTGGGGTTTTAATAACCGTAAACGATACCACATACACCTTCCATATACTTTTCTGATATTCTTTAATCGAATTTGCTCTGTCAAGAAAGAAAAATAAGATGAATTAAAAACCATTTTTCACAAGTGAAGGTAAAACCAGCTAACTGGTTAACTAACCTTCATTACCACGCTAATAGTTTAATGGAACATGAAATTACTGCCTATTCAAATAGCCTTTAAAAAACTTACAAGATAGGTTAAATTGTCTGCCATTTAGAACAAACAACCTATCTAGAAAATTTCATTCAACTACCAAGTGACCATTTTGGAAATGAGACTTAATGAAAACACAAAAACTGACTTGCACCCAAAATATTTAGTCAGATATAATCAGTAATTTCTGGGAAATTCTCTCCCTCTTTCCCCTCTGCTATAGAAGGAACAAGAAGTATAAAATAGTTAAAACATGGTTTATTAAGGAAGCTAAGCAGAAATAATACTCTTCAAACACAAAAATAAATGCCTATCAAAATGTCTTCTAATCAACAAAGTTTAGATCTCATCTATTTAAGATATAAAACTAGTAAGATTTAGAGCTGTAACATAAAATCAACTTGCAGTTAAAACAAAGGTAGAGTGCTTGCTTCAGCAGCACATACACTAAAACCGGAGCAGGACATACGCTAAAACCGGAGCAATACAGAGAAGATTAGCATGGCCCTCACCCAAAGATGACACGCAAATTTGCAAAGTATTCTTTTTTTTTTTTTTTTTTTTTTTTGTAGAAACTGGGTCTTGCTATGTTGCCAAGGCTGGTCTCAAACTCCTGGCCTCAAGCACTCCTCCTGCCTCAGAGCACCCCCGTCCCCAAAAAAAGCACCATTTAAAATTTTTATTTTAAAAAAAAAAGGGGGCCGGGCGCGGTGGCTCACGCCTGTAATCCCGGCACTTTGGGAGGCTGAGGCGGGCAGATCACCTGAGGTCAGGAGTTCGAGACCAGCCTCAACATGGAGAAACCCTGTCTCTACCAAAAATACAAAATTAGCCAGGCGTGGTGGTGCATGCCTGTAATCCCAGCTACTTGGGAGGCTGAGGCAGGAGAACTGCTTGAACCTGGGAGGTGGAGGTTGCAGTGAGCCGAGATCATGCCATTGCACTCCAGCCTAGGCAACAAGAGTGAAACTCTGTCTCAAACAAACAAAAAAAAAAAGTAGAGTAAAATTCAGTATCATAAATTCTAATTATTTTGTGTTAAGCTGGAAAAGTCTCCTAAACCCGTAAAACTTAGGTTTATGGGGTCAGGCACCGTGGCTCACCTCTATAATCCCAGTACTTTGGGAGGCTGAGGCAGGCAGATCACCTGAGGTCAGAAGTTAAAGACCAACCTGGCCAACATGGCAAAACCCCATCTCTACTAAAAATACAAAAATTAGCCAGGCATGGTGGTGCACACCTGTAGTCCCAGCTACTCAGGAGGCTGAGGCACAAGAATCACTTGAACCCAGGAGGCAGAGGTTGCAGTGAGCTGAGATCCCTCCAGCCTGGGCAACAGAATAAAACTCCATCTCAAAGCAAACAAACAAAAAGAACTTAAGTTTACATAAGAGTTGTGACAAAAGCTATTATTTTAAGGCTGGGTGCAGTGGCTCACACCTGTAATCCCAGCACTTTGGGAGGCTGAGGCAGGCGGATCACGAGGTCAGGAATTCGAGACCAGCCAGTTCAAGACCAGCCTGGCCAACATGGTGAAACTCCATCTCTACTAAAAATACAAAATTAGCCAGGTGTGGTGGCGCGTGCCTGTAATCCCAGTTACTCAGGAGGCTGAGGCAGGAGAATCAGTTGAACCTGGGAGGCGAAGGTCGCAGTGAGCCAAGATCACGCCATTGCACTCCAGCCTGGGAAACAAGAATGAAACTCCATCTCAACAACAACAAAAAAAGCTATTATTTTAATCCTCATGAAAAACTTGCAGCTCAATTAAAAAGAAATTAAGCCCAAGCAAAAATAGTATGTATTGTTTTACTAAATTCACCCCAAGCACTTGGACTGAAAGACTCTCCCAAGTTTAAAAAAAAAAAAAAATGTATTGGGAGGCCGAGGCAGGCAGATCATGAGGTCAGGAGATAGAGACCATCCTAGCTAACACAGTGAAACCCTCTCTCTACTAAAAAGACAAATAATTAGCCAGGCGTGGTGGCACGTGCCTGTAGTCCCAGCTACTCGGGAGGCTGAGGCAGCAGAATCACTTGAATCCGGGAGGCAGGTTGCAGTGAGCCGAGATCACGCCACTGCACTCCAGCCTGGGTGACAGAGCAAGACTCCGTCTCAACAAAAAAAAAAAAAATCAAGTTTTGAAACAAAAATCTGCCTTTTTAAGAAGATGGCACCAAAAACAAAGGAGGAAGCCCTTGCCCACCCCAAAGCCAAAGTCAAAGCAAAGGCTTTGAAAGAACAAGAAGGCAGTGCTGAAAGGCATCCACAACCACACAAAATAAGACTTGCCACCCACCTTCCAGTGGCCTAAGACAACGCAGCTCCAAAGGCAGTTCAAATGTCCTAGGAAGAACACCCCCACAAAAAACAAGCTTTATCATTATGCCATTATCAAGTTCCCCTTGACCACTAAGTCAGCCATGAAGAAGACACAACCACATTTGTGTTTACTATGGATGTCAAGGCCAACCAGATCAAACAGGCTGTGAAGAAGCTCTATGACACTGGCATGGCCAAGGTAAACATACTCATCAGGTCTGATGGAGAGAAGAAGGTGTATGTTCAACTGGCTCGTAACTTAACGATGTTTTGAATGCTGCCAACACAATTGAGATGATCTAAAATGAGTCCAGCTGGCTAATTATAATTTTTTTTTACCATATTAAAAAAAAATCTACAAAACTGCAGTTCTTAAATGAGGTAACAGGTAAGTAAAAGGACTTGGCATATAGAAGGTTCCAAAACCACCAGGTAAGAAGTCCAACTACCTTGTTACCACCATGCTTAGATGAAGTCATCCACATGGGAGGACTACCCAGCAAGAAGTACCGAAACCAAGTATCAGGAAGAGGGAGAGATCCATGTAGGGGAGAGTATGGTAGCAGAAAAGGAGACTGATAATATGCAGAGGAACTGACTGAATAAGTTAATATATTAAAGATACCTGGAGTCAGTTTTCCACTGTCAAGAAAAAGGAGTGAAAAAATAGAAAACAAGAATGAACCCTGTACTGTTGGACTGGAATTAAAAATATCACTACGAATGAATGTCTTTTAATAAAGAAATACAAATGCAGTTCTAAATACATATATACATACTCCCTAGCTCTATCTACTAAGTGGGCCTAGGAGCAGAAAAATCCTAGTAGCAATGAGCACATCTAGCATGCAGATCTTGGCTTCTAAATACCATTCTCCACTAACAGGAACCAGGAATCCAAGTATCCTCCCACAAAATACTAATTACAAAGGGGAAACGAATGACTTTGCAGTGGGGTAGGCTGAATAACTGTCCCCCAAGATGTCCACATCTTAATACCTGGAACCAGTAAATATACTATCTCGAATGACAAAAGGGACTTTACAGATATGACTAAGTTAAGGATCTTGAAATAGGAAGATTATCATAGAAGGACCATAATCACAGGGGTACTTTTAACAGGGAGGCAGAAGGGTCAAAGACAGATGGTAATGTGACAACGGAAGCAGATGCTGGACTAATGCCCTTTTTAAAGATGAAGGAAGGGCCACAAGCTAAAAAAATACAGGCTATCTACAGAAGCTGGAAAAGGCAAGAAAACAGATTCTACCCTAGAGCCTCCAGAAGGAAGTAGCCCTGCCAACATCATGACTTTGGCCCAAAGAAACTGATTTTGGACTTCTGGCCTCCAGAATTATTAAGAGAACAAATTTGTGCTGTTTTAAACCAATGAGTTTGTAGTAATTTGTTACAGCAGCAACAGGAAACAAATATAAAACACCTAAACAGACACCACCTCAATCAAGTGATCGGTGAGCATCGCCAGAAAAAAAGACAACCTAAAATCATATGCCACCTGACAGCATACAAGAACACAGAATCAGTTTTGTGAAATTCCTGCCCAAGATACACAACCTGACTCTAATAATGAGAAAACACTGTACAACCCAAATTCAAATCCATTTTACTAAATAACTGGTCTCTAATCTTTAAAGCAGAGGGAAAAGTGAATAACTACTTCAGACTAAAGGAGACTAAAGAAACACCTGCCTCTGCCTCTGCCCCTGCCCCTGCCCCTGCCCCTGCCCCTGCCTCTCCCTCTCCCCACGGCCCACGGTCTCCCTCTCCCTCTCTTTCCACGGTCTCCCTCTGATGTCTAGCCGAAGCTGGACTGTACTGCTGCCATCTTGGCTCACTGCAACCTCCCTGCCTGATTCTCCTGCCTCAGCCTGCCGAGTGCCTGCGATTGCAGGCGCGCGCCGCCACGCCTGACTGGTTTTCGTACTTTTTTGGTGGAGACGGGGTTTCGCTGTGTTGGCCGGGCTGGTCTCCAGCTCCTAACCGCGAGTGATCCGCCAGCCTCGGCCTCCCGAGGTGCCGGGTTTGCAGACGGAGTCTGGTTCACTCAGTGCTCAATGGTGCCCAGGCTGGAGTGCAGTGGCGTGATCTTGGCTCGCTACAACCTCCACCTCCCAGCCGCCTGCCTTGGCCTCCCAAAGTGCCGAGATTGCAGCCTCTGCCCCGCCGCCACCCCGTCTGGGAAGTGAGGAGCGTCTCTGCCTGGCCACCCATCGTCTGGGACGTGAGGAGCCCCTCTGCCTGGCTGCCCAGTCTGGAAAGTGAGGAGCGCCTCTTCCCAGCCGCCATCCCGTCTAGGAAGTGAGGAGCGTCTCTGCCCGGCCGCCATCCCATCTAGGAAGTGAGGAGCGCCTCTTCCCGGCCGTCATCCCATCTAGGAAGTGAGGAGCGTCTCTGCCCGGCCGCCCATCGCCTGAGATGTGGGAAGCGTCTGTGCCCCGCGGCCCCGTCTGGGATGTGAGAGTGCCCGGCCGCGACCCCGTCTGGGAGGTGAGGAGCGTCTCTGCCCGGCCGCTCCATCTGAGAAGTGAGGAGCCCCTCCGCCCGGCAGCCGCCCCGTCTGAGAAGTGAGGAGCCCCTACGCCTGGCAGCCACCCCGTCTGGGAAGTGAGGAGCGTCTCCGCCCGGCAGCCACCCCGTCCGGGAGGGAGGTGGGGGTCAGCCCCCCGCCAGGCCAGCCACCCCGTCCAGGAGGGAGGTGGGGGGGTCAGCCCCCTGCCCGGCCAGCCGCCCCGTCCGGCAGGGAGGTGGGGGGGGTCAGCCCCCCGCCCGGCCAGCCACCCCGTCCGGGAGGTGAGGGGCGCCTCTGCCCAGCCGCCCCTACTGGGAAGTGAGGAGCCCCTCTGCCTGGCCAGCTGCCCCGTCTGGGAGGGAGGTGGGGGGGTCAGCCCCCCGCCCAGCCAGCTGCCCCGTCCGGGAGGGAGGTGGGGGTCAGCCCCCCGCCAGGCCAGCCACCCCGTCCAGGAGGGAGGTGGGGGGGTCAGCCCCCTGCCCGGCCAGCCGCCCCGTCCGGCAGGGAGGTGGGGGGGTCAGCCCCCCGCCCGGCCAGCCACCCCGTCCGGGAGGTGAGGGGCGCCTCTGCCCAGCCGCCCCTACTGGGAAGTGAGGAGCCCCTCTGCCTGGCCAGCTGCCCCGTCCGGGAGGGAGGTGGGGGGGTCAGCCCCCCGCCCAGCCAGCTGCCCCGTCCGGGAGGGAGGTGGGGGGGTCAGCCCCCCGCCCGGCCAGCCGCCCGTCTGGGAGATGAGGGGCGCCTCTGCCCGGCCGCCCCTACTGGGAAGTGAGGAGCCCCTCTGCCCGGCCACCACCCCGTCTGGGAGGTGTGCCCAACAGCTCACTGAGAACGGGCCGGGATGACAATGGCGGTTTTGTGGAATAGAAAGGGGGGAAAGGTGGGGAAAAGATTGGGAAATCGGATGGTTGCCGTGTCTGTGTAGAAAGAAGTAGACATGGGAGACTTTTCATTTTGTTCTGTACTAAGAAAAATTCTTCTGCCTTGGGATCCTGTTGATCGGTGACCTTACCCCCAACCCTGTGCTCTCTGAAACATGTGCTGTGTCCACTCAGGGTTAAATGGATTAAGGGTGGTGCAAGATGTGCTTTGTTAAACAGATGCTTGAAGGCAGCATGCTCGTTAAGAGTCATCACACTCCCTAATCTCAAGTACCCAGGGACACAAACACTGCGGAAGGCCGCAGGGTCCTCTGCCTAGGAAAACCAGAGACCTTTGTTCACTTGTTTATCTGCTGACCTTCCCTCCACTATTGTCCTATGACCCTGCCAACTCCCCCTCTGCGAGAAACACCCAAGAATGATCAATTAAAAAAAATAAAATAAAATAAAATAAAATAAAGAAACACATCAATTAAATGTTATGTGATTCTAAATTGGATATTTTGCTATAAAGAACATCACTGAGAAAGTGACAAAACCCAAATGGAGTCAGACGATGAGATGGCGGTAATGTTAATTTTCTGATTTTCATGGTTTAGAGAACACTTTTGAAAATACCACTAGTGATTTTTAAATATGTATTTTATTAAATTAAGCCTCTACAGTATCCCACTTTCAAGTATAAAATCAAGGAAACATTTGATGAGGTTTTATAAGAACAATGCTGAAGTCTCTTTATGAAGCAGGCAGTTTGATCTATTCAAAGGTATGATGTTCTACTGTTCCTGGCCAAGAGAAAGTACATATGGTTTTCAGCCCCTTATTCTTGGGGGCCACACAATGTGTGCATGGACCTTGTATGCCCCACTCTTCCAACCTAAAAATTAAATCTTAACCTTTTAGGAGACTATTTCAATCAATCAGTAAGTACCACAGGCCACAGTTTACACATTAACATAGTAGCAGTTAGATTTCCAGCAAAACTAAATATTCGTGGTACACATTCAAAATCTCTGTATGAATGACCTCAAGTCAAAGTAACTATTATGAGTCAAGTTCTTCCAGACAGTTTTTTAATAAGACACTTAACAGAATAAAATGAAGTTCACTTATAAACTTCTTGCTTATTGAATTACTATTTTCATGGGCACTAAAAATTATGTTAGGAGTATCCTTAACTTGTATTTTTTTAAAGAAATTATCCACATTTATAGAAACAGGAAATCCTAAGATCATAAAACAATATAAATAATGTGTCATAATTGCTGTCAGCAGCCGAACTTTATATAGTAAAGCTGCAGGGATAATCTAGATTTGGGTTATGGCTGTGCTTCATAAACCACATAGTGCCTTTGCTAAAACAGTCACTCTGTCCATGCTGCATGATCTGCCAGTCAGTAGTATTACTGAGTGAACTCTTAGCACCATAATCATAGAACCCAAAGAGGTGAAGGAACGTTAGCCAGATCTAAAGTCTTCAAACCTGTTTGCCTGCTTACCACATAGTATCCAACAGTTTTTCAACCCTTGTCTCCTTCCCTCCTTCCTCCCTCTACTAGACCTCAGTGTCAATTGTTGCCATCACTATGTCCATGTGTGCCCAATGTTTAGCTCCCACTTATAAGTCAGAACATGCAGTATTTGGTTTTCTGTTTCTGCATTAATTCACTTAGAATAATACCCTCCAGCTGCATTTATGTGCTATAAAGGACATTTCATTCTTTTTAATGGCTGTGTAGTATTCTACAGTGTATATGTACCACATTTTTTTTTTTTTTTTGAGACAGAGTTTTGCTCTTGTTGCCCAGGCTGGAGTGCAATGGCGCAATCTCAGCTCATTGCAACCTCCACCTCCCGGGTTCAAGTGATTCTCCTGCCTCAGCCTCTCAAGTAGCTGGGATTACGGGCATGCGCCACCACACCCGGCTAGCTAATTTTGAATTTTTAGTAGAGATAGGGTTTCTCCATGTTGGTCAGGCTGGTCTCGAACTCCTGACCTCAGGTGATCCACCTGCCTCGGCCTCCCAAAGTGCTGGGATTACAGGCATGAGCCACCACGCCCGGCCACTACATTTTCTTTATCCAGTCCGCTATTGATAGACACCTGGGTTGGTACCATGTCTTTGCTATTGTGAGCAGTGCTGCAATGAACATGGGTGCACGTCTTTTTGGCAGAACAATTTATTTTCTTTTAGATATATACTCAGTAATGGGATTGTTGGGTCAAATCACAATTCTCAGTTCTTTGAGAAATCTGCAAACTGCTTTCCACAGTGGCTGAACTAGTTTACATTCCCACCAGCAGCGTATAAGTGTTTCCTTTTCCCTGTAACCTCCCTAGCATCTGTTTTTTGACTTTTTTATAATAGCCATTCTGACTGGTATGAGATGATCTCTCACTGTGGTTTTGATTTGCATTTATCTGATTAGTGATGTTGAGCATTTTTCATGTTTCTTGGCCACTTAAAAAAAAAATTTCTTCTTTTAAGAAATGTTCATGACTTTTGCCCACTTAATGGGGATATTTTTTGCTTGTTGAGTTGTTTAAGTTCCCTATACATTCTGGATTAGACCTTTGTTGGATGCATAATTTGTAAATATTTTCTCTTATTCTGTAGGTTGTCTGTTTACTCTGTTGATAGTTTCTTTTGCTGTGCAGAATCTTTTAGTTTAATTAGATCCATTTGTCAATTCTTGCTTTTGCTGCAACTGTAAAGCTGATATTTTAAAATAATTCCATCTCTTTTAAATGCATCCAAAGAAAGCTAAAAACCACAGCAATTTCATACCCATCATCATCCATTTACAAAAATTTATGAAAAGTCCTTCATTCTACTTCTCCCACATAATATTATCCTAATTTAATATATTTCATCCTGGTGAGTTAATTTTTTTTTTTTTTTTTTGAGACAGGGTCTTGCTCTGTCACCAGGCTAGATAGACTACAGTGGTGCCATCACGGTTCACTGCATCCTCAACCTTCCAGGCTCAAGGGATCCTCTCACCTCAGCCTCTGGAGTAGCTGGGACTACAGGAAGATGCCACTATGCCTGACTAATTTTTTTTCATAGAGACAAGGAGGTCTATGTTGCCCAGGCTGGTTTCAAACTCCTGGGCTCAAGCAATCCTCCCTCCGCAGCCTCCCAAAGTGCTAGGATTACAGTTGTGAGACACCACATCTGGCCCCAGTAAGTCACTTCTTTTTTCTTTTTTTTTTTTTTTAGACGGAGTCTCACTCTGTCACCCAGGCTGGAGTGCAATGGCGTGATCTCAGCTCACTGCAACCTCCAACTCCCAGGTTCAAGCAATGCCTCAGCCTCCCGAGTAGCTGGGATTACAGGCATGCACCACCACACCCAGCTAATTTTGTATTTTTAGTAGAGATGGGGTTTCCGCCATGTTGGCCAGACTGGTCTCAAACTCCTGACCTCAAGTTCCACCCACCTTGGCCTCCCAAAGTGCTGGGATTACAGGCATGAGCCACCGCCCACGCCCAGCTAGTCCTAGTAAATCCTTTCTTATAATACCGAAATATGCTTCTTAAAATTATTTTTTTAATTCCCTGTGACTATAAAGTTTTTCCCAATTTTTTTGTTTTGAAAATATTCAAGTCATCATAAAAGTTGAAAGAATATTACAATGGCCGGGCACAGTAGCTCATGCCTTTAATCTCAGCACTTTAGGAGGCTGAGGCAGGAGGATCACTTGAGCTCAGGGGTGCAAGTCTAGCCTGGGCAACACAGGGAGACCTTGTCCCTACAGAAACTTTAAAAATTACCTGGGAGTGGTGGTACACACCTACAGTCCCAGGTATTCAGGAGGCTGAGGCAGGAGGATCACCGGAGCCCAGCAGTTCGAGGCTGTAGTGAGCCATGATCACATCACTGCAGTTCAGCCTGGCAATGGCATGAGACGGTGTCTCAAAGAAAAAAAAACAACTAAAACTTATTTTTGAAAACAAAAAGTACACTTCTGCCAGTATGGCTCAATCTTTTCCAAAACAGCTTTACCTAAAGCTGCAGATTAGCTTATTCGATGTATAGAAAACATATACCATGTAACCTAATTGGCAAAGGCAGTTTTCATTATTAAACTAACCAACCAAATTGAACTATCAAAAAAAGGCTCATGCCTGTAATCCCAGCACTTTGGGAGGCCGAGGCAGACGGATCGCGTGAGGTCAGGAGTTCAAGACCAGCCTGGCCAACATGGCAAAACCCCATCTCTACTAAAAATACAAAAATTAGACAGGTGTGGGTGGTGAGCACCTGTTACTGGGGATGCTGAAGCAGGAGAACCCTAGGAGGCAGAGGCTGCAGTGAGCCAAGATCACGCCACTGCACTCCAGCCCGGGTGAAAGTACGAGATTGTCTCAAAAACTAAAAAATAGTTAAAAATAAAAATAATTTAAAAAAAAAAATTTTTAAAAACAATCTTTCCTTTAACCGTGGTTTGTTTGCCAGAATGTTTCAGAATATAAAAGGCATGAAAATAACTTGGAAGTGAAAAATTGGGAAATACTGCTCTAGACGACCAAAAATAAAAGTCATCCAGTAATCTTAATCATTATGCTCTTAACTTGAATCTGAATAGTTAGCCATATGTCTCATTCCCAAGGCCAGTTCAGAACTATTTGGATTTGGAATATAGGCTTCATAAGATTACATATTGTTCACCATCACCACCACCCAGGATACACAATCACAGATTACCTAAATCAGAAGGGTTACAGAAACGTGGGTCCTACTTACACCTATCCACTACACATACTCTGGCAATGGAGGAGGGAACCTAGAAGGCAACTGAAAATGTTCTTGAACTAAAAAAAAAAACAAACACTGGATCACAGCAGAACCACCCCTCTACCACCAAAGTTCACAATTCTCAGGAATGCCTGAACAATCTAAGTGCAAACCAATACAAACCAAGTAGTTCAAATAAATCAAGAGCTTTGTCTTCCTTAAGCAGGTACTTGACAGCAGCATACAATTATATCATATATTATCTCTTTTTCTTTTCCTTTTATGGTACTGAAATAAGTACTACAGAGCAGGGCTTTTCAACATCAGCACTACTGACATTTTGGACTATACAATTCTTATAATTCAATGTTTCTGTGCATTTTAGGATGTTTAGCAGCATCGTGATCTCTACCCACTAGATGCCAGGAACAGCTCCCCAGTGGAGACCAAAAAAAATCTTCAGAAATTCACAAATGTCCTCTGGGACACAAAATTGCCCCTGATTTAAAGTGCGCGCACACATACACATACACAGGCACACACACACAGCTACAGACGGTACATGAAAAGCAAGTTAAACGATATGACCTACATATCAGGAACACAGGGAAAAGAAAGATAGGAAAAGTTGGCAGAATAAATGGATGAAAACGCAACAATTGTCTTTTCCCATTCCCTTAAAAGTATTCTTAAAAAAAAAAAAAAAGACTCGCTGCAGTATCTTTGAGTACTTACCTGGGACGCGGGGAGGGAAGAAGGGAGAGGAGGACCTGGGAAGCTTCATTATTAATTTACTAACCACCCTGTTAGCTCTGTCCTCCTATTTTTCTTTTAGTCTTAATCTTATAGTGATAATCCATAGCCTAAGTAAAAGGTTAACCAAAAACAGGTAAAACAAAGAGAAAGTGGAAGAGAAACTCAAGTACTAGGAAAGTAAATAAATGCTAGCTAAGAAGGAAAGGCAACTTAACATACAAGGATGTATGTCCCACCAGAACTTTAAACACCACATACCCCAAAGTAGTAACAATTCATTGAGCTGAAAGGGCCTCTGGAGATAAGTGCAGAGTGTGTCTTGCTCAAGATCGCAATGCTAGCCAGAGATTGTTTTAATAAGATTTTGGGTGTTAATACAAATTCATAAAGAAAATTTGAGCCTGGGCAACATAGCAAGACCTCATCACTACAAAAAAAATTAAAAATTAGCCGGGTGTGGTGGCACACACACCCATAGTCCAGCTACCCACACACACCCATAGTCCAGCTACATAGTCCTACTACTTAGAAGCTTCCTCAAGAAGGCAGAGGAATCAGCTCCTTGAGCCCAGGAGATCCAGGCTGCAATGAGCCATGACTGTGCCACTATCCACAGCCTTGGGAAACAGAGTGAGACCGTGTCTCAAAAAAAAAAAAGGAAGAAGGAAAAAGAAAGAAAATTTGGCATACAGTGGAAGAAAAAAATCCACCAATCCAACACCCAGATAGTAATCATTAATACCATTGTAGTATCCTTTTTAGTTCTATTTAGGAAAATATCTGGAAAAGCAAAGGAGACAGGAGAGTTGGCGAGGTTGAACGTACACCCTCAGAAGAGAAACAGCTCTGTGAAGAAGGAAGCTCCAGCAACTGACTTCCCAAGGAATGAGCTTCACTCAATTAGAGGGCTGCCCTGCTGCTTCAATCAGGGCCTGTAAGGGCCCTTTTGCAGTGTTGACGATACCTGGTGCTTATCTCCACTGCAGCAGCTGCCCAAGTGAGCTTCTCAAAGAGAAAAACGGGACACATAAAAGCCCACTTAAGGATAGCATTTCTATGATGTATCAGTGTACAAATTGAAAGAGACAAAAATAAAAAGCTGAAGTTTGTGTTAAGGTCGCATTAGCAGTAATTTTTAATTTTTAAAATTTCTAAACATTTCCCCGTGTTTAGATCATTATAAACATCACTTAATGACTACTAATAACCAAATGAATAAAGGTACCACAATATACCTACCATTCTATAATTAGATATATAAAATGTTTCTAATTTCTTGGTATTGTGGATCTCTTTGGTCCTGTAAGTATTCAGAACACTCTATCCTTAGAACACAGCCCCAGAAGTATAATTACTAGGTTTAAGAGCTTTAACACTTTTACAACTCCTTTCTAAAAAAGCCAGGACTATACATCCTTTTCAGCAGTTTCCCCGTTGGCACCACCATTCTTCAGCAGCCAGTATTAAAGCCGATTTGATTCCTCTGTACTGAAGTTCAAGGGCAGAGACTGTATCTTACCCACAGTGTTCACCCCTCCTCTTTCCAGTTCCCTGGAATAGAGGAGGCACTATATAAATATTTCTTGAGAATGATGAACTCCTTTATTTAACAAATATTTGGTGAATATCCACTACGTACCCGGACTTTTCTGGACACTGAGGATATAGAAAAAAAACAAAACAAAAAACCCTGCTCTCAAAGACCATAGCAATAAACAAAGTAAATTATATAGTACAGTTAACCCTTGAACAACGTTGGGGTTAGGGGCCCTGTCCCCACCCCCTGTGCAGTCACAAATCTGCATATAACTTTTGGCTCCCCCAAAACTTAACTACTAATAGCCTACCGTTGACTGGAAGCCTTATGGATAACATACACAGTTGATTAACACATATTTTGTGTATGTATTATATACTGCATGCTTACAATAAAGCTAGAAAAAAGACAATGTTAAGAAAATCATAAGGAAGAGAAAATATATTTACAGTACTGTTATTAATACCTTAAGTTTATGTCACCTGTTTACAAGTTGCAGACCTCAATCTACAGTATATATCAAGCAATTCAACTTTTTCTGGTATTATCATGACTTTTTTCTTCTTCGGAGCACTTAGAGCATCACTAGTGGCACTCTGTATGAGTCCCATGGTGTTGCAAGGTTTATGGTATCACACTGAATACAAAGAAAAATACAAGAGAACCTCAAGAGATCACTTTCTATGGTGATATGGAATTTACTGAAGAGACAAACTGCTCACGCAGAGATGATTAGCGTCACACGATGTTTTAAGCAGACACTTGCAACACCTGAGCTCACTGCAATAGCAAAGAAGATGGCTATAAAATTATTACAGTAGTATACACTAGTTAACTTTACACAGTTATGATTTAATACTACATTTCTCTCAACTGCAAATGGCTCCATGTCCTGTCTATAGTGTTTGTGTGAATAAGTTTTGATAAATTTTACCTTTTACAATAGATATGTGTTTCTTTTATGGTAGCAAATGATAAAGCTGACTAGTATCTACATACATTTTATGCATTTATAACATACCTTTTTCTTAATTTCTTTTTGATATTTCTAGGCTACAGTTCTTCTGCAAAACATTTTCAAACTGTTACAAGTCTCCAAAAAGTTTTCCAATATATTTACTGAAAAAAATCCACGTATAAGTGGACCTACATAGTTCAAACCCATGTTGTTGAAGGGTTCTTTTGAGAGAAAATTAGTAAGGTAGGGGTAAGAAACACTACAATTTAAAATAGGAAGCTCAGGGAAGATGGCATCTGAGCAAAGACAACAGAGATGAGGGAAGAGGTAATGTGACTATCTAGAGGAAAAGTATTCCAGGCAAAGGGAGCAGCAACCAGTAAAAGACTGAAAGAGTGTGTTTCACTGTGTTCAAAAGTGCAGTGAAGCACGTATGGCTGGAATGGAAACAGCAAAGTGATCAAAGAGACCACGAAGGACTTTACAGGATACTCGCTAAGACTTGAGCTTCTAGTCAGATTGAGACAGATCCCTGAAGAGTTCTGAGCAGAACTGTATGAGCTGACTTCTGTTATAAAGGATCCTTGCTAATATTCTGAGAAAAGACTACACTCAGCCAGGGTAGAAACAGACTAGTTAGGAAGCTAATGATAATCTAGGCAATAAACCAGGACAGTGGTGTTGGTGGAGTGATGAGAAATGGTCGGACACGATGTATTTCAAAGGTAGAGCCAAAAGAACATACTAGTAGTCTGAAAGTGGAGTATGAGAAAGAGATGAATCAAGAGTAACTTCTAATCCAGTCCACCAGAGCTTAAAGGTAAAAATGTAAATAAAAAATAAAGAATGACTCCCAAGACTTCTTTCCTGAACAGCTGAAAAGACAGTTGTGATTAATTGAGATAAAGGTTATGGGTCAAGAAGGTTGGAGGGGAGGGGAAGAAAGTAATCCTGTCAATTTTGTGCATATTCATAGAAAGATCTCTATTAGATATCCAAGTGGAAATGTGGGTTAAGCACTTATACACACAAGTCTGGAGTCTGAGGAAAGAAGTTCAGACTGGGCTAGGTGCAGCGGCTCATGCCTGTAATCCCAGCACTTTGGGAGGCCGAGGTGGGCACATCACTTGAGGTCAGGAGTTCAAGACTAGCCTGGCCAACATGGTGAAACCCGTCTGTACTAAAAATACAAAAATTAGCTGCAGGTGGTGGTGTATGCCTGTAATCCCAAGTACTCAGGAGGCTGAGGCAGGAGAATCACTTAAACCCGGGAAGTGGCGGTTGCAGTGAGCCGCGATCACACCACTGCATTCCAACCTAGATCAGAGTAAAACTCTTGTCTCCAAAATAAAAATAAAAATAAAAATAAAGAAGTCTAGCCTGGAAATAGAAATTTTGGAGTCTGTGCATTAGTCTAATCCTAAGCCTGTCACCCCACCTGGGTTACAAATTCTACCAAAATAAGACTATGTTTATACTGCATTCATCATTGTATCATCTGCTGTACCTGTACGGTCAAACAGTGAACGCTTAATCAGTAACTACTAAAACTAAACAAAAATCTAGGCCGGGCGCGGTGGCTCACGCCTGTAATCCCAGCACTTTGGGAGGCCGAGGCGGGCGGATCACGAGGTCAGGAGATCGAGACCATCCCGGCTAAAACGGTGAAACCCCGTCTCTACTAAAAATACAAAAAATTAGCCGGGCGTAGTGGCGGGCGCCTGTAGTCCCAGCTACTTGGGAGGCTGAGGCAGGAGAATGGCGTGAACCCGGGAGGCGGAGCTTGCAGTGAGCCTAGAACCCGCCACTGCACTCCAGCCTGGGCAACAGAGCGAGACTCCGTCTCAAAAAAAAAAAAAAAAAATCTAAAGCAAAAAAAGAGTTGGAATCTACACGAGAAAACTCCTACTGACATAAACAGAATTCCAAAATGTAAAGAATATCTTTCTTTTCTTTTTTTTTTTTTTGTTTTGAGACAGAGTCTCACTCTGTCGCCCAGGCTGGAGTGCAATGGTGCGATCTTGGCTCACTGCAACCTCCACCTCCCGGGTTCAATCAATTCTCCTGCCTCAGCCTCCCGAGCAGCTGGGACTAAAGGTGCACACCACTACGCCCAGCTAATTTTTGTATTTTTAGTAGAGAGGGGGCTCACTATGTTGGCCAGGATGGTCTCGATCTCTTGACCTCGTGATCCACCCCCCTCGGCCTCCCAAAGTGCTGGGATTACAGGCGTGAGCCACCGAGCCCAGCCGAGAACATCTTTTTAAAAGAATGAACAGCATCGCCTTTCAAAGAAACAATGTGATGGTGAAATAGTGTAACAACATTTGTCATCAATAAAGTCTGGTAATAATAGGAAAACATTTTTAAAAGGAAGTCTAAGCAATTTATGAATACATTTGTAATCACCTTCTTTATGTCTGAATAAAAAGTATGATTAAGGGAACAGGCATCTAAGAAAAGAAAATAAGCCTATCTTTATCAGGTCCTCCCAAGATCAAGCAGATATGCAACAAGATGTTTAAATAAAAGCAATTTTACATAATGCAGGCGGTTTTTTTCCTGTATTTTGTTTGTTTGTTTATTTATTTATTTATTTTTTGAGACGGAGTCTTACTCTGTCGCCCAGGCTGGAGTGCAGTGGTGCGATCTCAGCTCACTGTAACCTCTGCCTCCCAGGTTCAAGCCATTCTCCTGCCTCAGCCTCCCGAGTAGCTGGGACTACAAGCGTGTACCACCATGCCCAGCTAATTTTTGTATTTTTAGTAAAGACGGGGTTTCACCATATTGGCCAGGCTGGTCTCGAACTCCCGACCTCATGATCCGCCTACCGTGGCCTCCCAAAGTGCTGGGATTACAGGCATAAGCCACCGCACCTGACCTATTTTTTATTTTTTTAGACAAGAGTCTCACTCTGTCGCCCGGGCCAGAGTGCAGTGGCACAATCTCTGCTCACTGCATCCTCCACCTCCCGGGTCCAAGCAATTCTCCTGCCTCAGCCTCTCGAGTAGCTGGGATTACAGGTATTTTTAGTAGAGACGGAGTTTCACCATGTTGGCCAGGCTGGTCTCAAACTCTTTACCTCAAACAATCTGCCCGCCTTCAGCCTCCCAAAGTGCTGGGATTACAGGTGTGAGCCACCACACCCGGCCAACATAATGCAGTTATTAATCTAATGTTTGTCACCACATTTATAAAACCTTCATGTTGTCCTGTAATTCCTACTGCCAAGTTCCCAACTGCTTTCCTCTGTATAGGACTTAAGTGTGTATATGCTGCATGTCTGATACACCCCTCTGTCAGGATAGAACAAAGAAGGAATAACTTTTTAAAACAATTTAAAGTTTTATCAGATCGCTAATATTCCTTCAAGAGCTAAAGCCTGAGAAAACTGTAAGCTCTACACATTGGGAGGCTGAGGCGGGCGGATCATCTGAGGTCAGGAGTTCAAGACCAGCCTGGCCAACATGGAAAAACCCCGTCTCTACTAAAAATACAAAAATTAGCCAGGCGTGGTGGTGGGCTCCTGTAATCTCAGCTACTCAGGAGGCTGAGGCAGGAGAATCACTTGAACCCAGGAGGCAGAGGTTGCAGTGAGTTGAGATCATGCCACTGCACTCCAGCCTGGGCAACAGGGCAAGACTCTGTCTCAAACCAAACATCAACCATAAGCTCTAAATATGAACATTAAGACATATCCCTTTGAATACAAAGCTGATACAAGCTAGTTTTTTCTAATGTTAAAAAACACAGCCTTGGTGACCTGGTGAAACCCTATCTCTACAAAAATTATAAAAACTAGCTGGGTATGATGGCGCACCTGTAGTCCCAGCTACTTGGAGGCTGTGGTGGGAGGATCACTTGAGCCTGGGAGGCAGAGGTTGCAGTGAGCCAAGATTGTGCTACTGCACTCCAGCCTGGGTGACAGAGTGAGACCCTGTCTCAAAAACAAAACAAAACAAAAAACAAAAACACTCACTATCGGACAAGAAGTTATTGTCAAAAAAAAGAACAAAAAAACCAAACCACTCAACAGGAGACTGAGATAACCCATCCTACTGTAATTACAACTCTATAGGGAGTGACGGTGTGCACGTGCAGTTCTAGCTACTCGGGAGGCTGAGGCAGAAGGATGGCTCAGCCCAGGAGATTGAGGTTGCAGTGGAGCAGTGATGGTGCCACTGCACTCCAACCTGGGTAACAACATGAGATCCAGTCTCAAAAAAAAATTCATCCCCATTCTTTTCCCTGCACTTAAATCCCCAAACTGATCATTGGGCCAATCACCAAAAGCTTTCAAGAGGACAAGAAATAAGTAATCCTAGAAATGAGTGAAAATTCAAAATCT
This sequence comes from Homo sapiens, assembly GCF_000001405.40. Lineage (NCBI taxonomy): Eukaryota > Metazoa > Chordata > Mammalia > Primates > Hominidae > Homo > Homo sapiens. The sequence continues at coordinate 107,947,701 of NC_000006.12, forward strand.
GCACTCCACTCTCATTCTCTCCTCAGTACTTATATTCAATAAACAGTCCAAGCTTTCTTAGAATTCTCTTTCTAATCTGACCACCTGTCACTGGAAAGAGCCTCTGAAATGGACACCCCCTCCATCTAGTTTCCCACCCAGCCATCACCAACCTCCCCCTCCACCCACCAAACCATTCTCCACACAATATTCCACAAAAGCCAAACTGACCATGTTTTATTACCATACTTTAAAACCTCCATTGTTTACCAAATAACTTACAGGATAAAGTATAACCCTCTTAAAATACCTGAGTTGGTCGTAAGTGCCAATCACATTCAAATCTTTACCATTTACTAAACACCTCCATGCTTTTGCATATACTTTCCCCTATATATGGAATGCCCTTCTCCCACTTACCTTTTAAGACCTATCTCGTGTCACCTCCTCTGCATGAAACACTTCCCCAAATCCCAAAATATAATTATTTACTCCTTCCTATGTGCTCCCAAAGCACCTTCCACTAGCCATTTTAACACATATCGTAATGTGTTATATTTACTTAATTACAGGAGGCAGCAGAGAGTAGTGGCTAACAAGAGATGCTCTGGCATAAGACAGAGTTGAGTCCAACAAACAGTCTTCCACCTGGTAGCTGTATGACTTTAGGAAAGTTGGTAACCTCCTCTAGGACGCAGTTTTCTCATGAATAAAATGAGATAATACATGAATCTAGCTCAAAGTGCTACCGTGAGTGCATTCCGCACTACCCACCTTCAGGCTAGCTAGCACTCACTCACTGAACAGCAACAGAGCTGAGTCTAGATGTAACTCTGGAGTCTACTGAAGGCTTGCAACTTTCCGGGAAAGGCTTGGAGGGTAAATTACGAAGGCTGTTGGTCAATTTTAGTTCCTTGGTTTGTACCTCCATGTTGGGGCTCAGTGATACCCAAAATATGGCATTTTGACATGCTGAATGAAGAAGCCTCAAGGTCTCTCTGACTTTCCTCCCTGCCCTCCTGATGCCCCCCACCATATCCCAAAGCCTTCATCTGCCTAAGATCCAGACCCACCAAAACGAACAACTGCTTTTCTTCTCCTCCTGTAGGACCAAGAAGGTAACCACACCTAAACAGACCCTTCACAAGATAATGTACAAGTTAATCTCTGTTCTCTGATCCATTGTCCCTAGCAATCCTATCAACAGAATTCCTCTTCTCCCCCTTCCCATAACCTGTTTCACCAGGATGGTATATAAGCTTCTGAACTACATTGGGATGTGGGGAATCACTCTGTGGTTCGCCCCATGTTCACATTAAATACATGTGTATGTCTTTCCTCCAATTAATCCACCTTGTCTGAGTTGATTTTTCAGCCAATCTTCAGAGGGCAAAAGGGAAGTTTCCCTTGGCCCCTACATCCACACTTTGTTTTCTAAACAATAAACTAATGCATTTAAAAGAATTATTAGTTTATGCTTTGGGGCACACAATGTATAAAGATGTAATTAGGGGAAATCAAATACTGAAAGAGGTGGGAAAGGAGCTATAAAGGAGCAGAGTTTTTATATGTCAAAGTTAAACTGGTATAAATTGAAATTACAATATTTAGGATGTTTAATGTAATCCCCATGGTAACCACACAAAAAGTAACTACAGAATATACTCAAAAGAAAATGAGATGTGAGCAGTGGCTCACACATGTAATCCCAGCACTTTGAGAGTCCGAGACATAGATCACTTGGGCCCAGGAGTTTGAGACAAGCTTGAGCAACATGGCAAAACCCAGTCTCTATTTAAAAATAAAATAAAATAAAAATTAGAAAATGCAAAGAAATGTAAACATTTCACTACAAAAAAAATCAGCTAAACAAAAAAATAGTAATGCAGGAAATAAGGAACAAAAGGATATATGCCTATAGAAAACAAATAGCAAAATGACAGAGGTCCTTCTTTTTACTTTTTGTGTGTGACAGGGTCTCCTTCTGTCATCCAGGTTGGAGTGCAGTGACATGATCATAGCTCACTGCAGCCTCGATCTCCTGGGCTCAAGTGATCCTCCTGCTTCAGCCTCCTGAGTAGCTAGGACTAAAGGTGCGTGCCACCATGCCTGGCTAATATTTTTTTGTTTGTTTGTTTGTAGGAACACGGTCTCATTATGTTGCCCAGGCTGGTTCAAACTCCTGGACTCAAGTGTTCCTCCCACCTCAGCTTCCCAAAGTGCTGGGATTACAGGAATGAAACACTGCACCTGGCCCTCCTTCCTTAACAGTAATTACTTTAAATGTAAATGGTTAAATGTTCCAATCAAAAGACTGGCAGAATGGATTAAAAGCACCTGATCCAACTACGTCCATCTACAAGAGACTCACTTTATATCCAAAGACACAAACAGATTGAAGGTGAAAGGATGGAAAAAATATTCCATGGAAACAGTAACCAAAAGATAGCAGGGTGGTGACTATAAGACAAAATAGACTTTAAAACAAAAAAGATTACAAGAGATAAAAGACATTACATATTAGTAAGAGGTTCAATACAGCAAGAAGATATAACATTTATAAACATTTACGTATCTAATGATCATCAAAATGTACAATGCAAAAACCAACAGAACTGAAGAGAGAAACAGACAGTGCTACAATAATAGTTTCAGACTTCAATACACCCTCCATCCCCAAAAATGGATAGAACAACCAAAAAGAAGATAAGGAAATAGAGGACTTAACACAAACCAACTAGATCTAACAGACATATACAACGCTCACTACCCTACAGCAGCAGCACATACATTGTTCAGAAGTGCCATGGGACGTTTTGCAGGATAGACTATATGTTAAGCCACAAGATATTTTATTTTGAAAGACAGATATCATACAAAGTATCTTCTCTGACCGTAACAGATGAGTATGACCAATAAAGATGAGTATACTGAGATACACAGAAGTTAAATCAGTAACCAATACAGATGAGTATACTGAAACACACGGAAGTTAAATAACTTGCCTAAAATTACAGTAGGCTGCAGAGCCACATTTCAAAACCAGGCATTTTGAAAAAGTAAGGTTAAGTAAGTTTTGAAAAGGGAAGATCAAGCCCCAAAAGTAAGATCAAGGAGTCAACAAAAACTTTTTTTAAATGATACATTTTATCTCAATTCAAAAGGAATTCTTTCCATAACCTACGGAAAGAATAAAAGCATGCTTTTGATTATTCGAAATTCTAATAATTACAAGCAATCAGTTATTTTCTCTTGTCAGATAATACTCTTGTCAAATATATCAATGAAAGCCTAATGATATAAAATGTTTAAAGTGATAACTCTTCTATTGTAAATCAAAAAAGCAGTAAACAAAATTATGCACTTACAAATAATGGTTGGATTGAAATTCCACATAAACATTAAGAACACTTCTCATTTTAAAAGCACTAGGAAAGACAAACATTAACAATTACAAGAAAGCACAAAGTGGGCAGTACACACAAAAGGTCACAGCACAGTATTGTTGGCAATACCAAAGATGGGTAGTGTTAAGGTAATTATGTGCAATTATTTCAAAATGTTAAGGATATCCAAATTACATAAGGCTCCAATCATAGCACAATGGTAAATACTCTGGAAGCCATTAATAGACAACTATGATAAACTGATTGTAAACTTGTATCATTAAAGTTGTTTGACAAAAATATCTGGCTTTTAACTCCCAGAACTTTACGTTACTGTTCTGTAAGTGCTTCTTAGCTATGTAAAACAAAAAGGCTAACACATTAGTTTTTTGGATTTTGTTGTTGTTGTTAGCAAAGAGCACATAGCAAAACAAATATACTACCTCCCAAAATGGCAACTACAGCAAAAGACCATTACTAAGGAAGCTCTCCTCCAAGCAGCACTTCTCAAACATAGCTACAATTTAGAATCATATAGGGATATTTAAAAAATACCAGTACATAACACCCACTCCAGACCAAATAAATCAGAGTATCTGGGGATGGGTACAAGTGTTTTAAAAAGTTCCCGAAGTGGGCCGGGCGCGGTGGCTCAAGCCTGTAATCCCAGCACTTTGGGAGGCTGAGGCAGGCGGATCATGAGGTCAGGAGATCAAGACCATCCTGGCTAACCCCGTCTCTACTAAAAATACAAAAAATTAGCCAGGCGTGGTGGTGGGCGCCTGTGGTCCCAGATACTCGGGAGGCTGAGGCAGGAGAATGGGGTGAACCCAGGAGGCAGACCTTGCAGTGAGCTGAGACCGCGCCACTCCACTCCAGCTTGGGTGACAGAGCGAGACTCCATCTCAAAAAAAAAAAAAAAAAGTTCCCGAAGTGATTCTAATGTGTAGCCAGGGTTAAGAATCACTATGCCAAGGAAATCTAAGCCCTCCGTGTTATCATTGCATACAGAGCTTTTGTCCTTAATTGTCTGAAGAAATATTCATTTTATTCAGCCAATTTGCAAACCAAGAGAGTAAAACAAATAACTACTAAAAGGGGTATTAATTATAAGTACGCTTAGCTAAACATGTTAAGCAGAAATCAAGGCAAAAGTATTCCATTAATAATGTTTTAGATAACAGGTACGTTCAATTAACATGTCAAATATGCCAATAAACGAACTATTTCCATTTTTCAAACCGCAGACTTTACAAGCTGTGAAATGGTGCTATGCTTTCTGGTGTATTCAAGAGCCCACTAATTCCAAAACAGCCATGCTGAAACGACTGTCAACCTTAAAAATTGAAAGTCCCAAATGTGTTGCAGAAAACACACAAAAAAAAACCTCAATAAAGATTAGTTAAACTGGGCCGGGCACAGTGGCTCACAGCTGTAATCCCAGCACTTTGGGAGGCCGAGGTGGGCAGATCCCTTGAGGTCAGGAGTTGGAAACCAGCCTGGCCAACATGGTGAAACTCTGTCTCTACTAAAAATACAAAAATTAGCCGGGCGTAGTGGCAGGCACCTGTAATACCAGCTACTTGGGAGGCCGAGGTGGGAGAACTGCTTGAATCTGGGAGGTGGAGGTTGCAGTGAGCCAAGATCTTGCTATTGCACTGGAGCCTGGGCAACAGAGCGAGACTTCATGCCAAAACAAACAAAAAAAAAATTACTTAAACTGAACTTTAAGGTTGTGTAACTGCCAGAGCAAACCTTTTCATGCTTTCATGCACATGCTATCTCTGAAAATACTGTCAGAAGTCTGAAATTCAAACGCATGCCTACATTTTTGTATTTGGCTACTTAACTGTTTCACAGGAAAACTAAATAAACTAAGCCTCAAAAACAAGTATTAAAATATGCTGCTGTGGCCAGGGAACAGTGGCTCACGCCTGTAATCCCAGGACTTTGGGACGCCGAGGCAGGTGGATCAATTGAGGTCAGAAGTTCGAGACCAGCCTGGCCAACATGGTGAAACCCCATCTCTACTAAAAATACAAAAATAAGCCAGGCATGGTGGCTCGCGCCAGTTTTCCTAGCTACTCAGGAGGCTGAGGCACGAGAATCGTTTGAACACGGGAAGCAGAGGTTGCAGTGAGCCGAGATCACGCCACTGCACTTCAGCCTGGGTGACAGAGCAAGGCTCCATCTCAAAAAATAAAAATACTTATATATGCTGTTGTGTTTCCCCAAAACTGTACTACGGGGGTCCTCATCTTTTACTTAAAATCCTTAAGAACAAATGTGCTTCAGAATTTTTCAGATTTGCCCCGTCCGGGAAGGAGGTGGGGGGGTCAGCCCCCCGCCCGGCCAGCCGCCCCGTCCGGGAGGTGAGGGGCACCTCTGCCCGGCCGCCCCTACTGGGAAGTGAGGAGCCCCTCTGCCCGGCCAGCCGCCCCGTCCGGGAGGGAGGTGGGGGGTCAGCCCCCCGCCCGGCCAGCCGCCCCGTCCGGGAGGGAGGTGGGGGGGTCAGCCCCCCGCCCGGCCAGCCGCCCCGTCCGGGAGGTGAGGGGCGCCTCTGCCCGGCCGCCCCTACTGGCAAGTGAGGAGCCCCTCTGCCCGGCCAGCCGCCCCGTCCGGGAGGGAGGTGGGGGGTCAGCCCCCTGCCCGGCCAGCCGCCCTGTCCGGGAGGGAGGTGGGGGGTTCAGCCCCCCGCCCGGCCAGCCGCCCCGTCCGGGAGGGAGGTGGGGGTGTGAGCCCCCCGCCCGGCCAGCCGCCCCGTCCGGGAGGGAGGTGGGGGGGTCAGCCCCCCGCCCGGCCAGCCGCCCGGTCCGGGAGGTGAGGGGCGCCTCTCCTCAGCCGCCCCTACTGGGACGTGAGGAGCCCCTCTGCCCGGCCACCACCCCGTCTGGGAGGTGTACCCAACAGCTCATTGAGAACGGGCCATGATGACAATGGCGGTTTTGTGGAATAGAAAGAGGGGAAAGGCAGGGAAAGGATTGGGAAATCGGATGGTTGCCATGTCTGTGTAGAAAGAGGTAGACACGGGAGACTTTTCATTTTGTTCTGTACTAGGAAAAATTCTTCTGCCTTGGGATCCTGTTGATCGGTGACCCTACCCCCAACCCTGTGCTCTCTGAAACATGTGCTGTGTCCACTCAGGGTTAAATGGATTAAGGGCGGTGCAAGATGTGCTTTGTTAAACAGATGCTTGAAGGCAGCATGCTCGTTAAGAGTCATCACCACTCCCTAATCTCAAGTACCCAGGGACACAAACACTGCGGAAGGCCGCAGGGTCCTCTGCCTAGGAAAACCAGAGACCTCTGTTCACTTGTTTATCTGCTGACCCTCCCTCCACTATTGTCCTATGACCCTGCCAAATCCCCCTCTGTGAGAAACACCCAAGAATGATCAATTAAAAAAAAAAAAAAAATCAAAAAAAAAAAAAAAGAATTTTTCAGATTTTAGAAAAGTAACACAGCGTTTACACTCAAACAGACCCTATGGGGTCTAAAGTGCACCAATAACCAAACAAATTAATATTCCAAGACAGAACATAACTATTTATTAAGTGAGATAAAGATTATTCAGTAGCCTCCTGTCAGTACAAGTCGGCAAATTATTTTGCAGCAAACTTCTGAAAAAAGTTCCTTATTCAGAGCTTTGAATGAGGCAGTAATTCAAGATTTCTCTTTCATATTCAAGATACTGCAACTGGGCTGCAGAAAAAAAGTCACTATGATGAAAACATCCTTTTACTACAACTGTAATTCCACAGAAACAACTCAAGTTATTAGGGTAAATCCAAGAAAAAAGTCCAAGTGGTGCCCAACAATTTTCATAATGATTAGAATAGCATTTAAGTATTCACCTTAATTTTCATAACACAATTTTGAGCAAGAGCAAACAAATACATCAAAATATGCATATGGACTAAGGCAAGCCTGAAGCAGAGAGCCGGATGTAAAACGGGCAAACTGACACCCATAATAGTTCACCTAACTTTCTATCTAGCAGTATGGAAACCACACAGGGCTCTGAAGCTAAGCGACCAATGTTCTAATCCCAGTTCAACCATACAGGAAAATTACTTACATGCTCTACCCTCAGTTTCTTTACCTGTAAATGGAGATAATAATAGAACCTACCTCACTGCATTGCTGGAGTGTGGTGGCACGATCTCGGCTCATTGCAACCTCCAGCTCCCGGGTTCAAGCAATTCTCCCTGCCTCAGCCTCCCGGGTAGCTGGAATTACAGGCGTCCGCCACCACTCCCAGCTAACTTTTTGTATTTTTGTAGAGACGGGGTTTCACCATGTTGGCCAGGCTGGTCTTGAACTCCTGACTTTAGGTGATCCGCCCGCCTGGGCCTCCCAAAGTGAGCCACGGCAGGCGTGAGCCACCATGCCCGGCCAACCTCACTGCATTTTTAAGAAGATTAAATAAAGTAAAAGTTGAAGTCCATGATTTACAAATAGTATTAATTCCCTCCACCTAAACTACCACCACTTTTTCAAAGACACTTACATGCTGAAGGGGGTCAAGTATGACTTGTTGGCAGGGCGTGGTGGCTCATGCCTGTAGTCCCAGCACTTTGGGAGCCCGAGGAGGGCAGATCACTTGGTGTCAGGAGTTGGAGACCAGCCTGGTCAACATGGTGAAACCCCATCTTTACTAAAAACACGAAAATAAGCCAAGCCTGGTGGTGCACGCCTGTAATCCCAGCTACTGGGGAAGCTGTGGCAGAACTGCTTGAACCCAGCAGGTGGAGGCTGCAATGAGTCAAGATCAAGCCACTGCACTCCATCCTGGGCAACAGAGTGAGACTCTGTCTCTAAATAAATAAATAAATAAATAAATAAATAAATAGTATGATTCTTCTATGAAATCAGGTGAATTTTATAATACGAAACTCACCATGAAAATATGACTTTCAAATTTCAAAAATCCATCCTGACACAGTGGCTCAAGTCTGTAAGGCCAGCTACTCGGGGGGCTGAAGCGGGAGGATGACTTGAAGCAAGTTCAAGACCAGCCTGGGTAAATGAGACTCTCCCCGCTTTAAAAAGAAAAAAAGAACAACTTTAAAAATCCAATGTAGATTAAAAAATGATGGCTAATTTCTGAAATCAGGGCAGTTTCTCAAAACACTTTTTTTTATACCTTTGTTCTGCCTGATCAAAACACATTCTGGCCAAACCCACCGACTACTCTCCCAATACCTTTTTGTTTTCTACACTACCAATTGCACACATAATGGCTGTTAGGTGAAAATAAACTACTGAAAAGTGTACCCTTTTAACTTGAAATACAACAACCACAAGAATGGCCTAGGTTTGCAGATAAGAAAAGCCATTACAGCATTAAGACTTCACTTATACACAATCACTGCCCAAAGAACCTACCCAATTTTTTTTCCTTTTTCAACATCGAGGAAGAACCTACACAATTTAAATGCACTTAGGAAATAAGGCACAACAGTCCAAGATCCAAATTTCATAAACTACCCATTGAGTAAAAAAAGTATTAAGACTAGTAACTTTGGACAGATTTTTGCATCTAATGGATTTTTAAACTTATTGTCAAACGTACAAAATGATGCAATCCTTTGTTACTATTTATCCTAAATTTATTTTAGTTCTATTCCAAGTCAAGAATGTTAGTTTCCTGCAGATCACATGGGGCGGGGGGGAAAAAGAATGTTACAGGACACTGAATCCATCTGAAAGTATAACAAGTTCTGAGCTGATTCAAGGCTTCACTGTTAACAACTTCTCCAAGTAGAGTATATAACCTGGACAACCTAGACCTCCAGCACACCCAATTGAAGAGAAGATATTTAAGCAAGTTAGCACAGCTCTTGTGCAATAGAAAGCTTTCCCTAAGTTGTTAATACTCAAAACCCACTCCTTACTGTTAACACTACCATAAATAACCCATTAGGCCCTCGCAGTTACATCAGCTTTAAGAATACCATCTGCCATATGTCCTAGTAGAGTGCAACAAATGGATGCAAACATTACCCAAACATCAAGTGAAATATGAAAAGAATCTGTTATTCTGTGCTTTAATTCGATGTTGTTTAATGTGAAAAGACTTAGAACCAAAAGTAAATCGACCCACTACCTCAAAATTCCCTACAAGATTAATTAAACGAGACTTAATCCTTCATACTTGCACTTTTTCCGTCACAAACAGGAAACTCCGAAGAAAAGGAAATAGAAAAAAGCCTATTTTTGCTAAGAGGAATAACGGCATTGCTTCCAACCCCCACAGTGAGTGAACAAATGAAAAAGCAACGGGAGGAAGTGACGGGGGTAGGCGGTGGAAAGCTCAATTGGAGTCCTAAGCATGCCACCCGGCTCAGAGATGCCCTAAAACATCTGTTAAGAGCAGCTGCAACAGGGAAACCGGAGTCGGGGGATGAGGGCCGCGAACTGGACGGACTGAGAGTTGTGCCCGCACGTTCAGTCTCTTCTTGGCCAACTCTTTGCTCACCTCCCAAGTCCCCATCCCGCTTCCTCCATAAAGAAAAATCCCCAATAAAAGCAAAGGCAGAGAAGACAAAGAGGCAGGAGGAGGCTGCAAGGAGCGTCCACAACAATGGAGAAGATGGAGCGAGCGAAACTCCTGAGGACAATGAAGGGAGGTGGAGAAGCGCCGAGGGAAACGCTGCTGACCCGGGCCCCGCCAGTGGCGGACGCTGGACACAGGCCGGGCCGCACCGTCCCTGTCATCCCGGACGCCGCGGGCTGGGGCCGGGCAAGCGGGCGCCGCAGGGCCTGGGGGCGCTGGCGGGGCCTGCGCGGGTTCGCGGGCAAAGGCCGGCGGGACTCACCGGCATTCTGATCTCGGGGCCAGAGGTAGTATGTCGCCGGGATCACGATGAGCCCCACGAAGGAGGTGAGGAAGTAGAAGAAGGTGTTCCCACTGTCATCGTACTGGAACTGCTGCCCGGCCATGGCACCCCCTCCTCCGCCTCGCTCTTCTCACCGCCGCCGCCACGACCACGCTCTGCACTCCCGCTCCCAACGCCCCGGCCCGAGTGGCGTAGCTTGGACACTGCCGCCGCCGCCTCTCCTCCCCGCCCCCACGCCACTCTCACGGACACGCCGCCGCCACCTCTGCCGCTGCCGCCGCCGTCGCCAGCTCTCGCGAGAGGAGATAGTTCCCGCCCCGCTCAGTTTTCCCTCCCCCTGCGTGTCCCCAGCGAGCTCGCTAAGGGAGACGTGGCGAGCGCAACGGTGGAACTCGGCGAGGTCTCGCCCTTAGCCCCGCCCTAACGTCAAAGCCCTCCCCCAACCCCTCCCCTAGGGTCCCGCCCCTAACCGCTCCGCCTTCCTCCACCGCTCAGTTTCCCAGCGCACCACGCCGGATTCCGGGCGTCGGCGTACAGGATCCCAGAGAAGGCTTCCCGCCGGAGCAGCGGTCGCGGGCGGTTCACCTGGCTGCGCAGGGGTCCCAGATATTCAGAGAAGAGCTGAGGCTCAGCCTGTCCTGCCCTCTGGATTAATTGCCCTGGTTGATCACGTTTCCTTGGGTTCTGGATCTGCTCCTCCAGCCCCCATATTTTGGAAACAAGTGTCATTTAGAATAGGGGGTGGGAGGCCGGGCACAGTGGCTCACGCCTGTAATCCCAGCACTTTGAGAGGCCGAGGCGGACGGATCATGAGATCAGGAGTTCGAGACCAGCCTGACCAACATGGTGAAACCCACTCTCTACTAAAAATACAAAAATTAGCCGGACGTGGTGGCGCGCGCCTCCATCTCAAAAAAAAAAAAAATTGGGGGATGGGGAGGTGTGGGTTGCGGGAGGTGTGGGTTGCAGTTGTGTTTTCAAAGCAATGTTTACTATCTGGCCGGGCGCAGTGGCTCATGCCTGTAATCCCAGTACTTTGGGAGACCGGGTGGATCATGAGGTCAGGAGTTCCAGACCAGCCTAACCAACATGGTGAAACCGCGTCTCTACTAAAAATACAAAAACTAGCCGGCTGTGGTGGCACGCGCCTGTAATCCCAGCTACTCAGGAGGCTGAGGCAGGAGAATCGCTTGAACCCGGGAGGCGGAGGTTGCAGTGAGACCGGATCGCTCTCCACTGGGCGACAGATTTGAATCTACGCTGTGCCCATCTTGCAGATGAAGATTTCCCCAAGCCGTTACAGATGGTTCCCTACCCATTCCAGAGCTGCTAATTATAACCACCAGCTTCAGGCGGTAGGCTGAGACCTTTATTGTTTTGTGTCATTTAGTCATCAGTAAACCCCATGGAATAAAGCAAAGTATGTCTGCTCTACAAATGAGAAAATTGAGGCCCAGAGAGACTGCCCAAGGTCCCTCACAGTAAAAGAATGTCTGAGGATTCAAACCCATATCATTTTGATGCCACAAAGCCAGTGTGCCCTTGACCCTCCATCGCCCAGGACCTTAAAATTTCCTGACAGTGACTGGCATTCTCCCTGCGGGTTGTGAACAGGAAACTGCATTTCAGGGATGGACGGTGGCGGGAGCAGTCGCTCTCGGGAGCCTCTCCTTCCCCTGGCTGTGGGACCCTAGAGGCTGGTGTCCGCTGAGCTGGAAACTGGACTTCTGCCCAGATCTTTGAACGACCCCACGGTCCAGCGGCAGCTGTGGCTGGGGTCTATCCCAGAGTCCATTGCCCCTCTCTGGGTTAAAAGGATAGCCCACCTGGTTGCAGAGATTGAAAGGACTAATTGTGAAAATGCTTTTCAAAGGAGAAAGTGTAATATGCAAATACCAAATATTACACTATATTTCAAGGACTCATTTTAATACTTTATACTCTGTTAACTAAATGCATTATAATATTCCTTCCATTGTTGGAGGAAAAATCTGGTTGCTCATTGTCTTTCATTTCATGTCTTCAAAACTAGTATCTTAATCAGTAATGCTTTCCTTCATAATAGATTGTGTTCATATGTATTCTCTCTTCCCTTCAAATTTCCTATCTACTCACTTTGAAAGGAAATTTCTGAAATTCATTTCTATGCATTTCCCTCCTCACTTTTTTTCTGCACAAAGTTCAAAACTATATTATAGGTGAAAAAATAAAACCAAGAAATGAAGGGAAGGTTGAACTATGAAATCAACATAGCATTGTGATCTCCCAACGCTGATATACCCAGAGTGAACAATTTGCCTTGCTACAGAAAATTAGTCACAGACTTGTTGCAGCTGAAGTGAGCAGGATCATGAAGTTCCTTTTGTTTGTTGAATATGTTATTAAGTCTTCCTCGGTTTTAATAATGTTGAACTGTTTTTTTATTACTCCTATTATGTTTTGCTGGGCATTTGTTTAAAGATAATACATCAGTTTTGTAACCTTGTAGCAATATAAGTTATTGATGATAAATACTCCCCTTCTTTCTTTCTGCAGGAATAATATTTTCACTGCAGCTTTGGGGTCATGCCTAAAAGTGGCTTGAACCAAATTGAAATAGCAATTTGAAAAAACCCCAGATCAATCTAAAATGTTATTTTTTTAACCAAAGCATGTTCAAGATTTGAAAATGTATCCTCTATTTTCAAAAGTATACATATAATTTATCCTAGAACTTAATATTACTGAACATAGATAACCTCAGACCACCCAAATATTCTCCAAAGCAAATCTTAATCATACCTTTAATTAATTTAATCGCAATTTCTGATTCACTTTTTTTTTTTTTTTTGAGACAGGGTCTCATTCTGTTGCCCAGGCTGCAGTGCAGTGGTGCATTCTTGGCTCACTGCAGCCTCTGCCTCCAGGTTCAAGTGATTCTCATGCCTCAGCCTCCCGAGTAGCTGGGACTACAGGCGTGCACCACCACACCCGGCTAAGTTTTGCATTTTTAGTAGAGACAGGGTTTCACCAAGTTGGCCAGGCTGGTCTCGAACTCCTGACCTCAGGTGATCCGCCCACCTCAGCCTCCCAAAGTGCTGGGATTACAGGCATTAGCCACCATGCCCAGCAGATATTTTTAACCTAATAAAATTGTTTCAAGAAATTATTTTAGTGAGATATTTAATAAAAGTAAATTAATATGGCTGGGTGCCATGGATCACATTGAAGACCAACCTGGCCAACATGGTGAAACCCTATCTCTACTAAAAATACAAAAATTAGCCGGGCATGGTGGTGGTGCCTGTAAGCCTAGCTACTCGGGAGGCTGAGGCAGGAGAATCACTTGAACCCAGGAGGCAGAGGTTGCAATGAGCCGAGATCATGCCACTGCACTCTAGCCTGGCCAACAGAGCAAGACTCCATCTCAAAAAAAAGAAAAATATGGAAGAAGCAAAGCTACAGACAAAACTTGTCTTTAGTCTAACAGCATATATTAAAAGGCATTTAGGCCTGTAATCCCAGGACTTTGGGAAGCCAAGGCAGGCAGATCACTTGAGGCCAGGAGTAAAAGACCAGCCTGACCAACATGGTGAAACCCGGTCTCTACTAAAAATACAAAAATTAGCTGGGTGTGGTGGCAGGCGCCTGTAATCCCAGCTACTCAGAAGGCTGAGACAGGAGAATCACTTGAACCCAGGAGGTGAAGGTTGCAGTGAGCTAAGATCGTGCCATTGCACTCCAGCCTGGGTGACACAGCAAGACCATGTCTCAAAAAAAAAAAAAAAAAAAAAGGCATTGGGCATTTTAGTATTTATGTCTGTAATTGAATATTTTAATCAATTTTGTTTTAATTGCTAGATAGACATTTTCCCTGTAGAAAGCCTGACTATTTTGGGGTTCCTTTTCATACTTTGCTTTTTCCTTAGAGTGAATCTTTCCTTCTTTGTAAGTCATCCTTTTTTTTTTAGACAGAGTATCCCTCTGTAGCCCAGGCTGGAGTGCAGTGGCGCAATCTTGGCTCACTGCAACCTCGCCTCCCCGGTTCAAGCAATTCTTCTGCCTCGGCCTCCCAAGTAGCTGGGACTACAAGCATGCACCACCACACGTGGCTAATTTTTTTTTTTTTTTTTTTTGAGACGGAGTTTTGCTCTTGTTGCCCAGGCTGGAGTGCAATGGCACGATCTTGGCTCACTGCAACCTCCACCTCCCGGGTTCAAGCAATTCTCCTGCCTCAGCCTCCCAAGTTGCTGGGATTACAGGTGCCTGCTACCACGCCCAGCTAGTTTTTTGTATTTTTAGCAGAGAAAGGGTTTCACCATGCTGGCCAGGCTGGTCTCGAACTCCTGACCTCAAGTGATCCATCCGCCTCAGCCTCCCAAAGTGCTTGGATTACAGGCACGAGCCATCACTCCTAGCCAGTTATCCTTATACTACATTTTTGACTTAAATTTATACATACCAAAGTATATTTCTGTAGCCATAATCAACATTATTTAATTATCTACTTGTGGAGTTAGCTGCAAAGAAACTGGAAGGAACCAAATTATGATTAAATAAGGGCACACAGTTACTTCCAGTCTTCTTCCCTTTCCCCCATGCTACAGTAGAACATAACCTTTACTGCCAAAGCCTAGAAAATTATCTTTAATGTTAAACCCGAGTTTTAATGTTATCTTTAATGTTATACCAGAGATTTTTTTCATTAAGAGGCTAAATCTCTTCTGATACAAAGTAACCAATCCTGCTTATGACAACAGTAACATCAACAAAGTAATGTTTGTACAACACTTATGATTTACAAAAATCTTCCAAAACATTATTCCAATTGAAATTTCAAATCATGACCCTATGTTGGAACTTTGACTAGGTAAAAGGTATTAAATCATTGCAATCCTTTTATTTCCTGACCCACTAAGGCCCTTCAGACCCAACAAAACCACAATCTCCTATCTGGAGAGAATGTAAAGAGAGGTATGAGTTGGAAAAACAGCAAAACTAGTTTAAGGTCAACCATGAAAACAATCCTAAAAGAGGAATTGAGGGCTGTGGTTTTCCTTTGGTATTGGAAGCAGGTTTGTATTTTGACTTCTTTCTTTTTATGAGTATGTTGGACTTGTTAATTTTGTGGGGTTTTTGTTTGTTTTGTTTGTTGTTTGTTGTGGGGTTTTTTGGTAGAGTGCCTCGCTGTGTTGCCCACGCTGGTCTTGAATTCTTGTACTCAAGCCATCCTCCTGCCTTGGCCTCCCAATTTGCTGGGATTGCAGGCACAAGCACTGTACCCAACCTATTGTTCTTTTTCTATCCCTGCTTTTGTGATTATAAAGCTGAGAATTTTTTGCACTAAAGCCAGTTGTCAGAGATACATCAACAAACTCAGGTCATTCCTTTATGAATTAATTGTATACATTACCAGTTGCTATAGTTTGAATGTGTCCCCTCCAAAATTCAGGTGTTGAAACTTAATTGCCAATGTCATAGTATTCAAAGGTGGGGCCTTTAAGAGATGATTAGGCCATGAGGCTCCTCCCTCATAAATGGGATTAAGGTCCTTATAAAAGAAACTTCATGAAGTGTTAGTGTTTGAGTGTCTTGCCCTTCTCCTCCTGCCATGAAGATACAGCAGTCCTCCCTTCTGGAAGATGCAGCAACAAGGCACCATCTTGAAAACAGAGTCCATGCCCATCACTAGACACTGAACCTGCCAGTGCCTTGGTCTTGGACTTCCCAGCCTCCAGAACTGTGAGAAATACATTTTGGTTCTTTATAAATTATTCGGTGTCCAGTATTTTGGTATAGCAGCACAGACAGACTAAGACGCCTACATATGTAAAGTGCTTTAATGAAAAAATAATGATTGACACTACACGTTATGCCATAAAATAGCACTTACTGAAATTTCCCACCCAGATCAAAATATAACTTGGGAGATTGGTCATAAATAAATAGAAGAATTCACTCTGGGAAATTTCAAAGGTATATATTTGAGTAAGAAGAAAGAAAACTCTCAGGATTAAAACAAGCTTCAGGGAAGATATCAATTATCTTGTGTCAATCATTTTGTTGAAAAACAAATACTGTGGGTCTTAAAGCTTATAAAATTAGAAGTCTCTGGCCCGGTGCGATGGCTCAGGCCTGTAATCCCAGCACTTTGGGAGGCCGAGGCGGGTGGATCACGAGGTCAGGAGATCGAGACCATCCTGGCTAACACGGTGAAACCCCTTCTCTACTAAAAATACAAAAAAAATTAGCCGGGCGTGGTGGCGGGCACCTATAGTCACAGCTACTCAGGAGGCCGAGGCAGGAGAATGGTGTGAACCTGGAACGCAGAACTTGCAGTGAGCTGAGATAGCACCACCGCAGTCTGGCCTGCACCAAAGCACGAGACTCCGTCTCAAAAAAAAAAAAAAAAAAAAAAAAAAGCCACTTCATAGTCAGAGCAGTGGCATGAGCAGTGGCATGGACTGCTTGACTGACTATACTTATGGTTATTTCTTGATTATATGCTAAACAAAGTGTGGCTTATTCAGAGTTTTTTGGGATTGGGGTGGGGAGTTCCTAGAACTGAAGGTTCCTCCCCTTTTTAGACCATATAGAGTAACGTCCTGACATTGCCATTTCATTTGTAAATGGTCATGGCACAGGTGGGAGTGTCTTAGCATGCTAATGTATTATAATTAGCATATAATGAGTAGTGAGGACAACCGTAGGTCACTTTCATTGCCATCTTGGTTTTGTTGGGTTTGGCAGGCTTCTTTACCGCTCCTGTTTTATTATAGGGGTCTTTATCACCTGTATCTTGTCGACCTATCGCATCCCATGACTAAGAATGCCTCATCTCCTAGGAATGCAGCCCAGCAGGTCTCAGCCTCATTTTACTCAGCCCCTGTTCAAGATGGAGTCGCTTTGGTTTGAATGCCTCTGACATATTGATACGTTTCTATTTGACTAAAGCTCAGTCAAGAGAATCAAACCCTTAGCTTATAATTTTAGTATGTGATAAGTGGAAGAATTTTCAGAGTAGTTTCTGACTCAGTACATTTCAAACAACGTTTCTCCTCCACAGCCTACATACTTCAGGTGCCAGGCCCCATGGGATATATTCATAATGTGAATCAAGATGTATCACACTTTCATGTTGAGACAGCCAGGTGGGAGGGGGTACCTGGCAAAACTCCAACCAGCCTGCGCTGGGAATGTGCACTGGGGTGGAGCTACAGAAGCCTGGCCCCTCCTCTTCCTGTGTGGAATCTGGGATTCTAACGGGAGGTGGGAAACGCACCAGCAGGGACTCTGGCTTTGTGGAGGATCCCTGTTCCCCCCTTTTTTTCCTTTCAACCAATAAAACCCTGCTTTACTCACCCTTCAAACGGCCTGCAAGCCTAAACTTCTGTGGCTGTGGGACAAGTACCCTGTCTTTAGCTTAAGGAAAAGTCCTGCAACAATGTTACAAAGCTAGTTCAGTTTGCCTTATGGGGAAAGGAGCATTCCTGGAAATGGCAACAACTATAAGTGAAAGTAACTGTAAACAACTTAAAGATAGCCCGGTAACTCCACAGGAATGTGTAGCTGGAGTCAGGATAGCATTCTCAGCTCTGAAGTCTAACACAAGATTAGCATAGACTTGGCCGGGTGCGGGGGCTCATGCCTGTAATCCCAACACTTTGGGAGGCCGAAGTGGGTGGATCACGAGGTCAGGGGTTCGAGAACAGCCTGGCTAATATGGTGAAACCCTGTCTCTATTAAAAATACAAAAATTAGCCGGGCGTGGTGGCGCACACCTGTAATGCCATCTACTCGGAGGGCTGAGGCAGGAGAATTGTTTGAACCCGGGAGGCAGAGGTTGCAGTGAGCCGAGATCACGCCACTGCATTCCAGCCTGGGTGACAGAGCATGAGTCCATCTAGAAAAAAAAGATTAGCACAGACTCATCAGAGTATCTGCCCTAAAGCTGTCTGATAACTAGCCAAGAAGTTTCAGCATCAACGAGCACTTCTAGTCCACCAAAAGCATATTGGTAACATTAATGTGTGAGCACATCCCTGCCAACACTGACAAATCAGATAGGGGGAGGGAAACTTTGAACTACAGATTGACTTGTTTCAGCCCTCATTTTAATTTCTGATTCACCGGACAAGCTGGCAAAAGACCATAGTGTTAAATAAATGAATAAACTTGCCCTACAGGTTAAGTTGTTGTCTTGCGTTCATGGCTAGTGAGACAATGGGCAGAACTATATGCCTACAACCTTTATGGCAACCAGTCCAGGGAGCCAACCCACAGCCTCCACAACAACTGGCCTAGAACATTAGGATGTGGTCAATGACTACCAGCTTCCCAATTTTTTGCCCCACTTCCAAATCAGGATCAACCAGCCAAACACACATAAACTAATCACATAGGATGCCTTGCTTCTAGTTAGCCTGCCTCCAATTTCCCCATGCCAACAACCTGCAATCTAAGCATACCTGAAACCTTCCCTTTTTTCCATTCCAAAGCTTCCCCACTCCCCTGCCTGGCTCTGAGTCTCTGCCAAACACAAGGAACAGTGGCAGAATCCCTTGCTATAGCAAGCTCTGAATAAACAGCATCTGTTTGTTCTCATTGAGGTGGTCTTGCTTTATTTCTAGGTAGATAAATGCTAAACGAATTGCTCTTAACAGTTGTTAAGTATAGTATTACACACATATTAGTAGTTTTGCATAGATATCTTAATGTCCTGCCAAGTACCTGCATCTCCTGTCACTAAATCCCAGACGCTCAGGGGAAAAAAGGAGACAACAACCAACCAACCAAAGCTCACTGCTTGAATCTGAGTCAGGACCACAGCAGTAAAGAGCCTTATTGATTGATTGATTGGGACAGAGTCTTGCTCTATTGCCCAGGCTGGAGTGCAGTGGCATAATCTCGGCTCACTGCAACCTCCACCTCCTGGGTTCAAGCGATTCTCCTGCCTCAGCCTCCCGAGTAGCTGAGACTACAGGTGCCCACCACCCCACCCAGCTAATTTATGTTTTGTTTGTTTGTTTTTTGAGATGGAGTCTCGCTCTGTTGCCCAGGCAGGAGCGCAGTGGCGCAATCTTGGCTCACTGCAATCTCCACCTCCCGGTTCAAGCAATTCTCCTGCCTCAACCTCCCAAGTAGCTGGGATTACAGGCGTGCACTACCATGCCCAGCTAATTTTTGTATTTTTAGTAAAGACAGGGTTGGCCAGGCTGATCTCGAACGCCTGACCTCAAGTGATCCACCCACCTTGGCCTCCCAAAGTGCTGGGATTACGGGCATGAGCCACTGTGCCCAGTCTCAAACTTATTTTTGACCATTATTCATAATAAATATATTTTACATTATGGCTCAGTGTGTTACTGAAAAAAATATCATGTGCAAACCACTGTGATTTTTTCTTATTCCATAAATTTATTTATATAAAATATAAATAAATGATACATATTAACATATAAAATGCTTTATTAAATAAATAAGCAACTACAATCCAGAAATTTTCTGCAGGTGCATTGGGGAACTTGGTCATAAAATTTAGCTAAGATCACCTTAGCGTGTTCTTGAACATTCTTTGTATTATCAGGTGGAAAGCTTTTCATTTAAGAAACTCCTCTGGGGCAGTAGTTCTCAGATTTAGCAGCCTGACAATCACCTGAAAGGCTTGTTAAAACACAAATTGTTAGGCCCCAAGCCAGAGTTTCTGATTCAGGCCCTCAGGGTCAAGTTTTTTTTTGTTTTTTTTTAATCAGTGTTGACCAGGTTGGCCTCGAACGTGTAGCCTCGCCTCCCCGAGTGCCAGGGCAACCGGCCTGAGCCACGGCGGCTCCCAAGTTTCATATTTCTACCAAGTTCCCAGGTGATACTCCTGCTCCTGGTCTGGAAACCACACTGCTCTAGGGAATCATTTCTGTGAATCAAATAATCCTTTGCACAGTGAATAATCACTTCCTAACTTATTTGTTGGTCATATGTCAAGTTCACCGAAACAAAGTATATTGCACTGGCTGGATATGTGTGAATGTAATTTTTTTGAATGTACATGAGGTCAAAAGTGAGGACTTCAAGGAGGCAGCCTGCTTCCTGGTTCCTTCCTCCAAGCTATTCTGGTGCTCCTTTTCAGAACTATTTAATCATTCATTCATTCATTTATTTAAATATTGAGACTATGTGCCAAGAGCCATGCTAAGTTCTAGAATACAGTCAGCCTGAGCATTTGAAAAGAAAACATTGCCCTTAAGAAAGCTGTAGAATCATGCTGAGACCATTTTTGTCCTTTTAAAACCATTTAGTTTTTGGTAGTGAGGATCAGGTGCTCTTCCAGAGACAGGAAGATGACAAAAGCAGGCAACTGCTGGCGAGTTTTCAGGCTACTAATCCACTGGTCTTTGAAAACGGTATTTCCCAAGCCTCCCTGTGAGAAGGAGCAGAGCACCTGGGTGGTTGATAAATGACAGCTGTCAGGCCGTTGGTAATCCTGATGCACCGAGCTGGGTATGAGGCCTGGTAGTTATGGTTTTAGCAAGTACTTCAGATAAGTCTTACCAAAAGAGTGTGGGAAACACTGTTTTAAATTATCTTCGGCCAGGCCCAGTGGCTCATGCCTGTAATCCTAGCACTTTGGGAGGCCAAGGCGGGTGGATCACCTGAGGTCAGGAGTTTGAGACCAGCCTGGCCAACATAATGAAACCCCCGTCTATACTAAAAATATGAAAAATTAGCCAGGCATGGTGGTGGATGCCTGTAATCCCAGCTACTTAGGAGGCTGAGGCAGGAGAATCACTTGAACCTGGAAGGTGGAGGTTGCAGTGAGCCAAGATCGCACCACTGCACTCCAGCCTGGGCAACAAGAGTGAAACTCCATCTCAAAATAAATAAGAAAATAAAATAAAATAATCTTCAAATACAACATAGCCCCCAGAATTGTATTAACTAAAATGAGAAAGTATTCACAATAGTTCAGTGCTCCTCAAACTTTGCTGCATGTAAGAATCATTTAGGGAACTTAAAAACATTTCCAATGCCTAGTCCTATTCCCTATAGCAATTAAATCAAAATCTCCCCCAGGTGATTCCAACTGGCAGCCAAATTTTAGAACCAGCCCATAAAAGTTAAGCCTCTCTTCATGTTGAAGCACCTTTCACAGTCTCTTCCCATTGAAACGGCCTCCATTACCATGACAACCTACATCCTGCTTAAGTGCTGGGGGGCTTGTGCTGGGGAGGTGGGGATCTTGAGCGTTCTTGATCTATTGAGGCCAGCAGCCTAGCCTCTTTTGAAAGTTCTGTAAGGGATCAGGAACTGCCCCAGAGTTTGGTGGCTTCTGGGACTCTGCTTAAAGCTGTAGGCACTGTAGACCAGTGCCTCTCAAACTTTAATGTGTATATGAATCCCTTGGGGATCTTAGTAGAATGAAGATTCTGTTTCAGGCCTGGCGTAGATTTTTTGCATTTCCAAGAAGCTGCAGTTGATGCTTATGCTGCTGGACCATAAACTACATTTTAAGTAGCAAAGCTATGGATCCTCCCTGAAAGCCAGTGTCAATAGATAAAAGCAGCAACAGCATGTAGCAGTGGCAAATATGCTAAGATAAAAGGGAATGGTGACTGTTTTGTAGGCAGGATGCTATAAAGCCAATTGGGCCAGGCACGGTGGCTCATGCCTGTAATCCCAGCACTTTGGGAGGCCGAGGCGGGTGGGTCACCTGAGGTCAGGAGTTCGAGACCAGCCCGGCCAACATGGCGAAACCCCATCTCTACTAAAAATACAAAAATTAGCGGGGCATGGTGGGTCGCCTGTAATCCCAGCTACTCAGGAGGCTGAGACAGGAGAATCACTTGAACCCGGGAGGCGGAGGTTTCAGGGAGTCAAGATCGCACCATTGCACTCCAGCCTGGGCGACAAGAGTGAAACTGTCTCAAAAGAAAAGAAAAGAGCATAAAAAACAATATTTGAGGAAACTAAAGTGGAAAGAACAGTAGACCAAACTGATGAGATAGATTTGAGATAGTCATAGTTACACTAAAGAGTGTGTAAAACAATACTGAAAGATATGGTAGAAGGGTAGATAAAGAAAAGCAGAGTAGCAGAGAAGAGCCTGGGCTTCCAAATCAGATTAAATTCAAAACCTGGCTCTACTGCTTACTGCCTATGTGACTTAAGCAGATGACTTAATTTATCTGTAAAATGGGAATAACTTTCCTACTAGTTTTGTACCTTTGCAAATGGGTTAACATGAAAGGTGCCCAGCCCAGGCTTGGTAACAGTATGTCCTCAATAAATGATTGCTACCATGATATAAATATATAAATGAAGCCCAGGTGTCTAGGGCTTCACCAATTGTATGTTCATTCATTCAATCTTGATGGCTTGCTTTCCTCCCTTCCTTCTTTCTTTCCTTCCTTCTATCCTTCCTTCCTTCTTTCCTTCTATCCTTCCTTCCTTCCTTCCTTCCAGACAGGGTCTCACTCTCTGGCCAGGCTAGAGTGCAGTAGCACGATCATGGCTCACTGCAGCCTTGACCTGCTGGCCTCAGGCGATCTTCCTGTTTCAGCCTCCCAGGTAGCTGGGACCACAGCCACATGCCACTACGCCTGGCTAATTTTTTGTGGAGTTGGAGTTTCACCATGTTGTCCAGGCTTATCTCGAACTCTTGGGCTTAAGCAACCTGCCCACCTCGGTCTCCCAAAGTGCTGGGATTACAGGAGTGGGTCACTGTGCCTGACCCTAGGTAGCTTTCTAACCCTGCTTGGCAGGCTGCAGAAAATCCAACTTTATGCAGAAGTTGTGCAAATAACCTGGGGAGCTCTCTTGCGTTCCCGTATTGGACTTTCTCATTGCTCTCTGCAGGCTCAGACCACAACAGAACCCAGAGAGGCATTACCCTTGCCATCACCACCAAGGTTGCCAATGCCTGAATACTGGAGCCTTTGCATCTTAATAGTTGAAATCCATGTCATTGCTCTTGCAAAATGAACGTACCTGAGTATTACCTACGTTATTTGTCTAGAATTTGGTGACGGCAGTAGCGTATATTCTCTGAAACTGGGGTGGAAGTAGTGATGTCAGGAGAGACGTCCACAGAAAGGAATCTTGAGCATCAACAGGTCTCAGAACCTTCACCTCACACACACAGGCATTTTCTCCCCAGAGTACACAAATGGAGTGGACGTTCCTGTGTAGACATCCATTCTATCCAGAGCGGCTCACTAACCACTCTCTGATGGTAAAGTCTTGTTGCTGATAACATGAACATTTGCTGAGGACTTATATCAGCTATCCTCAACTATCCCTATGAAGTAGGAACTATAACTGCATCGATTTTCCACATGAGAGAAAGAAGGTTTAGAAAGACCAAGAAATAGGCCCAGGGTCACGCATATAGTAAGCAGTAGAGGTGGGTTTTGAATAAAGTCATTCTGACTCCAGGACAAACATGTTCATTTTTTTAAAATTTCTATTTATTTTTTTTTGAGATTTTTTTATATTATTTATTTTATTTATTTATTTAATTTAATTTTTATTTATTTATGTTTTTGAGTCTCACTCTGTTGCCCAGTCTGGAGTGCAGTGGCACGACCTCGGCTCACTGCAATCTCTGCCTCCCAGGCTCAAACGATTCTCGTGTCTCAGCCTCCTGAGTAGCTGGGATTACAGGCACCCAGCTTGTTGAACTCCTGGGCTCAAGGGATCCTCCCACCTTGACCTCCCAAAGTGCTGGGATTACAGGGGTGAGCCACTTGTCTAATTTTTTTTTTTTTTCTGAGATGGAGACTCACTCTGTCGCCCAGGCTGGAGCGCAGTGGCGCGATCTCGGCTCACTGCAAGCTCCGCCTCCCGGGTTCACGCCATTCTCCTGCCTCAGCCTCCCCAGCAGCTGGGACTACAGGTGCCCGCCACCACACCCAGCTAATTTTTTGAATTTTTAGTAGAGATGGGGTTTCACCATGTTAGCCAGGATGGTCTCGATCTCCTGACCTCGTGATCTGCCCGCCTCGGCCTCCCAAAGTGCTGGGATTACAGGCATGAGCCACCACGCCCGGCCTAATTTTTGTATTTTTAGTAGAGATGGGGTTTCACCACGTTAGCCAGGCTGCTCTCAAACTCCTGACCTCAAGTGATCCTCCTACCTTGGCCTCCCAAAGTGTTGGGATTACAGGCGTGAGCCGCCTCTCCCAGCTGCATGTTCAGCTTTGTGTCCACTCACTATTCTATTCCCTGCACCAGATTCCTCATACTGACCATTTCATTCTCCAAACATCTAGCTTCCACTTGGGGCCCCTAGTCAATCAGATATGTCTGTATATGTCTTAATCCTAATCGTGGACAGTGTTCAAGTATTTTATTCAGAGGGCTCCTTAATTCTGTTGCAAATCAGTGAATGCAAATAGCTACAAGGTAAAGGGGGTTACCAGCCTCCACTCTCCAGGAATATCTGAGTCTCAGTCTGATCTTCAAAGCCCTTTACAAAGTTGCTCCATCATTATCATCTTAATCCCATAACTGGGTGACTTTGATAGGCTGGAACTAAGTTTTCTGGATTTTATAGGCAAATTCTATGACTATATCATTCATATAATAGAAGGGGGTAAGGAGGACCAAAAAGGAAGAAAAAACTGAATTTCAGGTTCATTTGCTCAGGCTCTCAGTTCCTGCAGAACATGAGTTACAACAGTAGTGATGAGGGCAGCCCAGGGTGCTTCAGATGCAGTGTAACCAGCTCAAGTCCTGCTGCTCGCCGCTCAGAGGTCAAAAGCACAAGAAGCGAGGTGTGGTGAAAGGAAAGCAACTTTATTCAAATGCTAGAAGTTGGGGAATAGCCAGGCTCATGCCTTTAAAAGACCATTCCCAACTTTAGGCTAGGGAGAGGGACTTAAAAAGGGGAACTTGGAATGGGAAGTATGCAGGAGTGGTGCTGAGTTCAAGGTCTGTGTCTCTTGTTTCCCTGGTGACTGTCAGGGTGATCTGATGTCATCTGAACGATGGCCGGGTTGTAGACTAACAGCCTTGAGGTAATCTCTGGCATTTTGCAGCTGGGCCTCCATGTCTGGTTTATGTCAAGATTAGACCCTGGAACTTCTAAGTAAGCACATAATTAGATCCAAGTACAATTAGATAAATGTGCATGGTGTAAGGGAGTGTATGGTAAGAAAGGGAGAGACGCGGTGTTTCAAATAAAGTACATTTCAAGGCTACGTCCTAATACTAAGGAGGAAAAAAGGGTTTCTGCAGTAGGCTTCAAGGTTACATCTTGAGACTGGAGAGAAAAGAGAAAAAGGGGGGAAAAAGTTTTGAAATGCATTTTGAAGCTGAGCTATTCAGTTCCCATAGGGTCCCATCTCCAATAGATGAACCTAAGAAATAAGTGAGCAAGAGAACTGTGGGGCTGTCATTTATATGGTGTTACAGCTGCTGTGACCCATCCCTCACCTGCAGGTATCAGATGAAGGGTCCTAAATTGGAATCAGGCAGAGAGAGAATAAGAGAAAGAGAAGGGATTGAAGTACACCCAAAAATCCTTTATATATTAACAGGCATGTGAATCTTTAAGATGCAGTACAGGATGTGAGGTTTACCAAATTATTTGACCACTGCCTCCCTTTTTTTTTTTTTTTTTAACAGAATAAGCAAAACAAGAGTTTTTTTTTAATTATTATTTTTTTCTTTATTTTTTTTTCCCCTTTGGTAGAGTCAGGGTCTCACTATGTTGCCCAGGTTGGTCTTGAACTCCTGAGCTCAAGGGATCCTCCCACCTTGACCTCCCAAAGTGCTGGGATTACAGGGGTCAGCCAACATGCCTAGTCAACAAGGGTTTAGTGTTTTGCAAAAACACACTTGGGAAATGCTGGTCTAGTAGATTTTTGGAACACACATGCCACCAATGGATGACTTTATCAAGAGTAGAGAAACCAGTTTGTCAGGTAAGAAGGGGAAGGAAAGACAGGGAGGAACGAAGGTGCTCAGCGGAAGGGAAGGAACAGGAATGACAGCTGGAGAAAGTGGCATGGGAGGAGGATACTGAGGAAGAACTGATTGCTAGGGGTGTTTCGTTTTGCTTTGTTTTTGAGACAGGGTCTCGTTCTGTGGTCCAGGCTGGAGTGCAGTGGTGTGATCACAGCCCACTGAAGCCTCAACTTCCTGGGCTCAGGTGATTCTCCCTCCTCAGCCTCCCAAGTAGCTGGGACCACAGGCCCACACCACCAGGCACGACTAATTTTGTTGTTGTTGTTGTTATTTTCTGTAGTGATGGGGTTTCGCCATGCTTCCCAGTCTTGTCTCAAACTCCTGGGCTCAAGCTATTTGCCCACCTCAGCCTCCCAAAGTGCTGGGATTATGGGCATGAGGCACTGTGCCCAGCCTGGTTTATTTTCTTTTAAAATATGTGTGGTCTTGCCATGTTTCTAGAACACACTCTCAGCCCATCTGTTTTCCATCTCTTACAGGATGCTTCTAGCTGCTCTCCTGGGTGGAACATCACAGAAATCATCCCCCTGCCCCACTCTGGGGCTTGGGGCCCTCCTGGTCTGCCAAGAGGTTCCCAAGCTGATTGCCAAGGGGCCATCTTATTCTTAGATACAATCTTATCTCCAATCCCTATGGAAGGTTTAAGTAGTAATTTACTCAAAGATTTAGGAAAGAAGTCCAGAACCAAGCTTCACTGGGGATGGGAGTTGGGGTGGGTGCGGTTTAAAGTAAATATCCTCAGACCCCTACCCAGCCACTTTGCTCCCAGTCACCAATCACAAACCAAATCCCCACCACGGGGTTTTCCGAACTCTTACAGTCTCACAGCCTTTGATGTTGGCCCTCAATGGCCTGTGAGGGACCAAGCTCTGGTCACATGGATGGAGAGAAGAATCAATGATACCATTTGTTACTACCGGGTCTTACATTTGGGGATGTTGCTAGTTTCCGCCGATCTAGAGCATCCAAAGTCAAGCACATTTAATCACCTTAAGGAGTAATTTTCTTTTCTCTTTCTTTTTCTTTTCCTTTTTTTCTCTTCAAGACAAGGTCTCACTCTGTTGCCCAGGCTGGAGTGCAGTGGTGTGATCGTGGCTCACTGTCGCCTCCACCTCCTAGGCTCAAGTGATCCTCCTACCTCAACCTCCCAAGTAGTTGGAACCACAGGCAGGTGCCACCATGTCTGGCCAATCTTTTTCTTTTTTGTAGACATGGGGTCTCACTATGTTGCCCAGGCTGGTTTCAAACTCCTGGGCACAAGCAATCCTCCTGTCTCAGCCTCCCAAAATGCTGGGATTACAGGCATGACCCACAACACCTGGCCAAGAGTGATTTTCAAACCCTGTCTGGTCACCTTAGGAAATCCATATTTACCTAGTAACTGCACCGTGACTATCTTGACAGCTAATGATCCAGTCTCATTCTGTCAGAAAAAGAAATGCCTCTTCCTTACATTAAGAGGAATGGGAAACCTGGACAGCACCTCCCTAATTCCTGGAGTGTGTATGTGAGGGGCGTCAGTGTCAGTGAGAGTTATGGAATGGGGAGAAGATGGAAGGAGAAGGAAGGAGCCTGTGGAGTGCGTGGAATTGAAGATACAGAAAGAGGGATATTTTGAAGATTTATTTATGAACCCTAAACTGTTTTTTTTGTTTTGTTGTTGTTGTTGTTGCTGCTGCTGTTGTTTTCACAGAGACTTGCTCTGTCGTCCAGGCTGGAGTGCAGTGGGGTGGTCTCCGCTCACTGCAACCTCTGTCTCCTGGGTTCAAGCGATTCTTCTGCCTCAGCCTCCTCAGTAGCTGGGACTACAGGTGTGTGCCACCATGCCTGGCTAATTTTCTTTTGTATTTTTAGTAGAGACAGAGTTTCGCCACATTGGCCAGATTGGTCTCAAACTCCTGATCTCAGACGATCCTCCTGCCTTGGCCTCCCAAAGTGCTGGGATTACAGGCATGAGCCACCGTGCCTGGCCCCTAAACTGTTTTTAATTCCTATGATTAATGTGGTTATAAATAAGCTTGGCAAGAAAAATACTTAGTATAATTTATCATCTCAAGAGATAAAAGTATAAAAGTACAAAACTTTAAAATAATGCTCCTTAAAAACATAAGCTCTAATTCTGAATATGCCATTAACTAACTTTGTGACCTTGGACAAGTCACATCACTTTGCACTTTACAATTGAGTGTGTTTGTTTTATCATCTACAAAATGATATAATATTACACACTTTATCCCCTTTACAGGGATACTATGAAGGTCAAATCAGATTACATTAAAATAGTGATAATTACTTACATTTGCATAGTACTTTATCATCCACAAAACATTTCTGCATATATTATTGCATTTGCATGAAAGAGCTTTGAAAAGTTATAGTGTTATAAAAGGACAGTGCCTCTGTTTGAATACCAGCTCCATCTTTCTCTCCTTCAAATTGCTAATCAGTAAGATGAGGCTAGTAGTAGCATCTGCCTCATAGGTTGTTGAGAGGATTACATAATATGCTGCATAGGCAGCTGTGGACTCAGGGCCTGCATAAATAAATATTCAGACCGGGCACAGTGGCTCACACCTGCAATCCCAGTACTTTCGGAGGCTGAAGTGGGAGGACTGCTTGAGCCCAGGAGTTTGAGACCAGTCTGGGCAATAGAGTGAGACCTTGTTTCTACAAAAAGATTTTAAAAATTAGCCAAGCATGGTGACGCATGCCTATAGTCCCAGCTACTCAGGAGGCTGAGATGGGAGGGATCGCTTGAGCCCAGGAGGTCAAGGCCACAGTGAGCAGTGACTGCACTACTATACTCCAGCATGAATGACAGAGTGAGACCATGTCTCAAAAAAAAAAGGAAGAAAGAAATATTCAACAAAATCCACTTTGTTGAATATTTATGTTAATACTCAATGTTAAAAAATGCAAATGTCACCTCCTAAAGGCCTTTCAGGCCTCTTCATCTAAAACAGTGCCCTCCTTCTGCCATCACTTTCCAGTTCCTTGCCCTGGTTTATTTTTCTGAGTAACACTTTATGATATAAAGTAACTACTTTATATCATATTTGCTTAAAATCTCCATGAAGACAGAGATTTTGTCTGTCTTGTTTACCTCTCTATTCAGGATAGTAGATACTCAATAAATATTTATTGATTGAATGAAGTTAGTTATCATAATTGCTATTGTTATTATTACCTAATGTCCCTTCCTCACTTTGCCTTCGACTGTCTTGTATCATCGAGGGCATTAGAAATATTCTCTCTGGCCGGTGCAGTGGCTCATGGCTGTAATCCCAGCACTTTGGGAGGCCGAGGTAGGTGGATTGCTTGAGCCCAGGGGTTTGAGATCAGCCTGGGCAACATGGCAAAACCCCATCTGTACCAAAAATATAAAAATTAGCCAGTCTCATAACCTGGTCTCAAAATAAACAGAAAAAAATGTTTAAAGAAATATTCTCTCCAAGTTTTCAAGAACTACTTAAATCAAGCAATTACCAGGTTGTTGCTGTCTTCCCAGGAATTTTTATTTTCTAGTATGGAGGACCACCAGCAGATGGCAATCAAGGAATACAAAAATCTGAGTTTATCCTATTTAGGAAGATTTTGGTAAATAGATTTAAGAATCATAAGATGAGCTGGGCACGGTGGCTCACACCAAAGTAATCCCAGCACTTTGGGAGGCTAAAGCAGGAGGATTGCTTGAAGCCAGGAGTTTGAGACCAGCCTGGGCAATATAGCAAGACCTCATCTCTATAACAACAACAATTTTTTTTTTTTTTTTTTTTTGCAGGGGTGAGGAATCTCACTCTGTGGCCCAGGCTGAAGTGCAGTGGCTCAATCTCAGCTCACTGCAACCTCCACCTCCCAAGTAGCTGGGATTACAGGCGCCACCCACCATCACACCCAGTTAGGTCTTTTGTTTTTTCGTTTTTTGTATTTTTAGTAGAGATGGGGTTTCCCATGTTTGCCAGGCTGGCCTTGAACTCCTGACCTCAGGTGATCTCCCCGCCTCGGCCTCCCAAAGTGCTGGGATTATAGGCGTGAGCCACCACACCTGGCCTCCATTTTTTTTTTTTTTTTTTTTTTTAGGAATCATAAGATGATAAATTTAAGGTAAGCAGACCACTGTATTCTACCTCTTGAATATCGGCTCTTCTCAGAGCCAGTTTCTCATGCCCCAAACACATCTTCTACCAGTGACTAGAATTAATGTCTAACCTCAAAAAAGTCACCGAAACAAATTATAAGATCCTTTAGGTAATCTAGCGGAAACTTAGGCCTGGTGTGGTGGCTCACACCTGTAATTCTAGCACTTTGGGAAGCCAAGGTGGGAGGATTCCTGGAGCCCAGAAGTTCAAGAACAGCCTGAACAACGAAGCAAGACCCCATCTGTAATTTTAAAAAATTAAAACAACAAAAACAAAGACAAATGGAAACTTTAGTTATTCTATGTAAAAATGAATTAGTAGAATTTGTTTTTATTTAGGTATTATATTTCCTTTTGATTTCCTGCTTACATCTTGAGCCAAGGTACATTTTCTTTGGTATGTAAAAAAATGAACATTTGTGTAAATGCTTTTCCAATGGTAGAAAACTTATAGTTCTGGCAGAATAGAGCTGCAAAATTATCAGAGGGAAGGAATTTGCTGATAACATTCCAGTACATGTACATGGGGATGGGGAAAGGGAGTTCACAGCAATTTTACAACTTTAAGAAAAACGAATTTTACAACTGGTTTTACAAAAATAGGAATTTCTTTTCTTTTTTTTTTTTTTGAGACAGAGTTTCGCTTTTGTTGCCCAGGCTGGAGTGCAATGGCACGATCTTGGCTCACCACAACCTCCGCCTCCTGGGTTCAAGCAATTCTCCTGCCTCAACCTCCCAAGTAGCTGGGATTACAGGCATGTGCCACCACGCCAGGCTAATATTTTTTTTTTTTTTTTTTTGAGACGGAGTCTCGCTCTTTCGCCCAGGCCGGACTGCAGTGGCGCTATCTTCGCTCACTGCAACCTCTACCTCCCAGGTTCACGCCATTCTCCTGCCTCAGCCTCCCGAGTAGCTGGGACTACAGGCGCCCGCCACCGCGCCCGGCTAATTTTTTGTATTTTTAGTAGAGATGGGGTTTCACCGTGTTAGCCAGGATGGTCTCGATCTCCTGACCTCGTGATCCGCCTGCCTCGGCCTCCCAAAGTGCTGGGATTACAGGTATGAGCCGCCGCCCCTGGCCCTTTTCTCTTTTTTTGCACTTTGCTTCTGAAGACGTGTTAGAGAGTAGGTGTTCAATTAAATCAAACACTCTCAATAGGGTAATAGAAGACTTTGTCCTTGTTGACGAATACTGGTATCTATGCTTTCCATTTGCTAAAATTGCTCTGAGTTTCCAGGGAGAGTTGCAGTGTGGTCAAGCCTACAGAATGCTAATACTGCTAATTTTTCTGTTAGGTTGAAACAAAGAGAATTTCAGTTTATAGTTTACAGCTCAAATATATTTGATGGCATAACAAAACCCCTTGAAATATGGCTGGTACTTCATTGTAGAAGATGATTAACCTGTCTTGTTTCATTTTGTTTTGTTTGACGATACCTTTACCAGAAAAAAGCCTCATAAAACACTTTAAAAAACAAACAAACATTGTACCTGGAGAGTGTGGGGAATGTCCAGTATTTAAGAGAAGTTATGAACAATAAATAATATTTTTGGACTTCTGCTATGTATTAGGCAATATTATCTTAAGACAGACAAATTATTTAGCCCATATATATAGATTAGGCAATTAAGGAGCAGTGAGATTCATAGTTTGCCAAGGTTACATGAGCTGAGATTGGAACCAGGCCTATTTGGGTAAATGTAAGCACTTCCCTGCACTATAATTAATTGTTGATCTTATTCTAACAAATGGTGTTAAACACTTGGAACTTCCTAGTTAATGCAGAAATTTAACCAAATCACCTGGGAAACTGTTAAAAATTTAGAGTCCCAGACCATATCCCTAGAGATACTAATTCAGAAAATCTGGTGTGGGGCCTAGGAATCTGAGGTGTGTTTTTGTTTATTTGTTTATTTTTATTTATTTATTTTTTTGAGACAAGAGTCTCACTTTGTTTCCCAGGCTGGAGTGCAGTGGGGCAATCCTGGCTCACTGCAACCTCCGTCTTCCGGGTTTAAGCGATTCTCCTGCCTCAGCCTCCTGAGTAGCGGGGATT
Source organism: Homo sapiens (assembly GCF_000001405.40). Taxonomy (NCBI): domain Eukaryota; kingdom Metazoa; phylum Chordata; class Mammalia; order Primates; family Hominidae; genus Homo; species Homo sapiens. The sequence goes on from NC_000006.12 coordinate 107,980,045, forward strand.
ATAGGCATGCAGCACTATGCCCAATTTTTATATTTTTAGTAGAGACAGGGCTTCACTGTTTGTTGGCTGGGCTTGTCTCAAACTCCTGACCTCAAGCTATCTGCTCGTGTCGGCCTCCCAAAGTGCTGGGATTACAGGCATGAGCCACCGTGCCTGGCCAGGAATCTGAGTTTTTAACAAGCTCTCCAGTGATTGTGCTGCAGGCACTCTTCTGACCTCAAACACTTTGAGAAAGCACAGGCCCAACCCTGTGGACCTTAAAGAACAAAGAATTCTTTGAGAACCTGATGAAAGCTCTAGACCATTTTCTAGATAAATGCACATTTCACATCCCCAAATTTTACCTACAACTTAAGAGGGTTCACAGACACTCTGGACCTATGGATGCTTGGTCTCTTTCCTGTCCCAGTTGAAACTGGCCTGATAAGGAACCTCTTCCACCTCTCCACCGAGAGAGGTCACTCTTCAGCCTCAAACAGCCTCCCTGTTTTTTCTTTTTTTCTTTCTTCTTAACTACAAAGGGAAGAGTTTTCCAGGAAAATGAAGTGACTGTTGTTTGAAAAGGAGCTTCATCTTATAAATAGAGCAGCCTCTGCTGCTGTGCTTCCAAAAGTTAAGCTGAAACAGGATAATAGTGTTATCTGCAATCAGGATGAAGGCCAATCTGGATAAAGGTGTTGGGATTAAAACCAACAGCAGGGACCAAAGATTAATAAGGGCACAACCAGAAGAAAGAATCATTAAATTTATTTTCTCAAGAAGCCCTTTCTCTAATGTCTTTTCAGACTCTAGGTTTTCTCTTAGGTCTTTTATTTTATTTTATTTATTTTTTTGAGACGGTGTCTCCTCTGTCGCCCAGGCTGGAGTGCAGTGGCACAATCTCGGCTCACTGCAACCTCCACCTCGCGGGTTCAAGTGATTCTCCTGCCTCAGCCTCCCGAGTAGCTGGTACTACAGGCTCATGCCATCACCCCCAGCTAATTTTTTTTATTTTTGTAGAGATGGGGTCTCACTATGTTGCCCAGGCTGGTTTTAAACTCCTGGGCTCAGGCTCTCCTCCCACTTCAGCCTCCCAAAGTGCTGGAATTACAGATGTGAGCCACTCACCTGGCGAGGTTTCCATTTTTAAGCTAATCTTTGCATCTTTAAATAACTCAAGACTGATGCAGCCCATCTTTTAAAACATAGCTAATATTGATAGAGTCCTCAAAAGTTTGCTTGTGATATGTTCTGGATTCTGTAACATCGAAAAGGTGTAAGGAGAACATATAAACCAGGAGCTGTAAACCAGGGGCTCCAGACACAGATCCAGAGAAGTTGATAGATAGATAGATAGAAGTTAAGGAAGAAGTGTTGTTTCTGCAAGCACCCTGGTATTGTTCATAAATTTCGTGTGTTTATGTACTTTTGGGGGGAGAGATTCAATGGCTTTCATCAAATGCTTAAGGGAATCTTCAACTAAAATTTTAAAAGTAATCACTTATAAAAGAGTCTTATCTCACAAGGACTAGACAAGCAAACAGGCAGCAAAGCTTGTGGCACAGGCATAGTGACCACTGACTTAAAGTGGCCTATGCACCGTTGTCAAAACACCTGTCACGATTTTGGTTTATATTTGGGACATTCTGCCAGAAGGACCACTTGTTCAGAAACACGTCCTCCCTGGCTGGGTGCAGTGGTTCACGACTATAATCCCAGCACTTTGGGAGGCAGAGGCAGGAGGATTGCTTGAGCTCACGAGTTGAGACCAGCCTGGACAACATAGTGAAACCTCATCTCTACTAAAAAAAAAAAAAAAAAAGAAAGAAAGAAGCATGTCTTCCCTGATGTAGGAAGAGAAGCATGTTTTTTAGAGCCAGAAAAACCTGTTGAATGACAAGGACAGATGATACAAATTCTCCTGGACTCCTAATGCGATTTAAAATCAGGAATGATAATTTCTAATTCATCAGATTGCTGGGAGGTATCAGTGAAATGCCGCATGTAAAGCTCCTCGCACAGTGTCTGGCATAGGTGAGCACTCAGGAGTGTTATTGTCCCTCTTCCTCACCACCACACTAAGATTCTCCATGATGGGAATGCTGAGAACAAGCAATCTGCTGCTAGGATGGGGCTGCACCTGGTCAGACCGACCCGAAATCTGGTCTAGGAAACCTGAGGGAAAACAGATTTGTTTGGAAATTCCTATTTTCAGGTCTCTCACCGGAAGTCACAAGTGATGAAAATACATCATTCTTGTCCTTGAAGTTGTTGGACCCTAAGAGGGCAGATGGTACAAACAGTAAGTTAGCAGCGGCCACAGGGCACAGGACACTCACAGCACATGAATAAGCAGAAATACTCTACGCGCTTGATTAATAACAGGTTGTGATAGACAGGACAAAACCACATGGAGTTGACTTAGGAGGTATTCATGAAGGAAATGATTATTGAGCGATATTTTTAAGGTGGGGGAAGGGATATCATTTAGGAGAAAGAAAGAAAGAGGGGAGAAAGCTGAAAAGGTAGGAGAGAGTGCCATTGGGGCAGGCTTAGGAGCAGATTTGCAGGGCAGCAGGGAAGCCATGCTTGAGGGCCTGTGAAAAGATGACAGCAGTTAGGTGTGGGGGAAGGGAGGTAGCTAATTGGTAGAGACCCTTGAAGCCTGTGATTAGGAGTTTTAATTTAATTCAAGAGGCAATTGGAGCTATTGCAGGCTGCTAAGAAGGGGAGTGATATGATCAAAATGATGCTTGAGGACAACGGTTCTTGCTGTTCTGGCTGCTGTGAGCAGAGTGGATTAGATGAAGGAGATCCTCAGGCTGGGGGTGCTGATCTGAGGCTGTTTCACAAACCAGGTGTGAGGGGACGTGGCCTAGAACAGGATTCTGGGGATGGGGTAGAAGGAGCAGAGCTCGAATATGTTATGTGGGATAAACATTCATTCATTCTTAGAACCGGGCACTGGGTTGGACACTGGATATCGTGGGGCACAGAGGCTAAGATCAGGGGAGACAATTAAGCTTTGTTAATATTGTAGGATTGAAGTTCTGTGACCATTAAATCAGAGAAATGTGGGAGCACATAGCAGGAGCAGCACCTCACTGAGTCATGGGGAGGGACACGGGGGTCAGGGAAGTCTTCCTTGAGAAAGTGGTGTTTAAACTGGGCACTTAAAAAAGAATCAGGAGCGAGGGTAGTGGCTCACTCCTGTAATCCCAGCACTTGGGGAGGTCGAGGTGGATAGATCATTTGAGGTCAGGAGTTTGAGACCAGCCGGACCAACATAGTGAAACCCCACCTCTACTAAAAATACAAAAATTAGCTGGGCATAGTGGCACGCACCTATAGTCCCAGCTACTTGGTAGGCTGACGCAGGAGAATCACTTGAACCCGGGAGGTGGAAGTTGCAGTGAGCTAAGATTGCATCACTGCACTCCAGCCTGGGCAACAGAGTGAGACTGTCTCAAAAAACAAAAAACAAAAAACAACAAAAAAAAAAACAGAATCAGGCTGGGCTCGGTGGCTCATGCCTGTAATCCCAGCACTTTGGGAGGCTGAGGTGGGTAGATCATTAGAGATCAGGAGTTCGAGATCAGCTTGGCCAACGTGGTGAAACCCCATCTCTACTAAAAATACAAAATTAGCTGGGCATGGTGGCGGGCGCCTGTAATCCCAGCTACTCGGGAGGCTGAGGCAGGAGAATTGCTTGAACCCAGGAGGTGGAGGTTGCAGTGAGCCGAGATTGTGCCACTGCACTCCAGCCTGGGCAATAGAGTGAGACTCCATCTCAAAAAAAAAAAAAAAAAAAAAAAAAAAAAAAGAATCAGATCTCAACTGAGTAAGAAGTCATTGGGGAAATGTTACAGGCAGGGAGCCTCAAGATAAAAAGGCAGGGGTAGCCACAAGGGAAGGGAAGAATGACTCCAGGAGAGGCTCAAGGGGGCAAGCAAAGGGGGAGCAGACCGAGAAAGGCCTTTATTTTGCAATATGGGTTGTGGACTTTATCCTAAGGGCCGTGAAGGGCCATAAAAGATGAACGATTCATGTTTCATTTTAACAAAATCCCTCCAGCTATGTTGTGGAGGAAATGTATTGCCGGAGGTTAGGATGGGAATCTACCTGGGAGACATGTTGTCATAGTTTAGGGGAGAGGTGATTGGGAAACTGAGATAGATACATGTGATGGATTCAAGAGATATTTAGGATATAGAACTTAGGGGATGAGAAAAAGATTGAGAGAAGAGAAGGAAGGCAAGAGTATAAGAACAGATGTCATCAGCCCAGGGAGGGAAGAGGTATTGTTTAGGGTCACACAGCCAGCCTGTGGAAGTATCAGTATTAAAATCCAAGTCTCTAGTATTTAAAACAATAACAACTATATATATATATATACACACACGTATATATGTATACTTGTATATATGTGTATATATATATTAGGCTAGGCATGCTCATGCCTGTAATGCCAGCACTTTGGGAAGCTGAGGCAGGAGGATCACTTGAGCCCAGGAGTTAGAGATTAGACTGGGCAACATAAGGAGACCTTGTCTCTACAAGAAAACAAAAAAATTAGCCGGGCGTGGTGGCATACACCTGTATAGTCCCAGAACTCGGGCGGCTGAGATGGGAGGATGGGTTGAGTCTGGGAGGTTGAGGCTTCAGTGAGCCATGATTACACACTGCACTTCAGCCTGGGCAACAGAGTGAGAACTGTCTTAAAAACAAAAACAAAAAACATGATCTTTCCTTTCCTTTCTTATCATGCTCATGTTTTCCTTTCCATACTTGAAAATATTTTTAAAATTTATAATAGCTATTTTAAGTTCCTTGTCTACTTAATCCATTATCTCTGTCACTTATGGATCTGTTTCTATTGGTTAGTGTTTCTCCTGGGTGTTAGTTCTATTTTTCTGCTTCTTTGCATGCCTGCTAATTTGTATTGGTTGCCAGACATTGTGAATTTTATTTTGTTGGATGCCAGATTTTGCAGTCTCAGTCTCTCTCTCTCTCTTTTTCCAACATGTCAAAAAGAACCTTTACTACTTTTATAATAGCCTCTTAACGCTTTCTTGCCAGATGCTTTTGGACAACATGCTTTCTGGGCACGTTGCTTTTGAAACTTCTGAGCTTTCAGAGGAGGCACTGCCTCTAGCCTGTGGCTTTCTGGGCAGGAACCTTCTGGGCTGGAGCCTTCTTGCCTGCAAGAAGTCATCTTTTTTGCTGGAACTATAGCAGCAGGTACTTTTGGGGGAGAAGGTTTCAAGAGACCTGCCTTTTGAAGCTTCATGTTCTTTTTTTTTTTTTTTTTTTTTTTTTTGAGACAGGGTTTCACTCTGTCACCCAGGCTGGAGTGCAGTGGCACAATCTCGGCTCACTGCAACCTCCGTCTCTCGGGTTCAAGCAATTCTCCTGCCTCAGCCTCCTGAGTAGCTGGGACTACAGGTGCATGCCACCAAACCCAGCTAATTTTTATATTTTCAGCAGAGATGGAGTTTTGCCATGTTGGCCAGGCTGGTCTCGAACTCCTGATCTCAAGTGATCCACCTACCTCGGCCTCCCAAAGTGCTGGGATTATGGGTGTGCGCCACCGATCCTGGCCTTTTTTGAAGCTTCTTAATGTCATTCTTGATTATTCTGTTCCTCATTTTCTTTGCCTTTGTGACTCTCCTGTATATTATGAGCAGAGTCCTGTGCTCCCCCATGCCACGTGGACAGCGCCTGGGGAGAGTGACCTCCCAGGATATCCACACTGGAAGGTTTTGTCGTGTTCTTAAAGAGTTTTGGACTTGCAGGATTCTCGCCAACCAGGATCATGCTCAGGTTTGTTGCCTGAGGCCACCCACTCTTCCACCTCCTGCCGCACTTTCTGCTTGATCTGCTGGGCTAGTTTCCTTCCAGAAATGACAACAGCTTCATTTTGAACTGCCGCGAGGTGGAAGGGAGCAGCTATGTGCAGGCTGCAGCAGCCAGGCAGCCAACACGGACATGAGGGAAGTCGCAGCCATAGCCCGCGCCGGTGACCACGACGGGCCAGGTCACACTTTAATCAACAGCAATCACCAGAAAATTCAGTTATGAACTCAGTAGAATTCAGCACTTGCCAAAAATTCTTCAGACATATGTTGTTTAAGAGTTACCATGTAAGGACTAATTAGCCATTATTCTTTTCAGTTCTCTACTTTCCATTTCTATTTCCTGTCAGTGCAGTAGAAAGTCATGGTGGCCGATGTAGGACTGTCTATGGGCAAATTAGAAAAAAGTGTCCCTCGGGCCAGGCACAGTGGCTCATGCCTATAATCCCAGGACTTGGAGATGCTGAGGCAGGAGAATCACTTGAGCTCCGGAGTTCAAGACCGGCCTGGGAAACTTAATGAGACCCCTTTTCAATTTAAAAAGAAAGAAAGAAGTGTCCCCTCCTTAAGACATCTTTTTGTATCTATTGGAAAACTGTCATAAACATCTGATTTTATTAAAACAAGAAACGTTGGCTAGGCACAGTAGCTCACACCTGTAATCCCAGCACTTTGGGAGGCCAAGGTGGGTGGATCACCTGAGGTCAGGAGTTCGAGACCAGCCTGGCCAACATGGCAAAACCTCGTCTCTACCAAAAAAAAATTAAAAATTAGCCGGGCATGGTGGCGCATACCCGTAACCCCAGCTACTTGGGAAGCTGAGAATCACTTGAACCCAGGAGGCGGAGGTTGCTGTAAGCAGAGATCATGCCACTGCACTCCAGCCTGGACAACAGAGCAAGACCCTGTCTCAGAAAAAAAAAAAGAAAAGAAAAAGAAAAAAAGAACAAGAAACATTATTGCCATCTACCAGACTTTTTATTTTTTTGAGACAGAGTTTTGCTCTTGTTGCCCAAGCTGGAGTATAATGGCTCAATCTCAGCTCACTGCAACCTGTACCCCCGGGGTTCAATTTATTCTCTTGCCTCAGCCTCCCGAGTTGCTGGGATTACAGGCATGCACCATCATGCTCGACTAATTTTGTATTTTTAGTAAAGACAGGGTTTCACCATGTTGGCTGGGCTGGTCTCAAACTCGTGACCTCAGGTGATCCGCCCACCTCAGCCTCCCAAAGTGCTGGGATTACAGGCGTGAGCCACTTCACGTGGCCTACCAGACATTTTTCATGATAAATATTCAAATCTACAATGTAAATAGCATCCCTCAGATTTACATAGGTGCCCTGGGTCAATGAAACCACCAATAATAAGAAAAGTAAAATATAGACATAGATTATTAAATTGTAAAAAAATTAAGGTGAACTCATCATATATAAAGGAAATATCTTCCCAGCTCTGTCATTGAAAGTGACCCCCCTGTGGCACTCCTCTTACCTTCCCACCAACATTTTTATGCACTCCTAACACCCAGATTTTGTTCTCTAAAAGTATTCTCCATTAAACAGAACCAAGGTGTCTTCCATAAAAGAACTCTACACCTGTTTGGTATATCCTATTATTTGCAGGAAACAAATGTTACTGGAAAGGGGTCTGGATCCAGACTCCAAGAGAGGGTTCTTGGATCTTGCGAAAGAAAGTATTTGGGGTGAGTCCATACAATCAAGTGAAAGCAAGTTTATTAAGAAAGTTAAGGAATAAAAGAATGGCTACTCCATAGGCACAGCAGCCCTGAGGGTTGCAGGTTGCCCATTTTTATGGTTATTTCTTGATGATATGCTAAACAAGGGGTGGATTATTCATGCCTCCCGTTTTTAGACCACATAGGGTAACTTCCTGACGTTGCCATGTCATTTGTAAACTTTCATCGTGCTGGTGGGACTGTCTTTAAACATGCTAATGCATTATAATTAGCATATAATGAGCAGCAAGAACAACCAGAGGTCACTGTCATTGCCATCTTGGTTTTGGTGGGTTTTAGCGGGCTTCTTTATTGCAACCTATTTTATCAGTAAGATCTTTCTGATCTTATCTTGTGCTGACCTCCTATCTCATCTTATGACTTAGAATGCCTAACTGTCTGGGAATGCGGCGCAGTAGGCCTCAGCCTTATTCTACCCAGCCCCTGTTCAAGATGGAGTTGCTCTGATTCAAATATCTCTGACACAAGGATGTCAAAGGCAATACTGAAAGGAAAGGAAGCCAACCAAAAGGGCTCCCATTGGCCAGCCTGTGATAATGTGAGCATTAGAAAATAACAATATCAATTTTAGATATCTTTAGTAGTAGTAATAGTAGTAGTAAGTAATAATATGACAGTTATTTTGAACTAGCTGAACCTGGATAGCAATGAGTTTATAACCATAATCAAAGGAGAAACACTCTTTTAAATAGCAACAGATAGTTGTAATAAATAAAAAGGGTGAATATTGAGGACTAAACTTTGACTTTTTTCTTTTCTTGCCCAAATTCCTACCTAAGGGGCCTGAGGAGTCACATCCTACAAACCATAAAGTCTCATCAGAGGGGCTTTATTTAACCCTATATAACGTGGCTCACTTTCCAACTTGACTCTGGCATAACATCGCATAACAAATAAGGAAGAAAATCAAAATATTTTCACTCCAAATATATTTCCTTGCCGTATCTTGAAACTGCCCTGCAAAGTCATCTCTTGTCGGGGGAAATCCCCTTTCTGTAGAGAATTCCCTTTCCCTTTTTCCAGGAGAGAATCAACAAATATTTACAATCTCTTCTCTCTGAATACTGCTACCTGGAAGCCTCATCTCCATAATAAGAACCTTGGTCTCTACAACCCCTTGTCTTAACCTAGGCATTTCCTTTCTTTTGATCCCAGGTCCTTAGATAAACTCTTTAACCAATTGCCAATCAGCAAATTTTTAAATCTATGGCCTGGAAGCTCACCTGACCCAGCTGTTTTGAGTTGTCCCACCTTTCTGGACCCAACTGAACCAACGTAAATGCTCAAAAATGTATAAAACCAACCACCTTGGGCACATGTTCTCAGGATCTCCTGAGGGCCGTGTCATGGACCATGATCACTCATATTTGGCTTGGAATAAATCTCTTCAAATATATTACGGAGTTTTACTCTTTTCATCAACAATATGATAAAATAGATTTCATTTTTATTGATTTTGGTAAAAGTTATAGTATGGATATTAGTTGTTGTTGTTGTTGTTTTGAACTACGTAAGTAGAAAACAGTAAATATGGCCAGGTCCTATGGTTTACACCTGTAATCCCAGCACTTTGGGAAACTGAGGTGGGAGCATTGCTTGAGTCCAGGAGTTTGAGACCAGCCTGGGCAACATAGTGAGACCCTGTTTCTACCAAAAATTTTAAAAATTATCTGGGTGTGGTGACACATGCCTGTAGTCCCAGCTACCTGGGAGGCTGAGTTGGGAAGATTGCTTAGGCCTGGGAGGTTAAGGCTGCAGTGAGCTGTGATTACACCACTGCACTCCAGCCTGGGCAACAGAGCGAGACCCTGTCTCAGAAAAAATAAAAAGAAAAGAAAAGAGTAAATATAGACAGTAATGAGTCAAATTATCCCTAAAGAATTAGGTGTTCAGCCAGAAAAGCAAAATCCCTACCAGTCCAGGGGCAGCTCAGATAGAAGCAGGTCAAAGGCTCTCTGGGAGCTGGTCAGCACTGGGAGTCCTTGGCAGTTGCCAGTGAAAAAGAGGAGCCAATTCTGTGCTCCAAGGCAACACATTACCCAAATTCCTCAAGGAAGAAGATCGTTAGTGATACAGGAGCTAGAAATAAATTATTTATGCAGATAGATAGTGAGGGCAAAAGAGTCCTTAGTAAGGGTTCCCTTTTAAGAAAAAGTAGCCCAAGGAATTATTATTTTTTTCTAACAAAGAGCAGACCGAAAAATCAAGCTGCAAATGTAGATAAGCAAGCTGGAAGTTTGCACAGGGGAACACCGGCAGCTGTGCCAATAGAAAGGTGTTACCTGGGGGCCAGGCATATCCAACATGGAGGCTCCATCTTCCCTTTTTTGTTACCATGTGTACAGTACAGGAATGGACATCGTGGCATCGGCCAGGCAGATAACCCATCTGCATAATAAAAGATTAGGGTGGGGGTGGCCATCTTTTCATGCTATATGCAAATGGCACACCTAGCCCTAACCAGTTTTTCACACCTATGCAAATGGTACACTACCTGGTCCAAACAATCTTTTGCACCATATGTAAGTCAGACACTGCCTCCTCAAGCTCATCTATAAAACGCCCTGCATTTCACTGCAGATCTAGCAACCCATTTCTCTGGGACCCCTCTCTGCTGCAAAGAGCTCTTCTCTTTCTTTCATCTATTAAACTTCCACTCTTAACCTCACTCCTTATCTGTCCATGTCCTTGATTTCCTCGGTGTGAGACAACGAACCTTGGGTATCACCCCAGATGACAAGGCCACTTCATTAGTAGACCTTCCTAATTATGAGCTATGGATGGAGCAAATGTAAGTTTCCAAGATATTGAAAGACCCAGAACAATGGGTGAGGTACAACCAGCCTTGCATGCAAAACTTAAAGAATATATCAGACACCAAATTTCAAAAGATTAAAATCTACTTGAAAGTCAGGAACTTAAGAGTCCTGTGATTAAATAAAGGAGACCAAATTATAAAGAGGGACCCCACCTAATAACCTTCACATGGTGCTGGGAGAAAAGCTGAGTGTTGGGAGCAAAGCTGAGGTAGGGCTTGCATGTCTGCTAGACTTGCTGGCTCCTTGCTTCTAGCACTCCCATTATCTCAAGTAGCCATATGTTTCTCATTCACTTGATACACCGTTTCCTTTCAACCCCCACATCCTCACCAACTCTTTCTTTGTTTGATCACCAATAAATAGCGTGGGCTCCCAGAGCTAGGGGCCTTTGCAGCCTCCACACTCGCGATGGCCCCCCCGTCCCACTTTCTCTCTCTGTCTTTTTCTCATTCCTTTGACTCCGCCACACTTCGTCGCCCCCACAACCTGGTATTGGGTCTGATCACCCCAACAACATGGCCTGATGTAGATCTCTTTGAACTAGACAATTAAGTCCCAGATCCCAACCAATAATCAGTCAACAACCCCAATTCTGACCTTGGTTGTTCTGAGATTGAAGAGCGAATTCATGAATTGTATAAGTATAATCAAAGACAACCAAAAATTTTTACTTTTTCTCTCAAAAGCTAAATGTAGTGTAGTGCCCCTGTAGTCTAAGTTAGAGAAGAATACTAACTGCCTGTTTTTCCTTCTGTGCTCAGTGAGCCTTGCCTGTACTTGCTAGTTTCACATTCCTTGAGGCTCAGCGAGTTCCTGCTTCAGCTTCCTAGCCCAGCTGCAAAGTTACAAGGTTGATACAGAAACATGGTTTCCCAAGGATGTGGAACATGTAGTATAGATAAATGTAAAAGACTGATCAACTGCCTTAATTCTCGCTTCTGTAAGTACACTTCCTGCATCACGTAGCTCCTGACCACTGACTGCTTAAAAGGTGGCTGCTTTCTTTGTCCGGGGCTCAGACTTTACTGGATGCTAGTCCTACTGAGCCAGGTGATCACCTTTTAATAAAGACCTTTCCTGAACTCACGCTGTTCGGTGTCTCCCATCTTTGATTGTCCCGCAACAAGATCTTTTTGTTTTGCTTTTTCTTCTTTATTCCTTTTAGTGCTGGTAAAATCATTATTTTTTTTGAGATGGAGTTTCACTTTTGTCACCCAGGCTGGAGTGCAATGGTGTGATCTCGGCTCACTGCAACCTCTTCCTCCTAGGTTCAAGCGATTCTCCTGCCTCAGCCTCCTGAGTAGCTGGAATTACAGGCAGCCAACACCACGCCCAGCTAATTTTTATATTTTTAGTAGATACGGGGTTTCACCATGTTGGTCAGGCTGGTCTGGAACTCCTGATCTCAAGTGATCCACCCGCCTCGGCCTCCCAAAGTACTGGGATTACAGGCATGAGCCACCACGCCCAGTCAGTGCTGGTAAAATTAGTGCAACCCTGAGAAGTGTGAATAGAATATTCACCATATGCTACATATAGTAATATTTCTACAACCTCACTGTCATAGCTCAGGTTCCCCGGGAGACAACCTCTGAGATTCTGAGATTGTATGCAGGAGATTTATTGGGAAGTGCTCTTGGGGTTCACCATCTATGATGGGTGGTAAGGAAAGCAGGATTCGGTGGTGGGGGAAGGTAAACTGCAATGCAATCACTACAAAAGTCTCAGCCAACCTTGCAGATTGCTGTGAATCTGGGGTGGCCCTTCAGAGATGTCTCAACTTGCTGCCAAGGGGCCAGGCCTTTGTTCTCTCTTATGGACAAGTCATTGAATGTAACATTCCCCCACCCCCACCCACCAGGAGGCATAATCTTGGAGCTTTCATTGGCAGAGAGACCCTGCTCTGGGAGGGGCTCAGTTATGAGCTGTTTGGCCCCTGAGGGAATGAGTGCCTTAGTCCTGCAGAAGGATCTAAATGGCACACCACAGCATTCACTATATACACGCAAAAATGTAAGTCTCGGGAGATATAAAAATTAGATTAGATAAGCATAAAGAGCCAAGTGCCTGTAGTCCCAGCTACTCAAGAGGCTGAGGCTGGAGGACTCCCTGAGGCCAGGAGGTTGAGTCTGCAGTGTGTTATAATCAAGCCTGTGAACAGCCACTGTACTCCAGCCTCGGCAACATAGTGAAACCTCATCTGTAAAAACAAATATAAAAAAAAAGCATAAAGAAAACCTTTAAATCCTCACCGCTAGCCTTTTCTAATCAGTTTTAGTATAAATATGCAGTTTTGTAATTATTGTGAGATTTTGTGTGTGTTGTCTGCTCTTTAAAGTGTTTAAAGAGCATTTGAGAGACTCCGATTGAACTTGGGATTTTCATTAAATGATTAGAAGAGTTTAGTTAAATAAATTTTGGTAAATGTTTAAATGTTTAGGGAAATTTAACTTATTTAAACCTATTAAGTTTGGGTTGGTTCCTCTTATAAGTAGTTTGAATACTTACGAGTGTTAATTGTTTAAGGAGACGTTAATTTAACAAATTCATAAAATTAATAAATTTGGCATGGAACAAAGCCCAAAGAGTAGTGAGCATTACTCTCCATACACAAAAGCCTCTCAGACATTAAATAAGCTATCAATATATTCCAGGATGGCAGGGTTTTTTTTTTTGTTGTTTGATTTTTTTTTTTTTTTTTTTTTTTTTTTTGAGACAGAGTCTCACTCTGTTGCCCAGGCTGGAGTGCAGTGGTGCTATCTCTGCTCAATGCAAGCTCCACCTCCCGCGTTCACGCCATTCTCCTGCCTCAGCCTTCTGAGTAGCTGGGACTATAGGCACTCACCACCATGCCCGGCTCATTTTTTGTATTTTTAGTAGAGACGGTGTTAGCCAGGATGGTCTCGATCTCCTGACCTCGTGATCCGCCCGCCTCGGCCTCCCAAAGTACTGGGATTACTGGTGTGAGCCCCCTCGCCCGGCCGATGGCAGGGGTTTTATCTTTTCATCATATACGCCAATTTCAATCATTGGTGGTGGATGCTATGTTGAGATCTATGACGTCTGGGCTCAGTGGGAAATTCTGTCGTGATTGACTAGTCATGTCTGCCACAGGTGTGACAGCTCAGAGGATCAGCATATATGCAATATATTTATCAACATTGGGTCATTAGATAATCAGAAAAAAAGGTATTCAAACTATATTATCAGAAAAGAACGTATCCAAACTATATTATCTTTACTCCCCCTGGAAAGTCTTCACTGAATTTAAAATGGAATATCATTACCTAGGCTTTTATGTAGGGGTGATATCAGGAATATCCATCTAAATAATGTTTCTCTATATTTTCGGAACTGAGACTGAGAACACTGTAATCTTAACCAGTGTCCCTACATAAGGTTTCTTGTAGTAAATTTCTCCTAGAATTCAGTTGCAGAAAAAGTGTTTTCACTGGGTGCAGTGGCTCAAGCCTATAATCCAGCATTTTGGAAGGCTGAGGCAGGCAGATTACTTGAGGTCAGCAGTTCAAGATCAGCCTGGCCAACATGGTGAAAGCCCACCTCTACTAAAAATACAAAATTAGGCCGGGCGTGGTGATGCACACTCGTAGTCCCAGCTACTCGGGAGGCTGAGGCAAGAGAATCACTTGAACCCGAGACGTGGAGGTTGCAGTGAGCCGAGAATGCACCACTGCTTTCCAGCCTGGTGACAGAGCGAGACCTTGTCTCAAAAAAAAAAAAAATACAAAATACAAAATTAGCCGGGCATGGTGGTGCACCTGTAATTCCAGCTACTTGGGAGGCTGAGGCAGGAGAATTTCTTGAACCCCAGAGGTGGAGATTGCAGTGAGCTGGGATCATGCCACTGCACTCCAGCCTGGGTGACAGAGTAGGACTCTGTCTCAAAAAAAAAAAAAAAAGTGTTTTCATTGGATGAAAGAGTATGACCCTTTTATTGGGCAACAAAATAACAGTGAATTATACTGTCAAATTGCAATCCTCCCTTCCCTCCCCACCACTACTTTTTGTTTTTCACTCCGGCAGTAAAAATCTGCATTGCTTACTAATACTTTGGTGTGAGTATATTCTTCAGGGAGCTCAAAGGGACTCTGATATCTGCATTGAGGTAGAACGCATAGGACACACACTGAGACAACACAGGAATAGAATGGTGAGGGGGGTCAGCTGAAGTCAGAGTTAAATATTTCAAATGCACTGTCTGAGTCCATTCATTTCATAACTGAATGTTTAAGGATTACAGAGACTACTAGGCATGGGTACAAGAAGATGAGTAATGGCTGAGCACAGTGCCTCATATCTATAATCATAGCACTTTGGGAGGCCGAGGTTTCTTTCTGTGGAAGAATTCCTTGAGCTCAGGAGTTCAAGACCAGCACTGGGCAACATAGGGAGATCCTCGTCTCTACTGAAAATACGAAAATTTGCCAGGCTTCACAGTGCCACCTGTGGTCCCAGCTACTCGGGAGGCTGAGGTGGGAGGATTGCTTGAGCCCAGAAAGGTGGAGGCTGCAGTGAGCCAAGATAATCCCATTGCACTTCAGCCTGGGCGACAGGAGTGAGTCCCTGTCTAAAAAAAGAAAAAAAGAGAAAAAAAAATTTGTGTTTTGGAAATACTGTAGAATCCTAGTTTCCATTTATTGGATGGATTGGATTGGGAGTCAAGCTTTCAGGCAGGGACTATTGTTTCTGGAAAATATGGTTGAATAAAAAAAGGAAGTGTGAAACAACCTGTACAGTGTGATCTTATTTCAATACCACATTTTGCTGTGTATGTGTATATGTATATATATACACATATATCTCATACATATACATAAAGATCTTGAAAATGTATATATCAATATCAATCTAATAACAGAGTTTATCTCCTAAGGAAGGGGAAGAGAGGAGGTGTAGAGTGGACCAAAGAACTTGCCTTTGGCCAGGCTCAGTGGCTCATGCCTGTAATCCCAGCACTTTGGGAGGCCAAGGTGGGCGGATGGCTTGAGCTCAGGAGTTTGAGACCAGGCTAGGCAACGTGGTTCGAACCCTGTCTCTACAAAAAAAAAATACAAAAATTAGCCAGGCTTGATGGCACACACCTGTAGTCCCAGCTAGATTGCTTGAACCCAGGAGGTTGAGGCTGCAGTGTGCTGAGATGGAGCCACTGCCCTCCAGCCTGAGTGACAACGTAAGGCCCTGTTTTAAAAGAAAAAAGAAAAGAAAAGAAAGAAAGAGAAAGAAAGAAACTTAGCCTTTGTTCTGCAGACTTAATTTTGTAAGCAGAATTGAGATCTACATCCAGTTACCCGTTGTGAGTGATGAAGTGACTTGGGACCTATTCGAACATAACATATTCTTCCAGGGAAAGTCTCATGGGTTCAGCCGTTCAGCGACTATTCACTGGGCCCTGGACACTGCTGGGGCGATGGGAGGTTCCTGCCCCTGTGGAGTTTACAGTCCAGTTGTGGAGGAGAGAGACACACGTGAGACACTAATCTGACGATGCTAACAATGTGTGCCAGGCAGTGTATAACACATATGTTCTGGAGACAGGGGGATCTCTAAAAGTTTGAGTTGGATGAAAAAGCCTTCTCAGAGAGGCAGGGATTGAACTGGCCCCTAGAGGAAGAGCTTTCCAGGCTAGGACTTCACGTGAGCAAATGCACAGATGTTGCATTGTGTTGACTATTGAATATGGTGCATTTAAAGTACAGTCATGGCTGAGGGTTCAGAAGTGGGAAGTGACTTTGGAAAGGTGGTTGGGCCATCTCTCAAGATGAGGGCAGAAGGCAAGGCTGAGGCTCCTAAATGACAGTTATAACTAAACTTATATGTTGAGTAGACATTACACATGACCTATTGGAAAGAAACTATTAAGTGATGTACTATAAAGTCATTTTAATTTGCCCACAGAGGCATGAGTTGGATTTAAGGAAGCAAATCCTTTTAAAATGGACACTTTAGAGTCTATTCCTCTTGTATCAAATTGCTGTTGGGAAATGAAGAAATTTGGGGACATGATGGAAATGCTCTAGTTTTTTGTTTTTTGTTTTTTTTTTAGACAGGGTCTCGGTCTGTCACCCAGGCTAAAGTGCAGTGGTTTGATCAAGGATTACAGCAGCCTCGGCTTCCTGTGCCCAAGCAATCCTCCCACCTCAGCCTCCCAGGTAGCTGGGACCACAGGCACATGCCACCACACCCAGCTATTTAAAAAACATTTTTTTTTTTTTGTAGAGACAAGGTCTCATATGTGGCCCAGTGCTGGTCTCAAACTCCTGGGCTCAAGCAATTCTCCCATCTCGGCCTCCCAAAGTGCTGGGATTATAGGCATTACGGGCGTGAGCCACCATGCTCAGCTTTATTTTTGTTTTTGTTTTTTTTTAAGTGGAGACAGGGTCTCACTATGCTGCCGAATCTGCTCTCAACCTCCCAGGCTCAAGCAATCCTCCCACCTAAGTGTCCTGAGTAGCTGGGGCTACAGGAGTGTACCACCATGCCCAACTAATTTTTAAATATTTTTGTGGAGACAGTGTCTCCCTATATTGTTCAGGCTGGTCTCGAGCTCCTATGCTTGAGTGATCCTCCCACCTCAGCCTCCCAACGTGCTGGGATTGCAATTGTGAGCCACTGCACTTGGCCTACTCTGTGTCTTGATTGTCGTGGTGTTTTTACAGATGCAAACATTTGTTAAAATCCTCTGCATTGCACACTTAAAATGGGTGTGTTCTCTCGTGAGCAAATTATACAATACAAAATAACAGAGTGAATCTGAAAAATAAAAAATAACTGCCCTGGACTTCCTTTCCTTAGGCTGAGCAATACCATTTTAGAAATAGTTTAGGAATTTCAGTGAGTAAACAGGAAAAGAAAGATTCGGAGTTACTAAAGAGACTGGAAACAAAAATTTCCAATTAACTGTATGATTATTAACCAGCCAGCATGGGTTTACATAATAATTCCAGAGGTTTTTATGACTTTCATTTTTCTTTTGCCTTTAAACATTTTCTTCAATAAGCCAATCATGAGAATGTTCTGTAGGTGGTGGGAGGCATGAATGGCCGGGTGCAATTACTTCCCTAGACATTGGAATAAGACACACACACACTTAAACTGGCATTGTAGCTGTTTTTTGGTTTGGTTTTGTTTTGAGACAGAGTCTCGCTCTGTCACTGAGGCTGGAGTGCAGTGGCATGATCTCAGCTCGCTGCAACCTCCACCTCCTAGGTTCAAGTGATTCTCTTGCCTCAGCCTCCCAAGTAGCTGGGATTACAGGCATGCGCCACCACGCCCAGCTAATTTTTGTATTTTTAGTAGAGATGGGGTTTCAACATGTTGGCCAGGCTGCTCTTGAAATCCTGACCTAAAGTGATCTGCCTGCCTCGGCCTCCCAAAGTGCTGGGATTACAAGTGTGAGCCACCACACCCTGCCTAAACTGGCATTGTAGAACTTCTCTTTTTCACTCTACATTGTACCGTTTGCTGTGTTATTTAAGAATATGCAATTCTGCTACAGAAGAAGGAAAAACACCTAGGATGGGTGAAATGCATTGTCGTAGTCAGCTTGGGCTGCTATAACAAAACACCACAGACTTGAGTGGCTTCAACAGCAGGCGTTTCTCACACCTCTGGATTCTGGGAAATCCAGGATCAAGCTGCTGGCAGGTTCAGTTTCTGGTGAGGGCCCTCTTCCTGGTTTGCAGATGGCTGCCTTCTTGCTGTGCCCTCACACGGTAGAGAAAAAGAGCTGTTGTCTCTCTTCTTTTTATAAGGACACTAAGTCTATCACAGGGGCCTCACCCTCACGATCTCATCTAAACCTGATTACCTCGCAAACACCCTGCCTCTAAATACCATCACATTGGGGGTTAGAGCTTCAACATATGAAGGACATCAACATTCAGTTGGGGGAGACACCAACATTCAGCTCATAATACTCATAAGAAATGTTAAGCATAGATAAAAACAAACTTAAGCAGCTTGTGAGAAATAAAATTCATAAGATATGTTAAGTATAGGTGGTGATCAAGCAAATGGCTTATGAAACAATTCATAAAATGTGTTAAATACAGGTAGTAAGTAATATGTTTAAAAGGTCAGAACAAAAGTCTTAAAGACAAAAAGGGGCCAGGTGCAGTGGCTCACGCCTGTAATCCCAGCACTTTGGGAGGCCGAGGCAGATGGATCACCTGAGGTAAGGAGTTCAAGACCAGACTGGCCCACATGGTGAAACCTTGTCTCTACAAAAAATACAAAAATTAGCCGGGCATGGTGGCAGGCACCCGTAATTCCAGTTACTCGGGAGCCTGAGGCACGAGAATTGCTTGAACCTGTAAGGCAGAGGTTGCAGTGAGCCGAGATCGCACCACTGCCCTCCAGCCTGGGTGACAGAGAGAGACTCTGGAAAAAAAAAAAAAGAGGGATGGAAAGTCTATGGGTTATGCTGCCTCTAGGCTGACACTTACATCATCCCTAAATCAGCCACCTTTCAGTAATCTCAGTATCATCTCCTAGGGCCCTACATATGCTTTGCCCCAGAAATGCATATAAAACCTGTAAGTGTTCAGCAGGCTAACTGGCAAGCTATAGCTCTGGCAGGCTTACTTGCTGTGGATCTTTCTAATAGAGTAAGCATAGGGGAGGGAGGGCATCCAGGCACTTTCTGCTGACCCCTCCCCAATTTCAACTCTGCTCCTTCCAACCACACCATTGGCAGAGAAAGGTCATCTTCCCTCAGACCTGCTTGCTCCCTCTCCTAAGAGTGTTAACCTATTCCATCTACATCCTCCTTGCTTTCTGTTGTGTGTTTTAAGTAGGTTCAATCATCTCCACTTTGAGCAATATACATTTCATCTGTGAACCCTTCTGTTCCCTGACCTCTGAGAACTCTTTCCTGATAGTGAAATTGGAGGCTGCCTTTCCCCACAATACAGCCTGATTTGGGGGATAGCCAAAGCAGCCTTCAATCTATTTGATGTTTTTATTGTTTTTGGTTTGTTTGTTTGTTTTTTGTTAGTTTTAGGCAGTGTCTTGCCCTGTTGCCCAGGATAGAATGCAGTGGCATGACCTCAGCTCACTACAGCCTTGACCTCCCAGGCTCAAATGATCCTCCCACTTTAGGCTCCCAAAGTGCTGGGATTACAGGCATGAGCTACTTCATCCAGCCCATTTGATGTTTTCAAATGCATATGAGGTGCAAGTAAAGTTATATTCCTGACTTTCCAAACCAAGTAAGTGTTAGTTTTCATTCAAGCCCCTTTGTCACATCCCATGCCAGGCAGCATGAGTTCTTATGATGTGAGCAGGGGATAAACCAAAATTTTGTCAGGGGTGGGATAGGATTTAGAGGGAGAGGCACATCCCTCCTTGATTCCTATCCATTCATTGATTCAGTAAACACTTAACAAACCCCACCTTTTTCCTAATTGTGGTCGGGTTAGAGTGTTAAATAAGGTCAAATCCCACCCTCAGGAGGCAAGCTTTCTCAAGGAGGCCCCAGATGCATGGCCCTTACACAAACAGGAGAATGAAGTGCAAGAGAGGCATTATAAAGGGCCATGGGAAAGAGAGGTGTATGTGGATGCATGTGCTCTGGGGTGTGTGTGTGTGTGTGTGTGTGTGTGTGTGTGTGTGTGTAACAAAAAGCAGACCTCACAGAGGAAGTGTCATTTTAGAAGTCTTGAAGGAGGAGGCCGGGCATGATGGCTCATGCCTGTAATCCCAGCACTTTGGGAGGCTGAGACAGGTGGATACCCTGAGGTAAGGAGTTCAAAACCAGCCTGACCAACATGGTGAAACCCCACCTCCTCTAAAAATACAAAATTAGCCCGGCATGGTGGTGCATGCCTGTAATCTCAGCTACTCAGGAGGCTGAGGCATGAGAATCACTTGAGCCCGGGAGGCGGAGGTTGCAGTGAGCTGAGATCACGCCGTTGCATTCCAGTCTGGGCAACAAGAGTGGAACTCCATCTCAAAAAACAAAAAAAAGTCTTGAAGTAGGAATAGGAGTTTTCCTGAGGGACAAAAAACCACACTTTGGTCATTCAGAAGGAGGGATGATTATAAGCAAAGACCCAGGCACATGGAAGAATATGAGTGTGAGCTGGGAGCAGTGGCACATGCCTGTAGTCTCAGCTATTCAGGAGGCTGAGGCAGGAAGATGGCTTGAGTCTAGGAGTTCAAGGCTGCAGTGAGCCATGATCTTGACACAGCACTCCAGGCTGGGTAACAGAGCAAGACCCTGTCTCTTAAATAAATAAATAAAAGAGGCTGGGCGCGGTGGCTCACACCTGTAATCCCAGCACTTTGGGAGGCCGAGGTGGGCGGATCACAAGGTCAGGAGATCGAGACCATCCTGGCTAACACGGTGAAACCCCGTCTCTACTAAAAATACAAAAATTAGCCGGGCGTGGTGGCGGGCGCCTGTAGTCCCAGCTACTTGGGAGGCTGAGGCAGGAGAATGGCGTGAACCCGGGAGGCGGAGCTTGCAGTGAGCCGAGATTGCACCACTGCACTCCAGCCTGGGAGACAGAGCAAGACTCCATCTCAAAAAAATTAAAAAATAATTAAATAAATAAAAGAATCTGAGTGTGGACCATGGAGGAGCTAGGTATGAATGGAGCATGGGTGTAGAAAGGGAGGGGCAGGTGACCACACTGGAAAGGTGAGCCAAATTGAGTCCTAGGATGAAAAGCCCATAGGACTCATATTAAGCTGTCCTTCTTGTTGCTCAAAATCAATAAATAATATTTTAAAACTTGCAGTCACTCTCATCACTCTCGATTAATCCTTCCCCTTACATCCATTCCGATAGCAAGTTCTGTTTGCTCTACCTTCAAACAATATCCTGCAAGACCCGCCTTAATCCAGGTGATGGTCCCCTCTCCACTGAGTTGCTACAATAGCCTCTGAACAGCTCACCTCACTTCTGTCGTTACCTGCCCCTCCCCAGCAGTCAACTCAACCCAACCCAGTAGCCTGGGTGATTTTTTTTTTTTTTTGAGACAGGGTCTTGCTGGGTCTCCCAGGCTGGAGTGCAGTGGTGTGATCTTATCTCACTGCAATCTCCACCTCCTGGGTTCAAGCGATTCTTGTGCCTCAGCAGCTGGGACTACAGGTGCACACTACCAAGCCTGGCTAATTTTTGTATTTTTAGTAGAGACAGGGTTTCACCATGTTGGCCAGGCTGGATTTGAACTCCTGACTTCAGGTGATCCACCCGCCTCGGCCTCCCAAAGTGCTGGGATAACAGGCATGAGCCACTGCACCCGGCCTCGTCACCATATTTATGTCTCAGAAAGATCCCTCTCAAGGAGGCTGAGCTGAAGCAGGGGACAAGAGGTGATAAAGGCCCTGCCACAGAGAAAGGCTAGATTCCAGAGACATTTACAAACCAACAGAGATCAAAGGTGTTTTACAGACTGACTACTGAGATTAGAGTTAGTAATAAAGAGTACATTCACTTTAACCCAGCACATATTTGCTGCATATTTGCTAAGGGCAAGGGATCATGGGAAAAAGGGATAAAAGGACAGACCATGTCCCAAGCGGGGTGTTAGGTCAGGTGAGTAGGGAGCTGGAGAGAAGTTTGGTGCATGTGCTGGGAGAATGGGGGGCAGAAAACGCTCAATTTCCAACATGGGGGAAATTCAACAAGACGCCATAGGCTAGGGCGTATCTAAGTTAGGTACTGGAAGAATTTCAAAGGCAAAGACTGGAAAGAACAGTGTGTGGCAGGACAGATTTTGAATTTCAACCTCTCTACCATCTCTCGCAGAACTTTCAATGGAGTTGCTAGTGATTTGAGAAATAATTATTTCCATACCCCATAAAACAAAATAAAATTTTAAAAAGAGGACAAGGTACACAGAAAAGCAGCAAGGAAGAATTAGGATCATTCACCACCAGAATAATTTGGTCCAGAACAAGTGAACCATGTCAATAAGATTTTAAGAAAACACAGCAAAATCACTTCCTTGTTCAGATGCGTCACAAAGGGAAGAACAACAAAAATCCTCCAAGTGAATAACTCTGCTGACTCCCGGACTTTGACCTGGGAGAACAATTTTCTGCCAGGGTGATATTGTTTTATAGCAAGTTGAGATCCTTGGTAAGCAGGATTCCTACATAAAAGCTGACAGTCATACCGGCTTGAGGAACTTGCCTACATTTTTAATAAAACTGTCAGATTAAGCCATGCCTGGCTGCAGTCTATTATTAATACACATTCTTAACTGTCAATTAGTTAACTGGCTAGTAAAAGGAACCTGGCTTACAAGATTGTTGCTAATGAATATAATGCTTTGTTCTCCAGCAAAACATATGCTTAGGTTGTGTAATTAGAAGAAGGGCCCCCTCCCTCCTTCCCCATAGGGAGATCATGTGCAGCTGAATAAAGGCGCTTATTATACCTGTGAGGGGTCAAAGTCTGTGGATCTGTGGCTTATGGTATTATGACAGATTACAAAATCACTCTATTATGCTAGTCAATCTGTTTGCAAGCACCTAGTAGGGAGCTAGCTGGGCACTAGACGCTCCAAAACAAGATTCCCATTGGTTTTCTTCCTAAGGTCTCATGACGGGTCAGCTGTTGTTGACATCACCCCGCTGCTCACATGTCAGTCAGAGCCTTTCTGTCTGACTTCTGCCTCTGTCACTGCCAAGCTGTCCTCTGCGAGTCAGCCCTTGCCTCGGGCCACAACCATCTCCCAAGAACAGCTCAGATGAATTTGAAATCCACAGGCTTTTGTGCTAGTGAAAAGGAAACGGAAGCGGGACACTTAAACCCTGTATGTCTTTTGTTTCTGACTCTCCTTACCTCCTGTCCTTCCCCTCTCCCCCTCTTTTTCTCTTCGACTGTTTCCCTGGTTTCTCATCCCTCTCCTTCCCACTATGGTCATATGCCTTCTTTGAAAACATATTTATTTTATTTTATTTATTTATTTTGAGATGGAGTCTCGCTCTGTCACCCAGGCTGGAGTGCAGTGGCACGATCTCAGCCCACTGCAACCTCCGCCTCCCGGATTCAAGCAATTCCTCTGCCTCAGCCTCCTGAGTAGCTGGGATTACAGGCACCCACCACCAAATCTAGCCAATTTTTGTATTTTTAGTAGAGACGGGGTTTCACCATGTTGGCAAGGCTGGTCTCGAACTCCTGACCTCAAGTGATCCACCTGCCTCGGCCTCCCAAAGTGCCAGGATTACAGGCGTGAACCACTGCGCCCAGCCTAAAACATATTTAGAGGAGAGCACAGCTAATAGACCTGTCTCCTCCAAAAGCCTTTGTTTTGAAGTCAATGGTCACATGCACCTACAAAACCATTTCAAATTCAAGAGGTCGAAAGATATTTGCCTAATACTCCAAAAAAGTGGCTTTACGGAACCTTAATTTTATTACCTCAGCAGACAAATAATTATTTTCCAAAGTTTTTCTACCTTAACTCTTCTACATTTCCGGCAGTCTTCTGCCATTGGCTGGATTGTCTGTGTGGGAAGGGACAGGGACAGGGGGTGATAGTCTACATTCCTGCCACCCCCAGCCTCCCTACCTAGTTTCTGCAACTGACTAAACAGCCCAGAGTTTACAAAGCGGAAATTCACTGGGGAATGTGACATGTCAAATCATAATGTTTATAAGACTTAATGAGTAGGAATAAAACCACAATTTTCCAAGTAGTGATATCTGGAAGAAAAATCATGGAAACCATATCCACAGGGGCTTCAAGCAGAGCTGCTTCCCTGAGGCAGAGGAAGAGTCTGGCGCCACGGGAAAACCAATGTTCACTGCTGCCCATGTATTGTGGAGTCACATCGCTTGGAAGACACAGCCACTTTTCTTTTTTTTTCCCAGTGGAAAATAACTTTTATTGAGACCACACCAGCTGCGAAATCTGTTCCTGGCATTAAGCTCCTTCTTCCTTTGCAATTCCGTCTTTCTTGAGTGGTCCCATGAATGCTTTCTTCTGCTCCATGGTCTGGAAGCAGCCATGGCCAAACTTGGAGGTGGTGTCAATGAACTTAAGGTCAATCTTCTCCAGAGCCTGCCGTTTCATCTGCACCAGCAAGGACTCGTGGAGGGTGAGCACCCGCTTCTTGGTTCCCACCACACAGCCTTTCAGCATGACAAGGTCATTGGTCACTTCACCATAGTGGACAAAGCCACCCAGAGGATTGGTGCTCTTGTCAGACAGGTCAGAGTCAGTGGAGGCATTGTTCTTGATCAGCTTGCCATCCTTGATAAGGTAGCCCTGGCCAATCTTATAGATCTTCTTGTTGATCTCAGTGCGGTGACGGTAGCCTTTCTCCCCAGCACGTGCCACAGAGAAGGCCACACGAGCAGGATGCCATGCCCCAATACAGGCCACCTTGCACAGGCCTCGGTGGGTCTTGCAGGGCAGCTTCTTGGTGTGCCAACGACTGGTGACCCCTTTGTAGCCTTTGCCCTTGGTCACCCCAATGACGTCGATCATCTCATCCTGCCCAAACACTTGGTTCACATTTACCTGCTGCTCGAGCCTCTCGCAGACCCAGTCCAGCTTCTCAGCCACGGTGCCTCCGTTCACCTGGATCTCCATCAGGTGGGCCTTCTTCTGGCGCAGAGGAAGCAGGCGCATCTGGGTGTGGGCAATGACGCGGATGACGTGGCAGTATTTCTTCATGCTGCTGAAGTCCTTCTCCAGCTGCTTCTTGACATCCTCATCCTGCCATTTCTTGCAGTACTTCGTAAAGGCCTTCTTTTTAGATTTATGCCAGTTCTTATAGAAACGCCTCTTGCATTCATTACTGATGTGCTCAGCGAAGACAGTCTTGAAGGTCCGGAGGCCTCAAGGGGTTTCCACATAGCCCACAATGCCCACAACCACCATGGGTGGCGTCTCCACAATGGTCACAGCCTCCACCACCTGCTTCTTGTTCACCTTGGATGCTGGGCTGTCGACTTCCCTCATGATGTGGGTCATGCCAGCTTTGTATCCCAGGAAGGCTGTGAGGTGGACCGGCTTGGACGGATCATCCTTAGGGAAGCTCTTCACCTTCCCACGATGCCTGCTGCTGCGCTTCTGAGGCAGGAAGCCGAGGGACCCATGTCTGGGAGCAGAAAACTTTCTGTGAGACATCACGCAGTCAAATCCCGCCGGTAGAGCACAGCCACTTTTCATCAATGATTTTTTTTTTTTTTTTTGAGATGGAGTCTCACTCTGTAGCCCAGGCTGGAGTGCAGTGGTGCAATCTCGGTTCACTGCAAGCTTTGCCTCCCAGGTTCACGCCATTCTCCTGCCTCAGCCTCCCGAGTAGCTGGGACTACAGGCGCCCGCCACTGCCAGGATGGTCTTGATCTCCTGACTTCGTGATCCGCCCACCTTGGCCTCCCAAAGTGCTGGGATTACAGGTGTGAGCCACCGCACCTGGCCACATCAATGAATATTTTGTAGGTGACCATTAAGGACTGAAAATATCTATGGTAAGGCAAGAGATGACAGAAACCTGGACAGACCTGGAGGAGAAATGGTGTCACCCAAAAGGGCTCTGTAGTTATAAACGAGGAAGCAGCAGCTGAGTTCATCAAGGGTCTGTGTCAGTCACATCTGTATTTAATGGTTTAGTGTTATTTTTTCCCATATATATTAGTCCATTCTCACACTGCTGTTGTCAGAGGTGTTCTAACCAGAGCGACTCTATCTTGAGTGAGGGCCAGGAAAATGAAGCTGGGACTTGCTGTGCTGCATTCCCAGAAAGGTATTCCTAGCCTCTAGATGTTTACAGTTAATGAAACAGATTGATAATGTTTACTAAACAGAACCAGACTTGGGAATGTTCTAATATCCCGATATCTGGAGAACAAAGACATTCCTAATTTTGTTTTAAAGATAATATTCTTTTTTTTTTTTTTTGAGAGGGAGTTTTTTTGTTGTTGTTGTTGTTTTGTTTATTTTTTTTTGAGACAGAGTCTTGCTCTGTCGCCCAGGCTGGAGTGCAGTGGTGCGATCTTGGCTCACTGCAAGCTCCGCTTCCCGGGTTCACGCCTTTCTCCTGCCTCAGCTTCCCGAGTAGCTGGTACTACAGGCGCCCGCCACCATGTCTGGCTAATGTTTTTGTATATTTTTTTAGTAGAGATTGGGTTTCACCGTGTTAGCCAGGATTGTCTCCATCTCCTCGTGAGCTGCCTTGGCCTCCCAAAGTGCTAGGATTATAGGCATGAAAAAGATAACATTCTTGCAAAGTACAGTAATTAAGAAAATTAATCCTTTATCACAAACTCTTGTAGCAGAGCACATCTCCCCATGATCTTTTTTCTTGGTGGTGGTGGTGGTTGTTGTTTTGAGACAGGATCTTGCTCTGTTGCTCAGGGTGGAGTGCTGTATTGTGATCTCAGCTCACTGCAACCTCTGCACAAGAATCAGGGAATTCTTGTGCCTCAGACACCCAAGTAGCTGGGACTACAGGCTCATGCCACCACGCCTGGCTAATTTTTGTATTTTTAGTAGAGACGGGGTTTTGCCATGTTGGCCAGGCTGGTCTTGAATTCCTGACCTCGAGTGATCTACCTGCCTTGGCCTCCCAAAGTGCTGGGGTTACAGGTGTGAGCCACCGCCTGGTGCATGATCTTTTTAAATTTTATACACACACACACACACACACACACACACACACACACACACACACGCAAAAGCATTGTACGTGGATGCATTCCTCCTCCTATTTATAGGAATGCCCTACTCTGTCTGTGGAGTAGCTGTTCTTTCACCACTTTACTTTCCTAATAAACTTGCTTTTGCTGTGCAATGCGGACTCACCCTAAATTCTTTCTTGCGTGAGATCCAAGAACCCTCTCTTGGGGTCTGGATTGGGACCCCTTTCCTGTAACACTATTAAGAAATACCCAAGACTGGGTAATTCATATTAAAAAAAAAAAAAGAGGTTTAACTGACTCACAGTTCAGTATGGCTTGGGTGGTCTCAGGAAACTTACAATCATGGCAGAAGGCACCTCTTTACAGGGCGGCAGGAGAGAGAATGAGTCCGAGTGAAGGGGGATGCCCCTTATGAAACCATGAGATCTCCTGAGAACTCACTCACTTCACAAGAACAGCAAGGGGAAAACTGCCCCCCATGATTCAATTATCTCCACCTGGTCCTACCCGTGACATGTAGGGATTATTACAATTCAAGATGAAATTTGGGTTGGGACACATAGCCAAACCATATCATTCTGCCCTGGCCCCTTTCAAATCTCATGTCCTAACATTTCAAAACACAATCATGCCCTTCCAACAGTTCCCCAAATTCTTAACACATTCTAGCATTAACCCAAAAGTCCAAGTCCAAAGTCTCATCTCAGACAAGACAAGTCCCTTCTGCCTATGAGCCTGTAAAATCAAAAGTTTGTTACTTCCTTGATATAATGGGGGTATTGGCATTGGCTAAATACACCCATTTCAAATGGGAGAAATTGGCCAAAACAAAGGGGCTACAGGCCCCATGCAAGTCCAAAATCCAATAGGGCAGTCATTAAACATTAAAGTTAGAAAATAATCACCTTTGACTCCATGTCTCACATCCAGGTCATGCTGATGCAAGAGGTGGGCTCCCATGGCCTTGGGTATCTCTGCATCTCTGGCTTTGCAGGGTACATCCCCTCTCCCAGCTGCTTTCATGGCTGGTGTTGAGTGTCTGCAGCTTTTCCAGGCACACAGTTGTTGTTGGATCTACCATTCAGCGGTCTGGAGGATGGTGGCCCTCTTTACACAGCTCAACTAGGCAGTGCCCCAGTGGGGACTCTGTGGGGGCTCCAACCCCCATTTCCCTTCCACACTGGCCTAGCAGACGTTCTCCACGAGGGCTCTGCCCCTGCAGCAATATCCAGGCATTTCCATACATCCTCTGAAATCTAGGCAGAGGTTCTCTAACTTCAATTCTTGACTTCTGTGTACCTGCAGGCCCAACACCACATGTAAGCCACCAAGGCTTGGGGCTTGCACCCTCTGAAGAAATGGCCCAAGTTATACCTTGGCCCCTTTTAGCCACAGCTGCAGCTGAGGCATCTAGGGCACAGGGCACCATGTTCTGAGGCTGCATAGAGCAGGGGGGCCTAGGCCTGGCCCATGAAACCATTTTTCCCTCCTAGGCCTCTGGACCTGTGATGGGAGGGGCTGCTGTTAAGGTCTCTGACATGCCCTGGAGACATTTTTCCCATTGTTTTGGTGATTAGTATTTGGCTTCTCGTTACTTATATAAATTTCTGTAGCCAGTTTGAATTTCTTCCCAGAAAATGGATTTTTCTTTGCTTTTTTTTTTTTTTTTTGAGATGGAGTCTCACTCTGATGCCCAGGCTGGAGTGCCGTGGCGTGATCTCAGCTCACTGCAAGCTCTGCCTCCTGGGTTCATGACATTCTCCTGCCTCAGCCTCCCGAGTAGCTGGGACTACAGATGCCCACCACCATGCCTGGGTAATTTTTTGTATTTTCAGTAGAAACAGGGTTTCACCATGTTAGCCAGGATGGTCTCGATCTCCTGATCTCCTGATCCATCTGCCTTGGCCTCCCAAAGTGCTGGGATTACAGGCGTGAGCCACCGCACCCAGTGGATTTTTCTTTTCTATTGCATCATCAGGCTGAAAATTTTCCAAACTTTTTGCACTGCTTCATTTTGGATGGTTTGCTGCTTAGAAATTTCTTCCACCAGATACCCTAAATCATCTCTCTCAAGTTCAAAGTTCCACAGATCTCTAGGGGCAGGGGCAAAATTCCACCAGTCTCTTTGCTAAAGCATAGCAAAAGTCACCTTTATGCCAGTTCCCAACAAGTTTCTCATCACCATCTGAGACCACCTCAGCCTGGACTTCATTGTCCATATCACTATCAGCACTTTGGTCAAAACCATTAAACAAGTCTCTAGGAAGTTTGAAACTTTCCCACATTTTCCTGTTTTCTTCCGAGCCATCCAAACTTTTCCAACCTCTGCCTGTTACTCAGTTCCAAAGTTGCTTCCATATTTTAGGTACCCTTAAGGCAGCACCCCACTCCTGGTACCAATTTACTGTATTAGTCCATTCTCATGCTGCTATGAAGAAATACCTGAGACTGGGTAATTTATAAAGAAAGGAGGTTTCATTGACTCAGTTTCACATGGCTGGGGAAGTCTCAGGAATCTTACAATTAGGAAGGTACCTCTTCCCAGAGCAGCAGGAGAGAGAATGAGTCCAAGTCAAGGGGGAAGCCTCTTATGAAACTATCAGATTCCATGAGAACTCACTATCATGAGAACAGCATGGGGGATACTGCCCCCGTGATTGAATTATCTCCACCTGGTCCTCACCTTGACACATGGGGATTATTACAATTTAAGGTGAGATTTGGGTCAGGACACAGAGCCAAACCATATCACTATGTCTTCTCTGTATTCTTATAGCTCCTACAACTTTATATAATGGTCCTATCAACACAATGTGCCATGGGATGTTCTGTTGTAAAGAAGCCTGCATGCATCTACACAGTTTTTACCTGATGTGTATAAGATGTTCTCTGACTAGAGTAGAGAAGGGAAGTTGGGAAGAGATCCATTGTAGGTGAAGAACTGAGGAAGTGGGACCTGAGATGTTTGAAACAAGAGCCTGTGGTGTCATGCAAAGAACATGGTCTCAGTCATTAGAAACACCTGGATATGACTCATGGCTTACACTTACCAGTTGTGTGAGCTTGGACAAGTTTCTAAGCTTTTCTGAGTCTCTGTTTCATCATATGTAAAAGTGAGTATAACATAATCAGAAATACTTTGAGAGAAAACCAATATAAAAAATGCCCATAGCAGGAGCTCAGCAATGGGTAGTTTTTATCACTACCATTATTCATTTTGAAACACTGGACACTTTAGTGGTACCCAAAGTGTCCTAGCTTTTAATGCTGAAGGATTCAGCAACCATTTCAACATCATATGGTGCAGAACAACACTGCTGTTACTGCTTCATGTGCTAATAAAAAGCCTGTGTTCCAGGCAATTTGCAAAAAGTAAAGCACCTCATGTCTTCCCTTACTAGATTATGGGATTCTATTTTTTATTTTTTATTTTTATTTTTTTGAGAGTCTCGCTCTGCCCAGGCTAGAGTGTAGTGGTGTGATCTCAGCTCACTGAAACTTTCGCCTCCTGGGTTCAAGCACTTCTCCTGCCTCAGCCTCCTGAGTAGCTTGGATTACAGGCACCCACCACCACACCTGGCTAATTTTTGTATTTTTAGTAGAGACGGGTTTTCACTATGTTGGCCAGGCTGGTTTCCAACTCCTGACCTCAGGTGATCCGCCTGCCTCAGCCTCCCAAAGTGCTGGGATTACGGGTATGAGCCACCGCGCCCAGCCCTAAATTATGAGATTCTTTTTTTTTTTTTTTTATTTGAGGCAGAGTTTTGCGCTTGTTGCCCAGGCTGGAGTGCAATGGCACAATCTTGGCTCACCACAACCTCCACCTCCTGGGTTCAAGGGATTCTCCTACCTCAGCCTCCCAAGTAGCTGGGATTACAGGCATGCACCACCAGGCCCAGCTAATTTTTTGTATTTTTAGTAGAGACAGAGTTTCTCCATGTTGGTCAGGCTGGTCTCGAACTCCCGACCTCAGGTGATCCACCCACCTCGGCCTCCCAAAGTGCTGGGATTACAGGCGTGAACCACCACACCTGGCCATGAGATTCTTAAAGAAAAGAATGGTGACTTATTCATCTCATCAACTTCAGGACTTAGCATCAATAGGCACATCACAGTTCCCAATACTGTATGGGCATTCTCATTGAAGAATTTAGAGTGATGTGTGAAACAACCCTAATGACATGCCACCTTTGTTTTTTTAGTTTTTAATTTAATTTTTATTTTATTATTATTATTATTTTGAGACCATGTTGCCGAGGCTGGAGTGCAGAAGCTCAAGAGATCCTCCCACCTCAGAATCCCAAGTAGCTGGGACTACAGGTGTGCACCACCATGCCTGACTAATTTTTTTTTTTTTTTTGTAGAGACAGGGGTCCCTCTATGTTGCCCAGGCTGGTCTTGAACTCCTGGGCTCAAGCAATCCTCCTGCCTCAGCCTCCTAAAGTGCTAGAATTACAGACATGAGCCACTGCACCCAGCCGATGTGCCACCTTTCAAGATGATGAGAAACACTATAAGGAACTGTCAGAGTGCAGCCCCAGTTTAGGAAGAATTGCTATTAGAACCAATTGCCTTGGGATGATTGAGTCTATATGTGTCTTACTGCCCACACTGATGTTCTTGGGAGCTTCATTCCTGGCAGACAATTCCGAATCCAGTCAACATCATAATTGTACAACCCATTGCTATTTGAACAACATCCACAAACCTCGAGCTTGTTTTATTTTATTTTTATTCTTATTTTTGTGTAGAGACAGGGTCATTATGTTGCCCAGGTTGGTCTTGAATTCCTGGCCTTAAGTGATCCTCCTGCCTTGGTCTCTCAAAGTGCTGGGATTACAGGTGTGAGCCACCACACCCAGTCTTTGTTCATTCATATATTCAACAAGTATTTATCAAGCATCTCCAACATGTCAGGTGCTATCTGAGATGCTGGGAATACGTATGGTGAACCAGACAAGCAAATGCTTATGGAGCTTCAACATCACTAAGCATCAGGGAAATGCATACCAAAACCACAGTGAGATATCATCCTACCCAGCTAGACTGGCTGTTGTTTATTTATTTATTTTTTAGACTAGGTTATGAGACTGGCTAATTTTTGTATTTTTGGTAGAGACGGGGTTTCACCGTGTTGCCCAGGCTGGTCTGGGCTCAAGAAATCCACCTGCCTTGGCCTCCCAAAGTGCTGGGATTACAGGCATAAGCCAATGTGCCAGGCCTAGACTGGCTATTGTTAGAAAGATAAAAAACAAACAAAAAACCAGATTCTGGCAAGGATGCAGAGAAAAGAAAACTCCCATACACTGTTGGTGGGAACAAAAATTAGTATAGCCAAGGGGCTAAGGGGAAGGTGGGGATGGTTATTGGGTACAAAAAAAATTAGAAAGAACGAATAAGACCTACTGTTTGATAGTACAACAGGGTGACTATGGTCAATAATAACTTTTTTTTTTTTGAGACAGGGTCTAACTCTCTTGCCCAGGCTGAAGTGGAGTAGCATGATCTTGGCTCACTGCAACCTCTGCCTCCAGGACTCAGGTGATCCTCTCACCTCAGCCTCCTGAGTAGCTGGGACTACAGGTGTGCGCCACTACACCTCGCTAATTTTTTGTATTTTTTTTTTTTTTAGTAGAGATGGGGTTTCACCATTTTGCACGGGCTGGTCTTGGACTTGTGGGCTCAGGTGATCCTCTCACCTCAGCCTCCTGAGTAGCTGGGACTACAGGTGTGCGCCACTACACCTCGCTAATTTTTTGAATTTTTTTTTTTTTTTTTTTTAGTAGAGATGGGGTTTCACCATTTTGCACGGGCTGGTCTTGGACTTGTGGGCTCAGGTGATCCACCCACCTCAGCCTCCCACAGTGCTGGGATTACAGGTGTGAGCCACTGCGCCTCGCCTAATAATAACTTAAAAGTACATTTTAAAAAACTTAAATAGTGTCATTGGATTGTTTATAACTCAAAGGATAAATGCTTGAGGGGATGGAGACCCCATTCTCCATGATGTGCTTATTTCCCGTTGCATGCCTGTATCAAAACATGTCATGTACTCCATAAATATATGCACCTACTATGTACCAACAAAAATAAAATTTAAAAAAATTATAAAAAAAGATAATTAGTGCAGCCATTATGGAAAACAATATGAAGATTTCTCAAAAAACTAAAACTAGAACTACAATATGATCCAACAATCCCACTGCTGGGTATCTACCCAAAGAAAAGGAAATTAGTATATCCAAGGGATGCTTGCACACTCATGTTAATTACAGCACTATTCACAATAGCCGAGATATAGAATCAACCTAAATGTCCACCAATGGATGAATGGATAAAATGTGGTATATATACACAATGGAGTACTCTTCAGCCATAACAAAGAATGATGTTCCCTGGAGTTCATTATGTTAAGTGAAATAGCCAGTCACATAAAGACATATACCACATGTTCTCACTCATATTTGGAAGCTAAAAAAGTTGATCTCATGGTGGCAGAGAATGTATGGTGGTTATTAGAGACTGGAAGGATGTGTGGGTGGGTCAGGGGGATGAAGAGAGGTTGGTTAATGGGTACAAACATACCGGTATAAGTAGGAATACTTTCTTAAATGTTCAATAGCAGAATAGGGTGACTATAGTTAGCAACAACATATTGTATATTTTAAGATAGCTGTAAGAGAGACTTGAAATATTCCTGACACATAGAAATGATAAATGCTTTAGGCAATGGATAAATACTCTGACTTGATCATTACACATTCTATGTACGTAACAAAATATCACATGTACTTCATACATATGTACAAATATTATGCATCAATAAAAAAATAAACTCAATGATTTCAGGTCATGGTAGGTGCTATAAGGGAGACAAATAGGTTGATGAGCTGGAGACTGAGTGGATAAAGGTGGAGCCTCCTGCAGATAGAGTGCCTCAGAAAGCTTCCACTGGAGGAGAAGGAGGCAGTCAGAGAGAGAAGGGAAAGGTCCAGGCCTTGAAGCAGTGAACAGTGGGCGGAATGCAAGGAACAGAGTGGAAGACAGCTGGCTGGAGCGTGGAGTGAGGGGAGAGCATTAAGACACGAGCCTGGGAGAAGCAGGCAGTGTCAGTTCACAAGGGCCAAGCAGGCTAAACAAAGTGAAAGGTTCAGGCTGACCACAAGATTCTCAGGGTTCTCTCACAAAATGTTCGGTGGTTACTTTCTGTGTGTGCACACTCTGTTTCTTCTGCAGGGTACCAAAAGGGCAACCTGGACCATGACAAATGTAAACCTGTTCTTCATCCAAGTGATGAAAAATTACTCATCAACTGCACAAGTAAAAAAAAAATTCGTTGCTCTCAAATTATACTATAAGCTATTACTTTTAAGTCAGTTTTTGTCTATCCTAATGAACAAGGCCCTGTGTTTTCAACCTATTCTTAAGGACTGAATGGGAAGCATGCCTCCCTGGGAACAGTTTTTCAAGAGTAATCTCTTTGATATTTGTA
The DNA here is from genome assembly GCF_000001405.40 of Homo sapiens. Taxonomy (NCBI): domain Eukaryota; kingdom Metazoa; phylum Chordata; class Mammalia; order Primates; family Hominidae; genus Homo; species Homo sapiens. The sequence goes on from NC_000006.12 coordinate 108,014,575, forward strand.
TTAGTCTGTTTTCATGCTGCTGATAAAGACATACCCAAACTGGGAAGAAAAAGAGGTTTATGGACTTACAATTCCACATGGCCAGGGAGGCCTTAGAATCATGGCAAGAGGTGAAAGGCACTTCTTACATGGTGGCGGCAAGAGAAAAATGAGGAAGAAGCAAAAGCAGAAACCCCTGATAAACCCATCAGATCTCGTGAGACTTATTCACTATCACAAGAATAACATGGGAAAGACCAGCCCCCATGATTCAATTACCTCCCTGCGGGTCCCTCCCACAACACATGGGAATTCTGGGAAATACAATTCAAGTTGAGATTTGGTGGGGACACAGCCAAACCATATCATTCCACCCCTGGCCCCTCCAAATTTCATGTCCTCACATTTCAAAACCAACCATGCCTTCCCAATAGTCCCCAAAGTCTTAACTAATTTCAGCATTAATCCAAAAGTCCACAGTCCAAAGTCTTATCTGAGACAAGGCAAGTCCCTTCTGTCTATGAGTCTGTAAAATCAAAAGCGAGCTAGTTACTTTCTAGATACAATGGAGGTACAGGTATTGGGTAAATATACCCATTCCAAATGAGAGAAATTGGCCAAAACAAGGAGGTTACAGGGCTTGTGTAAGTCCAAAATACAGCGGGGCAGTCAAATTTTAAAGCTCCAAAATGATCTCCTTTGACTCCAGGTCTCATATCCAGGTGATGCTGATGTAAGAGGTGGGTTATCATGGTCTTGGGCATCCCCACCCCAGTGGTTTTGCAGGGTACAGGCCCCCTCCTGGCTGCTTTCATGGGGTGGTGTTGAGTGTCTGCACCTTTTCCAGGTGCATGGTGCAAGCTGTTGGTGGATCTACCATTCTGGGATCTGGAGGACAGTGGCCCTCTTCTCACAGCTCCACTAGGCAGCACCCCACTAGGGACTCTGTGTGGAAACTCCAACCCCACATTTCCCTTTCACACTGCCCTAGCAGAGGTTTTCCATGAGGGCCCCCTGCAGCAAACTTTTGCTTCTATCTTCTTCTGAAATCCATACATCTTCTGAAATCTAGGCAGAGGTCCCCAAACCTCAATTCTTGACTTCTGTGCACAGCAGGCTCAACACCATGTGGAAGCTACCAAGGTTTGGGGCTTCTACCCTCTGAAGCCACAGCCTGAGCTATATGTTGGCCCCTTTCAGCCACAGCTGGAGTGGCTGGGACACAGGGCACCAACTCCCTAGGCTCCACACAGCATGGGGACCCTGGTCCCGGCCCACAAAACCGCTTTTTCCTCCTGTGCCTCTGGGCCTGTGATGAGAGGGGCTGCCATGAAGGTCTCTAACATGAGCTGGAGACATTTTCCCTACGGTCTTGGGGATTAAAATTAGGCTCCTTGCTACTGATGCAAATTTCTGCAGCCAGTTTGAATTTCTCCCCAGAAAATGGGTTTTTATTTTCTATCACATAGTCAGGCCGCACATTTTCTGAACCTTTATGCTCTATTTCCCTTTTAAAACTGAGTGCCTTTAACAGTACCCAAGTCACTTCTTGAGTGCTTTGCTGCTTAGAAATTTCTTCCACCAGATATCATAAATCATCTCTCTCAGGTTCAAAGTTCCACAAATCTCTAGGACAGGGGCAAAATGCTACCAGTCTCTCTGTTAAAACACAACAAGAGTCACCTTTGCTCCAGTTCCCAACAAGTTCCTCATCTCCATCTGAGACCACTTTAGCCTGGATTTTATTGTCCATATCGCTATCAGCATTTTGGGCAAAGCCACTCAACAAGTCTCTAGGAAGTTCCAAACATTCCCACATTTTCCTGTCTTCTTCTGAGCCCTTCAAACTGTTCCAATTTCTGCCTGTTACCCAGTTCCAAAGTTGCTTCCACATTTTCGGGTATCTTTTCATCAATGCCCCACTCCTGGTACAATTTACTATATTAGTCTGCTCTCATGCTGCTAAGACATACCCAAGACTGGGAAGAAAAAGAGGCTTCACTAGACTTACAATACCACGTGGCTGGGGAGGCCTCAGAATCATGGCAGGAGGCGAAAGGCACTTTTTACATGGCGGCGGCAAGATAAAAATAAGGAAGAAGCAAAAGCAGAAACACCTGATACACCCATCAGATCTAATGAGACTTATTCACTGTCACAAGAATAGCACAGGAAAGACCAGCCCCCATGATTCAATTACCTCCCCCTGGGTCCCTCCCATAATACGTGGGAATTCTGGGAAATAACAATTCAAGTTGAGATTTGGTGGGGACACAGCCAAATTGTATCAATATTTTTGTCTCAACTTTTTTATGGTACACCACAGTAAAGAGACACTTGGATGGATACCTTTCAAACACCTGAGAATGCAGAAGGAAAGTAATTAACCAAATCCATAAAAAGAAAGTAAAGAAATGAGCAAGGCATGCAGAAAAGTTCTAAGCCTCCCGAATTCATCCAGAGCTGAGGGTCCCTATTGCTCCATGGAGCTGATTAGGATGTTATCAGATCTTTGTACCTGAGAAATACTGGGCCACTGACTAGCTAACTGGAGGAACCAATCAGAAATCTAATGATTAAACTCATATTAAAAGCATTTTTATTTCCTACTTTAATTGGGATTTCTTTTTTATTCTATCTTACATGAGTTTTGCTCTTTAACTCAAGAAACATATTCTGAAAGCAAAAATGCATGTGTGATACTGCTATTATTTTTTTCCAACAAAAGAAAAAAAAATTCAGCCAGCCACAGTGGCTCACGCCTGTAATCCCAGAACTTTGGGAGCCCAAGGCGGGTAGATGGCTTAAGCTCAGGAGTTCAAGACCAGCCTGGGCAACATAGCAAAACCCCATATCTATAAAAAATACAAAACAAAATTAGCCAGGCGTGGTGGCATATGCCTGCGGCCCCAGCTACTCGGGAGGCTGAGGTGGGAGGATGTCTTTAGCCTGGGAGGTGGAGGTTGTAGTGAGCTGAGATCATGCCACTGCATTCCAGCCTGGGCGACAGAGTGAGAACTTGTCTCAAAAAAAAAAAAAAAAAAAAAAGAAAAAGAAAAAGAAAATTTTTTCTTCAGTGCCTGGAGTTTTCTTTCATTTTACTGTTATTTTAGAGAAGCAAGGCAGTGTGACATAGTAGAAAGAATTGAGGGCCATGAGTCAAAAGACTTGGTTTCTAGGTGTCATGCGAAATCATTTCATCTCTTTGAGGCTTGGTTTCCCCCAGGAGCTATTAAGCCATATACAGAAGAGTTCCTTCGGTCTCTTCTAGCTTTAAGAGTCTGTGATTCTAGAAATCAAGGAGCTGATTCTGAGAGAGGATAAAGGAAACACAGGCCAGGTGCAGTGGCTCAAACCTGTAATCCCAGCACTTTGGGAGGCTGAGACGGGCGGATCCCTTGAGCTCAGGAGTCGGAGACTAGCCAGCACAACATAGTGAGACCCGGTCTCATTGCTGTTTTAACATTTTTTTAATTAAAAAAAAAAGAAATATAATGAAAGATGAGGGAGGCAAGAAGAGACAGAATCTAAGAAAAACAAAGAAAGCTTTGAAGAACAAGGATCCTCAATATTGTACTGTAAAGTCAACCTGCTCCCTGTTAACTTCCTTGGAAAAGTGGAATCAACTTTTTGAGCTTTTTATCTTTTCTTCTGTGTCCTGGCTGGTGAAGTTCAAATAAGCACTAAATTGGAGAAAGGCAAGGAGCTGGAGGAATAAGGATAAGAAATGGAAGGACGGATCATTTAGACACTGCAACGCCAGCCCCAAAGTCTTCTAGATATGAAGGTGACAATTTGGCCCTAAAGTTCAAAAAGGTTAAAAAGGATTTTTTTGTGTGTGTCTGCCTGGGCTGCTCCCAATAACCTTAATTCAAAAGGATCCCCATTGTTTAATTCATCCAGAATCTTCTCTTAAACCTTTTGCAGTGTGCATCAGCTGGGATTTCAACAACAGATGGTTGCCCTGAAGGTACTTTGATAGGTGAAGTTTGGAAAAGTTTCTTGGTCCTAAACGAAGTCTAATCTTTTACCGTCTAAACCGATTTGGATTCATTTCAGGCCAGCTTATTCTTAGAAATATATTTACAGAGGCTGGGAGCAGTGGCTCACGCCTGTAATCCCAGCACTTTGGGAGGCTGACGCCGGTGGACCACTTGAGCTCAGGAGTCTGAGACCAGCCTGGGCAACATAGTGAGACCCCATCTCCACAAAAAATTTAAAAACTAGCTGGGTGTGGTGGTGTGCACCTGTGGTCCCAGCTACTTGGGAGGCTGAGGAAGGAGGATCACTTGAGGCTGCAGTGAGCCATAATCATGCCAGCCTGGGCAACAGGGGAAGACCTTGTCTCAAAAAAAAAAAAAAAAAAAAGAGAGATGTATATTGAAGGAAAAACTAACAAGAAGGGGTGATAGACAGCATAAGGCATGTAGGAGAAAGGGCATGTTTCAGTTTGAGCAACTGGATGGGTATTGCTACCTGTTTAGTGAGATGGAAAATCAGGAATTTGGTTTTAGACATGTGATGTTATGAGCTGTAACTCCTAAACTAACCTATAACTCCTCCTGGGGAATATGTGCATTTTTAAGAAGAAAGCTCTCAAGGATCAAAAAAGGTGAAACTAGAGTGGTGGATTGGCAGGCAGTTGGGTTGTCATTTTTAAATCAGGGATTCAAAAATGGGCTTGGAGAACTGCCTATGGAGAAGGCTACCAGGGCATAATGACCACATCGTTATAGAGATGGGCACAGACTCTGGAAGAAAGCCTGAGACATTTCTTCCTCTACCTCCTCCAGTCTACATTCCCCACCTGCCTTTTTCCCTAAGATTTGTTCCGGTGCTACGAACCTGAGGTTTAGTGGAAAATTTCCCCTCAGTTGCTCCTGACTATACTTTGATCCGAAAGGCTGGGTGAGATCTGCCTCACCCTGCAATCCCTCCCAGAGCAGCCCTCACCCCTAGTTCCCAAGCTCGCCGCCCTTGAGGGAGGAAATAGCTGATGCTTCCAAAAAGCTGCCAGACTCTGTCCCTGGGAAAGGAGCCCAATTCATCTGAAAATCAGTGACAGGAAGAAGAAGAAGCTGGAATTGCTGGAATTGAATATTCACACAGAGCAAGAAAGAGAAAGAGGCAGGAGCCAGGTTTCCTGAGCTCTGATTCTTAGAAGCCTTGCTCTTCTCCAAAGTTATCCAAGGCCAGCTGTTTCTCCCAAACAAGAGGAGCCCCTTGAAAAAACAACAGTCCTTAGACCAAAAGAATTTATACCCAAAAATGTTCCTCATAACAAATTCTTGTCTCTTTCCATCTAAATACCTACCACTCGCTTGGCATTTGAAATGTTTCAAGTTACACCAGCTTGAAAAAGCTTCTTATTGATCTCCACTTATTATACTGAAGTTAGACTATGAAGCCATCAAGAAAACTTGGTTTATATTATCTACAAAATCAGTTAATCTAGAGGAAATCCTCATGCTTTTATAAAAGCAACTTTGCTTTTCATGTAAAATTATAATTATTTATTAAAATGGCAAAAGAAACAATAACCACTCCATTAAAAAGGATATGCAAGTCTGGGCATGGTGGCTCACGCCTGCAATTCCAGCACTTTGGGAGGTCAAGGCAGGTGGATCGTTTGAGTCTAGGAGTTCAAGACCAGCCTGAGTGGCATGGTGAAACCCCGTCTCTACAAGAAAACACAAAAATTAGCTGGGCATGGTGGAAGGCACCTGTAATCCCAGCTACTCAGGAGGCTGAGGCATGAGAATCGCTTGAACCTGGGAGGTGAAGGTTGCAGTGAGCGGAGATCGCACCACTGCACTCTTGCCTGGGCAAAACAGTGAGAGTTCATCTCAAAAAAAAAAAAAAAGGATATGCATTTTAAAGTTTTATATAAAATGTAATTGCCTATGTACAATTAAGTTCCATTCTCACTGATTGTTACTGAGTAATCCCTGGTTTCTCACCCAGGATCTGCCTTCGTCCTGTTCTGGGCCCAAGACCCCACCATTGGTATTACTGGTATGGCATTAGATCTCAACCTCTGCAAGGTCAGGTCTGCTTCCGTCAGAGTCTCTGCTGCAGCCCCAGTGCCTGGCACATGGCCTGCCTTGTCTTAGGGGACCAGTGATATTTCTTCAAGAATGAATGAGTGGACACAATCCAGCACCAGGACTTCAGGATAAACTGAATCTGGTTGGATTATTTCTGGAGAGGCTGAAAGGAGATAGAATTTAAGGGATAAATATGAATCAAAACAGAAGAGCTAACACCAGAGGAGTATTGAATATGCTGTGATTCTGTTTTCTCCTGTGAGAGACTTTTGTGAGGACAATGTAAGAGATAAGGGGAAAGTTTGGGCAGAAAAGGTCAGGAACTTGGGGTATCAACAGGGAAGTGAAAGGTTTCCTAGGCTCGAAACAAAGCGTGGGAGCTCGGTGTCGCTCTTGCTGGTGCTGGCTTTGTGACATTTGACAGGTCATTGGCTTCCAGATGAGATTTGATCTCCATGAAACCTTTCTAGAAATCAGACTCCTTCCAGGATGGCTTAAACATTTCAAAACAAGTTGACAACATACATCTTTATAATGCGTTACACTGAAGTTAAGGAAACTTCAGTTCAAGGCCACATTCCTCAAAGCATGTTTTTAATTTTTCCTTAATATCTTAATAGAGTTTTGTGGAAGAAAAAAAGGGTGGGCAAAACCAATGTTAACCTGATTTCTTTATTGTAATTATCAGAGCCTTTTTTATATATAATATTAAAAATATATATTTTTAGATGGAGCCTTGCTTTGTCGCCAGGCTGGAGTGCAATGGCGCCATCTCAGTTCACTGCAACCTCCACCTCCCGGGTTCAAGCGATTCTCCTGCCTCAGCCTCCTGAGAAGCTGGGACTACAGGCGTGCCACCACACCCAGCTAATTTTTTTATTTTTAGTAGAGATGGGGTTTCGCCATGTTGGCCAGGATGGTCTCAATCTCTTGACCTCGTGATCCGCCTGCCTCAGCCTCCCAAAGTGCTGGGATTACAGGCGTGAGCCACTATGCCCGGCCTAATGTTAATGTACATATATACATTATGAATCGCAAAGATAATATGCCTGTGTGTGTGTCTTTGTGTGTGTGTGTATGTGTGATCTCTTAAGACTAGAATTCTGCAGAGTCTTTTTTTGGGAAATACTGACTTATTGAGTAATTCTACCTTCCTCTTATATACTTTTTTGCTGCAGAAAGTGTCAACACCTTTCTCTTCAGTGTCAACACCCATAAAAAAAGTGTCAACACCTTTCTCTTAAGTGTCAGCACCCATAAGTGTCAACACCTTTCTCTTCAGAGGTCTTCATTTTCTTTGTGTATGGCATGGCAAAAGCCAAAATGAAAGTTTAAAGACCCAATATATCTAGATATATATACGTATACAGATAGATAGATAGATTTTTAAATTTTTATTTATTTATTTATTTATTTATTTATTTATTTTTTATTTGTTTGTTTGTTTTGGAGACAGGGTCTTGCTCTGTCACCTAGGCTGGAGTGCAGTGGTATGATCATGGCTCACTGCAGCCTCAATCTCCTGGGCTCAAGCCATCCTCCCACCTTCGCCTCCCAAGTAGCTGAGATTACAGGTGCATGCCACCATGCCTGGCTGATTTTTGTATTTTTTGTAGAGATGGGGTTTCGCTATGTTGCCCAGGCTGGCCTTGAACTCCTGAGCTCAAGCAATCCACCTGCCTCAGCCTCTCAAAGTTCTGGGATTACAGGCGTAAGCCACCATGCCTGGCCAAATATGTATTTTTAAATAAGAAGGAAGTAAGTTTTTCTTACAAAGTAGGTTTTGTCTTTTTGCCTGTTGAAGCCAGGACTTTTATTATTCCTTTTTTTATGTGTAAAATAGTCCCTCAGTGACCATCACAAACAGAAAAATATAACAAAACTGCTTTCCAAAAGACCATGAAGTTAGAAAAACAATTTTACGAAAATATAACTTTAAAAAATACACTTAAATAAAACTACCACAAAACAGAGAAATAATGTGATTTTACTACCATATATTTGAAAAGTAGAATGACTCATTATTTTAATATTTCCTAAGAGTATTGTTTTATAATTTGCCCAAGGATTTGATTTGATTTTCTACTGGCCCCAAAGGTGGAAATATCTGCTTATGAAAGCCTTGATTTGGGCTGTGTAGGCTGCCAGAGTTTTTTTCAGACTTTTTTTCATTAAAACGAGATTGCACTGTAGGTCAGCAGCATCACCCATGCTTCCTAGACGCTTATATGATCAGAATTTACTTTTTCCTTTTCCTTGCAATAAGACATTTTTTTCATACTTAATGAGTGCAACATATTCCCTGAGAGGAATCCACAAATGTTGAAATTTCTTCCTCCTTAGGAAAAGACAGTAGATTGTCAGTTTATTTACCCTTTGTTTCACTCAAAATATTTTCTTACAAATTCCCTGCAGGCTTTCTCTCTTCCTTCCTTTCTATGGAGATTTGTGAAAAATGTGACACACACACAACTGATACCAGTGGCATGGGCCTTGGCCCATCATCGTTTGTCTTTTAAGAGGTGTCCTAAAAAAAAAAATTTACAAAAATTAGCTAGGTGTGGTGGTGACGCCGGTAATCCCAGCTACTTGGGAGGCCGAGGCAGGAGAATCTCATGAACCTGGAAGGCAGAGGTTGCAGTGAGCCAAGATTGTGCCACGACACTCCTGCCTGGGCGACAAAGGGAGAATCCATCTCAAGAAAAAAAAAAAGAAAACAGGTGTCTACAAGAGTTTGAAACTAAATTTTTTATTCCTATTGGTATAATATTTATAGATTCTTTTTTTTTGAGTGAGGGTTTCTGTCATCCAGGCTAGAGTGCAGTGGCATGATCTTGGCTCAGTGCAGCCTTGACCTCCTGGGCTCAAGATCCTCCCACCTCAGCCTCCTGAGTAGCTGGAATTACAGGAGCGTGCCACCATGCCTGGCTAATTTTTTATATAGACAGGGTTTTGCCATGTTTCCCAGGCTGGTCTTGAACTCCTAGTCTCAGTGATCCTCCCACCTCAGCCTCCCAAAGTGCTGGGATTACAGGCGTGAGCCACTGTGCCCAGCCTTATTTATGGATTTTCAAAAAATAAACCACCTGCCATCATCCTCAGCAAACTAACACAGGAAGAGAAAACCAAACACCACATGTACTCACTTAAAAGTGGGAGCTGAACAATAACACATGGACACAGGGAGGGGAACATCACACAGTGAGGCCTGTCGGGGGGTGGGACATGGGGAGGGGGAGTATAAGGAAAAATAGCTAAAGGATGCTGGGCTTAATACCTGGGTGATGGGTTGACCGGTGCAGCAAGCCACCATGGCATACATTTCCCTATGTAACAAAACCTGCACATCCTGCACATGTACCCTGGAAATAAAAATAAAAATAAAAAATAAAAATAAAAAAAGAAAAGAAAAATGTCTAATAAATGTAAGACATTTTCAACTTCACTTGTAGTCAAAGGAATGCAAGTTAATAAGTTATCACTTATCTAAGAAAGAAAAGGAAAATAATTTAAAAAATAAAAATAAAAACAACCACACTAGGCCCAAGTAGGCCCAAGTAAGAAATACATCTTGGTCAGGCGCGGTGGCTCATGCCTGTAATCCCAGCACTTTGGGAGGCTGAAGCGGGTGGATTTCCTGAGGTCAGGAGCTCGAGACCACCCTAGCCAAAATGGCGAAACCCCGTCTCTACTAAAAATACAAAAATTAGCCAGGCGTGGAGGCGGGCGCCTGTAATCCCAGCTACTCAGGAAGCTGAGGCAGGAGAATTGTTTGAACCCGGGAGGCAGAGGTTGCAGTGAGCCGAGATTGCGCCACTGCACTCCAGCCTGGGTGACAGAGCAAGACTGTGTCTCAAAAAACAAACAAACAAACAAAGAACAAAACAAAACAAACAAAAAAATGAAATACATCTTAGTAATTGAAGCAACTCTTATTTGACTATCATCTGCTCACTTTTATACTCTGACAGGTGCTTCTCCTCCCTGTAGCATGAAGGAATACAGCAATAAGGGCTGAGGCTGTCCTGGAGGATAGCTAGAGAGGTGACACGGAGGAAAGGCGCACAGTGAGACTCCAAGACGAGCTGCCCATGCAGTGCTGAAGATTCTGGGCTGCCCTCTCAAAGCACAGTAAGAAAGTGGGTGGTCCTGAGCTCTGAGAGCTGCCCCCACTCCACTAGGGGTTTTTCCTCAAGAGAGATTCTTCAGAGAATCATTTTCTTTTTCTTTTTTTTAGAGACAGAGTCGCACTCTATGGCCAAGGCTGCAGTGCAGTGGTGCAATCATAGCTCACTGAAGCGTCAAACTCCTGGGCTCAACTGATCCTCTCACCTCAGCCTCCTGAGTAGTTGGCATATGTCACCATGCCTGCTAGTTTTGTTTGTTTGTTTGTTTGTTTAGACAGAGTCTGGCTCTGTCACTCCAGTTGGAGTGCAGTGGCATGAACTTGGCTCACTGCAACCTCCGCCTCCTGGGTTCAAGTGATTCTCCTGCCTCAGCCTCCTGAGTAGCTGGGATTACAGGTGTGCAGCACCATGCCTGGCTAATTTTTGTATTTTTAGTAGAGACAGCATTTCACCATGGCCAGGTTGGCCTTGAACGCCTGACCTCAAGTGATCCACCTGCCTCGGCCTCCCAAAGTGCAGGGATTACAGGCATGAGCCACTGCATGGTTCCATTTGCTGTACAAGTTAGAGCAGTGGCTGAATTACAGAGCTGTTGTGTAGCTCTGAGACAACTGCGCAGGTTATAATTTCTCTACTTGCCTCCTGGATTCATTTTTCATCCTTCCTTGCCCTGCTCTGTGCCCAAGGAGACTGAACCAACCCCTTCAGATCAGAGGGCAAGAGGAGAGAGGGGTCAGGCTTTATTATCTATGCCTTTGCTTAGGAGCTGTGTCTGTTGGTAGCTGTCATGCTCCGCACCTATCACTCCCATCAGGTGGCCCATGTCACCAGGCTCTAATACCACTTTTCTCTCCCCTTGCTCCTTCAGTCCTAAGGGAAATGATGGCTTCCTGGAGCCAGACTTTGGGTGCCTCATGCCACAGGGCATGGATTTAGCTAGTAGCCATGGCAGTTGCCTGACAAGACCATTCTGTTGCCTTGTGGCAACCTCCATAAATCACAGGACTGGATTTATGTGATATTTAAAATCTTACAGATTTAATTAAAGATTTTCGAGTAGATGAGCACAGAAGATCAGATATGTAGTCTAAGAATATTAACCTGGTAGAGTATTAAATATATGGGAAAGGGAGAGAATGGAGATGACACCAGTGAGCAGATACTGCCATGGTCCCTGTCAGTGGTGATGACAGGTGAGATACACAAGGTCAATGGGAAGGCTCCAGATAGACATCTACTCCAAAGGAACCAAAAACCAATTGTCTTCGGGGGACACAGTGGAAGGATGTTTCAAGTAGGAATCTGCCAATGTTGTCTTTTCTGAATTTCCTTTTGTGAGGAACTGCTCTTCTGCTACTCTACATGATTTTGATGAGCCTGCCAATTGCAGGACTCTGTCCCTCTGACCACAGTGGGGTGTGTGTGTGGTAGTGGTAGGTGCAACCAAGAATAGTATCTCAAACCCAGCCCATGATAGTGCCTCATTCTCTTGGGCAGTGTGATTGATATATTGGTGGCCATGTGCCTCAATCTAGGCCAATCAATGCCTTTTTTGGTGACTTTTCCATTTGGAGCTGAAGGAGAAGGGGCCTTACTTTCAGAAATATGTGAATGGGGATGCTGCAGCCTCTTTTTTTTCCCCACAACAAGAACAAAGACAACATAGACAAGTGGGTGGAGAGTGAAGATGGTGACTTCCTTCAAGTTCTTGAGTCTGGTCAAACTAGAAGCGAGATCAATTTCTGGACTTCCCAGTTATGTGATCCAGTAAATCTCCTTTTATGCTTAAGCTAGTTTGAGTTTTGAGTTGGGTTTCTGTCACTTGTAATCAAAACAAGTCTGAACTTTAAAAAAAAAAAAAAAAAGCGGGGGCTGGGCACAGTGGGTCACACCTGTAACCTCAGCACTTTGGGAGGCTGAGGCAGGCGGATCACCTGAGGTCAGGAGTTTGAGACCAGCTTGGCCAACATGGAGAAACCCCGTCTCTACTAAAAATACAAAAAGTAGCCGGGCATGGTGGCATATGCCTGTAATCCCAGCTACTTGGGAGGTTGAGCCGGAAGAATTGCTTGAGCCTGGGAGGCAGAGGTTGCAGTGAGCCAAGATTGTGCCACTGCACTCCAGCCTGGGTGACAGAGCAAAACTCCATCTAAAAAAGAAAAAGTAACATGCTCTTCCTATTAGAAACAGGCTTAAGAAACTTCCATGAGTCCACAGTAAATTCAATGGAATGAATGTTTAAGCAGATACGATCTAAGGAAGTTTTATTAGCAAACTATTGATAAATCAAAGGTGTTTCGGAGAATTTTGGGGAAACTAGTTTTGCTCATTTTCATTCTTTATTTTCCTTCTTATGCTAGTAGTTTCTGCTTTTGAAATTCTAAGAGGAAAAGAAACAGTAAGTGTAGCCAGCCAAGGGAAAAGGAATAGACTGAGAAGCAGTAGAGGAAGCCTGGGAACAGAGTGATGGAGAAGGGAATTATGAGAAACGCCATGGCATATGAGACAGCTCCAGCCTGGGAGTCAGGACCTGCGTACAGTCCTGGCTCTGCCACAAATGTGCCATCTGCTTGCATAAGCTAGTGTGACTAAGTTGTAATTCCTACACTTGAGAAATAAGGAGACCTGGAATAAAAGATGATTAATATTCCCTTTCAACCGTCTATTATTCCAGTGTATCCCTATTTTTAGCAGGAACATGAAGGAAGCAAAGGATTAGGGATCATCACTATTGGATTCATAGCTGTGAAGACAGTTTCCCAGAAGAGTTCCCAGGAGGTCTGGCTTGGAGGGCAGCTGCTCCAGTGCCCCCAGACCCAAGCTCAGATCAAACCACAGGCATCTGAGGCTCTGGCTTTATCCTGGAAGGGTTAAGACGTGGTCAATGAGAGAGGGAACCAAGGAAGGTCTCCTTGTTTTGCTAAATAGTTAATGTAATCCCCTAGGCAGAGAAGGTAAAACCAACCTAATTTCCTCCTTCCCTCCTCACCCTTTTCCCACCCAATGAAGGAGTCCTGACTCAACCTAAACCCCACCCACAGCAGCATACCTGGAACCCATCCAACCTAGCAAGTGCAGCCTGCCTAGTGGCGACCTGAGCAAACCAATTTCACACCGGAAAATTCAATAGCCTGCTATTATCACAGCCAGGAAGGCAGGGAAGGAGAAGCTTCATCCTCAAGGCAATTTAAGCAGGAGGAGAGAAGAGTATGGGGAGGAGTGGTGAATAAACACACAGGAAAAGGAAGTTCTGCAGAAGTTTGCTTCTGCTCCAAAGTTGGGTTTGAAGGGTAGTGTATAAGAAGAAATGGGTTTTCTTCTAGCTCTTTCAAACTTTCTGCCATTTCTGCCAAAATACCACCAAAGAGTTTCTCAGTTCTCAGATTCCTGAGAAACAAGACCTGCCACACAGTAGGTTCTTGGTAAATAATAATTTAATTTTAAATTATTAATTTAAACATTAATTTAAAGTTAAATTAAAGGCCGGGCACAGTGGCTCATGCCTGTAATCCCAGCACTTTGGGAGGCCAAGGCAGATGGATCACGAGGTCAGGAGATCAAGACCATCCCGACCAACACAGTGAAACCCCGTCTCTACTAAAAATACAAAAAAAATTAGCCAGGCGTGGTGGCGGGCGCCTGTAGTCCCAGCTACACAGGAGGCTGAGGCAGGAGAATCGTGTGAACCTGGGAGGTGGAGCTTGCAGTGAGCCGAGATCGCGCCACTGCACTGCAGCCTGTGACAGAGCGTGACAGAGCGTGACAGAGGGTGACAGAGCGAGACTCTGTCTCAAAAAAAATTAAAGTTAAATTAAAATAAATTACTAATTATTAAGCACCTCGCTCTGTCACCCAAGCTGGAGTGCAGTGGTGTGATCATAACTCATTGCAATCTCAAATTCCTGGGCTCAAGTGATCCTCCCATCTCAGCCTCCAGAGTAGCTGGGACTCCAGATGTGCACCACCACACCTGGCTATTTTTTTGTTTGTTTGTTTTTTGGTAGAGGTAGGGTCTTGCTCTGTTGCCTAGGCTGGTCTCTAATTTCTGGGCTCAAGTGATCCTTCCACCTCCCAAAGTGCTAGGATTGTAGGCATAAGGCCCAGCGATAAATATTTACTGAGTGGATAACTGAACAAATGGATGGACACATCTGTGGGTCATCATATTGACTCTCTTTGTGGTGCCAGATGTGATGAGCCACAGGAGTAAAATATACTCCATGAAAGAGAAGGGAGGATCACGAGAGGGGTTCAAGCACACTCAGCTGAAGCTGCTTCCCCACTCTGGACTATCCAGGCAGAATCTTAATATTGGTCACAGTGCACAGAGGGTATTTCCCTCAGTCAAGGAGCTTCCTATGGGCCCTTCCTATAGGCCCAGGACCACGCAGTTATTTATTAGTCCCTGACTTATAAGAGCTTGCAGTCTAAGTGAAGAGACAGTGTTACCTCGGAGGAAATAATGACATGATTTGCATAAATCAATAAATAATTGGCCTTAAGTAATGTAGGAAGATGTATAATTATAATGAGTTCAAAGAAAAGAGAGATGAGTGGGGCTGGAACAGTCCAGAAAGCACCATTGAAGAAGTGGGATTTGACTTTGATGCAGAGAACAGGCAAATGCTCATTCACGTGGGGGAATGTGGGTTAATTTTCTGAATCCTGATCCCACCTGGGGCATCACAGTGCTATTTTCCAGATGCATGCCCAAGTCCCCTTTCAATTTTCCATCCCTGGTCTGCATGGCAGGCGAGATTTCCATCACCATTAGAGCAGATGGGGCTTCACAAAGAGCAGTGCAATTTGAGTGCTGATGAGGCCAACAGGTTTGATTCAGAAGGTTGTTATTGCTGCCAGGCTGTAACTTAGACATATAAATTTGCTGCTTCAAATGTTCCATCAGGAGAATCAGCTGGGGAGCACTAATCCTAAGTGAAACCGTCTTGATTACAATGGAAGAAACGACAACAGCATATCGTTTAACTGCTGAACCCTTACAATGAAACACAAAGCGGCATTAAAGTTCTCTGCCTGTAATGCCATGGTTTAAGCAGTTAATCTTATTTTAGCTGAATGGCATGTTCATTACAGCAAATAAGTAGGTAATGTGTGGGATTACTGAAGAGGGAAGATAAATTAAACCAGTTATGGGCATCATGTTGATTTTTTTTAACTGTCTGATTTAACTTGGTATTTTTCAACAGCCAGATCTAATAAACACTCATTTAGCAGAGATTAAGGAGATGGGACTCTTGCCCAGAAAAGGTATTATATATGACTTGAGATGCTAGTTTTAAGGGCAGTAATTCATGATACTCAGCACTGGCTCCAGCCTGGAATCTTCAGTGCTTTAACACGAGGGGTTCATGAGTGGCAAAGCAGTGCTTCTCACTTTCCACTAAATAGTTATGTTTCTACCATTTATACTTTTTATGGGCAGCTGAAGGACTTTTCTTCAAGGTCTCAAACATTCTTTTCTGTAGACCTGCTACAAAGACACCTTCTAACATCATACAGTGTAGTTCAGGAATGTATTTTATCTTTTCTCAAACAACTGCTACTCTAACTTCAAAAACCATTCATTGAACTATGGGTACAAAGGACAAAGGAGATAGAGTCCTTGAATTGGAAGAGATTACAATGTAGTCTGGAGAGGAGGAATAACAATCACACACAATAAAGAACAATAAAGAAGCTGGTAACAGCATGAGCGGGTACATAAACAAGTGCCAAATTACATAGCCAATTTGTGCAGTGTAGCCCATAAGGAAACAGATGGACAAGTACTTACTGAGCAGCATGAAATACTCCAGGTTGGGTATTGTGCTGTAGGCTTTTTGTATACTTAATTTGTGCAAATTTTTTTTTTTGAGGCAAGTATTATGAACTCCCATTTCACAGGTGTAGAAACCAAGGCTCAGAGAACCAAATCGCTTACCCAAGTAGGGGGAAAGCCCCAGGTCTGATTTCAAAGTCCTTGCCTTTTCCTTTATGGCAAATTGTTTCTTTAAGAAATATGAAGAGTCAGGAGCAGAAGAAAATCATGTAAGATGTCATGGAAGAAGTGGAATTGGATCTGAGTCTGAATGTACCCTTCAACCCAACTTCAAAGCAGCAAATACCTTGATGCAATCTGTTTGACAGTCAATTCTGCTTCCAGGAATTAAGCCTAAATAATTAAGAAAATGTCCCTTTAGAAAGTTTGTATCCATTTGCACTCACACCATATATTATATAAATTCATTGTTCTCATGCCAATACCAGACATTATCATTCCTTTTCAATATCTGCCAGTCCATTAGATGGAATATAGTATCACCATGTAGCTATAATTTGTGTTTCTTTAGTGGGTAGATATGAACACCTATTCATATCTTTGCTGCCTAACTTTGTTTTAGAATTCTCTGTACCTTTTCCTTTGCTGATTTTTTTTGAGACAAGGTCTCGCTCTGTCTCCTAGGCTGGAGTGCAGTGGCATGATCTTGGCTCATTTCAGCCTTGACCTCTTGGGCTCAAGCAATCCTCCCACCTTAGCCTCCCAAGTAGTTAGGACTAGAGGCACACGCTACCATGCCCAGCTAATTTATTTTTTTATTTATTTTTTGTAGAGATGGGGTTTTACCAGGTTACCCAGGCTGGTTTTGAACTCCTGAACTCAAGCAATCCTCCCGCCTCAGCCTCCCAAATGCTGGGATTACAGGCATGAGCCACCATGCCCTACTTTATTTTTCTATATTTATTTACCTCTAAATAATTTTATTTTAAATTTAATTTTATAAATTAAAATTCATTTTCATTATTGCATTTAGAACACTTTACACATTAAGATCTTTGAATTGTCATATATGCTGCATATTACTTCTAGTTGATTTTTTTTAACACAAACAAATCTGAGTCATTTTCTTTATAATTTCTGCAGTAGCATCCTGGAAATACAGTTACAGCAAGAGGTAACCTTCAGAGTAGACAGCTGTCTCGAAATAGTAGCTCAGGTGAAGGGATAGCCAGGGCAGACTTGTACAACTTCTAAGTATCTGCAAGGACAATCCCAGTTGTGCAGACTCAGGGCTCCAATGAGATTCATAGTTGTTAAAAGGACAAGTAACTCCTGATGGCTATACAACTAAAGGTCGCCTCAGTTACACTGATCTCTTAGTAACTTAAATTCCTAGGATAATCTCTAATTTGTTCAAAGTGTACTATTCTTTTGGCATACTGTTAAGTCCACAAATACTATATGTGACATTTTGTCTTCAGATTGATGCAGGATTTTTCTTGGCCCCTTCACTGGACTCCCAACCGGAGGGAACACTTGCTCGGCCCACCACATTCAACCCCTTGTGGGTGGGAGCCTGTGAGCGAGTGAGTGCAGGATCCAGCCGGCCGCTCCGGGCACCAGCAGAAGCAAGCTCCATGTGGGGCCCATGGCCAAACCAGCCATGAGCAAGTGAGTGTGGGATCTCGCCAGCTGTTCTAGTCACTGGCAGGAGCAGGCTCCATGTGGGGCTCATGGCCAGATCAGGAGTGAGCGAGTGAGTGCAGGATCTGGCTGGCCACTTTGGGCACTGGCGGGAGCAAGCTCTGTGCAGGGCCCATGGCATCACCGAGATGAGGGTGCCCATGACCCCAAAACCCCAGGGGGAGTGTTACAGTGCTCTCTTAGCGCTGCCATCTGCAGATGGCTATGTGTTAACAGCTCAGCTGGCCCCTTGTCTCATCACGTGGGGTGGCTGCCCTCTAACAGCAAGGGCAAAGGGCCGGTGTGATAGCCTTTTTGGGTCCCCACACTCAGTGGGTCCTGAGCTCTTGTCCATCCAGCATCCAAGAAGAATGAAGTTGTGTGGACACTTGAAGGATGGTGAGGGTAGAGAACTTAATTGAGCAGTGGAAATGGCTCTTAGCCTAGAGGGGAGCTGGAGAGGGGATGGGAAAAGCAGATAGTCTTCCCCAAAATCTGGCCATCTCTTCCCCAAAGTCCAGCCATCTCTCCTTTCTACTGACTGAGTCTGGGATCTTTATAGGCACAGGATGGGGGTGGGTGGAGTGTGGTGGGCCACACGTAGTTTTGGAAAAGACAACACTGGATTGGTAAAAAGACATTATTCAGAAAGAACCAATCAAGAGAGAGTGAGCAAACAGGAATAGAAGTTCTCACTTTGGGCTGCAGGTTTCAGGCTTTTAGGCTTGAAGATGGGGTTTCACCAGGGACCCATCCCTGTTTGCCTAGGCGTTTGGCTGCCTCCTGCCACTCTCAATATTTTTGTTTTGTTTTCGCTCTCAATATTTTTTAGTGAGTTTTTTAGTTCATTTTTGTGCTATGTTCATCAGGTTTGATATCAAGATGATGCTGACTTTGTAAAATTAATTGGGACTTCCTTCCCTTCCTCCCTCCCTCCCTCTTCCCTCCCTCCCTTCTTTCCCTCTTCTATTTAATCTACTTACTGATATTTGAGTTTAATATATCATGTTACTATTTGTCCTGTCCTGTGTTCCTGTTTCCCTCTTTTCTTGATTTCTGTTATATTGATATTTCCCCCTTCCTCCATTGGTTTGATAGTTACACCCTCTTTTACTTTCTTTTAGCAGTTACCTTGAAGGTTTCAACATTAATCCTAATCTCCAATGTTACTTGAATTTTTATCTTATTCCCAAATAATGCAACAACCCTAAAACATTTTAACTCCAAGAATATTGTGATGATTAATTTTATGTGTCAATTTGACTGGGCCACAGGGTGCCCAGACATTTGATCAAACATTATTCTGGGTGTGTTTGTGAGGGTATTTCTGAATGAGCTTAGCATTAGAATCAGTAGACTGAATAAAGCAGATTGTCCTCCCCAATGTTGGTGGACCTCATCGAATTAATTGAATACCTGAATAAAATAAAAAGGCTGATAAGATGAAACTTTTCCTGCCTGACTTCTGAGCTGGGGCATTAGTCTCCTGCCCTCATATTGGAACCACATCGACAGCTTTCCCAGGGCTGCAGCTTGCCAAATGCACATCTTGGGATGTCTCAGGTGCCATAATCACATAAGCCAATTTCTTACAGTATGTATGTATGTCATAGGAGACATTTATATGCTAAATATATATAATATATGTTATAGGAGACATATAATACATAGAGAATACATAATATATAGATCATATAACATGTAGATTATGTTTCATATAGAATGTTATATATGTAGATTATGTATTTCCTATGACATATATTAAACATAAAACATATATATAAAATATCTATCTCCTATGACATACATATTAATTATTAAATAGTGGCTTATGGCCAGGCATGGTGGGTCACGCCTGTAATCCCAGCACTTTGGGAGGCTGAGGCAGGCAGATTACCTGAGGTCAGGAGTTCAAGACCAGCCTGGCCAACATGGTGAAACCCCATCTCTACTAAAAATACAAAAGTTAGCTGGGCATGGTGGCATGTGCCTGTAATCCCAGCTACTTGGGAGGCTGAGGCAGGAGAATTGCTTGAACCTGGGAGATGGAGGTTGCAGTGAGCCGAGATTGCGCCACTGCACTCCAGCCTGGGCGATAGAGTGAGACTCTGTCTCAAAAAATAAAATTAAATTAAAAGTGGCTTATATATTATCATATATAATATGGCTTATATACCATATAGCTCTCTCTCCTCTTGGTTCTGTTTTTCCTGGAGAACCCTAATACAAATCACCTCTTGACTTTTATGTCACTTGTGCATTTTATTCTCTCTCTCTGTATGTGTGTGTGTGTGTGTCTATATATATATATGTTAACTCCACATCACATCATTGTATACAGCCAGTATTTATTTAGATTTATCCATATAGTTACCCTCTACACTAATTTCCTGTTCTTGCCCCTGTGAGTTTCCAACTGGGTTTATTTATTTATTTATTTATTTTTCTGAGACAGAGTCTCGCTCTGTCTCCCAGGCTGGAGTGCAATGGCTCGATCTCCGCTCACTGCAAGCTCCACCTCCCGGGTTTGCACCATTCTCCTGCCTCAGCCTCCCGAGTAGCTGGGAACCACAGGCGCCCGCCACCACGCCTGGCTCATTTTTTGTATTTTTAGCAGAGACGGGGTTTCACCGTTAGTCAGGATGGTCTCGATCTCCTGACCTCATGATCCGCCCGCCTCGGCCTCCCAAAGTGCTGGGATTACAGGCGTGAGCCACCGCGCCCAGCCCCAGCTGGGTTTATTTTACTTCCACCTGAAGATGTCTTTAGCATTTTTTTAATGCAGTCCTACTTGTGATAAATTCTTTTTGTCCTGAAATGCCTTTATTTCCCTTTTAATTTTGAAGACCATTTTTGCTAGGCATGCAATTCTAGACAATTGGTTACCCTCTTTTTTTTTTTTTTCAAGCGGACTCTCGCTCTGTCACCCAGGCTGGAGTGCAGTGGTGCAATCTCAGCCCACTGCAACATTTGCCTTCTGGGTTCAAGCAATTCTCCTGCCTCAGCCTCCTGAGTAGCTGGGATTACAGGCATGCACTACCACACCCGACTAATTTTTGTATTGTTAGTAGAGATGGGGTTTCGCCATGTTGGCCAGGCTGGTCTCGAACTCCTGATCTCAAGTGATCCACCTGCCTTGGCCTCCCAAAGTGCTGGGATTATAGGCATGAGCCACCACACCTGACCAATCAATTACCTTCTTTCAGCACTTTGAAAATATTCCATTTGTCTTCTGGGTTTCATTATTTCTCTGGAGAATCCAGCAGTAAGTCTAGTGGTTGCTCTTTTGATGGTGATGTCTTTTTTTCTCTAGCTATTTTATAAGATTTTATCTTTGGTTATCAATTACTATGAATGTGCCTGGGTTTTTTGTGTATTTTAAATTCTGCTTGGGTTTTTTAATCTGTGACAATGCTTTTCACCAGTTTTGAAAGTCCTCAGCTATTATCTTTTCAAAAGTTGCTTCTAGGCTGGGCACAGTGGCTCATGCCTGTAATCCCAGCACTTTGGGAGACAGAGGCAGGTGGATCACCTGAGGTCAGGAGTTCAAGATCAGCCTGGCCAACATGATGAAACCCCGTCTCTACTAAAAATACAAAAATTAGCCAGGCGTGGTGGTAGATGCCTGTAATCCCAGCTGCTCGGGAGGCTGAGGCAGGAGAATCTCTTGAACCTAGGAGGCAGAGGTTGCAGTGAGGTGAGATCACGCTATTGCACTCCAGCCTGGGCCACAGAGCAAGACTCTGTCTCAAAAAAAAAAAAAAAAAAAAGTTGCTTCTCTCACATTTTCTCTGTTCTCTGCTTTTCAGGGACTCTAAATACATTTATATTAAATCTTCTCATTGTATCCCCTATATCTCTTATCCCCCTTGTCTGTACTTATGACCTTTTTTCACTCCATGTTTCCTTCTGGAAATGTTCTTCTAATGTATTCTTAATTATGTCTTCAACTATATCTTATTTGCTATAAAACCTTTCCATTTAGTTCTCAATTTCAGCTGCTATTTGTTTTTGTTTGAGATTTTGTTCTTTTTACGGTTTCCATAATTATTAATCTTGTTTCTTGTTTTAGCTCTTCAAACCTATTAAACACATTTCAGAGCAATTTTCTGTCAAGTAAAACTTGACAACAAAAAAAGCAATCAATAAGTTCCAGTTCCACTTATGATAGAGAAAGCCAAGAAGCGTTGCTTTCACAAACTACTTTGCCTTGCGCAGAGTACAGGATGAAAGATAGCAGCAAATTAAAAAAAAAAAAAAAAAGAGAAGAAAACCGAAATTTTAACAAATGCTTAAAGACTAAGTGTGGGCTAGTGTGATAGCTTAGAATTCCTGGGAGCCACAGATACAAGGAGAGTTTAGCCCAAATTACTGGCTCTTTTTCATAGCCTCCACTGGGTATTCGTAAGAAAAACTGGGGACAGAGCAGGAGAACTGAAAGAGACTCCTTTTGGTGACACAGGCATGCAGGTGACAACCAGCTACCACTGTGAGAGAGACATGAAACCCAGGTCCTTCTCTTACATAAAGAAAAAGCCATCTGCCACCAGGGGAGTGATACAAAACCTCCTATCCCCTGGTGTCAGCCAACAAAGTTGGCTGTAGGCAGGGAGGAGTTGAAGCAAAAACCATCTGCCGTTGGACGGGGCAAGGAAACTCACACTTGTGACCATGATCCTGCACTGATACAAAGCAGAGGTTTGCCGCCAATGAGAGAGGGACAGGAAACTCACTCTCACCTAAGACCCCACAATTACAAAACAAGGTCTGAGTGCCACGGAGAAAGGGGACCCAGCCCTGAAGCTCACACCCCCATGGCTTGCATGAGACTGAGGCTGGAGGAGGAGAACCGCCTCTTGCCCCAACCATAAAGCCTTGCACAAAGTAGTAAGCAATAGCTTTCTACAGCTGAGGAGGGGCAGGAGCAGAGAGAAAGAGATATCATCGGTGGTACAAGTGTGCAGAGTCTGCTAAAAGCTGAGGGTGGAGCAGGAACACTGAGAAAAACTCTGGCACTCTAGGCCACACACTAAGCCCACAGCAGCAGCAGTCCACCACTGAAGAATTTGAAATCTGTGATATACTGAAAGTAACTATAGCAGCAACAAACTCAAACCCAAATCAACTATTTATTAGAGTTATTTGCCTCTCCCCCAACACTAATGGCCTAATAGAAAGACAGCTGTGCCCATTTCCAGATATAAATACTATTTACCTCAGTTTCTACTGTTCTTTAACATGCAACATCTGACATTTAATCAACAATTATAAGACATTTTAAAAAGTAAGACTTTGGGAGGCCGAGGCGGCAGATCACAAGGTCAGGAGATCGAGACCATCCTGGCTAACATGGTGAAACCCCGTCTCTACTAAAAATACAAAAAATTAGCTGGGCGTGGTGGCGGGCACCTGTAGTCCCAGCTACTCGGGAGGCTGAGGCAGGAAAATGGCGTGAACCTGGGAGGCGGAGCTTGCAGTGAGCCGAGATCGTGCCACTGCACTCCAGCCTGGGTGACAGAGCGAGACTCCGTCTCAAAAAAAATAAAAAGTAAGAAAAAAAAGATCCATTATCAAGAGATAAAAGTAGTCAACAGAACCAGATCCAGAGATGACCCAGATATTGATATTATCAGATAGAAACTTTAAAACAACTATGATTAAAATGCTAAAGGACCTAGTGGAATGGATGGACACCATGTATAAATAGATTGGGAATTTCAGCAGAGAGATGGAAACTGTAAAAAAAAGAGTTAAATAAAAATGATAGAAATAAAAATATGATATTAAGAGATAAAGAATCTCTTCAACAGGCTTATTGGTGGACTAAACACAGCACAAGAGAGAATCAGTAAGCCTGAAATAGGTTAACAGAAATAATCCAAATTGAAACACAAAGAAAAATAGAGTGTATAAAAGAAAACAGCACATCCAACAGAGCCATGAGACACTATCAAATGGCCTAACATAAATCTAATTGCAGTCTCAGAGGAATATTTGATCATATAATAGTTGAGGATTCTCTAAAATTAATAAAAAAACAACAAACAGATCCAAGAGGTTTGGAGAATCTCAAGCAAAAGAAATACAAAGAAAAACACACCCAGAGGCTGGGCACGGTGGTTCACGCTTGCAATCCCAGCACTTTGGGAGGCCAAGGCGAGAGGATTGTTTGATCACAGTTGTTCCAGACCAGCCTGGCAACATGGGGAAACCTCATCTCTACTAAAAAAAAAAAAAAAAAAAAAAAAGAAGAAGAAAAGAAACGAAAAGAAAAAAAGCTGGGTATGGTGGCACATGCATGTAATGATAGGTACTTAGGAGGCTAAGGTGGGAGGATTGCTTGAGCCCAGGAGGCAGAGGTTGCAGAGAGCTGAGGTCACACCACTGCACTCCAGCCTGGGCAACAGAGTCGACCCTGTATCAAAAAAAAAAAGGCACATCATAGTTTAACTGCTGAAAATTAAAAAAAAACGATATCTAGAAGGCAGCAAGAAAAAAAAATTACATATAGATGAACAAAATTTAGAATTACAGCAGAACTCTCAACAGAAACTTTGCAAGCCAGGAGGCAATGGAGTAATTTCTTTAAAGTATTAGAAAACTTAGACTTTACCACAATCCTATCAGGTAACTTGAAATCTTGGTGTTGGTGAAGCTAATCAGGGCTAGAATTGAGAAGAAAGATGGTGGTACTGTGGGAACAACAGTAAATGACAGGGCTTAGATGCAAGGTGCTGGGGTGCACCTGAGAGCCAGAATGACATGGGTATGCCTCTTGAAATCAGACCATCAATAAGCAAGGTCCCCAAACCCAAAATGTGTTTTTCAGAGCCAGACCACATCAGACTACATTCTCTAAATCACTTTCGGCACAGTGGAGTTGGTTACAAGCAAAATTGCATAACTGCAGTGCCCAGCTAAGCACCTATTCCCCAGTGTCTCAAAGACATAGAATGAATGGTACAGATTGTGACAAGAGCCAAACTACAAAGGATAGTTCCTATGATTTCATCTATTGTGATATCAGGAGACAGGAAGAAGGTGAACAGATAATCTGCTGATGCAGAGGTCACAGACCCAGGAGGAACTGAAGCAGCTAAACACCCATGTGCTCCTATTTGAGATATTGGGTTGAAGCAAGGGGTAAGTCCTGAATGGATGGTGGGCCAAATGTGCCAAGTAGTGCAAGGTCAAGCAGAACTTCAATCCTTTCCATAATCTCCATCATTTCCCAAAAGCTTAAAAATATACAATCTAATTTTACAATTTCTTTTTATTTATTTATTTATTTTTTTGAGACGGAGTCTCGCTCTGTGGCCCAGGCTGGAGTGCAGTGGTGCGATCTCAGCTCACGGCAAGCTCCGCCTCCCGGGTTCACACCATTCTCCTGCCTCAGCCTCCCAAGTAGCTGGGACTCCAGGAGCCCACCACCACGCCCGGCTAATTTTTTGTATTTTTTAGTAGAGACAGGGTTTCACCGTGTTAGCCAGGATGGTCTTGATCTCCTGACCTTGTGATCCGCCCGCCTCGGCCTCCCAAATTGCTGGGATTACAGGCATGAGCCACCGCGCCCAGCCTAATTTTACAATTTCTATGCATGCACTCTTCAAGACAAGTGACCCCCAACTTCCCTTTTCCGTGTAGACTGCTACCTCTAGTTCCCTCATATACATTCAGGAATCACAGGACGAAACCACGATTGGGGGAGTGGAAATTTGATCTAGAGATTCTACTTGCTTACTCCTCCTTCTTTATGCTATCCTTATGCTAGTTGTTTGCCTGCACCACAGTAAGAGAAAAGCAGCAAGAGGGAACATGAGCATGGGGTGGGGAGGGAGGTGGGTGGGTGTTGGATTTTGACTGCTCAGAGTCCCTGGGTTATACAAGTAAACATTGTGCCTTATTTAATGGAGGACAGCCAAGATATAAAGAGGGTTTCAAAAAGCCAAGGCCAAGCAAGCCCTTGGTATCTCAGCTTCTATTACATTACTGGTAATAGCACTACAAATCAATGTAGAAAATGAGGTACTAGTAGGAGAGAGAGGAAAAGGAAGAAATAGCTGATCACCTCTGGAAAGAGGGATGGCTGCAAGGATTTCTGCTGTGGGCCCCTGCCTCTAAAGATACCCAATACAGTGACAGTAGCCTTCTCCTACCTTCTTTTTACTTTTTGCTGGAATGCAGTGGTGCGATCTCGGCTCATTGCAAACTCTGCCTCCTGCAATTCTCCTGCCTCAGCCTCCCGAGTAGCTGGGATTACAGGCACGCACCACCACGCCTGGCTAATTTTTAGTAGAGAAGGGGTTTCACCATGTTGGCCAAGCTGGTCTCAAATGATCCACCAGCCTCAGCCTCCCAGTGTTGGGATTACAGGCGTGACCTACCGTACCCAGCCCTTCTCCTACCTTCATGTGATCACTCTTCTGTTTCAGAAGTCAAAACAGGACAAGCAACTAATAATTTTCAATTCTGCCTATCTATACTCTAGTTATATACAATTATCTGAGAAATTACAATTGAATTATTTTCCACTTCCAATGCTATTGGGCAAATCTTTCAGACATGATCCTGAGCATTTGAGACAATGGAGGAATTATCACAATTTCTAGCTAAAATGAACCTATCATTCCTTTTACTTTTTAATTTTAAAAATATGAGATGGGGGTCTCACTTTGTTGCCCACGCTGATCTTGAACTCCTGGCCTCAAGCAATCACCCTGCCTCAGCCTCCCAAAGTGTTGGGATTACAGGCAGGAGTCACTGCACCCAGCATCATTCATTTTAAAGCTCTGAAATCTTTTGATTGCATTGGGGTACTGAGATGGATTTTTTTTTTTTTTTTTTGAGACAGGGTCTTGTTCTGTCACTCAGGCTGGAGTACAGTGGCACAATCTTGGCTCACTGCAACCTCTGCCTCCTAGACTCAAGCGATCCTCCCACCTCAGCCTCCTGAGTAGCTGGGACTACAGGTACACACCATGATGCTCAGCTAGTTTTTTAATTTCTTGTAGAGACAAGGTCTCACTATATTGCCCAGGCTGGTGTCAAACTCACGGGCTCAAGTGATCCTCCCGCTTCAGCCTCCCAAAGTGCTGGGATTACAGGTACCAGTCACCACACCCAGCAGATTTTAAAAAATACCTGTTTATCACAAGAAAAACATATTTAAAAAATCATCATTGCAAAGCTCCACACTGTAAGAAGCATGGATCAGTCAAATTATCTTTTAAAAGCCCTCTTTAATTCCAAGGAGATAAAGAAAGTTATTTGTCATTAAACATGTTACATGTATGACTAATATTTATTATAGCTAATATAATAGTTTAGAACAAGGAAATTTAGTAGAGTTGTAACATTTTGGTGCTACATGTATAATTCAGCATAAGCCAAAGCCTTTTTAAAATAACCAATACTATCATTTTATGAAATCTTTACAAGATAAGCACAGTAGTACAATATTTAAGCATCTCAAGTCTCCATTTAAGAGTTGACTATCAAAGAATGACTGTTATAAATAAAGAGCTCTATGATGTTCCACTTATTTAGTCTTAATAAGGTAGGGAAATAAGTGACATACTTTTTAGAAGAATCCATGCAGTGGACAGAAAGTCAGATTAGGTAGTCCCTAGGGATCCATCCAGCTCTGGGAATCTATCATCAGATGGCCTCTAAGGTTTCTTCTAGCTCAGAAAATAGAGGTACTTGGAACATAATTTTTTAAATTTTAAATGGTTATATAGGTTAATAGTATTTTTTGCTTTTCAAAATTCATTGCTGGTGATGTCTATTACTTATTTGATGTCATGTCTTTGGCCAGGAATGCAATCCTAATTAGCATTGTTCCAGGAAAACATTTCATTTTATAGGGAGCATATCCCAGAAACATTAGAAAATACTAGTCCCAATATAAGTAACATTTACCAACTAGACTCTGGGCTACACTTTAAAATATCTGATGTTCAGCCAGGTGTGGTGCTTATGCTTGTAATCCCAGCACTTTGGGAGGCTAAGGCAGGAGGATCTCTTGAACTCAGGAGTTCAAGACCAGCTTGGGCAACATAGTGAGACACTGTCTCTACAAAAAAAAAAAAAAAAAAAATTAATTATAAAAAAAAAAGAAAAAATATATCTGATGTTATTTCTATCTCTCAAGTTCAACAATAAATAATCCAAAGTACATTTTTATTTGCAGCAAAATTTAAGACAGACAGTACTTTCTTTTTTCTTTTTTTTTTTTTTTTTTTGAGACAAGGTCTGGCTCTGTCGCCCAGGTTGGAATGCAGTGGTACAATCTTGGCTCATTGCAACCTCCACCTCCCGGGCTCAAGACATCCTCCCATCTCAGCCTCCCAAGTAGCTAGGACTACAGGCACTTACCACCATACCCAGCTAATTTTTGTATTTTTTGCAGAGACAGTGTTTCACTATGTTGTCCAGGCTGGTCTCGAACTCATAAGCTCCAGCGATCTGCTTCAGCCTCCCAAAGTGCTGCAAATACAGGTATGAGACACTGTGTCCAGCTGATGGTACTCATAAAAGTAGGCATCTAAACTCAATACCTGAAAAACAAATGTGATGTTAAATTACATCTGAAATTTTAAAAATGTATTTAAAAATCCAAATAAAGCTTACAATTTCCTTATTTCCTTTATTTTAATGTGTCAAAAAAACACTTAAAGATATTCTTGTAAATACATATAAGCTGTGTGTCAACATTCAGTACTATGCAAATCATTTTTCAATATGACAAAATGAAAAACTTACACACTTTAGGGTAGCGCTTAATACTTATCTTTGAAATCTATTGCTGATGCTAGGTCTAAAGAGCAATGACTCAACCAGAAAAAATAGTAAAGGCTGCCTTTTCCTTTTTAAAGTGCTTATTAGCTTTATATCCAAAAACAATGGTTTTTACAAATACATAATACTGAAAGGTGCTCAAAAAGTCACCACTTACAGAATTGAACATGTCATTTTCTAACTCTGCACATGTAAACTTGTTTTATCTGCATTAATGAAGATTGCTTCAAATGGCTCTCAATCATATGCTTCAAATCAAGACAGTGCTAAGTTCCAGCAGCATAAACAGTGACAGCAGAACAAACCCCAGCACATTTTCAGTGGATCACAGCAGATCAGAGAAAGTGTAACAGCTTTTGAGTATGTTATACATCCAAGAGCCTTATATTTCACTCCACATAAACAGTAAACATAAAAGAAAAAAGAAACACTTTGTCTCCCTATAGAGCATTTTATAGTATAGGAAGGGATTCAAATTCTCTTTTTAACAAAATTCTTGTTTCTATATAGAGGAGATTTTATATTCTTAATGTTTACAACAAAGCCTATTTCCACCAAAAAAGCAAGAAGAAATTAATAAATGAAATCCTGAACTCTAAAAACCTAAGAAATAAAACTGTGAACAATTCTGAAACGGAGTGTTTTTTCTAAAGGCTAATACAAACATACCAAAATAGAATTTCTGAGCACGAACTATGTGATTTCATTTCAATCGTATCACTTTCATCTGATTGAAATAATTTAGAAACAATAAGGATGATCTTAATCTCACTATTTTCTGCATGAGACTATCGTTCCGATTCATCCCCTCAATACACACCACTGTCCAACAGTCTTACAGTGAGCATCCTCTCAGGTCCCTTTCTGCTCGCTGAACCTTAAGCTGGTTTTACCCCTCCTGTCTCTCTTCTCCAAAATCCTCTATATATCTTAAGAAGAAAATATTCCTTTAAAAAATGACAATTTAAATACAGTGTGATAATGCTACATTTGATTTAAAGTAGTAATAAATTATAAATTGCCAAATAACTTAATGTAATTCACGATGCAAATCCTTGGTATAAAAATAATCCATATTGCCCTGAATATAATAAAGCAATCCAGTGATTTTTAAATTACTTATGAAATAAAGGCAAAAATAAGATGTAAAATACTATTTATAAAAGTCAAGTAAGAAACCAGTTACCATAAATCTTTTTACAAAGATAAATGTAATGTGGCTTACTACTTTTAAAAATTGTCAGGGAGGTTTGCAATCAGTGGTTTCAAAAATGACTCTAGGGAAACTAGAGACTGAATTATATATTATTGTGATGTACAACATATTAACTATATATATAACAATAATACTGCAATGGGGGGTAATTAAGCTACTTCCTAACAAGTACATTTCTTTTTCAAAGTCTTTACTGTAACTGATTAATTTTTAAATGTTAGTTTTCAAAAACTTTTCTACTTGAGATATTTATGTTAGTAAGAAGATACCAGAAGTCTAGAATAGTAATCAAATGCCTATAAAATAAAATAATGATTGTTCTTGCATGTTCTGTTATTGTGACAAATACACATTAAAATAGATAACATTGCTATGCCTGGAAATTAAAAATATCCAAATCTGTTAGAAAGAAGTGGAAAAGGAAAGAAAAATCGAAAATTCTTATTTAAAAATGGATCTGAAGTCCTTGTATTTCTTAAGAGCTTGACTTGTCAAATCACAGTTTATCTTCTTTCTGAAACCAAGTTGTGTCTTCCACCATTCATTCACGTGATATGTCAATTCTCCATTTTGTAGGTCTCAGTTTGAATTTTCCTGAATATTTGCAAAACTGGTACTGGACTTGAGACGTTTGGCTAGATAAATCAAAAGAATTATATTTTAATTTAAATTTAATTATCAAACATGATTATTTACTATTTTTATGTAATCTATAGTATTTATCTATTAATTCTATGTTTGAATCCTAACAGTTCCAGCCTTATAAGAATTAAAACCTAATTAAAACTTTTTTCTACCAACCTTAAAAACACATAACTTTGTTAGAAATTGCACATGACTTTGTTAGAAGCAGTACAAATAAAACAACATCATTTATATCTTCTTGAACATCACAATCTTAAATATGTAATGTACGTGAAATAAATGTACTTAGACAATGAAAGTGCTATAAGGTAGAATAACAAAATTATACATCTAAAAGTCTAAGTTAGAAATCCAAATCTGAATTTCTCTTAAAAGAATTCAGTGAAAACTTCCCCAACCTGATAAAGAGCATGTACAAAGATTCTATAGCAATCATTATGCTTAACTGTGAAAGACTGAATGATTTTTCCCCCTAAGATCTGGAATAAGACGAAAATACCTGGTCTTGCTTGACATCATGCCACTAATTTATCACCAGCGCAACAAGGCAAGAGAAAGAAAAGGAAAGCTATACATATTGGAAAGAAAGAAAGAAAACTGCTTCTATTTTCAGATGAAAAAAAAATCAGTGAAAGAACTCTGTAATGGGAAAAAAAAAAAACAAAAACATTTTAATGACCCTCAAAGAAAAGTGAGTTGTATATTATTATGGAACTCTGTATTGTAAAAAAAAAATTTTAATGATCCTCAAAGAAAAGTGAGTTTTATGTTATATAAACACACAAACACATATGGCTGCTAACAAAATACGTTACCATCAATTCTGATTTGATGCTAATGGGACTGAGTCATTAGGGTTAATAAAACAAATCATGGCTATTTGGCTTGGTAATATGTTTTGTACTTATAGTTAAACATGAATGTTTCTCATGTTCTAGAAATGAAAAACAATCATGCCCATAGTGAGAGTATTTTATACTGAGTAACTAAGAGTCTCCCTACTTCAGAGCTTCACAAAACTTGGGTAGGGGTTATGATTTAGAAGCTCTGCAATGGGACCCTAGTACCTGTACTTTTTTAAAGCTCTGCAGATAATTCTGATGTGTAGCCAAGGATGAGAACCAGTGTTTCTGGTTTCTTTTTTTATTTTATTTTATTTATTTTTTTTGAGACGGACTCTCGGCTTTGTCACCCAGGCTGGAGTGCAATGGCTCGAACTTGGCTCACTGCAAGCTCCGCCTCCTGGGTTCACACCATTCTCCTGCCTCAGCCTCCCAAGTAGCTGGGACTACAGGTGCCCACCACCACGCCCAGCTAATTTTTTTTTTTTTTTTTTTTTTTTGGTATTTTTAGTAGAGACAGGATTTCACCGTGTTAGCCAGGACGGTCTTGATCTCCTGACCTCATGATCCGTCTGCCCCGGCCTCCCAAAGTGCTGGGATTACAGGCGTGAGCCACCGTGCCTGGCCTACCAATGTCTCTGGTTTCTTTTTTTTCTTTTTTTTTTTTGAGACGGAGTCTCACTCTGTCGCCCAGGCTGGAGTGCAGTGGCGCGATCTCAGCTCACTGCAACCTCTGCCTCCTGGGTTCAAGCGATTTTCCTGCCTCAGCCTCCCGAGTAGCTGGGACTACAGGCGTCTGCCACCACGCCCGGCTAATTTTTTTTTTGTATTTTTAGTAGAGATGGGGTTTCACCGTGTTAGCCAGGATGGTCTCAATCTCCTGACCTCATGATCCACCTGCCTCGGCCTCCCAAAGTGCTGGGATTACAGGCGTGAGCCACCGCGCCCGGCCTGTCTCTGGTTTCTATCAACTGTAAGTGGAAAATCACAACATGACTTCCTGGACGAGTGTACTGCTTCAGCTTAAAATAAAGGGAAAACTTAAACTAAAAACATTGGCCTAAACTAAAATCTACTTCTTAAGCCTTCAGTAGATTTGGGAGGCAAACCAAATCAATAGTTTGGGTTTTTGAGAATTACTTTGTTAAAAACTACTAGAAGTGATCTAGCTTCTGACAAAATTCAAATGACTTAATAAACTGGACAAGTTAAATACGAATGAGTACATACACCTACATCTTCCTTGCCTTTATATTCCCTACCTGATAAATCCCCACATCCTTTAAAATTCTAGCCCAGGGATCATCTAACGGTGAATTTCAACACCTCTAATGCAGTTAGCTCCTCCCTTCAGGCAGGGAAGACAAACAAATAAAGTAGAGAATAAATGAAAAAGATGATTTAAATAACCAATTATTTAATTTAAATTAGTTTAAGTGATTAAGTGCCATTAAAGAAAGACGGCACAGAAGAACAAATGGAGAGGTGTATTCTTAGACTGGGGAGTCATAAAAGGTCTCTTTGAGCAAGTAACTTTAGAGCTAAGACCTGGCTTGCAAGAAGCCAGGTAAGTAAAGAGGGAAGGGCCTTGGAAAAGGGGCAGTGTGAATGAGCTTGGTAGTGGAGAAGAACAGAAAGGAACCAGACTGTCCACAGCACCATGAGCAATGAGGAGAATGGATGTGACGAGTTTAGAAAGGTGGCTATGGGCCAGGTCATGTACAGCTTGGAGAGCAGACCCTGGAAAGTAAGTTTGGATTTATTCTAGGTACAATGGGAACACATTAAGCATTCCAAGTTAGTAGAGAAACATGGTGAATTTGTGTTTAAAAAATTATTCTAGCCACTATGTGGCGTATGGATTTTAGTAGATCAAGAAATGGAAGGAGGGATACCAGTTAAGGGGCTCTTGCGTTAGTACAGATAAGAGATGAAGATGGTTTGGGCTAGGGTTTACCAGTGGAGGGAGAGAGACGGACTAAGCAGAACTGGCAGCATACTTGCTAATGAATTAAAAGGGGATGAGAGGGGAATGTGGGAATGGAAAAATAAAAGAAAGAAAATAATTAAGAAATGACTACAAGGTTTGTGGCTTCCATAGCAAATAGTGACACTGGTAGTGACTTTTACTTTGACAGCAAACAAAAAATCCTGATCAGAAGCAGTAAATACTTTCCATAAAGTTAAATAGATTAGCAAGGCAAATAAGATGCTAAACTTTAAAAGTATACCAAGCTCTGAAAAATAGTTTCTCAATGGTGAGGTGCCCACAATATTTTGCTATTATTCTAAGTAAGTGCTTTAAGGACCTGAGCTACTGCATATTTACAGAATGCTGGCAGCCTTCAAAAAACCTTTAATAAATACACCCATGACAAAGACTCTCCCCTCTAGTAGCTAGCATTTTAAGGTGACAAAACATTACAAATTCAGTTCAAACTGATCTACAGGTAACCTTTTTTTAAAAAAATTAGATATATTAGAAGTGAAGTTAGATGAAGTAGTGATCGAAATTTATAGGGAAAAGAATTTTTATATCAGACATTCCTAGACTACAAATAGTATTTGAGAGAAAAGAAAATTAACCTTTTCCCCTAAACAGTTCTCTTTTTTAAAAACTAAAATTATTAAGGCATAAGCCTGTACTTTCATTCTGATAATAAACAAGAAAGCCACGTGACTTAGAAGCCACTCTTCCTTAGCTGGATGGGATCTCTAGTTAGTGCTTCTTTTGCTCTGGCCTATTTCATAGGGAGAAAGAAAGGGAATTAATATGTATTGAGCATATACTATTATATCAAGTAATCTCCTTGGAACTACGATTCCAATTTGTTCACAAACAAACTGTCTGTTATGTCAGCTATAGTTTCTTCCTGCCTGCCACACTTAGGTGGTTCTACCATGACTCCGATGGGTCTAAGAGCTGTCTGTATCTCCCTGCTATTGCCATGTTAGGAGTGCAAAGCCTCTGTTGTTATTCTTCTGTTGTTGCCAACCTTATTCCAGGGGTAATCTAGCTTTCTCAATTTAATCATCTGAAAGACACTGTGTTTTAACTTTTTTTTTTTTTTTTTTTTTTGAGACAGTCTCACTCTGTCTCCCAGGCTGGCGTGCAGTGGTGCGATCTCGGTTCACTGCAACCTCCGCCTCCCAAGTTCAAATGATTCTCCTGCCTCAGCCTCCCGAGTAGCTGGAACTACAGGCATGCGCCATCATGCCCGGCTAATTTTTTGCATTTTTAGTAGAGATGGGGTTTCACCGTGTTAGCCAGGATGGTCTCGATCTCCTGACCTCGTGATCCGCCCACCTCATCCTCCCAAAGTGCTGGGATTACAGGCATGAGCCACTGCACCTAGCCCTGTTTTAACTTTTTATTGTCCACACTTATAAAATTTTCACAGATCTCTTTCACTAGTAAGCATGATTGTAAAACTTAAAGCAGAGAGTCCTTTTAGGCTAATCTACTTTGAGTTCTCAGAGTAGCTATCATTTCTAAAACAGGCCTAAATTTTTAAAATACAGGCTTTTATCTATAAAATAAATAATTGTAAAAAACTTACGCAGAATGAGTTTGCGTTTCTTTTGCTCTGAGTGAAGAAAGCTACTAAGGTAGAAGACAACAGGTAGAAAGAGAATGAACACAGAAACAGCAATTACAGGCACTGTGTCACTGCAAGGGACTGAACAGTTGAAAGTTCGACTCCATAGTTTTCGAGTGATGTTCATCTGGAACAAGAGCAAACAATATCTTTCTATTTTATATTTAACTTGTCTTCAATTTCTTATAATTATTTTGCTAATAACTAAACAGGAATCTAGAATTTAGACTCAATACATACCTCTAAAAACCTACTGATAGTTGAGGACAACTTCTTCTGCCAGGAAAAAAACCTGGTTCAAAATACAGTCATTGTAGAAATTTATATCCATACAGAAATTTCATATTCTAAGTCCATAATACTGACCAAAGTATTCTAGAATGTCAACCATTTGTACATTCAAACAAAGAACTTATATGAAGAGGAATATAGTTAGGCCCTGTTTTATTCATTTACAAAATATTTATTATTTATTGAGAGCCTACTAGAAACCAGGTACTGTTTTAGGCAATAGGAATGGAGCAGTAAAAACAAACAAAAAGCCACACTGTACATTTCATTTTAAGTACTTTTTACCATCTCGAATATTATTGGTTCTTATAGTTCCCTCTGAGCTGCTGTGATAATTCACACATTCTCAATTCTTAAGCTCATTAATTCTGACCTCAAGTTCTCTACTTTGAGCCAATAATTTCTCAGTTTCCTCTAATGCCCCAAAACTCCAGCATCATAGTGCCTAAAAAGGCATGATTGCCATCTAGTGGCACCCTATGTAAAGGCAGGCTATAAAATGGAGAAAAAAAAATTTTTTTTGACCATTCAATTAATACATGTTTATTAAGCCCATTATATGCTAGACTGTCCTAAATACTGTCCTAAATACTGAATAGTGAACAAAAAAAGCCTAAGTCCTTGTCCTCATGTGGCTTATATTTTAGTGAGGAAGACAGACTAAAAATAAATAAATAAATATTTTCAGATGGTAATAGATATAAGAAAATAAAACAATGGAATAGGAAGTGATTGAGGAATGGCTTCTGAAACATGTAGTGAAATCCAGAAACGTCTTTTTTTTTTTTTTTTTTTTTTTGAGACGGAGTCTCGCTCTGTCGCCCAGGCTGGAGTGCACTGGCACGATCTCAGCTCACTGCAACCTCTCCCTCCCGGTTTCAAGCGATTCTCCTGCCTCAGCCTCCTGAATAGCTGGGATAACAGGCGTGTGCCACTACACCCGGCTAATTTTTCTATTTTTAGTAGAGACGGGGTTTCACCATGTTGGTCAGGCTGGTCTTGAACTCCTGACTTCGTGATCTGCCCGCCTCAGCCTCCCAAAGTACTGGGATTACAGGTGTAGTCACCGTGCCCAGCTCAGAAACTTCTTAAATTAGCAACAAGTGCACAAGAAACTGAAATATAAACATATAACAATACCTACACCTCTGCAAATGGCACATATTTTCAAATTTAAAAAGATTAAAATGTACCAAAGCATCAACTCACTTATGAAGTACCTAATTAATTTCTGTTTTATTTTTATCCTAACCATGAGACTACTAAGGAAATATCCATTTTGGTTTAACAGACCAGGATATTCTAAAACTTTACTACTTTATAACTAGTTATTTTTGGTTGAGGACAGAATATGCAGATTCCACCCTATCACCAAAAATAATAATCATACTGAAGGTACATTCAATAACACTCTAAAATATGTATCACATCAGAAGCAAAGTACTTACTGCATCTTCCACATCAATGCATAAATGTGTTCCAGGTTCAGCCTTATTCTCAAGTTCATTCATTTTTTGCATTTCACTGTACAGACTACTCAGAGTTTTGTATGCTTCACGGCAGTTTTTGCATACTTCTGAATAATTTTTTGTCTGTAAAAGACTATGTGCATTCCCCTAAAATGACAAAGGCACATGTAATATATACAATAAACATTATATACAATATCTCTTTAATGTAAGCTATTTACGCTTCTAGAAGACGGGAAACAATATGGTGTGTTAAAGTGCTAAGCTGTGATGTTGAGTAGGTTACTAAATCACTCTGAGTCTCAGTTTTATCATCTATAAAATAAAACGACCTCTACCTGTATTATAAGTCCGAAGGATTAGAGACCCGGTATGTGAAGCAGATGGCAAACTGTTTGGAACTTTCTAGGTGCCTCTAAATTTTCAAAACTGCTGCATTAGCTAATGTTAACTGAGGATAACAATAATTCATATGCCAAATGACTAGTAACTAAATACAAAATTTCCTAAATTATCTCATCATCACAAACCCTCACTTATCTATCCTACTCTCACTGAATAAATAAAATAGGTTCCTGCCTATGCTGACTTGAACACCATAGTTTATCTTACTGAGACAGAACTTTTTAAATGGAAAGGGAAAAGGCACCAAAACTGCATCCCCACTCAACTCTCTTATCACAAGGCTCATAATCCAGGCCTTTCTAGTCAACAAAAAGGGCCAAATACCAAAGAATTGTATAACCTAAAATGAGGATAGTGGAGGTACATAAAATATTATGCTACTAAATCTCAATATTTTGTACTTCTAGACTGACACTTGTCTTTTCAAGAATAAGTTTGCTAAACAGTCAGTTCACACCTTTGCTTTCTATGCCCTTTATTCTTTACTTTGTAGTATGAAGAAAGAATATTAACTGAACATTGGGATGAAAGAGAAAAGAGAAAAATCAAAGTAATTACACTGATGTTGGCCCAACAATGTTACCCTCACCATCTGCTTGACAGAAAAACTAAGTCTCTCCTTAGTCTGCTACAAGAAATAGCCCATTGCTTGTTTTTCACAGAACAATTGTGCACTTAGTTAAAAATTGAGCACAGGGCTGGGCGCGATGGTTCACACCTGTAAACCCAGCACTTTGGGAGGCCGAGGTGGGCGGATCACAAGGTCAGGAGATCGAGACCATCCTGGCTAACACGGTGAAACCCCATCTCTACTAAAAATACAAAACTTAGCCGGGCGTGGTGGCGGGCACCTGTAGTCCCAGCTACTTGGGAGGCTGAGGCAGGAGAATGGCGTGAACCCGGGAGGCGGAGCTTGCAGTGAGCCGAGATCGCGCCACTGCACTCTAGCCCGGGTGACAGAGCGAGACTCCGTCTCAAAAAAAAAAAAAAAAATTGAGCACATAATCCATTTAACTAAAATTGTGCACATAATCTAGATGGGGAGTAATTTAACCTTTTTTTTTTTTTTTTTTTTTGAGACACGGTCTTGCTATTTTGCCCAGGCTAATTTCTAACTCCTGGGCTCAAATGATCCTCCCACCTCAACCTTCCAAAGTGCTGGGATTACAGGCAGGTGCCACCATACCTGGCCACAATTTTTATTCAAATTTAAAATGCACATATCTTTTAATAATGTGAAAGTTGCAGACATTAGGATGAAATCACCTTTTGACAGACCAAGACAAAATAGAGACAAAAAGAGTCCTTGTTTCCAAAGACTTTCTAAAAACCCCACAAGAAATCCTTTCACGCCCTTCATTGCAACTCCTGCTTTCACATGGTTTATCACTGCCATTCTTTAGGACTGCAGTAATTCAGATAAGATGCACTCAAAAGAACACTTGCCCAGTAATGGCATCGCCACCAATGAACTGACAACTTGGCTTTGAGCCTCAGGAACCAATGAACTCAGTTTCCAAGCAGCTTGTGTGAACCTCTCCCTTTTTGCTAATAAAAGCTTCCCTTTACCCTTCCCTCACTGGATGTACTGGTGGTTTGCCAGTGCATTCCAAATTACCATACTTCTTTCTTATTCCCTAATAAACTCATCATATTTGGAGATAATTTTCTCTAGTGTCTTTTTCTTAGGCTGCCAATATAGTAATTCTACTTCTAGAAATCTACCAAACTCATACAAGTACTCTAAGTTAAATGAAAAGAAGACTGTTTATGGTGTACAATTTAAAACTTATTATTTCCAGAATTTTCCATTTAATATTTTTGGACTGCAGTTGGCCACAGGTAACTGAAACTGTGGAAAGTGAAGCCATATATAAAAGGGATGACTTTATAGAAAAATTGCTATTTGAGTGTTACAACACACATCAGTCCACTAAAGGCTCTGAAGTCCTGTAGTAAAGCATTTCCCAACCTTAATGGAATACTAAACCCTTTCTGATAGGACATCTATTAACATGCTGCAGAACAAATTCTGAGAAATGTTCACCTAATTTTTTTTATTTTATTTTTTTGAGACAGAGTCT
Organism: Homo sapiens; assembly: GCF_000001405.40. NCBI lineage: Eukaryota > Metazoa > Chordata > Mammalia > Primates > Hominidae > Homo > Homo sapiens. The sequence goes on from NC_000006.12 coordinate 108,053,541, forward strand.
CTCTGCAACGCCCAGGCTGGAGTGCAATGGCACGATCTCAACTCACTGCAACCTCTACTTCACTACAGGCGTGCACCACCAAGCCTGGCTAAGTTTTGTATTTTTAGTAGAGACAGGGTTTCACCATATTGGCCAGGTTGATCTCGAACTCCTGACCTCAAGTGACCTGCCTGCCTTGGCCTCCCAAGGTGCTGGGATTATAGGCATGAGATACTGCACCTGGCCCAATTTTTATTATTCTCAAGGAAATTCATAATTCAGTGTTACCACATTTATTACAGAAGAAATCATACATGCTTATACCCTAAGCATGTGTACATCTACTATGGGGATTACTTACTTGTTATGTAAGTTTCAAAACTACATTTTAACCAGAGTTCCAACCTCGTCCTTCACCACGACCGGGCAAGTTCCAATACCAAAATTCAAGAGTCAGAGATAGAGATGGCAATAATCTACAAGGTTAAGATTCTTAAAGCTACCTTTTATTATCATAATTCAATACTCAAAGTTATCTTACTAAACAGTGCTTTTTAAGGTAGGTAAAACATACTTAAGCAAATTTCAGGCAAAGAATAAACTTCCTATAGACAGAATCATACTACACTGCAAAATACCTACGTAAGTCAGATTGAAAACCATTGTGTTTTAATTAAACAATCACACACCTCAATCAATGTTTTCACAATCATTATCTCACCAGATTCTCATTACAAAATACTTTAAGATAGGCAGGATAGATATTATCTCCATTTTACAATGAGAGAACTGAGGTTTTCATGATTTGTAAGTAGAAGAACTTACTTAAGAGCAGAAATCCAGGTCCACTAACTCCTTTACATCATGAATTTAGATAAATATCAATAATTAGTGCTCTAAAAACTTGGAACTGCACATTATTCCTTTGTACAAGGCAGCATTTTAATTTTAAATATTATATATAAAATACCTGAAGGTTATGTTCAAAGCAGGTCAGGGTGTGATTAAATAGATTAAGGAAATATACTGTGCTGTTTGATAATTCTTCACTGTTGTTTGTTAAACAATCTGTCAAAAAAATTCAAAAAGTATATTAATATAACTCAAGGAACAATTCTATGTTGTCATTTATATCTTAAGCTATCAGCTTCGTTTCACACTACAGTAATTCTTTATTCAAACAAGCATGAATTTTCCAAATATATGAAGCTTACTCCTTTTATTTTCCAAAAGTTAAAAAAGTCATAACCATTTTCATGAACATGTTAAAATAATCACATACTCTCTTTTCATAAAAATATACCAAATAAAATTCAAATGGACTTTTGATGGCACAAGGTCATAATCACGGAATATCAGCTATCAAATGCTGCCTTAACAGTGCTATTTAGGCATAAGACTGTTTACCCTGCATTAATTTTACCGAAACTCATATGCCTTATCATTTTTTGTGTCAAATTTCATAGTTCTCTGCATCTTCCAACTTCACTAATGAGTCATTTATTGTACCTAATGGGGTAACTTTTAAAATTCGCTCTTTCTAATCCATCACGAGTTGGGAGCCCAGAGAAACAAACTGGTGAGAATTTTGCCTAAAATACTGACGTGGGGGCTTCAAGTAAAGTCTAGAAACAAAATTGTTTTACATTTTTAAAAATCCTACATAAATGGTATTTCTCTGCAACTGGCTATTCTTGCTTAGAGTTAGCTCAAGTTCACTCATCCCTTTTATTTTCTATGTATGTGTATATCACAATTTATGTATCCATTTTCCCTTCTTCAGGGAATAATCTATTCTTCTTTTTTTTTTTAAGAAACGGGGTCTTGCTCGGTTGCCCAGGCTGGAGTGCAGTGGCACAATTTGCCAGCTCATTGCAGACTTGAACTCCTGGGCGCAAGTGATGTTCCCACCTCAACCTTCCAAAGTGCTGGGATTACTTAAAGGCATGAGCCACTGCGCTCAGCCAGGGAACCTAGTCTTTATCCTCAGGTAAACCTTTGTCTTTACCTCTCCTTGTGTTCTCAGCCTGCTATCTCCAATCGAGGTTCAACTGCCTGGTTCCAGATCTTGGAACTTGTGGTCAGTCGTTTCCATCTGACTCTCCTAGAATCCTTGCCCTCTTTATCTTCCACATATTCACAGCCATTTTCATCCCTGGACAGTCCCCATCTACTTTCTGTACTCTCAGTCTGGTTACAGAATACTACTACAGAAATTCTAAAATGATAATGAAGGGACTCAATTCAAATTCATGTGTTCTGATCTCGGGGCAACAAAATGATCCTTGTAGATGCCCTCCTAATTGCTCTGCAAGGGATGTTCCACATATTTTCTCATCTCTAGTCCCAGCCCTACTCTTGTTCCCCTTAATTTCAACAGATGGCTTTGTATTATGCCCACCTTATTTAGAAATTCAGGGCCATCAGATAGGATCTCTCTCAACTGGAAGTGGAAAGACAACATGCAAAGCTATTGCAATTACCCAGGAGAAAGGCAGCAAGGCAAGTAGAATTTGTGGAGAAAAGAGAGACGGACTAGGTAGACACTAGGATATGACACACTAAGGGACATCCATGTACTCTGACAGACAACAATTACTACAACGAAAGTTAACACTTACTAAATACTTGCTATGTTCTAAGAACTATGCTTACACTGCACTTTAAACACATTTGCCCATTTAATTCTTGCAGTGATTCCATGAGGGAAAAATTATCATTATCTCCATTTTATAAATAAGGAACAGAGATAGGTTTAGATAAATTAAGGAAGTTGCCCAAGGACATAAAACTGGTAAGTAAAAAGCTAGACTCTGTACTCAGTCTGATTCTTGAGCCTGCACTCTCAAACACTGCAAAATAAACATATTTATATCTACATTCTAAACCATTAAAAGTTCAAGACTCGGAATCTACAAATACATGCCACTGCCTACTCCCTCCACTACCCATAGATATCTTACACCATACAGGGATTCAGGCAGTCCCCACCAACTGATCAGAGTTAGCAACTGAGATGAAACCTAAACCTGGTAGACAGGGGCAGACAGCACAGTAAAGCTCCTTTGTGCAAATCAGAAAAAGATATTCCCTCTGGGTAGATAAATTACAAAAGGTCATTCCTGCCTCCAGAAGCTAAGCTGGAATTCAGCCCCATTCACCTCCTTGTACAGCCCCCTTGTGCAGGGCTCCTTCTGCACCCATTGTACACAGGATCCTCTTGGTAAACCTATTTCAGGAGTTGTCCCCTCTCTGAACTCACATACTCTACATTCTCTGAAGCTTTATCTTCTCCAGAACATGAATCTCATTCTAACTTCTCACCCTTATTTAAAAAATCTGAGGGATCACTACAAATTAGGAAACTAAGCCACAGAAATAGGTGATATGCTGATGATCATACCACAAGTTAATAAGCCATTGATATAAAAATAGGCCAGCATGGTGGTTCACACCTGTAATCCCAGCATTTTGGGAGGCAGGTGGATTGCCTGAGTCCAGGAGTTCGAGACCAGCCTGGGCAACATGGTGAAAACCTGTCTCTACAAATAATACAAAATTAGCCAGGCATGGTGGCGTGCATCTGTGGTCCCAGCGGCTTGGGAGGCTGAGAGGGGAGAATTGCTTCAGCTTGGGGAGGTCGAGGCTGCAATAAGCTGTGATTGCGCCACTGCATTCCAACCTGCATGAAAGAGTAAGAACTTGTCTCATTGCCCCTCTTAATGCTAGTTTAATATCATCATGAAGTAGCCCGCAATCCTTTTAGGGATGAGGCAGAGTTGATATAAATAAAAACAAACAATTACATAGTTTTTGTACATGTTTACAAAAACAATTATATAGTTTTTGTAGTTGATGTGTTGCAGGGAAGTTAAGGGAACACAATTTCATTCACAACAGTTGTACATCTGTGTTATAATGAGCTATGTCGTGACAACTGACATAACAATATAGGGATAAAAGGGGTCCACATACTGCCAGCAAAAGTAGTATAAAGTGCATTATCATGAGAGAGCAATAGCAAATTTCTTCTATGCAAGATACCTAATTAAAACAAATAATTTCTTTTGCAAAAGCAATTTATAAAGAAAGCTTCTCTGAAGAACAAAAGAACTTAATTTCTTTTATTAATAATTACATTAATGCATTACCATCAAAACTTTTTCAATGATCATTAGATGGTGGTAACATAAAGCATAAAGCAGTTCATTTATATAATGGGGTTAAAAAGTCTTCATTATTAAAAAGCCATGACTTTCTGAATCGAAATAACAGATCTCTAGTAAATTCCTTTTTTATCTTTTTGCAGGAATTGGGAGCTTAAGATTATAAACAGTGAGAAGCTGTATGTTTTAGAAATTGGTGAGTTAAAGAATATTAATAATAATAAAGCTTCCTTTAAGCACTAAGTGAAGTGGTCATTATGAATTTCCTTCATCTTAGATAATCAATGGAGCCTCATCAAGGGCAGATTAGCAGAGTGGCTTTCTCAGAGAAGGCTCAGGCATCAGCTTAAGAGTCAATCTTTTTTTTTTTTTTTTTTTTTCTGAGACAGAAGAATCTCACTGTCACCCAGGCTGGAGTGCACTGGCATAATCTCAGCTCATTGCAGCCTCCAATGTGCCTGGCCTCAAGAGGCATTCTTAAAGGTATTAAGGATTCAAGTTAAGACCTCACAGAGAAACCTACTAAATTATCATAACAGGAATTATGCATCTTTAAATAAAGCATTTGGCATCTCTTAGGAATTTTACAAAGATCTTTGCTGTTTTTCAAAACTAGTTTTATAGAAAATAGCAGAGATAATCACCAATTTAGGGTAAGCTTCAGAAAATAAAAATAAACTACGGCAACTTTGTACCTAAATGACCTAATTAAGTTTAACAAATATGAAAACTAAGATACTTTAAATTATAAGATACAAATAATATGATTATAACGCTTAGTACATTTCCCTCTGGATAAAATATGGGAAAGAAAGGTTTTGGGCCGGGCGCAGTGGCTCACGCCTGTAATCCCAGCACTTTGGGAGGCCGAGGCAGGTGGATCACGAGGTCAGGAGATCGAGACCACGGTGAAACCCCGTCTCAACTAAAAATACAAAAAAAGTTAGCCGGGCGTGGTGGTGGGCACCTGTAGTCCCAGCTACTCAGGAGGCTGAGGCAGGAGAATGGCGTGAACCTGGGAGGCGGAGCTTGCAGTGAACTGAGATCGCACCACTGCACTCCGGCCTGGGTGACAGAGCAAGACTCCGTCTTAAAAAAAAAAAAATGTTTTGGTTAATTGACCTTCTGGTTAATCATTAAGTACTATTGTTGTTGCTTTTTAAAGCATCAAGACATACATTGTATGTGTTAACTGAAAGTTAGTTTTCCTCTGATGAATCAGAATATACATCGGGATTACACAGTGGTTCAACAGCATCATTATGCTCATTAATTATCACCCAGATCACCTGTATCACTGAAGATATAGGTTGCTCATAAAGAAAGAGTTTTCAGTGTGTAAGAACAAATATCTGAACTGATAATTTTGAGGCCTATCTCATTATAATAATGCTTCATACTGGATACTGCTTACCAAAGAACCAAAACACTAAAGCAGTCATGAACTCATCAAATCTGGTCATTCTGCTGATTATTTAACTGCTGTATGCACAAGATAAGCAAGAAGGGTCTCAATAACAAGGCTATCCCTATGTCAACAATACACACCTTTAAAATTCTGAGAAACCTTTAATATACTCTCTTTACTTTTTGGCAGTCATTCTCCATCAGAAACAGCTAGTTTCCATGTTATTTGTAGTATGAGTAGAAAAAGTTGCACTCTTAACACTTCTTTTGACCTTCCATCAATTTCCAATAACCAGATTCCTACCAAGACTAATACCATTTGAAGACACAGGAATTCTGAGAAGAAAAGGGATGGGAGTAGTACATGGATGGCATTCTCTCCTCTCTTGGATTCCTAGCCTTCCTTTCATGAATAATAACTGCAGAGACTAGATGCCACCCCTATTTCAAGCTAAATTAAGCAGAACAGAAAGATAGTTTTGGGCAGTATACTCATTTTAATAATATTCTTTCTAGTAATATTTTACCTTTCATGTTTTTACATTTTTTTCTGTTATTTAATAATATTATTTTACAAAAATTCTAATAGCCCCTGTTATGGTCTGAATGTGTCTCCCAAAATTGATATGTTGAAACTTGATGGCCAATACAATAATATCAAGAAGTGAGGCCTTTAGGAAGTGACTAGGTCATGAGGGTTCCTTCTTCACAAATGGGATTTACTCTTCCACTTTTCTGCCACATAAATGGGATGATGAATGATGATAATTTTTAATGCGTAATTCTGGAAAATGAAATAGCTAATCTCTCTAACCACATCTAACATACAAATACTCATCACAGATTTGAACATTCTGTTAAATTTTTTAAATTTCTATATATTTTTGAATACATATTAAATGTATATGGCATAAAATCCAAAGGGTACAAATGCAAATACGGTGAAAACTAAATCTTCCTTTCTTTCCTGCCCACACAGCTATCCAACTGCCCTCCCTCAAAATACATATGTATTTTTAGAACACAAAATATCATACTTCTCTGTACCTCGCTTCTTTTACCTGAGACCATATGTCTGGGCCAAATTAATTTTAATTGGGAAGAGTCTTTTAAGTAAGTCATATCTAATTGCTTAGCATTTTATTTGGTCCTCAGAAGTTCAATGTAAGGAATATTTTCAAGATAGGATGCCTCACAGAAGAACAAAATACCCTAAGAATTTATTCTAAAGCATTTTATACCTGCCATACTGAGTATGCGGTAAAACGTTTTCTTTTCAACTAACTGGGGAAAAAAGGTCTGTACTTCGAATTAGTGAAATCTTTTTTACAAAACACCTTTTAAGCCAGGCACAGTGGCTCACACTTTCAATCTCAGCACTTTGGGAGGCCAAGGAAGGAGGATTGCTTGAGTCTAGGAATCCGAGACCAGCCTGGGCAACATGACAAAACAGCATCTCTATTAAAAACACAAAAATTGGCCAGGCATCCTCGTGCTGCCTGTAGCCCCAGCTGCTTGGGAGGCTGAGGCTGGAGGATCACTTGAGCCCTCAAGAGGTGGAGGCTACAGTGAGCTGAGATTGTGCCACTGTATTCCAGCCTGGGCAACAGAGCAAGACTCTGTCTCAAAAATCAAACAAACAAAAACACTTTTTAAAGAAAAAAAATGCCCTGCCTCTTCTAAGTATATAAATTTAGTCACATCTGTCAAAAGAAGTGAACCCCTGGCTCATCTGAAGGTAGTGAGTTATCTCAATTAATTGTTCACAGTTGGTTACAGATCGAACTCCTTGTTCTACTCTTTCCCCTCTTCTCACTGCTGCACTTGACTAGTCTTAAAATAAAATTAAAAAATAAAGAAGTGAATCCCAGTATATATCCACTTATTCCAATTAACTGATTTTAAATTATTTATAATTAACATATTTTTCTATGTTAATGGATTTTTCTAAAAAGCTTAAGAATACTTAAAAACAGGTCTACATATGTTAAGCAAATGCTCTTCAATCATATTTATACTAGAAAATTTTACTCTGAAAAGTAAAGGATATGCTAAAAAAAAAAGTTGTGTTAGTCAAGCTTCGGAAACAAAATTTTAAAAGTCAGTATTCAATATACCATAGTATACTGACAAGGGAAAAAAACTGGCTGGGGCTTCTTATCCCATTTTAGTTTTTCTTCATATGAACTAAACAAAAAGACAAGTCTTGATAAAAGCTAAGCTACTTAATGACTTATAGGTACACAAATTTTTAATCTATCCTTCTATTTCCAAGGCCCCTCCCTACTTCACATTTTCTTTCCTTCTTGCCTAAACTATAGCAGTAAACTTCTTACTGGTCTCTCTCTCTTCCAATGAGGTTCCATGAAAAAAGGATCTTTGTAGTTTTTTTTTTTTTTTAAAGGCTTAGAAAGTGCTAGGTTAAATGATGTTTAAAAAACCTTTTTCTTTAAGACAGGGTCTTGCTCTGTTGCCTAGGCTGGAGTGCAGTGGCACAGTCATAGCTCAATGTGGCCTCCAACTCCTGGGCTCAAGCACTCCTCTTACCTCAGCCTCCCAGGCAGCTGGGACTATAGGCATTTGCCACCATGCCCAGCTAATTTTTTTCTTTTCTTTTCTTTTCTTTGTAGAGACTCTGTCTCTACAAAAAATGTTGCCCAGGCTGGTCTTGAACTCCTGGGCTCAAGCAATACTACCATCTTGTCCTCCTGAAGTGCTGGGATTACAGGTGTGAGCCTCCCCACTGAGCCAAAAAAAAACCCTTTTAAAAAAATCTCAATGCATTTAATATTCCAGGTGCATTGTAAATCCCAAAGATACTACAACATACAGTAGTCAACTCTTATCTTCAAGGGATATATTCCAAGACTCCCAATGGATGCTTGAAACCAAGTATAGTACCAAACCTTCTATATACTACGTTTTTTTCTATTTCTATGTTTTTTTTTCTAGTATAGTACCAAACCTTCTATATACTATGGTTTTTTCTGTTTTCTATATCATACCCATGATAAAGTTTAATTTATAAATTAGGCACAGTAAGAGATTAAAAACAAAAACTAATAATTATGTTACTATTATTAAAGAATTAGTAAGTAAACTAAGGGTTACCTGAACACAAGTAGTGCCATACCATGACAGTTGACCTTATAACCAAGATGCTCCTGAGTGCCTCACAGGAGGGGCAGCATCTACAGTATAGATATGCTGCACAAATGGATGATTCGCAGCCCAAGTAGATGAAGCAGGATGGCATGGGATTTCATTATGCTACTCAGAATCATACACAATTTAAGATTATAAATGGTTTACTTCTGAAATTTTCCATTTAATATTTTTGGACTGCAGTTGACTGCAGTAACTGAAACTACAGCAAGTGAAACCATGGCTAATAGAATACTATATAATCATAATAGGAGAATACTATATAAGCTTTTCTTTTCTTTTTTTTTTTTTTTTTGTTATTGTTGTTGTAGATAGGGTCTCGTTCTGTTGCCCAGAGCGGGGAGCAGTGGCACAACCATGATTCATTGCAGCCTTGACCTCCCATCTCAGCCTCCCAAGTTGCTGGGACTACAGGCACATGCCACCAAGTCCAGTTAATTTTTTATTTTTTGTTGAGACAAAGTTTTGCCATGTTGCCTAAGCTGGTCTTGAACTCCTAGGCTCAAACAATTCTCCCACCTTGGCCTCCCAAAGTGCTGGGATTACAGGTGTGAGCCACCATGCCTGGTCTATAACCCCTTCTTAATAATATGCTGATATTCTAAGCAGTATAAAAAATGTTGGCCCAAATAGTATACTACTCTGTCAGTCAAGGTCCTACTTTCCCTTGCTAACTTTACCTCCCACTATGCTTCCTGGAACATCTGTTGCCCTTTTATACCTCTGTGACTACCTGCAATGTCCTTCTCTCATTTCTACTTTTTTTTTTTTTTAAGACAGGGTCTTGCTCTGTTGCCCAGGCTGGAATGCAGTGGCACAATCATATCTCACTGCATCCTTGAATTCCTGGGCTGAAGGGATCCTCCTGCCTTAGCCTCCCAAGTGGCTAGGACTACAGTCACACACCACCATGTCCATCTAATTTAAAAAATATATATTTTTGTAGAGATGGGGGTCTCACTATGTTCCCCAGGCTGGTCTCAAACTCCTGGGCTCAAGCAATTCTGCCTTGGCTTCCCAAAGTGCTGGGATTACAGGCGTGAGCCGCCTCACTGGCGTCATCTCTACTTATTGAAATCATGTCCAATAGTACAGGCCTAGGTTCAAAAGGTAGCTCCTCCAGGAAGTCATTTCAAATTCTCCCCAGTAAGATTTATTTTCTTCTTCCTCCAAGGACTCTATAACTTTATTAAAGCATTTATGTGTCTGTCCTAGGCTGTATTTGTAAATATATCTTTCTCACTCATTAAATTATAAGACTTGAAAAATAAGAACTGCCTAGCACATAGTTGGTATTCAAAACATCATCTGAATTGGAAGTGATTTTAATTTTTCCAAAGAATATCTAAAAATAGATCTTATTTTATTACACAATTACACACAAACCTGCAAAGAAGGTAGAACAGATGTCATCATCCCACCCCGCCGCCTGCCACACACCACTTGACAGATTACTGTAAACATCATAATTATTATTATACTAAACAGTTAACATTTCTTGAACACTAAATACGTGTCAGGCATTGAGCTAAGTGCTTTACACAATTTATTTCATTTCATTCTCAAGGCGACTATATAAGATAGGTTCTATCATTACCACCAATTTACAGATGAAGAAACTGAACTTCCAAGAGGCAAAGTTTTTCTCCCATATCTGACAGCTAGTAGGTTAGGGCTAGTAAGTGGCAGAGCTTAGAATCAAACCCAAGTCTATCTAAATCCAAAGCTCATAGTAACTGCTACACTTTTCTGCCTTTCGCTATTTGCTCAGTTGCCATTAATAAACCATGGTGTCCATGACAGTTTATTTAAACTTAGCAATAAAAAGTATTATCCAGCTTCAAAGATCCCAAAATTCACTAAAATAAAATCTGACATCTGTACTACTGAACCATAACTGCAACATGAAAATGAAAGAATTACTTACTTGCACAATTTGCCTCCTGCCATGTGGTATTAAAAAATTCTGAGAGAATCACAACTATTTGCATTCTATCTGCCATTAAGAGACTTCTGGCACAACTCTGACTCTCTGAAGTATTCTGTAACAAAAAGAAGACAGAAAAATACAATCTGAGTATTTTCAGACTTTGCAAACAACTTGAGGCAAAAACCTTACAAAAATAACATTTATTATAAGCTTTTTAACATTTTGTTTGATATGATCAGATGTTAACATTAATAAAAACAATGATAATAAAGTAATTAGCAGCTAACATTTATTGGTACTAGGTTCACTTGCAAAGGAAGAAAATCTTTGTTATCTAAATAGTTTGTACCCAGATGGAAAAATATGCTTTTGTAGATCATTTTAATAATGAAAGAAACTCATGCTATGCAAATAATAAATCCAAGTTCCCAAATCATTTGATCCTTATCTATTTCCTTTCCTTCGTGCCCCAAGCAAGGAACTAAGTCCTGCTGACCCTTAATTCTTTCAAAGTTATTTAACTCCTACTATTTACTAGGCACTATAAAAATCCTGAAGTTCTGAGGATATAAAAAGTATAAAAGAATGCCATCAATTCTGGGGCTTTGAGAACCTCTCGCAGTTACACAGACAAGGAGTTATACAGTGTGATGAATAATAAAAGAGTGGTAACTCCTGGGAAACAAATGGTCAGTCATGTGGGAGAAGAAATGGAAAAAAGGAGAAAAGAGGGAGAAAAGGAAGAATTTCTGCTTTAAAATATAAAATCCAAGCGATTCTCATGCCACAGCCTCCCAGGTAGCTGGGACTACAGGCACATGCCACCACACCCAGCTAATTTTTGTGTTTGTAGTAGAGACGGGGTTTCACTATGTTGGCCAGGCTGATCTTGAACTCCTGAACTCAAATGATCCATCCACCTCGGCCTCCCAAAGTGCTGGGATTATAGGCATGAGCCACTGCACCTGGCCATGAACAGAACATTTTAAAACTCTTTTTTAGAATTACCTTCTGAGCAATACCAGCCATAGAAGAAAATTTTCTATTATCACTTTTTTTTTTTTTTTTTTGAGATGGAGTCTCACTCTATCGCCCAGGCTGGAGTGCAGTGACGCAATCTCAGCTCACTGCAACATCTGCCTCCTGGGTTCAAGCGATCCTCCTGCCTTAGCCGCCCGAGCAGCTGGGACTACAGGCACATGCCACCATGCTTGGCTAATTTTTATTTTTAGTACAGACGGGGTTTCACCATGTTGGCCTGACTGGTCTCGAACTCCTGACCTCAGACGATCCACCTGCCTCGGCCTCCCAAAGTGCTGGGATTACAGGCATGAGCCACCATGCCTGGCCTATTATCACTTCTTAAGTAGAAGTAATAATATTGTATTAATACAAGCCTGGGTCACTAGCTAGTGACCTTGGGCAGCTGACCCAACCTCGCTAAGGTTCAGTTTCAAAATCAGGGGTCCTACAGTTACTGTATTAAATGAAATAGCATACATTAATCACTCAGCACACTGTCTGGCACACAGTGACTGATATATGCTATTTCACCTAGCTACCATGCTGCCAACCTGAAGTGCTCTAAGTAGGTTTAGTTGGATAAGTGTCATTAGTTGGTTAAGTTGAATCTTCATAAGTGGGTGACTGGCTATTTTAAAAATCAATACAGTAGAGCCTGTATGAGTGTTCAATGTGTGGAACAGTTCGGTTCAGGAAGATATCAATGTAGTTTTGAGAAATTAGGAAAGAGTTCATGAAGGAAGCAGGATATGAACTAAGCCCTATATTGAGGAAGAGAAGAGGATTCGAAAATAGAAGAATTAAATGATCATGGGGTGAAAGTGATAATGATTATGTGGTATTCGGAGAGTATTCAGTAGTCTATGAAAGTAGGGCTATTAAAGGGCTAAGTTAGAACAAGGTTATGAGAGGCCGTGAGGGTCATGAGAGTTAGCCAGTGAGAAATTCTTTAAGATTTATGAGGAGGGTGTCATGAAAAGCAGTTTGAGGAATACATCTTTAGGCCGTGATATGTAGGGTGAGGAGGCAGGGAGACTCATTACACTACTTCCATAGATCAGGTATAATGAAAGGATGATGGCAACAGTGAGGACAGAAAGGAAATGATTAATAATCCAAACGATGATGAGGTACTTACTACTTACCAGTTCCAAATGTTCCAACTTCCTTATTTAATCCTCATAACAACTCTATGAAATAGGTAGTGTTAGCTGGGTAGAGGGTAAACTATCAGAGGTGACTGAGAAGGAAGAATTGGAGAGATAAAGAAAAATAAGGAGAGCATGATGTCCTGTAAATCAAGGAAAAGGGAAGGGGTGGTTATTTGTGTCAAATCCTGCTGAGAGAACTGGAGGTACATCTGTCAACACTGGCAGTATTGGTGACACTAACAAGAATGAATTTGATGGAGTCCTTGAGTGTGAAAGTGAGATCAGAGTGGGTTGAACAGGGAATGGAAGATGAGGACATGGGAAGAGTGAACCTAGACAACTGCTGAAGAGTTTGGCCTTGATGGGGAGATAAGAAAGAGAGGTCACTAAAGAGCAATGTGGGACCCATGCGTCATTACCCTGATGCATGGTTTCTTAAAGCATGATATCCACCTATATATGTTTAGGTTTCTCTTCTGGACAGATGTCCCTTTAAAATGGAAACTGTCACATCTTTGTATTCCCAACACCTCGCCAAGTGACCAAAAAATCAATGGTCCTTGCTTATACTTAGAACTCTTAATACTCAAATCTATCCTAACTACTTAGCAGAACCCTAACCATCTTGAAGCCAGCCATTTCCTTTGATCATGCCTGCACCCAGGAAGTCAGGAGCTGCTGGCAAAAAATTAACAACACAGATTAATTCCAAAGTAAATCCATAATCCCAAACCGTACTCCTCACTTTTCTGTCTGCTCATTCTCTCCTTTTTACAACCGCTATTTCAAATCCTCTCCACTCTCCCAGAAACTCTGATCTCTCTCCCACTCTTTACTCTCAAAAGAAGATCTAGCCTCCTGGATAACAGAAGCCTTCGAGCTGAAACTCTAACCTGCCTACCCCTACATGCAACCTCTCCTTCTACCCTCCCATTAAGGTGGGGAAGGCACCTGTCCTTTTCAAGGCCCATCTCTCTGAGGATGCCCTAGATCCCATCTATCCTGCCTTTTCTGGAAACTGACCTTGTCTGCTTCCCACTCCCTCCTACAGAATCTTCACTTTCTCTAAAGGACCCTTACTATCAACATTTAAACATGTCCAGCTCTCTCCCATCTTGGACAAGGAAGAAGGGAAGGCAGGACAGAGGAATGGAGGGACAGGGGAATGGAAAGAAATGATAGAAAGTCAGCCTGGCACCGTGGCTCACGCCTGTATCCCAATACTTTGGGAGGCCGAGGCAGGCAGATCACCTAAGGTCAGGAGTTCGAGACCAGTCCAGCCAACCTGGTGAAACCCCATCTCTACTAAAAGTATAAAATTAGCTGGGTGTGGTGGTGCACACCCATAGTCCCAGCTACTCAGGAGGCTGAGGCTGGAGAATCGCTTGAACCTGGGATGGTGGAGGTTGCAGTGAGCCGAGATTGTGCCATGCACTCCAGCTTGGTTGACAGAGCGAGCCTCTGTCTAAAAAAAAAAAAAAAAAAAAAAATAGAGAAAGAGAAATGAAAGAAAGTCTCTGAGTCCCACATTGCTCTTTAGTGACTTCTCTTTCTTATCTCCCCATCAAGGCCAAACTCTTCAGCAGTTGTCTAGGTTCACTCTTCCCATGTCCTCATCTTCCAATCCCTGTTCAACCCACTCTGATCTCACTTTCGTACCCAAGGACTCCATCAAATTCACTCTTGTTAGTGTCACCAATACTGCCAGTGTTGACAGATATATCTCCAATTCTCTCAGCAGGATTTGACACAAATAACCACCCCTTCCCTTTTCCTTGATTTACAGGGCATCATGCTCTCCTCATTCTTCTTTATCTCTCCAATTCTTCCTTCTCAGTCACCTTTGAGAGTTTACCCTCTATTTAATCTTAAACTCTTAGTGTTCCTACTCATTCTTCAGGTATGTTCACCCATGTCATAATTTCAAATGCCATTTTTATGCCGACACTCCCAAAGGTGTTATCTCTAGTCCAGTCCTCTAGATGTGTATATTCAACCACATAGGCAATCAATATATCCACTTAGAAAGCTCATAAACACCTCAAAATCAACACGTTCAAAACTGAGTTAATGATCTTCGCCCACTAAACAGACTCCTCCCTCCAGCTCAGTAAATGACAACCCTATTCATTAAGCTGCTCTTATTAAAACCCTGGAAATCATCACTACCTTTTCCTTACTCCCCACATTCAATTAACCTCCAAGCCTGTAATTTCTGCCTCCTAAGTATCTCTGAAATCCACCCATTTCTCCACATCATGATGGCCCCCACATAGCCTAGACACCACTGTCTCTCACACCACTGCAACAGTCTCCTAATTCATCTCCCCACATATCTTCTTCCCCTACCCTCCCCAGCCCCTACCCTCTCCATTTTCTGTCACATAGCCAGCATAGCCTTTTAAAGTACAAATCTGATTATGTCATTCCACAGAATTAAACCTTTCACTAACGTCATACTGCTTTAAAATCAAAGTCTAAAATCCTTAACATACCCTACAAGGCCCACATGACCTGGCACCTGTGTACTTCCTTAGGCTCAGACCACGGGTTTCCTTCTTGCTCACTGTGCTGTGTTCTAGACCTCAGATACACCACAAACTCCTTCCCATCTCAGTCTTCATGCCTGCTATTTCTTTACATGTATACCTTCCCTCCCCTGCCTGTGTTCTCTCAAATTGTAGGTGTCTGCTTTAATCACTGACCATTCTACCTACCCCCCAGTCATACTCAAGATCAGCACTCTTGTCATATGCATTGGTAGCATCTGGGTTTTTTAATCAGCAACACTTATCACACATGAATTAAATAATTATTTGTATAATGAGATGCTTAATGTCTGTCTTCAGACTACAAGCTCTGCTCATTCATGCTATATCCCTAGTAGCTACCACAACCTGTACATAATAGGTACTCAATAATTTTTTTGAATGAATGCAGAAGAAATATTACATTTTCTGATCTCTAATGAAAGACACAGATTATTACACTATGTTCTGGCTTTCTCCCTATAGTCCTCAGAATTCATTATTTAATAATCTACAGTAAAAGTATATTGAATACTCACCAAATACATAACCCAAATGACTAGCACTTCACAAAGATACACAGATACATAGATAGATAGAGATAGATAGGTAGATGGATGGATCTATAGATCTAAATTTTAAACACTATCTAAATTTTAAACAAACCAAGTAGAATAGGACAGAGCCTACCAATTCAGAATCTGAGGGGGCAAAAGCATCCTCAGGACCATTCCGATAATGCTGAATCACAATGAAACTATGTCCCTATCAGTTTAAACTAAAAGGAGAAAGTATGACTCTAAGGAAGAGGGAATCCCTCAGTTCTATCATTCAGGTTTCAGAAATCACTGTATTTTTCACCTTGAGATAATGAAACTATATGCGATCCCTCTCCCAGAAATTCTAAAAGGAAGTGACAAGAACCTAGGATTCTTATCAGGGAATTCTATTATAGTTAAACTAATTATATTGCTGTACCACATAAATAGCTTACTAGTTTCTGGCTTTGATTCTTTTTTTCTCCTTATTATACTCCTCTCCTCTCTCAATCAATCCATGTCCATTCACACTAAAGAAGGGTAGAAAGAATGCCTTGAGATTCAGCTTGTAGGTTTCCCCTGATGAACCAGCCTTGCTCTGTTCCGTCATTTTTTTTTTCTTTTTTTGAGATGGAGTCTTGCTCTGTCACCCAGGCTGGAGTGCAGTGGTGCAAACTTGGTTCACTGAAACCTCAGCCTCCCAGGCTCAAGTGATTCTCCCACCTCAGCCTCCTGAGTAGCTGGGATTACAGGCACATGCCACTACTCCTGGCTAATTTTTTATATTTTTAGTAGAGACGGGGTTTTGCCATGTTGGCTAGGCTGGTCTCAAACTCCTGGCCTCAAGCGATCCACCTGCCTCGGCTTCCCAAAGTGCTGGGATTACAGGCATGAGCCACTGCATCTGGCTCTGTTCCCTCCTTTAACTTGGCATTCCTTTCACTCTTTTGTTCTAAATTGCTATGGTACAATTTATAACACTCACTGATATTTTCCTATTTCCCCATATAAGGTATTTTATTTCCCCTAACTATACTGATAGTTTGAGGCCTGAATCTTACCCTTCTTTTCCTTCTTATCCTTTTACCAGCCCAATATTCAAGAATAGTAGGTGCTTGCTAAAAACTGATTTCAATAAAAGACTGAGTCTGAGTCAAACAAAATACATTACACTGGATAGGCTGGGCGTGGTGGCTCACGCCTGTAATCCCAGCACTCTGGGAGGCCGAGCCGGGTGGACCACCTGAGGTCAGGAGTTTGAGACCAGCCTGGCCAACATAGTGAAACCCTGTCTCTACTAAAAATACAAAAATTAGCCAGGCGTGGTGGTGGGCGCCTGTAATCCCAGCTACTTGGGAGGCTGAGGCAGGAGAATCGCTTGAACCTGGGAGGCGAAGGTTGCAGTGAGCCGAGATCCCGCCATTGCACTCCAGCCTGGGTAACAAGAGGGAAACTCCGTCTCAAAAAAAAAAAAAAAGGGCTGGGTGTGGTGGCTCACACCTGTAATCCCAGCACTTTGGGAGGTCGAGGTGTGCAGATCACGAGGTCAGGAGATTGAGACCATCCTGGCTAACACGGTGAAACCCCGTCTTTACTAAAAATATAAAAAATCAGCCGGGCGTGGTGGCGGGCGCCTGTAGTCCCAGCTGCTTGGGAGGCTAAGGCAGGAGAATGGCATGAACCTGGGAGGTGGAGCTTGCAGTGAGCTGAGATTATGCCACTGCACTCCAGCCTGGGCAACAGAGCAAGACTCTGTCTCAAAAAAAAAAGAAAAAGAAAAGAAAATATACTACACTGGATAAATAAACCTCCCCAAGAGACAACTAATTCCTTCAAGTTCACTCATGACACATTTTTCCATAGGTTTTTGTTTTGTTTTGTTTTGGTTTTTTTTTGCAACGGAGTCTTACTCTGTCCCCCAGGTTGGAGAGTGGTGGCACTATCTTGGCTCACTGCAACCTCCACCTCCCGGGTTCAAGCAATTCTCCTGCCTCAGCCTCCTGAGTAGCTGCGCACCACCACACCCGGCTAATTTTTTTTTTTTTTTTTTTTTTTTGTATTTTTAGTAGAGGCAGGGTTTCACCATGTTGGCCAGGCTGGTCTCGAACTCCTGGCCTCAGGTGATCTGCCTGCCTTGGCCTCCCAAAGTGCTGGGATTACAGACACGAGCCACCACACCTGGCCTCATAAGTTCATTATTATACATGATGGTTCAACTCCCAAACCAGTCCATATAGCCTTTTAAATCTATAAAGTACCTCAGAACTGTAGATGTCACACTTTTGAGCTAATGAATCATATCCAGCTCTACTGGGGAAATAAGGCGAGCCGAGACCAAGGCCTAGGATGAGTTGGAGAGAAAATACAAAAAAAGTTTCCCTGCCTCTTTTCACCTGTTTATCCACTTCCTTTCACATCAGGGTGAGTTGAGCTGGGTACCCAGGTTGCTGGTAGAATCTGAGGGAAAGGAAGGGGGTTTCTACAACTCCCCCACTGGGAAGCCTCCTTTGGGTAGTGGGGAATTCATATGGAAATTCACATGCAGATTGGGTGATGCCCATAATACTGCACCCTAGAGTTTGAGGTGCTATTTTTAGCCTCTCTTTAATTCCACAGTACCTACACACATGAGAAAAGCATTTGCTGCCTTCAAAGACCCAAACTTTGCATCATGATCCCTGGCCATTCTGCCCACAATAGCCCTTGTTCTTTAGAGTAAATGGAACCCTAAAACAACTCATCTTAACCACTCAACACTGAATATGATGCTATATCGTATCCTGCTGTAGTTGACAGGGACATGTCTTGGGTACTTTATTTTAAAGTGATAGTAAGATATATATTCCTTGCTATACCCAATGGAAGTGTGCCTGGAAAATACCGCATGTAAGCCTGAATTTATTTACCTCGAAAATATGTCCTTGGCCAGGTGTGGTGGCTCACACCTGTAATCCCAAATCTTTGGGAGGCTGAGGTGGGTGGATTACTTGAGGCCAGGAGTTCGAGAACAGCCTGGTCAACATGGTGAAACCTGTCTCTACTAAAAATACAATAATTAGTTAGGTGTGGCAGTGCACATCTGTAGTTCCAGCTACTCAGGAAGCTGAGGCAGGAGAATCACTTGAACCCAGGAGGCGGAGATTGCAGTGAGCCGAGATGACACCACTGAACTCCATCCAGCCTGGGCAACAGAGCAAGACCTTGTCTCAGAAAAAAAAGAAAAAAGAAAAAAAAAAAAACATGCTCTTTACAGAGAGATTGACCACAGAATTTATTTAATGCAAATAAATTCCCCAGTTATGTAA
Source organism: Homo sapiens (assembly GCF_000001405.40). Lineage (NCBI taxonomy): Eukaryota > Metazoa > Chordata > Mammalia > Primates > Hominidae > Homo > Homo sapiens. Next base: position 108,072,734 of record NC_000006.12, read on the forward strand.
AATGACAGATTTTTATTTTATTTTTATTTATTTATTTATTGTGAGATGGAGTCTCACTCTGTTGCCCAGGAAGGAGTGCAGTAGTGCAATCTTGGCTCACCCCAACCTTGGCCTTCCAGGCTCAAGTGATTCTTCTGCCTCAGCTTCCCGAGTAGCTGGAACTACAGACGTGTACCGCAATTCTTCTGCCTCAGCTTCCAGAGCAGCTGGGACTACAGGCACGTGCCACCACGCCCGGATAATTTTTGTATTTTTAGTAGAGACGGGGGTTTCACCATGTTGGCCACGCTAGTCTCCAACTCCTGACCTCAGGTGATCCCCCTGCCTCAGCCTCCCAAAGTGCTGGGATTACAGGCATGAGCCACCGCACACAGCCATGACAGATTTATTTTAAATAACAGGCTGACTTAAAGCAGGATCCAACTAGGTACAAATTTATATTTAGTGCAACTATAAACAAGTTTAGACAAGTTTAAATTTATGGAATAATTCCAACCACATTTTCATGAGACTACTTGCTGTCCCCGTAATACAAGAGGAACTTTCTCATTCTCCAATCCCAATGTTATTCCTCATGTTTTTCCTTTACCAAGCATATCCGGCCCACACCTCGTGACTCCCACCAACCCTGACACTCTAATCTTTTCCTAGTCTAAACTTTATAAAGTACTTAGGAGCAGGAATTGTCTGTTTTTCTTTTTAAAATTAAGTGCCTCACAGCAGCTACCACACACCTAGAGAACCCTTAAGGTATGAAGAATGAAGAGCAGTCTTACAATTTCTTAAAAATTTACCTCCCATTTACTTAGAGGTATTACTATGTGTTGTTTTCTAAAACCTCCTTTTATCCCCATTTTACAGATTAGTAAACAGGCACAGAGAATGTAAGTAACTTGCCCATAGTATACCGCTAATAAGCAGAGTGGAACTGGAGTCCTGGCCGCTAGCTAGCTCCAGACTGTTCACATCACTAAGATGAAGTCACAGGCAATATCTCTTTTAATTCTTCCAACAGCCGCATTAGGCAGATGTTCTTTCCACTTTATAGAGGAGGAAACTAAGGTTCTGAGAAGATAATTAATCCAAGGTTACATAGTTAGAAGTTGGTGGACATGAACATTTCTGGCTACAAAGCTCAAATTTCTAACCACTACCAGTGTCTCCACCCCACTTGTTTCAGAAAAGGATCCTTCCTGGCAACTCCAGGTGAAGATGAGAAGAAGCCGTGGTGGAGTGGGTGGAGGAAGAGCAAGAGGGTTGGGGAATCAGGACCCCCAAGAAAACCAATCACACCTATATGAACCAAAGATGTCCAACAGCATTCTTGGAAGCAAAAACCCAAATCCCAAGCCCCATAATGCCACCCCCTTTTTCTGATGACCCAACTCTACAGACTCAGTCCAACCCCTTTTTCTTACTGTTGGGGAAACTGAGGCCCCCAGCGCTGACCATCATTACACCCTCCTCCTTTCCCAACTCTCCTGAGCCACAGTCCCGGACGTGGTCCTGTACCCACCCCCGCGGCTCGGCTGATGTTGTCCATCTTGCTGACGACCTGTTGGAAGAGGGGGTAGCAGGTCTGACAGAGGCGCACGGGCCGGGCGCTGCGCACCAGACACCCTGTCAGCTCTGCGCTGCTGTTGGCGAAGTCCAGCAGGAGCTCCCGGCACTCAGGATCCAGATCCGGCAGGTCCGGGGGCAGCGACAGAGGCCCCAGCCCTCCACCCTGCAGGAGGGACAGGGACAAGTCCTCCACCTCCAGCAACTGCTGCTCCGACAGGAGGTCGTGGAAGACCCTGTGCGGACTGCTGCCGAAGGGGAGCGCGCCCAGGGCCAGCCCCGACCACAGCAGCAGCCCCAGCGGCAGCCACGGCGGCAACGAACACCTCCGCTGCGCGGCTGTCGGGCCCGGCTCCATCACCGGGCTCACACACCCCAGGGAGCCCACCGCCGCCTCTCCGCCCCCAGCCGGCACCGCGGACAGCCGCCGCTTCCGGTTTCCGCGAGCGCAGGCCGAGAGCCGGGTCACGAGGAGGGCGCGTCACGGCCCCGCCCCCTGCGCGCGGCGCCCCGCCCCATTGGCTGCCGGCTGCCTCCGGGCCGCAGGCCTTCGCGCGTGCGGGAGGGCGCCTACCCTGCGGCCGCGCGCTCTCCAGCCGGCGTTAGGCGCGGGGCGGGGCGGAGTGGTGCATTGGGGTATCCGTAGCCGAGGCTCGCCAGCCGGTGACCACGAGCACCCACCGCTTTGGACAATTGCATCTCGGGGGTCCTGACCCTTGAACGCCCAACCCTCTGGGAGTTCCGGGCGTCCTACAAGTTTCTTACCTCGCTGGACCGACGACGGCCTCCGCTGTGGAAATGGCCGTCGGCTGCGTTCGCAGAGAAACCCCGCTGGCCTGTGCCTCGGCAGATTTTCTGCATGGTGTTCCTTAGCGTAGTTTTTTCCTCATCCCATTTGGAGAGAGTAATAATGCCCGTTGGTTATTATAGGTGGTGGAGACTAGCGGTTTCCAAGCTTTTTGTTTTTGTTTTTAAAAAAACTCTCAACTGTCTGCCTCAGCGTTGTCAGAACTCTGTGAGATGAGGGAAATATTCTACATCTGCGTTATTAAGGCAGCCACTGGCCACATGTGTGGTGTTGAGCCGGCTGAGGAACTGAATTTTTAATTTAATTTAGGGCCGGCGCGGTGGCTCACGCCTGTAATCCCAGCACTTTGGGAGGCCGAGGCAGGCAGATCGCTTGAAGCCAGGAGTTGGAGACCAGCCTCGCCAACATGGCGAAACCCCGTATCTACTAAAAATACAAAAATTAGCCGCTGGGCGTGGTGGCGCAAGCCTGTAGTCCTAGGTTGAGCGGGGAGGATGGCTTGAGCCAGGAGGTCGAGGCTGCAGTGAGCCGAGATCGCGCCACTGTACCCCAGCCTGCACGACAAAGTGAGACTCCATCTCAAAAGTAAAAAGTATTTAACTTAAATGTAAGTAGCCACATCTGTGTAGTGGCAACTGTACTTGACGTAAGTCTGGTCCTACAGTGGCCAACAAGCAGGTTTGCTTGGAACTGAAGGGGTACCAGGGACGCAGCGCGTTCAGTGCTAAAGCCCAGGAAATCCTGGACAAACTGCTCAACTTGAAACTCCTATCCAGTTTCTGACATGCCCGAGGCAATAGCAGGGGACACTCTAAAAAGCGTCCTGATACCGTTGCCAGTCTGTAAAAAGAATTTAAGCTCATAACCTGGAAAACAGTTTTCTGACAAGTATCTGACCAACCAGGTTGGTAGAAAATTATTTCCGGGCTTTGTGTCATCCTGCTTTTCAGGGTTGTAATTTTTGCCTTGTAAATTGCAGAGCTGTTGCACTAAAGTCTACTTAGCTTAGGGTCCTAATTTATGTTTCTGAGGGTTCTTCAAAAACTTTTTTGTTGTTGTTGTGTATTTTGTTTGGTTTGGTTTTGAGACATAGTCTCGCTAGACTGCCCAGGATGGCCTCGAACTCCTAGGTTCAAGGGATCCTCCTGCCTCGGCCTGCCAAACAATTGGACTACAGGCACAGGCTGCTGTGCCCAGCCTGGGGGTTCTTATAGTTACTTTTTACCCCGTCTGTTTGGTTATTGTTTTATGTTCCTAAATTTGCTTGGGATAGCTAAATTTTGTTTCATTTTTGTTACTAAGAAACTGAATAGTAGGAAATTTGATTTGTGTAACAATAAACGTATTTCCAAAAGAGAAAATAAGTTGTCTTAAGTTTTGCAAAAGTCATCATGTAACTCTTAGGTCTTTCTATGTATTAGAATTATCTTTCTTTTAAATTCTTTCAAGCACCATCCTGTGTTGCAGGTGGATGTGTAAATTGTTAACTTCTATGGAAATCAATGTGCAGAACCAACAACCTTGCAAATGCACAAGCTCTTTGATGCAGCAAGTTCACAACCTTGTCATAGACACTTATTCATTACAATATTGTTTGTAGTGGTAAAAGGATGGCTTCAAAAAGCATGTTAAGGGGCCGGGCACGGTGACTCATGCCTGTAATCCCAGCACTTTGGGAGGCCGAGGCGGGCGGATCACCTGAAGTCAGGAGTTCGACACCAGCCTGGCCAACATGGTGAAACCCCGTCTCTACTAAAAATACAAAAATTAGCCGGGCATGGTGATGCATGCCTATAATCCCAGCTACTCAGGAGACTGAGGCAGGAGAATCTCTTGAACCTGGGAGGCAGAGGTTGCAGTAAGCCAGGATCACACCACTGTGCTCCTGCTCAAAAAAAAAAAAAAAAACTTAAGGAAATTACAGACACTTTCCCTCTTCCTTTCCTTTCCATTCCCGGAACAATTCAATCTTAAAGGTCAAGTAGAGCAAGATAGGCATCGGTGCTTGGTAGGAATGGGGTGTCAGAGGCCCAGAGAGAGGTGTCAGAGCATAGGTAAGCTGAAGAGGACAGTGGTGTGAGGGAGGGTGGCAGCATCAGCCTGATGCAGAGTATTGGGTTCTCAGTGGATAAGAAGGGTCTCCATGCAGAGGATTGGGCAGCAGTGACTGGGAGGTTGCTTACATTCAGAAGGATTGATGGAATCAGTAAATATATTAAGAATAATTGGAGTTCAGTTTCAGACTGTCAGAGAAGAAAGTTACAAATATGAAAAGAGAGAAATGAACTCTAATGTTGGATTAAAATTAGAAATAGTGCAAATTCATAGCTTAAAATACATAGTCATCCCTTGATACCAGCAGGGGAATGGTTTCAGGACCCCCCACAGATGCCAAAATCTTCAGATCCTCAAGTCCCTTACATAAAACACCATAGTATTTGCATATAACCTAACACATTTCCTTCCGTATACTCTTTTTCTTTTTTCTTACATGCTATTAAAGCATCCTCTTTATACTTTTAAATCATATCTAGATTACTTATAGTACCTAATACAATATACATGCTATGTAAATAGTGGTTATACTATGTTGGGTTTTTAATTTATATTATTTTTTATTGTTACTTTTTTTCTACTAGGAGATACTACTTTTTTAAAAATTATGGTAAAATATACATAACATAAAAGTTACCATTTTTAATGTACTTTCAGTGGCATGTTACTTTTTATTGTGGTTTTATTTTTCTCTTTTTTTGTAGAGATGGGATCTTCCTGTGTTGCCCAGACTGGTCTCAGACACCTGGGCTCCAGTGATCCTCCCACTTCAGCCTCCCAAAGTCCTGGGATTAGCAGTATGAGCCGCTGTACCCAGCCCTCAAATATTTTAGACCTGCAGTTGGTCGAATCCCAAGATGCAGAACCCATGCATACAGAGGGCCAACTATATATAGTATAGAAATAAATACAGATGTAAATTTATGTGTATACATTTTATATGTGTATGTACATATATGAATATATGGTATATGTATACATATATATGTACTTGTGTGGGTGTACTTCCTCTGGCTTTGTCCACTTAGAACACTTAGTAGCAAAGGTACCCCAGTGATAATGAGCATGCATAATGCCCAGATCTTGGATTTGAAGTATCATTCTCCACTAAAAGGAACCAAGGATCCTTGGAGAAATGGCTGATTCAGAAAAAGCACAAATTGAGACTGGATCATCTTGTGCCAGAAAGTAAGGAAGTGCTCAAAGAATAATGTTGGAAACATGTGAAGGGCATACAGAAACAGCTTGAATGGACTCCCGCTGGTCAAATCTGAGTCACTCTCAGCATTGAAATAATGATGGTTAACAAACTATAACCCATTACATAAAACCACAAGCTCATAGTGATCAATTTAAATAATAGATTGATAAGGACTAATACATTTACATATTTTCATAGATTCTCCCCACCAAATACTTATTAATTACAAATGGGGAAAAAGGAGTAAATTTACAGTGGAAAACCTTGTCCAGTCCTATGTTAATCAAATGATCAACATGAACATCATCATAATGGAACATATACAAGTTGTGTGCATCTGATAGGCTGCAATTAGAAGAATACAGTGTCAGTTCTGTTATATTCCTGCCAAAGATGCATAATCTGATTCTAATCATGAGGGAAGTGTCAGACAAATCAAATTAAAGTTCATTATATAAAATATCTCGACTATAATCTTCAAAAGTGTTACAGCTACAAAAGTCAAGGAAAGATTGAGGAACTGCACCTGACAGGACATTACTGGGACAACTAGCAAAATTTGAATAGGGTCTGAGAATTAGATGGTAGTTATGTACATTGCTGATGAGATTAATGATTATGAGAGAAGATTATATTCATCATGATACAATAGCCCCATAGTGTAAGAATAAGGAAAGGTCTTGTCTTGAATGTAAACCTGATTTAAAAAAAAAAAAAGTAATGCTATTGCCTAAATTCAGATCCTTTGCATCTCTTGTCTACGATATTGTAACAGCAAAAACTAGCAATCAAAGGGAAACGTCTGGAAAACCAGAAAAGAAGATGAGAAATTGACCTACGATGCTACCTCACATTCCTCATGTAAATTCAAAATGTTAATCAAGACTCTGTGAGACTTTCAAAAAAAATGTTTTCATGAGAAATTGTTAAGAAAAATTACCTCGAATTTGGAAATAAAGTAAAAAACAATCAGCATACTGGGGCATATTTTCTTATTCTTTCTTTGTCTTTTTCATATGGATTAATTAAAAAACCTTGTCTTTGAGCTCTGAAGTTCTTTCTTCTGCTTGTCAATTCTATTGCTGAGACTTTCCAGAACATTTTGCATTTCTACAATTTTTGCATCCATTGTTTCCTGAAGTTTTGATTGTTTTGTATTTATGCTATTTCACTGACGATTTCTCCCCTCATTTCTTGTATCATTTTTTATTTCCTTAAATTGGACTTTGCTTTTCTCTGGTGCCTCCTTGATTTTAGCTTAATAACTGACCTTCTGATTTCTTTTTCAGGTAAATCAGGGATTTCTTCTTGGTTTGGATCCATTGCTGGTGAGCTAGTGTGATTTTTTTGTGGGTGTTAAAGAACCTTGTTTTATCATATTACCAGAATTGTTTTTCTGGTTCCTTCTCAGTTAGGTAGGCTGTGTCAGAGGGAAGGTCTAGGGCTCAAGGCTGCTGTTCAAATTCTTTTGTCCCATGGGGTGTTCCCTTGATGAAGTACTCTCTCCCTTTTCCTAGGGATGTGGCTTCCTGAGAGCTGAGCTGTTGTGATTGTTATTTCTCTTCTGGATCTAGCCACCCAGCAGGTCTACCAAGCTCTGGGCTGGTACTGGGGATTGTCTGCACCGGGTTCTGTGATGTGAACAGTCTGCAGGTGTCTCAGCCATGGATATCAGCACCTGCTCTGGAGGAGGTGGCAGGGGGGTGAAATGGACTCTGTGAGGGTCCTTAGTTTTGGTTGTTTAATGCACTATTTTTGTGCTGATTGGCCTCCTGCCAGGAGGTGGCACTTTGAAGAGAGCATCAGCTGTGGTAGTATAGGGAGGATCAGCTGGTGGGCAGAGCCCTAGAACTCAGGAGAGTATATGCCCTTTGTCTTCAGCCACCAGGGTGGGTAGGGAAGGAGACCATCAGGTTGGGTCAGGGTTAGGCCTGTCTAAGCTCAGGCTCTCCTTGGGTGGGTCTTGCTGCGGCTTCTGTGGGGAATGGGGATGTGGTTCCCAGGTCAATGGAGTTATGTTCCCAGTAGGATTAAGGCTGCCTCTGCTGTGTCATGCAGTTAGTCAAGGAAGTGGGAGAAAGCTGGCAGTCACAGGCCTTACCCACCTCCCAAGCAACCCAAAAGGCTGGTCTCACTCCCACTGTGCACCCCCCCAACAGCACCAAGTGAATTTCCAGGCAGTGGGAGAGCAGGGCTGAGAGCTTGCCCCAGGCTACCAGCCTCCCACTGTGAAAGCCAGCTGGGTTTTTGTTCCTTTCAGCCTGTGAAGTCTGCATTCCAGATTCATGACCTCCACCGGGTTCTGGCCAGGAGACTTCACATTCAGTTGGAATTGTTACAAAGTTCAGCTAGAGGTTTCCTTCTCCCTGTGGTCTTTTCTCTGGCAGCCCTCCTCAAGGACCCCTGTGAGACAAGGCAGAAATGGGTACCCAGGGGACCCAGAGAGCCCACAGGGCTTTTCCTGCTGCTTCCTTTACCCCTGTATTTTGCTCTGCTCTCTAAATTGACTCAGCTCCAGGTAAGGTCAGAATATTCTCCTGTGATCCAGACCTTCAGGTTCCCCAGTGAGGGTATGTGTTCAGGGGTGGACAGTTCTCTTTTCCCACTACCACAGCTTGGGCATTCACAGTATTTGGGTTGTCTCCAGTGTCCTACAGGAGTCATCCGCTTTCTTCAGAGAGTCTGTGGGTTTTCTCAGCTTTCCTGGTTTATTCCTGCAGTAGTTCTGGAGCAAAAGGTTACAGTGCGAGTCTCCACATACTGCTCTGTCTGTCTGCGTGGTAGTTGCAATCTAGTCCCGCCTCCCGTCCACCATGATCCTCTATGCTGTCCAGCAACCTAATTCTAACATTACTTTTTCAGTGCCTATACCTGGTTTGAGAGACATTGAGTTAATATTAATGAGTTAATAAACATTCGACACATTTTCATTCTATATTTGTATGAGTCACATTTTTAACTTTTTGAAAATTATACTTTGACAATTTTTCCCATTAAAACGTGGAATAGTGGGGAAGCAAGAATTTAGGCCAAGAAGGTAGTCGAAGATGACCAGAAAAGGCCCAGGAACCAAGGCCAATAAAACAGTCTCCCTATTGATACTCTTTCTCTCTCATGGATGGTTTATTCTAACTACAGCAGACAAAGTGATCCTTTCAAAACCTAAGTTGGGTTATGTCAGTTTTTTTGTTTTGACCCCACCAGTGGCTACAGATATCACCCAAAGTTAAAGCAAAGCTCTTGTTATGCCCTAGAAGAATCTGGGATCTGCTGCTTTTATCAGCATTCTCTTTTCCCCAACCTGCTTTATTTTTTTTCCATAGCACTTAGCACCATACGGAATCCTATACACTTGTTTATTTCTGTCTCCCCGCACTGGAATTTAAGTTCCTTGAGAGCAAAGACTGTGTTGTCCACTGCTCTCTCAGTGCTTAGAACAATGGCATGAAATAGATGCTCAATAAATATTTATTGAAATATGATTTCCTTTAGAGAGGGGTAGAATATAAGCAGTTTGAGGCTCGAAAAGAAGGTATGAAATAATTATTCTGGAAAAAATAAACTTACGAAAAAATAAATGTATTAGGTATATGTAATACCATTGCCAGGCAATATTGAATGCCTATTTGAGATCCGTGGGCACAGTTTTAAGGTATAATCAATAGACCTAATTAAGTGTTCTCGTCAGCAATGTTTAGTTGTTCAGGTGACAGTGTAGAGCAGCATAATGGTTGGGCTTAAAATTGTTGGGACATTGCCTAGGCCAGTATGATGAAAGGAGAGTGCACCATATCACCTTACACATCCCACCTGACCCAGTTTCCAATGCCTTCCCACCTTCCCAAACCGTTCCACTGGGTCCTTTGTAACTCATGATCTATCATCTGTAATCTCTTTTCTTCAATATCTTCTCTAAACCGTCCCTTTACCCTCTTTGATGGAACAAAAGCTGACTATCTCTTGATGACCTCACTTTTGCTATGCTTCATGGCCTCTATAGATTTTGTGGAGCTTCCTCAGGAGCAGCCCCTAGTTTGAGGGTAAGAGGAGCTCAGTGAGCATTCCAGTCCCCAAGCAGAGCAGCCCACCTTGACCTGCTTTCATGATTGGAATTCCACAGAAGATTATTTTCAAGTTTCCCCTAGGGGAAAAAATAGTTTGGAAACCACTGTTTTGTTACATTTTGCAGTGGGCTAATGTCTGCTGTGTGTCTCCAGTCCCCATTTCCTAGGTTATCCTGATCCTGTTCCATCACTGTGCATTGGTATATGAGGAGAGAGAGCTTAGCCTTTCAGCACATAGGTCTCTGGATCTGAAGGAGCCACATTTGAACCTGTTGTAGAAACTATCCCACACACTACCCAAAGATTCTAGACTTTGAACTTTATACTATGACGTGATTGGAGTTTTGGGTTGTCTCCCTTGGAAGAGGTTTATTACCACAGTAAAACCTAGTCACCCAAATACACCTTTGCTGGTTTCTGAGGTTATCCTGATTCCAGACTTTGAGATTCTAGACTGAGCTTTATACTATGACATGGTCAGACTTTTGGGTTGTCTCCCTTGGAAGAGGTTTATTACCACCACAGCAAAACCTAGTCATCCAAATATATAGTTCTTTGCTGATTTCCTCTCTGCTATTTTCTCTGGTTCACTCTTTTGGAACGTTTTTTTATTTGGATGTTAAATCTTTTTTCTTTTTTTTGGAGACAGGGTCTCATTCTGTTGCCCAGGCTGGAGTGCAGTGGCAAAATCATAGCTCACAGTAGCCATGAACTCCTGAGCTTAAGGGATCCTCGGCCGTCTAAGTAGCTGGAACTACGGACACATGCCACCATGCCCAGCTAAAATTTTTGTGTTTATTTTTTGTAGAGATGGGGTCTGACTGTGTTGCCCAGGCCAGTCTCGAATTCCTGGCCTCAAGCAATCCTCCTACCTCTGCCTTCCAAAGCTCTGGAATTATAGGTGTGAGCCACCAGGCCCAGCCAGATGTTAAACCTTATAGTGGAGATTGCTCAACTTCCTCCAACATCCATTCTCTCCTTCCTTTTAATGATACAACTCCTGAGATTTAGCTGAACATGGCAGGACTACATGCTCCAACCTCCCTTGCAGCTAAGTGTGAACTGAAGTGCGTATATCTTACTAGTCATATCTTTAAGTCATGAATTGTATCCGCCCTCTTCCTGTTAGGAAATGTTTTTTGTTTTGTTTTGTTTTTGAGATACAGTCTTGCTCTGTCACCCAGGCTGGAGTGTAGTGGTGCAATCTCAGCTCACTACAACCTCTGACCCCTGGGTTCAAGCAATTCTTCTGCCTCAGCCTCCCGAGTAGCTGGGATTATAGGCGCGTACCACTGTTCCTGGCTAATTTTTATATTTTCAGTAGAGACAGGGTTTGGCCATGTTTGCCAAACTGGTCTCAAACTCCTGACCTCAGGTGATCCACCCGCCTCAGCCTCCCAAAGTGCTGGGATTACAGGTGTGAGCCACTGCGCCTGGACAGAAAATGTTAATAACTGAAACATCAGGCCTGGGTACAGAGATGGATATGGATGCAACATGTTTAGCATGACGGAGCCAGCTGGTCATAAAGCAGAGTCATCTACCTACTCTAGGCCACAGAGGAATGAACTTCTGTCCTATTAATGCCACTATATTTTGGAGTCTCTGTTACAGCAACTTAAGCTGATCCTAATGCAGTCCTCCTAGATGGTTACTTAAATTTTCTCAACTTCTAATGTTCTCCTATTTTTTCATCTCTTTGTATATTTTTATTGTACTTCCTAGAAATTTCATTAACTTTGTTCTTCAATGCTTCTACTGAGTTTTTTCATTTCTGCTATACTTTTAATTCCCAAAATTTCTTTTTTTTTTTTTTTTTTTGAGACGGAGTCTCGCTCTGTTGCCCAGGCTGGAGTGCAGTGACACGATCTTGGCTCACTGCAAACTCTGCCTCCCAGGTTCAAGTGATTCTCCTGCCTCAGCTTCCTGAGTACCTGGGATTACAGGCACACACCACCATGCCCAGCTAATTTTTGTATTTTTAATAGAGACAGGGTTTTGCCATGTTGGTCAGGCTGGCCTCAAACTCCTGACCTCAGGTGATCCGCCCTCCTTGGCCTCCCAAAATGCTAGGATTATGTAGATGTTACGTCCTTTTAAAGTTTTTTTCTTCCTCCTAGCCCGTTTCCTCCAAGTTACTTTTATTTATTTATTTTATTTTATTTTTTGAAATAGAGTCTCGATCTGTCACCCAGGCTGGAGTGCAGAGGCACGATCTTGGCTCACTGAAACCTCCACCTCCCGGGTTCAAGCAATTTTCCTGTCTCAGCCTCCCAAATAGCTGGTACTACAGGCGGCCGCCACCACACCCAGCTAATTTTTGTATTTTTAGTAGAGACAGGGTTTCATCATATTGGTCAGGTTGGTCTCGAACTCCTGACCTCAGGTGATCCGCCCACCTCAGCCTCCCAAAGTGCTGGGATTACGGACGTGAGCCACCACAGCCGGCCAAGTTACTTTTATTCCTGTTTGTTTTTATCTATACTTTTAAGTGTCTAGTGAACCTTGGCTTTCTGCTTACATTTAAGAGAGAGGCACTACAAAGCTGAATGGAAACTCTGTGTTCATGGATAGTTCTTTTAGACTATGAGTTTCAGTATAGGCCAATGGTTCTCAATGGGGACAGTTTTGCTCCCCACCCTTGTGGTATATTTAGCAATGTGTGGAAACATTTTTGGTTGTCAAAACTGGGAGAAGGGTATGCTACTAGCATCTAATGAATAGAGACAAAGAACACTGCAAAACATCTTAAAATGCACAGGATGGTCACCCAAAACAAAGCATTGAAAACATCAGTATTTTAAATCGTTTCTCTTGGGCAGATTATCCTCTTCACAGAAGATTCTGCCAGCATGCTACCTTGCTGCCAGTAATCCCTGATCCTGGCAGTGGAAAAAAGCTGGCAACTCAACTTCAGTGAATGAACTTTTACTTAATCTCCCTGTTTTAGCAAAATGTCCCTGCCCTCAAATATGCTTATGTCTCTTGGTCCAGACTCCCCTTGCTTCACTTTCTCCAGATATCAGGAATTTAGTGGTATTCTGCTGGAGTTGGGATGGGACATAGAATAGTAGGGAGGGTATTGTAAATAGCCTTTCAATCATCTTGTTTTGGTTCTTCTTTTATCTACATTTTCAGAGGTACCTGATGTCTTTCCACTTCTTGGGCTCTTTGAGGGTTCTATAATATAATTCAGTTGCCTTTTTTTCCTACTACAGGCATACAAATTAGCTTTTCTGCTTAGGTTTTGCTAAGTCAGTTTTTATTAGTCCACCTGCTTTCCCGCTTCCAATATATTTTTGAAGAGATGGGGTCTTGCTATGTTGCCCAGGCTGAACTTAAACTCCTGTGCTCGGCCAGGCGCAGTGGCTCACGCCTGTAATCCCAGCACTTTGGGAGGCCAAGGCAGGCGGATCACGAAGTCAGGAGATCGAGACCATCCTGGCTAACATGGTGAAACCCTATCTCTACTAAAAAATACAAAAAATTAGCCAGGCATGGTGGCAAGCGTCTGTAGTCCCAGCTAATCAGGAGGCTGAGGCAGGAGAATGGTGTGAACCTGGGAGGCGGAGCTTGCAGTGAGCCGAGATCGCGCCACTGCACTCCAGCCTGGGTGACAGAGCGAGACTCCATCTCAAACAAACAAACAAACAAACAAAAAACTCCTGTGCTCACGTGATCCTCCTGCCTCAGCCTCCCAAGTAGCTGGGACTACAGGTATGCATCACCATCCCAAGAACCAATATTTTTACTTTTTCTTTTCTCCTGTTCTCTATGTTCTTATGTGTCTTTTTAAAAATTATTTTACAAATCTTGTGGGATTTCAGGAAGGAACAGATCTAATCATGTGTTCAACTTGCTGTCTTAAGTGGCAGTCTTTTCTGTGTTTTACCTTGCTCTTTATTAAAGTCAGCATGTATATCTTATGTCACCTCCAGCCATGAGATGATCTTATGGAGAATGTGGACTGAGTCCTATTTATATTTGTATACTTAGAAGCACTTAGCCTGATGTCTTGTACAGAGAAGGTACCCAAAACATTTGTTACATTGAATTTGTGTAATACAAATGCACATCTGCTTTAAGTGCTTTTCAGATTGATACATCAATGGAAACATATTTTTATTTTTGTAATTCTTTAATGGGCAAAACAATGCTGTAAGTAAATGCCCATAAGCTTTGCATGCCTGAGCAGAATGACCTGAACACATGGGACATGTAAATCATGTTGTTCATTCATGATACTTTGCAAAAGTCTAATCTACTCACTCCAGTGGCCAATCTCATTTCCAGAACTCTCATCTGAAGATAGATTTTTTTTCACCTGAAGATAATCTTATAGCTTCGGCATTAGGAGATATTTTTAAAACAATGAAGTTGAATCACATTTACTTGACAGACTCTCTGGTGGTAAATGTATGTTTCTAATAGATGAGTGGTATTAGAACTTTGAGTTTGTATCAACATAATTTTAATAAATATTTGTTCAATTTACAAATGAAAATATACATTAAAAATATGTGTGCTTCAGTAGATATATATTATCAGTGACCAAAGTCTGATCACCGAACCCATTTCCTAATATAACAGAAACTCTCTTGTTAATTAGATGCCTAATATGTGGTACTATTTCTTGGAAAGCCAGCATTCATAAGTAGAAATGAGAATGGCGCCACTCACTATTACTCCTGGTGACCCACTAGCAAAATTTTTGCTTCCTGTTCTAATGACTTTATGCCCTGCTGGGCTAGAGGTCTACAGTCCCAAAAGGAGGAGTGCATCCACTAGGAGATACAAGAATGACGGAATTGGAATTTAAGATTGCCACCTGGCCACTTTGGGCTCCCTCTAAATCAATGGTTAAAGAAGAGAGTTACTGTGCTGGCTAGGGTGATTGATCCTAACTACCAAGGGGAAATTGGACTACCACTCCACAATGGAAGTAAGGAAGAGTATGTCTGAAATACAGGAGATCCCTTAGGGTATGTCTTAGTATTATTATGCCCTATTATTAAGATTGATGGAAAACTATAACAAGCTAATCTAGGCAGGATTGTGAATGGCCCAGGCCTTTCAGGAATGGAGGTTTGGATTGCCCTACAGGTAAAGGATCACCACCAGCTGAGATGCTTGCTGAGATCAAAGATAATACAGAATGGGCGGTAGAAGGTAGTTATAAATACGAGCTATGACCATGTGACCAGTTATAGAAATTAGGAATATAATTATTATGAGTATTTCTCCATATTTTGTTATGAATATGTATATATATATACATATACACATATATATATACACATACACACACACACACACACACACACACCCCAAATATCTTTATTTTCTTCTCTCTTTTATTCTCTTATAAGATATATTGACTTTAGGCTGGGCGCAGTGGCTCATGCCTGTAATCCCAGCACTTTGTGAGGCTGAGGTGGGTGGATCACCTGAGGTCAGGAGGTCAAGACCAGCCTGACCAACATGGCAAAACCCCATCTCTACTAAAAATACAAAAAAATTAGCCAGGTGTTGTGGTGTGTGCCTGTAATCCCAGCTACTCCAGAGGCTGAGACATGAGAATCGCTTGAACCCAGGAGGCAGAGGTTGCAGTGAGTGAGCCGAGATCGTGCCATTGCACTCCAGCCTGGGCAACAAGAGCGAAACTCCATCTCAAAAAAAAAAAAAAAAAGATATATTGACTTCATATTATCATAGTATAATATAATATGTAAGTATTGTTAATTTTATATCATAATATTTGTTATAAAATATCAAGGAGAAGAGTTAAACATCACTCAAGGACTTTATCTCCTTTTCTGGAATAGAGGTTAGTGCATGTTCAGTTGTATGAAGATAGTTGTGTCATACTAGGTATAATTATGATCTTGTTATTGTCTTTATTTGGAGATACATATAGATGCCAGGTTAACAAGGAATGGATTTATGATGGTTAATTTATTTGATCAAATGTCATTCTGGGTGCATCTGTGAGAGCATTTGTGGATGAAATTAACATTTGAATTGGTAGACTGAGTAAAGCAGATTGCCTTTCCTAGTGTGGGTGGGCTTCATTCATTCAGTCCATTGAAGACCTGAAGAGAATAAAAATGCTGAATAAGAGGGAACTCCTCCTTCCTGACTGTTGAGCTCGTACATCAGTTTTTTCTGCCTTAGGACTCAAACTGAAACATTGACTCTTTTTGAATCTCCAGCCTGCTGGCTTTCAGACTGGAACCACACATTAACTCTCCTGGGTCTCCAGCTTGCAGAATGCAGATGTTGGGACTTCTCAGCGTCCATAGTCATGCGGGCCATTTGTTGTAATTAATCTCATTGTCTACCCATATCTAGATATATATGTTTCCTATTGGTTCTGCTGTGACTCATAAAGATACATTAATTATATGTAGAAAAGTGATTGCACTATTAAAAAATCTTGTTGTTCAGGCTGGGCATGGTGGCTCACGCCTGTAATCTCAGCACTTTGGGAGGCCAAGGCAGGTGTATCACCTGAGCTCAGGAGTTCAAGACCAGCCTGGCCAACATGGTGAAACCCCACCTCTACTAAAAATACCAAAAAATACAAAAATTGGCTGGGCGTGGTGGTCCATGCCTGTAGTCCCAGCTGCTTGGGAGGCTGAGGCAGGAGAATCACTTGAACCCCAGCAGGCAGAAGTTGCAGTGAGCCAGGATCACGCCACTGCACTCCAGCCTGGGCAACAAAGCAAGAGTCTGTCTCAAAAAAAAAATTTGTTGTTCAATGCTTATTAATAACCACATATGGATTTTATGTGTCTCTTGACAGTTTTAAAGTATGTTTTATTATTTATTGCTTATTATCCATTTAATTTCCTACGACATATAGATTACTAGAGAAATCAATAAGATGTTATTTCTATGCAGCATGTCTTTAAAAATATATCAACATTTAAATATTCTTTGTAAATAAGTTATATTTCATATTCACTGTGTACATAACAACAGAAGTATAGGAAGCAAATGTTACAGTCAAGATGAAGTGTACGAATGTTCATGTCTCAGAGAAGTGGATGTTCCTGAATTTACCTATGGCAACATTTGGAACAAGTACCACTTGTTACCATCCTTATGCTATGCTTAGTTGAAGACAGGGCCAGTGTTAAAATGTTTGCTTCTTTTATAAGCTATTTTATTTTCCTTTCAATTCTAATTTTGCCCAATTGCTCTATTCAAATAAAGTCATTTAATCTCTGCTCTTCTGATTAATATTTTAATTATTCAGTCCTTTCCAGCTGTGTCCACCCCAGCTCCTTATGAAGAATGGAGAACTATGCTTTCTATATTTGAATGATAAAACTATTGACAGCGTCATTTTTTTCTTCCAAAAAAAAAAGAAATTACCCACCAAAAAAAAAAAAAACCATTCTGCTGCTCAGAATACCACAGAGAAGATGTTGCATATCGGTTCCCTTTTATTGGTCTATTAACATTTTGAAGACTATGACAACTATTTAAACTAATTATTTGGTTTTACAACAAAGAAATATGTATACATTTATGTATACATATAAATCTTGGATTAGTCAGATGTAAGCCAAGATCTCATTTTGATTCTCCTGGGGTACCTTGTTTGTATTCCTAGGTCTTCAGAGACTAGATTCTCTGTGCATCTGAGGATAACTACTGGCTGATCTGGTAGAGGCAATAATGTGACTCTGGGACTGACTAATAGACTTCCATCAAGACAGCCTATCTGTTGGATCTTTATTGGCTTTAAGAAACAGAAACCAATGCAAGTTAACTTCAGCAAAAAGTGAGAAATTCAAGGATGAAACCAAGACCATGTCTCAGGATGGGACTGGAACTATGCACCAAACACTCTGGAACTATACACCAAACACTCTGGAACTATGGACCAAACACTCTGGAACTATGCACCAAACACTCTGGAACTAGCACCAAACAGTCTGTCTGTCCTTGTTCTAGTCTACATGTCTTCCCAGGCTTTGTGGTGGAAAATATAGCTACACAAACTCCATTATTATTATATATATATATATTTTTTGAGGCAGAGTTTTGCTTTTGTCACCCAGGCTGGAGTGCAACAGTGTGATCTCAGCTCACTGCACCACCGCCTCCCAGGTTCAAGTGATTCTCCTGCCTCAGCCTCCTGAGTAGCTGGGATTACAGGCACACACCACCACACACAGTAAAGTTTTGTGTTTTTAGTAGAGACAGGGTTTCACCATGTTGGCCAGGCTGGTCTCGAACTCCTGACCTCAGGTGATCCACCTGCCTCAGCCTCCCAAAGTGCTGGGATTACAGGTGCGAGCCACCTTGCCCAGCCCAAACTCCAGTTTTTATATGTCTTGCACTAAAGATTTCAACCCAGACAAAGACCAGACCTCTTATTCCCAATCCCAAATTTTCCAAGGAATCTCTATTCAGCCCAGATTGTAGCCAACATGATGGTTATGGGCCATAATATATGTCACAGGTGAGCAGCAACTATCTGGGCTGGTGGTGAGGCATGGGATTTGGGGGGGATAAGAATTTACCAAGACAGTTGTAGGTAAAGAAAGGCAGATTTATTAAAGAAAGTATGAGAATATGTTGCCAGGGAGCAGTGGGCAGAACCAGCAGAAGAGGAGCTGACTACAAGGAAACAAAGGCTTGCTGGAGATTTTACTGGATGGTTCTTGGGCTGATTGATAATGCAAAGGTAGCAGAAAGCCAGCTTGTATTCTTCTGTCAGCCAACGTGTTTGATGATGAATTGAAGCGTTTGGTGATAAGCAGAAAGTTTGTGAGTTGTGTATGTTATTTGCTCAGGAGGACTATATGTCCTGGGCCATAAAGAAAGACAGACTTGTAGCTTATCTGCTTCCTCTTTTCATTTATATGTCCTGGACCATGAAGAAAGGCAGACCTATAGCTTATTTGCTTTATCTCTTTGCTTTCCCTTCATCCTGCCAGTCTGGCTCCTTTTCCCTAATTAGGACTCCATAATATATAACCATGGCTGCTTGGAAGCCAGCCTGTGACCATGTGGATGAGCATAGAAGAGAGAAGTTTGTAGAAAAGGGGAACTGGGTGCCAAACCTAATAGGTGTCCAGTGCAAGGCCCTCTCTTCCCTCTTAATGGAAAATGGATCTTAAACAGTGCCCTTCTGGAGACCACACTGGGGAAAAGGAGGTAGATGGTATTAAGTAGGTTTGGTAAAGGGAGGAATTTTGAGGCAACTGGACCTTTCTGGGCCCCTTCAATTCATACCATATGTATGGTTCTTTAAAAAAATATAAAGCTCATTATTTGGGCCATTCTTTTTTAAACTTATATTTTATGTTATATTTTTAAATTTTTATCTATTTACCTATTTTGAGACCAGGTTATGAGACTGGCTAATTTTTGTATTTTTGGTAGAGACAGGGTTTCACCATGTTGCCCAGCCTGGCTCAAATTCCTGGGCTCAAGCGATCTACCTGCCTTGGCCTCCCAAAGTGCTAAGATTACAGGGATGAGCCACCACGTCCAGCCGCATATTTGGGACATTTTTATACAAAAAGATTTAATTGATTGTGGCAAACTTATTCTTGGATTATGATCCATCTTCAAATGCAAATATATGTTGATTATCTGGATCATCTTTGCAGAGATTCAACTCAGTTACCATAGTGCCTGAAATGACCATAATGTACAAGCAGTGACTCCGTTGTTTCCATTCTGTAAACCAATGGGTTTCAGCCTCAAATCCCGGGACATCTAAGGATCTACAAGGAAAAAACTGAAGACCCATAAGGTATTTCTAGTATTTCATAAAGTCTAAAGCAAATGATGCACTTACCTGGCACAAAGCTATGATGGACTACCTAAAACATCAAAACATCAAAACCATCAAATTTCTCTGCTTTAGAATAAAATGATATCAACTCAGGACAGCAAGTCTGTTATTCCATGCTGGTCTTAAGTTCTGTTTTAGTGCATGCGTGTGTGTGTGTGTGTGTATGTGTATCCTCGGTTATACATTCTGAGCAAATGAATGCCATCCTGGGAGAAATGGGATTTAATGTCATCCTGGGAAGCATTATATGTGGCCACTACTATTCAGGTTATATTCTAAAAATTGTAGAAAAAGAAATTTAAGGCTCAAGGTTAATAAAGTCATCTTTCCTGGAGATCTTTAAACATGAGATAATTAGCCACCTCTCTAAAATAATTACCTCTAGAAGATCCTTCTACTTCCTCTCAAAATATATTAAAATATCATCTACCCCATTATTAGAAGTTGTACTGATTAGGATAGTATATTGTCTCAATGACGGAGACCTGTGGATAATAAATTGTCTCCAGAGATGCTCTGCATTTACAGCATAAATTCTGGGCCACCCTCTGAATGTCAAGACTTTGAGTGTTCTGGATTTCCTGTAATTTCTGGTCTCCATGTTTGCAAGCACTTGGTTATTTCTCTGCTTCATCCCATGACTGGGCCCTCTGGATTTGGATGTAAAGAACAGGATGGATAGAAAAGGTTTCTATGATACTAATCTACTTATAGTCCAGGTTATCAGAAACCTTTCAGGCCTTAGGCACTTATACATATAATTTCCAGAAATCCACTTCGGAGCAAAGTCACTCCTCTTTCTTATAGTTAACTGATATCAATAGGTCATTTTTGGCAGCCTCACCAAGGCTCACAGGTCTACACTAAATTGCTGTTCCAACGCACCATTCAGAAAAGCAATTAATCTCAATTCAAATGAGAAGCATGTTTAGGGTGGTATGGCTGTAGATGCAAATCACCTTTAAATATACCCTCTGTTTCAGTCTTTGAAATGGTATTTCTAAATTTGAAAAAAAGTTAATGGTATTTTTAAATTTGAAAAAATGTTAGAAGACTCAAATTCTAGTAAGTATTAGTTTTTTAAAGCATTGTTTAAAGTTACATATTTATTAAAAATCAATTCATATGTGGTGGACAAATCACTTCCTAAACGTGCATCTTTGTGAGGCTATAAAAAAGTGGGAGAGGACCAGGCGTGGTGACTCATGCCTGTAATCCCAGCACTTTGGGAGGCTGAGGCGGGTGGATCACGAGGTCAGGAGTTCAAGACCAGCCTGACCAACATGGTGAAACCCCGTCTCTACTAAAAATACAAAAATTAGCCAGGCATGGTGGCGCGTGCCTGTAATTCCGCTACTCAGGAGGCTGAGACAGAAGAATTGCTTGAATCTGGGAGGCGGAGGTTGCAGTGAGCCGAGATAGCGCCACTGCATTCCAGCCTGGGAGGCAGAGAGAGACTCCATCTCAAAAAAAAAAAAACAAACAAAAAAAAAAGTGGGAGAAGTAGGTAGGACATGTATTAAGGAGAGTAAAGTCTTCTCCTCACCCTTGAATGCTTGTTCAGGATGTTCTTTGTAAAGCACATGTGCTGAAAATTCCCCTTTTCTTCCTTGAAGCATCTGTGAGCCTTTCTTTTTTAGATAAAATGAGGCTTTTTGGTGGACACATGACAAGGAAGAGATTCAATATAACAAGTAATCATGTTGTTTTAAAAAGCTCCATCTCAAATTAAGTTTACGCATGCTAGCCTTTTAAGGCTGTGGGTTGCAACATGTGAACAATTTTAAAGTGTAACATTTCATCTACGGGTTCGGAGTAGCTTTCAATTCCCTTACTAGTGTGCTTCTAATTAAATCTTAATTGTACCATTCATTGTGAAATGAAAGAAATGCTGTTATACTGGGTTTTTCCTAAGGGGAAATCGAGATGGCCCTCATAAAAAACTATGTCATCCATGGAAAAGGAATAAAACTATGTGGAAATGAGCCATAAAATTAAAGCCTAACATTTGGATTTGCATAATTAAAAAATTATCACAAGTAATACCTTTTTTGATAGACCCAAGTGATTTAAATATAGGTGATTAGTTATTATAAATCATTTGAATGCATGAAGAACACTGAGTAAGTGGCAGGCAACATGTAATGAAAATGATATATGCAATAATTTAAGTTGCTACTTTACCATATACTAATTTTAAAATATATCCTTGTGAAATTTTTTTTTCTTCTTGAGACAGAGTTTCACTCTTGTTGCCCAGGCTGGAGTGCAGTGGCACGATCTCGGCTCACTGCAACCTCCACCTCCCAGGTTCAAGCGATTCTCCTGCCTCAGCCTCCCAAGTAGCTGGGATTACAGGCATGCGCCACAACGCCCGGCTAATTTTGTATTTTTAGTAGAGACGGGGTTTCTCTATGTTGGTCAGGCTGGTCTCGAACTCCCGACCTCAGGTGATCCACCCGCCTTGACCTCCCAAAGTGCTGGGATTACAGTGTGAGCCACGGCACCTGGCCAATAATTTTTTTTTTTGAGACAGGGTCTCACTCTGTTGCCCAGGCTGGAGTTCAGTATATGATCACAGCTCACTGCAACCTCGATCTCCTGGGTTCATGATCTTCCTGCTTCAGCCTCGTGAGTAGCTGGGACTACAGGCATGTACCAACATTCCTCGCTAATATTTGTGATTTTTAGTAGAGATGAGGTCTCTCTATGTTGCCCAGGCTAGTCTCCAACCCCTGAGCTCAAGCAATCCTCCTATCTCAGCCTCCCAAAGTGGTATGAACCAGCACATGTGACCTTTATTTTATATAATTTTCTATATCTGACCTATTCCAATTTTGTGTAGGCTCCTGTGCCACTCTATCACTGTTTTAATCAATGTCATTAGTGTTATTCATAACTCTCAAACTGAAGCAACCAAGATGTCCTTCAATAGGTGCATAAACTATGGTATATCCACATGATGGCCTATTTTTTGAAAATTAAAAAAATATCAAGCCATAAAAGATAGGGATAAACCTCAAATGCATATTGCTAAATGAAAGAAGCCAGTTTAAAAATACTACATGCTGGCCGGGCACGGGGGCTCACGCCTGTAAATCCCAGCACTTTGGGCACTTTGGGAGGCCGAGGCGGGCAGATCACGAGGTCAGGAGATTGAGACCATTCTGGCTAACACAGTGAAACCCTGTCTCTAGTAAAAAAATAAATTAAAAAAAAAATTAGCTGGGCTTGGTGGCGGGCACCTATAGTCCCAGCCACTTGGGAGGCTGAGGCAGGAGAATGGCATTAACCCAGGAGGCAGAGCTTGCAGTGAGCCACGATTGCACCACTGCACTCCAGCCTGGGAGACAGAGCGAGATTCCGTCTCAAAAGAAAGAAAAAGAAAAAGAAAAAAAAAATACTACATGCTATGTGATTCTAACTATATGGCATTTCTGAAAAGGTAAAACTGCAGAGACAAAAAAATTTGTGGTTGTCAGGGGTTTGTGAGGAGCAAGGAGGGCTGAACAAGTGAAGTACAGGGGATTTCGAGGAGTGATGAAACTATTCTGTCTGATACGCTAATGGTGGCTACATGATTACTATGCATTTGTGAAAACTGTAGAAGTTTCTAGCAGAAAAGGTGAACTTTAATATTAGGCAAATGTAAAAAAATAGTCATTTAGGATGTTGGAGGATAACAGGACAGAATGCATACAGTGACAAGAAAATGAAACTGTATTATAAATATACAAAACAACCTCACTGAGGAGGGTGGGCAGTAGAGGGGGTTCTGATCTAAGTAACTTTGGAAATGAGTAGAATCTATAAGACTAAATACATCCTAGTCAACATACTACTGGAAGTCCTAGCCAGAGCAATTGGGGAAAAGAAAGAAATAAAAGGCATCCAAATTGCAAAAGAGAAAGTCAAATGATCTCTGTTTATTGATGACATGAAAACCTCAAGACTTCTCCAAAATACTCCTAGACTTGATAAATGATTTCAGTAAAGTTTCAGGATACACAATTAACGTGCAAAAGTGAGTAGCATTTCTATACACCAATAATGATCAACTTGAGAACAAAATAAAGAAGTCACTCCAACTTACAATAGCCACACATAAAAATAAAATACCTAGGGGCCGGGCAAAGTGGCTCACGCTTGTAATCCCAGCATTTTGGGAGGCTGAGGCGGGCGGATCACGAGGTCAGGAGATTGAGACCACGGTGAAACCCCGTCTCTACTAAAAATACAAAAAATTAGCTGGGCGTGGTGGCGGGCGCCTGTAGTCCCAGCTACTCGGGAGGCTGAGGCAGGAGAATGGCGTGAACCCGGGAGGCGGAGCTTGCAGTGAGCGGAGATCCCGCCACTGCACTCCAGCCTGGGTGACACAGCGAGACTCCGTCTCAAAAAAAAAAAAAAAAAAAAATGAAATACCTAGGAATACACTTAACCAAGATGAAATATCTCTTCAAGAACCATAAAACACTAATGGAAGAAATCATATGACACAAACAAATGGATAAACATGGTCATGGATTGGAAGAATTAATATCACTAAAATGACCATACTGCCCGAAGCAATCTACAGATTTAATGCATTTCCTATCAAAATACCAATATAACTTTTCACAGAATTAGAAAAACCAATCCTAAAATTCATATGGAACCACACAAAAGCCTGAATAGCCAAAGCAATCCTAAGCAAAAAAACAAAAAAAAACAAAGCTAGGCCAGGTGTGGTGGCCCACACCTGTAATCTCAGCATTTTAGGAGGCTGAGGCAGGATGATCGCTAGAGCTCAGGAGTTTGAGACCAGCCTGGACAACATGGTGGGAACCCATATCTACAAAAATCATAAAAAAACAGCTGGGCTTGGTGGCACTCACCGGTAGTACAAGCTACTTGGGAGTCTGAGATGGGAGGATCACTTGAGCCTGCGAGGTTGAGGCTGCAGTGAGCCAAGATCACGCCACTGCACTCCAGCCTGGATGGCATAGCAAGACCCTATCTAAAAAAAAAAAAAAAAAGAAAAAGAAGGAAAGAAAGGAAGGAAGGAAGGAAGGAAGGAAGAAAAAGAGAAAGAAAGAAAGAAAAATTAACAAGTAACAAAGCTGGAGGCATCACATTACTTGACTTCAAATTATTCTACAGGGATATAGTAACCAAAACAGCATGGTACTGGTACAAAAATAGACACACAGATCAATGGAACAGAAAGAGAATCCAGAAATAAAGCCACATACTACAACCAACTGATCTTTGACAAAATCAACAAAAATATACAATAGGGAATGGACACCCTATTCAATAAATGGTGCTGGGAAAATTGGAGTGCCATATGCAGAAGAATATAGCTGGACCCCTATCTCTCACCATAAACAAAATTTTTAACTCAAGATGGATTAAAGACTTAAATGTATGACCTGAAATGGTAAAAATCATAGAAGAAAACCTAGGGAAAACTCTTCTAGACAATGGCCTAGGCAAATAATTTATGACTATGACCTCAAAAGCAAATGCAACAAAATCAAAAAGAGACAAATGGGACTTAATTAAATTAAAAACCTTCTGCACTGCAAAAGAAATAGTCAACAGAGTAAACAAACAACCTACAGAATGAGAGAAAATATTTGCAAACTATGTGTCCAACAAAGGACGGATATCCAGAATCTATAAGAAAGTCAAACAGCTCAACAAGAAAAAAAATTAAAAAGTGGGCAAAAGACACAGACATTTTTCTAAAGAAGATATACAAGCAGCCAATAAACACAAAAAAATGCTCAACATTACTAATCATCAGAGAAATGCAAACTAAAACCACAATGAGATATGATCTCAACACCAATCAGAATGGCTATTGTTAAGATGTCAAAAAATAACAGATGTTGGTGAGCATGTGGAGAATAGGGAAAGCTTATACACTGTTGGTAGGAATATAAATTAGTACATCCTCCATGGAAAACTGTATGACAATTTCTCAAAGAACTAAGAATAAAACTAACATTCAACCCAGCAAACCCACTACTGAGTACTTATCCAAAGAAAAAAAAAGTTATATCAAAAAGATACCTGCCAAAAAGAAAAATTGTACAGGATCTGGATTTTATACCAAAAAAAAAAAAAAGACACCTGCATTCATATGTTTATCGCAGCACTATTCACAATAGCAAAGTCATGGAATCAACCTAAATATCCATCAACAGATGATTGGATTAAAAATATGTGGTATAGGCCGGGCACGGTGACTCATGCCTGTAATCCTAGCACTTTGGGAGGCCGAGGCAGGCGAATCACAAGGTCGGGAGTTTGAGACCAGCCTGGCCAACATGGTGCAACCCCGTCTCTACTAAAAATACAAAAATTAGCTGGGCATGGTGGCGGGTGCCTGTAATCCCAGCTACTCAGGAGGCTGAGGCAGGAGAATGGCTTGAACCCAGGAGGCGGAGGTGGAGGTTGCAGTGAGCGGAGATCGTGCCCCTGCACTGCAGACTCCAGCTGGGGCGACAGTGTGAGACTCTGTCTAAAAACAAACAAACAAACAAACAAACAAAGAAAAAAGTGGTATATACACACCATGGAATACTATGCACCCATAAAAAAGAATGAAATTATGTCTTTTGTGGCAATGTGGATGAAGCCAGAGGCCATTACCCTAAGTGAAATAACTCAGAAACAGAAAATCAGCTACCACATGTTTTCACTTTTAAGTGGGAGCTAAACAATGGGTATACACGGAGGTGCAGAGACAAATAATAGACACTGGGGACAGCAAAACAGGGGAGGATAGGAGAGGGGGAGGGTCGAACAATTACCTATTGGGTACAATGCTCACTGTTTAGGTGATGGGTACACTAGAAGCCCAGACCTCATCATTACATAATATACCCATGTAACAAACTTGCACATGTACCCCTTGAATATATAAAAATTAAAAATAAATAAAAATAAATAAATTGCAAAGAAAAAAAGACTAAAGACAAAAGGGACTCTACATGAGCAGTATACTCTGGTTGATGTCGTTTCTCACAGGGGTACAAGTTAACAATTCTGATACTATTGTACATGTATGCTGCAATTGAACAAGTAAGTAAACATACCCTACATTGGTGGGAATATGTCAAAAGGACACAGGAGCCAACTGAAAGAGCTCCCAATGGTGAGAGGTGGAACAATTTGAGCAATAAAATAAAATAGTTCAAGTTGAATATCCCTAATCTGAAATGCTCCAAGTCCGAAACTTTATGAGTGCTGACATGATGCCACAAGTAGAAACTTCCACACCTAAGTACTTGACACAACGTTGTCTCATGCACAAAATTATTTTTAAATATTGTGTAAAATTGCCTTCCGGCTATGTGTATAAGGTGTATATGAAACACAAATGAATTTTGTGTTAGACTTGGGCCCCATCTCCAAGATATCTCATTATGTATATGCAAATATTCCAAAATCCAAAATCTAAAATACTTCTGGTCCCAAGCAGAATACTCAACCCACACTGAATTATACCATAAATTATAAACATTCAGGAGTTCATACTGATATAAATGATTGAATATATAAATGGGGGAGGAGAAAAATCTCCCTTGCAGAAGAATTCCAAATAATTTATGTAGATGCTCTGTCCTCAAGAAGGTGGAATACAGCTCCCCATTCTTTAAGCATGGAATATTTATAGTGGCCTCCTTCCAAAGAGTACAGTATGGAAAGGAGGGGGAAAAGAAGAGTAGCTTTATGGTGGAGAAATCTGACAAACACCACCTCAGCCAGGTGATCAAGGTCAATGTCAACAATGGTAGAGCATGTTAATAGTAGGTACCCTTGATATAATGTGATGAAAATGGCACTTTACCTTTGTGATATCCCTCATAAAAACCCGTAACTCCAGTCTAATAATGCACAAAACATCAAATAAATCCCAAGAGAGGAACAGCCCACAAAATATTTGAGTCATATTCATCAAAACTGTCAAGGTCATCAAAAATAGGAAAAATCTGAGAAACTCACAGTTAAGAGGAACCTAAGGAGGCAAGAAAATCAGATGTAATGTGGCATCTTGGACGGGATCCTGTAACAGAAAAAAAATATTTCATAGAACAAAGGAAACCTGAGTAAATAGTGGGCTTTAATTAATAAGAACATATAAACTGGTATATTAATAGTAATACATGTATTATACTAATGTAAGATGTTAATAACAGGGGAAATGGTGTGTGGTATATGGGAACTCTGCACTATCTTCTTGGTTTTGTAAAATCTTTTAAAAAAATAACTGCTCAGAATATTTCCCTCTTTCACTCTTTTATTTGAAAATAACCTTTAATATTTTCTCTGAGTTTTTCTTCTGTTAAAATTTTGTTTTGTCAGGTCCCAATCTGATAAAATTGGGAGTTATTTGGGGCACAGAATAAACCTATACCATAACTTTAGGGAGGGGCGCAATCAGGCATTCTGTATTACTGATTAATAGGAGACCCAGCTGTTCCAGCAACCAGGCATAGCAGAAACGATATGAAAGAGTAAGGCTTTGTAGGCTTAGCCAAAACTTTTCCCAAACAGATCTACACCACAAGACAACCATTGAATTTTGAGGTCAGGAGTTTCTATATAAACTGCTTCCACTATTCAAAAAAGTTCATATTGTTCATGTAGAATGCTTAAGTTTGAGAAGTACAGTTACCCTAAGGATCTTAATAAAGTTCCCCTCTTTAATCGAAATGTTAATCCGATGGGTGGAGTTGTTTAAAATTATCCAACTGAGAATTGTGGTTTTCAAACTGTGATCTGAAAGTGTTCAAATACTATTATGAGTTGAACTGTGTCCCCTCCCAAATTCATATATTGAAGTCCTAACCCCCAGTACCTCAGAATGTAACCTTATTTGGAGATAGCCTTTAAAGATGTAATCAAGTTAAAATGAAGTCAATTAGAGTGGGCTCTAATCCAATGTGACTGGTGTCTTTATAAAATGGTGATAGTTGGATTCAGGGATAGATAGAGGAAAGACAAGGTAAGGAGACACAGGAGAGAAGGTGGCCATGCACAAGCCAAGGAGACAAGCCTGGAACAGATACTTCCCTCACAGCCTGCAGAAGAAACCAGCCCTGCTGACACCTTGATCTCAGGCTTCTACCCCCAGAACTGTAAGACAACACATTTGCTGTGTAAACCCCCTGCAGTCTGTGCTACTTTGTTATGGCACCCTAGCACGCTAACACAAATACATTTTAGGCACTTTCTGGAAGAAGGATACAAGTGGAAGCCCAGTTCTCTTTGTTTGTACACTGGATTTCTGAATAAGATTTCTTTATATAAAGAGCTCCAAACTAATGTTTGAAAAACATTGTTGTTCAAAAATGATTTTGAAGTAATTAATTTTGAATTATTTCTAATGAACAGGTCCAATTGCTTCTTGAGGCCAGGGCATTCCCCACCCGCCCCCACACCCTTTTTTTTTTTTTTTTTTTTTAAAGAGACAGGGTCTTTGTTGCCCAGGCTGGAGTGCAGTAGCACTATCTAGCTCATTGCAGCCTTGAACTCCTGGCTTCAAGTGACCCTCCTACCTCAGCTTCCTGAGTAGCTGAGAAACTAGGACTACAGGCACGTGTCACCATGCCAGGCTAATTTTTTTTTTTTCTAATTTTGTTTCTTTGTAGAGATAGGGTTTGCTATGTTGCCCAGACTGATCTCAAACTCATAGCCTAAGTGATCCTCCCACCTTGGCCTCCCAAAGTGCTGAGATTAGTGGCGTGAGACATTGCACACAGCCTGAAGCCATTCCTTGATAGTAAATTTCTGTCATTGTCTCAACCTAGATGCTTCCAAAAAACAGAGCTTGAACTAAAGACTTGTGCTCAGGCAGTTTATTTAGGAGGTGATTCCAGGGAGTTTCAGGTGCTTCTCCAGTGCTATGCATTCATTATTCTCCTTTTGAATAAACCATTGCCATCTGTGATGTATTGTTTTTGCTCAATGTTTTTCTTCTTAGATATTAAACAGTTAGATTTCAAAACAGCATGTATCTAAAGAGTTAAAATTCCACACTAATAAAATTCTGAGAGGAAGCCAAACTAATTTGCAATATATACCATACATATGCTCAAAATTATTCTGGTCTATAAAGCAGATTGTATCAGTTAGGGTTCTCTGGAGAAACAGAACCAATCGGATATATACTGTATATATTAGATGATCTCTTTATGGAATAAATAAAGGCATTGCCTCACACAATTGTGGCAGCTGGCTAGTCTGAAATTTGTGGGGCAGGCCAGCAGGCCGGAAACTCAGGCAGGAGTTGATGTTGCAGTCTTGAGGCAGAATTTCTTCTCAAGAAACCTGTTTTTGCTCTTAAGTCCTTCACTGATTAGATGAGGACCCCCTACCTATTGAGAGTCATCTCTCTGATGTAAAGTCAACTGATTGTACATGTGAACCACATCTACAAAATACCTTCATGGCAATATCTAGATTACTGTTTGATTAAATACCTGGGTACTGCTATATCTTAGCCAAGTTAATACTTAAAGCTGGCCATCACGCTGGTCAAGAACTAAAAACCTAGAGGCATTCATCTCCTTCCTTGTGTCACTCTGGGAAAGTCCAAAAATCTTCTGGTTCAGTTTCTTGTAAGGGGTAGCCACAGTGACACCATCATTTTAACCCAACTAAGTAGCATCATAGAAGAAAAGAATAAGGAGATAGTGAAACAAGTGTATTCTTGTAGGGAAAAAATGCTACCTTAGATAGAAATAATGTTTGCGACTATGATAGAACAATTTCTTCCTGCATCATCCCTGAACAATCCCAATAATGTGTGAAAATACAGCCAAATAATCTTTAGGCCTACAGGTTATCAGCTCTTCAAATACTGGTCCATCCTCTTTGTTTACGAGCAAGAGACAAAGAGCAATTAAGCAATATGTAAGTGGCAGACCCAAAAATAGAACCCAGCTGTCCTCAGCCCTAGAATGCTGTTCATAACACCAAGCTACCTCTGTGGACAATAAAGATGAATATCAGTCGCTAGAGAATGGGTTTCTCTACTTAATGTTCATAATTCCATTTACCCATGAAATGACCATGTGAAGCTTATTTTGTAAAGTAGATATTAGAGAATATTAGAGAACATTTGCTAATTTTGTCAGGTGTGATAAGGCATTGAGGCTGTGTAGACAAATTGTTCTTAACTTTTAGGGATGTATACAGCATGTATTTTCTTCAAAATACTTTAGCAAAAAAAAAATTAAGCAAATGAGGCAAAATACTAACAATTGTTACACATAAGTGATTGATATATGGGTGTTTATCATATTATGTCCTTACTCTTTGTAATGTTTTAAATTTTTCATAATAAAAAGAAAAAAAGAAACAAGTTCACTTTCTCTCTGTTCGTAGGCTTGTAGGCAGCTAATGCCTACATATATCCAAATATATCCATTTTCATACATCCAACATGCACTTTCCTTGCATGGTCACTGAGTCAATAAACTTATACCACAGGCCTGTGCACACTCACTTTTCTAGACTAGGAAATTTTTTTTTTTTTTTTTTGAGACAGAGTTTCTCTCTTGTCACCCAGGCTGGAGTGCAATGGCGCGATCTCGGCTCACTGCAACCTCCGCCTCTTGGGTTCAAGCAATTCTCCTGCCTCAGCCTCCTGAGGAGCTGAGATTACAGGCACCCGCCACCACGACCAGCTAATTTTTGTATTTTTAGTAGAGACAGGGTTTCACCATGTTGGCCAGGCTGGTCTCGAACTCCTGACCTCAGGTGATCCATCTGCTTTGGCCTCCTAAAGTGCTGGGATTGCAGGCATGAGCCACCGCACCTGGCTAGACTAGGAAATCTAATTTCATGGCAGGGGATCCCAAATTGACCCTACCTTGGCATGCCCATTTCCTCTTGATACTTGTCCTAATATTTTCAAAAAGAAAAATTATCACAACCTGTTTATATCTCTTAAAAAGGCACAAAATTTTTGTATCCTGTCCTTCATAGGTCATCAAATTTTAAAAAAAGAAATTGAAGATTGAGCTAGAGAAAGAATGCTTACAGTGGTCTCTCAGCTTTGTTTTTTTTTTTTTTTTTTTTTGAGACGGAGTCTCGCTCTGTCGCCCAGGCTGGAGTGCAGTGGCACCATCTCGGCTCACTGCAAGCTCCGCCTCCTGGGTTCACGCCATTCTCCTGCCTCAGCCTCCCCAGCAGCTGGGACTACAGGCGCCCGCCACCACGCCCAGCTAATTTTTTTTGTATTTTTAGTAGAGACAGGGTTTCACTGTGTTAGCCAGGATGGTCTCGATCGCCTGACCTCGTGATCCGCCTGCCTCGGCCTCCCAAAGTGCTGGGATTACAGACATGAGCCACTGCGCCCGGCCTTATTATTATTATTTTTTTTGAGATAGGGTCTCACTCTGTTGCTCCCAGCTTTGCTGCTCAGCATGAAGACAAAGTAGGAGCTCTGGAAAGAGGAAATAGGAGGTAAGAACCTCTTACAGCCTAAACTAGGATCCTGCTCAACCCAGCCACCTCCTCTCTCATGCCTCTGTACTACTCAGACCAATTGTGAAAACCATTGATTTGTCTGCCTACCATCCAATTTCCCAATCTGCAAAGTCAGTTTTGCCTCAAGTGATCCTCCCACCTCAGCCTGAGGAGTAGCTGAGACCACAGTCACTCACAACCACACCCAGCTAATTTTTATATTTTTTGTAGAGATGAGGTCTCCTTATGTTGCCCAGGCTGGTGTCAAACTCTTGGGCTCAAGTGATTCTCTCCCCTCGGCCTCCCAAAGTGCTGGGATTACAGGCGTGAGCCAGCATGCCAGGCTAATCTCCCAGCATTTTTATTCAGCCTGAAACTATACAACATACAATGAAGCTTTTATTATTAGTAGTACTTTGTGTGTAAAAAGATTTGATGGAGAGGACCATGCTATAAAATGTTAGTTATCACCCTCATCATTAAGCATTAATTAAGTACCCACTGTGTATCTATGTTAAGAACTGGATTTGGGAGGCCAAGGTGGGTGGATCACTTGAGGTCAGAAGTTTGAGACCAGTCTGACCAACATAGTGAAACCCCATCTCTACTAAATATGCAAAATTAGCCGGGCGTGGTGGTGTATGCCTGTAATCCCAGCTACTTGGGAGGCTGAGGCAGGAGAATCACTTGAACCCGGGAGGTGGAGGTTGCAGTGAGCTGAGATCACACCATTGCACTCCAGCCTGGGCAACAAAATTCTGTCTCAAAAATAAATAAATAAATAAATAAATAAATAAATAAAGCTAGATTGATTAACATGAGAAAATCTAGGCTTTGGACTCTAAGTTACTCAAATAAGCTACCTAAGGGTTCAAATGAACCAAATAATTACAAATCTCTGCTTCATTGACTGTTATTTGGTTATAGCCATCTCTGTGTTCCAAAGTCCCACAGGCAGCACTCACATTCCAGAGACATCCACTAACAGTATGGTAAACTGCATATAAACTGTATAAGCTAATGAATAAAAATTGCATTGCCTGCTAGAGTAAAATTGGAAGCACTCCATTCCTTTGTGATTATCACTTGCTTGACCTTTAAAGAATTTAAAGATTGTGCTGATGTGGTAAGGGTTGGGAGTGGGAAGACAATGTTCAAACTGAAATTCAGTTTAGTTCACAGCTAAAGCTCAAGATTACTAAAGAATTTTTTACCTCCTCAAATTAGAATATGTACGCTAATGCTATATAGATATATAAGTTCCCATTCAGATATTCCACTTTGTGAAAGTTTCACTTAATTTAGTCCTTTGACTGATCAACTCTGTGACTCTAGACTAGTCATTTAATCTCTCTGAGCCTCAGTTTACTTATCAAATAAGAGAGGCAAATGATGTTAAGGCAATCTCAAGATACAATGTTCTATTGGTATTATAATTTTTAAATTCGGTGATAATTTAAAACATTTTAAATGAATGTTGTTGCTTACACACAGTTTTGATGAAGTTCTCGATACTATTTCACGTATTGCTTTTTTCCTTGGTTTTTACATGTGTGGGACTATATTTTTCAGGCTTAGTATTAACTTTTTCTGAGGACATATAAGGTAGCAGAAAAATAGAAAAGCAGTGAAGCAGATGGCATACATAACAAAGGCCCCAGCGGACACATAGCAGATGTAGGCACAGGGATTTACATAGGAGCAAGGAAAGGTCCTGGAGGGGAGGCGGCCCTCTAGAGGACTGGAACTTGAGAAGCCCAGGGGCTTGCTGGGGTAATAATGGCTTCCCAGGGGCAGGGACTTGACATTTGGTTCAAAGACAAAGGGCTGGGTAGAGGAGAGAGATGATTTTGAGCACGCCAGGAAGTCTGACATGGACTCCCTTCCCAAGGCCAACCGCCTTCCATTTCTCCTGTTTCGAGCAAAGGGGCTGCAGTGGAACCAGCAGGAACTAAAAGATGTTGTTTTGTTTTAAAAATTATAGTAAGTTAAGAGGCATCAATATCCCCAGAGGCAATATCAACAACTCTACAGGCAGCATTAGGGACTTGTCATTGATGGGAGAAAGGCCAGCAATGTGCTCTAATGGTGGCATCAGGGGCCTTGCACAGCTAGGCTGTGCACACAGACTAGAAGTGCTCAGCATGGGGACTTTGGCAGGCAGCCGTGGGATATGTCACCAGAGTGCATCAGAGGAAAAGGGTCAACACCCCAGGATTGCCACAGGACTAGTTCTAGGAACAACATGCAACTCTCCCTAGGGCTTTCAGAAGCATAGGGCCTGGAGCTCTCATAAAGTAATGCTAACTTTGACTGTTATTGTGATGAACTTCTTACTACCTGTTTGGAAAAGATGAGTTATGTTTTTCTGACCCTAGACTTAGCCTTCTGCTCATTTCCACATTTTGTAGTTCTGCCTTACTTCTTTTCTTCAGAAGAATCCTTTCCCACTCAGAGGAGCTAATATTGGTTCTTGAATGGACATTACTTTCCTATTGCACTGGACCTCTTGCCAGCCCCCAGCTGCGATTCCCTTTCCCTGTTGTGTATGAATGTTGAGGCTGTGGGGATGGTGTCTTTTATTCTGATATGAATATCCTGCAAAGGTCATAGTCAGGCCCCAGTCTTGTGAATACACCTCTCAGCTGAAGAGGGAGGTCATTTGGGGAGTCAGTCATGTGAGTAAGTTGTGAGAGATCAGACAGGGAACCAGAACTCTAGCCAGAATCTAAAGGGGCATACCTTCAAAAGATCTTTCCCTGGGTTCCCTGAATAATGGCATGGGTCTTTAATCATGGAGTATAAGCTGTGTCTGAAAAACTGGATTATTAAATCAAGAAAAAAATTTTTTTTAAAGAAAAAAACCAGAAACTGGATTATCTATGACTGTTTGTTTCACTTTTATTATGCCTTTTGCTATTTAGCCTCCAGCAAAGTCTTTGGTTTTTTGTTGTTTGTTTGTTTTTGGAGATGGAGTCTCACTCTGTCGCCCAGGATGGAGTGCAGTGGCATGATCGCAGCTCACTGCAACCTCTGCCTCCTGGGTTCAAGAGATTCTCCTGACTCAGCCTCCCAAGTAGCTGGGATTACAGGCACCCACCACGACACCTGGCTAATTTTTGTATTTTTAGTAGAGATGGGATTTCACCATGTTGTCCAGGCTAGTCTTGAACTCCTGGCCTCAAGTGACCCACCCACCTCAGCCTCCCAAAGTGCTAGGATTACAGGCGTGAGCCACGGTGCTCAGCCCCATTTGTTTAATATTCTAACTAGAACTCTGCTGTGCTACAGGACACAAAAGGACTGATTTCTTACTTTTGGCCCCTGGAAGTGAAGAATCTGAACTTTATTTATTAATATTAAAAAAATGGTTTTTTGTAGGGACAAGGTCTCCCTGTGTTGCCCAGGCAGATCTCGAACTCCTAGGCTCAAGCGATCCTCACACTTCGGCCTCCCAAAGTGCTGGGACTACAGGCATGAGCCACCGCATCTGGCCTGAACTTTATTTAAATAAGAATGACATTATTTTTCCTATCAGCCCTTTATATTTTGGAAAAAAAAAAGTAAGTTAAGGTTAATTTTCCAGAACTATTTAAATTTTAACATTATTGCTAACTATGATACAATTTGTCCACTGTAAGGGGGAGTTTCAAACATTCAAAAATCATATGTGGGAGATATTGAACAGAGGTAGCTAGAAATCCTGCTAAAGTGAAAATCTCTTGATGTCAGGGCTACTTTCTGACTCATGATACCCTGGCTTCTATTTTGTTTCTGCAAATCTGCCCTGGCCTCTCACTCTCACCCCAACTCCACTCTTGTATCATTAATGTCCTCTAATATCCTTAAACCAACATAGAATTGTCAGATAACTCAAAACCCAACTTTAGGCCAGGTGCAGTGACTCATGCCTATAATCCCAACACTTTGGGAGGCCAAGGTGGGAGGATCACTTGAGCCCAGGAATTCAAAACTAGCTTGAGCAACATAGGGAGAACCCCATCTCTACTAAAAAATAAAAATTTTAAAAGTTAGCCAGGTGTGGTGGCACAAGCCTGTAGTCCCAGCTACTTGAGAGACTGAGGTGGGAGGATTGCTTGAACTGGTAGGTCAAGGCTGCAGTGAGCTGAGATTGTGCCACTGCACTCCAGCATGGGTGACAGAGGGAGACCCTGTCTCAAAATACACACACACACACACACACACACACACTCACACAAAACTTTATCTACCTTAGTGTCTCAGTTTGTTTGTGCTTCTATAAGAAAATGCCTGAGATGGGGTAATTTATAAACAATAGAAATTTATTTTCACATAGTTCTAGAGGCTGGGAAGTCCAAGATCAAGGCACTGGCAGGTTTGGAGGCTGGTGAAGGCATATTCCTCAGAGATGATGCCATCGAGGTATCCTTACATGGCAGAAGGAACAGAAGGGCAAAGAGGGGACAAATGCTGTGTACTCACATGGTGGAAGAGCAGTAGAGAGCAAACCCATTTCCTCAAGCCCCTTTATAAGGGCCCTCATCCCATCCGTGAGGGCTCTGTCCTCATGACATAGTAACCTCCTAAAGGCCCCCACCTCTTAATGCCATCACATTGGCAATTAAGTTTCAACATATGAATTTTGAGGAACACAGTCAGAACACAGTACTTAGCATCCAAGGTACTCATTCGCTCCTAGAGGTTGGAGGCAATCTCTGTCTGATTGCCATCTGTTTGGTCATTCAAAGTGGTTTATGGACACCCTTATTCCTTTCCATTTGTCCTACAGAATGTATGGCTAGAAATTTATGAAAGTGTAGGAGACAGGATATGTCAGAAGGCAAAGACAGATGACATTGGTGTAGGGGGATACGCATTTCACTTAAGTCCAACCCCCTTTTTGGCTCCAATATAGAGGTTTAAAAGCCAAATACTGTTTTCCCAGCCTCTCTAGCAGCTCAGGATGCCACATGAGCCAGTTCTAACCCAAGAGAATTCTGCTAGGGGGACTTCTGATAAAGCACATGTTTTCTTATTAAAAGGGACAGAGGTGGCTGGCACAGCCCTTTTCTGCCTTGAAAGCAGACATGGTGGTTGGAGAGGCAGTGGCCATCTTGAGACCAAGTGGACAAAGCTAAGAAATAACATGTGCCCTGTCATCACCAAGTTGCTAAAGCAAAGCCAGCAACTACTAATTTCTGGCCTTCTTGTGTGAGAAAAATAAAATTCACCTTTAAATGACATTGATGTGTGGAATTCACCTTAAAATACCCTAGCCAAACCAGAAGGGAGGTATGAAACAAGAAAGCAAAATATGGCAGGGTGTGGTGGCTCACGCCTGTAATCCCAGCACTTTGGGAGGCCGAGGCGGGTGGATCAGTTGAGTTCAGGAGTTCGAGACCAGCCTGACCAACATGGTAAAACCTCGTTTCTACTAAAAATACAAAATTAGCTGGGCATGGCAGCGCATGCCTGTAACCCCAGCTACTCAGGAGGCTGAGATAGGAGACTTGCTTGAACCAGGGAGGTGGAGGTTGCAGTGAGTCGAGATCACACCATTGTCCTGCAGCCTGGGCAAGAAGAGCAAAACTCCATCTCAAAAAAAAAAAAAAGGCAAAATATGACGGTTATTAAAGCTTGGAGATGGATTTACAGGGAGTTATTATACTCTATTTTTGTGTATAGTGGAAATTTTTCTTTATAAAAGTTATGAAAAAGAAAGATTTCATGTGCTATATAATGCAGCATATTAAGTT
Organism: Homo sapiens; assembly: GCF_000001405.40. NCBI lineage: Eukaryota > Metazoa > Chordata > Mammalia > Primates > Hominidae > Homo > Homo sapiens. Next base: position 108,110,448 of record NC_000006.12, read on the forward strand.
TTGATACTTTGCATTGAATACTAATTTGTGTTCATTTTTCTTTTTATCTCAATATAACATGAGTGGATTTTCAGAGTTTGTTACCAAAGGGATGATGGAGTCCCAACAAACCATTCAAAGTACTAAGCTTTTCCTCATACACTCTGAGAATACCCAAAAAATTTCTCCTAAAGAGCAAGCTTGTATCTGTAGTGAATAAAGCAAAGAAAAATGAGACCGTCATCGGGTGACAGAGAGAGTGGGGTACACAATTCAGTTGATTAAGTGTATATTCAGAGCTGAATCATGCACTTTGGCTGTCTCAAAACAAAAAGTGCTTTGGGGCTGGGTGTGGTGGCTCATGCCTGTAATCCCAGCATTTTGGGAGGCTGAGGCAAGAGGATTGCTTGAGCCCAGGAGTTCAAGACCAGCCTGGGCAACATAATGAAACCCTGTCTCTGCAAAAATTAGTTGGGCTTGGTGACACACACCTGAAGTCCCAGCTACTTGGGAGGCTGAAGTGGGAGGATCTCTTGAGCCTGAGAGGCAGGGGTTGCAGTGAGCTGAGCAGAGATTGAGCCACTGCACTCCAGCCTGGGTGACAGACTGGGACTGTATCCAAAAAAAGAAAAAGAAAAAGAAAAAGAAAAATGCTTTGATAATTGTACACTCTTCTCTCTGCTTTGTACTGTTTAGACTCAGTCCAAAATGGAAAAAAGAAATCAGGAAATCACCTTTTAAATTAGCCGGAACCACCATGGGTGTTTTCAGGACAGTGGTTAAAATACTAGGATGAGCTGATGTGTCACGATGCTCTGATGAACAGGAAAGACTGAAAAGGATGCCAGCTAATGAGGGTTCAGGAAAGCCTTAAAGATAAGACAGAGTGGGCTGGGGAGAGTGCCCTGGGCCAAAGTCGGGTCGCCATAGCTCTGCCTCTGGCTCTGATTCATTTGCCAGTGTTCTCTTTGTTGACCTGGTATTTCTCATCTCAAGCCTAAGTCATGTACTCTGCATGTCTTGCCCTCTTTCCAGCCCCACTCATGTTTTGCACTTACATGAGAGAGACACAAGCACAGCATACAGTTGTCCTTCCTATAATACTCAGACACAACCTCCAACAGCATCCTTGAATCACACCCATCAGCAAGGGCTGTTCTCAGTTGCCAAGGAGTGGCTGTGGTTCACACCAGAGATTACAGAAAAACCAGCCCAAAACCTCCCTGCTTCTAGCCTAGGTTATAAACTCAAACTCTGAATCTTAGAAAATAGTCAACAAGGCCGGGCACGGTGGCCCACACCTGTAATCCCAGCACTTTGGGAGGCTGACGCAGGTGGAACACTTGAGGCCAGGAGTTTGAGACCAGCCTGGTTAACATGGTGAAACCCCATCTCTACTTAAAAATACTAAAATTAGCAGGGTGTGGTGGTGCATGCCTGTAGTTCCAGCTACTCTGGAGGCTGAGGCAGGAGAATCGTTTGAACCCGGGAGGCAGAGGTTGCAGTGAGCCGAGATCGTGCCACTGCCCCCCAGCCTGGGCAACAGAGTGACACTCTGTCTCAAAAATAAATAAATAAAAAGAAAATGGTCAACAATTCAACAAACATTTGCTGAGAACTGATGCAGGGCAAGGGCAAAGTCCTAGATTCAGTGCCATGGCCTATACTAGCTGCAGGTACTTACAAACTAGTAGAAAAAATAAAAGATGTATACAATTAACTGCCTTATGAGGTAGTTATGATATAAGAAGAAAATTGAAGGAAAAGTTAGTTATGATATGAGGAGAGTTTAAAGGTGGAAGAAATGACAAGGAAGTCGTTTTTGGAAGAGTGGCATTTGAGCTTTACCTTAAAGATGGGTAAGCCTCCAATAAATGAATGGATTAGGGTGGTTTCCAAGAAAAGAAAATGCTTGTGGCTTGACATGGATGCAGAAGAAATAGGAGGTTTGAAAGAAGTCCCTGTGGAATATCAGTACACATAGGAGAGTATGGGAGAGAAGGTAGAAAGATGAGGGAGCAAACACGGAGGCACATAGTGATTGTGGATTCAAGAGAGGCTTTAGAAGGAGCTCAGCCACACTAATGCCACCTTTGCTCTTCCTTGATTAACCCAAAGTGCTCACTCCAGGTAGACAGTGATACGCTCACCAGTGAGATCTTATCTCTGATGTCACTTTTTCTTTCCTTTTTTCTTTTTAACTGCTTGGCTCTGGACATCAGCAGAGGCTTCAGGACAGTGGTTCTTCCTTGTTTTTGTTTTGTTTTGTTTTTTTGAGATGGAGTGTCACTCTGTCACCCAGGTTGGAATGCCGTGGTGCATCTCAGCTCACTGCAGCCTCCACTTCCTGGGTTCAAGAGATTCTCCCGCCTCAGCCTCCCAAGTAGCTGGGACTACAGGTGCTTGCCACCACGCCCAGCTAATTTAGCTAACTTTTTTTTTCTTTTTTGTATTTTTAGCAGAGACAGGGTTTCACCATGTTGGCCAGGTTGGTCTCAAACTCTTGACCTCAGGTGACCCACCCGCCTTGGCTTCCCAGAGTGTTGGGATTACAGGTATAAGCCACTGCACCCAGCCCTTCCTTCACTGTTTTGCTCTAGTGTCTGAAATTCCTCTATCCCTTGGGCTCCAACCTGTGCCCCAGATGTTCCCTGCTAAAATTGAATAACAGATAAATACCAGAGAGGATTGGGGCTTGTATTCTAGCCATTATAGATTGGAGTTTTGTCTTAGTTGCCATCACCTGTAGAAGACTGAGAGGTCAAGATGGGAGGTAGAGGTTTGTTTGGAAAAAAGAGAAGAAAGATTCTGGATGCTCTCTAGGGCAGGCAGACAGTAGTTGCAATGTCCAACAGAAACCTCGATCTGCCCTCTGTAATCACAGAACTTCCAGACTTACACTGGAGAGAAATTGAAAATTAGGTGTCCTTGCCTGACCCCTGACACTGGCCAGGCCACAAGGATTAAGGAAACAAGCTTGATCAAGGCATAAAAGGTCAGTCTCTCTGAGCCTCATTCCTCCCAGCTTTCTCCACCTGAATTCCATCTGCTATATAGCCTCTCCTGTTCTCTGTCTTCCAATTTTCCTTTTCGTTATTTATCCTTTCCTTCCCCTCTACTCCCTCTTTCTTCCCCACTCTTTCTTGTACAGAAGTTTAAGCATGCGATTCCCTCAAACCTTATATTCTTAAACTTTCGTTTTCTTCCACCAGGGGTCGGCTTTGTTTCTTTTTTCCGAGACTGATGCGGCTCCCCTACTGCCAGAGATCTTAGTCCAGAAACAGCCTTTTTTGGGAGGTGTGGGAGATGCCGTGGTCAGCCCAAGGGCGAGATGCGCCTCGGGGTCGGAGTCGCCCGAGTGGAGACTGGACACTCCATGGGGGAGGCTGGAACCCCCTGTGCCACAGATAAATGCTCGTTCTCCACCACATGTGAGGCATTTGAATAGGAGCAAGTCTCCCGGGTTGGGAATACTAGGAAGTGCTGGGGGACAGGCAAGGTCACGGCATCCAGGCTGCAATGCAAATGCCTAGGTAGTGCGCACGGCAGCGGTAATCCAGAATCCTGCCCAAAGAGGGTCCCGCAATCACCGCCCACTTCCAGGCGGGCTTGGGGAGCCGAGGGACTTCGCCTGCTTGGGTCAGAGCCCAGGAGGTGGCGTGGTGGTGGTGGTGGACGGGCCTGAGCGTCTCAGCCCTGACGGTCTAGGCCAGGTTTGTCCGCGGGGCCAAGACTCAAAGGCCGAGGTCTGTGCCTCCAGCTGTCCCACCAGCCAGCCAGTGTACTAGGCGCAAACAACCAAAGCCCACTCGCCTGCGAAGCCAGGATGGGACATTCATCTCCAAAAGCCTTTTCTTCCTCTTCTTCTGTTTCTTCCCATTTATGTCCCTCTGGCTGCAAACCAAGAGAGGCGCCCAAATATGAAAGTCAAGTCGAATTGAAAGCGTATGGCTTGTGCGCTCCCAACGCCCTCCCCTGTTTTTAAAATTGTGTTTCAAAACAACATGGTGACTTTTGGACAAGATTTTTCTATTTCGCCCACACCACAATAGAGATGCAATGAATGCTGCTGGTGAAATGTTTGGCTGTGTCAAATTCAGTCCCGCAGGCTGGCTTGGGCCAGCACTGGGGCTCCGCTTTGTGTTATGTTCACGGAGAAGATATTAATTAAAAGAAATACATGATTAAAAAGTAATGAGTTGAATAAAAATTATCTCAGCTCATTTTCTGATTATGTTAATTGTTAAAAACCCTTCAATCACGCCGTTGCAGTCAATGGGCTTTAATGTGAAATTAGTGGGCTCTTGATAACTTACAGTCCAGAATAATCCTGGCGGTTTAGTCATCATTCCTAATAACAAGGATGTTGCTAAGAACAGAAATTTTACATGATTTTCATACATTCAGCCCTTCCCCCCACGTGTCATTAAAAAAAAAAAAAAGGCTTAGCCTGCCTGCGATTTCCAACTTCTCTTTCCACGGATCGACCGCGGCCTTGGCAAGGACTTGAGTCTGCGTTCCAGCCCCTTCCGCTCCCAGCGCGCACGCAGCCTCTCGCCTTTGCGTCGGCGGGTTGCTGGTTGCCGGTACCCGCTCAGCAGCTAGGAGCCTTGGGGAACCCTAGCTCTTAGCTTCCCCGTCTGGCGAGGCCAGAGGGCCAAGTTGCTCACTGGGCTGTGCTGAGGGATAAGGGGAGAAAAGAACGGAAATCGCAGCTACGAGGGCTAGAGGGACGGCGCGGCTGCTTGAGGACGGGTCGCCTAGCGGTGGGCGAGTAGGGCTGTGCGTAAAAGGATCTAGACAGACAGTCGTGCGCCCGCAGGGTTGCAGGACAGGGGCAGGCCGAGTTGTGGCGCGTGTGTGTTTGTGTGTGCTCGCCTCCGGGTTGCGCGCTTTCAGGGCTTTGGATGCCGGGGATTTTGAGGACCCATTCAAAGCTCCGAGGGGGCGGAGGCTCAAGCAAGCCAGGGAAAAGGTCCCCTAAGCCTCAGAGCCTGGGCTGCGCCCCAGACAAAGTGCCTAATGCAGAGTAGGCTCTTAATAGGTTTGCATTGGATCTAAACGAAAGCTAGTGAAATTCGTACATGATTCTAATGAGAGATGACGGCCAGGTGTTCTCAGCAGCCCCTGGCCCTCACGGGGCGACCTGAAAGTTCCCACTCTACCCGAGACGAAACTCAGAGCCGAGGTGGGGGCGAAGGCCGGGTAATGCACTGATCGAGGGTGAGGAGGGATGTTTCATAGCCTTTTCCGACATACCTCACGACAAAACACCTTTCACTCTCTATGAGCAAAGGAAAGAAGAAATGTCCCACACCCTCTATTTTGACTTCTTGGGAAACACAATGCCTCTCAAATTGGGCCTGCGAGAAAGGTGTGACCCGGGAGGGTTGTGGGGTCCCGGGACCTTGGCCGGGTGTCGGTGACGGGACTGCCTGAGGCCAGAAGATAGGTTCTAGGTCTCAGTCCACCTGGTGCTGGACGTCGAGGAACCCAAAACTGTCCACTGGAGGCGCCCTGACGCTTTGGTCAACGAGGGCTGCTTCTGCACACTCGAAGGGACTCAAGCACCATTTTTCACCCAAGAGAACTATGTGAGGGAAATTGCATTTCCCAAGGTCGGTCTGAAATTACACATACACACACGAAAGCCTATAGATACTGGTATGCAGAAAGGGGTGGGGTGGAAGGGGTGTGTGTGTGTGTGTGTGTGTGTGTGTGTGTGTGTGTGAGAGAGAGAGAGAGAGAGAGAGAGAAAGAGACAGAGAAAGAGAGAGAGAGTTATTCCCAGAACATGAGGCTCTGTGTCTCAAAGTGCCTTTTTCGAGGCTTCCACCTTTAAGACTACCTGGATGGGGTGGGGGCCTGGTGTTTTAAAAATTGTCTTTCTATTTCTCTGGCCCCTTTACAAGAGCAAATTTCTTTTAAACACTTTTAAATATCTTTATTTTCCACCTTTTCAAGCCCCAACAGTAAGGAGTCTTCCCTTGGGATTGGGGGGCAATGGAGTCAGGGGCTGGCTGGGAGGAGTCCCAAGGCTAATTCTTCTTGTTCGCCTATTTGCATCCGCTGTTAGGCTGAGGATCATTTTAATAAATAACAATGAACAGGAATGGCATCTAGAGGGCTTGTCGGCAACATTTAAAAGCCAATAGAGTTTATAATTCTACTCTATCATTTCTTATTGATTAGAGTAATCAAGATAAAAAGCTAGCCGGGCTCGGAGAACTTCAGCAGCATATCATTAAAGATAAGAGTCAGTTAATTCTGGAGCTGGGGTAATGTGGCTGAAATGAAGAGTTCATTTGCATGAGATGCTGAGCCCAGTAACAAGGGGACAAAAATCACTAATTAGGATTGCAGAGTGTCGGCCTCTCGGCAAGCACCGTTTCCAGACTGCGGACCAAGCGGAGATTCGCATTAATGTAAATCTGGGGAGCACTAAAAGCTCTCACTGGCTTTGTAGAAGGCGACAATCACTCCCGCCCTCTACGACGTCCTCCCTGGCCCGGGCAGCCCAACTGGGGCGGGGACGGGGGTTACTCGGGTCGGATCCCCTTTTCTTCCCTATCTATCCTACCTCCACTCCCGCGGCCACGCGAAGGCGTCTCACCCACCCCCTTAGGGGCACGTGGGCGAGTGTCTGGTGGCCGGGTGAGTGGAACCCGCCGCCCAGTCCTTGCAGCGGGCTCTGGTCTAGTGGGTGAGGATCCCTGGGGAGGTCCCAACTCCGGTGCAGCGTCCGCGGGGTGAAGGGCGCGAGTGCATTCAGGCCCCAAGGGAAACTCGGGGACATCTGCACAGACAAGAATCCCCAAGGAGGCCCAGGTCCCACGGCCAAAGTCCTCGACCCCCACCAGGCTGTCTCCCTCTAGTCCTCCCCACTCCTGACCTGCCATTCGGGACGGAGCCAGTCCGCGGGCACCCAAGGGCGCAAGCTGGTACAAAAAGCACGCGCAGGGGTGTGCCTGGGTGCGCAGGAGTATGTGTGTGTGTGTGTGTGTTTGTGTATGCGTGTGCAGGTGAGTCCAGCTGTCGTGTAAATGTGACTCTACATAAGCTTGTTGCTGTGTAAATGTGTTTTTTCTTGGTATAGGCACAAACGTGTGAACGTTGGTCTAAATGGTATGTAGTGTGTGTAATAGTACACATGTGATGTGTGAGCGGTGTGTGATGTGCGTGTGGTGCGAAGAGGGGAGGTGACAGGCCAGAGAGGTTTCCCCAAAGGGAGAGGCACGGAGGGCTTCCGGAGTGAGGGTGCCTGGGGGTGAGGCGGGAGCTGGGCACTGCCCCACCCAGCCCGGTGCCTCGAGAGGCTGAGGCGCGAGGCGGGAGCCCGGCCGCGCGGGGCAGCGGCGTCTCCTGGGCCGGGTGAGGTCGGACAAGGGGAAGAAGGAACCGCCTCCGCGCCTCCCGCGGCCCTGCCCCACCGCCCCGAGGCCGGCCGGTGGAGGCTCTCTCCACCCATCCCCTGGAAAATGAAAGTACCCCAGAAGCACAAGTTGGCCTGCAGAGCGCGAGAGCGCGGAAAGGCCGCTGACAGCAAGGACCGCGCGTGCACCTTGCGGCCCCGGACCCTTCTCAGCCCGAGGAGTTTGGGCTTCAGGCCCTCCCAGACACGGTGCAAGGAGAGGCTCGGGCTGCCGCCCCCGAGTCCATGAGCGCCGGAGCAGTTCCCGCCCTCGAAGTTCCTCTCCGGGAGAGAGGGAGAGAGCGAGGGAGAGAATGAGACAGGGAGGGAGGGAGAGAGGGGCGCGCGGCTTCTGAGGCGACCCCTCCCGGAGATGCTGCGGCCGCGCCGGGAATCCGCCCAGCGACCTGCTCTGCCCGGCCTTCTTAGAAATAACTTTGGCCCTCACTTGGCTGTAGCAGAAAGGAATCGAGGCCCCCGTCCATAATCGCAGGTGTCGGCGTGGAAAGGAGCCACGCGTGCACACTCATGGGTCTCACCGCGCGGGCTTCCGCGGCCCGGCAAGCCGCTGCGCCTGCCTCGCCGGCGGCCCACGGAGCCCGTCCGCGCTTGCCCTGCACACCTGCGCCCGCGCGAGGACCCAGCCGCCGAGGCCGTGCGCCCGCCGGGCTGCGGGGGCCGTGGGCAGGGGGCGCAGGGGGCGCAGGGGGCGGCCGGCGCGGCGGCTGAACCCGGGCTGACGAGGCCCAGCCGCCTGCGGGGCCCGGAGCGGGAGGTACCGGCTAGGGGCGCGTTTCTTTCGCATCCACACCCCGCCCCCACCCCTCTCTCCAGGGATTTTTTTTTTTTTTTTTTTTGTATCCAGGCACAGCTGGGGGCTCCCTCACCACCCACCCCTGGCCTCCCCATACAGAATAAAGTCAGTCTGTATTTAATGGTTATGGCGGATGTGAGGGGGATTTGGCAGAGGCAGAAGAGAGGCCTTTCGCTCTCAAATATCGTCCCTTACGTCGTGTGAGTCTACCAACCCACCACGACCTCATATTCTTGTGCGGGTGTCTGACTCGAATGACAAGCGAGCTGATTTTTTCAGTACATAGCTGGGAAATGTAGTGAGTGATAATAGAGATTTCTCTTTCATTTTTTACGCTTGACTTGGTTATTGTTGCTTTTCTTTTCCCGTGATTCCTTCTGAGGATTAGCTCTGACTTCCCCACTATTGGCGGTCAAAGTGGCCCCGACTCGGGATGACAATTGACGGGGATCAAGGGATTGCCCATTCTGTGCCTGTAAGAACCGATTCGTGCCAGAGAAACTCATCAAGTGGAGGCGGAGAATAAAGACCGTTCGGGGGTAAATGTATTCATTGAGAAGGGTTCTCCCAAATTGCTTCTAAGTTTTTTTAATGAAAAGTAACGATTGCGGCAATCAGCGGCTTTTTGGCGGATTACAAATCTGGAGGGAGCTGCGGCGCTGCATTGAAAAGTGCCCCCGCCTTCGCACCGGGCAGCCGGTTCACAGGAGCAGCGCGAGGGGCGGGGGTCCGATAGCGGGACAAAGGCGGGGAGGGGGCGAGCGGAGGAGGGCGGCTCGGGGCGCCCGGGCGCGCATCGGGCAGGAGACGCGGAGGTGCCCACCCCAGCGCAGGCGTGGCAGGGCGCCCCCCACCGAGGAAGGCGTGGGGCAGGGTGCAGGAAGGGGACCGAGGGAGGTCTACCGCAGCACCACCAGCACTGGGGAGATTCCGGGCATCTGGAGCGAGGAAGGTGTGCTATAGGGGTTGAGTCCATCACCGTGGAAGTCCGGGGAATGGGAGGTGCGACTCGGTCCCCCACCTCTACCCCGGGCACGGTGGTGTCTTCTTTTAAAGACGTCTCACTTCGCAATTGGAATCGAAGCGTGGGCCGGTGTCGGGTCTTCCTGGTGTTACAGGCAGGAGGAGGGAAAACTGAGTCCTTCCTGGGATGGGGCAGGACCCTCACACGCAAGACCCCACTGAGCTGGACTGGCGCGGGGGCGGATCCCTTCTCCCAAATGCTTCTGAATGGCGCGCGACCTGGTCCCCTCTGCCACACGGACCCTGCGCGCACGCCCTGGCCCTGGCGGCCTCTGGGGACACGTTCTCCAGGCCCGCACGGCGCCCCGGCCTAGGCCGCAACGCCCCCCGCCCAGAGGAGTTGCCTCAGAAGATGGGCAGGGGACACACTAGAGGGCAGGGAAAAATCGCTGTTCCCACAGAGGCCGAAATCAGCAGCAGCAGCCTCAGGCAGCGGCATTCAGCCTGACTTTTTATACGTTTATTTTTAAAAGTGTATCTTAGCAGGGGGGTGGGAGGTATGTTTCTTTGCTGGGACTTCTTTAAGGCTCTCTGAAGTAAATAGGGGTGGGGGGGGGCGCAGAGAGACAAGGGTGGAGAAGAGGAGAAGAAAAAGAAAGACTCTCCCTCTCCTTCCCCCCTCCTCAAGTTTAAGAATAAATCCAGCAGGCAAGTCCGCAGCCCTGAAGGTTTAACTTTTTTTCTTTGCAGCTTGTCAATGCGACCATTGCTTTGATGGGAGGCTCCTCAAGGTGACACATTTCTGAACTTCACCCTCTTTTCAAACTAACTCCCTACCTCCTTGTTAGTGGCCAGCTCTGAACTTCTGCAGAGTGTTTTTGTGTGAGTCAAGGCTCATTCACGGGCGCCTTTGTGGGCCTCTCCTCCTTTCAGGCCTCAGCGTGTTACACCAATTAAAGGGCGACGTGCTGTAAATGTAATGGGCCGCGCAGCGATTGTTTCTGACAAGCAACAAAACACATAGATCCACCCCTTAGATTAGGCCGTTGAAGGGGAGGTTGAGGCCGGTCAGTTTACTGAATAGTTTGTGAACTGTAATTCTGAGGGCTCATGTGAAAAAAAAAAAAAAAGTCTCTTCCCACCTCCCTCGCCTTGCTCCTCCTTCCCAAAAGCTAAAAAAAAAAAAAAAAAAAAGAAAAAGAAAAAAACAAGTGACATCCATGGGGCAGAATGGGGTCACTAGAGAAAAAAACCTATGTGAGGGGCTTGGTCTGTTACTTGGACAGTCCTGAGAGCCCCTTCAGCTCTTTGCCCTCCCCGCTTACTCTTTGAAAACGTCCAGCCTGGCCCTCAGTTTTACTGGCCACAGCAGCCTTCTCCTCTGATGGCAGGCCTGACCCCCCCGCAAGAGGACTTGAGATCAGGGCAGGAATGAGAGAAAGTCGGGTTGTCTTGGAGAATTCTGCTGGGGTTTGACCTGGTCCTGGTGGGACACTGATGAGTCACAGGCTGTGGATACCCCCACCCATTCCTCCCCTGGAAGGAACTTCACCTTCTGTCTCTCCCTCCAGCCCCCAGTTCTTTCCGCAGCCCCGGGTGCTGCAGAGGCCTGGGCTGTCTCTAGCCTCCTGAGATTTCCTCCTCTTTTCCAGCACCTGGCATCCATCCTGGTTCCTGCAACTCTGTCATCACCTGACTGTTAAGGAGCACGATTCACCTGGAAAGGAAAGGGTTAGAGATAATCTGCTCCATCATCCTCACAAATCCTGGGGCCCAGAGAAGTGACTGGACCAAGATCACCAAGCCAGGCACTGAGCTGCAACTGGAATTCAGCTCTCTCACCTGCCAGGCCATCCCATCCCACATATCACCACCTTCCCACACCTCACTGTCTGACCCCTGAACTTGCCCAAAGGACCTCAACCCCGCCCCCGCCCCAACTCAAGGATGGCTGACCTTTCAGCCCCCATCATCTTTGTCCTCAGGCGATTCTAGCTTCTGAGGCTTCACGCAGGTGTTCCTCCCCCAACTCCCCCAGCTCCTTTCCTTCCAGCTTCTGCCCATCTCTAGCCTTCTCAGCCCAGCTCCGTTCAACAAATAGTTATTGACTGTCAGTTACGTACAGCGGGTGTTTTGCCTTTTCTATGAAACTTCCCCAGCTACTCTTCCTCAGTATGCTCCTCCCCACTCAGACTCCTCTACCTCGCTTGTCCATCACTTTCTGTTTGGAAACCTATGCATTATTCAAGCCCCTGCTCACATAACACTTCTGTAAAGCCATGCCAGGGTGGAAAGACCCCGAGGGAGGAAAGTGAGCCTGATGGAGGAACTGAACGAAGTCCCGTGTGGCTGGAGCAGAATGAGGCTCGGGAGAGGCGCAAAGGTCAGGTCTCAAACAGCCTTGTGGGCCACACAGGGATTTTGAATTTCACCCTGGAAGCAATGGGAAGCTATTGAACAGGTTTGAGCAGTGAGGTCCCCCTTGTCTTGACTGAACTTTTGGAGAATAGAAACTACATGCTTTTCATCTTTGTGTTCCTCTACTCCTACCAATGTCTGGCACGCGATGCCCAAGAAACATTTGCTGAACCAATGAACCCATAACTCATTAAGCACATACTACCCAGCCCTTCCTTAGCTCTTCATGGTGGCTAACCAGGTTGTAAGTAACCAAGATGGCAGAAACCAAGTTATGGTGTCTCTGAATTCTCAACAGTACCTGATTGATACTGAATTCATGCTAGGAATACAGTACAGTCATCCTTTGGTATCCATGGGGGATTGATTCCAGGACACCACCTCATACCAAAATTTGAGGATGGGCCGGGTGCAGTGGCTCATGACTATAATCCCAGCACTTTGGGAGGCCAAGGCAGGCAGATCACTTGAGGTCAGGAGTTCGAGACCAGCCTGGCTGACATGGTGAAACCCCATCTCTGCTAAAAATACAAAAATTAGCCAGGCATGGTGGTGTGCGCCTATAGTTCCAGCTGCTCGGGAGGCTGAGGCAGGAGAATCGCTTGAATCCAGGAGACAGAGGTTGCAGTGAACTGTGATTGCACCACTGCACTCCAGTCTGGGAGACAGGGCGAGACTTCATCTGAAAAAAATAATAATAATAAGTTGAAGATGCTCAAGTCCCTGATATAAAATGGCATAGTATTTGCATATAACCTATGTACATCTTCCTGTATACTTTAAATCATCTCTAGATTTAATACCTAATGCAATGCCTGCACATCAGTTCCAAGGAATTCAATGTAGTACTTAGTGCCATAGATTCAAGCGTGTTTGCTTTTTTAAAACCTTGTGGAAAAAGTTTCCAAATATTCTGGATCTGCAATTGGTAGAATATACAGAGGCAGAACCCACAAATACGGAGGACTGACTGTCCTCTCCTGTCCATTGATTAAAGGTGTGCAAGGGGAAGAATTCAAAGTCAGGAGGCCAGATTCTGATGACACTTCTTGTCCTTGCCAGTAACTGATGGCCTCACCTTGGGAACACACTGCCTAACTACTCTGAAGCCTTGGCTTCTTCATTAATAAAATGGGGACAATGCCCCTTAATTCATGGATTGTGAGAACTAAATAGCATTCGTATGTGAATGACTTGATTTTGAAGGAATACATTAATGAATGAAAATCAGTGCATGTCCTGGAGCCAAGGTAAGACCAGTGATGACAGCGCCACTTTAAAATGACAAAAGACAGTTCTGGAGCAAGTGGGATCCTTGGAGAACTGCTCTGTCTCTCATAGCAGGCTTCCCCTCTTTTGCAGTTGGCCCAGGACCCAGCTGGTCCCACATCTTCCCCCAGGGCGTGCCACCCCGGCTGACACCCTTCACACTTGGCTGCCTACACTCCTGCTCTAAGAAGCCTGTTTCAAAGAAGCCCACATTCCCTTGTTGCACGTAGAAGGCTGCAGTTGGAGACGGGACAACTAGGTTCTGGGAAGCCATGGCAGAAATCACGCAGACTCTGATTCCCGCCGAGAACCAGCCTAAAGAACCACTCATGGCAAGACGGGGGCCCACCGGCCTGCTGGCTCCTCACCAAACTCTACTCCGCATTGACTGTGGGCTCTTGTTCTAGAGGCACCCGCATCCTCAGGATGAAATGTGAGTACAAGAGCAGAGACTGCCGGTGCTGGTGTTTGCAGGTATGTGTGTGTGTGTGTGTGTGCACGTGCGTGTCCACAGCAATTAGCCTCTGATACACATAGTGGGAGAAAAGAATCCCCAAAGAGGAAATAAACAAGTCTTTTTGTTTAAGTTTCTACATCCGAATCAAATTCTTCTTTAAAAACTATCTCTACATTTCCACTCAAGGACAGAAAGGAGAGAGACACAGGCTTCTTACCCTTGTAGCGCCTTCATCTGAAGAGATTTTTAAGCTCAAAGAGCAGATGTAGAAGCTAATGTTTGTAAAACCTGATGAACTGTCAGCGAGCCACCACCCTGCCAGGGAGAGCTCCGGGAGCACAAGGGGGGTGCCTGCCTGGGGTGGGGATTGTCTGGCAAGCCTGTCCTCCCTGTGGAGCTGGTTTCCTGTCCCCGGGCTGAGCAGATGCCCAGCCAGAGGCCTGAGGTCTCAGAGGCTATCATGGGAATGAGTGCGTCCTTAGAAACCTTTCACTCCAACCTGATGTAGGTAGTGCTAAATCCTTTCCTGAGCCCCACACAACAAAAGCTAGGGATTCGAGCTCATGCTTCACGGATCCCTTAGCCACTAGGAATGCATGTTGCTTCAGCTCAGTGGCAGCTAGTGCAATCCTAAGTGATTTCAGTCAAGGGTTCTAGACTTTTTGTTCATGTTTTCTCTCACTCAATTGCTCCCAGAGACTATCTCTTTCTCAGCAAATGGGGTCACTCATTTTCATAGTAAACTTTGGTGATTGGGGTGCAGAGAGGTGGAGGGGGGAGTTGATAAGTAGATGGGGGAGTACAAACAAGGTCTGGAGGAATTTCTCAGGGGTGGGGGGAAAACAGTAGCTGTAGAAGAAAGGACTGAGAGCCTCAGAGATCTCTGGCCAATCCCTGGAGAAGTGGATCCCAACATGGCCTGCAGACTAAACCGTGGGCCCTGTGAGAGCTAAGCCACACTCGTGTGTTGCCACCGGATGAAAGGTGGAGGAGGCAGAAACCTAAACAAGTGAATTCAATTACATCTGAAAAAGATTAGGCTAAATTAGGATTCATTCCTTGGGCCAGTTCCAGGAAATATTTGTGAAAAGTTGGTTGAAAGAATACTACCATCTAAACCCTAATTTTGCTATTACGTAAAAGCCCCGATTCCTTTGCAGTAAAACATTAGAAAATGTTTTCCTCATTTTGTTTTTGCTACTGGTGTGTGACCTCTTAATTTAATTTTGGTTTTTGCTCATATAAATCAATGGCCGTGGAAACTTTTTCCTGTGGTGCAGCAAAGACAGGGGAAAAGTAGAACATCAGTAATTATATTTTAGGCACTTAATTTATTTAATGAGCAGTTATCAAGCACCCTTAATGGTTCCAGCCATAAACTATAGGATATCATCCTTTACGTTAGAGGATATCAGCCTGCTTCAGAGAACCTTCATGTGTGTCTCCGAGATGCAGAAAGAAGGAGCGTGTTCTTAGGTGAGACATTAGTGGACTGAGGTTAGAATTCATCAGCCTGATGCCCTGATAATTTCCTGCTGCCTTCTGCCTCTGCTGTGCCCGCAGTTGGAGCCCAATCAGTGATGCCACTGCCCAATTTGCCCAAATAGCCAGCCAGTGGGAATAAAGACCCAAACATCTCATATTTTTAAAATTAATTTTTTACCTTTCTGTCACCTGCCTGAACTGGTAAAGAAAATGTTTCTCAGGTTTCTTCAATTCCTCTTCTCAAGGAGAGCTGTTAACCCTTTGAGGGAACTCACATATCTATGGGATATGTTATACATTTGGAATGTTTTACACTTGGGAACAAAAACTAAATTAGGCAGATAGCTCAGATTTAGAATACAGTACATGCATTTTTTGGTCATGTGCCATTTCATGGTGGATGGAATTCATGGCTGCAGCTTACAGTTATATAGGTTCCACACTGCACTGTGCTGGAGGGAAACATTCACACAGACTATGGGTGGACAGAATTGTGTCTTCTGCTCATGGGGGTAGGAGGTGAGGACGGAGGGGTCACTCCCATCCTTTATTTCAGCAACTTAAGAAAACTGTGATAGATGTTGAAAGTAGTGTACTTATTTGGGATGAAATAACAACTTTTTTTTTTTTTTGAGATGGAGTTTCATTCTTGTTGCCCAGGTTGGACTGCAATGGTACCATATTGGCTCACTACAACCTCTTCCTCCTGGGTTCAACTCAGCCTCCCAAGTAGCTGGGATTGCAGGCACCTGCCATCACGCCTGGCTAATTTTTTGTATTTTTGTTAGGGGCAGGGTTTCACTATGTTGGCCAGGCTGGTCTCAAACTCCTAACCTCAAGTGACCCACCTGCCTTGGCCTCCCAAAGTGCTGGGATTACAGACATGAGCTACCGCACCCTGCCTGAAATAACAATTTTAAAGTTCTAGACTCAGGTAACTTGAGTTCAAACTGCCTCTGCCATATTGCTTAACCTCTCCATTTCTTATCTATAAAATGACAGATAGATAACATTAAATAATAAGAGTAACCACTCATAGGTTTATGAGGATTAAATGAGTTGATATATGTAAAGATCTTAGAATAGTGTCTGGCACATAGTAATTGCTCAGTTAATATTAGCTATTGTTATCATTATTCTTTGATGTGTTGGAAAAGCATTTCCCTCCTATTGTGGGAAGAAATAGGAAAACAAAGTTCCCACTGTTCTGTTTGACTATAGGCCCTGCATGGCTAGGCAGGAAGAGGAAAGGCACTCAAGTAGGACAGAACTGGGTTTATTTCTGTTGTAACCACCTATTGTGATCTTGGCCACATCCTCTACAAGCTGCAATTTCTTCAAATGCAGATTGAGAATAGTAATAGTATCTACCTTGCAAAGTTGTTATGAGAATTAACGACAAAATATGGAAAGTGCCCAACACAGTGCCTGACCCTTCATAGGCTCTCAAAAATATTTGTTACTGTCAGATTGAAGTTAAACCAAGACATGGCATTTGGATACTGTTAGAAAAAAAAAAAAAAAAAAAGCAGGATCACTGAGAATATTCTAGCCTCAGTGACAAAAGAAGAAAAAACAAGCTTTCCAACTCCCAGCCAGGAACAGTGATCTGAAAATCTTGATGTGGGGTTTGTGTTCAGTCCCCAGCCCTTTTTTGGACTGCCAGACCCTCGTGTTTGTCCTGCTTTCCCCACTTCTTTCTAGTCCTGGTCAGAAGTGATGTTGGAAGGGACTGAGAAAACCCATGAGGGAGAGGTGAAGCATCTCCCCAGTGCCTTTTTAATGTATGAGGGTGCTTCAATTACCAGATTGTCAGCTCCATGAGGGCAGGGACCATGTTTGTTCCTGTTCAACAACATACTCCTTGGTAAATATTTGTTGAATAAGTTAAAAAAGTAGAATACATTATTAATGACTGTATTGTATAGTAGCAGCTTGACTGTATTGTATAGTAGCAGCTCAGTTAAACCTGAACTCAATGAACTGAACGCTCAATTTACTTTTTTTTTTTCTACATCTCACTTTGTGAAAGAAAGTGCTAACAGGACAAGCTCATATGAGGAATTTAGTATCAAGAAAACTAATCACAGTTTTTCAAAGTATGATCTGGGATTTGTACAGATTCAGCCCAATTTCCTAAACCTTGTGCATGGAGCTCATTAGCACTGCAGAAATCATTCAACAAACATTTATAGAGCAAGTCCTATGTACCAGTGGTCCCCAACCTTTTTGGCAACCTTTTTGGCATGGACCAATTTCATAGAAGACAATTTTTCCACAGACAGGTGTGGAGGGATGGTTTTGGGATGAAACTGTTCCACCTCAGATCACCAGACATTAGATTCTCATAAGGAGCGGGCAACCTAGATCCCTCGCCTATGCAGTTCACAATAGGCTTTGCACTTTTATGAGAATCGAATGCTGCCGCTGATATGACAGGAGGCGGAGCTCAGGTGGTAATGCTCACTCACCTTCTGCTCACCTCCTGCTGTGTGGCCCAGTTCCTAACAGGCCATGGACCAGTACTTGTCCATGGCCTGGGGGTTGGGGACCCCTGGTATATGCCAAAGACTAAAATAACAACATAACTTTCAATTTACTAATTACTTTCACATATAAATTTAAAGTAATTATCCCTGACGAAAAGGACAAGCATGACCACCTTCATTTTCCCTCCCCATAGTAGGAAAGCAGGACTCAAAAAGGTTCAGTGACATGCCTGAGGCTCCTCTGATGTCACCGCTGGGCTGAGGCATGCTCTGACCCATAAACCCAGTTCTGTTTTAATTTCTTCCTGTGATCCCTTCCATGGGAACTGCTGTTTAAACTCATGACTCACACATCACCAGGAGAACACAAATATTGTCACTATGTTTACAAAGAGAGAAAAGTAAATATTTTAGAAACACTTTTGGGTACTGTTGTTTTTCTTTTCTTTTTTTAAGAAAAAAGCATTTTCTGGTTAACTTGAAGGTTTCATCAGAAAATAAAATGAATCAGATTACTTCATTCCCCAGTGTACCCATTAATCCAAATTTGAATCTAGTTATTTAGGATTTAAAATAGAAAAAAAAAAAGGTATATTTGGCTGTTTCTAACAATCTGAATAGGAATTTTCAGCATGAATTTCCTCAGTAGATGCTTGGTAACTTAAACCCCTTGCCAGGTCCATCCCTGACTGTTGTGGCTGAGAGAGCTATTGTGCAGAGGGAGTGGGCACATCTGCCCAGGTGGTAAGCTAACACAAGAAGCTACAGGGCCACAGAGAGGAAAGAGAGAGAGGGAGAGAGAGAGAAATACCTACAATTTCCCAAAACGCTCTGCTATATTTCCCGTTTCCACTCAGTAACCACCATCCCTTATCCCAATACATAAGGAAGTTAGAAGAGGTCTCTTACCCTTTGATATGGTTTGGCAGTGTCCCCACCCAAATCTCATCTTGAATTGTAACTCCCACAATTCCCATGTGCTATGGGAGGAACCTGGTGGGAGGTGATTGAATCACAGGGGCGGGTCTTTCCCGTGCTGTTCTCATGATAGTGAGTGGGTCTCAAGAGATCTGATGGTTTAAAAATGGGAGTTTCTCTGCAAAAGCTCTTTTTTCTCTTGTATGTTGCCACGTGAGACATGCCTTTCACCTTCTGCCATGAGAGTAAGGCTTCCCCAGCCACATGGAACTGTAAATCCATTAACCCTCTTTCTTTTGTAAATAGCCCAGTCTTAGGTATGTCTTTATCAGCAGCAGGAAAATGGACTAATACTCCCTTACAATACAATTTGCTCTGATTAGGATAGTTAGGATAAAGGTCACCCTCAGGATGACTTGGATGGGAAAGATGGAGGGTTCGTTTGATCAGAAAGCCTGGGGGAAATGGCAATGCAGGCCAGGTTTGACTTGCATCCTTCAATCTCCCATCGCCCTCCCTAACCTGCTTCCTAGCCACTTCTCCCGTGGTCTCCCTTACCCATGCTGTCCTTCGCTCCTGAAAGTTTGTAACCACTACACACTTCCTGGGCCTGTCCCTTTTGGAAGTGCCTCAGGCTTCAAAATTACTGTCACAACCAGCTTTTTAGTTGAGTATTAAGATTATCTGACCAAGTTAACTCATTCTAACATGAATGATCACTAGAGAAGACGCAATTCAAAAGAAGGTCTTCGTAACCTAAAGGAAGCTCTAATTTGTGGATTTCATGGGGGAAATGTTACAGGGGCCCATGGCCAGGGTGGGGGTGAGTTACCTGGGTCAGGTGCTTACCTCTGGTCAATAAACTGAGGGCACCAGGAGCATGTGGCCCACAGGGCAGCTGGACCAGTGGGCCAGGGTGGGTTATTTTAAAAGGGAATATGGGTTGGGGCAGTGATTGGTATCACCTTTGTATGATTCTTATATTAGTCTGCTCAGGCTGCCATAATAAGATACCATAGACTAGGTGAGTTAAACAACAGAAATTCATTTTCTCACAGTTCTGGAGTCTGAGAATTACAAAATCAAAGTGCTGCTTGATTTGGTTTCTGGTGAGGGCCCTCTTCCTGGCTTGCAAGTGGCTGCCTTCTCTGTGTCTTCACATGGCAGAGACAGAAAGAGCTCAAGTGTCTCTTCCTCTTCTTTTAAGGGCACAAGTCCTATTGAATTACAGCCCCACCCTTATGAGCTAATTTAACCTTTATCACCTTCTTACAGACCCTGTCTCCAAATACAGGCACATGGGGGTTTAGGGCTTTAACAAGTGAGTTTTGAGGGAACACACATATCCAGTCCATAACATTCTGCCTCCTGGTCCCCCCAAATTCATATCCTTCTCACATGCAAATACATGCATTCTACCCCAATAGCCCCCAAAGTTTTAACTAATTCCAGCATCAACTCAAAGTTTCAGGTCCAAAATCTCATCTAAATATCACCTAAATCAGATATGGGTGAGACTCAATGTATGATTCATCCTGAAGCAAAATTCCTCTTCAGCTAGCAACCCATAAAACCAGAAAAATCATATGCTTCCAAACTACAATGGTGGGACAGGCATAGGGTTGACATTCCCATTCTAAAAGGGAGAAAGAGCAAAAAAGGAAAGGGTGATAGGTCTCAAGAAAGTCCAAAACCTGGAAAGGCAACTTCCATTAGATGGTAAGGCTTGAGAATAATTCTTCAGCTCAGAGGGTGCCCCACCTCTCCAGCTCTTGAGAAAGGCCCTGCACATATGGCTGTCTTCAAGGGCTCTGCCTTCTGAAACTGAGGAGAAAATAGTCTTGCCTCTGGGCTTGTGGTGGGAGTGACAGCCTTGGTGATCTCTGAACTGGCTTCAGGTCACTTTTCTCTTTCTTAAAGGATAGCTCATGTTCACAGCCTTCCTTCATTCTGGCCAGTTTTCTCCCAGCTAGTGAAGTTTTGCTGGTATAATCCTACCTCCATTCCTGGCTTCTGCTGAGATGGCTGATTAGATCGTAGTTCACATCCACATTAACCTCATTATTAAATAGTCACTCAGCCACACCCTTAGTGTTCTCTTCAGAACATGATTCCTCATTTTTTTGCAATATGAATAGGCTAAGAATTTTCCACATCTTCAAGTTCTGATGTCTTTTCGTTTAACAATTCCTTCTTCAATTTATCGCTGCCCTCTTGCATTTTACTATAAGCAGTAAGGCAGACCCACGCCTCACTTTCAATACCTTGCTTGGAAATCTTCTCTGCTAAATATCCAATTTTATTGCTCACAAGTTCTACCTTCCACAAAACACTAGAACGCAGCCCAGCAAAGTTCGTTTTCCCTTTACAACAAAGAGCACCTTTTCTCTAGTTTCCAATAATTGTTCATCATTTCTGTCTGAGACCTTACCAGATTGGCGAGGTCTACGTTTCTACCAACATTCTGCTCATTGCTATTTATGTGTATTCTCTAAGAAAATGAAGGCTTTCTCTCCAACTCTCTTCTCTTTCCGAGTCTTCACCAGAACTGTCTTTAAAGTCCATATTTCGGCCAGCCGTGGTGGCTCACGCCTGTAATCCCAGCACTTTGGAAGGCCAAGGCAGGCTGATCACTTGAGACCAGGAGTTCGAAACCAGCCTGGGCAACATGGCGAAACCCCATCTCTACCAAAAATACAAAATATAGCTGGGCGGGTGGTGCGCACCTATAGTCCCAGCTACTTGGGAGGCTGAGGCAAGAGAATTGCTTGAACCTGGGAGGCGGAGGGTGCAGTGAGCCGAGATCGTGCCATTGCACTCCAGCCTGGGCAACAGAGCAAGACTCTGTCTCAAAAAAAAATAAATAAATAAAGTCCATATTTCTATCAACAACCCCTCCTCAGCAATCTAGACATTTTCCAGCATGCACCTCAAAACTTCTTTAGCCTTGGTGGGGCACAGTGGCTCATACCAGTAATCCCAGCACTTTGGGAGGCTGAGGTGGTGGATCAGTTGAGGGCAGGAGTTGGAGAACAGCCTAGCCAACATGGTGAAACCCCGTCTCTACTAAAAATACAAAAATTAGCCAGGCACGATGGTGTGTGCCTGTAGTCCCAGCTACTCAGGAGGCTGAGATGGGAGGACGGCTTGAACCTGGGAGGCAGAGGTTGCAGTGAGCCGAGATCCTCTAGCCTGGGTGATGGAGAGAGACCCTCTCTAAAAAATAAAAAGAAATTAACTAGCATAGTTCTCATCTCATAAATCTCAACTACATAAATCACCTTAGATTTAGATATATAAGTGCACATTGGAGTCCCCTGAGGAAGCTTTAATAAACATACCATACTCTAGTTTCCCCCACCAGAAATTCTTATGTAATCAGTCTGAGGTGCAGCTCAGGTCTTGGGAGTTTTTTAAAGCCCATCAGGTAATTCTAATATGCTGTTTAGGGGCAGACATGGTACATCATCAAGCAAAGTTAGGGGGACAGAGGAGCTGGATGGGGCCACTTTATGTAGCTCAGCCCCAGAGCTACACCAATTGACTACTAACAGTCTCTTAGTTCAATTGGTTGAGGGCCTTTATACTCTTCTAGCTGTACCTGCAAAGGAATATAGAGCAATTTAGCAACATAGGTGTGCTAAGTACACATGCAATAAAACTGAAATCAAAGGCACAGAGCTTTCGGGGGAAATAGAGATTCTTTGGATATGGGAATGGTGGGGTTTTGTTTAAACTATGGTGTTGGTGACAAATAGAGCTCTGGCTTATGTTTCATAATGTATGTAGTTGTTTCCATGCACTTATCATCATTTAGCTGATTTTTTTTGTTTGTTTGTTTTTTGTTTTTGAGATGGAGTTTCGCTCTCGTTGCCCAGGCTGGAGTGCAATGGCTCTATCTTGGCTTACTGAAACCTCCGCCTCCCAGGTTCAAGTGATTCTCCTGCTCAGCCTCCCAAATAACTGGGATTACAGGCTAATTTTTGTGTTTCTAGTAGAGACGGGGTTTCACCATGTTGGCCAGGCTGGTCTTGAACTCCTGACCTCAGGTGATCCACTCCCCTCGGCCTCCCAAAGTGCTAGGATTACAGGCGTGAGCCACTGCACCCAGGCCCAGCCCATTAGGCTGATTTTTGACAATTACTACTTTTTCTTCTGGGAAGTTGGGAGCGTACCACCCTCCCTCATTTTCCCCGCTTTTCCCAGCTCACAGCCAGGAAAAGAGGAATGGTCCCACTAAAGGGCTACTGGGTCTAAGTTTGGCCTCCTGCAGGGTGGGGAGGAGATGGGGCTGGGAAGACGACAGGGAGAGAAGTTCCTCTCCATCCTAGCTGAGGAAGCCACTGGGCCTGGGTGTAGGTGGTGTCACCAGATATGATTTTGTCTGTGGTTCTTTCCTCTGTGCTGCTAGGAGCGGACAGTGACACTTCCCTCTTTGCTGAGGGGCAGCACCTCTTATCCACTCTGCCATGAGGGAAGTAAAGCAAACCAAAATGGCAATTTACCGTCGAGGCAAGGTTTTGTGCAATATTCATTCAATATCAATCTGGTGAGAGGCCAAAAGTACACTGACATTTTTTGCATGGTAAACAAGGGCCATGTGACATTGTTCCAGCTTTTGCCATAGAGAACTACGCAAAAACTCCAATCCATTAAAAGATGCTAATTCCTTAAAGAGAATCCATTGATGATCACTTGAAAAAGATGGAACCAACCCTGCCATGTAGTTTCAAAAATAAGTTCCACCGTGCATACAGAGTTGCCATTTGGGAAGATGAAAAAATTCTGGAGAGGACTGTGGTGATGGTCTCACAACAATACGAACGTACCTCGTGCCACTGAACTGTACACTTTCAAATGGTTAACATAATAAGAAGGAAAAAAAATCCACATTGAAAACTAAAGGCATCCCATACTCAGAGTTAACACCATCTTTAAATACATGATATTCAAACCGAAACCCTTTAAATACATGATATTCACACTGAAAGATACAGTCTTGTACGTGCAGGAGAGAAGGCGAGCGAGGGCATGGCAGGCAGGGCGTGTCTGTGCCACCACCAACACCAGACTTTCCATTCGCAAACAGCTTGTCAGACTGGAACTCTTCCTTCGTTCAGCTGGTGTTTCGGTGCCAGACAATCAAAGGAAAAGGAGAGAGAAACCAGCGAAGCCCTAGAGAGACAGGGAGAAAGCCTCAAAGCAACGGAGACAGAGCCGGGCCCCACCGCACGGCTGGAGGGCCGCCCCCACACGGAGCTGCCCCAGCCCAGGGCCTGCGGGGCCGAGTCGCCTCCCGGCAGCTGAGTGGCAGCCTCGGCTGCGGACCCAGGCGCAGCTTCCCCCAGAGGCCGGCGCTATTAACTCCCGGGGCCTCCTGCGGCGGCGAGGCGGTGGCACGGCTCCTCCCGCTCCCTCGGCCTCCAGGTTCAATAAGGATTACATCATGGAGCAAGTATGCGGGGCAGCCTGAGAATCAAAGCCGTCAGCACCGGCGGCTGGTTAACTGTACTGTTGCTGAAACACATCCTTCCCACCCCCTCCCCGCGCCCCTCTCCCTGCCCCGGCCCTCTGCTTTTCGTACCATTAAGGATAGCATTATTGGGGAGAGGAAAATCTGATCAAAACTGTCGACCGCCAACGACAGATTTTCTATGGATTCTATAAAGGCCACCTTAACGATTTCCCTAATTAATGGATGACATCTTTGGCTGAAGGAGAAACGATGGATTCGACTCTGTCTTCGTCTTTGTTAACCTTCTAATTAACTTTCGTAGGTCACCCAGGTCTCCCAAACCTGAAAAGTGAAGAGGCCCATTGTGCGAGGAGCAGTAAACTTACTTTTTCTGCTGGGGTACTTAAAAGGGAGAGCGGCTATAGGCCGAGAAAAATAACTCCATTTAAAAGCTTTGTGGCTGCAGAGAATACATAGGTCCCTCCCTTAGAAAATAATTGAAACACCTTTTATACCAATATTTCTATGCATAATAAAAACAAATTAGCAAAATGCATCTAAATTCAGCAGCACTTTCAAATTACCTTTTTTGGAATGTAAGCCTCTGCAAGTCAACAAAAGGAGTTGGGTTTAGAGAGAAAATTGCAACTGCAACAGCTATCAGCCTTTATGCTGAGAGAGCAAGGAACTCGGATCCCTCCGAGTCAGGGCCGGGAACTCGTATACCTCGGAGTTATCTCCCTGAGGAAATGCTCCAAAATACACTGCCCTTGCAGAAGCTGAGCTGTAAACTGCCTGAGGGACCTAAAGACTCTTCACAAATGAGCAGGACTTTTTCTGGATAGAGTGATCTTTTGGGGTTCAGAAATATTTTAATGGTGTCAGTGAAAAACAAACTGCAGTGGAAAAGCCAGAAAACGAGATAAAGCTCCACTGTGATCATAATATTGACAGAGCAGAGCAATTTATTTTAAAAAGTTAAAAAAAATTGAGTTTTATTTTTGGTAGATTTGCCAAACTAGGCAGATGAGTTGTGGACACTGCTCTAGTTCCTTGGCATCTTTGAGGGCAATGTAAAGGAGATACTGAGGGAACAAACAGCAGGTGCCCGGCCTAAAGTGGAACCAAATGGAGAATCCTTTAAATAATTTTGCTAAAGGAGCACTCCTCTGAGATAACTTGCAAGGGAATGGGATTCCTAGCCCAAGGACAACAGCAGCTATTTGATCATTGTTTTCTGGTTGTAAACAAAATCAGAGCTAATTATCAAAAAGCACAAACCTTTAAATACTGTCAATATTGTAATTTTATAAATTAAATTATAATTTTATAAATTTAATTGCTACTATTTAATATTTTAATGCAATATTTTAATTGTGTCTATTCATTTTTCTATGTCCCCTCAAATTTTTACATAGTTCAGATTATATTCTACTTTTTGTTACTTTAATACCTTAATACCATATCATTAGCATTTTTCTTTTTTTTTTTTTTTTTTTTTTGAGAAGGAGGCTTACTCTGTCACCCAGGCTGGAGTGTAGTGGCACGATCTTGGCTCACTGCAACCTCCGCCTCTCAAGTTCTAGCGATTCTCCTGCCTCAGCCTCCTGAGTAGCTGGGGTTATAGGTGCAAGCCACCACGCTCAGCTAATTTTTTGTATTTTTAGTAGAGATGGTGTTTTACCATGTTGGCCAGGCTGATCTCAAACTCCTGTCATTAAATGATCCACCCGCCTCAGCCTCCCAAAGTGCTGGGATTACAGCCATGAGCCACCGCACCCAGCCTGTTTTTCTTTTTCTTTTTTTAACATTAAAAAAATTGTTTTTCAATTTAGAGATAGGCTCTACCTGGTTATGTTGACCAGTCTGGTCTCGAACTCCTGGCCTCAAGCAATCCTTCAGCTGCAATCCTCCTGCCTCAGCCTTCCAAAGCCCTGGGATTACAGGTGTGGGCCACCATGCTTGTCCATCATTAGCATCTTCTGTTCCCTTTTTTTGTAAAAATGGGAACAAGATACCTTTTGGGTCCACATACCCAGATTAAAGGTGGGGGCAACTTGATATCTATTTCTAGAAAGCTCTCTGTCACTTGTGGGGAAATAAGTGCTCTCGGGCACTGCCGCAGGCATTTAAATTGCTACAATCTCTCTGGGCAATTTGGCATTATCTATCTTGGTAATTTTTGTAAATTTTGTAATCTTGCTTTGATGTAGCAATTCCTCTCTGGGAATTTTCCCTAGAAGTATATACTTGCACATGTAGAAAATATTATATGTAGAAGGTTATTCTTTGCAGCATTGTTATAATAGTGAAAGACTGAAAACAATCTAACTGTTCAACAGTAGGGAACTGGTTAAAGAAATATACTACATCCTCGACAGGACTGTTATGCTGCCATAAAAAATAGATGAGGGTGCTCGTTATGTACCAATTTGGAATAGTCTCCAAAATAGCCTGTTAGGTAACAAAGCAAGCAAACAAACAACAGCAACAAGGAGCAGAACATTGTGTAAAGTACGTCACTATTGGTGGGGAAAGGTGGGATTTGACATAGAAATTTCCTAGTAGTAGTTGTTTTCAAGAAGACAATGGAGTGGCTGAGGAATAGCTGTGGGAGGGACACTTCACTATAACTTTCATATCTTTAGAATTTCATACTGTGTCAATACTGGTTAAGCATTCCTAATCCAAAAACCTTAAATCTGAAATGTTCCAATGAACTTTTTTTTTTGAGGATCATGTCAGTGCTCAGAAAGTTTTGGACTTTGGAGCATTTCAGATTTTGGATTTTCAGATCAGAAATATTTAATGTGTATATTACCTATTCAAAAAATAAATTAACTCTTGAGCCCAGGAGTTTGAGACCAGCCTGGGCAACATAGCAGGACCCCGCCTCTAGAAAACAAAACAAACAAAAAAATGAGTTAAAACGTACATCTACATTTTTAAAAGAGAATGGGTTGCCATTTTCCAATGTGCTCTCTGCATAGCTCTGTACAATTCAAGGGTGGCCCAGTCTTAAAAGTGTCTTTGTTCATTTCCGTATACTAAATAGCTCATTTTAGACTTCTCGAAGTCTACCTGGGTTAAAAGACCCCTAAAATGGAAGGTACACAGTCACTCTCTCTTTGAAATTTTTAAATGTTTTATAACAAAAACAGAATAATGCATTCTGTGATTTAATTGTTCAAAATTAAAATTCAACAAACTGTTAATTCTGTATAAATAAAACATTCACAGGCTTCATCAGCACGTGCATCGGGACAAATGCTTTGGGCCTTGGAATTGTGAAAATATTTCCTAACATTTGAGATGTGCCAAGAAAGAGATAAAGAAATCAAATAAGATCTTGTATTATGCAAATTCTTCTTGCTCACAGGAGTCTGATTTACTTGTATCAATCAATGTAAGTGATTCACACTTCATGAGCTATATTAAGTGATTGAACTAAAACCTAGGGCCAATATTATTCTCTCCCCACCCCTCAACCCAGGCTGTCTGTATAAATAGGATTGGAAATTACTAGGTTGAAGATATGAAATTAGTGTTGTGTCAGTGGTTCAATACCAGCACTTTTTTTTCTTAGAGAGAGGGTCTTGCTTCGTCAGGCTGGAATGCAGTGGTGTGATTATAGGTCCCTGTAACCTCAAACTCCCAGGCTCAAAAGATCCTCCCCTCTTAGCCTCCCTAGCAGCTAGGACTACAGGCACATGCCCCCATGCCTGGCTAATTGTTTTACTTTTCTTTTCTTTTTTCTTTTTTTTTTTTTGAGATGGAGTCTCGCTCTGTCGCCAGGCTGGAGTGCAGTGGCACGATTTCGGCTCACTGCAACCTCCGCCTCCTGGGTTCAAGTGATTCTCATGCCTCAGCCTCCCGAGTAGCTGGGATTACAGGCGCACACCACCACACCCAGCTAATTTTTGTATTTTTAGTAGGGACAGGGTTTCACTATGTTGGCCAGGATGGTCTCGATCTACTGACCTCGTGATCCGCCTGCCTTGGCCTCCCAAAGTGCTGAGATTACAGGCGTGAGGCACTGGGCCTGGTCTACTTTTTTTAAAAGAGGGAGTATTGCTGTGTTGCCCAGGCTGGTCTTGAATTCCTGGCCTCAAGCGATCCTCTCCTTTCAGCTCCCAAACAGCTGGGATTACAGGTGTGAGCCACTAGGCCCAGCCCCAACAGCAGCAATTTTAAGATTCAACCTAATATTTCACATCATCATGATGTTGTAGCCTGTAGCAGAGACACTGTTAGTTGCCTGTCCAACATCCGTTTTTCCCTTTTTCCCTGTTAGTACTTCCATTTAATTCCCATTTAGGAAGGTAGTAAATCTCACTTCAGCTAAATCATAGAAATGGAATTCCGACTTCTTTTGCCTGTGATGGGTTTAGATTTGGGCATGTGATAAAGTTCTAGGCCCTTGAGGTGTCATAAAAGACAGCCAGAGGTTTCTGGGAAAGGTTTTTCTTCCACTGGATATTTTCAGGTCTAGAATTCCAGCGGCCACCTTACCACTACAAAGGCAGTAAGCGTACAGACAAAATGAGCGTGCTGAGGAGACACAGAAGAAAGGAAGTTGGGTCGCAATGATAGTACTGGGCTATTATATTAAACAACTATGTAATCCCCCAAACTTGCACTTTTGCTGTGTGAAATAATAATTTTCCTTATGATTTAAGCCATTTTGAGTTGGTGTTCTATTATACATTTTCACCACATAAAGTAGTGTGAGGCTCAGGTAGTATTTTGTAAAAGCTCTTCAAGTGATTCTATTGTGCTCCTCTGGTTGAGATTATTGTATTATTTTATTTTATTTTGAAACAGAGTCTTGCTCTGTCACCCAGGCTAGAGTGTAGTGGCGCCATCATGGCTCACTGCAGGCTCAATCTCCCTGGCTCAAGCCATCCTCCCATCTCAGCCTCCTGAAGAGCTGGGACCACAGGGGGCACCACCACACCCAGCTAATTTTTTTTATTTTTTTGTAGAGACAGGGCTTCTCTATGTTGTCCAGGCTCTATGTTGTCTCAAACTCCTGAGCTCAAGTGATCCTCCTGCCTTAGCCTCCCAAATTGCTGGGATTACAGGTGTGAGCCAACACCCCCAGCCAAAATTATTTTAAATCATAAAAATAAATGCCTCCTCAACATCATTAGTCATTAGGAAAATCAAATGAAAACCACAATGAGATACCACTTTACACCCACTAGGATAACCATAATAAAAAGGATGGACGATAGCAAATGTTGTCAATAATGTAGAGAAATCAGAACCTTCATACGTTGTTGGTGGGAATGTAAAATGGTGCAGCCACATTGGAAAATAGTTTGGCAGTTCCTCAAGAAGTTAAACATAGAGTTACTGTATGATCCAGTGGTTCTGCTCCTAGATATATACCCTAGAGAACTGAAGACATACATCCATATGAAAACTTACACACGAATGTCATATTAGCATTACCCATAATAGCCAAAGAGTAGAAACAACTCAAATATCTATCAACTTATGAAGAGATCAGCAAAATGTGGCATATTCACACAACAGAATATTATTTGACAAAACAAAAAAAGAAATGAAGTTCGGACACATGCTACAAGATAAACTTTGAAACATTATCCTAAGTGAAACAAGCCGAGGCAAAAGGCTATATAGTGTATAGTTTTATTTATATGAAATGTCCAAAATAGGTGAATCCATAGACATAGGAAGTAAATTAGGCTGGGTGCAGTGGCTCATACCTGTAATCCCAGCACTTTGAGAGGCCAAGGTGGGTGGATTGCTTGAGCTCTGGAGTTTGAGAACAGCCTGGGCAACATGGTAAAAGCCTGTCTCTACAAAACATTTTTTAAAAAATTGGCCAGGCATGGTGGTGTGCACCTGTAGTCCCAGCTACTCAGGAGGCTGAGGTGGGAGGATTGCTGAAACCTGGGAGGTGGAGGTTGCAGTGAACCAAGATGGCGCCACTGCACTCCAGCCTGGGAGACAGAGTGACACCCTGTCACAAAATAAAATAAAATAAAATAAAATAAAATAAAATAAAATAAAATAAAATAAAATAGGAAGTAAATTAGTAGTAGTTGCCAGGGGCTGGTATGGGGAAATGGGAAGTGACTGCTAATGAGTATGGAGTTTCCGTTTTGAGTGATGAAAATTCTGGAATTTGAGAGTAGTGATGGATATGCCACCCTGAATGTATGAAAAACTACAGAATTGTAGACTTTATAAGATGAACTTTATAGTATGTGAATTATATCTCAATAAAGCTGTTATAAGCTGGCCGCGGTGGCTCATGCCTGTAATCCCAGCACTTTGGGAGGCCGAGGCAGGCAGACCACGAGGTCAGGAGTTTGAGACTAGCCTGGCCAACATGGCGAAACCCCATCTCTACTAAAAATACAAAAAATAGCCAGGTGTAGTGGCGTGTTCCTGTAATCCCAACTACCCGGGAGGCTGAGGCAGGAGAATTGCTTGAACCCGGGAGGCAGAGGCTGCAGTGAGCCAAGATCACGCCACTGCACTCTAGCCTTGGTGACAGAGCAAGACTCTGTCTCAAACAACAACAACAACAACAAAACAACAACAACAAACTGTTATAAAAAATTAAGAAAATAAATGCCTCTTATAATTATTTAAAAGATCCCAAAATTACCATACAACTAAGAGCCAACTTTCAAAATTAAATATAACCAGTTTAATAGAAAGACTATTTTTTCTCTAATTAGATTTGGATTTTTGTAGTCATTTAAGCAAAATCAGTGAAGATTCTATCTCCCAGCAGACTATAAGTTTCATGAAGACAGGATCCACCTATGTGTCTTTGTGCCAGCATGTCCAAATGGATTACACATACAAATGAATGGATCTTGGTGTATCTTCTTAATGAGCACTTGTGGGCTTAGCCTCTAAAATTTAGGCCTCTGTTTATTTATCTGTAAAATGAGGTTAAAGCAGTAACTACCTTACAGGACAGATGTGAGAATTAAATAAGAGAATGGAGCTAAAGCTTTACGTAGTTCCTGGCATATAGTAAGAGTCAGTAAGAGGTAGTTATTGCCATTTTATTATGTAGCTATTATGATGATTGTATTTTGGGACTTTGTGTCAACTCATCACAAGAGATAAGAAATTTCCTATCAGCTGGTGTGAGCAAATCTTGAGTGATTATTTTTAGAATATATAGTCATTATTATTACAAAATGGAAGAAAAAGGAATTAGCAATTTTCAGATTTTGAAACAAAAAAATTGGAAATTGGAATTCAACAATCGTAAGATTTTACAAGTCTGTGAGTATGTGAAAAAAATCTAAAATATAGATTTGAATTCCTATAAATGATTTAGTCTGAAATAGTTTTCTAAATTTCTACTGTTTTTTTTCAGTTACTCCATGAAGTTTAAATACCAAAGGCGTTTTTGTTAAATGGTGAGCTTTCGGCCTGTGCTGCTTACAAGTGTTTGAGGGATGTCCCTCCTTCTCCCCAACCCTTGTATCCCTCAATCATCAGGCTATAAGATGTGCCTTATTTGAGTTCAATGCTTTTCACTTTGCATGAAGTTTAACACATACTGATAGGACACAAATTGAGTTGACAACTGTTTGGGGTAGGTAGGGGTGTGTTAGAGGCCAGACTTTGGTCCTTCCATCTCACACAGAGAAAAGCAAGCGTAGGTAAGTGATTTACCCAAAATCATATAACTTGGTAAAGGGACTTTGAAAGGAAAACTCAGGACAAGCCACTTTTTTTTCCTATTACTACAACACATAAAGCTCCTCTATCATATAACACACAGACAAACAAGGGACAACAAGCACCCCCTGCAAACCATCTCCCAGCAGCCATGATGGCAAGTATTAGAAGAGACAAGCACAATGGGGAAAAGCGCAAGATTTTCAAGGAAGTTCTTCAAAGTTTCAATGCAGGTTTTGATCATTTATCTGGTCACAAGTTTTCATTAGATCAATATGCTTCAATTAGCCTTCTTGTTTGCTTTTGTGAGGAAGATACAATGGCTAGGGAAAAGCAGGGGAACGATGAGCGAGGAAGTGTTTTGCTGGAGAGATTAGACAATCTCTGCTAGAATCAATTCCATGTATTCACACCAAACCACCCACCTGACAAAAATAGAGAGAGCAGAGGGCAGGATGGAAAGAAGAGTCTTCTCACCTGAGGTCAGGAGTTAGAGACCAGTCTGGCTAATATGGCGAAATCCTGTCTCTACTGGAAAAAAAAAAAAAAAAAAAAAAAGAAGAGTCTTCTAATTCCAGGCATGAATGGGGTGAGATATCACCAAACTGGGCCAGAAATAATGGATGGCAACCCCACCATTGCACAACATCCCTGGTATCAGTTCCTTTTTCTTTGTTCTCAATATCAGTAAGACCCACTCACAAGGGGCAAGATTTCCTCCCAGTGTGAAAAAACTTCCTAACAACTGAGAAGGTTGGATGTTTTCTCTGCTGAAAGGTTACATCTTGTTTATGGGTTGGAGTCTCTATTTTAAAAGTTCATGGGAAGAAGGACCCTGTGGAGAAGTGTTATTCCCCATTACCCCCAATTTAATCCTTTCATTCAATTCACATTTTTTCTTCCTCCTTTACCGTTTCTGGTTTCTCTCTTCTTTTCTCCCCTCCTTCCTCCTATTTTGCACCTCTATTTTTATTTCTCTTATCTATTCTTCCCTTCTCTTTCATCACATCAATCTTTAGTCGTATATTTAATGTTTCTCACCAAAGTGAGAAAGTCCTGCTTCTGAAACCCTAACTGCTCTGCTGGATAAAAGATGGGTTTAACATTAAGAACTGCAAGTGGTCCAGCATTCCTTCTCATATCAGCCACCAAACAAGGAAGCCCTATGTCTATCTAGAGATATTTTGTGGAGCTTAATTCAGAATACATGTAATTTACGTGTACATACATATTAAAGAATTTTCTGGATGTGGTAGAAACCTTTGAAGTCTCTTCTGCATGTTAATTTCTCTGCTAATCCAGATGCCTCTGCTCTTTGTGACATTAGAGAGGTCACTGAGCACCATCCCAATAACCCTCCAGAAAACAATGACATGCCAGTGCAGAACCTTTTTTTTTTTTCTACTAACCATTTAGTATTCTTTTTTCTTTTCAAGAAAAGCCAGTCAAGTCCTAGGAGGTCTTATCACTAATACTAATTTCTCCCCAGCTCAGTCAATAGTTACCCTCCCCAGAGAAACTTACAAGTGTATCTGTTCACAGATTTACACATTTCCTATCTATGTAATTACTCTCTAGAAGGAACTACCTTGAGCTTCTGTGCCCCTAAACTGATCTTTCTGGCCTTTCCATAATTATGTAGTCCAAAGAATCACAGCTTTTACAGATGAATTTGCCTCCTGATGTGGACTTCTAAGAGCTCTAACTAGAGCTAAACTGTCTATAGACGATAGGGGTTTGAAAGAAGACTGCAGCCTTTTAAGCTACATTGTTGACAAGCAAAATACCAGCTTGAATTGAAAGCTGGGTGTGTGTGTGTGTGTGTGTGTGTGTGTGTGTGTGTGTGTGAGAGAGAGAGAGAGAGAGAGAGAAAGGCCTCTCACTCTGTTGCCCAGGCTGGAGTGCAGTGGTATGATCTTGGCTCACTGTAGCATTGACCTCCCAGACTCAAGCGACCCTCCCACCTCAGCCTCCCAAGTAGCTGGGATCACAGGTGTGCACCATATCCAGCTAATTTTTTTTTTTTTTTTGGTAGAGATTGGGTCTTTCTCTGTTACCCAGGGTGGTCTCAAACTCCTGGGCTCAAGCAGTCCTCCTGCCCCAGTGTCCCAAAATGCTGGGATTACAGGCATGAACCACCATGCCCAGCTGGAAAAAAATATTTTTGTTTTAGCAAAAATGTAAATGTAAAATTAATAAATTCTGGAGAAGAGCTAAAATATTAAAACTTTCCATAAGTTTATAAAATTATGTGAATTTGTTACTATTTGGTAAGTTTTAATTTTGCTGGCATGAAAATAAGTTTTTTGAAACTAAAATATCTTATTTGGATACGATTTTGTAGCATATAAAAGCTTAGTTTTATATACTGTGCATCTGGCCAGGTGTGGTGGCTCACTCTTGTAATCCCAACACTTTGGGAGGCCAAAATGGGAGGATTGAGTGAGGCCAGGAGTTCAAGACCAGCCTGAGCAACATAGTGAGACCCCTGTCTTTACAAAAAAAATTTTAAATTAAATTAGCCAGGCCTTGTGCCACTGCACTCAGCCTGGGCGACAGAGCAAGACACTGCGTCTCTAAAAATAAAAAATAAAATAAAATAAATTATACGGTGCATGAGAAAAACCCTTTGTTTGTTTGTTTGTTTGTTTTTGAGATGGAGTCTTCCTCTGTTTCCCCAGCTGGAGTGCAGTGGCATGATCTCAGCTAACTTCAACCTCCATCTCCCAGGTTCAAGCGATTCTCCTGCCTCAGCGTCCCAAGTAGCTGGGATTATAGGCATGTGCCAGCACGCCCAACTAATTTTTGTATTTTTAGTAGAGACGGGGTTTTACCATGCCACCCAGGCTGGTCTCAAACTCCTGACCTCAGGTGATCCTTCTGCCTCGGCCTCCCAAAGTGTTGGGATTACAGCATGAGCCACCGCACCTGGCCTGGAATTTTTATTTTAAACACAAATGGAGCTGGGCACAGTGGCTCACAACTGTAATCCCAGCACTTTGGGAGGCCTGGACGGGTGGATCACAAGGTCAGGAGTTCAAGACCAGCCTGGCCAAGATGGTAAAACCCTGTCTCTACTAAAAATGCAAAAATTAGCCAGGCATGGTGGCAGACGTGGTGGCAGGCGCCTGTAATCCCAGCTACTCGGAAGGCTGAGGCAGAGAATTGCTTGAACCTGGGAGGCAGAGGTTGCAGTGAGTCGAGATCGCGCCACTACACTACAGCCTGGGTGGCAGGGCAAGACTCCGTCTCAAAATAAACAAAAAACAAAAGAAGAAGAACATCATGGATAATTCTACCATCCAGATAACTACTGCTCGTATTTTCTCCCAGTCCCTTGGTTATGCATATATTTTGAAATTTCTTTTAAAGATTTTCACTGTCCTGTTTTAAAGCAATCAATAATGTTTCATGCTGAGGCATGGCTCAATTTTCATAATAAAGGAGGAGATAGAGAGAGAGAGATCAAGAACCAGAAAGATTCAAATGTCTTGAAGGATTGGTAAAAGAAAGAAAGAAGAGGCAGGCAGCCAGATCCTCTCGCCTCCTTTCCCCTTGACTGCTGATACTGCCCCCCTACACCTTCTTCCCCTGGAGGCATTCCCCAAACCTTCAAATAGAACAAAAAAGCTGTTCCAGACCCAAAAAGCATCACGAGCCAGTCTACTATTATTCCTTGTGAGGAAAATATCAATGTATATGATGGCTAGGTAATTTCTGGATGTTTGCATTTCTATCACGACGTGTTTTTAGGCTTCTAAGAAATCATGAATATCTTTTTTCCCCAAATGATTTTTTTCAGTCCCCTGAAAACATATTTTACATTCTAACACGAAGATGACCATTATTCTGACCTCCTGGCCATCTAGTTATCACTCTGCATTAAGCCTTCTTCATATTTTTAGGATTTTTGCAAGTTTGAGTAAATAACCCAGTTTCCAGAGTAGCTTGCATCACTGTGGCCTAGAACGTGAGACAATTACATGTATCCTCCTTTTCCTGTAATTCCGCAGAGGAAGAACACATGACCTGTAGTACCTATAGTGCGCACTAGGCTACGCAAACAGAACAGTCTGTCAGCCTCCTAAGAGGATGCTCAATATCGCCTTGGGCCTCTTTTTACTGAAGTCTCTAAGCATGACAGTGCTGGGCTTCTTGATCATACTAACACTTTATCATGAGATAATTATAGCTCTGCCTTCTGTTTCCAGCGCTCTGGTGGATTAGGTACTATGATGGTTAATTTTATGTGTCAATTTGGCTAGTTTATGGTGCCCAGTTGTTTGGCCAAACACCAGTCTAGATACTGTTGTGAAGGTATTTTTTAGAAGTGGTTAACATTTATTTTTATTTTTAGAGTCATGATCTCAGTCTGTCACCCAGGCTGGAGTGCAGTGGTGCGATCATGACTTACTGCAGCCTAAACTCCTGGGCTCAAGTGATCCTCCCACCTCAGCCTCCCAAGGAGCTGAGACCACAAGCTCACACCACCATCTTGGCTTATTTTATTTATTTATTTATTTATGTATTTTACAGACAGGGTCTCAATATATTGCCCAGACTGATCTCAAACACCAGGGTTCAAGTGATCCTCTCACCTCAGCCTCCCGAGTTGTTGGGATTACATGCATGAGCCACTGTGCCTGGCTGCATATGGTTAACATTTAAAGTAGACTTTGAATAGAGCAGATTGCTCTCCACAATGTGGGTGGGCCTCATCCACACAGTTGAAGGCCTTAAAAGACTGAGGTCCCTAGAAGAGGAAGGAATTCTGCCTCCAGACTCAAACTGCAATATTAGCTTCATGTGAAATTTCCATCCTTCCTGCCTTGCTCTATAAATTTTGGACTTGCCAGCCCCCACAATTTCATGGGTCAATTCCTTAAAATAAATGTCTCTGTCTTTCTGTCTCTGTGTGTGTGTGTGTGTGTATATACATATATATATACACACACACATATATATGTGTATATATATATACACACACATACACAGACACACATACATATATGTGATAAATAGAAGATATACATATATCTTACATACGTATCTATCCTCTTTATCTATATATTCTATAGGTTCTGTTTCTTTGGAGAACTCTAACTAATACAGACATACTGAATGACAATCTCAACGGACATAACTAAAATGCTGGGTAAAATATTTTTAAGATATCTTTTAAAATGCATCACTGAGCTGGCACAAAAGGGAGGGATTTTCATATCCCAAAAATAAATGAAAGCAGGAACCGTGGTAGGTAAGCATTTTCCAAATGCATTTTCCAAAAAGCACTTCCAGCTTTCACCCTGAAAGTTTCTGTCAGATTCTGGAGACCCTGAATCTCAACTCTGAGATGATGTTTAGGTATTGCCCAAGGTGGGGAACCTGTCAGGAGAATCCTTGCATAAAGCTGAAACCACAAAGGGTTACATCCTCAGTATAAAGATAAATAAGCCGGGCGTAGTGGCTCACACCTGTAATCCCAGCACTTTGGGAGGCCAAGGCAGCTGGATCACCTGAGGTCAGGAGTTTGAGACCAGCCTGATCAATATGATGAAACCCCGTCTCTACTAAAAATACAAAAAAAAAAAAATTAGCTGGGTTTGGTGGCATGCGCCTGTAATCCCAGCTACTCGGGAAGCTGATACAGGAGAATTGCTTGAACCCAGGAGGCAGAGGTTGCAGTGAGCCGAGATCACGCCATTGCACTCCAGCCTGGGCAACAAGAGCAAAACTCCATCTTAAAAAAAAAATTAAATAAATAAATAAATAAACCCTGCCCCAAAGAGCAGTGCTATTAGCCAGGACATTTGTCTATCTTGTTGACAGGAAAGGAAGGACACGAAAAAAGATCTCCTCTAAGAATTTGAAACTATTAATACAAGGAGATCTCACACAGATTTTCTATCTAGATCCACCATTTATGTAGTCCAAAAAAACCCTAATAATACAGTATTTCAATATAAAAGGACTCCACATTAGTAGTACAACCAGGTGACTTGACTAGAAAGAGCAAATGCAAATCTTCACACAAGTTCATCTTTAACCTTAAACTCCAAGAATCCTCAGATAGAGTGCCAACTAGAAAGAGCAAATGCAAATCTTCACACAAGTTCATCTTTAACCTTAAACTCCAAGAATCCTCAGATAGAGTGCCAAGGCAAAACCTAGGAGAAAACATGGCACCAGGAAGTGAACTAGAAGAGGCAAGCAGCAGACAACAAAAGTAGTCCCTCCGGGACATCAAATATTGGCATTTTTAGTTACCAAATACAAATATTACATGTTAATTAAATAACAGAGGAGCTTAAAATATTAGCAAGGAACTGAGACTATAAAGAAAATCCAAACAGGTCTGAAACAGAAACAAACAATACTTTAGAAAATGAAAAATACAATGATTCAGTTTTGTTTTGTCTTTTTTTGAGAGAGTCTCACTCTGTCACCCAGGCTGGAGTGCATTGGTACAATCTCTGCTCACTGCAGCCTCAACTTCCCAGGCTCCAGCAATCCTCCTACCTCACCCTTCCAAGTAGCTGGGACCACAGACGTATGCCACCACGCCCGGCTAATTTTTGTATTTTTAGTAGAAATAGGGTTTCGCTATGTTGGCCAAGCTGGTATCAAACTCCTGGCCTCAAGTGATGTGCCTGCCTCTGCCTCCCAAAGTGCTGAGATTACAGGTGTGAGCCACCGGGCCCAGCCAATGATCCATTTTTTAAATTAGGGAGGAGGGCCTTAAACAGCTGGTTAGACCCAGCAGAAGAGAGAATTAGTGAACTGGAAAACTGGCACAGACATTTTCCAGAATACATCCAGAATCAAAGAGATGGAAAATATGAAAGAGATGAGAGTTATAATTCACAATCAGGGTTCGTGAAGGAAATAATAGAGTAGGGAAGATAAAATTTCCAAAGAGATAATAACGGAGAATTTTCCAAAATTGTAAATGACACCAACCTTCAGATTCAAGGAGCCAAGTGCATCTCCAGCAGAATAAATAAAAAGAAATCCACATGTAGAACTATGATTGTAAAAATGCAGCACTCCAAGCTGGGCATGGTGGCGCATGCTTGTGGTCACAGCTACTTGGGAAGCTGAGGCAGGAGGATCACTTGAGCTGCAGAGTTCCAGGTTGCAGTGAGCTGTGATCATATCACTACACTCCAGCCTGGGCAACAGAGCAAGACTGTGTCTCTTACAAAAATTAAAAATTAAAAAGGCAGAACTCCAAAGGGGAGATAAAACCATAAAGGTAGACAGAGGGGGAAAAGTCACTTTTTTGTTTTGTTTTCTTGAGACAGGGTCTTGAGCTCTGTGGCCCAGGCTGTAGTGCAGTGGTGTGATCATGGCTTATTACAGCCTCAACCTCCTGGGCTCAAGTGGTCCTCCTGCCTCAGCCTCCTGTGTAGCCGGGACTACAGGCACATGCCACCAAGCCCAGCTGATTTTTTTTAATTTTTTTGTAGAGACGGGGTCCTACTGTGTTGCCCAGGCTGGTCTCAAACTCCTGGGCTCAAGTGATCCTTCTGCCTCAACCTCCCAAAGTGCTGGATTACAGGTACCATGCTCTGTCTGACAGGTTACTTTTGAAGATGGAGCCTTAGACTGAATACTGACTTTCCAACAGCAACAATAACAACAATAAAACCAAAAGATAGTGAAATCACATCATCAATGTGCTGAAAGAAAATAACCATGAATCTAAAATTATATCCCACCTGTAGTCCCAGATACTCAGGAGGCTGAGGCAGGGGGATCACTTGAGCCCAGGAGTTGAAGGCTGCAGTGAGCTATGATCAAACCACTGCACTCCAGCCTGGGTGACAGAGTGAGACCTTATCTCTAAAAATAAAAAATAATAAGATAATATTCCCAGTGAAATATCTTTCCAGAATGAAGGTAAAATATAGATATTTTCACTTAACCAAAAATTGAGAGACTTTCCCACTGGCAGACCCTCACCAAAGAAAATTATAAAGGTTATGCTTCATAAAGAAGCAATGGGCTGGGCACAGTGGCTCACACCTGTAATACCCGCACTTTGGGAGGCTAAGGTGGACAGCTCACCTGAGGACAGGAGTTCGAGACCAGACTAGCCAACATAGCAAAACCTCTTCTCTACTAAAAATACAAAAATTAGCTGGATGTGGTGGCATACACCTGCAATCCCAGCTACTCAGGAGGCTGAGGTAGGAGAATTGCTTGAACCCGACAGGCAGAGGTTGCAGTGAGCTGAGATCACGCCACTGCACTCCAGTCTGGGCGACACAGCAAAACTCTGTCTAAAAAAAAAAACCCCAAAGGGCTGGGATTACAGATGTGAGCCACCATGCCCGGCCAAATTTTTTTAAATTAAAAAAAAAAAAAAGCAATAGAAACCTTCCCAGATGGAAGGTTTGAGAAGAAGAAATAATCAGCAAAGATATAGGTAAATATGTAGGCAACCCTATATAAATCTATGTGATTGTATGAACAATAATAATATCTAATTTGTGGGGGGAAAAATTAAGCTAGAACTGGATCCCAGTACTAGAAACAGATGATAATATATAAAGATTTCTAAGGTTTTCATATTGTTCAAGAGGCAGAAAGATATTAACTTTGTTAACTGAAAATATTAAAACAGATAACCACTAAAAGAATAGATGCACAAAGAATATAACTTCCAAACAAGAATGAGAAGAACTGGACTGAGAGGGGAAAAAAATTCTCAGTCAATGCAAAAGAAGGCAAAAAGGAAGAGGTAAAACATGGAAATATAAAGCACCAAAAAGATGGTAGTAACAAATTGAATATATCAGTACTCACAATAAGATAAATGTAATAAAGACTCCACTTAAATGATGAAGATTGTCAGACTACATTTTTGAAAATCAGCAATATACTGTTTACATGAGATTTTTAAAACATAAAGTCATAGAAATGTTGAAAGTCAAAGGACAAGAAAACAAATATTAATAGAATAAATCTGATGGGGCTGTCTATATTAATATAAAAAAGAGACTATGGACAAAGCATTACTAGAAATGAAAAGGATTGCTACCTAATTCACGAAGAACATAGACCAATTAATTCTACGCTTATATGCACCAAAAATCATGTACTCTTTTTTTTTTTTGAGACAGTCTTGCTCTGTCACCTAGGATGGAGTGCAGTGGCAGAATCATAACTCACTGCAGCCTCGACCTCCTGAGCTCAAGTAATCCTCCCACCTCAGCCTCCTAAGTAGGAGACTACAGATACAAACCACCACACCCAGCTAATCTGTCTTATTTTTTGTAGAGATGGGGTTTCCCTATGTAGCCCAGGCTGGTTTCAACTCCTGGGTTCAAGCAATCCTCCCACCTTGGCCTCCCAAAGTGCTGGGAATACAGGCATGAGCCACTGTACCAGGCTGAAAAGACATTTTTAAATTACTTAAATAAATGGAAAAATAGCAAGTTGTTAGTAGAAAGCTTTATCAATAGCGTGAAGATGTTAATTCTCCCCAAACTGATTAAATCCAATTCCAGTGAAAATATCAACAATACTTTTCACCACACTTGACAAGCTAATTCAAAAATTTAAAGGGAATAGCAAAAGGTCAAAATTAGCTAAGTGCCCCTAAGAAAAAGAATAAGGTAAGGGGACTTGCCCTCCCAGATAGCAATACTTACTATATAAGCTAAGTAAATAAGACAGTGTGATATTAGCAGAGGTATCTCACAAAGGGGACAATGGAAGATGATAGGGAACCTGGAAACAAACCAATGCATATATGGAGACTTGATTTTATAACAGAGTGGGCTCCAGAGATGAGTAAAGAGTCAATCAATGGGCCAGGTGCGGCGGCTCACGCCTGTAATCCCAGCACTTTGGGAGGCCGAGGTGGGTGGATCCCAAGGGCAGGAGATCGAGACCATCCTGGCTAACACGGTGAAACCCCGTCTCTACTAAACATACAAAAAATTAGCTGGGCGTGGTGGCAGGCACCTGTAGTTCCAGTTACTCGGGAGGCTGAGGCAGGAGAATTGCTTGAACCCGGGAGGCAGAGATTACAGTGAGCCGAGATCGCACCACTGCGCTCCTGCACTCCAGCCTGGGAGACAGAGCGAGACTCCCATCTCAAAAAAGAAAAAAAAAAAGTCAATCAATAGTACTAGGAAGTTTGATTTTTTTATTTATTTTTATTTTTTGATACAGGGTCTCACTCTGTCACCCAGCCTGGAGTGCAGTGGCACCATCTTGGCTCACTGCAACCTGTGCCTCCTGGGTTCAAGAGATTTTCCTGCCTCAGCCTCCTGAGGAGCTGGGATTACAGGCGTGCCACCATGCCCGGCTAATTTTTGTATTTTTAGTAGACATAGGTTTCACCATGTTGGCTAGGCTGGTCTCAAACTCCTGACCTCATGTGATCCACCTGCCTCAGCCTCCCAAAGTGCTGGGATTACAGGCGTGAGCTACTGCACCCAGGCAGGAAAATTTATTAAACAACTGCAAAAAATTAAATTGGAACCCTACTCAAACCATACACAAAAATCAATTTTAGTTGTATTAAGCACTTAGATGTGGAAAATAAAGCTATAAAACTTTTAGAAAACAGTTTAAGAGAATACCATTACAATCCAATAAAGGGTAAGTTTTTCTAAAACAAGAGACAAAAATATCCACTCATGAAGGAAAATGTTGATAAATTCTACCGCGTAAAATTAAAGCTTTGCTTCACCAAAAGACATTTAAAAGAGAGGAAAAGATAACCACTAAATGGATGGGGGGTGGGGGTGGTTGGGGAATGGTTTGGAATGGAATTTGCCAAATATATAATTGAGACAAAGGATTAATATCCAAAATATATGTTTTAAAACTCCTATGAATCAAAGGGAGAAGAAAAAACAAGCCTGCTAACATAGCAGGACCCCATCTCTCTCTCTCTCTCTCTCTCCCCCCCCTTTTTTTTTTTTTTTGAGACAGTCTCACGCTGTCACTCGGGCTGGGGTGCAGTGGCATGATCTTGGCTCACTGCAACCTCTGCCTCCTGGATTCAAGTGATTCTCATGCCTCAGCCTTCTGAGTAGCTGAGATTACAAGCATGCGCCATCATGCCCAGCTAATTTTTGTATTTTTAGTAGAGACGGGGTTTCGCTATGTTGGCCAGGCTGGTCTCGAACTCCTGGCCTCAAGTGATCCACCCACCTTGGCCTCCCAAAGTGTTGGGATTACAGGCGTGAAGTACTGCACCTGGCCAAGACCCCATCTCTTAAGTAAATAAATAAACTAAGTGTGGTGCCAGGTGCCCGTATTCTAGATATTTGTGAGGCTAAGGCCAGAGGTTCACATGAACTCAGGCGTTTGAGGCTGCATTGAGCTGTGATTGTACCACTGCACTCCAGCCTAGGTAACAGAGTAAAACCCTGACTCTCAGAAAAAAAAAAAAAAAAAGAAAATGAAAAGAAAAAAGAAAAAGATAAACAATACAATGGAAAAATGGGCAAAAGTCACAAACAAGTATTTTACAAAAGAGAAAACACAAATGGCTCACAGATACCTGAAAAATGCTTGATCTTGTTAGTAATCAGAGAAATGCAAATTAAAACCACAGAGATATTGTTCCCATCTGAATAAGAAAAATTTAAAAGTAAGTCAATAGTAAGTGTTGACAAGGATGGGGAGCAATAATAACTCTTACTACCTTCTGGTGGGAGTGTAAATTAATACAACCATTTAGAGAAACAGATTGATAGTAAAATTCAGTAGGAAAGTCAATTCTGCTCCTGGGTTTATATGCTAGAAAAATTCTTGCATATGTACTCCAGGAGGCATGCATTACAGATTCTCATAGCAGCATTGTTCAGAATTACTAAAAAGAGAGAGACAGAGAAAGGCAGAACACAAATGTGCATTCATAGTAGTAAGGAGTAGTCACTCGTGGTATATTCACACAGTGGAATACTATACAACAATGAGAATGAAGAAACCCCACTGTGCAAATGTAACACAATTAATTTAATATCAACATTAAACAGAGTGTTGGGGAAAAACCCAAATCACTGAAGCTATATAATGTATGCTTCTGTTTATGTAACATTCAAAAAAAAAAAAAAGCAAAACTTCACATGATTTTAGGGATGTATATGTAGAAGTTGTAAAATTATAAAGAAGGCAAGCAAATGAATAAAACACAGCTCAGAGTGGTGATTATCTCTGGTGTGTGTTGGTGGGGAGGGGAGACACCATCTAAGAGGGCATGAAGAGGTTCCTGTGAATACTAAGATTCTAATTTTTAATGTAGCTG
This sequence comes from Homo sapiens, assembly GCF_000001405.40. Taxonomy (NCBI): domain Eukaryota; kingdom Metazoa; phylum Chordata; class Mammalia; order Primates; family Hominidae; genus Homo; species Homo sapiens. The sequence goes on from NC_000006.12 coordinate 108,154,063, forward strand.
CGAGGATATAAACATACGTTTTATTTCATTCTTTTAATTGCACAAATACATTCATACTGTATTTTATATGTATGGTACATTTTACAATCAAATGGTCAATGTGGCCGGGCACGGTGGCTCACACCTGTAATCCCAGCACTTTGGGAGGCCGAGGCTGGTGGATTGCTTGAGGTCAGGAGTTGGGGACCAGCCTGGCCATCATGGTGAAACCCTGTTTCTGCTAAAAATACAAAAATTAGCCAGATGTGGTGGCATGTGCCTGTAATCCCAGCTACTCAGAAGGCTGAGACAGGAGAATTGCTTGAACCTGGGAGGTGGAGGTTGCAGTGAGCCAAGATTGTGCCACTGCACTCCAGCCTGAGACAGAGCAAGACTGCGTCTCAAAAAACAAACAAGTGGCCACTGTGTGTTATTTCTGGGATCTTGACTAAACACATTGAGGCTGGGCTATGTCTCTTCTGTTTCCCTCTCCAAGAACGAGTTAGAAGATTCCATCTGGCCAGGCGCGGTGGCTCACACCTGTAATCCCAGAACTCTGGGAGGCCAAGGAGGGTGGATCACCTAAAGTCAGGAGTTCGAGACCAGCCTGGCCATCATGGTGAAACCCAGTCTCTACTAAAAATACAAAAATTAGTCGGGCATGGTGGTGCATGCCTGTAATCTCAGCTACTTAGGAGGCTGAGACAGGAGGATCACTTGAACCTGGAAGGCAGAGGTTGCAGTAAGCAGAGATCGCACCATTGCATTTCAGCCTGGGCAAGAGAGCAAGACTCCGTCTCAAAAAATAATAAATAAATAATACATTTTTAAAATGAAAATTCCATTCTCTTATTGATTTAAATCTAGTCGACCTCTGGATAAGCCCTTCCCTTTGGTTTATTACTACCATATTCCAAATCTAGTGCTGTACTTGTCCCTGCTCCGCAATTATCAGCAGTCAGATTTTTGTACTTTTCTGGCAACCTAAGCTTAGGGGTACCAAGATCATCCTCCTGCCTTTCCAACAGTGTTTGCTCAGCCTGCAAGTGTAAGAGGGGAAAAAAAAAAAGAAAAAAAAGAGGTTTAATTATAATCACTTCTCCAGGGACTGCTTTCCTCTAATGATGTCCACATCAAGTGACTCCAAAATAATTCTTCATTCTAAAAGAGAGTAATTCTGGCCGGGTGTGGTGGCTCACGCACTTTGGGAGGCCGAGGTGGGTGGATTGCCTGAGCTCAGGAGTTCAAGACCAGCCTGGGCAACATGGAGAAACTCCGTCTCTACTAAAATTACAAAAAATTAGCCAAACGCGGTGGTGCGTGCCTGTAATCCCAGCTACTTGGGAGGCTGAGGCACGAGAATTGCTTAAACCCTGGAGGCAGAGGTTGCAGTTAGCCAAGATCGTTTCACTACACTCCAGCCTGGGCGACAGAGCAAGACTCTGTCTCAAAAATAAATAAATAAATAAATAAATAAATAAATAAATAAATAAATAAATAAGAGTAATTCAAGGCCTTGAATATCAACCAGAGTGAGTGACAGAAAGGCTTGATACCAGTATGTCACTCACACCTTTCATGGGTAGACCTTTCCAAAATCACCCAGTGTCCCCCTCTCTGAAGACCTTCATCTGTAAAACAGAAATAAGAAGCAACTGTGCTGAATGTTCTTAGAAGGTGTGGTCATAAACTCTATTAATAGACAGTAGAGCCTGTTGTTAACTCTGTCTAAATCTACACATTAATTTGGAAGTTTCATCAGTCTGACTCATATTTTCTTTTTTCTTTCTAATAATTCAGTATCCCAGCCTTTACACCCTCACTCAACTTCTGGCATGGACATGCTCAGCATTGCCACACTTGCCAATAAAGGTAAAAACTATACAATTTTTTGGCAGGCTTTAATAACTTTCATAATGAGCTACCATTCCTGTCATTTATTTGATTTGAACTTGCAAAGGCATCAGTAAATTAAAAGAAAGCATACTGAGATTTGGTGGAGGAAAAAAATGTCAATTCCCAAATTGGTCTTTTGGGAATTCAAAATACACAATAGAGCAACAGCTGTTCTAGATTTCCATCAGAGATTAGCAGATAAGTTATTATTGAAATTCAAAGTTGTGACATCTTTAGATAAATATTTGCCCTTGATTTTCACAGCCTCTGATTCAACAGAAATCTGGAAGTGTTCACAGCTTGGCCCGGAGAAGATCGTTTTAAATCTACAGCTTTAAAATGTGGTTGAAAAGGAGCCCAGGTTGGATTCTGCCAGCAGGTCCGCTGGCCGCTGTTACCTCCCCACTGTCAACGCCTAGGTCTCTGCCTCCAGCCCTGTTTCAGCCTGTCCTTGAGGATTTGCTTCACCTCATTTACTGAGCTTGCCACAGATTCATTACCTGGCATCAGAGCTCCCCTCTCACTGAGCCTGCCCAGAGGGGTGCCAGTATACTAGCCAGATGCCGCTGGAGGGACTCCACAATAAAGCCTGGCTATTAAAGACTTCAACAGTCTCATAAAGTCACTTTGCCAGCTGTAGAGCACACAAGTGCCCACAGATCCAAGCCTCCTTCCTTCCCCAAAGAAACACCTTGGATAAAGTCTTGGAATATCATCCATTAGCACATGGCTCCAGCCAACACATGAATTCCCTTACACCAGCACATGGTCTCTCTTTCCTGTTCATTCACTTTGGAAGACAGTCCTTGAAATGACAAGGCCTGGAGTGTCTTGTACAACCACCGCCAATCCGGTTTCCAGCAGAGGCTTGTGGGCTAGGGAGTGTATCGATTTGTATTGTTAAAGGAATTTCCTGCTCCTCTCAGTGTCAGCTGAAGAGCCCTCTGCAGTCATTCTCCTATTTTGAGAGAAGAGAAACAAGAGGAGACGAACTCCTGGTTCCTTCCTACGGGGTGTATAGACCAGTGACAATGTTAGTCCTACAATTTGGATTTATTTGTTTGTTTTCTAATCACCGCCACTTCTCCAAGTACAAAGTCTGTGTCTATAATTAGATATCTTCTACATGTTACACCGGCAAGTCCATCTCATCATTTTACAGAGGGATGGTGACTTCCTTTAGCGCCCCATACTGACCGCGGTCCCTCACCTGCTGACTGATTGACTTATAAATCTGCCCCCCACCCACTTGTCTGTCCATTGAAGGCAAATTCGCCATCGGGAACACAGTAGTTTCTCAATAACTATCTAATGCATGGCCACCCTTCCCAGGATTTAGAATATCAAAGGGACGTGTTCTTTCCTCCCAAATCACCTGCCTGCGCTTCCCCCAGCCGGGTGCCCCAGCCTTCACCTCGGTCCGGCCACCACCTCATCCCGCTTCTTCGCGGCTTCCAGGCCTCGGGCTGGGATCTCAGCCCCTGCCTGTAGGTGCGGCCCAGAGGGTGCGACACGCGTCGGAGCGGGGCAGCGGAGGAGGGGACAGGGACGCGGCAGCCACACCCGCATCTCTTTCCCCTCTCGGGCATCCCCGAGGGCCCTTCTGCCTCCAGTTCCTTGAGCCCCCGAAGCCCCCCATGCGGCAAGAGCGAGTCGCAGGAACAAGTGGGGAATCTTGGCCGCGGCCCCCTCCCCCGCCTTATAAAAAAGAAATTGACTTTTGTTTGGAGTTTGTGAAAAGTGGGGCTCGGGGCCCAGTCAATGGGGCGCCCCGCGGCGCGGGCTGAGTGGAGCTAGCGCGAACCGCTCAGCCGCGGCCCCAATTAATCCGCCCTTTGTGCGGCCCGCCCGGCCGCCCCCGCCGCAGCCGCACCAGCGGCCCATTGTTCGGCCTCGCCGGGCCGCGGGATTTACCCTTTTCAAACAGCCGGTTTTGTCCAGGGCAGTTCGAGCGGAAGTTTCTCACTGACAATTTGCCCCAAATAGATAGATTTGTCAGAAGCGACCTTCGGGAAGGAAGCAAAAAGCCACCGGCCCGAAGGTTGGGCCCAAAACAGGGACTCTGCGTCCCACCCGCGGCCGCGCCGCCCCCCCGCGCCCCCGGCCCTGCAGTCCCGAAGCCCCGCGGGGGTCCAGACCACTGCACCTGCTGAGCCAGACACTCCGCGGACCTGACCTCCGTTTTACCCATCTGTAAAATGGAGCAGCTGGGCGCTGGCAAGCCGTAAGTCCAAGAGCTTTGGCTCCACCAGCGTGTACGACGCTCATTTCCTTTCTCTCTCCCCACACCCTTTCCAAAAACTGTAAGCCAGAAAACCTGGCCAGGCCTCCGCGACGGCGAGAAACGGTCTTGAAGGTCGGTCGGTCGCCGTAATGCGGTCCGGATCGTGCACGTGCTGTTTCGCCACTGCCCTCCGGCTCCTCCTTAACAAAGATGTCAACCGTGCTAAATCACAGGTGGTGCCTTTGTAAGACCAGCTATTGTCCCCTCATAAGTCAAGATATAAAACGCTTTGTACTGAATGGCCCATGATCTGGAGCGCTCAACTTGGGAGTTGAGCTGTTAGATTTTCTTTTCCCCACCCACCAGAGCCACTCTTCTCCCAAATGACCTCACTTAATAAGCAAAATTTAAATGGGGTGGGGGGGGACTCAACATGCTGTGGATGAAAAGAATAGTTACTGATTTCTTCACACTTAATGGCATGTAGGAGTCTTTTAAAATACAGTCTCATACCAAACAGATCTGTGAATTTTAAGCAGAACTGAATTGTATTAATCAGTTGATGGGTTTGTTCATCTTCTATCACTAGATGAGAAATACAAAGGTTGGGAATCCACAGCGTCTAATTCTACTGTACTTAAGCAATCTCTCCCTTTAGTCCAGAAAATTTCCTACTAGTTGCACATGAGAGAAAAATTGAAGCAAAAAAAAAAAAATCTGTTTTTTGTTTATCCATCAGGTGAATACACACTTCAGCATCATACAGAGGAAACCCTAGGTGGTCTTTAGCAAGATTTCAGTGGTTAAGAGCTACAATTTAGAAAAGATGACAATACATACACAGTGTCAATAGTATTTAAACAAACATCCCAGACAACAGAATAATGGTTATTAACTATGATGCTTTGGGCTTCTGACTAATTTCCCATGTCTGTCTGCAGCCAAACAGCTGCAGGATTTTTCCCCCTTTAAAAACTGTTTGTGCATCATTTTAAAAATTGCATTTAACAGCCATATTCTCCAGAGCAGTCCCTCTGTGTGGAACTGAAGTGAATGGTTTAGCAATAGCGATGAAGCCAGTAAGTAGTAAGAATGTCTTTCATGCCAAAAGAACTCTAACCACTCTGCTAGAAATGGGCTACATTTTTACTCTCTGAAATGTAGAAGCTGTCTGCTACTGTATGACCTTCAGTATGGTTTACATGTCTAAATAAATGGAATTATTTAACCCTGCTCACACTTGCACTAGTGTTTTCAAAATTGATTAAGTTGTGCAACTGTACTAAAGTGTACCTTTCTTGGGGTTTGAAAATATTAAAGAAATCAAGAGAGGGTAAGATTATTTTGCAAAATTGCTTTCTCACTCTTCCAGATAAATATTACATTTTAAAAATTACTTGGTGATCCAAAGATTAAAATGAATGCATTTCTGTACACTCCAAATATGCAATTCCAATGATTATTTAGCTACTGCAGCTGGAAATACATATATTTAGGGATACAGATATGTACAATTATGAATACTTGGGTAATTACACATTGTAACTAACTATTAATGCATGGACTAAAATCAAATTACCTCCACTGTTTTCATTGTTATTTAGTACTTAACAAGTATCCACTTGGCACTAAAAGATGGTCAAAATATATCAAACAATGTCAGCCTTCCAAAAAGGTATCAAAATACTTATATCCTAGATAGATACACATATGTTGTATGTAGTGCATGTTGGTGTTTCAAATATCTCATTATTTAATGTCCTGATCTGATAGAAATGTTAGATTTCAAATCACTGTTTCACCTATCCCAACAGTTACACCTGAAATTTTAGAGGCTAAGGAGAAATGTCTGCAACCTACCTCCTCAGTTGTGAACTCCTGTACCTGAAAGGCCAAATCCTCCTCCTCCCAGCAGGCAATCATCTTATGCCCTGAAGCATGAGATCTGATTACCCCTATCATCATCTTAGCTTGCATAGATACAGATGTTATTAACGGCTGTAGTTTATCCAACCCTTTTTTAAAACGCAGCTGCAGCATTTGACTTGGGGACCTCCTGTGAATCCCACTGGTTGACTCCGTCTTGCACAAAGCACGTGGGGTTTGGGGGAGGGAGAAGAGAGAGGGAGGTTTGTTTTGTTTTGGAGGGTTTTTTTTTTTTTTTTTTGAATCAGAGTTCCCTAAATAGCCACTCGGCATCTTTGTAAGTGATGTGAATTCTGAAATTACTTACTAGAATAGGACAACAGAGTACTGTGTGAACTAGATCTGTTGGAAACAAAGCATAGTAGAATGTATGATGCTTTTCACTTCATTGGCAGAGATCAAATATGTGGTCCTGATATACTCATCCACATAATAAAGAATTGTAGCTTATTCTGAAATATATTGGCCACATTCAAACTGGAGTACCTGGTTTTACATAACAATTGTTTCTACAAGTGTTGAAACAGTAATCTGGATAAAGTAGGTCCTAAAGCTGCTGTGAAGGGAAGACAGGGACGTTTTTAAAATCTGAAAGGCCTAGATTGGCAATCCAGGCAGATCAAATTCAGCGATTAATTGGTCAATCTAATCATTGCCTTTTTCTCAGCATCTATGATTTGTGTCTCTAAGTATTGCTCCTGTAGGTCATATCATCCCTTCTATAAAACAGAGAGGACACCTCACAGGTTTCCTATACCTTGGAACACAGCAAATTTTAAGTACTGGCAGAAAGGGAATTTAGAAAAAAACCCTGTGAAGTAAAGGAGGCTGACGTTGCACAAATACTGAACTATAGTTTCAAGATGCACAAAACACTGTTCTTAATTCTAATTACTTCACTAGTAAGTAAGTGAAATTGCTTTAATTGGAGCTTCTAGAAGCCCTTCTGGGAAATGAGAGGTAGCTGGATGCAGTAGAATGCAGTGGAATGAGTATTTCAAAGAGCACTGGACTCAGCATCAGGAGATATGGGTTCTGGGGATGATCTCTGTCTCTCAGTGAGTAAGCAAGGACAAGTTGTCTCTAAGGTTCTCACTTTCCTCATCTATAAAATGACTACATTAGAGGAGTGCCTTGTAACTTATGTGCTCTGTGATTCCACGCTAAATGGAAGCCAAGTTAGACTGTGTAATTCACAGGAAATTAGGAGGCTGAAGAAAGCTTGGCAGCCAGTATCTCCCTGGATGTAGTCTGTGTTCTGCTTTCTTGTTTCTCTAGTCATTCTTTTGTTTTCAGAAAGCCAAAAATGACCTGCACTGCTTCCCAAGGTTTGGAGATTCAGAGGACCTGTCCCTGTTCCCTTCCTACCCCATTGCTGGGGCTGAGCAAAAATGAGCCCTTCACCTCAAGCTTCAGTAGCTTTCATTGAGTATCATCAGGCAGGTTCACTCATACATTCCACATTTACAAAGCACCACTATGTGCCAGGGTGCAAGGGACTAGAAAGATGTTTCTACTTGATTATTCTTGGAGCCAGAGAATGTCAAGATGCAGCGGGACTCTAGAAGCCTCGGAGTCTCAGCCTGACTTTAGAACTGAATTTTTGTCCAACCAAGGGTGTGAATAAATGCAAAGACATGACTTGTTATTTGTTAAGGTTGTGGGGTGAGGGGGGTGGTCACACAGAGCATTGTCTCCTTGTTGTTAGCAGCGTTCATCTTCCTACTTGTGGGGAGTAACAGACTACTTTTGGCAATACAGTGCTCAAAAGTGTCAAGAAAAACCCTGCAACTCAGGACCCACTGGATTCTAGAGAACAAGCGTCTCTTTTCTGGATTGTTCTTGTTTATTTGGGGGGTAAATTTGGATAAGAATCAAACAACTTGTAGAGAGATCCACAGCAGAATCAAGAGCAAGCCTGCAAACACTGTTTCTTTCATTTGGCACTTAGCAAGCACCTACTATGTGCCAGACACTGCTCCATGACCCACCTCCTCTCTCACCATCCACTGGGCAAACAACAGCCATAGGTTGAATTATGATGTGGAAGCAAATGCAAATCAACTTCCTCCTTCATATAAACAAACAAACAAACAAACAAACAAAAACTTGTGTCAGAATGTTTTTGGATACTAAACATCAAAACTCAGCCAAGCTCAGCTGGTAGGTTTTCCCAGCGATTTCCTTGGTCTGAGCATCTCTTAACTCTGCATATCGGTAAGGGGAATGGTATTTTAAAGGAGTGACTCTCTAGAGGTTGAATGGCCTCTGTGAGGGGTCGATCACAGGGGATTGGGGAAGGGGTCTCTTTAACACCAATTCCATCAGCTCTGCTAGCTGATGGGAAAGCTTGTCCTTTCACCTTCGGTATTTTAATTTAGAAGAATGTGTGTGTGTGGAGGGGGTGTTAATGGAAAAAATGTCACCGTTTTTAGAGAAGCTAGTGAATGGCAGGGCTAGCAGTCAACCTCAGATAGTCTGAAACTTTGAGGGGTGCTCTGTACCCCTGCCTCTCTCATACAACCTAGTTAATAGGATTCTCTTTAACAGGGCACTAGCAGAGGAATGAGCTATAATACAATACAGTCCTCAGAGGACTGTAGAATCAGTAGATTCTCCTAACACAAGGCCAGCTTTCCAGGGCAATTCTGGACAGCCTATGTCACCGCACACTGGTTTAGGGCTCCTTGTATATATCTCCAGTGTCCTGTGTTTCATCCCAATCTAAAACATTTATCATCTTTTATGTGTCTGCTCCCTGCTACATGGAGAAAGGAGTCATGTCATTAATCTGCTATATCCCCAGGGTCTGGCATATAGTGGGTGCTCAGTATTTGATGAGTGGGTAGATTGATGGATGGGCAGAAATACCCCTTGATCCATGGTCCTCTCATGATCTTATTTCCTATCTCTTGGACCAAAATGTAAACATCCTTCGATAAAAGAACCTTCCCTGCGTTTTAGGCTTTGGTTTTGGTTGAGAGCTCCATACTCACAAGCGCCTACAGAGGAAATTAGGGGCTATGTCTGAACCTGTTTAGAAGGGTTTCAGAACCTCTGAGGGTGTGGCTATCCCCACCACCTTCCAAAGCAATAAACTTATCCTTGTAACTTAAGGTCTTGTCTCTGTTAAAAGATAATTCTGAGCCAGATGGCATTTGCCCCTTATCAATCATTTCCTTTAATGGACTCACAGGAAAAAATCTTTGAAAGTTAAGACCGAACAGGGTGAGAATCCTTTTACAAATAACAATCTGGAACCCAGAGAGGTCTAGCCACTCGCCTAAGGTCACACAGCTTGTTGGCACAGCCCTGAATCCCTATCTCGTGGTTTCCAGCGTTTAGCCTGGCTGTGCCTCCAGTGGCCCCTCAGGGCATCTGCAGGTGACTTCCCTTCATTTGCCCAACATTTATGCAGCACCTACTATGAATCAGGCAGCATGCTGGGGCCTGTGGATAGAAAGATGAAGAGCCATAGTCTTTGTCCTGCAAAGGCTTTCTTCTCTGAGCTGTACCCATGGTAGCCCCAAGTTTCTACGCCTTAAATCCGAGGTCCCCCGTGGCCTGCAGCAGCTTTGCCTGAGTAGAAGGCAGCCCGCACTAAGGCTCCAGGCTTATTTGGGACCTGGTGGGCGACGGGGCCTCAGCCCCTCCCGCCTACCCTGGAGCTTGTTGCCGCCGTTACCACTGAACCAGTCATGCCAGAAAGTCATCACGATGATTTCAGAACTGTATTGTGATTTATGCAAAGCGCGCCGATAATTACAGCCGGGCGCACAGAACACAGGATGCATATGCTGCGGGTGTGTGCGCGCAGTGTTGTGCCTTTCGCCAGGGCTGAATGGGGTGTGTGTGTATTCCGTAGGCATCTTCTTGACACCATGCTTGATCGGGGACTGGTGACAGGAAAAAGAGGGAAGATACCCATTTTGATTTTGAGACAATTTGATGAGCCTTGGGAGTATTTTCCAGAAGTTTTGGTGCCTACAAATGAGCCAGCCTGGCAGGAGCGTTCGAGAGTAGGGGAAGAGGTGGTTTGGAGCCCAGGAAAGCCATCGTCCAGCCCCCGCACAGGCAAAGCAATTAGTAGTTCTCCTTCTCGAAACAGACCCCTAAATGCTTCCCCTGCAGACAGGCCTGGGTCTAGTCATCACCCCCCACACTGCCCTCATCTTCGCCCCAGATAAATTAGTTCCACCCTTGAAGTTCTTTGTCCTGAACCAAAGAACCCCATAATCGCGTCCGCGTTATGGGGGTGGTGGTGGTAGGTGGCTGAAGCAAGTGGATTTCTGGCGTGAACCAGAACCTGAGGATTCCAAACGGAGCCTGGCATCTTATTGTGTTTCTCAAATCCTGCCCGAAATTCCTCCCCTCTCTGGGCGCCGAGTTCGAGAAAGCGCTACGCCGCCGGTCGGGCTAGCTCCACAAGCGGCTGTACAAGTTGGCTGTCAAAAAACGCTGATTTCTCCTCCTGTCACCTAATAAACCCCTACGCGCTTATGGCCTCGTCCCACAATCCCCCAATCTCGTCCCAATTCGAAAAACCGAGGAGGAGGGAATAAACTGAGAGATAAAGATCCCCCCATCTTGCTCTTTCCCCGGGACCCCAGCCTTGGTCGCGGCGCCCCACTAAGGAGGACACAGGCTCTGGTGTGTGTGGTGTGCGAGACCCCGAGCTCGAGGCCGAGCCAAGGCTGGGCAGAAAGTTGCAATCACGTGCTGTCGGAGCCCACTGGAGCGCACAGCCCGCTCCCCCTGGGACGCCCAGGCGGAGGACCTGCTGCGCCCTCCCAGGGCTCGGGGGACTCCAGCATTCACTTGCACGCACAGGCGAACTCTGATTGAAAGCCCGGGATGACACCGAGTCTGGAGAAAGAGGGACCGGGGGGTGGGCTGGCGGAATTGCAGAGCGCCGGCCACAGCTCCCCTCCCCGCGAACGTCGAGCGGAGGGCGGGAGGTGTAACCTCTGACCTCTGGCCGGGTCCACGCCCTGAGGAGGGACTGGCAAGCTCTTGTTCGACAAGTTCAAGCTGCCGAGAGAGCTTAAATAGAATTAATCTCTTAGAGATCGGGGATCATCGCTCCCTCGGCATGCGCTCTCCCAGCGCCGCGCACAGAGCAAGGCGCGAGAGAGCTCAGGAATCGCGGGAAGGCAAGCGGAATGGGGAGGGGGTAGGGGATGAGGGCCTCTCTTCACTATTCCTCCGCCCGGAGAGCGGGAGCCCGCAACGCCCGCCGAGGACGAGCGGCGGGAGGGAACGCTCTGCCCTCCAGCCGCCCCGGTGCAGATAATGGAGGCGACAAGAGATTCGCTCAGCGTCGGATGGGCCAGCTCTGCTTGGGGAAGCTGGCGGCATCCTCCCCTCGGCTGGTGCCCAAACCCACTGCGCGAAGGCCGAAGGAACGCGGAACCTCCAGAAGACCCCATCCTCAGCCCTGACTTTCCGTAGATATGTGCAAAATGAGTAAATTACTCACCTCGGGCCAGATCCAAGTTTTACCCAACAGAAGGGGCACCGGACCAAGAATGAACCAACTCACATGGCCATGTCCGGCGCGCACAATCACACGCCAGCACACAGCCACCCAATTTCTTCCGCGAATCTATCTGGCACTCTGGAGAGAGGGGGAAAAGCGTTTTGAGAAAGCCCCGTCACCCCTCCCCTTCCTTCTTGCCGTGAAATATACGAATTCATTTTTATTACGAGCCGCACCGTCCTCACCATCACGCACGCACAGAGCCACACTCCCATATTCACACTTTCTAACTCGTAAGCTCCGACAGCGCCTGCATTTTCTTTGGGAGCCGCTTGGAGGTTCATTAATATCATTAGCATTTAACCCCCTCCCTCTTCCCATCCCCTCCCCGCACATGGCTGACGTCAGACCCCGCCAGGAGTTGGGGGAAAAGCTAAGTGGGCCAGGGACGCCCTATTCCCCTCCCCGCGGCTGCCTGTCAGAGCGCTTCTGGAGATATTACAGGGGACCCAGCCCGCAGCGACAGGCACAAAGTCACGGGGTAATGAACTTCGGGGACCCTTCGCCGCTGCGTGCGCGGCTCTCCCCGGAAACCCGGACCTGGCCGCCTCTTCCCTCGGAAGATTTCCCAGCAATCTAGTTTTCCCACTCTGCGCTTGGGTTCCGGCAGCGCGGAGCCCGTCTGCCTCTGAGACTGCGGTAGTGTTTTCCTTCTTTCCTTGGGAGACCAGCGGTCGGCAGAGATTGCCCACACTCTGCATGCCTATGTAGAGGGAGAGATCGAAGACTGAGTGACAGGAATGGGGAAAAAGAGGGATTTCGCTCCGTAGGAAGGCCATTTTCGTGTCTCCATCTCTGTCTTTCAACATCCCTCTCTTGCTGTTCTTCCTTCTTCCTCAGTCTTCCTGTCCATCTCTCCATCTGTCTGTCCATGTGTGTGTCCATATCAAGCAGCATTCCCAGCAGCTGCGGTTTTGCAAGAGCCGGGAAGAAACTTAAGGATGCTTAAATTTCCACTGTTGGACGAATTCTGAGCGCCCAGGGAGCAGCGCAGCGCGCGACTGACACCCACCTGTCCCGCCCAGGAGCCTTGCAGGCTGGAGGGCAGCTGGAGAGCGGCGGCGCCCGGCGGCGAGGCGGGCGCTGCCGGCCGGGACTCGGGCAGCGCCCACCAACCGCTCCGCCCCGGGACAGCCAGCATGAGCAAGCCAGCCGGATCAACAAGTGGGTACCTCTCGGGCCGCCGTGGGGCCTAGGCGCGCAGCCTGGGGCGAGCGAGCGGGGAGGCTGGGGGAGGTCCTGCCTGGAGCGCTGCGAATCTGAGCCCCTGAGAGGGATTCCAGCGGGCGTGTGCGTTCGGCCCAGACCTGTAGACCGTGAGTTGGAGCATTTCGTGGAGAGGGGAGAGCCGTTTCGTTGCCTCTGGATTGCTTGATCCCCCCTGTCTGGTGCGGTGAGAAGGTTACGACCCGCGCAGCCCACCAGTCGGATGAGTTGTCTCCATTTAGCCGCCAGGTGCTGGATGGGGGGGCCATGGGGGCGGGAACTGGGCCGCAGCTCCAGGCGGTAGCACAATAACACACTCGCTCAAAACTCCGAGCTCCAGCGCGCAAAAGCAACTCTGTGCAAAGCGGATTTTGAATGGAATGCTTTGCACCCCGTTTCTAGCTATTTCAAATAATCCTGCAAACTGGGAAGCAGAAACAATTTAAAAGTCACATTTTCCTTAATCCTAAATCCGCGTAGGTCATAACTGGGGAATTTAAAGTATGGCGAACCACTCTAGCAAAGAGAGGACCAAATCCCTAATCCCAAGGACTTTTCGAGCCGGAGCCCAGCAGAGGCAGGAGTGCGCGGCCTGCTCCCTCCGTGCGCTTCTCTCCTTCCTCGAACTTCCTTAGCTGCCGGCTCTCCGAACGCCAGGCCGCAGCTGACCTCTCACCACCCCGAGACTCACGAGCGCAGGGCTAAGTGTGTGTGCGAGGGCATTTGCTTGCACCCTGCCTGCGGAACCCAAGAATGTGCAGGCCCGAGCCAGCGTTGAGCAGGCGCGGTCACGGTGCTCAGATCTCCCGGGGGCATTTCAGTTCCCGCCATCCAGTGGCCCACGGCTGCGGGCTCCAGGGTCTGAGGCTGGGGACTACCGTTGCCGCCGCAGTCCCCATATCCCGAAGTTGCCTTGCTGCTTGTGTTGTTTTCGCAGATAGCATTTTTGGCGCTCTGTGCGTTCCTTCCCTCCCCCTCCCCCTTTCACTCGCCCTCATTGTCCTGAGTCTTTGAAAGTTGGGAGAATCGGAGATACTTCTGAGGACTGGTAATGAAGTCTCACTTAAGTGGGATGCAATTCCCGCCCTCCTACCCCCCTCCAAGAAGGAGGTTGTGTTTTCATTTTGTTTTGCTTTGGGTGCTGACCTTTAAAAAATTAGAGCAAAATGAACGTGAACAAAAAGAAAAGGAGAAATGTTTCGAGCTGGGGCAGAGGGAGCAGAGAAGGAGCCCTCACCGCGGCCGGAATGCAGAGCGGACCCTGGCCCAGGACTGGGTTTCCCTTTAGGCTCGGGCCTACCCTGGCCCTCGCTGTTGGAATCTCCAGGAGGTAAAGCGACCTCGATTTTTGTTGCCCGCATTCCCGGGCGTGAGTGTCCTTCCCAGGAGGCTCAGGAGGCCGTTTCTGTTGCATTCTGAGCCTCCGTTGCAAAAACTGAAGCCCGTGGGTCTCGGCAGGCCTCCTAGCTCGCTCGCCCCGGGACAGGCCCTCGCCTACACCCCTGGAAGTAAGGAGCCCCGGGCTCTTTCGTCCTTTTCGGGGTGTGGAGCCCCTGGGGCCCTTGAAAGGTGAGGCCTCAGAGGCGAGGGAGGGGTGAGCGGGGAGCTCTGCCCGCCTGCGGCTGCGCCCCCGCTGTGGACTAGGAGGCAGGCCAACCCTCCGGACTTTGGGGGAAAAACCACAGCGGGCTCCTTGCGGAAACTTTGGCCGTTCTAACTTGCCAAGAGCCTGAGTGAGGCCTTGGAAGCCTCCAGCCCCGGCTCAGGTCGGGACGCGGCTGCTGAGCTTTCTCAGGCCCGCAGGACAGCGGCCCCCGCCGGTGGCGCCGCTGCATTTAGGCCCTTTCCAGACCGGTGGCGGCAGCCAACCCGAGACTTGCGTCCCTCGGGCCCGGGGCAGCTAGGAGGTCGGCGCGCAGCGGGCCGGGTCAGGACTGGGTCGAGCAGACAGAGCTGCAGCCCCCGCCTTGCCCGGCTTCTCGCGGCTGGAGAGCAGAGCGATGTCACCCGGAGCCCCGCCTGGGTGGTAACGAGACCCTGGCCAGTCACCCCTGCAGCCCAGACTAACTTCTTTCAACAGCCTCTGATGGTAATTACAGTAATCGAAGCTGCCATATATCTTTAGGCAATTATGACACACAAAAAGCCCCGAGGGGACCCCCTGGCGAGGGAAGTTAAGAACGGTTTTCCAGCTTCAGGAAACTCCGGCTCGCCTCACGTCGGAGCTCGCTCGGCTTGCTAAATGAGAGGAGCTTTGCAACGGGGTCAACCAGCTTGTCTCGTGACCCCAAGTCACCTTAACGTGGCTGGGTGGCGGAGTCTGAGGCACAGGCCCGCTATGCCCCGGAATTTTCGCGTCCCTCCCTCCTGGGCCCCGCCCCAGCCCGGTTGCCTGTTTCTAATCTGCCCCGGGAGCCGCGGCTCAGAGGTCTGCTCAGAGGCAGGACTCGCACTGGTGGTGGCCTAGAGGGCAACAGTCCGGAAGCTCGGGCGGGGGAATCCGAGGAGGGGCCCCCACCCTGCACTGGTCTTCCCTCCACCCTCATCGGGTTCTCCAGAGATGTTGTCATGGGCCTCCTGTCCGGATGGGAAGTGGGGAAAAAGAGACCCCACCACTGCTCCTCCCACTCACTCATCTTGGCATCTTCAACAGTGCCACAGGGAAGAGGACAGCTGGGGTGACAGTACTGCTGGGCCCCAAACGTGGACCCTGGAGCGGTCAGAGGGCGCGTGTTAAGCAGAGGATGGTTGTAAGATATGGAAACCAAGTTTACCGCTTCCAGAGTGAGTGCAGTGCAGCGGAGCTCCAGACCCGGTTCCTGAGCGACCAGGAACTCCCTTGGGCGCAGTGACAGGCCCGAAGGAGTGGAGGACAAGACCCGCTGTGCCCTTGCCTGGCCCTCTCCAGCCCCTCCCTCCCACAGCACAATCTCCCCTCCCGCCCTGTGGGAGGGGGGCGCCGAGCCGGTGGCCGCCGCGCCGCGCGCCTCCCCTGCCCGCCTTTGTCGCCGTCCGAATTCCCATGCTACTCTTTTTGACGGGTCACTGGTGGCTCTATAGGCAGGTGCTGCCGCGGGGTTGTAATTACCCGGCCGAGCCTGGTCGTTACCGAACACCCCCTCACCCCCAAGCACGGTCCCCCGCGCTCTCCTTCCCCCACCCCCTCCACCTGAGACGAGTCTGGGACCCACGGTGCAAGCTCGCCCGGACGCCTCGGGTTCCAGGAGCAAGTTTACACCTGCGGTGCCTCGAGGCCCTCCCCGCGCCACGCCCTCACCTCCCCTACTCCCCTCGCCCAGACGTTCCACTGCCGCCCCTTCCCACCTCAATCCCATCGTAGTCCCCAACCCAAGCGCTTTCGGCAGCAGCTGTCGAATTTCAGGGAGGCCTGAGGCCGCTGGGGCCCAAACTGGAGGCCTTCGGATAGGTAGAAGAAGAGAAAAGCAAGTGTTAATAAGTCAATTGTTATCAACTATTGTTATTTTTAAAATTAAAGTGTTAATTAAGTTAACAGTTTAATACTCCCTTTGTTTTGCGGGAGGAAGCATTTCTAAGTCCCTATAAACCGCTTCAGGCACTTGTTGGACTCTTGAACCTTAGAGGAAAAGAATCCCTCCCTTTCTAAACGGCCAAATATTACCCTCTCCCTGACACTCCTCCAGGGTCGGTGGCCACCCCAGGCTTGAGGGGATTCCAGGGAAAGTTCTCTTGAGGTGGGGTCCATGGGGGGTGGGGGGATACAGCCTAGAGAAATCAGTCAGATTCTTAATTTAAAAAAAAATCAGGCTCAAAGAGCACTGGAAAAAACCGGGAGGAAGAGATCCACACAGGACCAAGTGTGTGGAGGCCAGTCTTCTAGGGAGAAAGGGCTTAGGAAATGGAGGGAGCCTGTCCCAAGCTAACCCGACAGGGAACCGACAACTTGCGTCGCTCCCCTCTCCCTTGCCTAGTCCCGAACCACTTTGCGGAGAAAATAATTTTTTCCTAAAAGAAATAATTTCTCTAAAGCGACTCACCAAGCATTTTTTAAATAGGTAAAGCGAAAGTTGGCCAATTACCACTACCCTTATTATCATTAATAATCCAAGTATTAGCATTACAATAATAATCCTAATAATAACACCGCCCGGCGGAGCTCAGAGAAAACTCGATTGCCTTCCAGCTGCCATCCCTGGTTCCAGCCGTGTTTGTTTTTCTTCTTTTCCCTTTTACATTTCAAGTTTGTCTCCTCGCGCGCTCACTAACAACTTTCTCTGTTAAATGCAAAAGCGAAGGAGGGAGGCGGCCAAACTTTCCGCGGAGCAGAAAGGCAGTGGAGGGCCGCACTGCCGCCCGGGCCTGCTGTCATCTTTTATTCCAAAATGGGTCTCGGCGATTAGAAGAGAACCAAATACATGTAGCGGTGCATGAATAATGCTCATTGTAGGAAACTGACACTTGCTCAAGGAAAAAAAGTTTGGGTATAAAATCACTTCATTATTTGCTTTTACCGCAGCTTCGGTGCTAATCCCTTCAGAGGTCAGATTGCTTAGCATCTCTCTCTCCCTCTCCCCTTTTCTCCCTCTTCTCCGCCCTCCTTTCCCTCTCGCCCCTTCCCCCCTTCCCCGTCTTTCCTGCGATTTCAGGCCGCATTTTAGATATCCCCTGCAAAGTGTGTGGCGACCGCAGCTCGGGGAAGCACTACGGGGTCTACGCCTGCGACGGCTGCTCAGGTTTTTTCAAACGGAGCATCCGAAGGAATAGGACCTATGTCTGCAAATCTGGAAACCAGGTACCTTAGCCAGGGCTGCACTGCTGGGCTCCGCTCTGCTGCCTCCTCACTCTTTTGTTTGTGCCAAGGCCTCCTCTGAGTTTCCACGCAGTTGAGGAGAGACCCGGCCCTGACCTCTCCCTTCCTCTCCCCTCCTTCTTGCCTCAACTCTTGGAGGCCCTTTGGCTGGGGAAAGGCGGGAAGAGGTAAGGGAAGATATGAGTTTACAGGAGGGAGTCTGAAGTCCTAGAGCCTCCCTACACTTTTTTAAATTATTATTATTCTGAAAGATTTTGACACTGGGTAAGGCCCACACCCTGTGGCTCTAAAGCCGGCCCAAGGGACCTAAAGAATTTAGCATCTAAACCACAAGTAGCAAGCAGGAGAAAGAGCTTTGTTATTGTGCCTGCCCACCCCACACTCACTCCTAGCAGCATCAAGCTCAGTCCCCTGATCACTTGCCTGGGATGCAGAAGTAAGCGGCACACAGACATCTGAGTCAAGGTCACCACCACCTTTAGCTGAGACCACCAAGTGAGTGCTAGCCACTTGGAAGAGAGGCCGTGCTTTCTGAAGGGTTGTGCATTTTCAACTCTGGAGAAGCAGGGCTGCTCTGGAAGTGGGCAGTGGGAATCCAGCACCCATGTGACCTTAGCTATGCCTTGTCAGAAAAGGGCAGGGTGAGGAAGAAGAGAAGATTCAAAAGGAAGGTGCAACTGGGACCCTCCTCAAGCTTCCATATCCCTGTCCTCCTTCTCTGCTTAGAATTTGGGCCCAGTCGGTTGTTTTGGTCTTGAGTAGGCAGAACTGTCTCAAAGAGACAGAGGAATCTGGCATGGGCTGAATATGAGCCAAAGCTTCTAGAAAGAGTGAGCAGAACCTCTTGACTCAGTTTCCAGCTCAATAATAGGCTGATTTTAACTAAGGAGATCAACCTTCTGGTCCTACACTTTGCCCTCTCCTTATCAGCGACTCAGACCCTCAGTACAGAGTCCTCCATTTCACTTGTGGAAAGATCCCTGAGGGTGCATTAGTCAGCAGTCATCCTTTGGTAACAAAATAGTAAAACACTTTTCACTAATTGATATATATAGGGTACATGTATACACATGCATATATTGTCTGCTGCTAGTGAATTGTTCTGACATCTTTTTCTGAAGTCATGTCTGCTCATATTGTTTTCTAATAGTTTTGGATTAACCACAAAAACAGAAGATATTTGCATTGAGATAAATTTTGAGCTCTCTAGCCCTGTTACCTGTTTAATTGGCTACTGTATCAGTTTCTAGCTTCACCATATGGACACATCACATTTTACACGCATAGGACTGTATCCCAATAACTCCACAGGATTGTGCGATTACTGCGGGTTGTCAGATTTGAACCAACTTCTACTTAGATTGTCTTTTGCTTTTATGCAGTGAACAGAATTGGAAAATCAAGATCTCTGATGTTGTGCTTGATCTTTTAGAAGGGGATGGCTATCAATTCAAGCATATTGATATCAGTCCAAGTGCTTGTAAAGGACTGATAATAGACTCATCAGGCCTGGTGTTCTTCTTGCAAGGAGAGTAAATGATCAGAGCTGAGGCGTTTATCCTTCTCTCTGGCGCTAGATATTTATATACATTTGATCTGATTTGAAGACACACTTAAGAACTTATGAAGGTTTCCATTTTGCATTTGCATACTTATAAGAATACTGGAAAGATACCATCTGAGGATAGATATATAATTACATTTAATAACAAGTTTTAAAAAACCTGTTTACAATGAACTATTACATTGGCCAGCAAAGATGCCCTAAATAATTCACTTTGGACCCAAAAATTATCTCCTTTCTCTCTTATTCTAGGATTAAATTATATTCCAATTTATTATTAACAGTAATGAGGACATTTAGAAATGGATATGAACATCTGTCCCACCTTTATTTTAAATAAATCATCATAATTTAAATTGGAGAAGTGTGAACTCATAAAACTGCATTCGAATGTGTAATTTTCCCCTAAAGGGCTTCAGGGGGAAGAAAAACATACTTACTCCAACTCCAGAGTATATGAATTTTTGAGATTATGAAGCAAAATAAAAATACATTTATTATCTTTCTTCTCACTACAAATCTAACAGTAGCAACTTCTATAAATATAGGAGAGCACACAATGTCTTAAATATTTTCTGTGTATAAAACTCATGCACATGACTCTTTATGTATCTATGCATATGTCCCCTCGGTAATGACATCTAACACTGAATAAATTCCAAAGGAAACTTTATCTGTAGATTTCCTCTTTCAATGGCTAATGTTTTTACAGAAAATTGCATTAGGTAAACATCTAATTTCTCATGCATCTCAGATAAATATTTCTAAAGAAGTGACTACCTTTATTTTTTCAGTTACTATGCTAACAGTCTGAGCCCATATTATCATTTAGTCTGACAGTCCATCACATTACCTTCCTGGTCCTGTTTACATGGTGAGCATTTCTATATTTTGCTCAAGACTTGAGCTCTTCCTTTTTCACCCTCATCTTCTCTAGGCCTTGCCCTCCTAAACTCTCACCTTCCAGGAAGGGCTGTGTTTCTATGCACCTGGGCCGAGGCTAGTCTTTAAGGCAACTCTCAACTTGCTGATAATAAGGTTGGCTTCATACAAAAGCAAAAGTGAGGTAATAGGAGAGTGAAGAATAAATGGGAGAGATTTATCTGATAGATAAACGGGCTCTCCCAGAAAGTGGCAGAAAGAGGTAGACTCAAGTACTGAAAGCAGAAAGAATCGTTGGTGGGAGGGCGGTATGGTGTGAATCCTGACCCAAAAGCCAGCTCTTAACGGAAGGAACTTAGTGGCCTCTTTCTCTGGGGCCAAGTCGCTGTCTTCGGTCCTGAAGTCTCGTCCCTGTTCCACCACTCCGCGACTGGCGGAAGTTCCCCTAGCGAGAGCCCCGCAGGCCTGCGGGGTCTGCCAAACCCGGCTCTCTAAGCTTCACCTGCTTGGAGAAGGACGTTTCCCCCTTGTCCGCTTTCTTGGGGTCCGGGACTGGCCCTCTTGAAGTAGCCTGGGACGTCCCAGCCCCTTCTCGATCTGGCCCTGCTCATGCCCAAGGCCCTCGCGTTTTGCAGGCCCAGGCTCGGGGCTCCAGGGCCTGCGGCCGGGCAAGGTCGCGCCTCCACACCGTTTCCCCGCCCGGGTGCCGGCTCCGGGTCTCCAGCCTAAAGGCCCTGGGGACCGCTGACCTCCTGCTCTCTGTTCCAGGGAGGCTGTCCGGTGGACAAGACGCACAGAAACCAGTGCAGGGCGTGTCGGCTGAAGAAGTGTTTGGAAGTCAACATGAACAAAGACGGTAATCAGTGCATCCCTTTATTCCAATGTTGATTGAGTAGTAAGTAAATTATATGTACAGAAAATACATGGCACTCCTATGCATGTAAATCAACCCCGGAGCGCTTCTTTCCAGATGCTGGGAATTGGCCTCGGGCTTTCAGTCGTATCCTTCCCGTCTTTCAGCAGGAGCCGCTGGCGACCCCTAGAATTCCCCAGGGCAAGACCCATGCCCACATCAGGAACTTGCGCCCCACAGTCATCTCCACACAGGCAGCGCTTGGGGGGACCCCACTCTCCAGGGGACCGGCGCGCATTTTCTGCCTCCGGTCCTAATCCCTCTTTGCAGCCCTTCGTGGCCACCCTTAAGCCTGCTAGCCTGCCCCAGGATCTTAAAATCTGGATAGTCTCACGGGGAGGAGATCATACAGGCTGGAAGTTCGCGGTGTGTTGAAAAAGGGAGGGCAGAGACGCGAAAACGCGGAATTTCCAGCCCGTGTGCAAATTCTCCAAGATGCCAAAATCAGTACGGCCATTGGGCCGATGTGAGTCCAGGGCCTTCTCTCTGTTCTACAGAAAAGAGGGAAAGGGGGCTGGAGAGGCAGGGTAACGCCCGTGGGTGCCTCGGACACCCAGCTCTCCCAAGGCTCTTAAGCGCGCAACAGCAAGAACCAGGACGTCAGAGTGCTTCCTGGGCCTGGAGCACGGTCCGAGCTGCGTCCCCCGCTGCAGCCTGTCGAGGGCGCCCCAGGCCCAGGCAGGGGGCGAGGGTAATGGGCTGGAGGACACCGTGGGGCCTGGGAACAGGGTGCGAGTGGGTTTTGCTGTGAGGCGGCCCGGGCCGGGTGGCAGCTCCAGGAGGAGAGAGAGCCCCTTCCTCTGCGGCGCAGGAAGCCGGAGGGAGCGTCCAACCTGTTGAACTTGTGTATTGACAAGTTGTCAAGCTCGGCAGGCCGAAGATTGCCCTGAATTAATTTGTTTGTTTAAACTGTTGGTGGTAATTGTCACATCTCCCCTGCCTTTCTCCAGCATACTCGGAGACGGGTTCTCCCTCGTTCCATTCCCTAGCAATCCCGGGGCTCGGGTCCTTTCCTCCTGCGGCCCTCGGAGGCCAAAAGCTATTTCTGTGGGGGCGGGGCCTGCGGGTAGGGAGGCTTGTTCTTGGACGGAGCTGGAAAAGTCTGCGCAGAAACGAGGTGTCTGGCGTGCGCGACGCTCCCTCTCTTTTGGATGGGGGCGAGGATACCTGGCTACTCCAGCCCAGAGGGTCTCTGGTTTCCCTGCGAACCCCCTTCCCTGGTGGGGAGGAGCCCTGGACCGAAGGAGAACACACCTGGTCTTACTTGAGGCTCTGCCATTATCGTGGCACTTTGAGCACGGGCCCCTCTTCTAAGCCTCAGCTTCCGAATCTATTCAGTGTAGTGGTTAGACGATCTCAGAATCCCTTCCTCCCTCAGATTCCCTCTCCCTTCTTCTTTTCACCTCTTGGGCGATTTTGCCCGCCCAGACTTGACATTGGGGCGGGGCTGGGGGGAGAGCCGCAGCGGCTGTGTCTCGACGTCTCTAATCGCCGGCATGCGTTTCTCTGTTTGCCTCTGCAGCCGTGCAGCACGAGCGGGGGCCTCGGACGTCCACCATCCGCAAGCAAGTGGCCCTCTACTTCCGTGGACACAAGGAGGAGAACGGGGCCGCCGCGCACTTTCCCTCGGCGGCGCTCCCTGCGCCGGCCTTCTTCACCGCGGTCACGCAGCTGGAGCCGCACGGCCTGGAGCTGGCCGCGGTGTCCACCACTCCAGAGCGGCAGACCCTCGTGAGCCTGGCTCAGCCCACGCCCAAGGTCAGCGGCCTTGCTGGGCCCAAAGAGACTCGTGCCAGCGAATGGAGAGGGACGCACCCAGTTCTTCTGAGCTGTGTGATTGGGGTCAGGCAAACTGGGGAGAGAACTCCAGGGTGCTTGGCGGGTCTCTGCATGGAGCTCCAGCCCTTCTGCTCTCCCTTGTTCAGCCAGGGGTGCTCAAACTTGAGTGTACAGTAGAGTCAACCTCCGAGTGGCTACAAGTGTGCACTCCGGATCTTATCCCCCCAGAAATTTCATTTCAGCAAGTTTGGGGTGGAGGCCAGGAACCTGCACCTTTAGGAAACACCCACTGGTAATGGGTGGTGGGTGGAGACCTCGTCTAAACCCAGAGGGCAGCCTCAGGTGTTCCTAAAGACCAGAAGAACCAACGTTCATTTTTAGAGGAGAGGAATTGGCTACAGCTGGAGGAAGGGCTCCAGAATTCCAAATCTTGGCATGTATGATCTTGGGCAAAGCCATGAGTTTCTAACGCAAGTGCGAAATGTGGAGATCACACTGTTAGAACAGTTTGAGGAATCTGAGTTCATTTCCCATGCTCCCCTCACCTACTTCTGAGGCAGGTGGATTTACAGCAGGGTTGATTCCATAGGAGCAGGGCCACAGCCTGAACCACCTGGAAAGGCTGCCACCTAAGGCCTACCCTCCAGGCCTACAGCTGATACCTACTAACACCCCCACTCCAGGCTGATGAGGGCCTAGGATCTCCCTCAGAGGAGGGCCAGCTGCAGCCCCACACTGCAGGGAAGCCAGACACCTGGGCACATGCACACGCACAATATTTAATATGGCTTTCTTACCCTTGATGTGTATAATAAGCTCTGGAAAGTAGTGTTATGAATATGTTGTCAGTTATGAATGGGAATGCTCTGTGAATGATTAAGATGTCTAATTGAAATATTTCCATAATATACTAATCCTTTCTAAAAATACTCATATGCATATTTGTGTTTGGGATGCCTATTAATTTATACTTTTTCACATCTATTTTTATTTACACAAATGCAAGCAGCTCTTGTCTAAATTGGGAGCCAGGCTTGGCACTTGGCTCAGCCCAAGGAAAATTTGCTGCAGGGGATAGAAAAGCCAGAGGGCCTTCTGGAAGGGAGAGGCTCCCAAAGAGTGGAAATGGACCTCCCCCAACCAGTATTACTTTTCAAACTCTATAGACAGCGATGTTTGATTTTTTTACCCACCAATGTCAACTGCATGTTTAAACAAAACATCCAAATTCTTTTTTATCCCCTTCCTTGCTTTAATTAGAAATTAAAAGTTTGGTTCTTCTTGCAAAGCTGTGGTTTCCTCACTTCCAGGTGTCTTTCTTTCTTCCCTACCCAGTACCCCCATGAAGTGAATGGGACCCCAATGTATCTCTATGAAGTGGCCACGGAGTCGGTGTGTGAATCAGCTGCCAGACTTCTCTTCATGAGCATCAAGTGGGCTAAGAGTGTGCCAGCCTTCTCCACGCTGTCTTTGCAAGACCAGGTATGACCACACTGAGGCCTTGGGAGAAAGAGAGCTGGGAAAGAAGCAGTAGCACTCAGCCTTATAAAACTTCCTCTATCCCTGGGTAAACCACCCAAGGCAGGCATCCATTCTTAATAGCAGTGAGGAAACTACTTGTTTTTACTTGCTTCTTCCTGTGGGTTCAAAATATCTACCTATATGATCCTTAGTAAGAAACGTAATTACATTATTTCAGAAAGGATGGGTCCAGTCTGTGAAAACACACATACAAGAACATTACCTCTTTTTGTTTGATTGGAACAGCAAATATAATCTCAAATTTTAAAATTGTAATGATTTTCTAAAACTGTTGATGAAACAATGTTTTACTAAGAACATTGGAACTGAGAGAAGTAGAAGGTGGTAAGAGTATGCCCTCATGAGATTTTTCAGAACTGATGTTATTATTTTATATTCCCAGCTTTATATTCTCCATTGCGATGCTCCCAGTTTTGGTCATTAATTGATAAGCATGTAAAACCAAAGGGCACAGTGCACACCTCCTGTAGGCTAGGTTCTTCCTTGATTCTTCATGTACTTTTAGACATTTTGTAAACAAATAGGCATTTTGCTTAATTCCGTGGTTGTAAATGACATTCAGGGGAAGAAAAAGTGTGTGCAGTGAAACATTGTATTGTACTGAGACCCAGAAATTTTGTTGATAGGAATATTAGAAATGCTAACATTTTTCTAACCTTAAAGGAAAGAAAGAAAATAAAGTGTTCCCAACCATTGGCTGTTACCAGTGCATTCACAGGAATTAATGACAAATTTTCCAAAGGCTAATAAGTAGTTCTAAAAGCAAAGGATTTATTTCTTCAATTCATTTCATACCTAATTAAAGCATAATAGTGCCCCTTTATATGAAGTATGTTTCCTACGGAAAGATCGGGCAATGTGCTAAAAGCATTTCATTTTCTAGCATGAGATGTTCTTGTTTTCATGGCCTGCCCTTTCAAATATGGCCAGAATTAAATATTGTTTACCTTGCATTTTATAATTATTTCCTGTACTTGATGGAATAAAACTAAAAATAAAACATTAAAAAAATTAAACCCTTTGGTCTAATTGTGATTTTGGTTACAAGCCTTCATGATTCAGCTCTTAGCTCCCAAAAGAAATCCTTTTACATAAATCATTTAGAGTTGACTGGCTTTTGAGTTTTGAGATTTTTAAAGGTAGTTAGGTCCTATCTTTGACCAGGTTTACTGGTTAGCTCTAACCACTTCCTGTGTGTGTGTGTGTGTGTGTGTGTGTGTGTGTGTGTGTGTAGACTGGCTATTTTTTTTCAAAATAAGTATTTGTATACTCTCACCCAAACAAAATTTACTTACTGTCTGCCACTTAGCCCTTTGGTAGAAATCCTTCGACAACAAGCAACCTGCAGTGAAGTGGAATCTGGTATATTAATTTGGAAAAAGAGACAGATTTTCATTTTAAATATTCAGTAGCACATTTTATTAGAATAAAAATGACAAGCACCTTGATGCTGTCCATTTATGGGTCTCAGAAAAATCAAGCAGTGAGACGAGGAAAACTCAGCAAAACCCGATTAACATAATTACACCCTGATTTCCCCCAGTGCCTCTTGGGAATTAGTGATCTCTGTCTCTCTCCCAGCCCAGCCCCCTCAACCCTCCAGGAAGATGGGGACCCAGCTCTGCAAGCGTCTGAGGAATCCTCAACCCTGCTAATAGCAGCATTCTCTGTGAGGGGAATCCACCTGCTGAGCTGCTGGCATTTCATAAAGCCTCGCTCTCTAGAGGAGCTTCTAGGTGGTCAGGAATGGGTGGATACAAGGACAAGAGGGGCAAATCCTTTTCTGAGAGAAGGAAACTTTGGAGAATTGGAATGGCTGACTCTCAAATCCATATGCATATCTATAGGCACCTTTTCAAAAGGAAAATATGGGAAAATAAGGGAAAGCTAGAATATTCAGAAAAAATTACCAAGACAGGCATTTAAAACACTTTTTAAAATAATGGAAATTTACATAGTGAAATTGTTTATAAATTTATAAATTACACACTATATTATATTATACATCTATTGTATGACAGCTGATGCTTTTGGAAGATGCTTGGAGAGAACTGTTTGTTCTAGGAATAGCACAATGGGCCATTCCGGTTGATGCTAACACTCTACTGGCTGTATCTGGTAAGAATTGCACAATTTAATGACTTTGTTGTAGAAATTACCATAAAAATACATTACTGAAAAAAGAACAACATGTAAAGAATAACAAATTCCTGCTGAACAATAGAGTATACCTGTCATTTATAAATCTATATTTAAATGCAAATAATGTTGTTTTGTTGTATTCATGACTGCTTGCATTGTTATTTAAATGCAAATTACTGTGTTTGTTATCATCCAAGAGAAGATTTTATATTAACTTTCATACAATATAGCCGGTTTACATGGAATCAGATATCTTAGAGTGACAATTGAATAGATATTGATATGCAGGATTTTGTCAAAAATCAATATTAAATCATGAAAATGCCTTCATATTAGAGTATTTATCCCATATTTTTATTCTAGGCATGAACGGTGACAACACAGATTCCCAGAAGCTGAACAAGATCATATCTGAAATACAGGCTTTACAAGAGGTGGTGGCTCGATTTAGACAACTCCGGTTAGATGCTACTGAATTTGCCTGTCTAAAATGCATCGTCACTTTCAAAGCCGGTAAGCAGACACAGACCCCTGTTTCTTCTCCTTCCCCAGTTTTGCCACCTCACTAATTCAGCCACCTCGAAGTCTGAACTGACCTTTGCAAAAAGAGGTGATGGTTTTCAAGGGAGCTGATACTCTTAATCTGGCCCCATTTTTTATTGCTATGGGAACCTGCATGTTCTGCTGGGCATCAACTTCCAGAGAGGTGCATTCCCAGACCCAATTTCTTTTTTTCTTTCTTTTTTTTTATTTTTTAAATTTTTGTGGAGATGGTGTCTTGCTCTTGTCACCCAGGCTGGAGTCCAATGGCACCATCTCAGCTCACTGCAACCTCTGCCTCCTGGGTTTAAGCAATTCTCCTGCCTCAGCCTCCCAAGTAGCTGGGATTACAGACACATGCCACCATGCCTGGCTAATTTTTGTATTTTTAGTAGAAACAGGGTTTCACCATGTTGGCCAGGTTGGTCTCGAACTGCTGACCTCAAGTGATCCGCCTGCCTCGGCCTCCCAAAGTGCTGGGATTACAGGCGTGAGCACTGCGCTCGGCTCCCAGATGCAATTTCTATGCTGTCTATCACAGTTTCCTGGTCTTCATTTCTAGTTCCTACACATAGTGGTTCTGAACTGAGAAGTTTCCGGAATGCTGCCGCCATTGCAGCCCTTCAAGATGAGGCTCAGCTAACGCTCAACAGCTACATCCATACCAGGTGACCCTTGTTTGCCTTGAACATGTACTTAAGAAAATTGCCTCCATTGTGAATGCCTGAGCAGGCGGTAATAAGCCAGTTCAAACATTGTGACTAATTATCTTGTTGCCAGCCAGTTAATTTAGGGAGAATCCATGTCCTTACCTATCTCTCAGGGTGGGTGAGAGGAGCAAATCTAATTAGATGATCAAAGTGAAAGCACTGCCAGACATATTACAGTTGTCCTGGCGGAACAAATTGATCCATCAAAATAATGGAACAACATTTGTGTGAATGGGTATGGAGGGGTCAAAAATGAAGCCTAGGCTGGGCACAGTGGCTCACGCCTGTAATCCCAGCACTTTGGGAGGCCGAGGTGGGTGGATCACGAGGTCAGAAGATCGAGACCATCCTGGCTAACACAGTGAAACCCCGTCTCTACTAAATAATACAAAAAAATTAGCTGGGTGTGGTGGTGGGCACCTGTAGTCCCAGCAGCTACTCGGAAGGCTGAGGCAGGAGAATGTCGTGAACCTGGGAGGTGGAACTTGCAGTGAGCCGATATTGTGCCACTGCACTCCAGCCTGGGCGACAGAGCGAGACTCCGTCTCAAAAAAAAAAAAAAAAAAAAAGAAGCTCAAAGTGTAATGGTTGGTATGTGAGAGAGTGGCCACATCATCCTTGAGAAAACACAGGTGACTTTCTTCAGATGCCAATCTCAAATAAAAGGATGAGAGAACTTTCCAGAGAGGCTATCTTTTTTTTTGAGACAGGGTCTTGCTCTGTTGCCCAGGCTGGAAGGCTGAAGTGCAGTGGCATGTGAGCATGGCTCACTGCAGCCTTGAACTCATGGGCTCATGTGATCCTCCCACCTCAGCCTATTGAGTAGCTGAGACTATAGGTGCATGCCACCACACCCAGCTAATTTTTTTTTTTTTTTTTTTTTGAGACAGAGTTTCACTCTTTCACCCAGGCTGGAGTGTAGCGGTGCAATCTCGGCTCACTGCAACCTTCGCCTTCCGGGTTCAAGTGATTCTCCTGCCTCAGCCTCCCAAGTAGCTGGGATTACAGGTGCCTGCCACCACGCCCAGCTAATTTTTGTATTTTCAGTAGAGACGGGGTTTCACCGTGTTGGCCAGGCAGGTCTCGAACTCCTGAACTTGTGATCTGCCTGCCTTGACCTCCCAAAGTGCTGGGATTACAGGTGTGAGCCACCATGCCCGGCACACCCAGCTAATTTTTAAACTTTTTATAGAGACAAGGTCTTGCTATGTTGCCCAGGCTGGTCTCGAACTCCTGGCCTCAAGTGATCCTCCCACCTAAGTCTCCCAAAGTGCTGGGATTACAGGCCTGGGCCACTGTGCCCAGCCTAAAGAAGCCATCTTTTCACCTATCATAACTGTTGTTTGGCCTTGGTGACTGGTATCTGTTATTTTGTGTCATAACATCTACCAGGTTACTTCTGGCCATGCAGGGCCCACAGGCAGAGGCTGTTTTTGGCTGTTTGTAGGAACTCTCAGAGACTGGGGCTCCAACAAAGCTCCTCCTGGCCCAGCACTGGGCAAGCCCATTAAGAAGTATAGACTGGGGGCTGAGGTGGCTCCACACCTGTAATCCCAGCATTTTGGGAGGCCAAGGCAGGCAGTTCACTTGAGCTCAAGAGTTCGAGACCAGCCTGGGCACAACATGGCAAGACCCCATCTCCACCAAAAATTTAAAAAAAAAAAAAAGAAGAAGTGTAAATTTTATTATGCCATTTAAAAAAAAAGCCAGGCTTTTAAAGAGAAATGGAAACTTTCTAGTTTCCTGAGTTAGGACTGGTAGATTTGAAGTTAGAATAGAGTTACTCTTCTCTAGGCTGATTTGAAAGGAATCTGTGAAAGCTCAGCTCCATAATCTCAACATCAGCTATAGACACTGTGGGGGGAATAAATACATCAAATGGGTAGAGGCTGTTAATGCCTCCCTCAACTAATGGGTCAGAGAAATCCCAAGTCAACTCTGTCCATTTGGGGTGATACCACTTCTGCTAGAGTCTCTCTATTTCTATCGTAAACCTCTTTTGAATACTAAATGAATAAAACTGTTCCCTGTCTATGGAATATCACTGAAACTATGTTGACAGATAGTGCACCTGTATATGTTTTTTCAAATTAAAATGCCAGGATTTGAATTTTAAATGCATATTGAATTACAGAATATATATAGTAGGCAGTTAATATTTGTTCAAATTTATTAAATGGAGCAGTACATAATCTGGGTACTTCTACTGACTTGTAGGCCGGGCACAGTGGCTCACACCTGTAATCCCAAGCACTTTGGGAGTTCAAGGAGGGCGGATTACCTGAGGTCAGGAGTTCAACACCAGCCTGGCCAACATGGTGAAACCCGTCTCTACCAAAAATAGAAAAGTTAGCTGGGCGTCATGACGTGCACCTGTAGTCCCAGCTACTCAGGAGGCTGAGGCAGGAGAACTGCTTGAAGCTGGGAAGTGGAGGTTGCAGTGAGCCGAGATTGTGCCACTGCACTCCAGCCCCAGGTAACAGAGTGAGTGAGACTCCGTCTAAAAAACAAACAAAAAAATTAAAAAGACAAAAAAACAAAAACAAACTAACTTGTATGTCCTAACTGACCTTTGACATTTAGAGCCATTATGGTATTAAGAACTTAAAAATGAGAAGGACGTGGTATCCAGTTATTGATCCAGTCAAGCCTTTGCCGAGTACTGGCCACATGCAGGGCTGCAGGTGGGCGATATGGGATACCAGAAGGAGCAAGACACTGCCCCTTATCATTGCAAGAAGTGGGCAGCAGTGTCACTCCAATCCAAACTAGAGAAGAGAGGAAAGCAATGTGGGGAGTGTGACAGATGAATCCTAGTCAGAGGGAGTGAGGGACAATCAGAAAAGCTCAAAGTCTGATGGGTGGAGGAAAGAACATGTGAATTGGTCCTTCAATGGGAGGAGGATTTCAGCAGGGGAGAAGATGTGTCCTGAGAGTGGTGGAGGAGCTGGTAGGGGTCCTGTGGGAAGTGCCAGAGAGGTGAGTGAGGAGGGGAGCCTGGTGTGCCAGGAGCTGCTGATAGGGTGGCCCGAGAGAATTCAACCATGGGTTAACAACAGCCTATTTTAGAGAAATGGCAAGTAAAGTACATCTCCCCAACACCGCAAAAGAAGAAAATTATGTGTGGAAAAAACACATCTGCTTTGCCATGGAATTCTTATTATTTCTATTAAATATTAGAATAGTAAATATCAAATAAGTATCTTATTTCTTATTAAATAATGGAATTATGGAATTTCTTATTTCATGGAATTCTTATTTCATTCTGATATCAGCTACAGCTGTAATTTAATATTTATATCTAGGGTCATACATGTGACAAAAATGACTATGCCTTATTTCTTAGCCCTTCAAATCAGTGAACACTTTTTCCTCCAGCACTTTCCTGTCTAGAAAAATAAAACCTGAACTTGAAATGAAAACTTAACATGCAAACTGAAACTGAGCCTAATTGTATATTACAGCTCTCTAAGCTATTTCTCTAATTATCGAGGACGTAAGGAGAAGGCTAGGAATTGACATTCCACACAAACTATATTCTATAACTGAAGATCAAATATGCAAATCTGTAATAGACCTAAAACACTTAAACCTAAAAGAAAATCCAATTATTGATGCTAATGGATGAAGACAAGGGCATAGATATTCTAAAAAATAATTTTGATTAGTCAGACCTTCTCTCTCTAACACACACACACACACACGCACACACACATACACACACACACACACACACACATTGTTTTTGTTTTGGATGCCCAGGCTGCATTGCAGTGGTGCAATCATGGCTCACTGCAACCTCTGCCTCTGAGGCTCAAGCAATTCTCCCACCTCTGCCTTCTGAGTATCTGGGACTACAGGTGCCCAGCGAATTTTTGTAGAGATGAGCCCTTGCTATGTTGCCCAGGCTCATCTTGAACTCCTGGGCTCAAGCGATGCTCTTGCCTCAGCCTCCCAAAGTGCTGGGATTACAGGTATGAGCCACCACACCTGACCTCATACATTGCTATTGTTTCTGGTAGTAGTACAGTATGCTATATGTAATAGACAATTAATTTTTGTTGACTGACTAACCAACCCTTTCCCAACTAAAGAATAAAATAAGTGGGAGAGTAGATGAGTGGGTAATCTAATCGCAGAAAATCAGGAGTTGGTTGTCTATAGATTCCCCCAAATTCATCCTTTCTGAAGGTGATTATTTCTCACAGTGGTTTCTCACCACGGGAAATGTTCAGCATGTTGGGTGGATGCTGCAGATGGCAGAGGTCGTCCAGGCAGCCACTGCCTCCGACTTGCTGAAGAATTATCTCTACTATGCCTGGTCCTGGGAAGGGAAATAGAGCTGTTGAAAAGAAGTGGCCAAGGTGAAAGGGAGACACGGATTTGGGGATTACTTTCCAAGAAACATTAGAAATACATTAAACAAGGAGAACAAGTGGTAGGATTTAAGTATTTTTTTTTAATGCAGGTAAGCTTCACCATTTCCACACCACACTACTAGATGTGGTCTGGTGGCCCCTATCTGCAGGTGGTCATGAAGCTGGGCAGTGAAAGAGCCAGCTGAGGTCCTGAGAGGCCCAGATGAACTATAAGCCTTGTATTCTGTGGAAGTGAAGGACTCTTATGTGCCCAGAGCTAAATATTTAGACAAGCATGAAAGTTGCTCCCCTGAACTTTATTTGCAGGGTGGAGTTATCAGGCAGTTAAACACAGCCACCTGACTCCTTCGAAGGAATTTTGATATCCCTTAGCTTCTAGCACCTTGTGGCCTGGGTTGAACCCAGCTTAGTCACAGATGTGTATCCCGGAAGTTCAGGTTTTAGGTGTTTCATTTCAGTGGAGGGAGCTCTCCTTATGTATATTGATATCTAATTCTAACTATTGGCTGAAGAAGTATCAGGGCTGCAGTGAGGAGGTGGCTTGCAGGCATCTAAAGGCAGCAGAAGATTGAACTTGCACATCTGAGCACAGATATATGTTGGACATCAAAAGAGGAAATTGTTAAGCAATTTCTCACATCTTTAATTACATGCCAATTTCATTGACATGAGAGTTGGGTGGCACTGCCACCCAACAGAACTTAGTCTTTAATTTGCAGTGTAATAAGGATGGAATTATTCCTGAGAGAGACTAAGTATAATGCCTGAATAATAATTTGGAGAATTGCTTAGAAAAAGAAGCCATTTTATTTGAGGGAAATAGCCTTGAGGAGTCCTTAGAATTAGAAAACATGGGTTCTGTTGCTAGCCTTATCCTCAATGCCCTGGTCGTTTTCTATAATGGAAACCTTAAATTTATTATTTGGCTTAAAATTAGTATTATGCTTCTTAAATTTCTTTTTTTTTCCCAAACAAAATGCAATCCATTTGTTAATGTAGAGAGGGTGTCCGTGTGATTTTGGCAGCATCATTTATGGTCTCCCTGCCTCAAGTAGTCTACCTGCAAAACGGGGACAACAGTGCCTGTCCAGAACTTTGCTGCAGGGATACTGTGTTATTCAAGAGACCTAGATCAGCAATGCTGGAGATGATGTGTGTTCAAGTGTAAGACGTTAGTTTCCATAAGTAATGGCCTCTGACCTTGTTTTCATGGCTTCTCACATTCCAGATATCCCACTCAACCCTGTCGCTTTGGAAAACTCCTGTTGCTTTTGCCAGCTTTACGTTCTATTAGCCCATCAACTATAGAAGAAGTGTTTTTCAAAAAAACCATCGGCAATGTGCCAATTACAAGACTGCTTTCAGATATGTACAAATCCAGTGATATCTAAGCTCACAAGATACCCACTTTTCAGGATGGGACAGTATCAGATGAACTTCAACCCATGGAGAACAAGCCTCAACTAACAAACCCTTCAGGAAGCATATACCGGGGAATGTGTAGCCTTCAGGAAAAAAATGCCAATTGACACAAAGCATTCCAGTAGCTATGACCTGCCGCCCTGACCAGGATAGGGCGGGTGGGAAGGAGAGGGGTGCAACAGGACCGCCTGCACTGAAAACTCACTGCTGCCATGCCCTGGGAGGGGGCAAACTGGGGGTTGCCACAGGCCGTGCCATTCTGCCTCTTACCTGGAAGATCAGGCTGAACGATCAAAAGCTGAAACATAAGTAGTGCTTTCTCTTCCTTTTTAGCATACAAAGTTTGGTAACCAAATATAGCTCTGTGTATAACATCGTACTGCGGCCTTCAAAACTACGTTATGTTGGAGCATTTATTTTAAAAATAATGGTAGGTTTTAAATTAAAAGTGTTATCAAAAGTTTCCCCTCTATTGTAATACATTATTAAGTGGCCTTCAGAACTGAGTTAATAAGTGAAAAGTAGCTTATGCCATGTGATTTGCTTTTTCTCTATCTTCTTTTTTCTTTTCTTTCTCTTTCTTTTGTTCTTTCTTCTTCTTTTTTAATACCATAGGCCAGGCAACCTTGTCAAAGGAATTGATGGACAAAATGAGATTCTCACCAGGACTTCAGGTTGGATAACATGTCAAAAAGAGAAGAGCTTTACTAAAAGAACATAAGTCAAGGGAGGATGAATAAAAACAGCAAAACCAAATAAAGTGGAGATGAGTGATTGAGTGAGGTAGATTGCTGTCCCGTTAACATAGTGCTGAAACCAAAGGCAGTGGGGGTCCAAACTCGTGGTGCAGCAAGTCACACCAGACAGGAAACGAATATGGACGTAATTGCAGAAGGAACTTCAAGGAGATGAATGAATGCTAAAAGGGTTCTTGACTGATCCATTGCTAACAGCCTGAGACTCTTCAATGCCTTTCCGAAAACTGGTTTCTAGTAAAGCCTTGAATGAACACACACACACACACACACACACACACACACACACACACACACACACACCGTCCTACACTTTAAGCTGCTCCTTTGGTATGACTCTATACTTATGGAAATGTAGAAACAAACATTTTTAAATAGCTGCTGTACTTTTCACATTTTGATTTATTAGGTACTAGCACTGAGGAAAAAAAATTCAGCACTTGGACTATCATAGGATGAGTAAAACTTTTCTTGTACAAAGTGAATTAACTGATTTGTGAAGTTAAAAGGTTGTACTCATTGTATTTACAAAGAATAAAAATATATTGAATTTAAATGAACTCTTTCTGATTTCTTACCCTCCCTCCCTGGCTGGTTCTCACCCACCAGAAACAAGGTAGGGGCAGCAGCTGGTGTTAAAACTGAAGCTCGGAGCACTCCAGCACAGAGCCTGCAGAACTGAACTACAAAGGCAATTTCCTTCTTACAGTGAATACCATTTGGAAAATGATGAATAAAGAAATAAAACGTAAGATTCTGTTCTCTACAGCTCTCAAATGTAATTGCATCTGTTAGAAAAATTGCTGTGTGAGGAGGAAGGAGGCCGATTAACAGAGTCTTCATTCCTTCCTCTGTTTCTAACTCTCTTGCCAACATTTCAATCCTGACCAGTCACTTGAAATCATTTAATGATCAAAAAGATAAAGTATGATAAAGTTCATATGGTGAGTAAGATGTGGAGGGAGCAGTAGAAATGTCATCCAGATGTTCCCAGCAAGTCTTAAGGCACCGGTCCCACAAGCAAAGGCCATCAGAGGTGCCCAAGGCCACAGGCACTGTAGACTCCTTTTGGGTGGCAGCTCCAGCAAGAGATGCTTGTGCCTCTGCTCTTGCTAAAATGGTCTTGCGGACCGTATATGTGAAATTTCAATCAGCTGTGCACTTCTTGTCTACTTATTCTACGGAGAATGAGAATTGGTCTTAAAGAAAAGCACAGTACTCAAAGACTGTGTAAGAATGTCCCTTGCAACACTGTTCGTATTTAACAACTTTAGTATCCATTGACAGATAATAGGTACATTGTGGTGAATACAGACAATGTTACCGTAGGCAAAGTGAATGGCTAGAGCTAATGTATCAACATGGGTAAATCTGAAATACAGTGTGTTTGTGTGTGTTATGGGGAAAGTAAATTGCAGAGGGCACATACAGCTTGGTATCATTTATATAAAGTTTTACAACCTACAGAACAATACTAGACAATGTTTATGGGCATATAAATGTATAGGAAACATTTAAAACAGGCATGAGTATTATAAACACTAACTGCTGGATAGTGGCTACTTCCAAGAAGAGATGGGATGGGTGAAGGGTATAACAGGACCCTCAAATGTTTCTGTAATGGTTAATTTCATAAGAAAAAAATCTCAAACAAATATGAGATGAATGACAAGATTTAGTAAAGCTGAGTGATGGGTCCAAGGCTGTTCATCTGTGTATCAGTCAAGTTTTCCTTCAATAATACTGAATAACAAACATCCCTCAAAGCTTACAGCAACAAACTCTTATAACTTGCTCACAGGACTGCCAGCCTCATGTGGCTGTGCAGGGCTTGGCTGGGCTCAGCTGGAGCTGACTCCAGGCTATAGTTTGGGTTTAATATGCTCCAGGGAGTCTGGGGGAGGTGACTCACACCTATAATCCCAGCACTTTGGGAGGCTGAGACAGGCAGATCACAAGCCCAGGAGTTCGAGACTAGCCTGTGCAACAAGGTGGAACCCAGTCTCTACTAAAAATACAAAAAATTAGCCAGGTGTCGTCATGTGCACCTGTGGTCCTAGTTATTTGGGAGGCCAAGGTGGGAGGATCACTTGAGCCCAGGAAGTCGAGGCTGCAGTGAGCTGTGATCATGCTACTGCACTCCAGCCTGGTGACAGAGTGAGACCCTGTCTCAATAATAAATAAATAAATAAGCTTCAGGGTTTCCTCATCCTGGACTAGCAGCTTTCCTAGGATAGCTTCTTTTCATGGCAACGTGCAGAAGTGCAAGAGGCTGATGCAAACACATTTACAGCTGCTACTCACTTCACATTGCTTACTTTCCCCCGGCCACAGCAAGATCGATGGTCAACCTTCCCAACCTTAAATGGGCAGAGAAGTGCACTCCTCCCGTAGAGGTGGAGTGAGGAGAGAAGATTCACTGAACTATAACAAAATCTAGTACAATCACAATCTACTTTAGTCTATTATAAATATTCTCAGGAAAATTAAAAGGGAGTAAGATTCTTGTGACAAGCCACAGAATACTGATTCCTACTGGGATTGCTTTTCTTTTGGGCATCTCTGTCATTATTTAAAAAAAAAAAAAAAAGCAAGCCTGGCTTTCAACATTTGAGAAGGCCCAGAATTTAAAGCTCAGTAGCAGATATTCTCTATGGCTGGTGTTGTGGGGGAGGCTCAACAGTGGTCCGTGAATACACAAGTTCAAGATATACAATCCAAATGGACAAATAAGAGATGCATTCAGCCAAATGATTATTCCAGTAAGAAAGAAAAAATTGTCTTCAATGCTTCTCCTTTTTTTTTTTTTTTTTTTTTGACAGAGTCTCACTCTGTCTCCCAGGGTAGAGTGCAATGGCCCGATCTCGGCTCACTGCAACCTCCACCTCCCGAGTTCCTGGATTCTAAGTGATTCTCGTGTCTCAGCCTCTGGAGTAGCTGGGATTGCAGGGGTGCGCCACCACGCCTGGCTAATTTTGTGTTTTTAGTAGAGATGGGGTTTCCCCATGTTGGCCAGGCTGGTCTCAAACTCCTGATCTTAGGTGATCCACCCTCCTCAGCCTCCCAAAGTGCTGAGATTACCGGTGTGAGCCACCATGCCC
The DNA here is from genome assembly GCF_000001405.40 of Homo sapiens. NCBI lineage: Eukaryota > Metazoa > Chordata > Mammalia > Primates > Hominidae > Homo > Homo sapiens. The sequence continues at coordinate 108,191,351 of NC_000006.12, forward strand.
AGCCTAATGCTTCTCCTTTGATAAATGTTTTTTCTAAATCTTGGAGGGTCACTTTTCAAAAGTGTTATTTACATACCATGGCTATTAGATATGATGTCTTACATTTGTGTTTAACTTACTTTTAGTTATCCTTTGATACAAGAGAAGAGAGAGAACAGGCGGTGAGCTCAGTCTCTGAATTGAGACTCCTAAATTATTTTACATATAGCTCAAGGTTTTCAATCCAATGTAGGAGCCCAAGCACTGAATCCATTGGCCAGAGATTACTCATGGCTGCCTTTCTTAAACATTTTATAAAAATGGAAACACTACTTTTCTGCAAGTTTCTTTTTTGCCTAAGGCTATCTCTCCTGATGAATACATATGGCTCTACCTCATTCAATTTAACATCTATCTAGTATTCCATTTTAAGGATGGACCACTGTTTACCCAACTAATTCCTTGTTCAGGAACTTGGGTTGCTTGCAGTGTTTCACTATAATAAATTAAACTGCAAAGAACTCACCTTCCATATACACTTTTGTGGGTTTGTGGGGGTGTTTCCGTAGGATAAACTCTTAGAAGTGGCATTTCTGGGTCAAAGATTATATGCATTTTTAATTTTGATAGATACAGCCAAATGGCTCTCCAAAGGGTTGTATCAATTTGCACTCCTGCCAAGAGGGTATGAGAGGGCCCATTTCATTGCTCAGAATTTAAAAGTGCTTAATCAGACACAGGCTTGATGAACACTTCAGAAGCTGTTAGAAAAATACAGAGAATGCATATGTTTCTATTGTGAATATGCCTCTGCTACAATGCTTCCTGGACTCATTAAGTAGGTCCCACCCTGTACTGATAGAGCTTGGTTCCACCAAATTTTTAGCACAGGCCACTTCTAAGAACTTTTGGGAGTGCCCATGCTACAGTGAAGGTTTAGAGAAAGGGTAAATGAAAATGTGAAAATGTAGAACCAGGTTGGCTGAGGCTTTTTATTTTATTTTAAAATTTTAATTAAAAAAATTTTTTTTGAGATAGTATCTCACTGTCACCCAGGCTGGAGTGCGGTGGCTCCATCTAGGCTCACTGCAACCTCCGCCTCCTGGACTTAAGTGATCTTCCCACCTCAGCTCCCAAGTAACTGGTACTACAGGCATGCGCCACCATGCTTGGCTAATTTTTTTCTATTTTTTTGTAGAGATGGGGGTCTCGCCATGTTGCCCATGATGGTCTTGAACTCCTGGACTCAAGTGATCTGCCCATCTCAGCCTCCCAAAGTTCTGTGATTATAGGCATGATAATTTTTTTTTTTTTTTTTTTTTGAGACAGAGTCTTGCTTTGTCGCCCAGGCTGGAGTGCGGTGGTATAATCACAGCTCACTGCAGCCTCCAACTCCTGGGCTCAAGGACTTCTCCCATCTCAGCCTACTGAGTAGGCTAGGAGTAAATGTGCATGCCACCATGCTCAGCTAAATTTTTTACTAAATTTTTTTTTTTTTTTTTTTTTGTAGAGACAGGGTCTAAGCTATGTTGGCAAGGCTTGTTTCAGATCCTGGCCTCGAGTGATTCTCCTACCTCAGCCCCCCAAAGCACTGGAATTACAGGTGTGAGTCACTGCACTTGGCTGGCTCATGCTTTCTACTACTAAGATGCTGCTCTAAGGATCTTGTACTATGCATTTTACAATACCTTTTAAAAAACAATCATTTATGGAAATTGAAGAACAACAACTCTCTTTAACTGAATAACTCCAGTACCTTTACCACAAATTACAAATGGCTTCTTTTCAATGTAGTCTTCATTTTTAATAATGTTTTCAGATTTTTGAAACTCATTTTGTAACATTGCTGAATATTGAATATTGCTGACCTCAATATAGACCATCAGGGAGTCTCATCAGAGCTTTCACCACACACTGTTAGGCAGGCTCGGCAGCAATGTAGCAGAGGGCAGACTCTCAGATGAAGAAACAAGGATGTTGTCACATATCCTGGGCATCTTCATGATGTGCCAAGATGTTGCAATGCTCTGCTGGGAAACCATGGGTGGAGTCAATGTATTGAGGAGACTAAGGTCATAGGTTGGATTTTCAGGTGAACCAGGTGGCCTTATTCTGTCCATGGAACTGGTATCTCTAATATCTGTCAAACACTATGTCCCAGGAAACTGAGCAAGAGTCAGGAGAGACCTGGACTCTTCTACCATGCAGCCTAGAAAATAGCTCACAGCTCCTGACCCCTGATGGTCAGAGCAGAGCATCTTGTTTGACACAGCAATGGGCCTAGTAGAAGGAGCATTGGTCAGGGGGAAGAGACTGAGTTTCCAGCTGTGACCAGTGTGATCTCTGGCAGGTCAGCTAACCTGTTTGCACCTCTGGGTTTTCATCTGTGAAAGGAGTATTAGGCTCAGTGATGTCTAATTTTCCTCCTTCTGTTCTAAAATCTCATCATCATCTTTAACTGGTGTGGTGCCAGGAGACCCTAGAAGAAATTCTCCTTTGTGGGAAGAGTTAATCAGAGTGCCCAGGTGCAGTGACTCATACCTGTAATCCCAGCACTTTGGGAGGCCAAAGTGGGAGGATTGCTTGAGGCCAGGAGTTTGAGACCAGCTTGGGCAACATAGTGAGAAAAAGAAAGAAAAGAAAGATGGGAAGGGAAAGGGAAAGAAAAGACAGGAAAAGAAAGAAAGGAAGAAAAGAGAGAGGAAGGAAAGGAAAGGAAGGAAAGGAAAGAAAAGAATAAAAGAACAAATCAGATTAAGCACATTTGCAAATGTGTTCAACCTTGGCCACTTGCTTCTTTTAAACTGGTCCTTCTCAATCTTTGTTGCACATGGAATCACCTGGGGAGTGTTAAAAATGCTCGGTGCCCAAGCTGTACCCCAGATAGATTACACTAGCATTTCTGGGGCAGGGCCCAGGCATCAGTGGTTTTTTGCTTGTTTGTTTTTTGAGATGGAGTCTCACTCTGTTGCCCAGGCTGGAGTGCAGTGGCGCTATCTCAGCTCGCTGCAACTTCCTCCTCCCAGGTTCATGCCATTTTCCTGCCTCAGTCTCCTCAGTAGCTGAGACTACAGGCACCCACCACCGCACCCGGCTAATTTTTTTTTTTTTTTGTATTTTTAGTAGAGACGGGGTTTCACCATGTTAGCCAGGATGGTCTCGATCTCCTGACCTCATGATCCATGCGCCTCGGCCTCCCAAAGTGCTGGGATTACAGGCTTGAGCCACCGCGCCTGGCTGGCATCAGTGTTTTTAAAGCAATTCCAGTGTGCAGCTAAGGATGAGAAGCACCGATGCTGGCCTTTGGTCAAGAATCCTGGAAAAGGGGCTTATCTTCAGGCTCCAGAGTCATCTGTGCTCTCATCCGTCATGCCTGGTTGCTCTCCCCCCTACTCTCTGGTGACCTTTTAAAAAGTTAATTCTTTCCCCTCTTTTTTGCTCTGGCTTGTCATTGAACTCACCCAGCTGATTGTGGCGCTTATGATTGAGAACCTCTTCTGACCGCTTCCCTTTCCCCAGAAATTAACATGATCATTAAGGCTTATAATTTTACTCACCAGTGCTATCAATCAAGGGGCTGCAAAAAGGAGTTAAGAGTCCTTTTGTAATTGGCAGCAGCCTGTGATTTGGAGCAGAGCATCCAGGGTCTGTGGGAGGCTGGAGGTAGGGAGGGCCTGGGGTGCAGGGAGGGCTCTGTCCCCCTTGAGCTGACTCCCAAAACTTCCCCCAGGGGCTAGAAAGCTTCAGTCTTCCTCTTCCCTGAATATCAAAATAAGGAAGCCAGTTCTTGCCAATGGGACTCCAGGCTCACCCCAAGCTCTGCAATAGGAAGGAAGGTCTCTCACAGCATCCCTGGGATAAGGAAGATCAGAGAATTCTGTATACACTAGGCAACCCATGTCTGGCTGAGGAGGGGCAGTGGGCCCAGATTATCTGTAGTTCAGAAGTGGGGTTGAGACTGTCAGACCCAAGGAGGTGATCCATCCTTCCCTAGTCTCCTTGGAACTTTGTTTAGGGCAACAAAAATGGCAGCTGAACCTGATGCAATGCACCCTCTGCGGCTCCCCGCAGCCCAGGTAACTCCATGCTCCTTCCACATGCAGCGAGCTGCAGAATCACAGTGCCCCAGGACAAGGGCTGACCTTCCCTTCTGGGAGGGCTGGGCTGTCTGAAGACATTTCTGACCCATGCAGTGCCTTGTGGAATATTTTATAGATACATGGTAAGTGGTATGTATGCCAGAGGTGATAGGGTAGTTATTCTCTCTCTCTCTCTTTTTTTTCTGTTTTTGAGACAGCGTCTCACTCTGTCACCTAGGCTGCAGTGCAGTGGTGAGATCTCCACTCACTGCAACTTCTGCCTCCCAGGTTCAAGCTATTCTCCTGCCTCAGTCTCCCAGATAGCTGGGATTACAGGTGCATGCCACCATGCCTGGCTAATTTTTGTATTTTTTAGTAGAGATGGGGTTTCACCATGTTAACCAGGCTGGTCTCGAACTCCTGGCCTCAAGTGATCTGCCCACCTTAGTCTCCCAAAGGGCTGGGATTACAGTCATGAGCCACCACGCCCAGCCCTATTTTATTTCAAATACAACATTGTAACAACATGAAAGTGATTTATTTTTATTTTCATTATTTATTTATTTAAGATGGAGTATCACTCCGTCGCCCAGGCTGGAGTGCAGTGGCGCAATCACAGCTCACTGCGACCTCCGTCTCCTTGGTTCAAGCAATTCTCCTGCCTCAGCCTCCTGAGTAGTTGGGATTACAGGCGCCCACCACCACGTCCGGCTAATTTTTGTATTTTTAGTTTTGTATTTTAGTTTCACCATGTTGGCCAGGCTGGTCTCGAACTCCTGACCTCAAGTGATCTGCCCACCTCAGCCTCCCAGAGTGCTGGGATTACTGCCAAAGTGGCATGAGCCACTGCATCCAGCCTTTTTTTTTTTTTTGATAACACTATAGGAAAATCTGGAGAGGGATAAATCACCTATAATTCTACTTCTCTAATACAACTATTTTATTTTTGCCTATTTTTTTCTATTTCCTGCACATGTACCTATGTATTTTAACATAATTGTAATCAGAGTAAACATGTTTTGCATTCTGATAGCCCTCTTAACATTCGATCACTGACATTGTTAGTAGTGGTTATGAAGTCTAGAATTCCTTTTGGTGTTTGCATAATAATTCTGTTACTTGGTGTGTGCCATCATTTTACCTGCCACTCACTGTTTTGGCTAATTAGGCCCAACAAAAATGTTTAAGGAAATCAGTTCGCAATATACGAAACAGCATGACTATGACTTACCCGTGGAGATTAGATTCCCAGTTCTTACCTCCTAAGAGTGGGACTCAGCAAGTGTGAGGTAGGGCCCTGGCACCTGCATTTCACAACCCTGATGCCATTGGTCCTCACTCTGTACTTCCTGAAACACTGCCCTGAGGCTTGCTGAGTTTCTTCAGGGACCATCAATGATAGGGGCTTGGTTACAGCCACCACAGAAACACCAAGAGCAGTTGCTTTCATCTTCCTTTCCAATTAACACCAAGGTTGGGCAGAAGATTAGAGTTAATATCTCTTCAAAAATCGTGTGTAGGGGCTGGGCGCAGTGGCTCATGCCTGTAACCCAGCATTTTAGGAGGCCGAGGTAGGCGGATCACCTGAAGCCAGGAGTTCAAGACCAGCCTGGGCAACATGGTGAAACCCCATCTCTACTAAAAATACAAAAAATATAAATAGCTGGGCGTGTTGGTGCAAACCTGTAATCCCAGCTACTAGGGAGGCTGAGGCAGGAGAATCAGTTGAACCCGGGAGGCGGAAATTGCAGTGAGCGGAGATCCCGCCACTGCACTCCAGCCTGTGTGACAGAATGAGACTGTCTCAAAAAAAAAAAAAAATATATATATATATATATATATATATGTGAAATACATATACACGCACACATATATATGCATATGTGTGTGTGTGTGTGTGTGTGTGTGTGTGTGTGTATCTCACATGTGGGTGGACCAGGTGCGGTGGCTTATTCCTGTAATCCTAGCTGCTTGGGAGGCTGAGGCAGAAGGATGGCTAGAGCCCAGGAGTTCAAGGCTGCAATAAGTTTTGTTTGTGCCATTGCACTCCAGCCCAGGCAACAGAGATCCTGACCCTGGAAAAAAAAAAAGAAGAAAGAAAAGAAAAAGAAAAGAAAAAACAACAACAACTGTGGGTCACACTGGAGCTGCTTCTCCACGGGGCTGTTCTCCCCCACCTGGGCACTGGCTCTCCTGGAAGGCCGTGCCGCAGGACATGTCAGCACCTTGTGGCTCTAGGTCACATCTGCTCCAGGTGCCTTTGTTCCAGTAACTCAATACTCAGATGATGGGGTAGTACGAAGGGCCCACATTTTGCAGCTGGTGGAGATCTGGGCAGTCAGCACAGGGAAGGGGGCAGTGAGGGATGGCTTGGCTCATGCTGGGCCTTGCTCCTGGCAGCCCGGGCCTCTCTCTCTGCACACACAGGCTGCACTTGCCAGCATCTCTTCTCTCCCAAGCCGAAACCGTCTGGCAGTCTCTTTGACCTGTTCACTTTCCTCCTCTTTGGTGTCTTGGTGGTCCAGAATTATCTGCAGAAAGGAAAATGCCTGCCTTACCTTCCTTTATTTGCCTTAAACCTCCCAAATCTGGGTCTAGCCCAGCTATAAGCAGAGGCTGAGCAAGCAGGCCCCGGAGTGAGGCTGGGCCCAGAAAATGGCTCCAGAAACCACCAGATGACCACGAGTAGACTATGGTGAGCACTTGGAGTAACTGCCATATGATTCCACCCAAAATCTGGCTGCAGCTCAACTTCTTTCAGAAAGAGAGAGGGAGCTGCCACGTCTGAAAAATCAAGTCAGTGACCAGCCCAGCCACCTGCCATGTCCTAGCCTGAGTTTTGTTTCAGGGCCACGGTCATGAACTTATTCTTCGCTTTGTTATGGGATCTCTGGGGTGTTGATTTTTCTGGCTAGAAACCTCTGTGGCCTGAGTTTCTGTCCTGCATCCAGGAAGAATGAGGTACACAGACAAGTGAAGGGTGAAGAAGATGAAGAGTTTTATTTAGTGTTAAAACAGCTCAGAGGAGACCCACAGTGGGTAGCTCCTCTTTGCAGGCAGATCATCCCATGGAGTGTTCAGCTCTCAGCAGAGAGGAGGCCCTGGAGGGGTTGGCTCCTCTCTGCAGGCAGGTCATTTGGATGTCTCTGCAGGTCTCTGAAGCTCTCAGCAGAGAGGGTCGTCTTGTCTTCCCATCGTCTCTCTGCCCTCTTCTCCTCTGGCCATCCTCTGCCCTGCTCTGGCTGAACCCAGCTTTCATGGACCTCAGAGGGGAGGAAGTGGGTGCCAATTGGTCCATGGGCGGCCATGGGTGCCGTGAAGAGGCACCACCAGTCCCCACTCCAGTCTGTGGGACTGGCAGCCTGGCCTTCAGCCTTCAAGCCCTCTCTGGCCTGCAAGTGGGGCCTTGCTGGGGACCTGCCCCCTTCAGGCCAGGACTCTGTCTGCCACTGCCATTCAAGGCCCGGGGGGCTCAGCCCCAACACCACTCCAAGATAGGAGCAGGCGCCAGGAGTGGAGAGAGGCCAGTCAGTGGGAACAGACACCCTCGAACCTGTAGGGATGCGGAGGAGGTGGGGAGTGTCCTTCCTGGGGCCTCTGAATGTGCAGGCTGCAGCGATGCAGAGGTCCAGCACCTAGGAGGGCCAGGCAGTGGGAGCAGACACCCCCCAATCTGCAGGGATTGGGGCGGGGAGTTTCCTTCCTGGGGCCCCCCGAGGGTACAGGCTGCAGAGACGCCGGGTCCTGTGCCTAGGAGGGTGGCTGTAGTCTCAGCAGATCCTGCCTGCACCCAGCCCTCCTCCAAGAGCATAAGGAGCCTCGAATTCACAGCTGCAGTTTGGGTGGCTGTAGCCCCGCCCAGGAGTCGTGGGACTCCTGCCTGCTCCACAGAGCAGGAGGCCTGGGTCTGCAGCTGTGGTTTGGGAGGCTGCGGCAGCTCTGGGAGTTCCCATCCCAACTCAGAAAGGGCAGAGCTCCCGATGGGGCTCTGACTGGCTCCACGGAGTGTGCAGCCCCAGCCGTGCCTCCCTGCTGCAGTCGGCGTGATGGCAGCATTTAAGTACAAGCCATAAGAATCGTTATAAATGACCAATAAAATAACTGGGGTGATAATTTAAATATATATGTTGCCTGGTTTCTGAGGGGATAAAAACCAACTTACATTTTCTCATCAGCTTCATATCCCTCATATTGTCTTAATTTTAGTTTTGTTTCTTAATTACCTTATTTTATTTTATTTTACTTTTTTTTGAGAGCTGGTCTTGGTTTGTTACCCAGGATGGAGTGCAGTGGCATGATCTCATCTCACTGCAGGCTGCATCTGTTGGGCTCAAGCGATCCTCCCACCTCGGCCTCCTGAGTAGCTAGGACTACAGGTGGGCACCACCACGCCCAGCTAATTTTTGTATTTTTTGTAGAGACAAGGTCTTCCTATGTTGCCCAGGCTGGTCTTGAACTCCTGGGCCCAAGCAATTCACTCACCTCAGCCTCCCAAAGTGCTGGGATTGCAGGCATGGGCCACTGAGGCTGGCCTTAATTGCCTTATTAATACAGATTCACGGCATGAAAGGAAGGGCGCAATGGTAAAACCTACCAAAGAAATTGAAGCTGTGTAACTAGATACATCAGCTCTGAAAAATCAACAAATTATTCTCTAGGACTGTAGTCCTTTATTTCAAAAAGGATTCTCAAATGCATATGTTAGTGGAATTGGCAAATTTACTAAAATTTCCATTTGCTTTGAATTTTTATGTGGTGCACACATTCACTCTAGGAGGTGCTGCCTGTCTCTGGGAGAGAATCAAAGAGAGAAGAGGAAGCTTTAGGACCTGACCCCCGGGGCCCGGGAGGCTGGACCTCACACTGTCAGTGCCTTCTTCCTCCAGAGAGGTACAGTCATGGAGGTCAGCAGGCCTGCAAGACAAGATCTGGACAGTTTGAATTTTTTTGGCGGTGGTGGTGGGGGGACGGAGTTTCGCTCTTGTCGCCCAGGCTGGAGTGCAGTGGTGTGATCTTGGCTCACCGCAACCTCTGCCTCCCAGGTTCAAGTGATTCTCCTGCCTGGAGACAGGGTAGAATCCCAGACTGGTCTCAAACTCTTTGCCTCAAGGGATCCTCCCACCTGGGCCTTTAAGTTGTCTTTTCATCTACATTTTCAAAAAAATCTATCACGTAGTTTTTAATTTGCATTATTTAATTTATTTATTTAGAGACGTGGTTTCGCTCTGTCACCCAGGCTGGATGGAGTGCAGTGGTGCACAGCTCACTGCTGCCTTGACCCCCTGGGCTCAAGCCACCCTCCCACCTTGGCCTCTTGAGTAGCTGGGACCATAGGCACACGCCACCACGCCCGGCTAATTTCCCCTGCTTCTTTCTTAATATGGAGGTACTGACTCAGTGTTTACATTTGAGGCTTTCTTCTGATTCCCCCTGCCCGAGGGCTTTGTCTCACAGTGCTCTTGCCAACTGCTTCCCCGCAGGCCCTCCCCAGCAGCAGTGCCAGGGCTGAGGACAAAGTGCACCAGGCAAGCTTCTGTTTGGTGCTGAAATGTGTGGGAATGACTATGGGAAGGTTAGAGAGTGGTCAGTGGTGTCGCATTTCTGCACGAGTACAGATCCAGGATAGAGAAACATATTTCCATTTCTCAGTAAATTCTTAGAAATCAGGAATACTTCAAGGAACTATTTTTAATTTTTTTGGTCTTTTAAGCAAATCATTGATATGTGTGCAACATGGATGACTCTTAAAACATTATGTGGAGCGAAAGAAGCCAGTCCGAATAGAAGTGTAGTGACTGGCCCAAGTCTGGGTGACTTCAAAGCCTGTGTTCTTTCAACCACTCCCCAACGGCCCCCCAGCTCCCTGAATCCCAGGCCTCTCCCCTTGGTTTCTAGTCTGAGCCCCAGGTCGGCTGTTAGGGGAGGCCCTTGGACAAGTCCCTTCCCATAATGAGAGGCTTAGATGAGATTGCTTCTAAGATTTGTTATAGTTCTAACATCCTAGCACCTTCCAAGTCTATTTCTTTTAAAAAATTGACTTGTTTTTGGCCGGGTGCAATGGCTCACACCTGTCATCCCAGCACTTTGGAAGCTGAGGCGGGCGGATCACAAGGTCAGGAGTTTGAGACCAGCCTGACCAACATGGTGAAACCCTGTCTCTACTAAAAATACAAAAATTAGCTGGGTGTGGTGGCACTTGCCTGTAATCCCAGCTACTCAGGCTGAGGCAGGAGAATCGCTTGAACCCGGGAGGCAGAGGTTGTAGTGAGCCGAGATGGCGCCACTGCACTCCAGCCTAGGCGACAGAGTGAGACTCCACCTCAAAAAAAAAAAAAAATTAATTTACTTTTTGAATAGTTAATAGTCACATGATACAAAGCTCAAAAGGATATATATGTCAGAGACCAGGAAACTAAAGAGACAGGAGGACTAAGTGAAATATGGTTTCCTGGAATGGATCCTGGAACAGAAAAAGGATATTCTTTAAAAACTAGTGAAAGTGGCCCAGCACTGTGGCTCACACCTGTAATCCCAGCACTTTGGGAGGCCAAGATGAGTGGATCACTTGAGCCCAGGAGTTGGAGACCAGCATGGGCAACACAGTGAGACCCGCACCCCCATCTCTAAAAAAATTTGAAAAATAATTTTAAAAAAAATTAGTGAAAGTCAAAGTTTGGAATTTGGTTAGTAACAATGTACCAATGCTAGTTTCTTTCTTTCTTTCTTTTTTTTTTTGAGACGGAGTCTCACTCTGTTGCCCAGGCTGGAGTCCAGTGGCACAATCTCGGCTCACTACAACCTCTGCCTCCTGGGTTCAAGCGATTCTCTGGCCTCAGCCTCCTGAGTAGCTGGGATTACAGGTGTGTACCACCATGCTCGGCTAATTTTTGTGTTTTTGGTAGAGATGGGGTTTTACTATGTTGACCAAGCTGGTCTCGAACTCATGGTCTCAAGTGATCGCCCACCTTGGCCTCCCAAAGTGTTGGGATTACAGGTGTGAGCCACCACACCTGGCCCAGTGCTAGGTTCTTAGTTTTGACAAATATGCCATGGTCCTGTAAGATGTCAGCATGAAGGGGTATATAACTCTTTGTACTCTTACAACTTTTCTGTAAATCTAAAATTATTCCAAAATAGGCCAGGCACAGTGGCTTATGCCTATAATCCCAGTACTTTGGGAGGCCAAGGTGGGTGGATCACCTGAGGTCATGAGTTTGAGACCAGCCTGGTTAAGATGGTGAAACCCCGTCTCTACTAAAAATACAAAAATTAACCAGGCGTGGTGGCAGGTGCCTGTAATCCCAGCTACTTGGGAGGCTGAGGCATGAGAATCACTCGAACCTGGGATGTGGAGGTTGCAGTGAGCTGAGATTGTGCTACTGCACTCCAGCCTGGGCGACAAGAGCAAGACTCTGTCTCAAAGAAAAAAAAATTATTCCAAAATAAAAAGGGTTTTTGTGTTTTTTGTTTTTAAAGTAATGTTTTCCTTTTGCCCGAGTCATTGAGCCACCCAGTCCCCAAGCCAGACAACCAACGTTCAATGTTATCTGTTTCTTATATAATCTTTCAGATATATTCAATTAATATTCAAAGAAAATGTATATTCTACAAATATATCTCCAAATAGAAAGTGTGTCTCTGAGATAAATTCCTAGAAGTGGGATTCCTGGGCATATAGTTTTCATAGTTATTGCCAAATTGCCTTCCATAGAAGTTGTACCAATTTATCCTCCCACCAGACAATGTGTGTGAGGACCTGTTGTATCATCAACACAGACTGTGGTCTGAGAGTGAACTGGTATTCACTTACCTCAGTTTAAGTCAGACTGTCAACTCTCAAAGTGCTCTTGAAAAAAACTTCTCTAGAAAGCTGCTACAAAATGGCGGCTCCATTCTCGAGGGAGTAGAGGCAAGCAGGGAGCTGGCTGCAGTGGCAAAGGGCAGCAAGGCCATGAAGAAGCGCTTGCCAAATGATTAACATTCCTGTCGCCAATTACTACTGTCCTCAAGAGGAGAAGACATTCACAGAAGGGCATTGTCTCTGCTCCACAGCACACAAAGGGTCAAGCCTCACAGATTTGCTCCTAGTTGGGGGAAAAACCCTCACAGGTCAAAGTGTTCAGATTACAGATTCAGGAAAATCCCTTTGCAGAAAGAAGACAGCAAATCCCCAGTGAAGTTGAAAGGACAAAACTTTCTTCACCTCAGAGACTCTCCAATGAATAAACCGGTTAAACATGGTTTGGATTTAGTGAACATGAAAACAACTGGATTAAAGTATAATCTAGCTAGAAAGGAAAGGACATGTGCTGAGACAACTAGCTAAGTAATGACAAAGCTGCAGTGTTTACATCTGTCAAGCAGGAACGGCCATTCCAGCTTTATAACTGAATTCTCTTAAATGTTTAATTTTTCTTTAGCTCAACGTGAGCCTCTGCTCGTGTTGGCCTCTTTGATAACACTGGCACCAAGGCAACTGTGTGAGCACGACGGGTGTAGAGTCCAGGAGTCTGCAGGCAGCAGCTGTCAGGGCGAGTGTTCGGCATGGGCCTTGGCCAAGCTGCACACGGTCCAGCTTGGAGGCAGCATCCATCGCACAGGTGCAGGTTTTAGAATCACAAAGACTTGGGTTTAAATCCCAATTGTACTTTTTACTGGCTGTGTGACCTTGGACAAATTAAACTCTGTCCCATTTCCTCTCTTGGTAAAATGAAGATAATACCCATCCAATAGGGTTGTTTTGAGAATTAAATGAGGTAATACATGTAAAAGCCTACACCGAAACCTAAACACTCAATAGGTGGTCGGATCACCAATCTCTTTCTGTCTCTCCTGCTCCTGCTCCCCCTTGCACACACACCTGACCACCAAGTGAACCTGTTCCACGTCAGACTAACTCCAGGCACTTCAGATCTTACTCTGTGACAGGAGCATTCAGAGTTTTTACATTAGGGCTTCTTAAACGTGTTTGTAAAGATCCCTACTCAAATATCTGTTTGTAAAAGTATAAAATAAAATACATGGGATTATAAAAGAAACCAACTTATTGAAGTATGTTTATTAAAATATTTTTAAAACTTGTGATAAAATATGTGCTTCTTTGGAAAATGTTAAACAAGCTGGGTGCGGTGGCTCACGCCTGTAATCCCAGCACTTTGGGTGGCCGAGGAGGGCGGATCACTTGAGGCCAGGAGTTTGGGACCCGCCTGGCCAACATGGTGAAACCCTGACTCTACTGAAAAACAAAACAAAACAAAAAATTAGGCATGTGTGTGCCTGTAGTTCCAGCTACTTGGGAGGCTGAGGCTGGAGAATCGCTTGAACCCGGGAGGCGGAGGCTGCAGTGAGCCGAGATTGCACCACTGCACTCTAGCCTGGGTGACAGAGTGAGACCCTGTCTGAAAAAAAAAAAAAAAAAAAAAAATTAAACAAGATCAGGGAGTGAGTCTGATAACTACAATAATTTTCAAGCAGTGATCAGTGTATTCCAAGATTTGCAACAACAAATGTGATATAATTAATATACTTGCATTTTCTAATTGGTGACAGTCAAAAGTCCTGCTTCTACTAATACTCTGGTTTACTTCCACATTCATAATGGAAGAAATAATTAATTTCAGTTACAGAATATTAAATATGACCCCCTAACTCTCTTCCTTAGAGCAGAAGAAAAAAATATTAAAGATACACCGTTTTCCCATTCAAATTAGACTCCAGGTATTATAAAATATTACCACCTCTGTTCTCAAGACTAGTGATAAAAGATACTTACAAACTGTCAAGCCAGCAGTCCCTTATTTTACTTTTTTCTCTGACTTCTTTCAAGATTTTATCTTGGTCTTTGGTTTTTTGCAGTTTGAACGTGACATACATGACATCCCTAGGTGTTTTTGTTATTTTTTTTTTTTTTACCAACAAGGTTATTCTTTTTAAATTTATTCCGCTTGGTGTTCTCTCAGCATCCTGGATCTGTGGTTTGGTTCACCAATTTTGGAAAGGTCTCAGCCATTATTACTTCAAACATGTAGACAGTTTGAACAATACAGGTTTGAACTGCGCAGGCCCACTCATACGTAGCCTTTTTCAATAAAAGTAACAGAATGTGCCTGTCCCTCCTGCCTCCCCTTCCACCTCCTCCACCTCTCTGCCTCCCCACCCCTGAGACAGCAAGACCAACCCCTCCTCTTCCTCCTCTTCCTCCTCCTCAGCCTACTCAACATGAAGATGAGGATGAAGACCTTTACGGTGATCCACTTCCACTTAATGAATAGTGAATATGTTTTCTCTTCCTTATGATTTTCTTAGTAACATTTTCTTTAGCTTACTTTAAGAATACAGTACACAATACATGTAACATACAAAATATGTGTTAAGTATATTATCAGTAAGGCTTCTGGAAAACTAGGCTATTAAATTTTGGGGGAGTCAAAAGTTATATGCAAATTTTCAACTATATGCAGGGTTGGCACACCTAACCCCTGCATTGTTCAACTGTATATATTTTTTTGCTCTACTCTCTTTCAGGTATTCCAATTACACATTTGCTATACCTTTTGAAATGATCCCAGTTTTTGGATGGTCTGGGTTTTTATCCTACTCTTTCTCTTCCCATTTCAGTTTGGGAAGTTCTTATTGACCTACCTTCAAATTCACTAATTGTTTCCTAAATTTGTCAAGTCTATTTATGAGTCCATCAAAAACATTTTTCATTTTTATTATAGTGATTTTGATTTTTAGCATTTCCTTTTGAGTTTCCATCTCTCTGATTACCCATCTATTCTTGCACGTCTACTTTTTCCATTACAACTTTTAATATGTTAGGTTATAATTATCAAACAGGGAATCTGTGTCATATCCAACTCTGGTTCTGATTGCTTTCTCTTTTCAAACTGTTTTTACTTGCTTTTTGGCATGGCATGCCTTCAAATTTTTTGTTGAAAGCCAGGTATGTTGCACTGGGTAATAGAAACTGAGGTAGACAGGCCTTAAGTGTGAAGGTTCATGGTAATCTTGCTGGAGGACGGACTATGTTTAATGTTTGCTGTAGTTACAGGTGCCAGAGGCTTCACCTTCCTCTAGTGTCTTTGCTTTTGCCTGTCTCTTAACTTTGGGTTTCCCTAATTACTCCTCCACAAAGGGGGACTTCCAGCTGTAATCCACTACGATTACACTCGAATCCCACTGGTGCGGTGGTAAAGTGTGGGAAGTGGGATATTCTATAATCTTCAGATTAAATCTGTGTCTTAGTGGGCCTGTGAGCTTCACAAGTGTTTTTCCAGTGGTAGAGCGTTTCCTTTCTGGCCCCCTACTCCCTTCCCTGGCTGCAGCATTTCCAGTCTATTTCCTTGAAATCCTGACCCCTCTTGACTAAGTTCCCATCCCTGCCCCATGTAAGTAAGACAGGAAGCCTAGAGGGGGGCTAGAGTGGGAAGAACGCCCTTCCCCCAACTGGGATAGGCTCTGGGAGTCTTTCACCCTGGAGAGTAAGCCTTCGTAATAAAGGTTTTGGACATTATTTCATAATGATTATTAATCCCTTTTCCACGTCAGAGCCACACATCTTACTAGATCTTCACTGAAAATGTGGTGGGATTCTTGGAGGTGAAGCCCACGAACTTGTGGAGACCCCTCTTAACACTGTGATCCCCAGGGACTTCTCACTCTCACGCTCACCCACACTCAGCCGCTAGCAATTCATTGCCATCTAAGTGTTTCTAACTAGCTTATGGCTCCAGTAGCTTTTGCTCCAGATAAGCAGATTTTGGCTGTCTCTCTTTAGATAGCCCTGTTTCTCCAGATTTTAGGGTGGTGGTTTGCCCTTCAACCTCAATTCTCTGATGGGTCCAAGAAAAGTCATTGATTTTGCATTTGTACAGATTTTTCTTGTTGAAAGGACAAAGTGATAACTTTTTCTCTTGAGACAGGGTCTCACTCTGTCACCCAGGCTGGAGTGCAGCAGCGCAATCATGGCTCACTGCAGCCCCACCCTCCCAGGCTCAGGGGATCCCCCACCTCAGTCTCCCAAGTAGTTGGGACTGCAGGTGTGTACCACCATCCCTGGCTAATTTTTTTATTTTTATAGAGACTGGGTTTTGCCATGTTGTCCAGGCTGGTCTTGAACTCCTGGGCTCAAGTAATCTGCCTGCCTCGGCCTCCCAAAGTGCTGTGATTACAGGTGCACACCACTGTGCCAGGCTTGGTGCCAACTTTCAAGCTTTTTACCTGTAGAAGCTTAAACCAGAATTATTTCATTCTGGCCATTCCCTTCCATCCACCTGAACTGCTGTGTCCCTTCTTGTCCTCACATTTGCGATGACTACTGTCCCTCTTAGTGAGTCTTTTCATGACTGGTGTTCGATCTCTCCTGTCTGTTAGCACTTTGCACAATCAAGTGCTTGGTGTTGCTAGTTGAGTCCACTGGGTCGCTTTCATTTCTGGCACTCACTCTACAGTAAAGAGCATCTGGGATGAGGTGTTGTTGCCCAGCATCCTCTAAGCTTCCTTTGTGCTTTTAAATTAATTTCCCTGGCCTCCAAATCAGTCTTATTTTCTTAGCAAGGTTGGAATAAAGCAAACTTCACTTTCTGTAAATCAGGATTTACAAAAGTAATTTCTCAAGATCTGGTAAGTCCTTTTTTCTCAATTTCTTGATTTCTTTTTGTAATGACTTAAGTAGCCAGGTAAGATCGGATTTGGCCAAGTTCAAGGAAATCATAGGGCCTCCTATCTAAATGACTAAACCTGACAGTTTTGGAATTACTTGGGAAACTTTAAAAAAGAAAATCCTAAATGCAGTCCTAAGAGAGTAATTGTGGTGGGCAGCTATGTTTAGGAAAATACGATACTTCTAGTAAGCTGTGCATGTCCAAAAGAGCTACTTACACCTAAACTTAAAATCAAAACTAAAAAACATACTAGGGAGACAAAGTGAAAATACTATTAGAAAAACCAAACCAAACCTATCCATTCGTAACAAAGGACATAGGAATTGTTTAACATTCACCCTTTCACTCATTCAGTAACTGTATTGAAAGTCATAGGCACGGCTGGGCGCGGTGGCTCACGCCTGTAATCCTAGCACTTTGGGAGACTGAGGCGGGTGGATCACTTGAGGTCAGGAGTTCGAGACGAGCCTGACCAACATGGTAAAACCCCGTCTCTACTAAAAAAATACAAAATTAGCTGGGCATGGTGGCGCATGCCTGTAATCCCAGCTACCTCAGGAGGCTGAGGCAGAAGAATTGCTTGAACTCAGGAGGCGGAGGTTGCAGTGAGCCAAGATCACGCCACTGCACTCCAGCCTGGGGAACAGAGTGACACTCCATCTCAAAAAAAAAAAAAAAAAAAAAAAAAAAGTCATAGGCCCTGTCCACAAGAAGGAAGTACACCAAGCCATGGCCTTTAGAATCAAACGTCTTCACAGTTTAAATGCAGTACCATCCTCTCCTGGTTAACCTTGAAAATTCTGCTCAAGCTTTCAAAACCTCAGTCTTCTCATTTGTAAAAATAACATTATCTACTTCATAGGGAAGTTCTGTGACAGAGATCACAGTGGAATTATTACAAACTTATTCTCTCTATCCCAAAACAGTTTTAACTCCTTTCCTAGCCTAAACACTGGCATATTGTTAGTAATAGCAGCTGGCACCCACTGAGTATTAATCTATATGCGAGGGAGTGGGCTAAACTCTGTCCATCCATACCTCAAACACATTTTATCTGTAAAGGCCTTAGAGGCCACAGCCTTATTCTTTCATTGGCCATATTCGCCCCACTCATGTAACCAAAAAAGGCAAAGCAAGCAGAGGCAACAGGACGGAATTTTAATCTAGGATGGCCTCCTAGCAAAGAGGGCTGAGTGGAAAAACCATGGGATGTATAAAAAGGAGATGCTCCTCCTCCCCTAACACCCCTTCCCCAAAGTCATAATCACTACCAGGGGTCATGATGTTAGAACCTCTGGGTAGGAAACCAAATACCAGATAAACCTATTCTGGAACTGCCATGGCAAATGAGTAAGAGTGGTACCATTTGCTACTACTACTATTATGACTACCACTGCCAACTGATAACTATTATTATGCTTTTATATGTTCCGACACTGTCCTATGAATTTTACATGTAATCCTCGATGTAAGTTATAAAGTTACCACTGATATTGACCCTTTATAACTGGCAGGAGTTGAGACAAGGCAATTAAATACTTGAATAGTGGACACAGAGCCTGAGATTCCTTAGAATTATCCATCTATTGCTTTGTAACTCACTGCCAAATTAATTTTTTTTTAGGAAGATTCTTAAGGGATTCTGGAACCCCCTCCTATGTAGTTAGAATTAAGAGCACCTGCATTTTTACTTCAGCGGGTTAAAGGCATAGTTTCACTATAAACCATGGTCTCAATTTCCTACAAGATAACACTGAAAAGCACCTTCCTCCATTAGGCAAAAACACGTTACCTGGAATAAACTTTTCACCTACTTTAAAACCCTTGACTTTTCAAGAGCATGCCTGCCCTTAGGAAATTGTGGTAGAGGTTAAAAGCGGGCAGGCTAGTACAAGCCATCCTAAACCACGCTATTCCTTGTCTGTAAATGATCAAAATCAAGACTCCACGGTGAGTGGAAACCTTGACACTACTAACATTTTTCTGCTGTGGGAGGCTGGCTTGTTCATTTTAAGAGGTTTAGCAGCATCTCTGACATCCACCTGTTAGAGTCCAGTAACATTCCCTAGTTGAGACAACCAAAAATATCTTCAGACATTGCCAAACGTCCCCTGGGGGACAAAATCATCCCTGGTTGAGAACCACTGCTTTATTTTAATGTTTAACAGAAAAAAAAATTTTCTTTTGAGACTGGGTCTCTCACTCTTGCCTAGGCTAGAATTAAGTGGCATGATCTTGGCTCACTGCAACCTCAACTTCCTGGGCTCAAGATACACTTCCACCTAGCCACCCAAGTAGCTGGGACTACAGGCACACACCACCATGCCCAGCTAATTTTTAAACTTTTTGTAGAGACATAGTCTCACTATGTTACCCAGGTTGGTCTCAGAACTCCGGGCCTCAAGCAATCCCCCTGCCTTGGCCTCCCAAAGTGCTGGCACTACAGGTGAGAGCCACTGTGCCTTGCCGAGAACCACTGCTTTAAAGAATTATTTGGTTTTGCAGAGCTACCATTATTCTGTTCTGCATACCCAAAACTGACAGCCTCTGACTTTACTTCTCTAGTTCACTGAAATAAAATTTACATGTTGTTTAGCTTTGTACCTTCTTACAGTAATTGAAACATCCAGTATTAGGGAACTGTGAAATACTGTTTGAGCAACAAAAGGCCTTATGGGGCAACTCTGACTTCTTCCTATGACTTCTATGTGCTTGGTGGACATCCTAGTTTGGCCAAGACCCAAGCTTGTTTCCTTTTAAATGGACTGATCCATCTTCAGAGGAGACGCATCTGCTGTAGGAGGACAAAATTTCTTTACTTTGGGATTTAACTCCAAGTCACAATGGGTCCCCAAACCACCGCAAGTTGTACAAACTAGAGACCACATTCTGGCTGAAAGGTCTGAACACAACACAAGTTAGGCAGCAAGAAGTCATGTGTTTTCTGGTATCTTATCATTTTTGCAGGTCAGGCTAGAAGACTGTGCCCTTCTCTTAAAGAGGATAAAGTGTGCTACTATCCCAAACCAAATTAAAGAGAAAGCACAAACCTGCTGACTAAGAAGAGTTATTACACCCTTGCTAAGTTTGTTTAAACAAGTCACTCAGTTGACTAGGAAAAAACTTCTGAAAAATAGGAGAAATGGTATTTTATCTTTGAAAGTCCTTTTAATAAATGAGATTATAAAGCAGTTTTCAAATACACAAAGTGCTTCAAAATGATTCAATAAGCCTTAAGCAATACATTTTTTAGTATATCACTTTTGTTGTTGTTAAAAATACCCCATTCAATGGATGGAAGTATATTTGATATCACCACTGTTTAAAGGGAATGGAGTTACAGGAATGAGAAGTATATAATTAGTAAATAATCCCTCTCAACAAGTGACTTAAGTAGTCACTCATAGAGAGCAAAAAAAGCTGGAGGCAACACAATCAGTGCATATCAGAAATGCATTTTAATTTTTATTTGAAAACAACTTAAATTTTTAGACAAATGATTTTAGTATATAAATTTGCTTTTGTTTTTATACAGAATATAAAGATTTCCCTCATTAATCTTCCATGTGAAGGGTATTACAAGCCTGGAGGAAGATACTTTCTGCACACAAGTATGTATCTTATGTGTGCAGTATTGGAAACCAATGGTGTAGTGCTCCTACACATAAATGGGGTCAAGTGACATCACAAATTAAAAGGGGGAAAGAGAAATATTCTAGTTAATCAGATGCAAGAAGCAAACAAGACGCAAAAACTGTGCAAATAAGACCAAGCCAGTAACTTTAGTTACGACACTGCAGATTACACTGGAATAACAGGTTTGTGAGGCTATAGTGTGCACCACATTAAAACAGCAAGAAAGAGCTATTTATATAGAAAGGCTGGAATGAGGGATTTTTACTAAAGCAAATTAACTTCTTGTCAACTGCCAAAACAAAACAAAACTGAGCATATGAGTGTTAGTATACTGAAGGCATGTTATACCAGTTTCTGTGCAGCATGCTAAAAGTTAGAACTTCTTCACTGGTGCTTATCAATCATTAATAGTCACGTTTTTGCCCCTTCTTGCCAAATTTCAGGCATGTCTTATTTTAGATGGAGTATAGCTTTTATCTATTATTTCATCTTGTAAAAACATGTGAAGACAACGTTCGTTCTGTGCCAGAGGATGACCAGCGACCCTGAGAATAAAAAATATAAATTTAGTCCAATATTTTATACAAGGTGGGGGAGTTCAAAACACATATTTTAAAGTTGAGAAGCATGTATAATTTTTTTTTTTTTGAGATGGAGTCTTGCTCTGTTGCACAGGCTGGAGTGCAGTGGCTGATCTTGGCTCATGGCAACCTCCGTCTCCTGGGTTCAAGTGATTTCGTGCCTCAGCCCCCTGAGTAGCTGGGACTACAGGCGTGTGCCATCATGCCCAGCTAATTTTTATATTTTTACTAGAGACGGGGTTTCACCATGTTGGCCAGGCTAGTCTCAAATCCCTGACCTCAAGTGATCTGCTCACCTCAGCCTCCCAAAGTGCTGGGATTACAGGCGTGAGCCACTGCGCCCGGCTCAGAATCATGTACAGTTTACCAATAAGTATTATTCTGGACTGTCCATAAAGCTATGCACTATCAACTAATGGTATATGTTCTTTTGTTTGGTTCACAACTCTAATTAAGAAAACATTAATCACAAATTTTTCACTGCTTGTGGCACATGTACCCAATTAGCTTTACATCATAGCTGGTGTATTCATAAGAAACTTAAATTAATTTTAATGTTAAAAGTGAAGCATGTCAATTGATCCTAAGAATCTTTTTTTTTTTTTTTTTTTTTTGAGACAAAAGTGTTGCTCTATCACCCAGGCTAGAGTGCAGTGGTGTGATCTTGGCTCACTGCAACCTCTGTCTCCCAGGTTCAAGCGATTCTCCTGCCACAGCCTCCTGAGTAGCTGGGACTACAGGTAAACACCACCACGCCCCACTAATTTTTGTATTTTTAGTAGAGACAGGGTTTCGCCATGTTGGCCAGGCTGGCCTTGGAACTCCTGACCTCAAGTGATCTGCCCACCTCGGCCTCCCAAAATATTGGGATTACAGACATGATCCACTGTACCAGGCCAGAGTCTATTTTAAAGAGGAGAAGATACAGGATTGAAGTTAGAAATACAATGAAGTTCAATAAAAGCCCAAAATACTAAAAAAACAGGCACAAATATCCAGGTATTTTGTTTGTTTTTGCCTGCTTAAAACCACACTGGGCAACCGGACTATTATTTCAGAATTTAAAAATATCTAATATAGGCCAGGCGTGGTGGCTCATGCTTGTAATCCCAGCACTTTGGGAGACCAAGGCAGGCAGATCACTTGAGGTCAGGAGTTTGAGACCAGCCTGGCCAACATGGCGAAACCCTGTCTCTACTAAAAATACAAAAATAAGCCAGACACGATGGTGCGCAACTATAATCCCAACTACTCAGGTGGCTGAGGCATGAGAATCACTTGAACCTGGGAGGTGGAGGTTTCACTGAGCCGAGACTGCACCACTGCACTCCAGCCTGGGCGACAGAGCAAGACTGTCTCAAAAAAAAAAAAAAAAAAATCTAATATAGTACTGCCTTCTCCAAAAGGAAAACAGATTCACAGACAATGAATATTGAGTGCTACAGTAGATAACCAAGGGCTTTATGTAACCCTTTCTCTCCTGTTTACCACTCATGGATCTTCAAATCACTAGATAAAATTTACAGTGTAAGCTCACATTACCATATTCTGTACGATTTGATTTACTTTTGCTAGTTTAAGGCCAATGCACAATTACAGTGAGGTCTTTCTTGGCATAAATCTTTCTAACACTCTGGCTTTCTATTATTTTACAAAATAGCTATATTTCAAATGGGAATAAAATTAAAAGCTAAAAATATTGGTTTGAGCTTATCAAGAGTTTCTAAAGTAAAAAAGAAACAATCCTAAGTCTTCTTACATTTTCAAAAGAATACATTTTACCATGAAAATTAAAAACATGCACCTTTATACAAGACATGCTAATACCTCCATCTGCAATCAAACAAGATGATTGCAAGTACATTGTAAGTTTTATTGTTCATGCTAGAACATACCTTAAATCAGAAAGAATCATAAGTAAAACTGTATTTTTTAAATGCCGTAATTTTAAATGTAATTTGCATAAATTAACCAAGAAAAACAAATACAAAACGTAGGTCAACACAAAGATGCTCATTTCAATCACTCAAATGTGTTAATATTTATCACATGATATTCAACTTGTCAGATACTTTTACTTTGTTTAAATGATATGAAAAGTTAGGAAATGGCTGAAAGAAAAGGCAACAGTGCAGTTTAGCTTAACATCTAAACTACAAGTAGTCACTTAAAGTAGTCCTACACTTTGAGGAATAGGAAGCACTTACTTGTTTATAAACTGCTCCAGCCCTTGTTTTCTTTCCTCAATAAAATTGTCATCAAATATTCCATCATCTCCTCTAAAAGGAAGCTGACGCAAAAACGCTTTCCCAGGGAGCGGGGGAACTACGACCTAAAATGTGAAGACAGAAACTCCTTGATCATGATGACTGGGTTGTGAAAATTTATAGAGCACAACATGAAGACAAAGCATGTCCTCACTATGACAGCCATCGTCCGGTCAAACTAGTTGAAATATAAAAGAGCAAAAAATACACTGAAAAAAGACCAAATGTTTAGACAAATGCAGAATAGCCCATCAGACAAAAGCTCCTAATTCAAAGGCAGGGCCCATAGCTTATATCATTTTTCTTGGCCTTATCAAAGCCCAGGTATACAAAGAGAACACTCACAACACTGAAATAAAGGTTACCATGCCCCTCAGACACTTGTGATGCCACTTGGAGAAGGCAATGCCTTATTGCAATGGAAACTGCAGAGATCAAAATCAACTCTCAATTAAATGAAGAAACGTTAATGTTCTCTCTGCAACATGGTTAGGTAAGAATTCTGGTTTCAGCCGGGCGTGGTGGCTCATGCCTGTAATCCCAGCACTTTGGGAGGCCGAGGCGGGCAGATCACAGGGTCAGGAGATCGAGACCATCCTGGCTAACACGGTGAAACCCTGTCTCTACTAAAAAATACAAAAAATGAGCCGGGCGTGGTGGCGGGCGCCTGTAGGCCCAACTACTCTGGAGGCTGAGGCAGGAGAATGGCATGAACCCGGGAGGCAGAGCTTGCAGTGAGTGGAGATCACGCCACTGCACTCCAGCTGGGCTACAGAGTGAGACTCCGTCTAGAAAAAAAAAAAAAAAAAGATTTCTGGTTTCTTCAACCTCTTACCATCTGCATACAGTCTTTCCTACTTGTGTTTGAGGTGATGACAAAATACCAATAACTCTAGTTGTCACTATTCTGTTTCCTAAATTAAGAAACAAGTCAACTTTCTCCCAAATGCCCTATCCTGCTGTCTTTTCCCAAAGACCTGTCATTTCTCCCTTCTCGCACTATAGGAAGATCCCAAATTTTCCCCTTCAAAGCCTAACCAAGGGTCAACTCCTGCTGATCTCTCCCTTCTGGGAATTATCTGGAGCTCAAATATTATTCTGGGCCAGGTGCAGTGGCTCACATCTGCAATCCCTGCACTTTGGGAGGCCAAGGCAGGCGGGAGGATTGCTTGAGGCCAGGAATTTGACACAAGCCTGGGCACATGTCTACAAAAATAAAAAAAACTTAGCTGGGTGTGGTGGTGTGAGCCTGTAGTCCCAGCTACTTAGGAGGCGGAAGTGGGATGATCACTTGAGTCCAGGAGTTCAGGACTGGAGTGAACTAAAATGTCGCTGCACTCCAGCCTAGGTGACAGCGAGACCCCGTCTTAAAAAAAAAATAAATTTTTAAAAATGTTATTCTGGAGCTCAAAATACTTGTTTTGATTAAATAGCACCTAGCTATTTCACAGGTTAGTTTGGTTTCTCTACCCTAGCACTACTGAGAATCAGATAAGTTTTGTACTGGGGGGCTTTCTTGTGCATTCTTTTCTTTCTTGAGATGGGGTCTTGCTCTGTCACCCAGGCTGGAGTTCCGTGGTGCGATCATGGCTCGCTGCAGCCTCCCCCAGACTCAGATGATCCTCCTGCATCAGCCTCCCAAATAGCCGGGACACTACAGGTACATAGCGTGCTACCACGCCTGGCTAATTTTTCTATTTTTTGTGGAGATGGTGTTTCACTGTGTTGGCCAGGCTGGCATTCTTTTCTTTAGCAGCATCCCTAGCCTCTGCCCACTAGACAACATAGCACCCCCAGCTGAGACAATAAAAAATGTCTCTAGACAGTGTCAAACGTCTCCTGGGGGATAAAACTGCCTTTGGTGGAAAACCATCAATCTATCATACTAATGTCTTCAAATCAAGACCCCTGTCTTAGGCTTCTTGTGGTTATTTTAAGAAAAACTGGGCATACAACAGAAGCTCAAATATCTGTTAAATGACCAACCACTTAGCTGGATCCTTACTTTAAACGCAAACAGAGAAATGTGTAAGCAAACAATCAGAACAAGGAGAAATATATATAGTAAACTGATACATATTTTTCTTTTCACCAATAATACAAATTACACATATTCAAAAAAATTAAAACTTTAAACCCTTGATATAGTTTCTACAACGAGTTGTTTATCCTCAAACAAAATTCAATAGGGTAAAAAAGGGAAAGAGCAACTCGACTTCATATAGATTAACAAAAAACAAAATAAAAACAAAAAAACCAAATGTCCAAATAAACTTTATAATCCCTTCCTAGATTTACTCTCCTCAGATGACCAATGATGAAGATATCTATGGATTTGTCTCCGTAAATTTATGCTAGCATTCTCAGATCTCACCCCCATGTTAACATCTGTTTAGTTGAGAGTTAAAATCTGCAGGGACCTTCTATAACTGAGAAACAAAGGAATGCTAACCATTACGTTCCAGTAGAATGGCTATCTGGTGGGCAGGGAAAAATATCTGTATCTACACAATTATTATTTAAAAAAAGAATTCTGGAACCACTGTGTTAAATAAATGACCACCATTAATTCAGGGTAGAATTTAGCATGAAACTTAAGAAAAGGATAGCTCAAGGATGTCAGTTAAAGAAAGAAGGAAAATGATAAAAAATGTAACAATATATATATAATTAAATATATATAAATTTCATATATAATGGGAATTTAAGAAAAGGATAGCTATGCATTATCCTCTGTAGAGATACACTCTTCCTAACATATTCAAACTAGTCATTCAAATGGATGGGGAGGTGGTAGGCAACAGGATTAATGATCTATAAAAATCATAAATGGCTCATCCAGCTAAGATTCTCTTCTACATCAAATTATTTTTGCTGAAGCAGTCTGAAAACACCTAACTGGAATTCTAACACCAGGTTGGGTGCGGTAGCTCACATATGTAATCCCAGCACTTCAGGAGGCCAAGGTGGGTGGATCACCTGAGGTCAGAAGTTCAAGACCAGCCTGGCCAACATGGTGAAACCCTGTGTCTACTAAAAATACAAAAAATTAGCCGGGCATGGTGGTGCATGCTTGTAACCCCTTTACTCAGGAGGCTGAGGAGAATTGCTTGAGCCTGGGAGGCAGAGATTGCAGTAAGCCGGGACTGCACCACGGTACTCCAGCCTGGGCGAGAGCTAGACACCGTCTCAAAAAAAAAAAAAAAAAATTCTAATACTAATTAAAAAGTCATGAATGCAAAGATATGTGCGTGCATGTGGGGTGAGAAATAGGAGAATATCTGGTGAGCACAATATATTGAAAGCTAAAGCAAACTAGAATAAAAGCTAAAAGATCTGACCATAATACATGTCAGCTAATTTCTAGCTTAGTTTAACAGATCTTAGTTAAAAGTACTAATATACCACAAAATAACTTGATTACATTGTTCTTTGCAATACTGTAATACGAGTAAAACTTTCACATGGATTTAACTCTCAATATATTTAACTGGTCTAATGTTAAATGTGAAGTATTGTGCTTCAAAGGACAACATCAAGAAAGTGAAAAACAACCCAGAGACTGGGAGATATGTGCAAATTATGTATCTGATAGGGAACTCTAAGAGTCTTATATATTCTCGACATAACTCTATAATAAAAAGATGAACCCATTGAAAAAGGCAAAAGCTCTCAATAAAGATGTCTCCAAAGAAGATACATAAATGACCAGTAAGTATATGAAAAGAAAATCAACATTAGTGGCCATTAGAGAAATAAAAATCAAAACCACAATGCAATACCCCTTCACAAACAGTAGGATAGCTATAATAAAGAAGACAGGCAATTGGTAAGGATGTGGAGAAAAGTAGAACCTCACATTGCTGGTAAGAATGTAAAATTACACAGCTGCTTTGGAAAAACGGTCTGCCAATTCCTCAAAAGGTTAAAAAGAGTTATGACCCAGCAATGTACTGGTAGGTATATACTGAAAAGAAATGAAAACACATGCAGACAGAAACCTATGCACAAATGTTCACAGCAGCACTACCAATAACAGCCAAAAAGTAGAACAAAATGTCCACCAAATAAGTGTATAAATAAGATGTGGTATAAGCATACAATAGGATATTATTTAGGAATAAAAAGAAATGAAGTAATTGATGCATGTTAGAAAAGCATGAACTGTGAAAACATGTTAAGTGAAAGAAGCCAGACACAAAAGATCACATATTGTGGGCTTCCATTTACATATGCCCAGAATGGGCAAATCCACAGAGAAAGGAGACTAGCAGGTGGTTGCCATAGGCTGAGTGAGGAAGGGTTGGGGAGAAATCAGTGGTGTCTACTAATGGGGACAGGGTTTCTTTTATTGGGTGATAAAAATGCTCTAAAATTGACTAGTGCTCTAAAATAGTGATGGTTGCACAACTCTGTGAACATATTAAAAACCAGTGAATTATACACTTTAAATGGGTGAATTGCATGGTATGTGAATTATATCTCAATAAAGCTGTTACTAAAAACAAAAGCGGTCGGGCGGGGTGGCTCACGCCTGTAATCCCAGCACTTCGGGAGGCCAAGGCGGGCGGATCACAAGGCCAGGAGATCGAGACCGTCTTGCTAACACGGTGAAACCCCGTCTCTACTAAAAATTTTTAAAAAATGAATAAATAAATTTACAAAAAAAAGCAAAATATACACTCAGCAAACGTTTATTAAACATTTCCAGTGTGCCACATGGTATGTCAAGCAAAGCCCAAAGCCTATGTATCAAGACACTTCTCAGCTAGGTGTGGTGGCTCATGCCTGTAATCCCAGCACTTTGGGAGGCCAAGGCAGGAGGATTACTTGAGGCCAGGAATTCAAGACCAGCCTGGGCAACATAGTGAAGCCTCATCCTTACAAAAAATTTTTTAAAATTAGCTGGACATGGTGGCTCATGCCTGTAGTCCCAGCTACTTGGGAGGCTGAGGCAGGAAAATCACTTGAGACCAGGAGTTGGAGGATATTATAGTATGCTATGATCACGCCACCGCATTTCAGCCTGGGCAACAGAGCAAGGCTCTGTCAATCAATCAATCAATCAATCTCCCAACCATCTGTAATTTGTAATATAGTGAGATATAAATCTTTATTTCCTAATAGACAAATATTTCAACTCCATTTGCTGAATTCCTTTCCCACTGAATGACAATGCTATTTTTGTTATGAACTAAATTCCCTATAAATACATGGGTCAAACTCTAAACTCTATTATATTCCACTAATCTATTTGCCCAACCTAAAGCAATATACACTGCATAACAGTGTTTCCCATCAGAGATGGACCACTTAAGATAATAACTGTGGTGCCTTAAGATTATAATGGAGGTGAAAAATTCCTATTGCCTAGAGATGTCTTGGTGATCCTGACTCTGTGCAGGCCTAGGCTACTATGTATATTTGTGACTTAATTTTTAAGAAAAAGTTAAAAAAATTTAAATAGAGAAAAGCTTATAGAATAAGAATATAAAGAACATATTTTTGTACATTTGTTCAATGTGTCTGTGTTTTAAGCTAAGTGTTATTACAAGAGTCAAAAAGTTAAAGTAAAAAGTTTAAAAAGTAAGCTAAGGTTAATTTATTATTGAAGAAAAATATTTTATAAATTATAAATTTCAATGTACAGTGTTTATAAAGCCTGCAGTAATAAACAGTAATGTCCTAGGTCTTCTCATTCACTCGCCACATACTAACTGACTCACCCAGAACAACTTTCAATCCTGCAAGCTCCATTTATGGTAAGTGCCCTATACAGGTGTACTATTTAAAAAATCTTCCATGCTTTAAAAAAAAAAAAGTCTTCCACGCTGTATTTTTTACCATATCTTTTATATGTTTAGATGCACAAATGCTTCCCACTATGTTACAACTGCCTGTAGTATTAAGTACAGTAACATGTTGGATAGGCTTGTAGTCTAGGAGTAATAGGCTGTACCATATAGCCTAGGTGTGTAGTAGGCTACACCACCTGGGTTTGTGTGAGTATACTCATATGATGTTTGCACAAACAATGAAATCACCTAAGGATGCATTTCTTAGAATGTATTCTCATCATTAAGTGCCATATGACTACACCACATTGTTTGAATTACTATAGCCTTAAGATATGTTTTGGGTCAGGCACAGTGGCTCACACCTGTAATCCCAGCACTTTGGGAGGCCGAGGAGGGCGGATCACCTGAGGTCAGGAGTTCGAGACCAGCCTGGCCAACATGATGAAACCCCATCTCTACTAAAAATATAAAAAAAATTAGCCGAGTGTGGTGGTGGGTGCCTGTAATCCCAGCTACTCGGGAGGCTGAGGCAGGAGAATTGCTTGAACCCCGGAGATGGAGGTTGCAGTGAGCCGACATGATGCCACTGCACTCCAGAGTGAGGCTCAGTCTCAAAAAAAAAAAAGATGTTTTGATGTCTGGTAGAACAAATAACCTGCTGCCCACTATATACTGAAAATATTTTTTGGTTATTCTTGAGCTTTTTCTGATTCTAAAGCTCATAAATAAATCTGCAACTTTATAAACAGCCCTACTGAAATTTCTACTACAATCTTATGAATTTATAAATAAGTTAGAAGATACTGCTCTACTTCATGCAGGTCTCTGCTAATGTCACCTAGAGTGAGGCCTTCCCTTGTGCTCTATATGAGAGTGGCTCCCCTGGCACTTCCTACTTCCCTTAGTTTAGCTTTGTTTTTTTTTTTAGAGCTTCTCATCATCTGACATCTATATATTTTACTATATTTTTCCTGCCTTCTCTTCAACAACCCCCTCCCCCGCAATTTACCTAATAGGATATAAGCACCATAAAAGAGGGGACCTTAATTTGTTCATAGCTCTACCTGTAACTCCTAGAACACAAAGGACGAGCTAAAATGTTTATAAAATAAAAAAATCTTCAACAGTAAACATTCCAAACGAGGAATACAGTATTACAAGGAATACAGTATTACACTTTTTTTTTTTTTTTTTTTTTTTTTTTTTTTGAGACAGGGCCTGGCTCTGGTGCCCATGCTGGAGTGCAGGGGCAAGACTACAGCTCACTGCAACCTCTGCCTCCTGGACTCAAAGTGATCCTCTTGCCTCAGCCTCCTGAGTGCTGGGACTACAGGTGCATGTCACCATGCCTGGCTAATTTTTGTATTTTTTGTAGCGATGGGGTTTCGCATGTTGCCCACGCTGGTCTCGAACTCCTTGGCTTAAGTGATCCACCCACGTTGGCCTCCTGAAGTGCTGGGATTACAGGCGTAAGCCACTGCACCTGGCCCCTCTTTATTTAGGTCTGGTCTTTTGGTAAAGTTTGAGAGCTTTCTTAACACAGATTTTGTATTTCTAGTTTTATTCATATTTAAAAATTTTGGAAGAGATGGGGCCTCACTATGTTCCCCAGGCTGGTCTTGAACTGCTGGGCTCAAGAGATCCTCCTGACTCGGCCTACCAAAGTACCGAGATTATAGGCATGAGCCACCATGCCCGGCCTTCTTTACATTTTTGTTGGAATGCTATGATCTGCATATTTTGTGCTCATATGCAGCCACTTTTATCTTAGGCTAGAAACAGAAAAAAAAAGAAAACCCTTATTAAACTTGAGAAATGAGTACAGACTAGCCTTCATCTAGTTCAGGACTCCTACCATACCCACACCTTTTTACCTACTTTCTAGTCACAAAATAACTTTTCATCATTCTGAGCACACCACGTCCTTCCATGACTCCTTGCCTCTGATGTCATTCTGAGGCAGGGCTGAAATGAGAGACACCAGAGTGAGACCTTGCTTTAATTTATTTTGATGCCAAAGCTACCAAATTCTATTCTAAGAGAAGATCAGGCATGTAACAGTGTTTTTAAATTGCCGGCAGCAACCCATTAGTGGATCATGGCCATCATTTAAAAACGCTAATCTGAAGAATATCAGCACATATCACACAGAGTGAGGTCATTACTGCTTTATGAAACTTCTGTTACATGAACATATATGTGATGAAAAAAACTTATATGTCACTAAAACAAAATTGGAAATACACTGACATTTATAAAATGTATTGAGGAAGAGAAACTTGGCTTAAGTGTGTGGAGAGGGGAAGATGGAATAGGACGATGAGGGAAAGGAAGGAAGTAATAGCAACAAGGTTCTAAGAAGTGTTATTGAAGTGTGAGTCAGCAAAGACCTCAACTGGGCCAAAGCAGACAAGAGAAAGAGTTCTAAGGAAAATTTACACAGACTCTACCTCTATAAAATGACACTGAACTATTTGAAAAAAAGAAATCATATTTGCTTTTACCCATTTTATTCAATATCATTTTCCTGAGAAATATTAAACATTAAAACTTGGAATGTTTTGCTTTAAAGTTGCATCATAAATCATTCTTACCTTGCTCTCTCTTTCTAATTCACTTCGCAGCCATTCAAAGTCACTGTATCTTCTTCTAACAGTAGATTCTTTCAGCTTGAAAATAGGAAGATTTGTCTGAAACAAAAAAAGTTAGTCCTAAATTGAAGCACATTAAGGAAACTTCAAAAAAATGGGGGGACGGGTATGGCAAAACAAAAGAAATCATGACTTTCTTTTTCTTTTTTTGAGACAGAATCTCCCTTTGTTGCCTAGGCTGGAGTGCAATGGCACGATCTCGGCTCACTGCAAACTCCACCTCCCAGGTTCAAATGATTTTTCCGCCTCAGCCTCCCAAGTAGCTGGGATTACAGGCACCCACCATCATGCCCAGCTAATTTTTGTATTTTTGTAGAGATGGGGTTTTACCATGTTGCCCAGGCTGGTCTTGAACTCCTGACCTCAGGTGATCCGCCCGCCTCGGCCTCCCAAAGTGCTGGGATTACAGGCATGAGCCACGGCACCCGGCCGAAATCATGATGTTTTTAATATGACCTTTTACCCATAACAAAATAAAACTTTGCTAGTTCTTTTTTTTTTTTTTTTTTTTTTTTTTTTGAGACAGAATCTCACTGTCGCCCAGGCAGTGATGTGATCTTGGCTCACTGCAACCTCCACCTCCTAGGGTCAAGTGATTCTCCTGCCTCAGCCTCCCAAGTAGCTGGGATTACAGGCACTCGCCACCAGGCCTGGCTAATTTTCTTGTATTTTTAGTAGAGGCGGGGTTTCACCATGTTGGCCAGGCTGGTGGTCTCAAACTCCTGACCTCAAGTGATCTGCTGCCTCGGCCTCCCAAAATGCTACGCTTACAGGCCTGAGCCACTGCCTGGCCCACTAGTTCTTTAAAAGTATTTACACAAGAACACAACTTTTAAATGTACCTTTGCATGCATGCTTTTGGATGTCATTCTGCCTGAGGATATTTACATAAATGTAGGTCATTTTCTTATTATTTCAGTGAGCTTTAAAAATGTCAACTAAGCAGGGGTGAAAAAAGGCTAGCTCTTGACTATTCTCCAGCTTAGCTAGTACCTCAGCAAACAGTCCTCATAGGGGAAATATACCTTACCTTTTAATTTTTAAAATTTTATTTTCTTGGTGCTCATTCATCATAGCAAAACCCTAACCTATGTCTCAATGCCTATCACACTGCCCGTTGATGTAGAAGTTCTTTTTCTTCTCCCAGAGACAGGGTCTCACTCCATTGCCCAGGCTGGATTTAAACTCCTAGGCTCCAGCAATCCTCTCGCCTTGGCCTCCCGGGTAGCTGGGACTGCAGGGTCATACCACTGTGCTGGCTCACTTAACTACTTTTTTTGATTTATTTTTTTGAGGCAGAATCTCGCTCTGTCGCCCAGGCTGTAGTGCAGTGGCGTGATCTCGGCTCACTGAGATCTCCGCCGCCTGGGTTCACGCCATTCTCCTGCCTCAGCCTCCCAAGTAGCTGGGACTACAGATGCCCACCACCATGGCTCGCTAATTTTTTGTATTTTTAGTGGAGAGGGGGTTTCACCGTGTTAGCCAGGATGGTCTCCATCTCCTGACCGCGTGATCTGCCCACCTTAGCCTCCCAAAGTGCTGGGATTACAGGCGTGAGCCACCACACCTGGCCCACTTAGCTGCTTCTAAATGAAACCAAAATATTTTGTTATGAGGACTGGATTAGATCTTGCATAATAAAAGACCTAAATAAAACATTATTCTTAATGGCCTTCTAAAAAATGCCAAGAAAAGCAGGGAAAGTGCTGCATACAGTGTCTATGGGTCTTACCCCTAGTAGGAAATTAAATCGTACTCAGTAGACCAAGCTCATAAACCCAGAGCTTTAAAGGCGGAGGGCAAGTTTAAGAACTGAAAACATAACACCCAGTACTTTGAAGTTACACTGGAATGTAAGAAAATTTCTGGAGACTGTTCTTTTTAAGATTGCAAAGGCTACTTGTTGCCACTTCAGTCAACTTCTAAATTTAAAAAAAGTAACATGAAAGATTTCTATTATCTTTTACTGGATCCCCTTTAAAGAAAAAATATGCGGCAGGGCGCGGTGGCTCATGACTGTAATCCCAGCACTTTGAAAGGCTGAGGCGGGCGGATCACGAGGTCAGGAGATCGAGACCATCCTGGCTAACAGGTGAAACCTCGTTTCTACTAAAAATACAAAAAAACCAGCCAGACGTAGTGGCAGGCGCCTGCAGTTCCAGCTACTCAGGAGGCTGAGGCAGGAGAATGGCGTGAACTCAGGAGGCGGAGTTTGCAGTGAGCCGAGATCGCGCCACTGCACTCCAGCCTGGGCGACTGAGCGAGACTCCGTCTCCAAAAACAAAAACAACAACAAGAAAAAATATGCTAGGCCTGGCGTGGTGGCTCACGCCTGTAATCCCAGCTCTTTGGGAGGCCGAGGTGGGCCGATCACAAGGTCAGGAGTTCAAGACCAGCCTGGGCAAGAGACCAGCCTGGGCAGGAGATCAGCCTGGCTAATACGGTGAAACCCTGTCTCCACTAAAAATACAAAACTTAGCTGGGCATGGTGGCGGGCGCCTGCAATCCCAGCTACTTGGGAGGCTGAGGCAGGAGAACTGCTTGAACCCGGGAGGTGGAGGTGGCAGTGAGCCGAAGATCGCTCCACTGCACTCTAGCCTGAGCGACAGAGTGAGACTCTGACTCAAACAAAACAAAACAAAAAAAAGATGCTACCAAATCCAATAAAAAATGGTTTATGACTAAAAACACTAAAGACTATTAGGAGTGGTATGAGACCAGTATTTTATCATTAAGAATAGATTTTAGGCCAGGCATGGTGGCTCATGCCTGTAATCCTAGTGCTTTGGGAGGCTGAGATGGGAGGACTGCTTGAGGCCAAGAGTTACCAGCCTGGGAAACATAAGAAGATTCCATCTCTACAAAAAATAAAATAAATTTACTGGGTATGGTGGCATGTGCCTGTAGTCCTAACTACTTGGGAGGCTGAGGTGGGAGGATCTCTTGAGCCCAGGAGTCAGGAGTTCCAGACTGTAGTGAACTATGATTATGATTGCACCACTGCACTCCAGCATGGGCAACAAATGAGACCCTCTCTCTCAAAAAAAAAAAAAAAAAAAAAAAGGAGAAGAAAGATTTTATTTTATTTGAGAATTTTATTTGAGACAGGGTTTCACTCTGTAACCCAGGCTGGAGAGCAGAGGCATGATCATGGCAGGGTCAAGTCAAGTGATTTCTCCTACCTCAACCCCCTGTGTAGCTCAGACTATAGGCGCATGCCATCACATCTGGCTAATTTTTGTACTTTTGGTGAGACAGGGTTTCACCATGTTGCTCAGGCTGGTCTTGAACTCCTGAGTACACGCAATCCATCTGTATTGGACTCCCAAAGTGCTGGGATTACAGGCATGAGCCACCGTGCCCAGCCAAAAAGATTTTAAAATGTGCAAATTATCACAAAGTTTGTAGGAGACAGAAATGACTTAACATAATAACTAATGCCATACCCTACCAAAAATACTACTCAACACTATATATTCTCTTAGATTATATTCTGTCCGTTAATTCAGACTTTGAACTAATTAGCACAGAATTTGCATAGAACTAAAAAGTGTTTTACAATTGGAAGAAAAAAGTTAAGTGCCACCTGAAGGAAAGACTGGCTTCCTACTGTGTATACAGGGACATCATCTTGTAATATTCACTCCTAAGAAAGTTCTACTTATTTGTTAAGCTTAATGCTACTGGTAAGTAGCTGTCACTCAGCACAAGAAAAGCTTTTAATTCAGGCCCTTAAATCCATTTTGTAGTGGTCTCAATTTTTTCCTAAGTGTATTAACTTCTCTATGTTGTATACCTTACAGCTCAGAATTTTCAACAGATGCTATTGGGCATAACAGTGTATAGGTTTCAAGCATGAAACCAAATCTCACAAGAGATTTAAAAGCACTTGAATTTTCTTTCCCAGGTAACCACAACATTTGTTCATTGTATAAATGACTAAGGAAAAAATTGCACCTAACAAGACTCTTATTATACTAAAAGTCAAGCTTATATTTAAAGATGCTGGCTTGTTGTACAGAGGGTATTCTCATTCCCCACAGGGAATAAAATTAGGTCCCCTGGAGAGTAGAATAATTCCCAGAAAGAAAGCACTGGATTATTTCTCTCTAATTTCACCTATTGGCTTTTTAACCAAGTTCACCCTTCCGCATTAAAATATTAAGTCTTTGTAAATGCCTTAAAGATAAAAAGGCCTTTACAGAGTTGAGTGTTTTCTGCAGGTGAGATTTTACATTCTGAATTCCCTCCTCTCAAATTACTTTACAAAGGGGATTAACTGCTCTCTTTATTCAAATACGTTAAGATCAAGCTTGCGAAAAGAGTCCCCTAAGAATTTTCATACTTCTGGGTACGGAAGTCTATAAAGTTAATCTCTGAAACAACATATCAAGCTTACAGGTACAATGTTGAGAGAAGAGTGCCAATTCAGCTCATTTTACCTTCCATTTTCCCTTTTGAACTTTTGACACAATCATGATTATATCTGATTCACTCTAACAGAAAGGGGAGGGGTGAGGGGGAAAAGTACTTTCCCTTCTATGATTAGCTAATAGTTTGATAGTTTATATACTTAAATTTAGAGGACCATGATTAGCTTAAGAAAGTTCCTTTAGTTTTCTTAACTGGTTATGATTTCTCTTTTTGCATGAGGACTGCTTTAGAGTTTAAAGTCACATCAAGAAATTCAAACATCACTTGCCCATTACATATGCAGTGGTTAACTTAGCCTGTTAAACGTCTTCCTCATCATTACAAGGATTTGTAATTCAATGTAACTGATTAAAATAACTAAGTGCAAAATGTGGGTTTTTTTTTTTTGTTGTTGTTGTTGTTTAAGGTACTGAACTATCACTGCTGAAACTCCTGTGATTGGTCACTTTCAATTTATTTAACTTTCATAAAATGATTGAAGGGCGGAGAGGTTTTTTACCTACAGCTTCAGGAGGACTAAACTATTATTTACTGATCATCTATAAAAGGGCACCATGCTAGATAAGGGAGAATCATTATTTATAATGATGAATAAGATGCAGACCTGGCCCTTATGAAACATACACCAATCAAGGTTAGAAAATAAGCATATAAAAAGTTGAATTTCCATGGTTAAAAATACTACAAACTGGCTGGGCATGATGGCTCAAGCCTGTAATCCCTGTACTTTGGAAGGCTGAGGTGGGAGGATCACAGGAGTTTGAGACCAGGCTGGGCAACATGGTGAGACCCCCATCTCTACAAAAAATAAAAAATTAGCTGGGCAGGCTGGGCGTGGTGGCTCATGCCTGTAATCCCAGCACTTTGGGAGGCCAAGGCGGGTGGATCATCTGAGGTCAGGAGTTCGCGACCAGCCTGGACAACATGGTGAAACCCTGTCTCTACTAAAAACACAAAAATTAGCCAGGCATGGTGGCGGGTACCTGTAATCCCAGCTACTCGGGATGCTGAGGCAGAACTGCTTGAACCCGGGAAGCGGAGACTGCAGTGAACCAAGATTGCGCCACTGCACTCCAGCCTGGGCAACAAGAGCGAAACTCTGTTTAAAAAAAAAAAAATTAGCTGGGTATGGTGGCACATGCCTGTAGTGGGAAGATAAGGTGTCAGGATGGCTTCAGCCTTCGAGGCTGAGGCTGCATGAGCTGTGATCACATCACTCACTGTATTTCAGCCTGGGTGACAGAGGGAGACGGTCTCAAAAAAAAGGGGGGCATTTTGGTGAATACATTATCCATTACTCTATTAAATACACATAACTTTTGAATGAACAATTTCAATGGGAATTAATCCTACAAATATTTCCACACATACAAAAATATTTTAGCATTGTAATAGACACAAAAAAAAACCCCAAAAAAGACCAGAAACAATAAATCTTACATTACAAGCTTATATTACACAGCTTTTTACAAAATATAACTCAGCCATAGGTTAATCAGAAAAGCTGTCTAGAATGTATGACATGTAAAAAGTTTCAGGCTGGGTGCGGTGGCTTATGCCTATAATCCCAGCACTTTGGGAGGCTGAGGCGGGTGGATCACTTGAGGTCAGGAGTTCAAGACCAGCCTGGCCAATACAGTGAAACCCCATCTCTACTAAAAATACAAACATTAGCCGGGTGAGGTGGCACGAGCCTGTAATTCCTGCTACTCCGGAGGCTATGGCAGGATAATCGCTTGAACCCGGGAGGCGGAGGTTGCAGTGAGGTGAGATCATGCCACTGCACTCCAGCCTGGGCGACAGAGCGAGACTCCACCTCAAAAAAAAAAAAAAAAAAAAAGTTTCAGAACAGTATATTATATAGCATAATACCATTTGTATAATATGAAAAGCACGGAAGAATTGACAATTGATTTGGCCCGGATTCATTCATTCTTTCCCCTCCTTTTCTTTCCTTTCCTCAGTCTCTCTGCTTCCCCTCCCTCTCCCCCTCCCTCCCTCCCCTTCCTTCCTTTAGAGACAGGGTCTCCCTAAGTTGCTCAGGCTGGTCTTGAACTCCTGGGCTCAAGGGATCCTTCCACCTCAGCCTCCCAAAGTGCTGGAATATGAGGTGTGAGCCACTGCGTACGGCCAGTCAGGACTCTTTTTCGTTTTGTTTGTTTTTGAGACAGAGTTTCGCTCTTGTCGCCCATGCTAGGGTAAAATGGCGCGAGTGCAATGGCCTCAGCCAGGACTCTTTTAACACAGAGCTAGCCATACTATAAGACAGCTGAAAATGGTGAAAATAGTGTGAGCTAAATGCAGAGAAGAAACAAGTACAGTGTATATTTAGTATATAATTCTTGAATATTCTAAAGCATAGGGAATGATGGGAAATAAAACTGAAAAGTTTAAATTGCACTCTAAATATGGGGCTAAGGTGACTACCTGTGAGCATCAGGAGTTAATAAATATGTTTGAATAGAAAAATGATAGCTATGAACAGAAAAAATAGAACAGAGAAGTTACTACAGAAGTAGAAGCCACAGATGAGCTGCATGTAGCATTAAGGTGTAGAATTAAGAACAGATGGCTCTAGTTGATTCCTAGGTTTATCTGCTTTGAAATGTATGGACAAGAGTCAGACTACTGAGGCAAATTACAGCAAAAATCCCTTAAAGGTTTTATCTTGGATGCCACTTTAAATGCTCTAGATTTACCCAGAAAGAATGCTGAATTCTGAAATTAAATGTAAATCAGGCTTAAATATTGTTAACTTACTTTAAGATGACTAAAACTTTTGAAATTTAAACAGCAAGATTTAGTATTCTCTCACTCTAATATTCATATTTTCCCCCTAATTTTAAGAGAAGTTGCTTAGTATCAGGCTGAGTATAAAGTGGAAGCCACAATTTTCTTCCTAGCTACTGTTCATTTTATTTCTTAACAGGTAAAAGTGTTAAATACAACCATCTGTATGAAATAATATTTGTAGGAAATACAAGAAATATGTTATTTGTGGGAAATAACAATAGATCAGCCGATGTGGGCACAGTGATCACAGACAGGTAAGATGGGAGACAAGCAAAAGTAAAGTACAGCATAGGGCAAGAACCAAAAAGTAAGCCACAGCCTTCATCTATTTGTATAGGTATATACTAGTAAATGCTGAAGATTCTGAGTTTGAGTAACCCTGGACTACTTTAGACTTCAATTTTGTTCATGGAGTTCAAAAGTTCTGCAAATCACGTTTCATCATAAATCTGAAGCAAAGACAGAGGCTCAAATAATCTGGATAGCTCTCAAGGGTTCTATATTAGAAACCCAATATTAACAGTCACTTAAAGCTTATGTCAGGGCCCAAACTAACATTAAAAGAGCAGAGAACTGTAATTACCTGCATCTCAAAAAAGTTAAGTTGGTTTCCTGGAATCCACTGAGTCCATAAAACTATGTTATTCCACACTCAAAACATGCCTTTGTTAATTGTTATTTGCCAAATGCTAGTTAATTTGTTACCACTACTTAGTAACATTTCTTTGGAAAACTATAAAATAGATCACCAACATTATCAAAGAAGACAGGCAAAAAAAGAGGGTCTCCCTGTGTTGCCAAGGGTGGAGCACAGAGGCAACATCCTAGCGCGCTACAGGCACTTGGGCTGGAGGGATCCTCCCACCTCTGGTGGTGTTTTTTTTTTTTTTGAGACACAGTCTCCCTTGTCACTCAGGCTGGAGTGCAATGGCGCGATGTCGGCTCACTGCAACCTCCGCCTCCTGCCTCAGCCTTCCGAGTAGCTGGGATTACAGGCACGCGCCACCACGCCCGGCTAATTTTTTGTATCTTTAGTAGAGACGGGGTTTCACCATGTTGGCCAGGCTGGTCTTGAACTCCTGACCTCGTGATCCACCCGCCTCAACCTCCCAAAGTGCTGAGATTACTGGCATGAGCCACTGCACTCAGCCCTCTGGTTGTTTCTTTAGTCACCTTTAATCTAGAAGAGTCGCCCCCTGTCTTGTTGTCATTCAAGACACTGACAATAAAGAGTTCAGAGCAACATTCTACATTTGGGTTTGTCTGTTTCCTCATGACCAGCTTTGTTTTGCATTGTTGGCAGTAATGTTCCTAAATGGCAGGAGTGTTGATGCTTTCCATCGGAAGGCACATAATGTCAGTTTGTCCCATTACTGGGTCACTTGGTAAGGAGAGGTCAGATTCCTCCAATAGTTATCTTTTCCCCACCTTTTAATTCCTTTTTCCTGAACCAGCCCTTCATAATAAAATTTATTGCCATTTAGAATTTGCCTAGCTAATTCGAACTTACAGAACTATCAGACCACAAAATAAACTCTGCTTCTTAGAGAATTCACATTTTTAGGTGAAGTTATTTATCTAACTTTAACCATTAGGAGAGATTGCTTTACTGAAGGAAAGCCCCACTCCCTGCCAAATACAGTGTGAATATACCGATGTATTAAGTACAGAATGTTTTCAATTTGTTGATTTAATAAACAGAATTAAACAAGGGTTTATAGTCTACTTGGATATTTGTACTCTTCTGGAGAAATTCGGGGTAATGCTCAAGCTGCTGGGTATCTTGCTTTTCATTTGCAAGATGAGAATATATTTTGCTTGGCTTATGAAAAAGTGATGAAATAATTACAAGATCCTGGGACATTCAAAGAACTAGAAAAGAACAAGACTAAAAACCTGAATTGTTCAATGTTATTTTGTTGTTGTCTATTTGTTCTAATATACCAGGAACAAAACTGCAAAGCAATAAAATGTTAAAAGAGATATGTGTATGCCGGATACTCTTAAACTACTATTTTTATAAAAGAGAAACCAGCCATTTTCCACAAAAAGTATTACTAATCACACAGGGTAAGATCATCAGGAATGCAAATGGATATTACATACTAAGGAAAAGATTTCTCAAACCATGGTATAGAGGTCTAAAACAAGTGCTCCCTTCAAGTCTAAGCACAGGAAACTACCACATTATTGGTCTCCAAAAAGGTAGGTCTTATACACTTACACAGGCTGACCTATTAAAGTCAGCAGCTCACAGATACCCTATATGTTACCTGATTATCACTGATAGCCAAGCAGAAAACCAAGCCTCAAAATGTGATCACCTGAATATAGCTTAACAATAGATATTAGAAAAATGTTTACTAGGTGTTTCTAGTATTTCTTCAGATAGTGTCACGTGTACATTTGAAAAGAGACTGGCAACAACATCAAAAGTATATTCAATAGGCCATACTCTATTCAACCAATCCTAAGAGATGTAAATGGATGCCCCACTACAGTTCTCATTAAACAGCTGCATTTCTCCAAATATCTACATCTAGAGATAAAAGATAAACTGAGAAGTGCTTAAGCTATTGCTTCACCCTTCAGTACTTTTGATACCTGTTTTACCCAATCTGGAACAGCATGAATAACTGGAGATATGGTTTATAACCTAGATGAACTCTTAATAAGGCTGAGAAGAAGTCATTTAAATGAAGAATAAGCTTTTAGTCCAGAGAACCTTTGAAATGTAGATTGTCACTAAGCCAACGTATTTAGTTTCTTTCTTTAAAAAATAAGGACATGCCTTCCAGTGATACAATTCCTCCTTATTTTAAAAGAAGTATCCTTTATGGTATAATTTCCAAAACAGTAGAGAATAAATTATCTAGACTAGCTTAAATGCATAAACCAAGGAATTCCAGATACTTTTCCTACATTGTCCATATTCTTCATTTGTGAATTAGCAACAAGACTCATTGGAGAGCTCACACAAGGTTTTCAATGAGTAATCTCTAATGAAACTGTGCATTAATAATTCTATTTTAAAGGAAAATTCATTCATAACAATTCATGAAGATTTACATAATCCTACAGGCTTATGCTGAAATAAAACTGTCTATTAATAGTCTAACACCTTTTTTGGACAATCTTTAAAATGCAAAACTATTTTCTGGTGTCTTCCCAACTTGTCCAATCCTAAGAAACACACTCAAGTGACGCCAACTAGAGAATCTCATGCAACTGATCTAGGGTGGAATCTGAAAATCAGTATTTTCAAATGATTCTCAAGTGCATCCAGGGTCAAGAACTGCTGCCCTAGGAGTTCGAGACCAGCCTGGCCAACACGGTGAAACCCTGTCTCTACTAAAAATACAAAAATTAGCCGGGCATGGTGGCACACGCCTGTAATCCCAGCTACTCGGGAGGCTGAGGTGGGAGAATCGCTTGAGCCCGGGAGGCGGAGGTTGCAGTGAGCCAAGGTTGTTCCAGTGCACTCCAGCCTGGCTGAAAGAGCGAATAACTGCTGCCCTAGAGTTAATAAATGTGAAAGAGGGTAGGAACTTGGGAATTTGTACAATCACCAAGTAATTCTGGTTTAGCTTAGCTGGGACAGATATGGGCGATAATATTTTACCTCTTTAAGGGTAGTGATTTGGAATAATACTGTGAGAATGGAGTGTAAAGTCATTATAAGTAAAACTGTGATGTGGAAGCCAGTTAAAGAATATTGGTTAAGAAGCTCTATTCAGTAAGTACTCGTATTTTCTAAGCTTCTACATATGGTGCATCAGGCAGCTATGGACTACAGGGATCTCAAGACATCCTCCTCAAGGGTTATATTTACATTATATTTACAGTGTAAAGAGGGGGTGGGGAGGGGAGAGCGGAATACTCTTCCAAGATTCATTACATGTAGCATTTACAGCCGCAATTTATCACACAGCTCTTTGATGTTTGAATGAAAGGGTGGAGACCAGTATTTGAGTAATCAAGGCAAAATTAAAATATATAAAAAACATATATATATATATATAACATATACATGTGACAGCTGGGTGCAGTGGCTCACGCCTGTAATCCCAGCACTTTGGGAGGCCGAGGCGGGTGGATCACCTGAGGTCAGGAGTTCAAGACCAGCCTGGCCAATATGGCAAAACCCGTTTCTACCAAAAGCATAAAAATTAGCCAGGCGTGGAGGCATGTGCCTGTAGTTCCAGCTACTCGGAGGCTGAGGCAGGAGAATCGCTTGAACCCAAGAGGCGGAGGTTGCGGTGAGCCAAAATTGCACCACTGCACTCTAGCCTGGGCAACAGAGTGAGGCTCTGTCTCAAAAAAACAAAACAAAACAAAACATATACATGTGAATATATTGAGTTTGCATGGTAGACTTATAAAAGATATCCTTACAATTAAAAAACATACATATTGACTTGTAGATACTCCATTTCAGTATATAGCCTTTTAGATTTTTATATATACAAATCTTATTTTTATTAAATATATTATCAGTTTCTCATATCATTAACATGATTATATACAGACATCCCTGGGTGAGAGGCTGTATAGTACAATGATGAAGCACACAGTTCTGGAACTAGAAAATCTGGCTTTAATCTGGATTCCTGCATTAACCAGCTATCTAACTCTAGGCAAAATGCAATGGATGAAAACTAAATGAAGCCTTGATACAGATCCAGGGAGTTT
Organism: Homo sapiens; assembly: GCF_000001405.40. NCBI lineage: Eukaryota > Metazoa > Chordata > Mammalia > Primates > Hominidae > Homo > Homo sapiens. The sequence continues at coordinate 108,234,926 of NC_000006.12, forward strand.
AAATATTTTCCTTAGAATAAACCCTAAAGGTGAAATTACTAGGCCAAAGACTATAAATGTTAAGTCTTCGAGTTGTCCTCCAGAAAGGCTACTTTGCTATAGAATGAGAAGGAACACTGCAGTAGTAGTAGCTACTTTGGTAGCCTACAACAAACCATGACACTCAATATTTAAATATCTTTTTGTATCCTCTCTCACATTGGCTTGGCCATGTGACTGCCTTTGATCAAACATTTGTGAATTGGGGCCTGTCCTCTTGGAACATTTGTTCATAAAGACATTCTCTCTTGCGATCCTGTCACCGTTATTCTGTGAGAAGTCTAACTCTCCCCATGAAGGAGAACTGAGGACCTGATCTACATCTCCATCTGATATCCCAGCTGGCAGCCAGCCATATGACCGAGTTATCTCAAAAATAAATCCTCCAGTCCCAGTCAAGTGGCCCCACAGATATCAAGTGGAACAGAGACAAGCCATGACTTCAAGACCTGACCAAACTGTAGAACTGTAATGAAGTGAATGTTTAATTGTAACTGTTTTCGGTCACCAACTTTTAGGGTTTTTACATAGCAATAATCAACTGAAGCAATAACCTGACTTTGGTAGAGTTATGCTAAACAAGATGCAGATCATGAGAAGACAGTATTTCATCTCTAAAAACTTGGTAACTCAAAAGTACATAGACTTGGGCCAGGCACGGTGGCTCACACCTGTAATCCCAGCATGTTGGGATGCCGAGGTGGGTGAATCACTTGAGGTCAGGAGATCACGACTAGCCTGCCCAATATGGTAAAACCTCGTCTCTACTAAAAATACAAAAATTAGCCGGGCATGGTGGTGCATGCCTGTAGTCCCAGCTACTTGGGAGGCTGAGGCACAAGAATCACATGAAAGCGGAGGTTGCAGTGAGCTGATACCACGCACTGCACTCCAGCCTCGGCGACAGAGTGAGACTCTACCTCAAAAAAAGAAAAAGTATATAGACTTGTTATTTATTCAACTCTTCGCTGTTTAGTTCTTTTCTACTTCCTTAATTAGCTTCTGATTATATTCTGAGTAGTTGAAGTTCCTCAATAATACAGAAAAGTCAATTAATTCTCAATTATTCAGCAAGGAAAGTATTCCTTCATAATTTAGAAATCTGATAAAATCAGCTAAAGTTTTTCTATGCTAAAGAAAGGTAAGATTCTAAATAAAAACTGTAATTGAAGACTGAGTTGCTCTCTACAATAAATAACTTAATAAACCTCTAAGAATAGTCATATGAAACAGTTTTGGCCGGGCACGATGGTTCGTGCCTGTAATCCCAGGACTTTGGGAGGCTGAAGCAGGATGATTGCTTGAAGCCAGGAGTTCAATACCAACCTGGCCAACAAGCAAGACCCTGTCTCTCTCTCTACCTCTCTTTATATATATATATATAAAACAGTTTCCACCTATATTATTATTATTATTTTTTTTTTTTTTTTTTTTTTTGAGACGGAGTCTCGCTCTGTCGCCCAGGCTGGAGTGCAGTGGCGGGATCTCGGCTCACTGCAAGCTCCGCCTCCTGGGTTCACGCCATTCTCCTGCCTCAGCCTCCCGAGTAGCTGGGACTACAGGCGCCCGCCACTACGCCCGGCTAATTTTTTGTATTTTTAGTAGAGACGGGGTTTCACCGTTTTTTTTTAGCCGGGATGGTCTCGATCTCCTGACCTCGTGATCCGCCCGCCTCGGCCTCCCAAAGTGCTGGGATTACAGGCGTGAGCCACCGTGCCCGGCTTCCACCTATATTATAAAAGAACAAAACTAAGCTGTTTCTTCAAAGCTTGAAGTATTACTTGGAAAACTATAAAAAACATGAAAATGAATGTTTAATAAGTCTAAATTCTCTAACACATGAGTGATACATATATTAATAAACTCTTCCAGTCAGAGTGATTAGCTATAACAGCAACTAGACATCATGACATTAAACACTATACACACGCATATGCTTTAAATTTGCAGATTGACAGTAGTGCCATTACAATACTTTACTCCTTTCATAAAGCTCCACAAAGAATGTTTATTGTTCTAACAGTCTGACAGTACTCAAATCACTTAACATAAAAATCTTTTTATTAGAAATGGAAAGTAACTCTTTGTCTAAGAATCCCCTAAATAAACCACGGCTAAGAGAAGCTGCAACTTGCCATCAAAAGTTTCAATACATAATCAGCTTAGCACAATTTAAAATATTTTCTGGCTACTATATCTTCTTTAACTGTTAGGTATAATAAGTGGTTGAGGTAGAGCTGGAGAGCAGAATATTCTGGTTCTTTTCCTCATAATTTAAAATTGATTTCTAAGTACTTTGGCCACCTTTCTCTCCACCTTCCAATACCTTCCCCTCTACTCTGAGTTGCAGAGTTTGTAAGAAAAGGATATCATTCCAGATCCTTTATCTCTAGCCCTCAAATCTTACTTGGAAGCATGGTAAGATTTTAAACCATGATATCTATAAATATTGATTATGGCAGCTCATTAGCCATTAAAATGATGTTACTTAGAATGCTAATAAGTGTACAACATAAAAGGCATTAAGAATCTACCATGAGGCCAGGTGCGGTGGCTCACGCCTGTAATCTCAGCACTTTGGGAGGCCGAGGCAGGCGGATCGATCACCTAAAGTCAAGAGCTCGAGACCAGCCTGGCTAACATGGTGAAGCCCCACCTCTACTAAAAATACAAAAATTAGCCAGGCATGGTGGTGAGCGCCTGTAATCCAGCTACTCAGGAGGCTGAGGCAGGAGAATCACGTGAACCAGGGAGGCGGAGATTGCAGTGAGCTGAGATCGTGGCACTGCACTCCAGCCTGAGGGACAAGAGTGAGACTCTATTTCAAAAAAAAAAAGAATCTACCATGATGGGCTGGGTGTAGTGGCTTGTGTCTGTAATCCCAGCACCTTGGAAGGCTGAGGTGGGCTGATCACTTGAACTCAGGAGTTTGAGACCAGCCTTGGCAACATAGCAAAACCCTATCTTCACTAAAAATACAAAATTAGCCCGGCATGGTGGCACGCGCCTGTAGTCTCAGCTACTCGGGAGGCTGAAGTGGGAGATCACCTGAGCCCAGGAGGTCAAGGATGAAGATGAAGTAAGCTGAGATGGCACCACTGCACTCCAGCCTGGGCAACAAAGTGAGATCCTGTCTCAAAAAAAAAAAAAAAAAAACAAACAAAAAAAGAATCAACTATAATGGATACCCCTCTCCTCCAAAAAGAATCTACCATGAACTAAGTACATGAACATTGTCCCTGCATTAGCTGATTTTATGACACAGTTAAGAATTATAAGAGGATACCCAAGCAGAGTAGGTGTCACAGAACAGACAAACATAGGTCAGGAAAGAGAATTAAAGAGATGGAATACCACTGGGGAGGTTTCTGTAAGAGAGTACATAATCTTTGGAGTACATTGTGATAAAAACATGTATATACAATGTTTTAGGCTCAGAGGCTTTAAAGCTAACAAAAATTTTCTAAGTATACTTTTTACAGCCACTTACACCACTACATATCAAAAGTGTTCATGAGAGCCAGGTGCGGTGGCATGTGCCTGTAGTCCCAGCTACTAGGGAGCCTGAGGTAGGCGGATCCTTTGAGCCCAGGAATTTGAGGGCAGCCTAGGCAACACAGTGAAACCTCCACCTCAACCGCCATAAAAAAGAAAATTTTTTTAAAAAGTGTCCAAGTTTTCATGCTTGTATTTGTGGATGAAGAGTTTAAAGCCTCTTATTTTTCCGCTCACCTAAGAAATTCCAGGTTTTATTCACTAAGGCTGTATCTTACAGAAACACACAAAGTTCAAATAATTGGTATATCACTTTTGTAGTGGAAGTTCTTGACATGTTGCATGGGGTGGGGGGAAAATGCAAACAAACATATGTAAGTATAATTCAATATTTGCTTTGTACCAATGATAGGAGCTAACCACAAACTTGTGACACCTTTTCTTTCTTTTTTTTTTTTTGGAGACAGAGTCTCACATGGTCACCCAGGCTGGAGTGCCATGTGCAATCTCGGTTCACTCAAACCTCCACCTCCTAGGTTCAAGCGATTTTCCTATGTCAGCCTCCCGAGTAGCTGGAATTACATGCATGTGCCCCCACACCCAGCTAATTTTTTTGTATTTTTAGTAGAGACGGGGTTTCGCCACATTGGCCAGGCTGTTCTCGAACTCCTGACCTCAGGTGATCCACCCGCCTCAGCCTCCCAAAGTGCTGGGATTACAGGCGTGAGCCACTGTGCCTAGCCCTTGACACCTTTTCTGATTCCTGGAAGTAGCAGGGAAAAATGAATTAGTCAAGCAGACCCGGGTTCGACTCCTCTTTCTGGAACTCATTAACAGTACGATCATGCCAAATTACTTTCCTTCTCTAATCTGAGTTTTACCATCTTTAAAATGAGCCAGGTGCAGTGGCTCATGTTTGTAATCCCAGCTACTCAGGAGCACTGCTTGAGGCCAAGAGTTCAAGACAAGCCTGGGCAATATAGCAAGACCCTGTCTCTTAAAAGAAAAAGAAAGAAAATACTGTCACTTACCTTAATAATTAAGTAGAAACTATTATTATACATTCTTCTCACACATTCTCACAAGTTATCACTTACTGAATACTTAATGTAGGGCAAATATTATGCCTTAAGTCACATTTACTCCTCTGAAGTTTTATTTTATGGCCGAAGACATTCAAAAGAGAAGAATTAAGTAACTTGTTCAAGGTCACATGTCCATTAACAGAGAGAGGATTCTTACACACGTTCAACTTCAAAGTCCATGCTCTAAAGTCACACTATGGTTATAGTACTTGACCCAAAGCAGATATTAAATAAACCTTTAAAACTCTACTAAATGAGCATTTAATGAATATCTCAACAACTACTATGTTCAAGGGGCCTGGAAATATTTGATTAAGAAGCTTCTAAAAACATTTAAACACTGCATAAAAAGTGTTTCTGAGCACCTATAAATTAAGAGTAAAAGCATAATAATGTGAAGAAAAACATAATATGAATAAGACCATTTCTCTTAAAAATATGAGAACCTAAAAGAAAGGTATAAAGTAAAAAGGTAAAGGGGGAACTGCTGGAATAGTAGAGTGAGCTCAACAGAGCGTCTCTCCAAAATTCAATGAAAAAACTAGACAAACATGTCAAACCACTATATCAGAACTCAGGAAAGTGGGCACAGGTGTATAACAAATTGAAAAGTAATCATTCAAGAAAAACTACTCAACTCAGTTATGAAGAGCAGAAGTCTGTGTGTGGGTTTGTTTTTGTTTTTGTTTTTGAGAAGGAGTCTCGCTCTTGTTGCCCAGGCTGGAGTGCAGTGGTGCGACCTCGGCTCACTGTAACCTCTGCCTCACTGGTTCAAGCAATTCTCCTGCCTCAGCTTCCCAAGTAGCTGGGATTACCGGCACCCACCACCACGCCTGGCTAATTTTTGTATTTTTAGTAGATATGGAGTTTCACCATGTTAGCAAGGCTGGTCTCAAAATCCTGACCTCAGGTGATCCACACGCCCTGGCCTCCCAAAGTGTTGGGATTACAGGCATGAGCCACCATGCCCGGCCAGAAGTCTGTGTGTTTTAACCTAGGGCTATTGTTACCATGCTCCACCAGCTCTATCAATGGTAGTTCTACCAGGATGTGGCAAGCTGTGAAAACCAACACCATCACTGCTGGAGGGGGGCCACTGGTCAGGAGTAGAATATAGAAGTCCCAAATGCAGGACTATTGTTGAAACCAACAGCAACATTGGCAGCAAACAGTGGGGAAGGCTAATATTGCGGCAACCCAAGGTTGCAATACTGGGGGCAAGCAATGAACCAGCAGACTTACCAGAAGAATTACATAGCCATGGTGGGGCCTTGATTAACTCCCAAGTATCTGTGGAGGTCTGAAAATCTGTGTGATGTCGGGCGCAGTGGCTCACGCCTATAATCCTAGCACTTTGGGAGGCTGAGGCGGGTGGATCACGAGGTCAGGAGTTCGAGACCACCCTGGCCAACACGGTGAAACCCTGTCTCTACTAAAAATACAAAAAATTAGCTGGGCATAGGGGTACATGCCTGTAATCCCAGCTACTTGGGAGTCTGAGACAAGAGAATCACTTGAACCTGGGAGGTGGAGGTTGCAGTGAACCACGATTGCGCGCCACTGCACTCGAGCCTGAGCGATAGAGCAAGACTCCGTCTCAAAAAAAAAAAAAAAAAAAAAAAAAAGTATGTGTGCTTACACAAAGCTGTATGCATGCTCAGCTGGAGAGAACCCTAGTTATCTAAACATCCATGGCTGAATGAGACCTTTCACAGACAAGGGAGAGCCATGGACATGAGAAGACGGCACGAAGTAAAAGCTGGGGCGAACTTGTAAACTGCCTGAACTTTGACTTGTTCCCCAACCTGCACTGGCAAAAAGCAGAAGCTGGTCAGGTGCAGTGGCTCACGTCTGTAATCCTAGTACTTTGGGAGGCCAAGGTGGGAGGACTGCTTGAGGCCAGGAGTTCAAGACCAACCTGGCCAACAGAACAAGATCCTGTCTCTTAAAAAAAGAAAAAGGCTGAAGCCTCACTGGCTCAAGTAGCTACGCATAACCTTTGACCAGTCATTTCTGACCACTGAGATAAGCTGACAAACTGACTCAGGGTGACCCTTAGAAAACCTGGCTTAAAAAAAAAAAATTGATCCGTGCTATCACCACCTCATACTACAGACTTAATGTGGGCAAGTCCCTAAAAAAAATAAATAGCAACCACCACCTCCCCTTTGGGGAGGGGCAGGAGGCAATCTAACTCAGAGTCTCTACAACGTATTATCTAAAATGTTCAGTTTAACAAAAAATTATGAGACATGCAAAGAAACTGGAAAGTGTGAGCCATAGACAGGAGGATAAAAAGTCAGAAAATGTCTCTGGGGTGGTTCAGCTGTTCAGCTGTCCAGGATTTCCAAGCAGCTATCAATATGTTCAAATTAAAGGAAACCATGCTTAAAGAACTGAAAGACAGCATGATGACAATGATTCAAGGAATAGAGAATCTCAACAAAAAGATTATTTAAAAAACACTGAATTGGACCTCTACAGCTGAAAAGTATAATAGCTGAAATGAAAAATTAACTGAAGGGGATCAACAGTGGATTCAAACTGGCAGACAAAAGCATCAGCAAACTTGAAGACACATCAAGAAACTGTCCATTCTGAAAAGCAGAAAGAAAGAAAAAAATAAGAATGAACAGAGCATCAGGGACCTGTAGGATACTAACAAGCATATCAACACACATGTAATGGGAGTCCCACGATGAGAGAAAGAAACAATAAATAATGGCTGAAAACTTAAAAAAATTTGACTAAACCCTTAATCTATACATCCAAGAAGCTCAATGAACTCTAAGTAGGATAAACACAAAGAGATTCCCACCCAATAAACATCACAGTAAAAAGCCAAAGAAAAGCAAAATCTTGAATACAGTGGCAAGAGAAATCTACTCATCACTACAGGGGACCCATAATAAGATTAACAGCTGACTTCTCACCAGAAACAATGGAGACAAGGAAGCAACAGCATATTCAGAGCGCTCAAAGAAAAAAAGAAAATCAACAAAGAATTCCCTATCCAGCGTGGTAGGCTGAATTCCAAGATGGTGCCTAAAATTGCCACCCCTTGGCATACACACCTCCCCTAGAATGTGAGTGAGGCCTATGAATGCAATGGATGTCACTTCCATAATTAGGTTACATTACATGGCAAAGGTGAAGGGATTTTACAGATGTTAAACTCCCTAATCAGTTTGACTTTGACTTCACCAAGTTTTGTGAGTAGTCTTGACTTAATTAGGTGAGCCCCTTAAAAGGGGGCTTTAGTCTTCCCTGAGATCAAAGAGATTTTTTCCACTGGCCTTTAAGAGGAAGGCTACTCTAAACTTACAGCTCCAAGAAAATTAATACTGCCCACAACTATGTAAGCCTGGAAGAGAACTCCCGGGCCTCAGATGAAACCACAACCCCGACCAACCTCCTTGATTGTAGGCAATTGTGAGACCCTGAGCAAAAAGTCCAGACAAGCCATATTCAGACTTCTCACTTACAGAAACTTGTGAGATGATATTTGGTGGTGTTTTTAAAATAATTTAAAACTCCATTTACTTATTTAAATTTTTACTTTTTTTAAGAGACAGCGTCTTGCTTATTTCCCAGGCTGGAGTGCAGGCTATTTACAGGCATGATCACAGCACACTGCAGCTGCCTCAAACTCCTGGGCTAAAGTGATTCTCCTGTCTTAGCCTCCTGTGTAGATGAGACTATAGGCACAAACCACTGCACCTGGCTGGGGGTGTTCTGAGGGCTACAATTGTGGTAATTTTTAATTCAGCAATAAAAAACTAATACATCTAACAAGACTATCCTTCAAAAATAAAAATATAAGACAGTCCCAGACAAAAAAACAAAACAAAACAAAAAAACTACAAGCCTTCATGGTTAGCAGACCTGACTTAGAAGAAATGCTAAAGAAATCCTTCTGTAGTTTGTAAGCATGATGATTGGGTTTTCATGCTCATGTGTGTGACATGCCTCCTTCAAACCTTGTTATGACTTCAGCACATTACCCATCTGATGGGAACCTTAGAAAAAGAAAAAAGAAATACTAAAGAAAGCCCTTCCGGCTGAAAAAAATGATACCAGATAGTAAATGAAATCCACATGAAGAGCCAGGCTTGGTGGCTGACACCTGTAATCCCAGCATTTTAGGAAGCCGAGGGCGGGGTGGATCACCTGAGGTCGAGAGTTTGAGACCAGCCTGGTCAACATGGTGAATCTCCGTCTCTACTGCAAATACAAAAACCAGCCAGGCATGGTGGTACGAGCCTGTAATCCCAGCTACTTGGAAGGCTGAGGCACAAGAATCGCATGAACCTGGGAGGTGAAGGTTGCAGTGAGCCAAGATCATGCCACTGCATCCCAGCCTGGGTAAGAAAGTGAGACTGCCTCAAAAATCAAAACAGGTTAAAAGTGAAAGGACAGAAAATTACATACCCTGCAAATACTCATAAGAAAACTGGACTGGCTATATTAGTATCAGATAAAGTAGACTGTAAAACACAATAGATGACTAAGAACTGAGAGTTCTTGGCAAAAAGACATAAAGAACTACTTTTTTCCTTGCTTTGATAGTTTGAAGGGAAAGAAACTGCCCTCTCCAGTTCTCCCCCGCTTTTTTTTTCTTCTTTATGAGATGGTGGGTCTCACTCTGTCACCCAGGCTGGAGTGCAGCAGTGCAATCCTGGCCTACTGCAACCTCGACCTCCTGGGCTCAAACAATCCTCCCACCTCAGTCTCCCGAGTAGCTGGGACTATAGGTGCATGCCACCATACCTAGCTAATTTTTATTTTTTGTAGAGAGGAGGGTCTCACTATGTTACCCAGACTGGTTTTTAACTCTTGACCTCAAGTGATCCTCCTGCTTTGGCCTTCCAAAGTGCTGGCATTACAGGAGATAGCCACTGTACCTGGCCCCTCCATACTGTTTGTTTCCATATTTATTACTGTGGTAAAATATACATAATATAAAATTATTTTAAGCATGTTTAAGTGTACAGAGTTCTGTGGCATTAAGTAAATCCATATTGTTATGCAAACATCACCACCATCAATCTCTGGAATAACCACATTTAAAATAATATAGTCTATAAGAATATAAGTAAGGAGTTTTTTTTTTTTTTTTTTTTTTTTGCTCTGTTGTTGCCAGGCGGGAGTGCAGTGGCATGATCTCAGCTCACTGCAACTTCCACCTCGTGGGTTCAAGAAATTCTGTCTCAGCTTTCCCAGTAGCTGGGACTACAGGCATGCACCACCATGCCCAGCTAATTTTTTGTGTTTTCAGTAGAGACGGGGTTTCGCCATGTTGCCAGTCTGGTCTCGAACTCCTGACCTCAAGTAATCCACCTGCCTCGGCCTCCTAAACTGCTGGGGTTACAGGCATGAGCCACTGTGCCCGGCCAAGAAAATAAGAAATTTTCTTTTTAGTTCTGGGATACACGTGCAAAAAAACGTGCAGGTTTGTTACATAGGTATACATGTGCCATGGTGGTTTGCTGCACCTATCAACCCGTCATCTAAGTTTTAAGCCCCACATGCATTAGGTATTTGTCCTAATGCTCTCCCTCCCCTTGCCCCCCAATCCCCAGCAGGCCCTGGTGTGTGATGTTCCCCTCCCTGTGTCCATGTGATCTCATTGTTCAACTCCCACTAATAAGTGAAAACATGCAGTGTTTGGTTTTCTGTTCCTGTGTTAGTTTGCTGAGGATGATAGTTTCCAGTTTCATCCATGTCCCCGCAAAGGACATGAACTCGTTCTTTTTTATGGCTGCATAGTATTCCACGGTATATACGTGCATTTTCTTTATCCAGTCTATCATTGATAGGCATTTGGGTTGGTTCCAAGTCTTCGCTATCGTAAATAGTGCTGCAATAAACATACGTGTGCATGTCTTTATAGTAGAATGATTTATAATCCTTTGGGTATATATCCAGTAATGGGATTGCTGGGTCAAATGGTATTTCTGGTTTTAGATCCTTGAGGAAATGCCACACTGTCTTCCCCAATGGTTGAACTAATTTACACTCCCACCAACAGTGTAAAAGCGTTCCTATTTCTCCACATTCTCGCCAGCATCTGTTGTTTCCTGACTTTTTAACGACTGCCATTCTAACTGGCGTGAGATGGTATCTCATTGTAGTTTTGATTTGCATCTAATGACCAATGATGATGAGCTTTTTTAAAATTGTTTGTTGGCCGCATAAATGTCTTCTTTTGAGAAGTGTCTGTTCATATCCTTTGCCCACTTTTTGAAGGGATTGTTTTTTTCTTATAAATTTAAGTTCCTTGTAGATTCTGGATATTAGACCTTTGTCAGATGGATAGATTCCAAAAATTTTCTCCCATTCTGTAGGTTGCCTGTTCACTCTGATGATGGTTTCTTTTGCTGTGCTGAAGCTCTTTAATTAGATCCCATTTGTCAATTTTGGCTTTTGTTGCAATTGCTTTTGATGTTTTAGACATGAAGTCCTTGCCCATGCCTATGTCCTGAATGGTATTACCTAGGTTTTCTTCTAGGGTTTTTATGGTTTTAGGTTTTACGTTTAAGTCTTTAATCCATCTGAGTTAATTTTTGCATAAGGTGTTAAGGAAGGGGTCCAGTTTCAGCTTTCTACATATGGCTAGCCAGTTTTCCCAGCACCATTTATTAAATAGGGAATCCTTTCCCTACTGCTTGTTTTTTGCTAGGTTTGTCGAGGATCAGATGGTTGTAGACGTGTGGTGTTATTTCTGAGGCCTCTAAGTAAGAAATTCTTAAAAGAGCTTTGAGCATTCTTTTTTTTTTTTTTTTTTTTTTTTTTTTTGAGATAGGGTCATGCTCTGTTGCCCTGGCTAGACTACAGTGGTGCAATCTCAGCTCACTGCAACCTCTGCCTCCCAGGTTCAAGTGATTCTCCTGCCTCAGCCTCCCGACTAGCTGGGATTACAGGCACACACCACCATGCCTAATTTTTTTTTTTTTTGTATTTTTAGTAGACATGGGGTTTCACCATGTTGGACAGGCTGGTCTCAAACTCCTGATCTCTGGTGATCCACCCGCCTCCACCTCCCAAAGTGCTGGGATTATAGGCGTGAGACACTGTATCTCCTGCCTCCCTTTTTTTTTCTTAAAATTGTATTTTTTTTATTCTTTTGCCTGGGAACATAAATTCAGTATAGAATAGAATGTGTTCTCAGCATTCTCATCAGAGATAGAGTTTGCTGTGTTGTCCAGGCTGGAGTGCAGGGGCAAGATCATAACTCAGTGCAGATTCTAATTCCTGGCCTCAAACGATCCTCCCACTTCTGCCTCCCAAGTAGCTAAGACTACAGGCTCAAGTCCACACTGGATTAGCTTCTGGCAAGAGGAATCAGGAAAGATCATCAGAGTTTAGCATGGGAAAAGAGCAGGTAGACTTTCTTAGCTATATCATAAAGCATGGTCAGGATGTGATATGGTTTGGCTGTATGTCCCTATCCAAATCTCATCTTGAATTGTAATCCCCACGTGTAAACCCCCAGGTGACCGTATCATGGGGGCAGTTCCCCTATGCTCTTCTCGTGATAATGAGTGAGTTCTCACGAAAGCTGACAGTTTATAAGGGGCTCTTTCTGCTCACTTTCTCTTTCCTGGCACCTTGTGAAGCAGGTACTTGCTTCTTTGCCTTCCATGCTTGTAAGTTTCCTGAGGCCTCCCCAGCTATGCAATACTGTGAGTCAATTAAACTTCTTTCCTTTACAAATTACCCAGTCTCGGGTAGTAAATTTATAGCAGTGTGAAAATGGAGTAAGACAGGAGGAAACAGGAAACGATTATTGCTAAGTAAGAATGATGAAGTGGTCAATATCTAGGATGTATTTTTTGAGTGTGACCGGGTCTCACTCTGTTACCTAGGCTGGAGTGCAGTGGCACGACCACGGCTTAATGTAGCCTCAACCACTTGGGCTCAAGTGATCCTTCTACCTCAGCCTCCTAAGTAGCTGGGACTACTAGTCCATGCCACCATGCCCAGATAATTAAAAAACAAAAAACAAACAAAAAAAAACAACGTTTAAGTCTCCCTATGTTTCCCAGGCTGGTCTTGAACACCTGGGCTCAAGTGATCTTCCCACCTCTGCCTCCCAAAGGGCTAAAATTATAGGCATGAGCCACCACGCCCAGCCTATCATTTGTTTTAACTGGAAATAAGAGTAATTACAGTTTGTAAGAAAATGCAGTAGAATAAACTATATCAGAGAAAACACAGAGTGAAAGTGCCTACCATACCGCCTGAACATCGATGCTTAAAACAAATTATAGCCGGGTGTGGTGGCTCATGCCTGTAATCCCAGCACTTTGGGAGGCAGAGGCAGGAGGATTGCTTGAGCTCAGGAGTTCAAAACCAGCCTGGGCAACACAGCAAGACCCTGTCACTATTTATTAAAAAATAAAAATTAAAATAACAATTTTAAAACCAAATTATACATTATATATAAAATTATAAATAAAAATCGAGAAAAATGTTTGTGTCAGAGAGTAACAAGGAATCACTCCAGTATTATTACTGTGTGATTCTGGCATGTCATTGATGTCAGATGCTGGCAGTGAAGCACAAAAGAGACAGGTGCTCCCCCTAGCTAGACTACTGGCTCACTTTCTGCCCACACACACTCCTGGCCCCTCAGGGCAGACCTGGGTTCCCACTACAGATTATGCATATTTTATGAATTTACCTCTCCCCACTCTCCTTACCACCAGTTTGGAAGCTTCCAAAGGCTAGGCATATCTTATTCATCTTTTAAACAAGCATCTAGCAATGTCTGGAATATAACAGACAGTTCATAAATGTTCATTTATTGGACAGTTCTGGGGAAAACTTATCAGAGAAATCTAGCCCTGTTTCAGGCTGCTGTGAACTTACTGAATGCAGTAACATGTGTTATTAAACTTAGCATTGCAAGTACTCAATAAATCAACTGACCCACAGGAGCTACTCAAGTTAAAGTTAACAACTCTAAAAAAGAAATTTAGTTAGAAAAAAACAATTGATCGGATGTTTTGAGGGAAGAAAACTGAACAAATATCAATTATAGATAAGAATCATGCTGAGGTCTAAACAAAAACGCTCTAAAACTGCAATTTATCCCAACTTAAGCATATCAACATAATCTGGCCTTCTAAACTAAGACAAAAATTCTATCAATTCACTATGTTGTCCCATTTAGAGCTGGTATCACAGTTTCTCAATTTTCAACTTAATTCCTTCCTTTCTTTTTTTTTTGAGACGGGGTCTCACTCTGTCACCCAGGCTGGAGTGCAGTGGTACCATTATAGCTCACTGCAGCCTTAACCTCCTTGGCTCAAATGATTCTCCCACCTCAACCTCCTGAGTAGCTGGGACTACAGGTATGCATCACCACACCCAGCTTTTAGACAAGAGAGACAGAGTTTGTAGAAAGGACTTACCTATGTTAATAGTTCAACCAATACCAACTTAAATATTATTAAAAATTATTTATACAACTGCACATTGCCATATTACATAGGGGGTTAACATGTAAGAATACAAAACATTAAGACAGGTGTAATGGCTCACATCTGTAGTACCAGCTACTCAGAAGACTGAGGCAGATAAGAGGATCACTTGAGCTCACGAGCTCAAGACCAACCTGGGCAATGTAGTGAGATTCTGTCTCTTAAAACACATACACACACAAAACCCCACAAATCATTAAATGATGATACTGTATGAGAAATTAATTAATTATACAAAAATTAGCTGGGCATGGTGGCACGTGCCTGTAATCCCAGCTACTTGGTAGGCTGAAGCAGGAGAATTGCTTGAACCTGGGAAGTGGAGGTTGCAGTGAGCCGAGATCGCACCACTGCACTCCAGCCTGGCAACAGAGCGAGACTCTGTCTCAAAAAAAGAAAAAAATAATAAATTAATTAATTCTGGCTAGAAAATATCTAAACCATGATCCTGGCTAGAACAGATTGCAGTCAATTTTGTTTGGCATCATCTTCAGTGTTGGCACTGGTTTGCTGACCGACCCTGAACCACCATGAACCTGCTGCCCACTAGTTTATCAGCACCAACTTTCTTTCCTTTATGTGGGTATTCAAAGGAGTTTACATAAAAGGTTTCGAGTGAGAAAATAAACTTCAAAAGTTGAAAAACCTTGTGCCTGGCCTTAATATTATCAGTGGGATGACAACACAAAGTTACAATTTCTATGTAAAACTGGGCCTCTAGGAGGAAAGAATGGTATCTAATATTTCATTCACCACCCAACAATAGGGTTATGCATTAAGATCTTATTATTTGATGAATGTGCAGTGTTATATTTAATGACTATTTCCTCAGTCGTTTACTACTGGCTTCCTAAATGAATGCTTTTTCCATAGCCTCATGATATTTTTTAGGGTTTGAGACAGGGTTCCATTCTGTCACACAGGCTGGAGTGCAGTGGTGTGATCTTGGCTCACTGTAACCTCCGCCCCCAGGGTTCAAGTGATGCTCCCACCTCAGGTTCCTGAGTAGCTGGGACTAGAGGGGCACGCCACCACAGCTGGCTAATTTTTGTATTTCTAGTAGAGACAGGGTTTTGCCATGTTGGTCAGGCTGGTCTTGAACTCCTGACCTCAAGTGATCCACCCACCTCAGACTCCCAAAGTGCTGGAATTACAGGAGTGAGCCACCATGCCCGGCCTCATGTTTTGATAATAGATTCTCCAAGTGCCTTTTGATTTCCATTATTTCAATGTTACATGAGCAAACTCTAGACATAAAATTGGCAAACCTTTTCTTAAAGGGCAAGATAGTAAACATACTGTTTCAACTACTCAGTTCTGCCCTTATAGAGTAAAAGTGGTCTTAGATAATATGGGAAGAAATGGGTATGCTGTGTTCCAATAAAACTTTATTTATAAAAAAAGGTAAGCCCATAATTTGCCAACCCTTGCTCTATTTAAACTCCTCAGTGTCCTAAGAATGTCCTCAGTTATATACCATGGGGGAATCTTTGGGTGTAAATTTAAGACAAGACCTGGTGATATACACATACATGCCTAGCTGACAAGATTTTTCTCTACTTGTTTCCACTTGAAGATAACCAGTAAAGTCAAGACAAGAGAGGGGTGAGATACCAAGACCAGACACAAGGAGGGGCTTTGAGACTCCTCTGTTTCTCAATATGGACGAGACTTATACAACAGAGAACTTCATCCCACAAGGGCAGGACTAGAAAAAACGGAAAGCAAACAAGCTATAGGTGGCAGGTGCTAAAATAACTTTAGGAAAGCCAAAAGAAATGCTCCATCAGTGATAAAATCAAAGTTTACAGAACAAATAATTATCAAATGACCATTCCAATACTGCTGGACACAAAGTAACTTTACAAAATTATTTTAAGTAATTCTCTACTTCTCTGCTAAGAGATTAAGTGATTCTCTGCCAAGAGACACTGGCTTCATTTATTTTGGTGGCTCAAATTATATACTCCATCATTCAATGTCAGCAACTACAATGGTGGTCCTAAGTAAAACCAAAATAGTTTTAAGCAGCCTTGGAAGGAAAAAAAAAAAGGTTAATCAACTACCTTTAGAATCTCTAGCCCAATCTCAAGGTATACCCCTATCAGATATGCCATGTCTTCATGCTTGCCTTTTTTCTCAACTTAACAAAATTAATTATCATGAAAGAATCAAAACTTACTCACTTAAGACTTCCAAACTAATGAAAGTACAATTTTATTTCTTGCAAATCAAATGAACTTACTCTAAACTGAAATTCCAGGCATTAGCAAAAAAAGGAAATAACAGATGATCACAGTGTAGCTTAAAGCCATATCCTAGAAGGGCCAACCACAACCATTTGTTAATGTGGCAAAGCAAAGAACAGTGTCTACTCTTCCCTTCTTCACATGGCCACCTGGTTAAATTTCCCAGCTTCTTTTGTAGCTAAGTACAGCAATGCGCAGAAACAGAAATAATACGACTTCCTGGTTGTGTCCTTCAAGGGCAGAAATAAACATTCCCCTTGGCTAGAATGTGAATATGATGTTAGAAGCTGATAGTCAAGCCACAATACTAACCCTGGACTGTACCTGAAACCTCTCCATGTGGAGAAAAAAACCAAAAAAACAAAAAATTATCCTCTTTATCTGAGAACAGCCCAAACTCTATACTACCTGATACAACCTTTCTGGCAAGCTATAGCAAACGTCACATTTTACTAACACATTCCAAATTCCTAGGTTGTCAGTTAAATATTTCTTTAAAGAAGTAGTGGCCAGGCGCGGTGGCTCATGCCTGTATTTTGGGAGGCTGAAGTGGGCATATCACTTGAGGCCAGGAGTTCGAGACCAGCCTGGGCAACACGATGAAACCCCATCTTTACTAAAAATACAAAAATTAGCCAGGCATGGTGGTGCACGACCTATATATTCCCAGCTACTTGGGAGGCTGAAGCATGAGAATTGCTTGAACCAGGGAGGCAGAGGCTGCAGTAAGCTGAGACTGCACTATTGCACTCCAGCCTGGGCAACAGGGTGAGAGACTGTCTCAAAAATAAATAAATAAATAAAACAAACAAACAAACAAAAAAATGAAGTAGAACTTTGGTTGAAAGCTTTGTCTTTTAACTAAGGAATCAAAACAGTAAACTGCAGTTCCAGTTTCCTGTGCTGGGTCTAAGGAAGGGATGGCAGGCACCACGTCCAGCTTCCTGACAGGCACCTACGGCAAGAAGCCCCTGACGAGAAACAGGCCAAGGAGATGTATGAGGAAGACAAGGATTTCAAGCAGAAACAAGAAGAGGAGCAGAAAAAACTTGAGGAGCTAAAAGCAAAGGCCACAGGGAAGGGTTCCCTGGATAGGTGGAATTAAGAAATCCGGCAAAAGTCTATGGCCATTCTATCCTGAATGCAATTGCTCGTCTGATCTCAGAAGCTAAGCGGGGTTGGGCCTGGTTAGTACTTAGAAGGGAGAAATCTGGAAAACAAGAACAAAAACCAAAAAACAAACCACTGTGTCCGAGGCAATGATGACCCTTGATCCCATTCCTATTT
This sequence comes from Homo sapiens, assembly GCF_000001405.40. NCBI lineage: Eukaryota > Metazoa > Chordata > Mammalia > Primates > Hominidae > Homo > Homo sapiens. The sequence goes on from NC_000006.12 coordinate 108,252,569, forward strand.
AAATATCTGCATTTCCTACTATAAAATCTTCTGCTTCCACTCTAGGAAGCAAAGGATGAAATGTCTTGGAGCCTGTTGCACATTTAAGAATAAACTTTTTTTCTCTTTTTCTCTTTTTTTTTGGCACAGAGTCGCGCTGCCACCCACCGCAACCTCTGCCTCCAAGGTTCACGCAATCTTTGTGCCTCAGCCCCCTGAGTAGCTGGGATTATAGGCATGCACCACCACACTGGCTAATTTTTGTATTTTAGTAGATATGGGGTTTTGCCATGTTGGTCAGGCTGGTCTCGAACTCCTGATCTCGAGGGATCCACCCGCCTCAGCCTCCCAAAGCGCTGGGATTACAGGCATGAGCCACCACACCCGGCCCTAAGAATAAACTTCTGGAAAAAAGAAAATAGCAGTTCCAAGATTTTTTTGGACACCATCTTTCTTATCTGATGTTCAAGAAATTGCTGGCTCTATTTACATGAAAGCAGCATAACATGGTACAAACATCAAAGTATCTAATAATAACAGTCTACTACTTTCTGGAAGGGGTGAGATAAGCATGATGATAAAGGTGAGCAGGAGAGGAAAATGTCTATTGCATGTGATCACCAGGATAGCTCAAAGCACTTTTTTAGATTTTCCCCTTTACAGGTATAAAGTGACAATATTTATAAAGATTCCTTTTTTGAGGCATGCTTGATGGCATGCAACAGTAATCCCAACTACTTGGCTGAGGTAGGAGGCTCACTTGAGCCCAGGAGTTCAAGACCAGCCTGGACAACACAGCGAGAACCTGTCTCCAAAAAATTCCTTTCTTAAATGAATACATATGTCTTTTTTTTTTTTTTTTTTTTACTTCTGGCTTACTTTCATGATTATTATACAGGGATATAGACATGGATGATGCAAGACAAGGGCAAAAAGATCTGGCTTGATTGAATGTAGTCTGTGTCTCCCCTTCCTCCCAAAAACTTAAGCTGTAGAGATTGGTATGCTTTCAGTTAATATTTAAATGCCTCCCCTCCAAAAAGTTTTCTATCTTTGACAAATGTCACTGGTTTTCCTCTCTGTTGCCAAGATCTGCTATTCATTTTATGTTTTACTATTTTAGAATCTATTTTTTTAATCCCATCAAAGCTACCAACCATTGTGGTTCTATGTATATTTCTCTTCCTTCTCTACTGTCTATCTATCTCAGTGAGACAGATAGCATGATAAGCAGCAGGAGAAATCCTTGCTGCATATAAGTGCCCTTACTGGGATGCTTTTTAAACCACCACTGCCGGCCGGGCTTGGTGGCTCACGCCTGTAATTCCAGCACTTTGGGAGGCCGAGGTGGGTGGATCACGAGGTCAGGAGATGGAGACCATCCTGGCTAACAAGGTGAAACACCATCTCTACTGAAAACACAAAAAAAATTAGCCAGGCGTGGTGGCAGGCACCTGTAGTCCCAGCTACTCGGGAGGCTGAGGGAGGAGAATGGCATGAACCCAGGAGGTGGAACTTGCAGTGAGCTGAGATTGCACCACCTCACTCCAGCCTGGGTGACAGAGTGAGATTCCGTCTCAAAGAAAAAAAAAAAAACCGCCACTGCCCAAACCCCACCCCACCCCAGTAAAAGAGAACCTGAATGGTTTCAAAGGCTCCTCAGGTGATATGAATTTTCTGTGAGGGCTCTGGGCAACCATGGTAAAACCTTGTCTGAGACAAGCCTGGGCAACATGGAGAAACCCTGTCTCTACAAATACAAAAAAATTAGCCAGGCATAGTGGCGTGCTCCTGTAGCCCCAATTACTCAGGAGGCGAAGGTTGGGAGGGTTGCCTGAGCCCAGGAGGTCGAGGCTACAATGAGCCCAGATTGCACCACCGTGCACTCTAGCTTGGGCAACAGAGTGAGACCCTGTCTCAAACAAAAGTACGGGCTCTGAAGGTCCGAAAATCTAGGTTCAAATCCCAGTTTTACCATTTAATAGCTGTGACCCTGGGGAAGTTAACTTTCTTAAACTTCATTTATTTGTAAGTGTCCACTATGTGCCAAGCAGTGTTGGATATTGAGTAAGGGTGATTATGACAGTCCCTGTCCTCTAAGAGCTTATAATGGGTGACACAGGAACTTACAGGAAGCCAAAGACAAGCAAACAAATTTATTCCTAACAAAGCTACCAGGGCACACAGGAAGGAAATCTGGTCCAGAGTCAAGGGATCAGCAAAATCTTTAAAAAGGGGACATTAAGGCTGAGTCCTGCAGGATAAGTGATAGTAACCAGATGAGGCTCTTAAAGGAAGCCTGTTCTTAACAGAGGAGGAAGTGTGTGCAAAAGGCCTGGATACAAAAGAACTCAGCTTAATTGGGAGATACCAGTTCAGGACTGGAGTTAAAATGAGGAAAGGACAAGAGATGAGGATCAGTTGATCAGCTTCTACAGGAATATTATCTACTCTGCTTGGTTACCTCAAGATTAAATTTTATAGATAGAGCACAGTGCTTTGCACATAAAAGATACTCAAATGATACATCCCTTAACAGAACAGAATCCCTAAAAACTCAATATAACAGGACTACTTTAAAATAGCCACTGTCTTCCTCCCCCACTCTCCATTCTGGGGATGGATTAGATAAGGACAGAATCTTCACTGCTAATAGCATGCTTCTCCTTGATGGAGATCCTGGAAAAGTCAGCCGTAGCTGGCAGCAACATGTGTAACAGACAACATCTCATTGGCCAATTGATAGAGCTACATAGATTCTGCAGATGTCCTCTGGCATCAAAATGCCCTGATTTTTTTTTCTTTGCTTTGCTTTTTTTAGAGGCAGGGTCTCACTGTGTCACCCAGGTTAGAGTGCGGTGGTATGATCGTGGCTCACTGCAGTGTTGACCTCCTCCTGGGCTCAAGAAATCCTCCCACTTCAGCCTCCCACATAGCTGGGACTACAGGCACACGCCACCATGCCTGGCTAATTTTTAAATTTTTGTAGGGACAGGGTCTCACTGCGTTGCCCAGGCTGTGTGGCAACGCCTGAGCTCAAGTAGTCCTCCCACCTTGGCCTCCCAAGTGCTGGGATTACATACAGGAGCCACCGTGCCCGACCCCCCGATTCTTTAAAATACTATTAATATTTTAGCCCTTCAATAATACATGTTTATAATTCCCAAAAATAAGTCTAAGATTTTAAAATTTATTTCTCAGCTTCCAATCTGGATATTAATGACTCCTAATTTAAGATTAGATGACTGACCCAGAGGAAAAAACATATACAAGTTTAGAACGGCAAGCACTGTCAAGATAAGATGCTACATTTATTTAGCACCTTGTCAAAATTTTTATCAGCCAACGTTATTATTCAGCTTTATGCTTTAATAAAGCTCAACTTTAAAAGATTATTTGGAGCCTGGCATGGTGGCTCACACCTATAATCCTAGCAGTTTTGGAGGCTGAGGTGGGAGTATCACTTGAGCCCAGGAGTTCAAGAGCAGCCTGGGCAACATAGTGAGATCTCGTCTCTACAAATAATTTAAAAATTAGCTGGGTGTGGTGGTATGCGCCTGTGGTCCCAGCTAGTAGAGAGGCTGAGGTTGGGAGGATCACTTGAGCCTGGGAGGTCAAGGCTTCAGTGAGCTGTGACTGCACCACTGCACTCTAGGCTGAGAGACAGAGGGAGACCCTGTCTCGAAAAAATAAATACATACACAAAGGTTACTTGGTTAAGTACCAAATAAGATAGCTTATTTTTATACCATGCTTGCTTAATGAAGGTATACTTCCATGACAAGTAGGTTTCTTGACAAGAAAATCTAACAATTTTAGTAACTCAACTAAACATTAACACACAGAAAATGTAGTTGATCACTGACGTTTAATTTAGAAAATGTCTATCTTTAGAAAGAGCTAAATTTTGCGTGCTTATTATGTGCCAGGCACTGTGCTAGAAAGATTCATGTGCCTTATCCCATTTAGTCCTAAGAGGTAGGTACTATTATTAGCACACCTATTTCACAGAGGGGAAGTGGAGCTTTGATTTTGTATCTTACCCAGCTAGGAAATGTTAAATCTATTCTTTGAACTGAGGACTATGTCAGAGCTCAAGAAAGATTCTAATTCCATTCCTGTTCAAAACAGTGGTCTCCAGGTAAAATAGATCTTGATTAACTTAAAAATCTCCAGAATATTAAAGTTATATTACAGCACAAACTTCATAAACAGTGACTGAATTTTGCTTTCAGCCTTCTCTTGAATATGCCTAAATAATTCCAGACCTTGAACTTTCCTAAACCTTTAATCATTTATGGTGCTCTCTGCTGTACCTACCCATTAGAACAATTTTTAAAAACATAACACTGTGTAATTATTTTCAAAAGCCCAGAGATACTAATCAAGTGATCCTAATAGTCTTAAACACTATCCTCAAACCAAAAGATAAATGGAGATTGGGAAACTTGCATTCTAAGTGCCACCATCCATATAAAATTGCCCTGTGAATTAGAGTAATTTCAATCAGATCCTGTAAAACTGTAAATTTTTCTCAAGACCAGAATGAGACAGTAACTGTAAGATAGTTTAAAAGCCCAAATTCTGGAACATAAAATGGTTTTCCACATAGCAAATTCAACAGCAAAAGGTAGTCAGTAGGGGTTCGGGAGAGCAGCAACATTTAGAAAATAATAAATAAAATTGCAGGGCTGGGTGAGGTGGCTCATGCCTGTAATTCCAACACTTTGGGAGACTGAGAGGGGGAGGGCCACTTGAGGCCAGGAGTTCAAGACCATCATGGGCAACATAGCAAGTCTCATCTGACAAAAAATAAAAAATTAGCCAGGTATAGTAGTACCCTGTAGTCCAGCTACTTGGGAGGCTGAGGCGGGGGGAATACTTGAGTCCTCGAGTTTGAGAATGCAGTGAGCCACAATCATGCCACTGTGTTCCAGCCTGGGCTACAGAACGAGACTCTTATCTCAAGAAGAAAAAAATTACAAAATATTAAACTATTCATGTCATAGCCACTCTGCCTTAATGCAAGACTATAATTACTCTAAAAAATCATATGCTGCTCAAATAAGGCCTAATTTCCTTACTATATGGTGTCCTTAGTTTTAAGTTAACACATTACATACTAAAAGAAATCCAGGCTGGGCATGGTGGCTCACGCCTGTAATCTCAGCACTTTGGGAGGCCAAGGTAGGCAGATCATGAGGTCAAGGGACTGAGACCATCCTGGTCAACATGGTGAAACCCCGTCTCCACTAAAAATACAAAAATTAGCTGGGCGTGGTGGCGCGTGCCTGTAGTCCCAGCTACTTGGGCGGCTGAGGCAGGAGAATCGCTTGAACTCGGAAGGCAGAGGTTGCAGTGAGCCAAGATCGCGCCACTGCACTCCAGCCTGGCGACAGAGCAAGGCTCTGTCTCAAAAAGAATAAAAATAAAAATAAAAAAAGAAAGAAATCCAAAGTCATTTCATGCATTAAAAACTCAATTAGGTTTTCACATAGGCACTGGCATTTATGACTGTTAACAGCTATTAACACCCAGTGAGTTGGTTTATACAAAAATACAAACCAAAGTAAGTGTATAATTTGTTAGTTCCCTGACTCATTAATCGTTCTTAAAAAAGATTATTTTCAGGCCAGGCGCGGTGGCTCATGCCTGTAATCCCAGCACTTTGGGAGGCCAAGGCAGGTGGATCACGAGGTCAGGAGTTCAAGACCAGCCTGACCAACACAGTGAAATCCCATCTCTACTAAAAATACAAAAATTAGCCAGGCGTGGTGGCGCATGCCTGTAATCCCAGCTACTCAGGAGGCTGAGGCAGGAGAATCACTTGAACCTGGGAGGCGGAGGTTGCTGTGAGCCAAAATAGCGCCGCTGCACTGCAGCCTGGGCAACAGAGCGAGACTCCGTCTCAAAAAAAAAAAAAAAAAATTTTCTTTAACATGTAAATGACTATACCAAAACCCTTTTTTCTCTCTCTCCTGAGATAGGGTCTCATTCTGTTATGCCGGCTTGAGTAGAGTGGCCTCATCATAGCTCTCTGCAGCCTCGACCTCCTGGGCTCAAGTGATCCTCCCACCTCAGCCTCTGGAGTAGCTGGGACCTCAGGGATGCGCGCCACCACGCCCAACTAATTTCTTTTTTTGTGGGGAAGGGGTTTCAACGTGTTGCCCAGGCTGGTCTCAAACTTCTGAGCTCAAGGGATCCACCTGCCTCAGCCTCCCAAAGTGCTGGGACTAGAGGCATGAGCCACTGCGCCAGGCCCAGAAACCATTTTTAAGTGTCACATCAGCTATTTGCTAAGGTATTAGGTGTATTAAAAAAAAAAGAGGATTAAATTATTATACTAGAACCCATTTAATATAATGCATTCAGCAAGATAAACTCAAAGTAAGTGGAGGAAGTGTAGGCAGGAGATTCCAATTCAGTTTTGTGACAGGAAGTACCTGCTATGGAAGTATAGAAACAAGAATACCAAGTTCTGTTTTAGCACAAGAAAGAAAAAAAAAGAAAATACTAGTGAATAGGGCAAAAGAGGAAGTTCTTTTTAGTGAACCATCTGTCATGTATTACAGACAATTAGAAAAACATTCACTTTTCCACTAGGTTTATGTATGAATGTAGTTCCCCAGGTGTACTGAAGTCTGGATTTTGCAGTTTCCCTATGACAACATATCCTATGATTCAATTTTTATTTATTTATTTAGAGAAGGGATTTTGCTCTTGTTGCCCAGGCTGGAGTGCAATGGCCCGATCTAGGCTCACGGCAACCTCTGCCTCCCCAGTTCAAGAGATTCTCCGGCCTCAGCCTCCCGAGTAGCTGGGATTACAGGCATGCGCCACCACACCCGGCTAATTTTGTATTTCTAGTAGAGATGGGGTTTCTCCATGCTGGTCAGGCTGGTGTCGAACTCCTGACCTCGGTGATCCGCCCAGCTCGGCCTCCCAAAGTGCTGGGATTACAGGCATGAGCCACCGCGCCCGGCCTATGATCCACATTTTACACATCCATAAGAAGACAACAGTGGCTTGAAACATTAAACTATTCGTTTCATATCTTAAAGTTTGATTAACTTTTTAAAATCAATGCTAACTACGTAAGAATCATTTTTTAAAAATACTTAAGTTTCACAACAATGTGAATATACTACTGAGCTGTATGTACACTTAAAAATGGTTAGGATGGTAAATTTGATTTTTGTGTTTTTCACGACACAAAGTGTGTAAGTTAATGAGAATTTTTTCACTTAAATGTTAATAGTAGCTTGTCATATAAATTTTGATTAAAGGAAAAATCGCTTTACACTTAACTTTTAATAATTTGCTGTCATCTTTAAATTAATGTAATTAATTTTTAAAGATGCTTCCATACATGGGCAAATTCTTTAATCCTGAATTATAGAGTGAAAGTGAAGCACTATTTTCAATTAACATCTTTCAAATCATCTAAATTATTGCCAACAAATACTAGTTATGAAATTAGGTATATTTTATTTCTGTTGATTTCTTTATTCAATTAAGTGCAAATCTCGAATTAAGAGAGCAAGATCCCTAGTCTTTTCTTAAAGCAACTGTAGTTCTGGATTATGAGGTAGGTGACACCACACCTCAGCCTTTGGCAGGGCGGTGGCCCAAAATGCTGAAGTCAACCATGTCCAATCACCCTTCTGGTCTGGCTCAGCCCTATCAAAAATTGTCAGGCTTCTGTGAACTTTCATTAAGTCCCGTTCAGAAGACTGCACAACCCAGGTTACTTTAGCAGCTCGGGAAGGGCCTGGAGCAGCCGGGTTGGCTTGCTACCTCTGGGAAGTCTCCAGGAAGAGAAAACTGGGAAAAGGCTTTAACTTTGCGCAAGCCCCTTTTCTCTGTCAACATCTCTTTCCCTTCCCAGCGAAGGGATGTGTTCTCGAAAGATCTACCCCTTTCCAACTCAAATGTCATTCCCTGATCAGCTGCTGGAGGGGCAAGCGGCGCTCAACCCACGCCCTCCTCTTCGAGCACCTTCTCCAAGTGCCAGCGCGCCGGGCTCGCTCTGCAGCCCCCCACACCAGCCCTACAGGAAGAGGGGCCCTGGCTCACGACCCCGGCCCGCCTCTGCAAGGGGGCTCCCGGCCTGGGAGGCTGTGGCTGCCCGCGGGGGTCCACTCCCGGGTCGAGTGGGGGTGACCAGAGCCAGCGGGAGGGGTTTCTTGGGAGAGGGGAGAGACGGCCTCACCTTGACCCTGATTTCGTAAGTGGTGAAGCGGCCCCGGCCGACCCCCACCGTTTGCGGGTTGCTCACATCGATCTCGAGGAAGTTGCTGGGGGGTCCGTAGGCGTCATTCAGGTTCTGCGGCTTGGTGATCAGCCGCCGGGTGTCAGCCACGGTCTCCGCCATTTCGCTGTAGCTGCTGCCGCCGCCGCGGGCTCCCTCCGCCCCCTCCGCGTTCAGCCGCCGCCGCCGCCGCTGCTGCCCGCCGTGGGGACACGGGGCTCGCGCGCAGCGGTCGCGAAGAGAACGAGCACGTAGAGCGGGCGTTCACCCCGCACGCGAAGCTCCTCCCCGCGCCCCTCAAGCTTCCGCCTCCGAGCCCAGGGGAGAAACGGCTCACTAGCTGGAACGCCACGCCCGGCTCCCGGGAGGCCCGGCCGAGGCTGGGGAGGGGCACTGCGGACTGGGGTGTGAGGAGAAGCGGTGTCATGGGACTCGGGGTCGCAAACAGGTTCCGGCCGGACTACAGCGCCCACAATGCACCGCGAGCGCGCCGCCGCGGGGCTGCGGCCGAGGAGGCGAGGACCCAGACGCCCAGAGCTGGCGCTTCCTGTCTCTCTGCGCCAGCCTCGGCCTGCGGCGGGGTAGAGCGCCGGAAACGGCTTTAGCGGCTTTGGGAATTGCGGGCGAAAGTTAAACGGAGAGATCTTAGAGATTTGCCCGCAAATCGAAACAAAACTGCCCCTACTAACTCTGTGCCAACCTGTGCACCGTCTCACTGTGAACCCCTGAAAATGCCTTTCTGGAGAAGGTTAAGCAAATGCCTGAGATGATTTTGCCATAAACCCGAGCGTTGCACCAGACACGCGTCTGGATTGATAGGTTGAAACCAGTAAAGTGGGGGAGTGAAATAAAAACTAAAGCCCTAGTTAAATCCTAGCATTATGGTCAAATCGATTTTGGAGACAGGTCGGTCCGCTAAAACAAAGTAACAGTAGACCGGCTGCAAGCTGCTTTGGGTGTCCACTTTCGTTTCTCACGAAGTCCTGATAAGTTTTTTTTTTTTTTGAAAAGTATTAAACGTACCTCTACAGGACTGGAAATGCAACTCACATGAGCCTTTTTAAGAAACGGGGAGGAAGGCCGGGCACGGTGGCTTATGCCTGTAATCCCAGCACTTTGGGAGGCCGAGGCGGGCGGATCACGAGGTCAGGAGTTCGATACTAGCCTTGCCCACATGGTGAAACCCCATCTCTACTTAAAAATGCAAAATTAGCTGGGCGTGGTGGTGCGCGCCTGTAATCCCAGCTACTCTGGAGGCTGAGGCAGGAGAATCGCTTGAACCCGGGAGGCAGAGGTTGCAGTGAGCTGAGATCTGCCATTGCACTCCAGCCTGGGTAATAGAGTGAGACTTTGTCTCAAAAAAAAGAAAGAAAGAAACGGGGAGAAAACCCAATTAATTAGGTCCTAGTTCATCTCTTATGGTCCAATGGGAAATGCAGATTTTAAATGTTGAGATACGATACATTTCTATCTCTGCCCAGAGAGTTATCCCTCACAACTATTTCTGCATTTTTTAATATGTCAAGTTTAACACTATAATTACTTTAAATAACCTGATCTTCCCCGCCCCCCTTTTCTTTAGATTTTAAATTATTAGTAATTATTTGTGGAGACGGGATCTCACTGTGATTCCCAGGCTGGTCTCCAACTCCCAGCATCAAAGTGATCCTCCCGCCGTGGCCTCCCATATGTGCTGAGATGACAGGTATGAACCACCGTGCTTGGACTGATCTGTCCCTTGAACTGCAAATTTCTTTTCTTTCTTGCTTTTTTTTTTTTTTTTTTTTTTTTTTTTTTTTTGAGACGGAGTCTCGCTGTGTCGTTCAGGCTGGAGTGCAGTGGCGCATCTTGTCTTACTGCAATCTCCACCTTTCGGATTCAAGCGATTCTCCTGCCTCAGCCTCCCGAGTAGCTGGGATTACAGGCGTGCGCCATGACACCCAGCTAATTTTTGTGTATTTTCAGTAGAAACGGGGTTTTGCCTTATTGGCCGGGCTGGTCTCGAACTCCTAACCTCAGCTGATCCGCTCGCCTCAGCCTCCCAAAGTGCTGGGAGTACAGAAGTGAGCCACCGTGCCCGGCCAACAGCAACCATTCTTAATAACACTAAGAAACACTGGAATAAAAAGAAATTACTTGGCCGGGTGCGGTGGCTTGCGCCTGTAATCCCAGTACTCTGGGAGGCCGAGGCGGGCGGATCACCTCAGGTTGGGAGTTTGAGACCAGCCTGACCAACATGGAGAAACCCCGTCTGTACTAAAAATACAAAATTAGCCGAGCGTGATGGCGCATGCCTGTAATCCCAGCTACTCGGGAGGCTGAGGCAGGAGAATTGCTTGAACCTGGGAGGCGGAGATTGTGGTGAGCCGAGATCGTGCCATTGCACTCCAGCCTGGGCAACAAGAGCAAAACTCCATCTCAAAAAAAAAAAAAAAAAAAAAGGCATTACTTAAATACAATGTATATTATTTTCCAGAAAACAACATTCATTTATTAATTCAACAAATATTTGTTGAAGACCTACTAGATGTTTTCATTCTAAGTACTAGAAATGAAAGGGTAGATAAGTCAGGTTTATAGCCTAGTATATAGTCTGTCTTAGGGAGACAATTCAGTAAATAATACACCTGCCAATATAATTGGTGCTATGAGGCAAATAAAACTGAATAATGTGACAGATAGTGACAGACAAGCTCATTAGATATTAATGCTGGGCATGTCTCCTAATGCAACAGACCAAATGGGAATTTGACTGGTATGATTAGAAATGTAAGCTCAATAAATACATATCAATGACTCTGAATTGAAGTCTATGCAAGCTAAGAGACCAGGAACTACTGTATTATGTTGTCATCGGTGACACCTGAACAAAGCAATCATGGAATATTCTCATAGAATGCTTCTGTCTGATTCCTTGGCGACCACTCAGGGCAGCAGTGGGCAGCCAGAACAAATGCCTGCAGTGGGGAAGCGGCTAGGAGGGACAGCAGCACAGCATCATAGCACAGTTGTATAGCCAAAGAAGACCTTCTTGGTGTAAATATCAGGAAAAAAAATTATCCTTATTTTTCAGGAATTGTGATTGCATTTCTAGAATACAAATCCAGAAATAATAAGCTACTAGAATTAACAAGAGAATGTAGTGGCAAGACAGAAATAAAGAATGTAATAGCTTTCCTTTGTCTATGCAATATCTAGTTAGAATGGAAATGGAAGAAAATACCCTGTTTGCAAGTGACCAGAAGTACAAAATATCTAGGAAGGAAGGGATAGGAACTATAAGGAGCAAAGGGAACATAGGACTAAAACTATGAAATTGTATTCAAAGATGTAAGACAAAACCTAAAGAGAAAAGAGTCTATGTTCCTGGATGGGAGGACTTAATATCAGAAAAAGTCACTATCTAAAATTAATAACTTAATACAATTAGAATCTCAATGTGGTTAGTTTTACTCACCCACTCCCACCTTGGATGAGTGGGTGGCACTGAGTCAAGTTTTTTTTTTTTTTTTTTTTTGAGACAGAGTCTCACTCTGTCACCCAGGCTGGAGTGCAGTGGCACAATCTCGGCTCACTGCAACCTCTGCCTCCAGGGTTCAAGCTATTCTCCTGCCTCAGCCTCCCAAGTAGCTGGGACTACTGGCGCCTGCCACCACGCCCGGCTAATTTTTGTGTTTTTAGTAGAGACGGGGTTTCACCATGTTGGCCGGGCTGGTCTCGAATTCCTGACCTTGTGATCCGCCCACCTAGGCCCCCCCAAAGTGCTGGGATTACAGGGGTGAGCCACCGCACCTGGCCCAAAGGTTTTATCATTCAGAAATGGCAAAACTAGGCTGGGCGCGGGTGCACGCCTGTAATCCCAACACTTTGGGAGGCCGAGATGGGCGGATCATCTGAGGTCAGAAGTTTGAGACAATCCTGGCCAACATGGTGAAACCCCGTCTCTACTAAAAATACAAAAAAATAGCTGGGCGTGGTGCCGGGCGCCTGTAATCCCAGCTACTCGGGAGGCTGAGGCAGGAGAATGGCTTGAACCTGGGAGGCAGAGGTTGCAGCTGAGCCGAGATTGCGCCACTGCACTCCAGCCTGGGTGACAAGAGCGAGATTCTGTCTCAAAAAAAAAAAAAAAAAAGGCAAAACTAGCTCCAGAGTTTATATACTTACCAATATTTTACGCTGCCTCTTAGGCAGAAAATTCAGATGGACAATAAGCATAAAAAAGAAATGAAATTACTATCAGCTGACTGTTTAGTGCGCTCAGAATAAAGACGAATTGATAATCTTAATGGCCAGAGCCTTCAAATTGTGATAATTAATACTCTACTCAAATGACACACCTCTCAGGGCACCCACAGCAATACCAGTATACAGACAATGTATTTTTCTAGAATTAGGCCACTTTAGGAAAACATAAAATTGATGATAGTTTTCTAACATTTTAGCTTATCCTTAGAATATGTTCATGTCTTCTCCTCCTACCTCCACTTCAACTGCCACTATACTCAAACTCACTAATCATATAAATGCACATTAAACATGAAATACTTTTTTCTGTCTATCAAAATGGCAAAAATCCAAATGAACAGAAACACACAGTAGGAAAGTAGGAAAACAGGCATTCATATTTCAATGACATGAGTATGAATTTTTACATCTTTTTGGAAAAGTAATTTGATAATATTTATCAAAAGTAAGACTATTAGAGTAGTTTCACCTGCAAATCTTAACTTTTGCTGCAAGAGACCATGGTACATAAGGTTGTAAGGGCAAGGATGTTTATTGCATCTTTGTTTGTAGTGGCAAAAACTGGAAACAGCTCCAAGGCTTATCAATTTTTTAAAAAGCTTGAATTAGGCTGGGCAATGGCTCATACCTGTAATCCCAGCACTTTCGGAGGCCAGGTCAGGCAGATCAGTTGTCAAGACCAACATAGGGAGACCCCATCTCTACAAAAAATTTAAAAATTGCAGGGCATGCTGGTGTGTGCCTATAGTCCCAACTACTTGGGAAGCTGAGGTGAGAGGATTGCTTGAGCCCAAGAGGTTGAGGCTGCAGTGAACTATGATCATGCCACTCTACTCCAGCCTAGGTAACAGACAAGGACCTTGTCTCAAGAAAGAAAAAAAGAAAAAAAAAAAAAAAGAAAATGCTTGAATTATAGTATGTTTAAAGTGTGGGAAATTGTATAATGATTAGAGTAAATGAACTAGTTATATTTTCATTTATTAGAATACTCTATTATTTAGTTATTAGAATTAGAGGAGGACTATCCATGATGTATTGGTGAAAGCACAGAATCCTAGCCACTAGACTACCAGAGACCATGATATTGGTAAGTGAGGATCACAAAATAATCTGTCTGCTATAGTCCATTTGGGTAAACAAATAAAACCGTATCAGTAGGCTAGCCACAGTGGCTCATGCCTGTAATCCCAGCACTTTAGGAGGCTGAGGCAGGTGGATCATTTGAGGTCAGGAGTTCGGGACCAGCCTGGCCAACATGGTGAAACCCAGTCTCCACTAAAAATACAAAAAAATTAGCTGGGCATCGTGGCGCATGCCTGTAATCCCAGCTGCTAGGGATGCTGAGGCAAGAGAATTGCTGAACCCAGGAGACAGAGGTTGCAGTGAGCCGAGATCACGCCACTGCACTCCAGCCTGAGTGACAGAGTGAGACTCTGTCTCAAAACAAACAAAAAAACCCACCCTATCAGTGACTATATGTACATTTATATTTGTATATGTTTATATGTGCATGGGGAGAAGGAAGTATAGAAGGATATACGCCAGGGTGTTAGTGCTGGTAGCTTAAGAGGGTGGCAATTAAAGTGGAGGTAGGAGGAGAAGACATGAACATATTCTAAGGATGAGGTAAAATGTCAGAAAACTATCATCAATTTTATGTTTTCCTTAATGGCCTAATTCTAAAAAAAATAAGTTGTCTGTGTACTGGTATTGCTGTGGGCAACCTGAGAGGTGTGTCCCTTGAGTAGAATATTAATTATCACAGATTGAAGGCTCTGGCCATTAAGATTATCCATTCCTTAGCTGGGCATGGTGGCACATGCCTGTAATCCCAGCTACTTGGGAGGCTGAGGCAGGAGAATCACTTGAACCCACGAGGTGGAGGTTGCAGTAAGCTGAGATCGCGCCATTGCACTCCAGCCTGAGCAACAAGAGCAAAACTCCGTCTCAAAAAAAAAAAAAAAAAAATTATCCACTCCTGGCTGAGCATGGTGGCTCATGCCTGTAATCCCAGCACTTTGGGAGGCCAGGGTGGGCAGATAACTTGAGATCAGGAGTTCGAGACCAGCCTGGTCAACATGGGAAAACTCTGTCTCTACTAAAAGTACAAAAATTAGCTGGGCACAGTGGCATTCACCTGTAATCCCAGCTACTCGGGAGGCTGAGGCAGGAGAATTGCTTGAACCTGGGAGGTGGACATTGCAGTGAGCCGAGATCATGCCACTGTACTCCAACTTGGGTGACACAGTGACACTCCACCTCAAAAAATAATAATAATTAATTGGTATTCTGTTTAATCAACCAGTCCCTTGTGAACTTGATTAATGTGTCACTTCCTCAAAACCTGATTACTTCTAAAGGAAAAGGATAAAACCAAGTCACTGAACCTCTGAAGTGTCAGACTCTGGAATTATGGCTATCAATGAAAAGAGTCAAACTGTGTGAAATATTTGAAGAGATTTATTCTGAGCCAAATATGAGTGACCAATAGCCCATGATACAGGCCTCAGGAGGTCCTGCGAACATGACCCCAGTGTGGTTGGGGTACAGCTTGGTTTTATACATTTTAGGGAGACATGAGACATCAATTAATACATGTAAGATATACATTAGTTTGGGCCAGAAAGGCGGGACAGCTGGAAGCCAGGGCTTCCAAACCATTAGGCAGATTCAAAGGTTTTCTGATTGGCAATTGGTTGAAAGAGTTATCAATAAAAAAGAATGTCTGGGTTGTGATAAGGGGTTATGAAGAAATAAAAGTTTTATTTTGCAGATAAAGCCTCCAGGTGGAGGGCTTTAGAGAGAATAGATTGTAAATATTTCTTTTTTTTTTTTGAGACGGAGTCTCGCTCTGTTGCTCAGGCTGGAGTGCAGTGGCGCGATCTCAGCTCACTGCAAGCTCCACCTCCCAGGTTCACGCCATTCTCCTATCTTAGCCTCCCGAGTAGCTGGGACTATGGGCGCCTGCCACCACGCCTGGCTAATTTTTTGTATTCTTTAGTAGACATGGGGTTTCACCGTGTTAGCCATGATGGTCTCAATCTCCTGACCTCGTGATCTGCCCGCCTCAGCCTCCCAAAGTGCTGGGATTACAGGTGTGAGCCACCGTGCCCGGCCGTAAATGTTTCTTATCAGATCTGAAGAATCTGTTCTATCAGTAATTCCAAAAGGGAGGAGGGTATAATGAGGCATGTCTGACTCTCCCTGTCATGGCCTGCACTAGTTTTTCAGGTTAACTTTGGAATACCTTTGGTTCAGAGGAGGGGTCCATTCAGATGCTTGAGGGAACTTAGAATTTTATTTTTGGTTTACATGGCAAACCTAATGAGACCTGTCAACTTCTCAAGTGCCAGCTGGGTTTCTTTTACATCATTTTTCCTATGTGGAGCATTTCAATTCTCACACCCTGACTTACTCCCCAAACTCCTGCTCCCAGGCTGCTGAGCATTCCTGAAGGAAATCTCAGACCTCCTGGCACCCTTGCAAATTTATGGTTTCCAACTTCAGTTGATCCTTAGACACATCTCAGAAATCCCATTTAATTCTTGTTTTTTTTTTTTTTTTTTTTTTTTAGATGCAGTTTTGCTTTTGTTGCCAGGGTGGAGCACAATGGCGCAATCTTGGCCCACTGCAACCTCCACCTCTGGGTTCAAGCAATTCTCCTGCCTCAGCCTCCTGAGTAGCTGGGATTACAGGTGCCTGCCAACATGCCAGCTAATTTTTGTATTTTTGTTAGTAGAGGTGGGGTTTCACCATGTTGGCCAGGCTGGTCTCAAACTCCTGACCTCAGGTGATCCACCTGCCTCGGCCTCCCAAAGTGCTGGGATGACAGATGTGAGCCACCATGCCTGGCCTCCCCTGTTTAATTCTCTTCTCACATTTTGCACTCCTCTTCCTTACTCTCAGCAGATAACCTTACTTCTTCCAGCACAAAGAAAAGTAAAAGCCATGAAGCTCAGTATCTCCCTCCTCACCACCACAAGACTATTTACAGTATGAGTCAATTTCAGAACTTCTGAGAGCATGAGGCAGACCCACACCACTTCCAGCTTTTGAGGATCTGGACATTTTCAACTTTGGTACTGAGGAAATTATTTAAGGGCATTGTGAGTTGTTTGTTAATTTTAAGTAAGTAAAGCATTTACATTATTTAAAAATCGCTCTCCCTCTCCCTCTCCCTCTCCCCTCTCCGCTCTTTCCACGGTCTCCCTCTGATGCCGAGCCGGAGCTGGACTGTACTGCTGCCATCTCGGCTCACTGCAACCTCCCTGCCTGATTCTCCTGCCTCAGCCTGCCGAGTCCCTGCGATTGCAGGCGCGCGCCACCACGCCTGACTGGTTTTCGTATTTTTTGGGTGGAGACGGGGTTTCGCTGTGTTGGCCGGGCTGGTCTCCAGCTCCTAACCGCGAGTGATCCGCCAGCCTCGGCCTCCCGAGGTGCCGGGATTGCAGACGGAGTCTCCTTCACTCAGTGCTCAATGGTGCCCAGGCTGGAGTGCAGTGGCGTGATCTCGGCTCGCTACAACATCCACCTCCCAGCAGCCTGCCTTGGCCTCCCAAAGTGCCGAGATTGCAGCCTCTGCCCGGCCGCCACCCCGTCTGGGAAGTGAGGAGCGTCTCTGCCTGGCCGCCCATCATCTGGGATGTGAGGAGCCCCTCTGCCTGGCTGCCCAGTCTGGAAAGTGAGGAGCGTCTCTGCCCGGCCGCCATCCCATCTAGGAAGTGAGGAGCGCCTCTTCCCGGCCGCCATCCCATCTAGGAAGTGAGGAGCGTCTCTGCCCGGCCGCCCCGTCTGAGAAGTGAGGAGACCCTCTGCCTGGCAACCGCCCTGTCTGAGAAGTGAGGAGCCCCTCCGCCCAGCAGCCGCCCCGTCTGAGAAGTGAGGAGCCCCTCCGCCCGGCAGCCACCCCGTCTGGGAAGTGAGGAGCGTCTCCGCCCGGCAGCCACCCCGTCCAGGAGGGAGGTGGGGGGGTCAGCCCCCCTCCCGGCCAGCCGCCCCGTCCGGGAGGGAGGTGGGGGGATCAGCCCCACGCCCGGCCAGCCGCCCCCTCTGGGAGGTGAGGGGCGCCTCTGCCCGGCCGCCCCTACTGGGAAGTGAGGAGCCCCTCTGCCTGGCCGGCCCCCCCGACCTGGAGGGAGGTGGGGGCGTTAGCCCCCCGCCCGGCCAGCCACCCCGTCCGGGAGGTGAGGGGCGCCTCTGCCCGGCCGCCCCTACTGGGAAGTGAGGAGCCCCTCTGCCCGGTCAGCCTCCCCGTCCGGGAGGGAGGTGGGGGGGTCAGCCCCCCGCCCGGCCAGCCGCACCATCCGGGAGGTGAGGGGCGCCTCTGCCCGGCCGCCCCTACTGGGAAGTGAGGAGCCCCTCTGCCCGGCCACCACCCCGTCTGGGAGGTGTACCCAACAGCTCATTGAGAACGGGCCATGATGACAATGGCGGTTTTGTGGAATAGAAAGGGGGGAAAGGTGGGGAAAAGATTGAGAAATCGGATGGTTGCCATGTCTGTGTAGAAAGAGGTAGACATGGGAGACTTTTCATTTTGTTCTGTACTAAGAAAAATTCTTCTGCCTTGGGATCCTGTTGATCTGTGAACTTACCCCCAACCCTGTGCTCTCTGAAACATGTGCTGTGTCCACTCAGGGTTAAATGGATTAAGGGCGGTGCAAGATGTGCTTTGTTAAACAGATGCTTGAAGGCAGCATGCTCGTTAAGAGTCATCACCACTCCCTAATCTCAAGTACCCAGGGACACAAACACTGCAGAAGGCCGCAGGGTCCTCTGCCTAGGAAAACCAGAGACCTTTGTTCACTTGTTTGTCTGCTGACCTTCCCTCCACTATTGTCCTGTGACCCTGCCAAATCCCCCTCTGCTAGAAACACCCAATAATGATCAATAAAAAAATAAATAAACAACAACAACAACAAAAAAGTCAAAAAATAACATGCTGGCAAGGCTGTGGAAAAAAGGGGATGCTTATACCCTTTTGGTGGGAGTGTTTAACCGTTGTGGAAAACAGTATGGTGATTCCTGAAAGAGCTAAAAATAGAAATACCATTCAACCCAGCAATCTCATTATTGGGTATACACCCAAAGGAATATAAATCATTCTACCATAAAGACCCATGCATGTGTATGTTCATTGCAGCACTATTCACAATAGAAAAGACATGGAAACAACCTAAATGCCCATCAATGACAGATTGGATAAAGAAAATGTGGTACGTATACACCATGAAATAGACTATGCAGCCATAAGAAAGAACGAGAGCATGTCTGTTGTGGGAACATAGATGGAGCTAGAGGCCATTATCCTTAGCAAACAAACACAGGAACAGAAAACCAAATATCACATGTTCTCACTTATACGTGGGAGCTGGCCAGGCACGGTGGTTCACGCCTGTAATCCCGGCACTTTGGGAGGCCAAGGTAGGCAGATCACCTGAAGTCAGGAGTTGGAGACTAGCCTGGCCAACATAGTGAAACTTCATCTCTACTGAAAATACAAAAATTAGCCCGGCCTGGTGGTGGGCGCCTGTAGTCCCAGCTACTCGGGAGGCTGAGGCAGAATTGCTTGAACCCAGGAGGCAGAGGTTGCAGTGAGCCGAGATCTTGCCGTTGCACTCCAGCCTGGGCGACAAGAGTGAAACTCCATGTCCAAAAAAAAAAAAAAAAAAGTGGGAGCTAAATGATGAGAACAAATGGACACAAAAAGAGGGACACCACCGGCCAGGCACGGTGGCTCACGCCTGTAATCCCAGCACTTTGGGAGGCCGAGGCGGGCAGATCACGAAGTCAGGAGATCGAGACCAGCCTGGCTAACATGGTAAAGCCCCGTCCCTACTAAAAAAATATAAAAAATTAGCTGGGCGTGGTGGCGGGCGCCTGTAGTCCCAGCTACTCGGGAGGCTGAGGCAGGAGAATGGCGTGAACCTGGGAGGCGGAGCTTGCAGTGAGCTGAGATCGCCACTGCACTCCAGCCTGGGCGACAGAGCGAGACTCTGTCTCAAAAAAAAAAAAAAAAGGTGGGGGGACAACACCCACTGGGGCCTCTCAGAAGGTGGAGGCTGGGAGGAGGGAGAGGATAAGAAAAAATAACGATTGGGTACTAGGCTTAGTTCCTGGGTAACAAAATAATCTGTACAATAAACCCCCATGATATGAGTTTACCTATATAACAAACCCTGAACCGAAAATAAAAGTTTTAAAAATAAAAAATAAAAAATAAAAAAAAAATCAAAATGTATTTAAGGGTATTCACTGAAAAATCTGTCGCCAATACCTATCTCCAGCCATCCTCCCTTTTCTATTGACAGCCACTGTTGGCAGTTTCTTATGTATCTCATATATATATATATGTATCTCATATATATATGTATCTCATATATATGTATCTCATATATATGTATCTCATATATATATGTATCTCATATATATATGTATCTCATATATATATGTATCTCATATATATATGTATCTCATATATGTATGTATCTCATATATATATGAGAAATAGTACAATAGGATACAAACACTTTTGCAGCTTACCTCACTTAATGTTATATGCCCAGGTAGTTACACATCTGTATCTGTACAAGAGCAAAGTATTCTATGATATGCTATAATTATTTAACTTCTCCTCTAGTGGCAAATACATGTTGATCCCAATCTTTTACTATTATAGTGCTATAATGAATAACCTTGAATATGCCAGTCATTATACACATGGGAGTATATCTGTAGCATAAATTGCTGTGAATAGAATTACTGAGGCAAAGGATATATGCATTTGTAATTTTGAGAGATATTGTAAAAATTTCCTTTCGTATAGATGAGAAAAAAATAGTTTAAAGCAGCCTGAGCTAGGAGAGCTATGCAAAATTTATCAGGCCCAGAGAAACTTTAAGCAATAAAGACCTTTTTTTATTTTTATTTTTTGAGACAGGGTATCACTCTGTCACCCAGGCTGGAGTGCAGTGGTGCAGTCATGGCTCACTGTAACCTCAACTTCAGCTTGGACTTGCTGGGCTCCTGCAATTCTCCCACCTCAGCCTCCCGAGTAGCTGGACCACAGGTGCACGCCACCACCCCCAGATAATTTGTGTATTTTTGGTAGAGTTAGGATTTCGCCTCATTGCCCCGGTTGGTCTCAAACTCCTGAGCTCAAGCTATCCACCCGCCTCAGCCTCCCAAAGTGCTGAGATTACAGACATGAGCCACCGCGCCTGACAAGACTTTTTTTTTTAATAGGCAAAAGGAGGTACTGCCTTGTGGGAGCAGATAGTTTACATTTCTTATTTTAAATTAGTAAATTGGAATTCTGTTTTAACAGCCAGTTCCTTGTAAACTTGAGCAGTGCGTCACTTCTTCAAAACCTGGTTGAGCATGGTGGCTCATGCCTGTCATCCCAGAACTTTGGGATCACTTGAGGTCAGGAGTTCAAGACCAGCCTGGCCAACATGGCAAAATCTCGTCTCTAATAAAAATACAAAAAAATTAGCTGGGCGTGGTGGCTCACGCCTGTAATCCCAGCACTTTGGGAGGCTGAGGCGGGCGGACCATGAGGAGATCAAGACCATCCTGGCTAACACGGTGAAACCCCGTCTCTACTAAAAATACAAAAAAAAAAAAAAATAGCCGGGCATAGTGCTGGGCGCCTGTAGTCCCAGCTACTCGGGAGGCTGAGGCAGGAGAATGGCGTGAACCCGGGAGGCAGAGCTTGCAGTGAGCTGAGATCGCGCCACTGCACTCCAGCCTGGGTGACAGAGCAAGTCTCCATCTCAAAAAAAAAAAAAAAAATTAGTGGGGCGTGGTGGTGCAGACCTGTAATCCCAGCTACTGGCGAGGCTGAGGCAGGAGAATCCCTTGAACCCAGGAGGTGGAGGTTGCAGTGAGTTGAGATTGTGCCACTGCATTCCAGCCTGGGCCACAGAGTGAGATTCTGTCTAAAAAAAAACAAACAATAACAATAAAAAACCTGATAAGTATGGGACTTGAATCATGACCCCTCACCCCCATGTCCAGGGCAATTACTTAAAGGCATTTTGTTCCTGACTCGCTGCCTCACTCATTATCTTCATGTTTCTGGAGTCTGTGATACAAAGAATAAAGTATAAGCAATCAATAGCTTTTGTTTACTTTTTATTTTTTAGAGATAGGGTCTAGCTCTATTGCCCAAGCTGGGGTGCAATGGTGCCATCATAGCTCCTTGAAGCTCGAACTCCTGGGCTCAAGCAATTCCCCTGCCTCAGCCTCCCACGTATCTGGGACCACAGGCACAGACCATCAGGCCCAGCTGCTTATGTTATTTTAATGTAAATTCTTGCAAAACAACTTAGGAACTGTGTCTTCTTTTTTCCTTTAAAAACCCACTTTGGCCAGGCGCAGTGGCTCATGCCTGTAATCCTAGCACTTTGGGAGGTCAAGGCGGGAGAATCACTTGAGCTAAGGAGTTTGAGACCAGCCTAGCTGGGCAACAAAGGGAGACCTCATCTCTATCTTAGAAAAAAAAAAAAAAATCCACTTGTGGCTGGGCACGGTGGCTCACACCTATAATCCTAGGAAGGGGCAGGAGGATTGCTTGAGTGCAGAGTTTGAGACTAGACTGGGCAACATAGTGAGACCTGCCTCTACAAAAATTTTCTTTAAAAATTAACCAGGCATGATGGTGTGCCCCTGTAGTCCCAGCTACTCCAGAGGGTGAAGTGAAAAAGGAGGATCACTTGAACTAAGATGTCGAGGCTGCAGTGAGGTGTGAAGGCACCATTGCACTCCAGCCTGGGCAACAGAGCAAGACCTGTCTCAAAAAAAAGAAAGAAAGAAAGAAAGAAAGGACCCACCCCACTTGCAACTGCTGCTAATAGGAGTGCATATTCAGGGCAACTTGAATCCATATTGCTGGGTGGCCATCCTCAAGCTTTGGGCTCAGTTAAACTCTACATTTAACATATTTCCTAAATCTCCTTATTGAAGGTTGACATAGGTTTTGCCAGTTTATACCCTGTTCAGCAATGTATGGAAGTGCTTGTTGGAATGTATGAAAAGGGTGTGTGTGTGGCAGGGGGTGGGGGGAGCGGTTATGAGAAGTACCAAATTAGTAGGGGGCTGGGCAGAAGTGTGGGTAGTCTGGACATCCTGTTTGCAACTGGCATCTGAAGTGGGGGCAGTCTTGTGGGACTGAGCATTAACCTGTGGGATGTGCACTAACTCTGGATAGTTAGTGTCAGAATTGAATTGAATTGTTGGATACCCAGTTGGTACCAGGAGAATCAGAAACTACACACATAACCTTGGAGATGATGTTAATGTTATTTGAAGTCCTTTGTGACGGGACCTATGTGACCTGCTCCTTTGTGATGGTCCTCCTGCAAACCCCTTACCAACCCCCATGAAGAGCCCTTCTCATCTTAGTGTGTTCTAGTAGCATATCAATCAGTCTCCCTGCTCTCAAAGGCTAACTACTTCCACAGTCATGGAGAGATCAGCACATGGATTGCTCTCTGGACAGTCTGAGTTTGATGTCTCTGGGAGGCTAATACTTTAGTTGAACACTGATTTCTTTGTATATTTGTTCAGTTTTATTTAGAGAAGAGGCTAAGTACTGCTGGGGCAAGAACAGGAAAGAGCCAGGCCCCTGCTTGCATGCCATCTCAGCAAAATAAGCCTGGTGGTAACTTTTAATTTTCATTTTTTTTAAATAGAGATGGGGTCTCGCTATATTGCCCAGGTTGGTCTTGAACTCCTGGCCTCAAGCAGTCCTTCCCCCTTGGCCTCCCAGACTGCTGAGATGACAGTCACGGGCCACTGTGCCAGGCCCCTCATGGTAACTTGACTTTCACTCTTGGTAGGTTAGGGAGGAGTGACCATCTGTTTTGTTTTAGGCATGCTCATTAAGGGGTCTCACTCCCCACTAGGCTTTACAAATTATCTCTTCCGAGGCACAAGTTTCTGTTCTGTTACATTTTTTGTGCCTTGCCTCTTGTATGTTGGTAAATCAGGCAGTGCTGGGTTGGTTGTATGAACCTCAGAACCACCTTTGTTAAATTCTTCTCCATCAATTATCATATTCTTATCTTCTCCTTACGTGTTGTGGCAGCCATGAGACTGCGTCTCTCAGACCTCCAACTGCAGAAAGCATAATTAACCTTTGGCCTCAGCTGCTGTACTCTGAAATTCATGACTACTGCATTTGCTCAGAGACTACACTTTCCATGGGCTGCTCCCAGCCAACAGCCAAGCACATCAGGGATACTAAGGCAGGCTCATTCCTTTGATAGATGATATTGGATACAATGTCTGAAAGAGTCAAAGGCAAGAATGGTATGCAACATGTGCAATTCTAGTCTCAAGTCAGGTGGTTAGCTTCTGAAAAAACATAGGCACAGAATTTTTGTTGAGATAGGGGAGCACCTGATATCATGCACAGTGTGTGATTTCAGCCATGTAAGGCCATGTTACATATTAGTGTAAACCTGGATCAGGGCAGAAATAAAAAGGTTCTCAGCCACAGGAATCCTGGAAACCAGGCATTTTCACTGCTTCTCTCAAGGAGATGAATTACCCACTTTCTGAGTAAAGAACCACCAATGTATCTAACTGGAGCAGTTTCTTCAACTGTTGTTGTTGTTTTTTTGTTTTGTTTTGTTTTTTTGTTTTTTTTTGAGACAGAGTCTTGCTGTGTCACCCGTGCTGAAGTGCAGTGGTACCATCAGAGCTCACTGCAGCCTTGAACTCGGACTCAAATGATCCTACAGCCTCAGCTTCCCCAGTAGCTAGGACTAGAGGTACGTGCTACCACCACACTTGGCTAATTAAAAAAATTTTTTTGGGCTGGGTGCCGTGGCTCATGCCTGTAATCCCAGCACTTTAGGAGGCCAAGGCGGGTGGATCACGAGGTCAAGAGATCAAGACCAATCTGGCCAACATGGTGAAACCCTGTCTCTACTAAAAATACAAAAATTAGCTGTGCATGGTGGTGCGTGCCTGTAGTCCCAGCTACTTGGGAGGCTGAGGCAGGAGAATCGCTTAAACCCAGGAGGTGGAGGTTGCAGTGAGCTGAGATCACGCCATTGTACTCCAGCCTAGTGACAGAGCGAGACTCCATCTCAAAAAAAAAAAAAAATTTTTTTGTAGAGACCAAATCTCACTTTTTTGCCCAGGTTGGTCTCAAACTCCTGGGCTCAAGTGATCCTCCCAACTTGGCCTCCCAGAGTCCTGGGATTACAGGAGTAAGCCACCTAGCCATACCAGAGCAATGTTTTTTCAAACATTAATATGCATACAGATCACCTGGACCTTGTAAAAATGCAGATTCTGATTCAGGAGTTCTAGGATGAGGCCTGAGATTTCGCATTTCTAGCAAGTTCCAGGTAATGCCAATGCTGCTGGACCCCAGCCCACACTGAGCAGCAGGGATGTAGAGAATCTCAAGAATGCCAGATGTATTTGATTAATTGATGGGATCTTGAGGAGGGTGCCATTCCAGAACTATTAGCATCATGTGATCTCTTTGGCTGAACAGATATGGCTTTCTTAGGATTCTCAGACTCTGGCTATTTGTGTGACTGAGCACCTACAAGAAACCAGGGACTGTGCTAGGTGCTAGGGTGGGTGTGGGGCATATGGAGAGGAGACAAAGTGGTAAACAAGATACAGTTTTTCCTTCCACGATCTTTTTTCTTTTAAGCTTTTTTAGAGACAGGGTCTCGCTCTGTTGCCCAGGCTGGAGTGCAGTGGCACGATCATGGCTCACTGAAGCCTCGACCTCCTGGGCACAAGCTAACCTCCCATCTCAGCATCCTGAGTAGCTAGGACTGCAGGTGAGTACCACCATGCCTGGATAATTTTTTAATTTTATTTTTTGTAGAGACAGGATCTCGCTATGTTTCCCAGACTGGTCTCCAACTTCTGGCCTGAAGCGATCCTCCTGCCTCACCCTCCCAAAGTTTTGTGATTACAGGCATGAGTCACCATGCCTGGCCACGATCTTTCAGTCTGGTCATAGGGGCATGAAAATGAACAAAGCCATGTCAGGAGAGTGTCATAACAGCCACATAGCCCAGTCTTGGGGGAAGAGTAATGGAGGAAGGATTCCAGAAGGAAGCAACAAGGAAACTGAGACATGAAGTTGGTGTTTGACAGGCAAATTGCATATGTTTTCGGTGTGCCTAAGTGTTTGAAGTATATTCCAGAGGTAGAGATAAACAGCTGAAGGGGTCCAGAGGAAATAAAGAGCATGGCACACTTAGGGAACTAGTATAGTTAAGGACTATTGGAATGAAAGGGAAAGAAGATCAGGACTCAGGCCAGAGAGACAAGGTCATGAAGGGCATTATAGTCCATGTTTATGGTTCTAGACATTATCTAAAGACGTTCTAAAGTAAACCATTGAATGAGTGTAACTTATTTTTAGCTCAAAAAGATCAATGTGACAGAACAAAGACAGTAGCAGTAGGAATGTGGAGAAATTAATGGACTTGAGAAATACTTGTCCTGTTTCTCTGATTTGACCCCAAAGAAGGTACAACTGAGGATTGCTCAGACCAGAAGTCTGTGAGATGCCATGTCTGAGGAAGATGTCAGGATATAAAAAGCACCATGACTTCTATTGGGAGTGGAGGGCCTGGCAAATCTCTGTCAATTGTTTTCAGTGTTCTAATGAAAGGCCTTAGCCACAGGGATATACACTCCCAGAACAACAGGTTTGATTCCCAATTGTATTTGCAAAGGAAGTTAGTTCTTCTAGCTTTTCATTTACACATCCTCACAGGAGGTATATTTGTCAGGAACCCATGGGTTGGGTTTGGTAGAGCGTCTGACCAGGCCGGCCAGACAAGGCTTGGTGTACTAAGCTGTCCAATATTCCCAAAACTTTAATTACCTCAACCTAAGTATGAGAATATCATTATAATTTTTGCCACCTATCACATCACATGCTCACACAGGCACCCACATGCTATTTCTGTTTGTTATCCTACTCACTAAATAAAGCTCAACTTGTCTGAAGTCAGTCTAATCCCATCTACCCCCAAGCATTTGCCAATATTTACATCCTTTCTGCTGCAAATATTATCATTACTTATCTAATTACTTGGGCTCATACCTCTGAGACATGTTTTTCTCTTCTTTCTCATCTACCCCTCACCCCACCTCCCTGCCATAACTTAATTTATTTAATGTTAGACTACAGAGCTCTTCATATACTGCTTTGCTTTCTCTAATCTCTTCAGTCCATTGTGAATAATAGCATGATGTGCATATCACTATCCTGGTATACTTTGCTTTTATATTATAAATTATTTCTTGGCTATAATTTTTTTATTTTGAGATGGAGTTTTGCTCTTGTTGCCCAGGCTGGAGTGCAGTGGTGCAATCTCAACTCACTGCAACCTCTTCCTCCTGGGTTCAAGCAATTCTCCTGCCTCAGCCCCCTGAGTAGCTGAGATTACAGGAACCCACGACCATGCCTGGCTAATTTTTTTTTTTTTTTTTTGTATTTTTAGTAGAGATGGGGTTTCATCATGTTGGCCAGGCTGGTCTTGAACTCCCGACCTCAGGTGATCCCCTGCCTCATCCTCCCAAAGTGCTGGGATTACAGATGTGAGCCACGGCACCCAGCCTAGAATTTTATATTTTATATAAATCTGTCTGGTTTGAAGACAGTACTATAAGCAAATCAATTCTATTTAATCAAGGGTTGGTAGAGATGGGCTTAGTAGCTGTGTAACCTTAGGCAAGTTATTTTACATGTCTGTGTCTCCATTTCTTCATGTATAAAATGGGGACAATAATAGTACCTAATTCACAGGGTGTTATGAGGATTGAAAGAGTTAGTATTTGTAAGACAGTTGGAACAGCGCCGGAAACTTGGTAAGCTCTGAAATACCTGGAATCTGTGTAGAAGTCAATGAGGAAATGAGTTTATCAAGAAAGAAAGAACATGGTTGAAAATGAGACCTTGAGTCCCACAATAAGGAGTGGCTTTGGTGGTGTTTGGCTGGGTTTGTTAGCTGAGGATAGTGAATGAATGTTATATCTAGGTGAATCTAATAATGGAATTGATGATTCTCTTGACCAGAAACCTGAGCTTAAATCTATTGATAGAATGTTTGAACTGTTTGACTTACTATTGTTTTAGATTCAAAACATTGGTTTTCGTAGGCATTTCAGTTCAATGCAATGTCAATTAATTAGGTCTGAAGTAGAACAGTTACCATGAGAGGTTTATATTACCATAGCTTGCATTTGAGAAAGTCAAAATTTTCAAAATATGGTTAGTTCCAAAGTATATTTTTGATAAACCAGCTTGAATACTGCATTGTGGATAACAAGGTTAAATAAAGGTTCTAATAAGACAAACAGTGACAATTTAAATAAATCAGATGTTTTTGTCGAAGATTACTCTGTGATTTTCTCCAATTATTCATGACATTTCACCCATTCATATTGTGATCTGCTTTAATAGTGGAAGAAAAAAAAGCCCTTGTCTCCTTGTTTATTCTTTGTTCTCAAGGAGATAAGCTGTTTATAAAGACACGTTATTTGTTATTTAAATCACTTTTACTGAAGTTGTTTATTTCCTTGTTTCAGTTTCTAAAAATATTGCAACAATTGTAATGCTTCTTAGAGATGTCTATTCAATTCAGAGTGATTTGTACTGAAATTCTTTGCTAAATGGGCACAGGTGCTGATGTGTATAACATGCTAGTGAGTCAAAACTAATAAGTGCTAAAAAAAACGATAATGGGGATATACTTGTGTCAACTTTAAAAATCTGTGATTAAAAACATTTTAGACCTAAAGTCTTAGATATTTGTAAAGGTCTATCGCTATACATGCTATTTAATAAGTATTTAATAATAGTAATAATAATAATAATGAAAACAATAAATTAGGTATAATACCAAAACCATAAGCAGAAAAACTGCATAATTTAAATACAGAAATCTATTTCCTAGAAAATACCCTTTAATCACTTTGCAGACTTTGAAGATCATAATTATTATATAGAAGTAATTACATTAAAAGATAATTTACCTGGTAGTAAAGTATCAAATTAAAGCTGAAAAACTACACTTGTAAACAGAATTATATGTTTTAAAATATTGTTAAACAGCAAACATGTGAAATTATGTCTCCTGCTTCTCTCTTTGCTATGCATAAAATTACCTCCAGAAAAAATTTTGGTGATTTGGTACTATAAAGCTACATGGTACTAAAGTATACAGCTACATTACATGTTTTGCATATCAACCTAAACTATGACTTATCCTAGGTAATCAACAAGATTGATGTGTGAAATAAAGCCAAGCAGATTTGATATTTTAAGGGACAGCTGATTATTTTTAAGAACTAAAGGTTGAAAATCCAGCTGGGTTGATTTGGCTTAAAAAAATGAAGTCTGGTAACATAATTTATAGTATCTATTCCGGCCGAGTAAGCCCTGGATACTGCAAACTCGTATCTGTGGATGCACAATTCTCCCTTTGAAATTGATGAGAATTGCTTGGGCTAAGTGAGAGGCATGCTGGGAAAATTGGGCCCTTACAATTGGTGTGTATAGACATTAGAGGTTTCATGACACTTTCCTCATCTGGTCCCTCAGTTTTCTCCAGTTCTGGTTTTGGCAGGAGACACTCAGCTTTGGAAGGAATACTCCTTGAATTAGATATGTCCAGACTAAAAATTATTCAGGTTTTATCACCTAGAGAGTCTTACTTGAGAATTTCTTCATTATCAGTAAAGTTGGGTAAATAAAGTTTAACTTGATTTAAATCTTATCCAAGTAATCTCAAGATGTCCATTTGAAAAACAAAACAAAAACCAGCTGATTTCGTTGAAGTCTAGGCCAAATCACGGCTAAGTTTGAGTGTAGTCACCTGGAGCAAGTACTATACTTATAAACAAATGAATTCATATACTTTTATCATGGCATCTTTGAGTTTTGAAGATTGGCTACATTTTAGGCCAACTTCAGTTTCTCTAAATAAGTGGTCTATAGAACTGAAAAACACTCAATTTGTTTGCCTGGTTGCATCTCATTAAATCCAACTAACCAATCAACAAAACTAGATTGGTCATGACTATCAATGAACAGCAATCAAAGTATTATGTGGCATGGTCTACTTTTTGTCTATCTGTTGATCTTGTTTAAGGGTTATTTCCATTACCATTCAGTTAACTTCAAGAAGGTATAGTAGCTGTATTATATTGGACAAGTCACTTACTGTATCTCTCAGAATCATGGAGTTTTTTTGTTTGTTTGTTCGTTTGTTTTAATTGAGACAGGGTCTTACCCTGTTGCTCAACCTGGAATGGAGTGGCTTGAAAACAGCTCACTACAGCCTTGACCTCCCGGGCTCAAGAAATCCTCCCACCTCAGCCTCCTGAGTAGCTGGGACTACAGGTGGACGTCATCATACTTGGCTACTTTTTAAAAGCATTTTTTGTGGAGATGGGGTCTTGCTATGTTGCCTAGGCTGATCTCAAATTCCTGGCCTCAGCAATCCTCCAGCTCAGCCTCCCAAAGTGGTAGGGTTACAGGCATGAGCCACAATGTGCCCAGCCCCCTTGAGGATCTTAAAATAAATGTATTCATTAAGGCTGAATATCAATAGTAGTATGCAGTATATAATGTACATGTAATGATGGATACTAAATACATATTGCAGTATTAAACCTGGAACATTCTTTTTTTAATTTTTTTGAGACAGAGTCTCGCTCTGTCACCCAGGCTGGAGTGCAATGGCACGATCTCGGCTCAAGCAATTCTCCTGCCTCAGCCTCATGAGTAGCTGGGATTACAGGCACATGCCACCACGCCCAGCTAAGTTTTGTATTTTTAGTAGAGATGGAGTTTCACTATGTTGGTCAGACTGGTCTTGAACTCTTGACCTCAAATGATCCACCTGCCTCGGCCTCCCGAAGTGCTGGGATTGCAGGCATGAGCCACTGCACCTGGCCTAAAGCTGGAACATTCTTAAAGTTGCCTTGAAAATATTAAAAGTCAATTGATAGCTTGGGTAATTATTTTTATTAAAATTTTCTTTCCTTTCTTTTTTTTTTTTTTGAGGTGGAGTCTCGCTCTGTCACCCAGGCTGGAGTGCAATGGTGTGATCTTGGCTCACTGCAACCTCCGCTTCCTGGGTTGAAGCAATTCTCATGCCTCAGCCTCCCTAGTGGCAGGGATTAGAGGCACCGGCCATCATGCCCGGCTAATTTATTTTGTATTTTTGTAGAGACGGGGTTTCACCATGTTGGCCAGGCTGGTCTTGAGCTCCTGACCTCAGGTGATCCATCCATCTCGGCTTCCAAAGTGCTAGGATTACAGGCGTGAGCCATTGTGCCTAGCCAAATTTTTTTTTTCTAATTTAAAAAATATCTTGAACCTGGCCTCAATTGATCCTCCCACCTCAGCCTCCCAAAGCACTGGAATTATAGGCGTGAGCTACTGCACTGATTTTTCAAATATTAGTAAAAACCAACAGAACATTCATAGGAAATAAAGGGGGGGGGTGTCCAGTGGGTGGATGGGATTAGTTTACCAGTTTTTCTAGAATAATATATACAAAGGTGCATGTAAACAAATAAGATGCTTGGTAAATCACCCATGATATGTTGCTTTCTGAGTATAAATTATTTGAGTGATCTGAGAGGATGGTAAGGTAGGCAGAGCCAGATATTGATTTTCTAAAAGGTCCATAATAAAGAAATTGTACTTCATTCTGCAGACAGTAGGGAGGCACTGCAAATTTAGAAACTGTGAAGGATCGTAGTCAGATAGGTGACATCTTTGGAAAGATGCATCTGACAGCAGTATGGTGTGGAGGGGAAACAGCCAGAGCTAGAGTTGGGAGATGACTGCATCAGCCTCTGAAAGACAAGAGGGAGACCCAGTGGTAACGGATGGATTTAATCATATTTGGTGAAGGACTGGATAGGAGGGATGAGGAAGAGAAACTAGGTGATGATTCCCAGATTCCAAGTTTGTGTGTCCAATTGGGGAACGTTAGTATTAGTTGGGGTTTGTTGCTATTTTTAAAGGGAGGATGGTGGCCGGGTGCAGTGGCTCATGCTGGTAATCCCAGCACTTTGGGAGGCTGAGGCGGGTGGATCACTTGAGGTCAGGAGTTTGAGACCAGCCTGGCCAACATGGTGAAACCCCGTCTCTACTAAAAATACAAAAATTAGCCGGGAGTGGTGGTGCACGCCTGTAGTCCCAGCTACTTGGGAGGCTGAGGCACGAGAATCGCTTGAACCCAGGAGGTGGAGGTTGCAGTGAGCCGAGATTGCACCACTGCACTCCAGCCTGGGTGACAGAGCAAGACTCTCTACAATATATATATGGAAAGCTTTTTTTTCCCTCTCAAAATTTGGATAAGGAAGAAATACATAGGTAAATACACATATATTATCATGTGATTCAATTTTTTAAAAAAGGATATTCAAAACTGAAAAAAAAACAGTTATTTTAATTTGTTGTTGAAAATAAGTAGTAAGAAACTAAATAAAGGCTGGGCATGGTGGCTCACACCTGTAATCCCAGCACATTGGGAGGCCGAGGCAGGAGGATCACTTGAGGTCAGGAGTTCAAGACCAGCCTAGCCAACATGGTGAAACCCTGTCTTTTCTAAAAATACAAAAATTAGCCAGGCATGTTGGCATGCACCTGTAATCCCAGCTACCCGAGAGGCTGAGGCAGGAGAATCTCTTGAACCCAGGAGGTGGAGAATGCAGTGAGCCGAGATTGCACCACTGCACTCTAGCCTGGGCAACAGAACAAGACTCCATCTCAAAAAAAAAAAAAAAAAAAAAAAAGAAAAAAGAAAGAAAGAAAGAAAAAAAAAGAAAAAAAAAAGAAAAAAGAAACTGGCTGGGCACGGCAGCTCACGCCTATAATCCCAGCACTTTGGGAGGCCGAGGCAGGCAGATCACGAACGAGGTTAGGAGTTTGAGACCAGCCTGGCCAACATAGTGAAACCCCGTTGCTACTAAAAATACAAAAATTAGCCACGCATGGTGGCACGCACCTGTAGTCCCAGCTACTCAGGAGGCTGAGGCAAGAGAATTGCTTGAACCTGGGAGGCGGAGGTTGCAGTGAGCTGAGACTGTGCCATTGCACTCCAGCCTGGGTGACAGAGTGAGACTCCCATCTCAAAAAAAATAATAATAATAAAAAAGAAACTAAATAAAGGTTTGAGCACTGGACTTGGCTTCAAATATTCTGTCTTTGGCCAGTCTCTAGTTATGAGTTAAACAACGTTTCAGTAAAGGGGAAAAAAGGTGATTTTTGTTGTAAGGTTAGCAAAAGAATAAGAAATGGACTGCTTGTAGCAAAATCTATACTTTGTACACATTTATAAATCTGTATTACTGAAGTGTGTACATCTTGGTTAGAAGTTACATTTCTCATAGTTAATAAGGTACTTAGGTATATTTGTTTATTTAGTTTGTTTAAATTAAGTAACCTAGTGCCTATAGTGCCAGCTACTTGGGAGGCTGAGGCAGGAGGATTGCTTGAGCCCAGGAGTTTGAGGCTGCACTGAGCTATGATTGCATCACTGCACTTTAGCCTAGGTTGACAGAGTGAGATCTTGTCTCTAAAAAAAAGGAAAAGAAAATAAATTAAGTAACCTAAGTTATATCTTTGGTTAAGGATATTTAAAATACAAATGTTTTGAATTTAGAAGCTAGATATTTGACTCTACTTGAATGTAGAAACTAGAAGTTATTATGTAATGGTTTCCATGTGAATTTATTTATTTATTTATTTAGTGTAGAGATGGGGTCTTGTTATGTTGCCCAGGCTGGTCTTGAACTCCTGGCCTCAAGCAAGCCTCCCACCTCTGTCTCTCAAAGTGCTGAGATTACCAGCGTGAGCCACTGTACCCCTGAAATAATTTCTTATGTATCTTCAAATGGACCACATTGTTTTTCATAGCTCTAAAGTGTTTCTTTGTTAAATTAGAAGAAATTATACTTATGAAGAACCACGTGTAATGGCAAATAAATAAATAAGCAAATGGAAAAAAGGGCTCTTGGGTTGTGTTTCAATTACTTCTGTAATATTGAATTTAATGGTGTTTTAAAAAATTAATCTTTAAAATGGATCCACAGTATGGATGTTCCTAAAGAAATTAGAAACAGAACTACCCAGACTACGGTGGCTCATGCCTGTAATCCCAGCACTTTTGGAGGCCGAGGTGGGAAGACTGCTTGAGCCCAGGAGTTTGAGACCAGTCTAGACAACATGGCAAACTCCGTCTCTACAAAAAATACAAAAATTAGCCAGGCATGTGGTGCGCACCTGTAGTTCTAGCCACTTGGGAGGCTTATGTGGGAGGGAGAATTGCTTGAGCCCCAGAGGTCAAGGCTGCAGTGAGCCAAGATTGTGCTACTGCACTCCAGCCTGGGCGACAAAGTGAGACCCTGTCTCAAAAAAAAAGAAAGAAAAAGAAAAAGAAAAAAACCCCCTCAAAACCACAGAACTATCATATAAACTGGGAATCTCCCTTCTGGGTGTATACTCAAAGGAGATGAAACCACCTCCTCGTAAAGATATCTGCACTCCCATGTTCTTTGCAGCATTAGTCACAATAGCCAAGATGTGGAGACAACCTGTGTCCATAGACAGTTGAATGAATAAAGAAAATGTAGCACGTGCGTGCACACACACACACACACACACACACACACACACTGGAGTATTATTTTATTTTTTTGAGAAGGAATTTCACTCTGATTGCCCAGGCTGGAGTGCAATGGTGCGATCTCAGCTCACTGTAGCCTCCGCCTCCCGGGTTCAAGCGATTCTCGAGCCGCAGCCTCCCGAGTAGCTGGGATTACAGGCATGTGCCACTGTGCCCGGCTAAGTTTGTATTTTTAGTAGAGATGGGGTTTCACCATGTTAGCCAGGTGGTCTCGAACTTCTGACCTCAGGTGATCTGCCGACTTCGGCCTCCCAGAGTGCTGGGATTACAAGCGTGAGCCACCGCACCCAGCCTGGAGTATTATTTAGCATTAAAAAAGGAGGAAATCCTGCTATTTGTAGGATGGACCTGGAGGACGTTATGCTAAGTGAAATCAGCCAGACATAGAAATAAAAATATTGAATGGTCTCACTTATGTGTGGAATCTATTTTAGTTTTCTTTTTTCTTTTTTGGCTAGTTTTTGTATTTTTGTATTTTTTGTGGAGGTGGGGGTCTCCTTATGTTGCCTTGGTTGGTCTCAAACTCCTGGGCTCAAGCGATCCAGCTGTCTCGACCTCCCAAAGTGTTGGGATTACAGGTATGAGCCACCGGCCTGGCCTTAATTGTTTTATTTTATTTTTGAGATGGGATCTTGCTCCGTCATCCAGGCTAGGGTGCAGTGGTATGATCATAGCTCACTGCAGCCTCGAACTCTTGGGCTCAAGGTATCCTCCTGCCTCACCCTTCCAAAGTCCTGGGATTATAGGCAGGAGCCACTGCACTCAGCTTAAAATTTTAAAAAGTTCAAACATACAGAGATAGAGAATAAAACGGTGGTTACTGGGGTGAGGTTGGAGGTTCAGGGGAGGAAATGAGGTGATGTAATTCAAAGGATACAAAGTAGCAGATCTGTAAGCAGTCTATAGTTAATAAAATTACACAGTATTTGAGATTTTTTGCTAAATAAGTAGATTTTAGCAGCTCTTGTCACAGAAAAATAACTGTGAGATGACAGATGTTAATTTGCTTCACCATAGTAACCATTTTACAATTATATGTATCCTATAACATCATTTTGCAAACCTCAAACATATACAATAAAATTTACTTAAAAAATTAAAATGGGCTCAAAATCTTAGAAGCATCACTTATTTCATGAAGAAGGTAAAGTAATCTTTTCTTTTTGCAGATAGAAAATAAATTTTGTATTAAGACTACTCATTTAGTCATTTAACAAACATTTGAGTTCCTTATAACCTAGGTACTACTATAGGCCCTGGCGACATGGCAGTGAACAAAACAGACATAAATCCCTGCCATAGGGAGCTTAGATTCTAGGAAGAGTAGTAAGAGCAGGTAATAAGCTAATAAATTAGTAAAGTACATATTATGCTAGATGGTAGTAACTGTTGTGGAGAAAATAAAGCTGGGAAGAAAGAAAAGGAGTGCTGGGCAAGATTGTAATTTCATATAGATAGTAGTTAGGAAAGGCCTTAACTAAGAAGGTGTCATAAGGAAGTAAAGACAAGAGGAAGTGAGCCAAGTAGATATTTTGGAGCAGAGCATCCCAGGCAGAAGGAACAGGACATGCAGAAGCTTCAGGAGTGAGAAGCTGGCTTGGTGAGTTCCAGGAATAGCAAGAAAGCCAACGTGCATGGACAGAGATGGGACGGGAGAATGGTCTGAGATGAGATCAAAGAGGTAGTTGGTACCCTCATCATGAGACCTCATAGGCTGTTTTGATAACCGAGTGGCAGGGTAAGCCACTAGTAGGTATTAAACACAGGAAAGTAATGATGCAACTTAGAATTTTAGAAATTATATATGGCTCTTGTAACCGCCCAATGGTTTCATTTTGTCCGCTGCCCAGATAGAGTCGATTTATCAAGACAGGGGAATTGCCATTAGAGAAAGAGTTTAATTCATGCAGAGCCAGTTGAACAGGAGACCAGAGTTTTATTACTACTCAAATCAGTCCCCTGAAAATTCAGAGACTAGGGTTAAGGATAATTTGGTAGATAGGGGGCCAGGGAGTCAGGAGTGCTGATTGATTTACTATCACTCAAATCAGTCTCCCTGAAAATTCAGAGACTGGGGTTAAGGATAATTTGGTGGACAGGGGGCCAGGGAGTCAGGAGTGCTGATTGATCAGGCTGGAAATGAAATCAAAGGGAGTCAAAGCTGTCCTCTTGTGCTGAGTCAGTTCCTGGGTGGGGACCACAAGACTAGATGAGCCAGTTGATTGATCTGGGTGGCACCAGCTAATCCATCAGGGTCTGAAAAATATCTCCAGCATCAATCTTAGGTTTTACAGGTGATGTTATCCCTAGGAGCAATTGGGGAGGTTTAGATCTTGTGGCCTCTAGCTGCATGACTCCTAAACCATAATTTCTAATCTTGTAGCTAATCTGTTAGTCCTACAAAGGCAGTCTGGTCCCCAGGCAAGAAAAGGGTTTGTTTTGGAAAAGGGCTATCATCCTTCAAAGTTAAACTATAAACTAAATTCCTCCCAAAGTTAGTTCAGCCTATACCCAGAAATGAACAAGGACAGCTTGGAGGTTAGAAGCAAGATCAAGTCGGTCAGATCTTTCACTGTCATAATTTTCTCACAGTTATAATTTTTGCACAGACAATTCCCCTGTGTGGAGAACAAACTGTAGGGGTAGAGAGTGAAAGCAAGGAGACCAGTGACAAGGCAACTGCAATAATCCAGGAAGGAGATGATAGTGACTTGGATCAGAGTTGGTGGTAGCAGTACTGGCAGTGAAACATGATGGAATTCTGGATAATTTTGAAGATGAAGCCAACAAAATTCACTGAAGGACTGGGTGTAAGGTGAGAGTGAATGGTGAAAGCAGAGGATGATTCCTGTGATAAATGGTTTGACCTACTGGAAGGCCAGTGTTGCCATCTACTGAGATGAAGAAGGCTACAGACGAAGTGGTGGAAGTGGGAATCAATTACTAGGTCCTTTCCTCCCTAGGGAGGTGGCTACAAGAAGAGGAACAAGAGTATTGAGGAAGGCCGGGTGCGCTGGCTCACGCCTGTAATCCCAGCACTTTGGGAGGCTGAGGCAGGAGGATCACAAGGTCAGGAGATCGAGACCATCCTGGCTAACACGGTGAAACCCTGTCTCTACTAAAAACACAAAAAATTAGCCAGGCTTGGTGGCAGGTGCCTGTAGTCCCAGCTACTCTGGAGGCTGAGGCAGGAGAATGGCATGAACCCAGGAGGCAGAGCTTGCAGTGAGCTGAGATCGCACCACTGCACTCCAGCCTGGGCGACAGAGTGGGACTCTTGTCTCAAAAAAAAAAAAAAGAAAAAAGAAAGAGTATGAGGAAATGGTGAAATGGTATCTTGGCTGCTTCATGCCAATGGCCTATTCCATCTGCAGTCTGTCTCTGTCAATGGCTCAATGGCATCCTCTAAAATGGCAACCTCATGAACCTGGAAATGGAAAATCCCAATCACCCATATTTATTATGAATTACCATCTCATTTATTTAGATCCTACTTGAAAAATATTTTTCTTTTGCCTTTAATGAGTTTCGTGAATTTGCTACTTGATGTTCTGTAGCACTTTCTTCTACTTAAAAATTTCTGCTGGGCACAGTGGCTCACACCTGTAATCCCAGGACTTTGGGAGGTTGAAGCAGGCTGATTGCTTGAGTCCAGGAGTTTGAGACTAGCCTGGGCAACATGGTGAAAGCCCATCCCTACAAAAAATTAGGTGAGTGCATGGGGCATGCCTGCAGTTTCAGCTACTCAGGAGGCTGAGGTGGGAGGATTTTTTGAGCCCAGGAGGCAGAGGTTGCAGTGAGCTGAGATCATGCCACCGCACTCCAGCCTGGGCAAGAGTGAGACCCTGACTCAAAAAAATTTTTTTCCACTGTTTTCAACCTTAGAGTGCATTCCTTATTTCTACGATTCTTGGATATCATGAATCTGTGTTGTCCTAGGCATACCCTTATTTTATTTTATTTAAAAAAATGTTGGCCAGGCAAGGTGGCTCATACCTGTAATCCCAGCACCTTGGGAAGCCAAGGCAGGTGGATTGCTTGAGCCCAGGAGTTTTGAGACCACCCTGGGCAACATGGCAAAATCCTCTCTAATAATACCAAAACAAATAGCTGGGCATGATGGCGTGCACCTATAGTCCCAGCTACTAGGGAGGCTGGGGTAGGAGGATCACCTGAGCCTGGAAGGCAGAGGCTGCAGTGAGCCGAGATCATGCCACTGTACTCCAGCCTGGGTGACAGAGTGAAACCCTGTCTCAATCAATCAATCAATCAATCAATCGATAGAGATGGGGTCTCGCTATGTTTCTCAGGCTGGCTGGCCTCAAGTGATGCTCCCACCTTGGCCTCCCAAAGTGCTGGAATTATAGGCATGAGCCATGGTGCTGGTCCTGTTCCTTATTTTAGGCTTGGATATTATTCTTCTCAATTTCTATTTACAATAATTTCTGATTAACAGTTTGTGTATACTGTATATATTATCTCATTTAATTCTCACAAAACCTGTGAGGTAGCCAACATAGAAACCACCCTAATTTTATAGATAAGAAAAACAGGCTGGGCGTGGTGACTCAAGCCTATATCCTCAGTATACTGGGAGGCTGAGGCGGGAGGAACACTTGAGGGGCCTGGGGAATATGGGGAGAACCTGTCTCTACAAAAAATGTAAAAATTTTAGCCGGGCATGGTGGCACATGCCTGTGGTCCTAGCTACTCGGGACACTGAGGTGGGAGGATTGCCCTCTTAAGCCAGAGAGGTCAAGGTTGCAGTGAGCCGAGATCCCACCACTGCACTCCAGCCTGGGTGGCAGAGAAAGACCCTGTCTCAAAAAAAAAAAAAAAAGAAAAAGAAGAAAAACAGAGAGAGCTTGAATTAGTGACAAAATCAGAGCTGAAATATAACTCCTGACTCAGTATGTTTTCTATTGACCACTTTCTTTCTTATTTCCTCATTTCTTTCATTGTATTTGTCCTTCTCTAGACTATTTTAGTTTGGTTTTATGCTTAATATTAGATGCCAGAGCTACTTGCCATTTTCTCTAGGAAGATTTTTTAAATAAGGACAAGAAAATACCTTGTAATTTTATGACTTATTTCAAATAGTTTTCCTGACAATGTTAAAAAATTTTTTCAGGCTAATTATTTTGTTTAATTTGTTTTAGGAATTGCAGGAACAGCAGGATTAATGTTTTAATAAAATGGTTTACAATGGCTACTTAGTCTTCTGGTCATTCTCTTGACTACATCAATTATAATATAATTGAATACATCAATTACAATCTAAGTTATTAAGTTAATCTAAGTTATTTCCCTCTAAATTAGCTTACATTTGTACAAAATAAAGTTAATTTCCTAAGTTTCTACTTGCACAACCATGTGAAAATTTCCTGTAGGTCTTCTTTGGCATCAAATTATCCATGAGTGCTTATATCACCTCCATAATTATTAAGCTGTTGGAATTTCTAATAAAGGATAATTTCATTGGCCAAGGCAAGTGATTTTTCGGAGCAAACATAATGAAATCTAAATACTCTCTGAGAGTCTTTTGAGTGTGATAAATACATATGCAAGTCAAGGGAGAAACAATCAGATTTTTCAAAAGGTCTTTCACAAAGTGTCACACCAAAAATTAGCAACAAAATAAAAAAAAAATCACCATAGTATGGAAGAACAGTTTGTCATGTCAGGCAGTGGAATTACAGAGAGAAGATAAATAGTACGTGTAAATTGGCTTATTTTGACAGATACAATCAAAATAATTTTTTCCATGAATGATTTGACCAAGTTGGTAGAGACGTCTCTAAATTATTATACCGTGCTACACTTTCTCTTTCTTGTTTCTTTGGAATCCCTCTTCTAGTGTGGACCAACTGTCTGACTTCCTAGAGTTCTTCTTAGTGTAGTCTTTTCATTTGTTTTCACACAACTGAAGTTTCTCCTTCCTATACTCCAGACTTTCTTGCCTGCCTGACTTCACTGTATTCCCTGTTCTTGGAAGGTCTTTATCTCTTAAAAGTTAAGCTTGTAGTGCTTGCTTTGGCAGCACATATATTAAAATTGGAACGATACAGAGATTAGCATGATCTCTGCGCAAGGATGACACACAAATTCGTGAAGTAGTCCATGTTTTTAAAAATTAAAAAAAAAAAAGCTTTAAAGCTTGGGATGGTGGTTGGCACCTGTAGTCCCAGCTACTGGGGAGGCTGAAGCAGGAGGATCATGTAAGTTCAGGTGTTCAAGGCTACTATGCACAATGATGGAGTCTGTGAATAGCCACAGCACTTGGGCCTGGGCAACATAGTGAGGCCACTTCTCTTAAAAAAAAAAAAAACAAAAAACAAAAAAACAAAAGTTGAGTTTTTAGAAGGCCTTTTTGATTTACCAGCCAAACTGCTCTCTCATTGATTCCACAACACTGAATTATCTTTTAGCATGATCTCTGCGCAAGGATGACACACAAATTCGTGAAGTAGTCCATGTTTTTAAAAATTAAAAAAAAAAAAGCTTTAAAGCTTGGGATGGTGGTTGGCACCTGTAGTCCCAGCTACTGGGGAGGCTGAAGCAGGAGGATCATGTAAGTTCAGGTGTTCAAGGCTACTATGCACAATGATGGAGTCTGTGAATAGCCACAGCACTTGGGCCTGGGCAACATAGTGAGGCCACTTCTCTTAAAAAAAAAAAAACAAAAAACAAAAAAACAAAAGTTGAGTTTTTAGAAGGCCTTTTTGATTTACCAGCCAAACTGCTCTCTCATTGATTCCACAACACTGAATTATCTTTATTTTTAAAAAAATTTATTCTAAAAGTCTTTGTATTTTGTTCCCTCCCCCTTCCCCCTTCCCCTCCCCTTCACTCCCCCTTCCCCTCCCCTTCACTCCCCCTTCCCCTCCCCTCCTCTTCTCTTTTCTTTTTTTGAGACAGAGTCTCGCTCAGCTGCCCAGGCTGGAGTGCAGTGGCACGATCTCGACTCACTGCAGCCACCCTCTCCCGGATTCAAGCGATTCTCCCTGCCTCCGCCTCCCAAGTAGCTGGGATTATAGGCACCTGCCATCATGCCGGCTAATTTTTGTATTTTAGTAGAGACAGGGTTTCACCATGTTGGCTAGGCTGGTCTTGAACTCCTGACCTCAGGTGATACGCCTGCCTCAGCCTCCTAAAGTGCTAGGATTACAGGCGTGAGCCACCGCGCCGGGCCTTCTCTTTTTTTTTTTTTTTTTGTTTTTTTTTTGTTTTTTTGAGACAGGGACTCACTCTGTCTCCCAGGCAGGAGTGCAGTGGCACAATCCCAGCTCACTACAGCCTCCACCTCCTGGACGCAACCCCCACCTCGGCCTCCCTAGTAACTAGGACTACAGGGCACAGGCCACCATGCCCAGTTTTGTATTTTTTGCAGAGACAGGATCTCGCTATGTTGCCCAGACTGGTCTCAAACTCCCGGGCTCAAGCGATTCTCCTGCCTGGGCCTCCCAGGCATGAGCCACCTAGCCCGGCCTGTATTATCTTTTCTGGAATTCATCTCGCTTACTGGATTGCCAGCCTCTTCTGGACAGCAATTTGTACTCCTAATTCGCTTATTATAGTATGTCAAAGCATTTATTGTTTAATCAAATTAGGGCAGATCAATGAGAAGTTACCCTTCGGATACACTGTCCCATGACTTCTCCGTCCACCGACAGTCCTTCTTAGGCCCTTGGCTTTCCCATGCCACTTATACAATCTTTCAAAACATTTGAGTGCGTACCATTTATATTATTCAAATACGAAAAGGGAAAGCGGTAGGCGCACATTTCAGGTACTCGTCAAAGATGAGTTGGACGCTGGAGATAAAATAAAAAATGGGCCTACCATTTAGGGAGGTGTGACGAAGTGACACCACTCTTCCGTTAAAACCCGAGGGCCCATTGGGTCACCTCCATTTTATTCAGGTTTCGGAATCTCGGTCATGTGAGCTAACTTAAAAGGCTCAAGAGTGGTTACCTGCCTACCCGTCATAATCACTTCCCAATTCCTTGAAAACTTCGGGTTCCTCGGCCGGCCGCCAGCGCCGGGCGGAGAATCGCCCTCCCTCCCACTGCCCAGACTGGAGCTGCCTGTTCCGTTCCACCCCGCCCCACCCCACTGCATGCTGGGAGTCGTAGTCCCGGCTGGCAGCGTCCGGAAGGACGGGAGGGCACGGGAGTGCAGCCCGCCCATGTGGCTACTGGAGGTCACGTTCCCTAACTGATCCCTTGGTTCTCTCGGGTGGAGCCTTCAGCGTGCACGGCGGGGTTTGACTTTGCCACCGTCTCTCTTCTGGGTTCCAATAAAGTTTTCCTCTTCCTCTCCTCGTACGGAGTTCAAGATGGCGGCCTCCTGGTCGCTCTTGGTTACCCTGCGCCCCTTAGCACAGAGCCCGCTGAGAGGGAGATGTGTTGGGTGCGGGGCCTGGGCCGCCGCTCTCGCTCCTCTGGCCACCGCCCCTGGGAAGCCCTTTTGGAAAGGTCAGTGACTGTGCCATGAGTAGTCCGAGCCGACTGCATATGACTGGAGAAGCCTCTGGGATTACCCTCCCTGTCCGATCTACCCCAGGTGTCTCCTGCTTTCACGAAGCTGAGGGCTCCTCGAGAGGAGTTTCCATTTCTCTTGACCTTTTATACTGTCTGTGAATGAGCCCTGAGCACTGAGGGAAATGACCCTGAGTGACTTTCATTTTGAGGGTCAGAGGTTGACTCAGAGTTTGTTCCTTCCGGGACGTTTAGAGAGCTGAACCTAGTGGGAGTGCCTGGCTTGAAGAGATGCAGGTGTGGGGTTGGGGCCTGGGGACCCCTACCCTCTGCGTTTTCCAAGCTCTCGGGGCTGGTGACTGACGGGCACTGGAGGAAGAGCCGCGCCTGGGACCTCTGCAGGCCCTGATGTCTCTCGTGATTCTAGGAAGGAAGGTCCACACACATTCTCAGATTGAGGGATCGATTCTTGGTGTTCTTTTCAAGTCACTAGGGGCTTCAGTGGAATTATTTTGTCACCGGGCTTTCTTTCTCCCTGGCTTCCTTCATTCAGTTATATGTTCATGAATGAATGAATGAATGTATATTCTGAGTAACCAAGAGTGCCAGTTTTACTGCTCTATTCATGTATTCGCACTAAACTGCACGATTTTCAAAGGCAAGGACATTGTGTCATTGTTTCCTAAGCACTTAGCGCAATGATTGGTACTTGACGTGCAAATATGATTTTTGAGTGAATGAATGAATGAAATTATTCTCCTTGTCTCCCTCATCCACATACTCGTTTTCCTTTTTCTCAAATCCAAGCAACCCCTGTAATATACCTTAATAGATTGATAGACCTTAATAAGGTATATACCTTAATAGATTATTTATTAATTTAGCTAAAAATATGACAATCTTTGACCCTTATCATCAATGCAGTTGAAATTAATACTAGAACTTTGATTAGGTCACCTTACGTCTTTCTGCAAAGATTAGCATAATGCATTTAGTATAATGGAATAGGCTCCACACACTGCCTGGGGGTAGCCCTGATCTGCTGGAGTAGTCGTTAAAAGTAAATAAATAAATAAAGATATAATGGAATATTCTGGTAGTGTAAGCTGTGGATTATAATATAAATTTTATTTTTCATTTTTGGTAGTCAATAAAAGCAAATGCTATAAATTTCAACAGGTGCAAGAAAGAATATGGCAAAATGTAAGGCTTTTTTCTATCCCTATCCCTTAGCTGCTTAGTTTTTCTCCTCAGAGGCAATCTGTGATACTAGTTTCTTATGTATTCTTCCAGATATATTCTGTGTATGTATAAGCATATACATATATAGATAATGGTATTAAAAAAATAGAAGTA
Source organism: Homo sapiens (assembly GCF_000001405.40). Taxonomy (NCBI): domain Eukaryota; kingdom Metazoa; phylum Chordata; class Mammalia; order Primates; family Hominidae; genus Homo; species Homo sapiens. The sequence continues at coordinate 108,296,578 of NC_000006.12, forward strand.
GTAACATGCTGTACACATTGTTTTGTGTATACAGCAGTTAATTCTGTTAATTGTTAATTTCTTTTTAAATTTAGTAGCTTGGAGATCATTCCATATCAATACCATATCAATTTCATATGAATAGAACTGCCTCGTGTTTTAAGTTTTAAAAATAGTATTCCATTCTATGTATATACCATGATTTATGAACATTAAAGATTTAAGGAGCATCATTATAACATATAAAATTCACTGAATGCTTATTCTGTGTCATACAATATACTAAGTACTTTCTACATACATTATCTTATTATTCCTCATTATCCTCATTTTGGAGATCATGAATCCAAGGTTGCTGAAGTTATATGGCTAGTAAGTGTCAGAACTGGATTCAAGTGAAGGCTGTGCTATTAATCTATACTCACACTTTCTCCAATACACAAAATTTAGCCAATTCTGGGTGTGAAGATTTGATGAAAATGCAGTTAGGTTAGAGGTCCATTTAATTGTATCTAAGGACGCTCCCTTCCCCTCTTTATTTTTATTTTGTTTATTTATTTATTTTTTTGAGATAGAGCCTTGCTCTGTCTCCCAGACTGGAGTGCAATGGTACAATCTCGGCTCACTGCAACCTCCACCTCCTGGATTCAAGCAATTCTCCCTGCCTCAGCCTCCCTAGTAGCTGAGATCACAGGCACCCACCACCACGCCTGGCTAGTTTTTGTATTTTTAGTAGAGATGGGGTTTCACCATGTTGGGCAGGCTGGTCTCAAACTCCTGACCTCAGGTGATCCGGAGCCTCGGCCCCCCAAAATGCTGGGATTACAGGCGTGAGCCATGGTGCCCTGCCCCCATCTTTAAATAAAAGGAAAATTTTAGTTGAAATTTTGTTCAGTATTCAGAGTCTGATTTACAAATCGATTTTCTATCCCTTTCCTGTTTTTTTGGGGGGGTACATTTCTATTTTACCTTCATTTTTCATCTTTTGAAGTCTACTATTTAGTACAGTGTAATGTGGCTGGGTGTGGTGGCTCACACCTGTAATCCTGGCACTTTGGAAGCCTGAGGGAGTAGGATCACTTGAGCTCAGGAGTTTGAGACCAGCCTGGGCAACATGGCAAAACCCCCTCTCTATAAAAAATACAAAACTTAGCCGGGTGTGGTGGTGCACGCCTGTAGTCCCAGCTACTTGGGAGGCTGAGGTGGGAGGATCACTTGAGCCCAGGAAGTCGAGGCTGCAGTGAGCTGAGAGAGATGGCGTCACTGCACTGCAGGCTGGGTGACAGAGTGAGAACCTGTCTCAAAAAAAAAAAAAAAAAAAAAGGAAAAGTGAATGAACCTGAGTTCTAGCCCTTGAATAGCCCATAGTCTTGAGAGGCATATGGAATTATGGTAGCCAGCATTTGATGAGCCCCTTCTGTGTTCTAGGCACTTTGCTTGCAGTTTCTGTTTCATAATTTAATCTTCATAAAACTCTATAAAAATTATTGTCTTTATTTTATAGATGAATAAACAAGGATGGTCACCCAACTTGGATTTTAAACCCAGGTGTTTTTGCTTCAGAGTCACAAACTTAACTGCTATTTGTACTAGCTTTTTAATGTAACAGTGAACATTAATAACATATTGTACCATGATCTAAGCCTGTTTGAAGTGTTATAAGACTGCAGAGGAGGAAGCAGCTCTGCTTGGAGAGGGGAAGAATTTTTTTTTTTTTTTTTTTTTTTGAGACAGAGTCTCGCTCTGTCACCCAGGCTGTAGTGCAATGGTGTGATCTCTGCTCATTGCAACCTCTGCCTCCTGGGTTCAAGCGATTTTCCTGCCTCAGCCTCCTGAGTAGCTGGAATTACAGGCGCCCGCCACCACACCCAACTAATTTTCGTATTTTTAGTAGAGAGGGGGTTTCAACATGTTGGTCAGGCTGGTCTTGAACTCCTGACCTCAGGTGATCCACCCATCTTGGCCTCCCAAAGTGTTGGTATTACAGGTGTGAGCCACTGTGGCTGGCCAGATTTTTTATTTTTAGCAAAAGTGTGGATGTGAGCTGTACATGGCCCTTATTGGTTTATGGTCTCTGAGAGAGCAGTTAGAGATGAAGCTGTAAAGGTGGGCTGATGTGGTTGAGAAGAGTCTCTTACAGTATGTTAAGATGTCTAAGCTCAGTGGGACACTAGTGGAAGTTTCTCAGGAATAGAAGTGATCAGATCTATTTTAGCATGATTTCTCTTGTGGCCACCTGAAAAACAAACCAGAAATGCCTGGATGGGAGAATACTGGAAGCTGGGTGATTATTTAGGAGGAAGCTGAAGTAGATAGAGTGTTAGGGAGTGGTTTAGGGGCTGAATTACTGCTGTGGTGAAGGAGAGCAGGGCAGCTGAGGGAGGGAATTCAGAGACACTTCTTTGATAGAATTAACATACTTGGCCAGGCACAGTGGCTCATGCCTGTAATCCCAGCACTTTGGGAGGCTGAGGCTGGCGGATCACCTGAGGTCAGGAGTTTGAGACCAGCCTGGCCAACATGGTGAAACCTCGTCTCTACTAAAAATACAAAAATTAGCTGGGCGTGGTGGTGCATGCCTGTAATCCCAGCTACTTGGGAGGCTGAGGCAGGAGAATCGCTTGAACCCAGGCGGCGGAGGTTGCAGTGAGCCAAGATCACACCACTGCGCTCCAGCCTGGGGGACAGAGCAAGACTCCATCTCAAAAAAGAAAAAAAAAAAAAATAAATTAACATACTTGGACATACTTGGAAGAGACAAGGAAAGGGAGGAGTGAAGGTAAATTTAGGTTTCCTATTGCAGGTGAAATAATGACATAATAAGTAAAAAGTAAAACAATAAAAAAGCAATTGAGGTTTCTGAGTTTGGGCAATGTAATCAAAAGAAACAAAACAAAAATGAAACTAAATGATAGGGCCAAAGGATTTTAGAGGGATATTCAATATGGGGCTTGTTAAATTTGAGGCATTTATTATAGTTCCAGGTAAATAAGTCTAGTTAGTTGTAGGACACTTGGGGATCTGAGACTAAGAAAGAAAATATGAGGTATTGGGAGCCATGAGAATAGAAGAATGAGCCTGGGAATATATGTGTAGGGTGAAAAGAGCCTGTGGCTTGTGCCTGAAATCCCAGCTACTCATGAGGCCAAAGCAGGAGGATTGCTTGCGGCCAGGAGTTTGAGACAAGCCTGGGCAGCATAATGAGACCCTGTCTCTAAAAATAGAAGAGAAAAGAAAAGAAAAAGCAAAAGCTGAGGGCTAGTGCTTGAGGAAACTTGACATTTTGTGAGCAGAAGAAGGGGGCCTCATAGAGTGGTCTTAGGAGACTAGGAGAGAAGCCAGGGAGGGAAATGTTTATAGGTTTTCTAAAACCTAAAAATTAGCATATCTGAAATTCCATTTTCTTTAAGCTAGCCTTAGAAATTAAATGTATTTCATAGAAGCAAGGTAATATGAGGATCACATCTTATGATTTCTTTTTATTATGCTGACAATATAACAATATTATATTTTTAGGTGCCTCTATTAAATGATGATTCATATTTAACTCCACAATCTCTTTAGTATACATACATAGGAGTTTATTCCCTATTAGGGTTTTTTTTTTTTGAGGTGGAGTTTTGCTCTTGTCGCCCAGGCTGGAATGCAATGGTGCAATCTTGGCTCACTGCAACCTCTGCCTCCTGGGTTCAAGCGATTCTCCTGTCTCAGCTTCCTAAGTAGCTGAGACTACAGGCATGTGCCACCACTGCCCAGCTAATTTTTTTGTATTTTTAGTAGAGACAGGGTTTCGCCATGTTGGCCAGGCTAGTCTGGAACTCCTGACCTCAGGTGATCTGCCCAACTTGGACCCCCAAAGTGCAGGGATTACAGGTGTGAGCCACCAGACCCATCCCCTGATTAGGTATTAATGTGAGTAGAACTAACCCTCCTATATATGAATTGGTATAGTTTATTTTTTATTTATTTGTTTATTTATACATATTTTGTTTCTCTTTTACATGTTACTTGCCAAGGTACAATTTATTAGTAGTACATATTACTAGTTAAGAAAATATTTGTCTTTGGACTTACTGTCTGTTTCCCTTAATACTCACTGGTTATAGCGTTTGAACTTACTTTTTTTTTTTTTTTGAGACTGAATATCACTCTGTCATCCAGGCTGGAGTGCAGTGGAGCGATGTCGGCTCACTGCAACCTCCGTCTCACAGGTTCAAGCGATTCTCCTGCCTCAGCCTCCTGAGCAGCTGGGACTACAGGCGCACGCCATCACGCCTGGCTAATTTTTTGTATTTTTAGTAGAGATGGGGTTTCACCATATTAGCCAGGATGGTCTCGATCTCCTGACCTTGTGATCCGCCCGACTTGACCTCCCAAAATGCTGGAATTATAGGCGTGAGCCACCACGCCCGGCCTGAACTTACTTTTAATTATCCAATTAGATGAATATCTTTATGTGAACTTATTTCATGTTTCTTGGATTTTTGTTAATATTTATTATATTAGAAAAGAATGTCATGCCTATCCCTGAGACTGATTATCTTTATGATAATGGAGGATTTTGTGGTGCTGGTGGGAGTATAGCAGTAAGGCCAACCAGGGGTCACTCTCATCGCCATCTTGGTTTTGCCTGGCTTCTTTACTGCAAGTTGTTTTATCAGCAAGGTCTTTATGACTTGTATCTTGTGCCAACCTCCTATCTCATCCTGTGACTAATAATGCCATAGCCTCCTGGGAATGCAGCCCACCAAGTCTCAGACTTATTTTACCCAGCCCTTATTTAAAATGGAGTTGCTCGAGTTCAAATGCCTCTGACATTTCCCCCCACTCCCTTTTACAAGGGAACCCTTAATAAGTGTTGAAGAGAAACAAAGATCTATCTTCTGCAACTTCTTCAGGCTGAATAGGGGCAATGCTATTCCTGCCTAACTATTAGGGTCTCTTGTATTCAGGGTAGAGAGGAGCTCAGTCAGAAAGCGTTGGTATGGCAAGGGCCATTCATAACTCTTGAGTTCTGACAAAAGGTGATATCTAGAAGATTAATAACTGTTCAGTTTAAAAGAACATTGAGTAAGCTTATCCTGCATTCCTTCATGAAGAGTACAATAGCAATATATTCCACAACAGTAAGGTAAAATAAATAAAATTATCCCAAGTAAATGAACTTAGAAGGCTTTCCATGAACGGGGCAACTGTTGGAACCACGCTGATGTGGGGTTGCTAGGTGATTCCAATATGTGCCCAGGATTAGAATATTGATCCAGATTTTTACATTACCCATCCCTCTTGTTTCTTCTGAGTAGCAACCAGAGATCACTGATTGATTTACAAGAATAAGCAGAGCCAGTCTAAATTGCAGAAAAACCTTAAAAACAACAGATGAGACTAGATTTTTTTTTTTTTTTTTGAGACAGAATCTCGTTCTGTTGCCCAGGCTGGAGTGCAATTGGCATGATTTCAGCTAACTGCAACCTCCGTCTCCTGGGTTCAAGTGACTCTCCTGCCTCAGCCTCCTGAGTAGCTGGGATTTCAGGTGTCCACCACCATGCCCTGCTAATTTTTGTATTTTTAGTAGAGGCGGGGTTTCACCATGTTGGCCAGGCTGGTCTTGAACTCTTGCAGGTGATCTGCCCGCCTTGGCCTCCCAAAGTACTGGGATTACAGGCGTGAGCCATCGCTCCCAGCCCGAGACTAGAATTTAATAACAGGTATACCACAGTTCTTGAAACATAATTTTTCTCTCCGGTCTCCCATTTTTACTAAAGACAAATCATGGTAAGACTGATTTGCTTTGTTATACTTGGCCTGACATTTGTATAAAGTGCAGGAAAAATAATTATTTTTCACATAGGCTTTTAAAATTGACTTTGATGGAACTCTGTTCCATAGAAGGAATCTCAGATAAGACTTTTTTTTTTTAAAGCCGAGCCCAGCCATGGGTTTGTACCCTCAAATACCTATGAGTTGAGTAAATACCTCTTCTCTTGAGGTTCCGAGATAACTTGGGGCTCCTGGGCCTGTACTTTACTTATTTACTTACTACAGGTCAGGAACCCTGGGCACGGACTGTGTAGACAAGATACGAGGCCAGTTTCCAAAGGAGCTTTTATTGGCGCTATAAGTCAAGTTTGATTCCTTAAAGGAAAGCACACCACTCCAGTCAAAACCTTGGTAAAATAACCAGTTTCTCCAATTGTGCCCTGTTACAAATGAAAACAGATTTTTATTGCACTTATGCAAATAACTATTGCCGTAAGTTAAGATACTCACTAATAATTTTCAAGTTCTGGAGAAATCAGGTAGAGAGAAACAATTATGCTCCAAATTTTGTTTATAGGAGTATACTTTGCTTAATTGTTAAAAGCTGTCAATAGCTCAAAAAAAAAAAAGTTTCCTTGACTCTGGAAATCGGAGTTTCGCTCTGTCACCCACTGCAACCTCCGCCTCCCAGGTTCATGCGATTCTTGTGTTTCAGCCTCCGGAGTAGCTGGGATTACAGGTGTGAGCTGCCACACCTGGCTAATTTTTGTATTTTTAGTAGAGATGGGTTTTGCCACGTTGGCCAGGCTGGTCTTGAACTCCTAATCTCAAGTGATCTGTCTGTCTCAGCCTTCCAAAATGTTGGGATTACAGGCATGAGCCACCATGCCTGGCCTTTTTATTTTTTTAAATTAGAGACACAGTCTCACTATATTGCTTTCCCTGGTCTGGAACTCCTGGGCTCAAGCTATCCTCCTGCCTTGGCCTCCCGAAGTGTTAGGATTACAGGCGTGAGCCAACATGCCCAGCCTGGTCTCTAATTTGAGCTCAAGTGATCCTCCAACCCCAGTCTCCAGTAGTAGACTTCAGGTGTGTTAGCTCTATCTTCTCTCCTAAAAGCGTTATGGATGCTAGCTCTTCCTGGTGTCTTTTGCCTCTCTTGCCCAAGTTCTCTGTTGAGGACCATTTCTACTCCTTGCCTGGAGATACCTGATACTTCAATTTCCAGAATCTCTTTCATAACCTCTTTTTACCATCCTGCTTATCTTTCTTATTTCTTCTCTTCATTGCTCCCATCCCAGAAGCTACTCTATGAACATGTTATCTATCCATACTCTTGACCAGGTGGCAGTTTTCAACAAGTTTTTAAGCCTGAGCATGTAATTCTTTATAGTCGTTCCTCCATTTCTTCATAATATCATTTAAATGCAACTCCTGTAGATTCCATTTTGAAATTCTCATTTATATATGTGTGTGTATAAAATTTAAACTAACATAACAAATGAATGGGTTTAAAAATCTTTTGAAAAAAATTAGATCCCTTAGATGTCTTTATTAAATAGTATGTGAACAGGGTGAATATTAAGGAGTTACTCAGTATGCTGGGCCATGCCTGTAATTACTTCAGAATAGCTTTATTCAGATCTTTAGGCATTATTTCACTGATTTGTTATCATGAAATTTAAAGTACAATTTTTTTTCCTTTTGTAAAGTTATACACATTGGCACATTTAAGATTAACTAGCTTCTGAAGGAAAAGAATGGTAACCACCAAGCATTTAGTTTTAATTTTCATAATTTTTCTATTTAAATCAAAAGCACCCTTTTAAAGCCCCTAACTAAGCCTTTTATAAATAAAGTAAATCATCTTGCAGTGCATTCCTTGATGATGGCTTATGTTGTTTTTCTAAAGAAAGTTTAATTAAGATTTGATTTTCTTCTATTCTGTACTTTGTTTATTCATCACAGAATGAAACATAGGTCTTTAATGTCAATGGTAAGTCTGACTTTTTGGGTCATTGATGACCATTGCAGTTTTCAAAAAAGCAGCTGAATATTTATCTTTTGGGTATGATTAGAACATAATAGAGCATAAAATGGGCTGCCTATGACCTTAGCATGGGCTTCTGTCATTGCAGGAGAACATTTCTGGTCAGTGGCCACTGTTTATGGTTTGTTAAAATCAGCACAAATGTACAAATAACTCATGAATAATTGTGAACACAGTATTTAAATGGATGTTTAATAAATATGCATTAAAAATCTCATTACAGTAATGAAGTTTACAGCTGAAATTTTAATCCAGCCCTTTAGAAATATTAAAGTGCTTTTACTGATTGTGCATTTTTCTCACAGCAGTTGGGTAAACATTTTAAACTGGAAATCTGAATTCCTTATATAGTTTTGATTTCATTTAACTAAGCATGTGTTCTTTTTGGCAACCCTCTTCTTTCTCTTTGTGAAGAAGTGAAGCTCCTTTATTCCATAACTGTTACTTTGAAGCATTTTGATCAGTTCTGTTTTAGGAATGGTGAACATATGGGATACCAGACGACTAATAAAAACTGATCTGGAAAAGACTAGATTGTGATTTTGGTTTCATTCTGCAGTGCTGGATCAATCATTTGATTTGGTATTTCCATTTGTCATCTATAGAATGCGATGCATTTTCCTAACTCTACCTTCCTTGCAGGTAATTTATGAGACTCAAATAGGTTATTATGTGAGAAAGTCTTTTGAAAACTGTAAGAAATGTTACATAAATGTATGTAATTGAAATATTAACAATGACATGCCAGAGGTGGTGGATTCTAGTCAGTGAGTAGAAATGGAATGTACTCAACTTTATACAGAATTTCTAGAGCCATTTTAATTCTGGAGAGGCTCATTATATTAACAATGGCCAAGGGCCTAGTCTGAATTCAGTGCTTTGAATTCCAGAAAATGCAGTTTTGATTTTTCTGAGATTGTGCAAAGGGCCTCTGTAGATAACCAGGTGTGGTTTTTGTTCTCCTGGACTTCACTACCTTTCCTCTGGATACTCTGAACACCTAGAGGTTCTTAGAAATTATGAATTACCTCTTTTTTGAGACAGAGTCTTGCTCTATTACTCAGGCTGGAGTGCAGTGGTATGATCACGGCTCACTGCAGCCTCAACCTTCTGGGCTCATGTGAGCCTCCTGACAGCCTCTCGAGTAGCTGGGACCACAGGCACAAGCCCCACCAGTACGCCCGGCTAATGTTTGTATTTTTTTTTCGTGAACCTCTAAGTCTACTTTATAATTTTTTTAGTGGGAGGTAGAGACAGGGTTTCAGCATATTGCCCAGGCTGGTCTTGAACTTCTGGGCTCAAGCAGTGCGCCCGCCTCAGCCTCCCAAATTGCTGGGATTACAGTCGTGAGCTACCACACCAGGCTATGAATTACTTCTTTTGCCATTATGTTTCAAAGAAAGCTGTTGAAATTTGATTTATACTGTGCAGGTAAACTATCTTCATTTAGTAGGAAATGGATGCTGGTTTCAAAAGGAACTGGAGTGATTGTGAATTATTTGCTGTACAGTGAGATCTAAAGATAGCTTTTTGTTTGTTTGTTTGTTTTGTTCTGTTTTGAGAGTTGTGCTCTGTTGCCCAGGTTGGAATGCAGTGGTGCGATCTTGGCTTACTGCATCCTCTACCTCCCGGGTTCAAGTGATTCTCCTGCCTCAGCCTCTTGAGTAGCTGGGACTACAGGTGCCTGTCACCACGCCTGGCTAATTTTTGTATTTTTAGTAGAGATGGGGTTTTGCCATATTGGCCAGGCTAGCCTTGAACTCCTGACTTCAGGTTATGCACCCATCTCATCCTCCCAAAGTGCTAGGATTACAGATGTGAGCCACTGTGCCCAGCCTCAAGATGGCATTTCACAGAAGCATAGAGTATTAGTGCTGCAGAGGGCCTCTGGGCCATATAGTCAAACAATGTTAGACATGTAGCTTCTGCCTTAACTGCTTCTTTTTGAGGCTTCCTATTGATTTTTGGATAGCCTTAATTTTGAAAAAACTCTAAAGTGGGATGAAATTTGAGCATTTATGTAACTTCTCCCCATTCATCTTGAATCTTTCCTCAGGTGCGGTATAAAACACTAATACTGATTCCATGTGTGACCGCTCTTTTAACATATCAAGACTGATAATATTTCATTCATTTATTTATTCATTTACTCATTCATTTTTCAAAGTATTGGGTGCCACCTTGTCCCAATTCCATTTAATCACCTTTAAACATTAAAGGCTTATTATATTTCTCCCATTCATTCATTCATTTTCCAAGCACTTCTTGTTGCCACCCATATGCTACATGCAGGATGCTGGGATGTATGCTAAATGTCTTGTTAATGTCAGCAGTCTTTTGTGCTGTCGGTCAAGTCTCACAACATAGTTTCTAGATCCTTGAACTCCTTCCCTTCTTGAGATTACTGTCTACTTTCTGAATGACACTCTGAAAATGTGGCCCCCATATCACAATATATTCCTTCAAGTATGGTCAGCCTAGAGCCTTGTTTAGGTTACCTTTTCTGTGTCCTGTGGCATTAACTTTTGGTGGTCAGGTCACATTCATATCTCACTTGCGACTCTTAGAGTTATTAAAACAGGTCTCTCCTGTTTGTATTTGATTTATTATTTTTTCTGTTTAAACATAAATTACTTTTTTTTTCTTTCTTTTTTTTTGAGTTTTTGAGATGGAGTCTTGCTCTGTCACCCAGGCTGGAGTGCAATGGCATGATCTCAGCTCACTGCCATCTCCGTTTCCTGGGTTCAAGAGATTCTCCTGCCTCAGTCTCCTGAGTAGCTGGGATTACAGGCGCATGCTACCATGCCTGGCTAATTTTTGCATTTTTAGTAGAGACAGGGTTTCACAATGTTGGCCAGGCTGGTCTAGAACTCCTGACGTCGTGATTTGCCCAACTTGGCCCCCCAAAGTGCTAGGATTACGGGCGTGAGCCACCGCATACGGCCTAAAAATAAGTTACTTTTAATTATAAAAATACTACATCATGTTTACAGTAGAAAATATAGAAAAGACAACTGCTGTTAACTTTAATTTTTCTTTCATCTTATTTTTTTTTTTTTTTGGAAACAGGGTTTTGCCCAGTCGCCCAGGCTGGAGTACAGTGGTGTGATCACAGCTCACTGCCGCCTAAACCTCCCAGGTCCAAGTAATCCTCCCAGCTCAGTCTCCTGAGTAACTGAGACTACAGGCGAGCACCACCACGCCTGGCTAATTTTTGTATTTTTGTAGAGATGGGGTCTCGCCATATTGCCCAGGCCTATATAGTACTGCTATGAATATGTTTGTACATATATTTGGTGCATATATGTATGCTTTCTGTTGGGCAGATACCAAATAATAGAATTGCTGGCTCATATTTTATACATATGTTCAGCTTTAGTAGACAAGGCCAGTTTTCTAAAATGGTTATATCAGTGTATCTTTCCATTAGCAGTGTGTGAGATTTCAGTTACTATGCATCCTCACTAACAGCTGGTATTCTTTTTAATTTTAGTCACTCTAATAAGTGTGTACTGATATCTCATTATGATTTTATTTTGCTTTTCCCTGATACATTTTAAGGTTGAATACTTTTTTATATATTTACTGGACATTTGGATAGGCTCTTTTGTGACATGCACATTGTCTGTTTCTTAATGAGTTGTAGTTCTTTATATAATCTTGATGTAAGTCCTTTGTCAGATACATAGATTGCAAGTATTTTCTCCCAGTCTGTAGCTTGCTTTTTAATTTTATTTTTTCATTTATCTCTTATCTTATAAGTGGTATAAGGCTAGCTTTTTCATTAAAAACATTTTTTTTGAGACTAGATCTCTCTGTGTCATCAAGGCTGGAGTGCAGTGGTACAATCATGGTTCACTGCAGCCTGGACCTCCTGGGCTCAAGCAGTCCTCTCACCTCAGTCTCCCGAGTAGCTGGGACGACAGGCATGCGCCACCACACCCAGCTAATTGTTAAAATTTTTTATAGAGACAGCATCTCTCTATGTTGCCCAGGTTGTTCTCAGACTCCTGGCCTCAAGCTATCCTCCCACCTTGGCCCCTCAAAGTGTTGGGATTACCAGCATGAGCCACTGTGTCCAATTTAGCTTTTTCATTGCTAATGGAGTCTTTTCATGAACAGAAGCTCCAAATTTTATTTTACTTATTTAATTTTAATTTTTTTAGAGATGGGGTTTTGCTCTGTTGCCCAGGCCAGAGTGCAGTGATGCAAACATAGCTCACTGCAGCCTCAAACTCCTGGGTCCAAGCGATCCTCCTATTTTAGCTTTCCAAGTAGCTAGGACTCTAGGGTTGTGCCCAGATGAAGAAGTTCTAAATTTTATTTATTTTATTATTTATTTATTTATTTATTTTGAGACAGAGTCTCACTCTGTCATCCAGGCTGGAGTACAGTGGCACAATCTTGGCTCACTGCAGCCTCTCCACCTCCCAGGTTCAAGTGATTCTTCTGACTCAGCTTCCTGAGTAGCTGGGACTACAGGCGTGTGCCACCACGCCCAGCTGCTTTTTTGTATTTTTAGTAGAGATGGGGTTTCACCATGTTGGCCCCGCTAGTCTTGAACTCCTAACCTCAGGTGATCTGCCCACCTCAGCCTCCCAAAGTGCTGTGATTACAGGTGTGAGCCACTGCGCCTGGCCAAGAAGTTCTAAATTTTAATGTAGTCCAATTTAGCAATCTTTTTGTGTGTGTCCTATTTATGAAATCTTTGCTTACCTCAAGGTCACGAAGGTATTTTCATATGTTCTTTTAGAAGCTTTATTGTTTTACCTTTCATGTTTAGATCTATGATACCTCTGGAATTAAGTTTTGTGTATGACATTAGGTTAGGATCAAGATTTATGTTTCTTTGTATGGATATCCAGTTGATCCAGCAACATTTTTTATATAGAGCATCTTTTTTTTCTGGGCTACTGCAGTGCTGCTTTTGACATAAATCAAGTGACCGTGTATGTGTGGGCTTCTATTTTGTTCCATTGGTCTATTCTTGTACCAGTATCATACTGTCCTAACTCTGTAGCTTTATAATAAGTTTTAATATCTGGTTGTGTAAGTCCTCCAACTTTGTTCTTTTTCAAGATTGACCAGACCTGAGCTTTGATACCATCGCCATTAGCCACATGTGGACACTGAGCACTTGAAATGTGTAATATGACTGGGGAACTAAATTTTTAATTTCATTTAATTTTAGTTAAATATAAAATTTAAAAAGGATACTTGATTCTGCTATTGGAAAACTGTTCACCTATTGGAAAACTTTTAAATATTCTTGGAACATCTTGGGAAAGTGAATCTACTTTTTCTCAACTGTAGGTTTTATGAAGTCTAAATACAGATTAAATATTTCCAATGAAAATTTAGCTTCCAAATTGAGATGTGTTGCAGGTGTCAAATACTTTAAGACCTAATAGAAAAAAGAACACAAAATATCTTATTAATAATTAAAAAATTTTTATTATATGTTGATTACATGCCAATTACAATTCTTGATGTCAACATCTCTCAGGGGTCTGAGATTTTTACCCAGCTTGCAAGACAACACTTTAGCCTGTTACTGTTTCATGGATGTTGGAAAAAGACATGGAACTCCTGGATCAGAGATAAAGAACTTTATCATGGACTAGCAGGCAACGTGAGCTTTATGTGTGCCTCAGTTCCCCTTTTTCCTCAAGTCCCATGGGGCTATTCAGAGATCGGTCCAGGTGGGTGATGTATACTCAGCAGGTTTGTGTCACGGTTCAGGAACCCCAAGCTTAGGAAACCTCATCTTTTATAAGGGTTGCAAACAAGCCTTCCCGGCTTTTGACCTGGGGGAGACGTTATTATACTAGACAGCAAACAAGCCTGCAACATTTACATTTCCATCAGCAGTGTCTGAGGTTCTAATTTCTCTGCATCTTCTCTAACACTAGTTATTGTCTGTCTTTCTTATCATTGCGATCCTAGTAGATGTGAAATGGTATCTCATTTTAGTTTTGATTTATATTTCCCAGGTGACTAATGATATTGAGTATCATTTCATGTGTTTATTGACCATTTATATATCTTTGGAGAAATGTCTACTTAAATCCTTTGTCCATTTAAAAATTGCATTTGTCTTTTTATTGTTGAATTGTAAAAGTTCTTTATATATTCTGGATGCAGATTCCTTATCAGAGATGTGATTTGCAAATATTTTCTTCCATTCTGTGGGTTGTATTTTCACCTTCTTTTTTTTTTTTTTTTTGAGACAGAGTCTTGCTCTGTCACCTAGGCTGGAGTACAGTGGGGTGATCTCAGCTCACTGCAACCTCCACCTCCCGGGCTCAAGTGATTCTCGTGCCTCAGCCTCCGGGGTAGCTGGGAGTACAGGCGTGTGCCACCACACCCGGCTAATTTTTGTATTTTTATTGGTGATGGGGTTTCGCCATGTTGGCCAGGCTAGTCTCAAACTCCTCGGCTCTGAAGCAATCCTCCCACTTAAACCCCTTGAGTAGCTGAAGGTACAGGCAAGTGTGTCATTGTGCCTGGAAGTTAATATTATTTTTATTCTAGAATTCTTATTGTAACGGTGAATGGGATCCTTTTTTTTCTATTGTATTTTCCAACTGGTTATCTATGGTATGCTGAAAGATTAAGATAGTAAAATGTGTTTCTCTGTTTCCAGTATCCTTCTTTTTGGCTTAAGAGAAGGCATAAGCCACTGCATTCTTTAAAACTTTTAAGTGGCTCCTGTGGCCTTTAAGGGTTAAATTCAAACTGCTTATCATTGCAATGCTCTGCCTCACCGGGCTCCCTTGTACTCCTCCAGTAGTTCATCTCTTACCTCTCTCCGCCTTTCACTTTACGTCTCAGCCAAACTGAACTTGTTCTGTTTTTTCTAGTGTTCCACACTGTCGTGTTTCTGGGCCTTCTTTCAGGCTAGTACATCTCCCTCCTTCCTTCCCTCCCTTTCCATGGCACACTTCTGTCTGCCCTTCTGATCTCAATGGAAACATCATTTCCTCTGAGTACCCTTCCTAAACTCCCTAACCTAGATTACTAGCTTTGGCCCTGTGATCTTACAGCATCTGCCCGTTCCCCTTATGACATACCATACACTTTATTAGAGTTGTTTATCCACTTATTTGTGTCTACCTTTTGTTTTGTTTTGTTTTCTTTTTTTGCTTGTTTGTTTTGTTTTTGTTTTTCTTTTTTTTGAGATAGATGTGTTGGTGTGTTGCCCAGGCTGGTCTTAAACTCCGGGGCTCAAGCGATCCTCCCGCCTCAGCCTCCTGAGTAGCTGGGATTACAGATGCACTCCACCAAGCCCAGCTGTCACTGCTTTGAGTGCAGTTAACAGCATCCATCCAGCTCGCCACTGATTGTATTTGCAGTTTCTAGCACAGAGCTTTGTACACTATAGACGCTTTATCATTATTTTTGAACCATTTATTACTTCACTAAACTCTCCATTTTATACTTTTTAAAACTGATTCTTTCCAGGATAATTAAGTTATTTATTTATTTATGTATTTTATTTTATTTTATTTTTTTTGAGACAGCGTCTTGCTCTGTTGCCCAGGCTTGAGTAAAGTGGTACGATCTCTGCTCACTGCAACCTATGCCTCCTGGGTTCAAGTGATTCTCATGCCTCAGCCTCCCGAGTAGCTGGGATTACAGGCATGTGCCATCATGCCCGACTAATTTTTGTATTTTTAGTAGAGATGGGGTTTCACCATGTTGGCCAGGCTGATCTTGAACTCCTAACCTCAGAGGATCCGCCTGCCTTGGCCTCCCAAAGTGTTGGGATTACAGGCGTGAGCCATCGTGCCCGGCCTAAAATATAATTTTAAAAAGAAAATGTTTACTTTCTGTTGAAAGATTCTGGTCCCTCATTTTTCCTAAGTTTCTAAAGCATATCAAATATAGAGGCCAGGCAAGTGGCTCATACCTGTGATCCCAGCACTTTGGGAGCCGGAGGCAGGAGGATCACTTGAGGCTAGAAGTTCAAGACCAGCTTGGGCAACATAGTGAGACCCTGTCTCTACAAAAAAGTAAAAAAAATAAAAAATTACCCAGGCATGTAGTGTGTACCTGTAGTCCCAGCTACTGGGGAGACTGAGTTGAGAGAATCACTTGAACCCAGGAGTTGAGCCCAGGAATTTGAGGCTGCAGTGCTATGCTTGAGCCACTGCACTCTAGCCTGGACGAAGAGAGAGACCTTGTCTCTAAAATAAAGTAATAATAATAAAAAAGAATATCAATACAATAAAGATATTGAATCCAGTCCAACTTAAAGCACCAAAGAACACATAGGCCCCATATTCCCTTTGCTATTATCACCCTAGCTATGTGGAAACAGTGTCAATACAATTAAGCTTTATGACATATGTCAAGATTAAGATTATCTTGCCTGTGTCAACAATGTTTCCCCTTATGTTTTTTTTTTGGTTGTGAGGTAGAGTCTCACTCTGTTGCCCAGGCTACAGTGCAGTGGTGCTATCATAGATCATAGTTCACTGTGGCCTTGAACTCCTGTGCTCTAGTGATCCTCCCACCTTGGCTTCCTAAAGTGCTGGGATTACAGGTATGAGCCACTGCACCCAGCCTTCCTCTCATGTTCTTAAGATGCAGCAGTCCAGGTATCCTGATTTCACAGGTAGAAGTACAAAGGCAGGAAGGAGCACGTCCCTGTCTTGGTCTCCTTTTGAAGAGTATCGGGGAAGACTTTGCCAGAAGCTAACTTCCCCATTAGGCATCACTGGCCAGGGTGGTGATCACATGCTCAGTCCACCATGGAGAACAACGTTATCATGATTTAGAGCTGAAACGGTGGAGTCAGGTGAGGAATCTGGAGGTTATTATTCCAGAGCCCACATTCCTTCCACTATTATAACATCCTGCCTTCCTACTATACTGGGGGCCACAGATGCCACTTCCTGGCTTTGGGAACATGGACAAGTTACTTTGCCTCTCTGTGCCTCAGTTTCTTCATCTTTAAAGTAGGGATAATATTAGTACCTACCTCAAAGGGTAGTTGTGAAGATCGAATCAGTTAATGTACAGACATTCCTTAGAAAAGTAACCTGGTACTTAGTAAATACTCAGTAAAGGTTAACAATTGCTACTGTTAGTAACTACATGATCTTGGTCTATTAACCTACAATGCTAACTCCCTGGCCCAAATCATAGACATTGCTTTCTCTCTTTCTTTTATTTATTTTCTTTAAGACAGGGTCTCACTCTGTTGCCCAGGCTGTGGAGTGCAGTGACATAATCACGGCTCACTGCAGCCTTAACCTTCCTGGGCTCAAGTGATTCTCCCATCTCAGTCTCCTGTGTAGCTGGTACAAAGGTGTGCACCACCACACCTGGCTAAGTTTTGTATTTTTTGTAGAGACGGGGTTTCACCATGTTGCCTAGGCTGGTCCTGAACTCCTGGACTCCAGTGATCTGCCTGCTTCGGCCTCCCAAATTGCTATGATTACAGGCATGATCCACTGAGTCCAGCCCATAGATATCTCTTAACTCAACTATTTGAATAGTCTCCTAATTTCTACTTCCACATAAAAAAATACATAGTAGTTTTATTGAAAATAATTCACAGCTGGGTGCAGTGGCTCATGCCTGTAATCTGAGCACTTTGGGAGGCCAAGGCGAGTGGATCACCTGAGGTCAGGAGTTTGAGACCAGCCTGGCCAACATGGCCAGACCATGGCCAACATGACCCCATCTCTACTAAAAATACAAAAAATTAGCCAGACGTGGTGGCGGGTGCCTGTAATCCCAGCTACTTAGGAGGTTGAGGTGGGAAAATTGCTTGAACCCGGAAGGTGGAGGTTGCAGTCAGCTGAGATCGCTCCATTGTACTGCAGTCTGGGCAACAAGGGCGGAACTCTATCTCAAAAAAAGAAAAAAAAAGATAAGAAAATAATTCACATACTATATAATTCACACATTCTGCTTCCACTTTGCATTCCTAGTCTTATTTTCTAAAGCAATCTTTTATTATCAAGCCTTATTATCTTCAATAATATCTTGTACCCTGATCAAAACCTTCTGCTTCTTCTTTTTTTTTTTTTTTTAAGAGATAGAGTCTCGCTCTGTCGCCCAGGCTGGAGTGCTGTGGTGCGATCTAGGCTCACTGCAACCTCCACCTCCCAGGTTCAAGCAGTTCTCCTACCTCAGCCTCCCTGGTAGCTGCGACTACAGGCACATGCTGCCATGCCCGGCTAATTTCTTTTGTGTTTTAGTAGAAACGGGGTTTCACCGTGTTGCCTAGGCTGGTCTCAGACTCCTGAGCTCAGGCCATCCGCCCGCCTCGGCCTCCCAAAATTGCTAGGATTACAGGCGTGAGCCACCACTCCAAACCCCTTCTGCTTCTTAGAGGGGTTAAGTTTAATAATAATAAAAAAAGGAAATCAAAACAAAACAGAAAAACCTCCTTGTTCTCAATCCTACTTACAAAATCTGCCTTACTTACCATGGCTTTTAAGGCCCTACGTCATTTAGTGCTTGTACTTTTTTTTTTTGAGACAGTGTCTTGCTCTCACCCAGGCTAGAGTGCAGTGGGGTGATCTTGGCTCATGCAAACTTTGCCTCCTGGGTTCAAGTGATTCTTGTGCTGCAGCCACATGAGTAGATGGGGTTACAGGCATGCACTAGCATGCCCAGCTAATTTTTTTGTATTTTTAGTAGAGACGAGGTTTCACCATGTTGGCCAGGCTGGCTTTAAGTGATCACCGCCCGCCTCAAGTGATCTGCCTGCCTCGAACTCCTGGCCTCAAGTGATCTGCTGGCCTTAGCCTCCCAAAGTATTGGGATTACAGGTGTGAGCCACTGTGCTGGGCCTCTTATTGTCCTTTCCAACCTCTTCTTGTAGCACATACTCTACCTTGCTCATTTGCATCAACTATATAAACTTCCTTTCTCTTCCCTTGAAAATGTGAAGCTTATTTCCATTTCTACTTTGCCTCATCTATAACCTTAGGCTGGGATGTTATTGATATTTCTCATGGGTGACTCCTTTTGGCATTCGGGTGTCAACTTAATGTGTTTTTCACAGAAAGGCTTTTTCCTGATAATCTGTAGGAGTCTCTGGTCATTCCCTGGCACAGTGCTTCTCAACCTTTAATGTGCATGTAAAACACCTAAGTATTTTGTTGAAAATGCAAATTTTGATTCAGAGGGCTGGGGTAGGGCCTCAGATTCTGTATGCCTTCCTTCCTTCCTTGT
The DNA here is from genome assembly GCF_000001405.40 of Homo sapiens. NCBI lineage: Eukaryota > Metazoa > Chordata > Mammalia > Primates > Hominidae > Homo > Homo sapiens. The sequence goes on from NC_000006.12 coordinate 108,315,563, forward strand.
TCTCTTTTCTTTCCTTCCTTTTTTGTTGCTTTTTTAGAGATAGGGGCTTCCTTTGTTGCCCAGGCTGGAGTGCAGTGTTATAATCATAGCTCACTGTAACCTCAAACTCCTGGTCTCAAGTGATCAGCCTCCCACAGTGCTGAGATTACAGGCATGAGCCACTGTGCCCAGCCCAACAGTTCTTTTTTAAACAGTGGTTCTTGGGCTGGATGTGGTAGCTCATGCCTGTAATTCCAGATCTTTGGGAGGCCAAGGCTGAAGGATCGTTTGAGCCCAGGAGTTTAAGACCAGCCTGGGCAACACAGGTAGAACCCCTCTCTACAAAAAATGAAACGTGAGCCAGGAATGGTGGTGTGCACCTGTAGTCCCAGCTACTCAGGAGAATGGAGGGGAAGGATAGCTTGAGCCTGGAAGGTTGAGGCTGCAGTGAGCCATGATCATGCCACTGCACTCCAGCATAGGCCACAGAATGAGAGACCCTGCTTAAAAAAAAATTATAAAACATTGGTTCTTATCTTGTTTAAAAATCGGAAAGTTGGCCGGGCGCGGTGGCTGACGCCTGTAATCCCAGCACTTTGCGAGGCCGAGGCGGGCGGATCACGAGGTCAGGAGATCGAGACCATCCTGGCTAAAACGGTGAAACCCCGTCTCTACTAAAAATACAAAAAATTAGCCGGGCGTAGTGGCGGGCGCCTGTAGTCCCAGCTACTTGGGAGGCTGAGGCAGGAGAATGGCGTGAACCCGGGAGGCGGAGCTTGCAGTGAGCCGAGATCCCGCCACTGCACTCCAGCCTGGGCGACAGAGCGAGACTCCGTCTCAAAAAAAAAAAAAAAAAAAAAAAAAAAATCGGAAAGTTGTATATTTAAAGGACTTGCCTCAGATTAAACATACTCACACATAATTTTCTTTCTTTTATAGAACTCATAAATTAATTGACAAATAATTGTATATATTTATGGGGTACACTCTGATTTTTTTTTTTTTTTTTTGAGATAGAGTCTCACTCTGTTGCCCAGGCTGGAGTGCAGTGGTGCGATCTCGGCTCACTGCAAGCTCCGCCTCCCAGGTTCACGCCCTTCTCCTGCCTCAGCCTCCGAGTAGCTGGGACTACAGGCACCTGCCACCACGCCTGGCTAATTTTTTGTATTTTTAGTAGAGACGGGGTTTCACCGTGTTAGCCGGGATGGTCTCAATCTCCTGACCTCGTGATCTGCCCGCCTTGGCCTCCCAAAGTCCTGGGATTACAAGCATGAGCCACCGCGCTCGGCCCGCTCTGATGTTTTAACAGATATATATGTTCTAGAAAGATTAAATCAAGTTAATAACATCCATCACCTCAACTCCTTATCATATGTTTGTGATGAGACCATTTAAAATCCATTATTAATTTTGAAATATACAATATACAATTTTCTTTTAATTTCAAGAGGCTCCAAGACACGTACCTCCCCTTAAGTCTGTCTTGGATGCCAACTCAGACCTTGTTAAGAAAAAAAAGCCCTATATTTATTATATAACAATTCTTGTAAGGATATCAGTGACAATTTGGATTGCCTCTTCTTTTTGGATGGTGCTATTAAGAAGAACATGATTATGAATTTGTAATTACCTGTTTACTGCACAGGCAAAATCAATCCCCTGAGACTGTGGCATTGCAGTAGAGAAAAGAGTTTAACTGATGCAAGGCAGTCCCACACAGGAGAACTGGAGTTATCCCTCAAATCAGTCTCTCTGCAGGCTTCGAGCTGAGGGTTTTTATGGACAATTTCACGGGCAGGGGGCTAGGGAATGGCACTGTTGATTGGTTGGGGATGAAATAATAGGGGTGTGGAAATCGATCCTCATGCACTGAGTCCAACTGTGGGTGGGACAACAGGACCAGTTGAGTCATGAGTCATGAGTCCAGGTGGGGTCAGTCTGAAAGACATTTCAGCAAAACCAATCTTAGGTTCTATAACAGTGATATTATTTGTAGAAGCAGTTGGAGAAGTCACAAATCTTGTGACCTCTGGCCACATGACCCCTGAGCAGTAAGGGATTGTAGAAACTTGGCCTACACTTTAGCAGAGTTCAGGCTCCTCTCATAATTTTATTCTTGTAGGCTTTCATTAGTCTTACAAAGGTGGCTTTTGGTTTTTGAGAAATGGTGGGGTTAGCCTAAGGGAGGGAGCAATAATATTGTCGTCATTATTTTAAAGTTAAACTGTAAACTAAATTCATCCTAAAGTTAGCTTGGCCTGTGCCCAGGAATGATCAGGCAGAGCTTGGAGGTCAGAAGCAAGGTGGAGTCAACTATGTCAGATTTCTCTTACTGTCATAGTTTTGTAAAGACAGTTTCAGTTTATTATATATTATTTGTTTAATGTAGTAAGATTAGTTAAGGGGAGCATATCAGCATAAACTTGGGACTCCACAGCTTCAGGAGAATTTTATTTGTTCCAAACTTATATTTTAAAGTGAAAATGGAAAAATTGAAGGAAATCATGTGTTTTCTTGTAGATAGCATTCCCATAAACATGGTGAATGTCTCTAAAACCCTCTAGACTTTCTGTAACATGTGTGGCATGTGCCAAGTACCAACTTCATGCCAAGATCAGGATAAGAAGGGCAAGGATTCTCTGTGTGCCCAAGGAAAGTGGCGTTATGATAGGAAGCAGAGTGGCTATCATCATCATAGGCAGACTAAGCTGATTTTCCAGAAAAAGGCTAAAACACAAAGAAGACTGTGCTGAGCTTGAATGCGTTGAGCCCAACTGCAGATCTAAGAGAATGCTGGCCATAAGAGATGCAAGCATTTTGAACTGGGAAGAGGTAAGAGAAAGGCCAAGTGTTGATCTAGTTTCTAAGTATCATCTTTTGTTTTATTATGCAGATAATAAAATCTTGAGGTTACATTTACTTAAAAAAGTTGGAGAAAATAAAAGTAATTACGACTATACACAAAGCCTGAGGAAACTCATTTTTTCCCTGGGGAAAGTAAAACTAAATAGGAGTAATTTTTACCATAACAAGGAAGTTTTAATAGGTTATTCAGATGTAGGACACAAGATATTGATTAAATCTTTTAGAAAGTGGGCTGTGGAGTATAGTAGGATCTTCCTGAAACTTAGTTTAGGAGAATATAGTGAAATAAGGTACAAAATTGAAGTATTCGAAAGAATAGCGCAGACTTTTTGGGTTCCTAAAATCTTTCATTTATGTTTGTAAATTAGTGTGTGGAACTTCCGAATGGCATTTTCCCACTGTCCATTTGGAGTACAATAAGACAAATTAATACAAATCAAAATAATATGGCAGCAGCATCACATAATTTGTGTACACTGATGTAGTAACAGATTTAATTTAATGCAGCTTTTGAGAAGTCTTTTGTATTTCAATTTATACAGCTGCTATCCAGGGCTAAGCTGGCCAATCTGTCAGCCTTGAGTATCTTGCCTGACTGATTCTCTTTTTATCTCTGCTGACTAGCTGAATTTATGCCTCATCTTCACTGTACCTTGGTTTTCTTTTCCAAAAACTGGGAATGAAGTCTACACTATTAAATCAAGATGTTAGGCTAGTGAAAATAAAAGTAGAAGGACTTTAAGCCTCTCCAAAGGCAGATGCCAAGATAAACAGTACGTTTTACCCACAATACTGATATTTCCTATGAATAACTTTTAAACACTTTAAAATTAATTAATTAATTAATTTGTTTAGACAGGGTCTCGTTCTGTCACCCAGACAGGAGTGCAGTAGCATGATCTCCACTCACTGCAGCCTCAACCTCCCAGGCTCAAGTTATCCTCCCACCTTAGCCCTCCGAGTAGCAATAGTTCCTAGTAGTAGTAATCCCTATAGGACTAGAGGCATATACCATTATGCCTGGCTAATTAAAAATTTTTTTTTTTCCATCTGTAAAGACAGAGGTTTCACTATGTTTCCCAGGCTGGTCTCGAGCTCCTGGGCTCAAGAGATCTTTTCACCTCAGCTTCCCAAAGTGCTGGGATTACAGGCGTGAGCCACTGTGCTTGGCCAAAACAATTTTTATTTATCTTATTTTTATTTTTTTTAGAGATGAGGTCTTGCTATGTTGCCAAGGCTGGAGTGCAGTGGCCATTCACAGGTATGATCATGGTGCTCTGCAGCCTCCAACTTTTGGTTTCAAGGGATCCTCCTGCCTCAGCCTCCCAAGTAGCTGGGACTACAGATGTGTGCCACTCCACCCAGCCTCAACTTTAAAAAATTAGGTATTATTTATTTATTTATTTATTTTGAGACATAAGTAAATATGCTCTGTGGATGGTAGTCTCAGGCCTGTTGTGTTAACCCTTTTCTGCACATTATTTGTACTAAATATAATCCTCTGAAGTGAGGCTGTTGGGAAATAGGGGTGGTGTGGGTATGTGAATGAGGGGGATATGAAAAGGGTGGGACTTTGTGCCCCCCTTTCCACTTTTCTCTTTAATAAATTGAGGATTCTATGGAAGATTTTGTATGTAAAAAAGGTACAGCTATTAAAAAATAAAGTTGGAAAACCACTCCTTTAAACAATGAGACGAATTTCAAGCCAAAGATTGATAAAATCACATTTGGATTTTAGTAAGATCAGCCCTGGAGTTGGCAGAAGATATTTGACAGATCATGGTAGTGGTAAATTTGGCACAGTGGTGGTGATCAGAGTCATACATCAGTACATGGAGGCTATACATTGATTTGACCTAAAATAGTGGGACATCTTGAAGGGAGTGGCCCGCCGGTCAAAGCTGGATTAAAAGATTTTCTGATTTGCAATTGGTTAAGGAAACAAAGCTTTGTCTAAAAATTTCGGGTCAACAGAAAAGAATGTTAGCTCTGGCTGGTGAGCATAACCTCCTCCAGGCCCCTCAGGAAGAAATTTAGAACAAAGAATAGTGGTCAGAATTCAGTCCTCTGTTCCCCCTTATCTGAGGTCTGTGTGCCAGTGGATCCATTTGGTAGGGGTTGGAGTTTCTGAAAAACAACTCAGTGACATGTATTAAGATGTTATCTTTAGTTTCTATAGGGAACATCTCTAACCTCTTTGGCCATGATTTTGAGCTTCTATTATCTTCTTGCTTATCAAGTGGCTCATTTACTTCTCAGGGCTAGCTAGGTGTCTGGAATTTCCCTTGAAGAAATTCCAGGTTTTTCTTTATTTCCACGTTGCAGGGGGCATGGCAGGCCCTAAGAGAGACCCCTGCTTCCTTTAAAGGGCTCAAGCTGGGGTGGTAGGATGAGGAAGGAGAGGAGGGAATGAATTAGAGAGTATTTCGCATACAAAATTGAGTAGCATCGATGATTGATTGGCTGAGAACCTGGTTGAGGAGAACAGGATTGTGGGAGGAAGAGGAATATATCAGTAATCACCCTGAAGTTTCTCACTTGGTTGACTCCAGAAGTCTAAAAGAGGGGGTGGAGAAGAGCGTTTTTCTCTTGTGAGATTCTCAAATCCTGTAACACTAACTGGGTATTCAACAGTTCAATTTGATTCTGGCACTCTTTATTTGAAGTGAGCATCAGATCCCACAAGTAAAAGGGCTCAGTCCCATAGAATGTCCCCACTTCACATGCCAGCTGCAAATGGGGTATACAGGCTACCCACATATCTACCTGGCAACTACAAATTTGGGAATTCCCATAGCCTTCCTCCCCTTTAGATTTGATAATTTGCTAGAATAGCTCACAGAACTCAGGGGAAAATTTTGCTTATGTTTACTGATTTATGATAAAGCATACAATTCAGGGAGCCCAGTAGAAGAGATGGCCTAGGGGGATACCTAGAGGTTGAACGCACCTAGATGTGTTCACCAACCCAGAAGTTCTCCAAGTCTCCTTGAGTGTTTACAGAGCTCAATCTCTAACCCCACCTTCCTGGGGTCAGTGCGTGGGGCTGAAAGTTCCAACCTTCTACCCACTTGGTCCTTCTGGCTACCAGCCTCACCCTAGAGTCACCTCCTTAACATAAACTCAGGTGTGATGCAATGAATAACAGAAAACACTCCTATTACTCAGGAAATTCCAAGGGTTTTAGGAACTCTGTGCCAAGAACCAGGGACAAAGATCAAATATATTTCTTATTATGCCACACTGGCAAATATCTCAAATTGCCGGGAACATTTAGGAACTCTCAACCTGCATCTCCAGCTTCAACATTGAACCCAAACCTTATCCTGGTACTGTGAGGCCTAGTGTTCCAGGATACCCTTAGATTCTGTTTTACAGGCCTTAAGCAACTATATCAGTTAGGGTACAACTTAGGCTTCTGTAACAGAGACCCCAATTATACACTACTTTAAAAGCAAGATAGAAGTTTATTACTCCCTTTTAATTTCTTTTGGAGAGAGAGTCTCACTCTGTTGCCCGGGCTGGAGTGCAGTGGTGTAGGTCATAGCTCACTGCAGCCTCAAACTCCTGGGCTTAAGCCGTCCTCCTACCTCAGCCTCCCCAAGTAGCTGGGACTACAGGCACATGCTAATTTTAAGCCTGGCTAATTAAAAACAAATTTTTTTTAAATTTGTTATTTTTAGTAGAGATGAGGTCCTACTATGTTGCCCAGGCTGGTCTCGAACTCCTGAGCTCAAGTGATCTGCCTGTCTCAGCCTCCCAAAGTGCTAGGATTACAGGTGTGAGCCACTGTGCCTGGCCGGAAGTTTATTATTCTTTTACATAAAAATCCAGGTAGGCAATCCAAAGCTGGTTTGGCAGCTCAGCATTGTTGGAGAACCAGGCTTTGTGTATCTTGTTGCTCTGCTTCATTCAACATTCTGTGTGCATCTCATTGCCTCTTCCAGCTGCAGTCATTACACTTTCACTCCAGTTAGAGAGAAGGGAGGAAAAGGGAGCCAGGAGGATATGCCCTTTTCCTTTAATGGGGTATGTCAGAACTACACACGTTTCTGCTCATATCCCATTGTTAGAACCTGCTCACATGGCCATACCTGACTGCAAGAGAGGCCAGGAGATGTAATATGTGTCTGGGCAGCCATGCATCCAGCTAAAACTTCTATTTAGAAAGGTGGAACAAATAATGGAAGACAGCCGTCCCTATCTCCAACATTCATGATATATTTAAGGACTTTTCCCCCTCTTTTGGGGAAAACATGGACCTAACATTGTGATTGTTAATTCTTTTTGCTAAAGTAATTTTTATGTTATTGTGACAAAGGAAACATGATGTTCAATGAAATGAATAAAATGCTGGCAGAGTACCTTTGGGAAATCTTGTTCTGAAAAATGTGCCAGGTTGCTGCTGTTTATTGTTGCTTCTAAACAGTAGAGAAGGAGTTAGCTGCTTATTAAACCTGCCCCACATAAGGAATGGAATTATGGTTGGACCTCGCCACAATCATTTCTCTCCCAGGAGAGGCCAAAAATAGGATCAGAACACCACCCTGCTTTGAAGCAGACACTCTTGCTGTGTCTCAATTCCATGTCCAACTCCGTAAAGGTTATGGAAAACAGAAAAAGATCTCAGAAGCAGAGGGCTGAAATCGATGTGGTAATATCTGAATGTTATGTTGTCTTTGAGTAGAGAATTAAGGAACAGTGGAAAACCCTTGGGACTAGTCTTCACGTCTTTGTCTTGGTGCTTAAGAACCAGAATTAGGGTTTACTCAAAGAAAGGCAACTCTCTTGCTTTGGGAAGGAGATGAGGAACCCCAGTGTCTCCTTCAGTGGACTGGAAGCAAAGCAGAAGCTGTAGTAGGAATAGGCCTTCTGGAAGAGAGGTTACAATTATAGTTTATGGGTTTGGGGTTTGTTTCCTTTTGTTAAAATAAAACAATTAGAAATATATTCATTGTTTAATTATTTTTTTTTTGAGACCGAGTGTCACTCTGTCACCCAGGCTGGAGTACAGTGGCACAATCTCTGCTCACTTCATCCCCTGCCTCCCAGGTTCAAGCAATTCGTGCCTCAGCCCCCCAGGTAGCTGGGATTACAAGCATGCACCACCATGCCCAGCTAATTTTTGTGTTTTTAGTAGAGATGTGGTTTCACCATTTGGCCAGGATGATCTTGAACTCCTGACCTCAAGTGATCTGCCTGCCTTGGTCTCCCAAAGTGCTGGAATTACAGGCGTGAGCCACCATGCCTGGCTGAAAATGTATTTTATATTATTTTTATCAAAATGACATTTACAAAAACTGCTCCAATAGATATACTTGTAACTAGTTAAAAGTTTGAATTTGACCCTTAAGAAATGTGTAGAGCACTGTGAAAATGTATTTAAGAAAGTCTAAAATTTTATGTTTTTGTTTATAGCCTATACGGTTCAGACATCCGAGAGCATGACCCCAACTGCCACTTCAGAGACTTATTTGAAAGCTTTGGCCGTTTGCCATGGACCTCTGGACCACTATGATTTTCTGATCAAAGCTCATGAGCTAAAGGATGATGAACATCAAAGAAGAGTCATACAGTGTTTGCAGAAATTACACGAGGACCTTAAAGGATACAATATAGAGGCAGAAGGCCTTTTTTCAAAGGTGAGGCTTGTGTGATATGAAAGATTAAACAGTTAAAAGTGTAAGCATTTTCTAAAATGGATGCAATGCAGTAGGACACAATCATGAAACATCTTGAAAAATTTTCACCAGTTCCTTTACACAAATTCTGTTGGATCCCCATTCCTGGCCTTTTGATGTTCCATAGCTTTCTTTTGCCTTCAGGGGTTTGAATAGCTTCATATTTAGGTATTTAAAAAATGCAGTCCAGTCTAAATAAAAACTTCTATGGAAATTAAAGCTTTCCCTTTCCTCTAGCTCAGGCCTCATCCAGGGATCAGCAGTGGAAAAGGAGGAGTGATGTGTTCTTTCCCTTTTCTTCCTCCTTCTTTCTCTGTTTGCCTGACATCTCTAGGGTCAGAATGAGAAGAATGAAAGATTAGAGTGAAACAGCAGCCTTAAGTGACCAGTTAGTTACTGGGGCCTTTGTATGGTAGATGCTGACGTGCTAGCTCTTTGTTGAGGGTCTTATTGGTGGGTTCTTCAAGACTCCCATGGGGACCTCCACACTTCTCCAGTCTTTGACTAACCTCTTATGACTCTGGGGAAGCAACTCACAACCCTGCATTCTGCCGACACCGCCTTGCTCTTGCCCTTAGCCTTCTTGGGTGGGGTCCTTTCAGGACTTTTTTTTTTTTTTTTTGAGACAGAGTCTCGCTCTGTCACTTGGGCTGGAGTGCAGTGGCACGATATCTTGGCTCCTGGCAACCTTTGCCTCCTGGATTCAAGCGATCGTCCTGCCTCAGCCTCCCAAGTAACTGGGTAACAAGCGTGGACCACCACACTCAGCTAATTTTTGTATTTTTAGTAGAGACGGGGTTTCACCATGTTGGCCAGGCTGGTCTTGAACTCCTGACCTCAAGTGATCCACCTGTCTCGGCCACCCAAAGTGCTGGGATTACAGGTGTGAGCCACTGTGCCTGGCCTGGGACATTTCTTATTGGGTCATCTTTTATGGTGTCCGTGCAGGCCACAGGAAACATAACATCTCCTTTCGCCACCCCTTGCTGCATGGGCAGCCTCAGTCAGCCTCCTGTCCTCAGACTTCTGCAAGCAAGAAGCAGGCACTGGTTTCTGTCTTTGTCATGCATACCCCTTTCTCCTGGGGACTTATATCAAGTTCTCCCATGAACTCTTCCACACTCTGCTCTGGCAGCTGCTTGTGCATTTCCTTACCTAGGCAAGCATCCAGCTGGGGAGAGCGATGTCCATCTCAATTTATATTCAATCCTCATCTCTTTGGATGCTTCTCTTGGGAACCCCTCGTATTTGTTACGAGATATCTGAAGGGCACACCATGGCACTCTACCCAGCTAACTTTCTACCTTGATCACTTTCTTCAGTTTCACTTTGGTTTTAGGGCTGTTTTGCCTTTTTTTTTTTTTTAAACCTAATTCCTGCATGGATGTGACTAGTGTGTATTTATTTATTTATTTATAGATGGATTTTTGCTCTATTGCCCAGGCTAGAGGGCAGTGGTGTGATCTTGGCTCACTGCAACCTCCACCTCCCAGGTTCAAGCAGTCCTCCTGCTTCAGCCTCCTGAGTAGCTGGGATTACAGGCACACACCACCACACCTAGCTAATTTTTGTGCTTTTAGTAGAGATGGGGTTTCACCATGTTTGTCAGGCTGGTCTCGAACTCCTGACCTCAGGTGATCCGCCCACCTCGGCCTCCCAAAGTGCTGGGATTACAGGCATAAGCCACTGCACCTGACCTATTTATTTATTTGAGACAGAGTGTTACTCTGTCTCCCGGGCTGAAGTGCAGTAGTGTGATATCTTGGCTCACTGTAGCCTCCGCCTCCCAGGTTCAAACGATTCTCCTGCCTCCCAAATAGCTGGGATTACAGGCACCTGCCACCATGCCTGGCTAATTTTTGTATTTTTAGTAGAGATGGGGTTTTGCCATACTGGCCGGGCTTGTCTTGAACTCCTGATCTCAAATGATCCCCCTGCTTCGGCCTCCCAAAGTGCTGGGATTACAGACATGAGCCACTGTGCCTGGCCTATTTTTTTTTGGAGATACTGTCTCATTCTGTCACCCAGGTGGGGTGCAGTAGCACAATCATAGCTCACTAGTAGCCTTGAAGTCCTGGGCCCAAGTGATTCTCCTCCCGCAGCCCCCTGAGTAGGCTAGGGCTACAGGCATGCATCACCATGCTCCACTAATTTTTTAATTTTTTTGTAGAGACAGGACCTTACTCTGTTGCCAGGCTGGTCTTGAACTTCTGGTCTTAAGCAATCCTCCTGCCTCAGCCTCTAAAGCACTGGGATAATTGGTGTGAGTCACCACACTCAGCCTATGTCTTTCTTTAGCGTGAGTGGGAGCTTATTTTCCCTGGTCATCAGCTTTGAGCTTTTGTTGAAATTCTATGACAACAGGAAAACTCCTGTTCCTTATCTAATATAGAAGCCAATAGTCTCATCTTTAAGTTCTGGAGAAAACATTAATAGTAGTAAGAGTTAAAATATGGTCCAACCTAAGAAACTAGTTTTCCTTTAATTGACTTTCCCCACCCCCTGCCAAATACGCTTTTACTGTAACGTCTTTAGAAGAAAGGCACCATAGAACAACCATTAGTAGTACTTTATTTAAAAATGAATGAGGGGCCAGACGCAGTGGCTCACGCCTGTAATCCCAGCACTTTGGGAAGCCGAGGTGGGCAGATCACCTGAGGTCAGGAGTTTGAGACCAGCCTGGCCAACATGATGAAACCCTGTCTCTACTAAAAATACAAAAATTAGCCAGGCGTGGTGGCAGGTGCCTGTAATCTCAGCTGCTCAGGAGGCTGAGGCAGGAGAATCGCTTGAATCCAGGAGGCGGAGGTTGCAGTGAGCCAAGATCACTCCAGCCTGGGTGACAGTGAGACTCCGTCTCAAAAAAAAAAAGAATAAGGGCCAGGTGTGGTGGCTGAACCTATAATCCTAGCACTTTGGGAGGCCAGGGTGGAAGGATAGCTTGAAGCCAGAAGTTTGAGATCAGCCTGGACGATATAGGGAGACCCTGTCTCTACAATACAAATAAAAAACAAACAAACAAAAAATGAATGAAAGTAATTTTACTTTTTAATAAAGCTCCTGAGAGTATAATTAATTTTATTTTTATGTAAAGAAAATGTCTTCCCATTGTGTTAACACTATTAGTTGAAAGAAATAGAGATTCATTTAGATTGCAGAAAGAAATGGAGATTTAGAATAAGATTATATAAGAACATAGCAATGAAAGGCATCTCCATGACACAGCTAGGCCTTACAGTGCTCTGCCATTCATGTCATTCATTGTCTTCGTCCACTTGGGCTTCTATAACAAAATACCATAAACTGGGTAGCTTATAAACAACAGAAAAAGATTTCTTGTAGTTCTGGGTGCTGGGAAGGCCAAGATCAAAGTGCTGGCAAATTCAGTGTCTGATGAGGGCCTGCTTAACTATTCTTGGACAGCTGTCTTTTCACTGTGTCCTCACATGGCTGAAGGGACAAATGAGCTCCCTCAGGCCTCTTTTGTAAGGGCACTAATCCAACTGAGGAGGGCCCCACTCTCATGACCTCATCACCTTCCAAAGGTCCTACCTCCTAAGAGCCTCACTTTGGGGGTTAGAACTTCAACATATGAATTTTGGGGTGATGCAAGCATTGAGACCATAGCACCCACTTATTTTGTTGTTCCTTTTCTCTCATGTCTGCTTCCACTTCTGTTCACTCTACCAACTTCTTAATTCTCTCTGTGTGTCTGTAGTTTAAATTCCTGAGTAAGGATCTCATAGGCCAACCAATGACTTCATCCCTGTTTGGGCAGAGCTTTCACATTGGGTTTCTTAGAGGCCGTTAACCAGCGTAAAGATTGGCTTACCTATGGTCCCATGCAGGGCTGCTCCTGTGAGCATGGCAGTTGCTCTCAGAAGTGGACTGTGAGTGTGGTGGGCACCATGAGTGACCAGTCCAGCACAATGGTTATAGGTAATGATGAATTATTTCTTTTGATGACCAACCTCTTTTCCCCATATTTCTCAGTTTATAGTTGAGTAAAGAACCAAAAAATTTGAAAAATATAGACTGCTTATGTACTGCATATCTAGTTATATGTGATATATATATAGGGATATATTTGCATATAGTATATAAACTATAACATATAAAACTATGTAATTATATAGTTTGTGATACAGGTGGGCATCCAAGTAAAATAACAATTTGGTTATGTGGCCTAGCCAGGAAACAACATGTTGTACTCAACTGGATATTTTGGTTATCTGAGACTTGAATTGCTTTCCTGAATTTTACATCTTGTTCCCTTTCTAGTCCTCTTCCTTTTGGAAATATATTCCTTTTGTTTTGTTTTGTTTTGAGACAGGGTCTCACTCTATTGCCTAGCTGGAATGCAGTGGCACAATCATGGCTCACTGCGGCCTCGACCTCCCGGGCTCCAGCAAGCCTCACACCTCAGCCTCCCCAGTAACTGGGACTACAGGTGCATGCCACCACACCCAGCTAATTTTTTGTATTTTTTTTTTTTAATAGAGATGGGGTTTTGCCATGTTGTCCAGGCTGGTCTTGAACTCCTGAGCTCAAGCAATCTGTCTGCCCCAGCCTCCTGGAAATATATTCCTTTTATCCCTCCTCCCTACTCTATAGCATCCCCAGGACCCATCTTACAGTAGTTGGTGACATCCCATCCAATCACAAGTATCCTGTAACTATTAACTTATTTGGTTGCCAATTCAACAATGGTGGTTTTTAAAAAAATCTTTGGCTCTTCTTAGGGGTATTTTCCCGTATGTCCACCTTTGATATCTGAGTTGGCTATGATGGGCCAGCTAGTGAATAACCCTGGTTTTACTGGGTAGTTGAAATCTAATGTAAATGGAAGATTTGATATGTCAGGTAGAGTTTCAAATGTGTCTAATGAAAGGTCCTATTTGTTAAATCCTAGTGCATGTGAATAAATGTTTAGTAGGTAGAGCAACATCTTTTTCTAATAGTATTTGTCTTATTCCCTCCCTCCCTCCCTCCTTCCCTTCCTTCCTTCCTTCCTTCCTATCTTCCCTCCTTCCTTTCAAGACAGGGTCTTGCCATGTTGCCCAGGCTGGTCTTGATCTCTGGGCTCAAGCAATCCTCCCATCTTGGCCTCACAAAGTGCTGGGATTACAGGCATGAGCCACCGCTCTTGGCCCTTATAGTTTCCTAAACCCACTAAATCTTTATTTTAAATAAAGATTTTACTTAAAAATGTTATTTTTTATTTTTTTTGAGACAGAGTCTCACTCTGTCACCCAGGCTGGAGTGCAATGGTGCGATCTTGGCTCACTGCAACCTCTGCCTCCTGGATTCAAGTGATTCTCCTGTCTCGGCCTCCCGAGTAGCTGGGATTACAGGCGCCCACCACCACGCCTGGCTAATTTTTGCATTTTTAGTAGAGACGGGGTTTCACCATGTTGGTCAGGCTGTTCTCGAACTCCTGACCTCAAGTGATCTGCCCGCCTTGGCCTCCCAAAGTGCTGGGATTACAGATGTGAGCCACTGCGCCTGGCCCCACTAAATCTTTAAAATACTGAAAGAGATCCAAACATCTAACATAATTTGAAAAAAAGTATATAAAACTTTAGTTTTTAAAGAGTGTAAAGACGACACAGACCTATTTTTTTTCTAAAAACAAACACTGATATGCCAATTATCAGAAAAGGAAACTTTGGGCTATTAGGTTTTCCAGTGATGGAAAAACTCCAGTGATGGAGTTCTTTATTCTGGTGCTATGGTTCGAATATTTGTCTCTTTCAGAACTCATGTTGACATTTAATCCCCAGTGTGGCAGTATTGAAAGGTGAATTCTTTCAGAGGTGACTGGGTCATGAGATCTCTGCTGTCATGAATGGATTAGTCCATTCGTGGAGTAATGGGTTAATGGATTAATGGATTATCATGGAAGTGGGACCGGTGGCTTTATAAGGGGAAGAGAGTCTTGAGCTAGCATGCTCAGCCCCCTCGCCATGTGATGCCCCTGTGTCATCTGGGGCTCTGCAGAGAGTCTTCACCAGCAAGAAGGCCCTCACTAGGTGGGGTCCCTCAAACATGGACTTCTCAGCCTCCATCACTGTAAGAAATAAATTCCTTTTTTATTTTTTTTTTTTTTTTGCGACTGAGTCTCACTCTGTTGCCAGGCTGGAGTACAGTGGTGTGATCTCAGCTCATGGCAGCCTCCCCCGGGTTCAAGCGATTCTCTTGCCTCAGCTTCCTGAGTAGCTGGGACTACAGGTGCATGCCACCACGCCCAGCTAAGTTTTGTATTTTTAGTAGAGACCAGGTTTCACCATGTTGGCCAGGCTGGTCTTGAACTCCTGACCTCGTGCTCTGCCTGCCTGGGCCTCCCAAAGTGTTGAGATTACAGGTGTGAGCCACTGCGCCTGGCTCATAAATTCCTTTTCTTTATAAATTACTCAGTTTCTGAAGATAAAACTCTGACTTTGGACTGTAAACCTTTGTCTTGGGTATGAAACCTTGACATTGTTGAAAGAAGAGTGGAAACTGTAAGGGACAACAAGTTTCACCACAGCACAGTCTTCTTTCTCTGATAGGCCATCCGAACAGCTAAGGAGAAGACAGATCACTCAAGAACTTAAGTTGTTTATTAGCTACAGCATGTTTGCTGCTTTGATACACATTCAGCCATTTTGGAGGAAAGCTAAGCAGTACTGACTGCCCATTTTCGTGAACTTTAAATAACAAATACTATTTCTCAAGGTCTTCATTTTATCATTAAATTCAGCTAATTACTACCTGTTTAAAAATAAATAAATAAATAAATTTCAGAATATCTGAAACTCAATTTCAGATATTCTGTTATAAGCGACAGAAAATGAACTAAGACATGTGCTAAGTAGGATTTATGATTTTATGAACTTTGGATTTTGTTTTCAATACAGTTGTTTAAACTTCATTATAGGCTGGGTGTGGTGGCTCATGCCTGTAATTCCGGCATTTTGAGAGGCTGAGATGGGAGGATTGCTTGAGGCCAGGAGTTTGAGACCAGCCTGGCCAACATAGGGAGACCCCATCTCCACCAAAAAAAAAAAATTAGCTAGGCATGGTGGTACATGCCTGTGGTCCACCTAATTGGGAGGCTGAGGTGGGAGGATCACTTGAGCCCAGAAGGTTGAGGCTGCAGTAAGCCGAGATCGTGCCACTGCACTCCAGCCTGGGCAACAGAGAGAGACTATCTCAAAAAACAAAACAAAACAGAACAAAACAAAACACAAATAGACTTCATTATGGTGGACTTATTTTTTTTCCCTCATTATACTCCTAAGAAACTTTCTGTAAGTCTATGCTATAATATTAAAATAAAGTATACCTTCTTCATAAGATACCAAATTTATTAACCAAGGTGATAAAATTGGTGACAAACTACCAGGCTGCTTTCACCTACCTATGTAACAATGTTTTCTCTAGTAAATTAACATTTGAAGATGTTATGAACAGATGACCATGCCATATGAGCAACAAACTATGAAGAATGAACATTTATAAACACTTTACTTTTGTTATTGAATAAAATTTACAACCAGGTTAATCTGACACTTTTAATGTATGCATAATTGTTATTGTGCTGTGAGGTAATTAGGCATAAATGGTAAGTAGTTCATGTAAATCACTATAATTAGAATTACTTTTACACAGCCAAATCAAGCATTTCCAGAGTCAGGGAGGGAGAGAATTAAATAGAGTATGGAGCTACTCTGAAAATCTCTATTTCCATTAATCAGGGGTCTATAGGCAGCCAGGTTTTTTCATCTCTTGGGAGGAGACATCGTAGCCCAAGAGACCTGAGAATTGGGAGCCACAGAACTCCTTTCCTTTTTCTCCTGCCCTCTACCAGATAATTTTCAGTTTTTCCCTAATGAGAACTTATTTCCAACTCCCTCTTATATCCTACCATCTTTTATTTGGATACCTCCTCCTCACCCTTCCAAGAGCAATGCATGAGGCAGATGGAAAAGAACTACTCAATTCTACCATTGCACTCAGAGCAGCCACAGGCAATACATAAATAACTGTATTCCAATAAATCTTTATTTACAAAAACAAGTGTCATGCTGGATTTAGCCCATGGCCATAATTTGCTGGCCTTTGCTCTAGATGACTGCTACCTGACTAGATATGAGGGCTGGTAGATCATTAATTGTATTCAAAGTCCTGCTTGAACTTTACCTAGTCTAGCTTTCAAGTTTAATATTCCATTACTATATTGTATTCCTGCCCTATTCAACAGGAACTATTCACTATTCCATTAAATAGACAGACAAATAGAACAAAATAGAAAGTTCAGAATATACATGGGAACTTGATATATGATTGAGTTGACATTGTGAATTAGTAGGAAAAGGATTGTCTATTCACTAAATTAGCATGGGATCATTGGTTATCTATGTGAAGATTAAAGTAAAATTAGGTACTTACCTCTAGAAATAAATGCCCTAAATTTAAAGTGAAAACTTTAGAACTTCTTGAAGAAAATATAGAGGAGTAACTTTGTGAACTTGGGAAAAGGAATAATTTCTTTTCTTTTTTTCGAGGTAGAGTTTTGCCGTGTTGCCCAGGCTGGAGTGCAGTCATGGCTCACTGCAGCCTTGACCTCCCAGGCTCAAGCAATCCTCTCAGCTTAGCCTCCCCAGTAGCAGGGACTACATGTGCATACCACCATGCCTGGCTAATTTTTTGTATTTTGTAGAGATGTGGTCTCACCATGTTGCCTCGGCTGGTCTTAAACTCCTGGCCTCAAGCAATTCACCTGCCTCAGTCTTCCAAAGTGCTGGGGTTACCGGCTGAGCCATCACGCCCAGCCAGAAGAATTTCTTATACAAGATATGAAAGTCCAATATATATGTTCATGTTGTCCTGTAAATTAAAAAGAAAATAAAAAAGTTCAACTTATAAAGGTAAACACTGATACATTTGACTATGTTAAAATTTAAAACTTCTAGTTAACAAAAGGTACCATAGAAAAAGTGAAAAGGTAGACGACAGACTGGGAGAAAAGATTTTTCATCAAAAATAATTGACTACTGGCTGGGTGCGGTGGCTCACGCCTGTAATCCCAGCACTTTGGGAGGCCGAGGCGGGCAGATCACCTGAGGTCAGGAGTTCGAGACCAACCTGGCCAACATGGTGAAACCCCGTCTGTACTAAAAATACAAAAATTAGCCAGGTGTGGTGGCGGGCGCCTGTAATTCCAGGTACTCAGAAGGCTGAGGCATGAGAATCGCTTGAACTTGGGAGGTGGAGATTGCAGTGAGGTGATATCCGCCACTGCACTCCAGCCTGGGTGACAGAGCGAGACTCCATCTCAAAAAAAAAAAAATTGATTATGGATCGCTCTCTAGAATACATAAAGAACCCTGACCAGGTGCAATGGCTCACGCCTGTAATCTCAACACTATGAGAGGCTGAGGGTTGGGAGGATCGCTTGAGGCCAGGAGTTTGAGACCAGCCTGAGCAACATAGCAAGACCTAATCTCTGCAAATAATAATAATAATAAAGAATATATAAATAACATCTACCATATAATAGAAAAACAGACAACCCAGTAGAAAAATAGACAAAGGAGAGTATTTTTTTTCAGAAATAACTAGCAGATGCCACAAGACTGGATAAACAAATCAGAATGTATTTATAAAATGGAATGTTGCTTAGCATGGGGATGATAAACTATACATTCAGGTGGCTAATACTGAGGAGGAAGGGGACAAAGGAGGCTTCAACTATACTTAATGCTTTATTACTTAAATTTGAAATAAATGTCAACATAGAAAGATTTGATAAAGCTGGAGGGTGGGTAACGAGGTGTTCCATATAGTCTTCAATTTTGCCTGTTTGTAATATTCCATTGTGAAAATATTTTACATGTGATTGTGAGATATTTCAACAGGTTAGTTTTGTTTTTGTTTTGTTTTGTTTTGTTTTTGAGACAGAGTCTTGATCTGTCACATAGGCTGGAGTTCAGTGGTGCGATCTCGGCTCACTGTAACCTCTGCCTCCTGGGTTCAAGCAATTCTCGTGCCTCAGCCTCCTGAGTAGGTAGGGCTAAGGCATGCGCCACCACGCCTGGCTAATTTTTGTATTTTTAGTAGATGCTGTGTTTCACCGTGTTGGCCAGGCTGGTCTCAAACTCCTGGCCTCAAATGATTGCCACATCAGCCTCCCAAAGTGCTGGGATTACAGGTGTGAGCCACTGTGCCTGGCAGGGTTAATTGATTTTTTTTTCATTTTGAAAAAATTACAACTTTTCTTGAAAATATAATTTTAGAGTCTACTAGTTCAGCCTTTCCTTCTTACAAATAGACTGAGGGGCCGGGTGTGGTGCGTCATGCCTGTAATCCCAGCACTTTGGGAAATTGAGGCGGGTGGATCACTTGAGCCCAGGAGTTTGAGATGAGCCTGGGCATCATGGCAAGACTTCATCTCTAAAAAATAAAAATTAAAAAATTAAAAAAAAAACAAATAGACTGTGGAAGGAGAATTATTAGCACAGTCCTCCAGAAAGGCATATGAAATATGTTTATAAGAGGGTTTTAGCAATGCAATCTTTTCCTCTTTCTGAAATTTCATAAACTGAATACTTATAAATCTGATCACACTCTTCTCCTGCTTAAAGCTTTCAGCCCCCTCAGGATAAACTACAAACTCAGCATGTCCTTCAAAGTTCTTGAGAGCCTAGTCCCTGCATCTTGCCAGCCTCCTCTGCCATTGTTCTCTGCTGGCAATAAAAGTCCCAGCTATGATGACCTGCTTAAAGATCCTTGGACGAGGCTGAGACTTTATTTTGTCTCTGGGTCTTTGCTAAAGCTGCCCACCCTCCATCCTTTCGTTATGGCTCACCTCACATTGCCTGCTTGGTGACCACATGCTCCTCTGGTAGATATTGTATTTCTTTCTTTCTTTTTTTTTTTTGAGATGGAGTCTCACTCTGTCACCCAGGCTGGAGTGTAGTGGCACGATCTCAGCTCGTGGCAACCTCCGCCTCCCAAGTTAAAGCGATTTTCATGCCTCAGCCTCCGAAGCAGCTGGGATTATAGGCGTTTGCCACTGTGCTTGGCTAATTTTTAGTAGAGATGAGCCAGGCTGGTCTTGAATTCCTGACCTGAAGTGATCTTCCTACCTTGGCCTCTGAAAACGTTGGGATTACAGGTGTGAGCCACTGCCCCGGCTGGTTTTTCTTTTCTTGGTCTTCTGGGCCTGAAGATCCCAGCCCACTGCCTAGCACAAAGTAGGTGCTCAATACTCAATTCATGTTTGTGGAACAAATGAAATGTGAATGAGTAACAAAGCCATCACTAAAGAGTCATAGAGCCTATCCATGTATCTGTGTGAGAGTGTAGGTGTCTCCATTGTGTGCCTATATCCACGTATGTCTCTGTGAATATGTCCTCTTCTCATTCCCTCCTTAACATCAGTTTTTAGCTAACCCTGAAGATGCCTGGAAGGCCAGTTTAATTTCTCAGATTCAGAACAACAACAGCGTTCAGAACAAGGGATATTTTCCACCTCTTTCTTTTGATGAAGCGCAGATTGGCTTGAGAGTAATGCTCGTATCTCAATAGTGGACTGAACTAGTAGTGGACTGGAATAGACCAGACCTAGCAGAGCTTCACCTAAGCTGGCCAAAAGCAGAGTATCAGGTAGGAGCAAAGTGAACATGGAAGGATTTGCCAGAAAACTAGCCCGCTGTCATTTGTCTCCCAGTGGTGCACACAGGAACTTATAAATGTTTGTGACTTGAATGCATGAGATGTCAAAAAGTCATTTGCATCTTTAAATTGTGTTATAATCAGAAATTGAGCCATTTCTTACACTAGTAGTTTTAGAGTTTTAAGCACACCCCCAACTTATTTAGATACTTAAATAGGCTTAATTATGCTAGTAAACTGAGCAAGTTGGTGTATTATACTTTAGGCTGCCGAGATTCTTTTGCAAATCAGCTAAAGACATTTCAAAAACCATTTTCATTTAAAGAGAATTTATGGGTGCTAATATATAGTTCAGTTTTTTAGTTTTTAAAGATCTTCTTAGAAACCTGAAATGATCTACTTTTATCAAAAAGTGGTCCATGTTGAGAATGCTATAATGCCAGTTTTTAAAAGATGTAATTATGCTCAGCATTCCAGCTGGAATCATTGTTTCTGATTCTATCATTTTGGGAGATAATAATGCAATGGTGGGGGGAATGGAGAGAAACAGGAAAAGTAGTATTCCTGCATTTTAAACAAATTGAAAACAACACTTTTTATTTTAACAGCACCACCCTTATTATCTAATTGTCCTAGTGGAAATGATGCCAGAGTAGCAGGTGGATAGTGACCCAGAAAGGCAGAGGACGTGCTATTTCAATGTATAACTTTGATGAGAATCACCTTGGATCATTTTTTAATGCTAGAATTTTAATATCATAGGGAACAAAGGATAATATTAAAATCATTAAATCAAAATATTTGGAATGATGGATGACATACATTCTTTTAGTTTGCAGTAAAGGAATAGTTTTGATAACAGTTTTGAAAGCAAATGTCTACAATACAAATATGCAGATATTTTTGAATAATTTTAGGCTTATTTCAAAAGTAAAAGTAATACAGTAGTCACCTTACCAAATTTTGTTCTGTTTTTTTCCAACTTTTCATTTTGAAAAATTTCAATGATATACTTAGATCCACTAATGGTTAATATTTTGCCACATTTGTTTAATTTTCTCTCTAAATATCTTATTTTCTAGAACCATCTACAAGTAAGTTGCATCATAACACTTGACCCCTAAATATATCACATATAACGCCTAACAAGGACCTTTTCCTGCATAACTATATTATCATCATCACATTCCAGAAATTTAACACTCATTTAGTAATGTTATCTAAAGTAGGGTTGGCAGATTTAGCAAATAAAAATACAGGCTGCCCAGATAAATGTGAATTGTATGTATGTATGTAAGAGATGGGGTCTTGCTATAGCCCAGGCTAGTCTCTAACTCCTGGGCTCATGTGATCCTCCTGCCTCGGCCTCCTGGGTAGCTAGATTACAAGTGCAAGATATGACATTTTTGAAAGGAATGTAGCACGATCTAACCTTGAAGATATGAACTACCTCAAGCTAATAGTTTACCTGATATACGAGAGATGTTGCTGTATCTTCCTGAAACATTTAAAATAGCCCTTAGGGCTCCTTTGAGTTTGCTGCAGTGCCCTGGGTGCCTCAATTTGAGAACTTCAATTCTTTGCAATATGTTGTATTGACTTTTTAGTACATGTGAGCATTGTGTGTTCACTACACATGCAGTATATATTATGTTATATGCTCTGTGTGTTTTATTATTTGTGCTTTGTCCCCCCTTCTATTCCGTGAGTTCCTTGGAAACAAGGATTGTTTTCTACACATTATTGTATCCTCAGCACATAGCACAGTACATGCCCATAAATGCTGGTTGAATTGTATGAAATTGAATCTAGGTTAATCTCCTAATTTTATTAATGAGACACAAAGGCCTAAGGTTAGCAGAAATATCTCGTGTTCAGAAATGTTTGTTAGTGATAAAGAGATCTTAGTTCTCAAATACGACCCTGACTTGAGCCTCTGCTTTTCAGTTAAGTAGAAACCTAAATTGGACATATATCATATATTATGGGTAGTAACAATGAGGTATATTGAAATAAATAATCAAAAAATTCCGAAGCTAAATATTATAATGTTCATCTTGGGATTGGTGCTTGGTGGTTACATGAAAGACAGGGCTTTTACTAAAGCTTTTCTGTTTTTGTTACTAAATCCTCAGGGAGATGGTGTAATGAAAACATTTCACTGCAGTGGCTCATGCCTGTAATCCCAGCAATTTGGGAGGCTGAGGCGGGAGAATCCCTTGAGCCCAGGAGTTTGAAACCAGCTTGTGCAACATAGGGAGATCTCATCTCTACAAAAAATGTAAAAATTAGCTGGGCATGGTGGTGGGCACCTGTGGTCCCAGTTACTTGGGAGGCTAGGGTGGGAGGATCTCTTGAGCCCGGGAGGTCAAACCTGAAGTGAGCTGTGATGGTGCCACTGGACTCCAGCCTGGGTAACAGAGCGACACCTTGTCTCAAAAAAACAAAAGAATCATTTTGGACTTTGGAGTCAGATTTGAAGTGCATTTCCATTTTGGCTCTGACACTATCTTCATCTTTGTCTTAGTTTTGCCATCTAATTCATAAGTCATTTGCTAAGAGTGGGAATATTTATCTCTGAGAAAACTTTTTCCTCCATGATTACAAAATGTGAAATATTTAAGAAAGAGCTCTGTGATCAAATAAGTTTAGGAAATGCTATGTGAATAACTCTCAGAGAATCACAATGCCATTAGTATATCAAAGACTCTGAGAAATTCTGCAGTAAACAAACTTTTTTTTGTTGTTTTTTATTTTTTATTTTTTTGTAGAGATGAGATCTCTCTATGTTGTCCAGGTTGGTCTTGAACTCCTGGGCTCAGGCATTCTTTCTGCCTCAGCTTCCTAAAGTGTTGGGATTACAGGAGTGAGCTACCATGCCTAGTCAAAGAAACTTTTAAACTTTGGTCCTGTAATTCAGTGTTTCTCCAACTTGAACACGTGGCTTCTTTTAAAATGAACACCCATAAACATAATGCAGAAATAATGCTTTATGCAATAAACTTTAGAAAACCCTACTTGCTTCATAGGAATTGTTTGATGTGTCTGACATGTAGTGAGAACTCAACAAAAGATGCGAGACCCCGTTACCAAGACACACATCCTGGATTCTGGCTTTAAGACATTCAATGCTTATTTATTTATTTATCTAGACAGAGTAGTCTTGCTGTGTCACCCAGGTTGGAGTGCAGCGGCATGATCTCAGCTCGCCTGTCCCCCTACATCTTTGTTAATACAGTGTCCTCTCAAACTTTCAGATTTTTGCCATGATGGTATTTCATTAATATTTTAAATCTTACCTCTTGTATTGTGAATGAGAGTATTCTTTCAACGTTAAAGCAATTTGCATTTGTTTTTCTTACTGATTGATTTATAAAAGCTCTTTGTTTATTAAGAAAATAAACTCTTTTTTTTTTTTTTGAGACAGATTCTTGCTCTTTCGCCCAGGCTGGAGTGCAGTGGTGTAATCTCAGCTCACTGCAATCTCTGCCAAATGATTCTTGTGCCTCAGCCTCTCGAGTAGCTGGGACTACAGGCACGTGCCACCACATCGACTAATTTTTGTATTTTTAGTATAGATGGAGTTTCACCATGTTGGCCAGGGTGGTCTCAAACTCTTGGCCTCGAGTGATCTGCTCATGTTGGCCTTCCAGGGTGCTGGGATTACAGGTGTGAGCCACTGCACCCAGGCAGAAAATAAATTCTTTAAATTTTTTTTTTTTTTTTTTTTTGAGACAGTCTTGCTCTGTTGCCCAGCCTGGAGTGCAGTGGCATGATCTCTGCTCACTGCAACCTCCATCTACCAGGTTCAAGTGATTCTCCCACCTCAGTCTCCCATGTAGCTGGGATTACAGGTGTGTGCCACCATGTCTGGCTAATTTTTGTATTTTTAGTAGAAACGGGGTTTCACCATGTTGGCTAGGCTGGTTTCGAACTCCTGACCTCCCGCCTTGGCCTCCCAAAGTGCTGGATTACAGGTGTGAACTACTGAAATTCTTTTAAATTATTTTTTAATTTTTAATTTTTGTGGGTATATAGTAGGTGTATATATTTATGGGGTACATGAGATGTTTTGATACAGGCTTGCAATGTGAAATAATCACATCATGGAGAATGGGATATCCGGCCTCTCAAACATTTATCCTTTGTGTTACAATCAAATTATATACTCTTTTAGTTACTTTAAAATCTACAATTATTGACTATAGTCATTCTGTTGTGCTATCAAATAGTAGGACTTATTCTTTCTGTTTTTTTTGTACCCGTTAACCATCCCCACCTCCCCCTCCACCCCAGCCTCCCACTACCCTTCCCAGTCTCTGGTAACCATCCTTCTACTTGCTATGTTCATGAGTTCAATTGCTTTGATTTTTGGATCCTACAAATAAGTGAGAATATGTGGTGTTTGTCTTTCTGTGCCTGGCTTATTTCACTTAATGTAATGACCTCCAGTTTCATTCATGTTGTTGCAAATAACAATATCTCATTCTTTTTTTATGGCTGAATAGGACTCTTGTGTATTCTTGCCCATAATAACTGATGCAGTTTTTTTTTTTGCAGTTTATTTGCTGTTTTTCCTTCCTTAGGATTTTTTCTAACAGAAAGTTATAATTTCAGTGTTTTTTTTTTTTTTGAGATGGAGTCTCGCTCTGTTGTCCAGGCTGGAGTGCAGTGGTGTGATCTAAGCTCACTGCAACCTCCATCTCCCAATTTCAAGCGATTCTCCTCCTCAGCCTCTCCCAAGTAGCTGGGATTACAGGCGTGTGCCACCACAGCCAGCTAATATTTGTATTTTTAGTAGAGACAGGGTCTCACCATGTTGGTCAGGCTGGTCTCGAACTCCTGACCTCAAGTGATCTGCCCGCCTCAGCCTCCCAAAGTGCTGGGATTACAGGTGTGAGCTTTATAAGCTGTTGATAAGGATTACAAGAGAAGAGGAATTTAATGTGATGGGCCCTGGTTCCTGAGAAGGTAGATGGGGTATAAAATCAAACACTGATAGAAGGTTGGAAGAAGGACAGGAAGAGGAATCGTTTTCCTTTGTAACAGGAGGAATGTCACAGGAGGGAGGAATGGATGGGTGCAGACGTGGGTGGGATTGCAGTTTCACATAGGAAGTTGAAGGACTTTCAACCCAATGCCTTCTGTTCTCTTTATGAAGAAGTAGGAGACATCTTCTGAAAGTGATGAGTGAAATGTAGTTTTGCTTAATGGGAAGTAAGAAGGTTCCAGAGATTCTTTGCAGAGACACAGTGAACTCACCAGGAAAACAGAATTGTTGACAATATGGAGGGCCCAGAGAGAGGGTCCTCTCTGCACGACTGTCAGACTTTTTTCAGCAATCCTCAGCAATCTGGGTGAAGTTCATGGAAGGGTATATATTTTAGTATGAGATTTTTCTATTTTTAGCTATCTTTTTATCATTTATATATGATTTTATTAAATTATGGTTAGAGTACATTTGATTCTTTGGAATTTATTGAAGTTTTCTTTCTGGCTTAGCATATGGACTATATTTGAAATTATGCTGCTAGTTCTTGAATGTATTCTTGGTTTGTTGGGTTTAGAGTTTATATGGATGTAAATTGCTTGAACTTACTAATTGTATTGTTCAGATCTTTGAGAGGGATGTGTCAAAGGGTGTGATGTTTCTTTTTTCACGAATTACAGGTCTGAGTATAAACAGGTATTGGTAAGCACATTATGTTTGCAGTCTTTGGCGTGATTACACATGCAAAGGTGAGCAGTGATGGGGAACTTCCCTGTGCTGGGCCCTGCACCCAACAGATAAGGAGACAGCAGGTTGGAGAGTTGAGAGGGCTTACCCAGGGTCACCTAGCTAATAAATAGCCAGCCAGGATTTGTACCTAGATCTTTTGGGTTCAACTCTAATACTCTTCTGCCATATCTCTTATGCTTGGTGGAGGTAGGTGGTAGGTTATCACTGTCTTCCAACATCATCCTTAAGCTTATGAGCTTATGATCTATCTGCACAATCTAAAAGGTGATGTCACTGGATCCTCATCAAAAGCCCATTAGAGAAGGTGTCATCATCCTACTTTACAAACTCCCTAAGATACAGGTAACTTGTGACAAATCTTATAACTGGTCACTAGAGAAACTTAGTCATTTCAGATTTTGAAGTCTGAGTCTAATGTTACGTGTGTGCATTTTGGGAGTCCGGGATGTATCAGAGTCCTGGCAGAAAACAATTCACAGCAGATGTTTCAATAAAGACCAAATTTAGAGACTACTTAGAGAGGCATGGGCAGGCTTAAGGCAGCAAACAAGGGATGGAAGGGCAAAGGAGGAGACTGGTGAGAGCTGGAGCTGTGGCCTGAGGGATGGGTCGCTTGTTGGTCTGGAGGGATGCAGCTCTACTGGGACACAGCTCTGAAGCAGGGAGGGATGGGAGAGAACGACCCATCCCTTTCTATGCCCTCTGTCCTGTTTCCTGCAAGGAATGCCTCCCACAGGCTGAACCAGCCAGGAGCCAGCCAGAAAGGGCAGTCGCTTGGGGTACAGACAGGACGGAGAAGGCATCAGGGGAGGGGAGCACATGGAGAATGACCAGCACCAAGAAACAGTGTAAGGGTGGAGTTCACTGTGATTTCTGAGACATAAGGACAAGTTATAGGGAATTAAATTTAAGGAAGGAAATTTAATAGAAAAATAGCATTAAGTTGTGAGAAAATGTAAATTAGGAGCATGCAAATGATGTGGGTTCCTAAGGGACAGCCATTTTGAAGAAAACCGTGTAACCCTTCCTCTCCTTGAAATCACTACTATTAATAAAGAATTCAAAAACTTCTTTAGGACCCATTTTATATCCTTCTGATTAGTCTTACTGTTCTCCATTTGATCCTCTGATTTTTCCCTTAAGACATAGATTTTTAAACCCCTTAAAATAATTTCAATAATTATTAGAAAACTGAAATTTTTATTAGGAGAAAATTAGCTTGTTTCCCCAAGTAAAAATACGTGGAGTATATAATATTGTTTAGATAGACTATGTCTGTGTCTAATGATTCTCGTTAGGAGGGTATTCATTTTGTTGATCAATTTACTTATATTAAAATCCCCGTCTTATACAGTATTCATGTGATATGAGGTATTTGTGATCTTAGACGTTTGAGGATCTTTTCTTTGGCACAGCAGTATCTCTTTGTCATCTTCTGAATATTACTATAAAATATAATACAACATAACAGATTATATATGTAATATATAATGTAGTATTTGCTAAAGTGCTCTTTATAAAATATATTGAGTTGAGAGGGAAAAATAGAAGAGAGGACTGTGAGTGCAACTTTTTCTTTTTCTTTTTTTTTTTTGAGTTGGAGTCTTCCTCTGTTGCCCAGGCTGGAGTGCAATGGTGCGATCTTGGCTTACTGCAACCTCTGCCTCCCTGGTTCAAGTGATTCTCCTGCCTCAGCCTCCTGAGTAGCCTGCCACCATGCCTGGCAAATTTTTGTATTTTTGGTAGAGACGGGGTTTCACCATGTTGGCCACTGGTCTTGAACTCCTGACCTCAAGTGATCTGCCCACTGGGGCCTCCCAAAGTGTTAGGATTTCAGGTGTGAGCCACCACGCCCGGCCAACCTTTTTGTTTTTTTTTAGCAGCATTCAGCTCTCTCCATGCAATCTTTCCCCCCATCTTTCTTCATTCCTTTTCCCTGAACTTCATTTATTCAGCCTATCTTGAGTATATAATGTAGCAGTATTAGAATAGGCCTTAAACTATTCCCACAAAATGTATTGTGAAGAATTATGAATTGCTATGACACTCTCAGTTACCTAATACAAAATGCTGCTTTCAAAATATTTCACATACATAGAATATACTTAGAGATTATTAGGTTTTATGCAAGTTTTCCAATTTGAAGCTGTTCTAAAATTAAGAGCATAATGCTTTTTCTGGCAAGTTGAAAATAGAATAACCATTGCATGATAATGGTTCATATAAGAAACAAAAAAACAAGAAAAATTAAGAAGTTTTGGCAGGAGTAGAAAACTGTTTTGAGTGGAGATTTAAGAATAGATGGAGAGTTAACATGCAGAGAGATACCAGGAAGCCATCCAGATGGCAGAGTCAAAGCAAAGAAGATCCTTTTGTCTGGCCTAGACCATGAGTGAGGTCTAGAAGGCACAAGCTACATTTAGTAGAGAAAGAAAGCAAAAAGGAACAGGAAAGCAAGAGAGGTTTCTGAGGCAGGTTGGAATGAACCCATAAATTATAAAACAAAAACAGGCCAGGTATGGTGGCTCATGCCTACAATCCCAGCGCTTTGGGAGGCCTAGGCAGCAGTTTAAGACCAGACTGGGCAACATAGTGAGACCCCATCTCTACAGGATAGTTTGTTTGTTTGTTTGTTTGTTTTTTGAGATGGAGTCTCGTTCTGTTGCCCAGGCTGGGTGCAGTGGTGTGATCTCGGCTCACTGCAACCTCCGCCTCCTGGTTCAAGGTGATTCTCCCACCTCAGCCTCCCAAGTAGCTGAGATTATAGGCATGCACCACAGCGCCCAGCTAATTTTTGTATTTTCAGAAGAGACAGGGTTTGACCATGTTGGCCAGGCTGGTCTTGAACTCCTGACCTCAAGTGATCTGCCTGCCTTGGCCTCCCAAAGTGCTAGGATTACAGGCATGAGCCATCGCGCCCAGCCTACAGGATAGTTTTTTTTCATAAAAAATTAGCTGGATGTAGTGGTGTCCACCTGCCCCAGCTACTCAGGAGGCTGAGGCAAGAGGATTGCTTGAGTCCAGGAGTTCAAGGCTGTAGTATGCTATGATCATGCCACTGCACTCCAGCCTGGATGACAGAGTGAGACCCTGTCTCTAAAATAAATAAAATAAGACAAAGCCAAAAGCCTTATGGATGAGACCCTGAAAGCTAGGTTTTGAGAATGTTCTCTGCCAAATTATTGACCACTCCGGTTGATGCTAAGTGGCATAATCTTCACTTTTTTCTGTTTTACCCTCCCTTTCTGAACTCACTCCACCCTGTCATACCTTGTTTTTTGCACAGGTGTTAGGAACTGCTGCAGAGTATGAAGGTTACTCGTCTAAGTGTAACAAAATTCAAGATGGTTATTTGGGTTGATAATAGCATTAGGTAAGATAAGTTCTATTTTGCTTCATCTCCAGAGCCCTTCAGTTTCCAGTTTTGCTCTGGACCTGACTGCTTTCCTGACCTGCAGTGCCACTGTGGTCCTGGAAGCAGGCCTCCCTCTGACAAGCTTTTTTCCCTCTCAGGGGCCCTCTACATTTCCCAGAGCCTATGTTTTCTTCTTGCTGAGTAGGAAGTTTTGTTCATACCCTGAATTTATGAAAGGACAATTTTCCATTTTCACACTTGATGAATAGATTGGATGGATTGGTAGGAAATCATTTTTCCTCAATTGAAACAATTTCTTTTTTGTAAAAATGGTGTCTTGCATTGTTGCCCAGGCTAGTCTCAAACTCCGGGGCTCAAGCAATCCTAATGCCTCAGCCTCCCAAACATCATTTATTGAAGAGACAATTTCTTTCTCCCACTATGCTTTATATAGTTTTAGTAGCTTCTCTTATTTTTCTTCAGTATATTATTATATTGACTTCACTTTTATTTTTATTGATTGATTGATTGAGTGAGACAGGGTCTTGCTCTGTTGTCCAGGCTGGAGTGCAGTGATGTGATCTCGATTCACTGTAGTCTCCACCTCCCGGGCTCAAGCAATCCTTCCACCTCAGCCTCCGAAGTAGCTGGGACTGCGGGAGTACATCACCATGCCGGCTGATTTTTGTAGAGATGGGGTTTTGCTATGTTGCCCAGGCTAGAGCTCAAACAATCTGACCACCTTGGCCTCCCAAAGTGCTGGAATTATAGATGTGAGCCACCATGCCTGGCCCACTTTTATTTTTGAGATTTTTTTTTTTTGATGTCTGAATAGTCCTCTGTTTCCTCTGAGTTTATTCCCCTCTGCATATTTGTTCTGGTCTCTGACTTTTATGTTGGAAGTTTTTTCCAAATATCCATTGACCATTGGTACTAACAAGCTGATTGAAACTCCAGCTTGAGAGGTTTGGTGACTGGTGTGCTTTACCAGAAGGTAATCTGGTAGGGATCTAGGTCTTTCTTTGGGAGAAGCTTAACCAGTGTAAGTGCCTTCTGGCCTTTTTATCTGGAGATCATTCAGTTTCTCCAGAAAAATTCTTCTACTCTATTAATTGCTGAGAATGAACCTAGCTGTCATTGTTTGGGGAGCCCATCTGGGAAAGAAGAAGGGAAAGACTACATGGCTGGTAAATGGTAGAGGGGATGTACATTCAAGTTGTGTGACTGTGAACCCCTCGCTGTGGGCTACTATGGTTATTGCCTCCTGTGTTGAATCCTAAGAGGGGCTTCACAGCATTTTTTCCAATTTCCTTTTGTGGTAAATACACACATAAGATTTACCATCTTAATCATTTTTTAAGAGTACAGTTCAGTGGTATTAAATACATTCTTAATGTCATGCAGCCATCACTACCATTTATCTCCAGAACTACTTTCATCTTGTAAAACTGAAACTCTGAACCCATTAAACAATAATTCCCCATTCCTTCCTCCCTCCAGCCCCTGGCAACCCCTTTTTCTACTTTTTTTTTTTTAAATTGAGATGGGGTCTTGCTCTGTTGTCTAGGCTGCAGTACAGTGGTGTGAACATGGCTCACTGTAGCCTTGACCTCCTGAGTTCAAACAATCCTTCAACTTCAGCCCCCTGAGTAACTGGGACCACAGGCGCATGCCACCATGCCTGGCTAATTCTTTTTAACTATTTGCAGAGATGAGGTCTCCCTATATTGCCCAGGCTGGTCTTGAACTCTTGGGCTCAAGTGATCCTCCCACCTCAGCCTCCCAAAGTGCTCAGATTATAGGTGTGAGCCACAGCACCTGACTTCTACTTTCTGTCTCTTTAATTGTTCGCTGTTCTAAGTACCTCATGTAAGTGGAATGGAGAATATTTGTCTTTTTGTGACTGGTTTATGTCACCTAGCATAATGTCCCCAATGTTCATTCATGTATACGTTAGAGTTTTTTCCCTTTTTAAGGCTGCATAATATTTCAGCTTTAAACACTTTTATATCAAGTTTTTTTCTTACTTATTGTATATAATAGCCCCTCTTGGTTCTGTATATAGGACAGTTAGGAAGACTATGTATATGATTATATTTAATTATTTGCATGGTAGAGATTTATAATTTGTTCTTAATTTGCAGCTTTTTTCAAGGAGCAAACCTCCAAGGGGCCTGTATGTTTATGGAGATGTTGGTAAGTGTGTTAAAATAAGTTTTGGGTGGGCAAAACAGAAAGTTTCTCAGCTTTCTCTCAGGGATGATTTCTATTTCTATCCCTCAATCTGTTACCAGCAAGGGAATAGGATGAGGCAGGGTAAGGTAGGGAGAGAAGAAAAGGGAGAGAGGGCAGTTATCTCAGCTTTTACTTTACTTCTCACAGGATACAGCTGTAGTCTAGGGCAGAATTAGTCACCATGTTAGGGTGCAAACATTATTTAATGTATAAAGTAATTAATATCAGGGAAGGAAATCAACTACAGATAGGTTATTAGACAAATCAGGATTCCATGACTCATTAACTCAGCTTAATACTTTTTAAAAAAATAAGCTGTTCTTTTTTACTTTTAATTTCCATTAATATTTCTAGTCATAACCTAAGCCCTTGGATGAATAATTTAGTCGTTATTATCTTTAATGTAGTTGACAGTAGATACTCTTAATGCATAAGTGGTAACATTTCCTTGGTCTCCCAGTTCTAGACATTGGGCAGAAAGACTCACATATTGCTGGAAACTTTCTGAGTGGTCACTTCTTTCTAGGTTTTCCTAATCATGTAGTGTCTTGCTTATGAAGTCTTCCCTGACCTCATTCTTACTGAAATATTCTGTTTTGTGGTTTCTATTTTCTTCAAACAAATCCTTTTCTCTTAGTCTTAAACCTCTCCTTGGCCACCCTCAGCCACTGATATCATGAAGGAGTTTCTACTTGGCTTTTTTGCCTCCTTGCTTTCAATTATTTCTTTGATGTCTTTTTTAATTTTTTAATTTTAATTTTTTCTAATCCCTCAGTTTACTGTCAATCAATTATTTCTTCTACTGGCATACTCAAAACTCACATTCACATGTAACGAGGTCAGTTTTGGACCTAGACTAATATTCACACTCTAGGCTCCCCTATAGCCACAACACATTTGCGTTATGAGGGAGTGATGGCAGGGGATATTATCTTAGTAACATTTTTAGGAAAAGAAAAAAAAAGGGCATTGAATAAGTAGGTTTTGTTTTGTTTTTGTTTTTGTTTTTGTTTTTGTTTTGAGATGGAGTCTCTCTCTGTCACCCAGGCTGGTGCGGTGGCGCGATCTCGGCTCACTGCAAGCTCCGCCTCCCGGGTTCACGCCATTCTCCTGCCTCAGCCTCCCAAGTAGCTGGGACGACAGGTGTCTGCCACCATGCCCGGCTAATTTTTTGTATTTTTAGTAGAGACGGGGTTTCACCGTGTTAGCCAGGATGGCCTCGATCTCCTGACCTCGTGATCCGCTCTCCTCGGCCTTCCAAAGTGCTGGGATTACAGGCATGAGCCATGGCGCCCAGCCAAATAAGTAGTTTTAATGCCTTAAAGATTAAACTGTTCCTTTCTAAACTGTTCCTTCTTTTTCTAATTTGTTTACTGCTACCTTGCATTGAATGTCCGTTTTGTATTTCCAGATTTAGCTAATCTAATAAGAGAGAATAATTTAGTTCACAAAAGTGAACATTAGAGATTGCCCCTTAAAATTCTTCAGGTTCTTGAAATTACAGAAAAGAAGGTCAAACTATTCTTTTTCTTAGTTCATTGGCTAATTGGTACTTTTGAGACCAATGTATACTTACTTCTTATTTTGAAAGCAGTTATAACAGACACTTGATCAATTTTATGTTCCTGCACCTTTGGGCACCATTAATGATTCTCATCTTGTTGTCAGGTCTCATTCTTTGCCTCCTGAGAACATCTACTTCCAGTACCTTCACTTTCATATTAAGTCATCGCTAAAATCAACAACTTTGTTCCTCCTGTTACCTTAACCACCTGACCATAAATGGAGATGGTTAAAGAAGCATAACTGCTTCCACTTCTGTAAAAGCACTTTTTTTTTAAAAACCCTATGAATGTTGTTGGATTTTAGTTTAGAAAATACAGCCATATGGTAACTAATTGAAGGGAAGCATATTACAAGTTATTCATCTGAGTGTTTGAAAGCAATAGAAAAGATGTGATAGTATGGGATGTTCATATAGTTTGGGTAGGTGGCAACCTTTGTTTGGAAACATCCTTATAATATAGAGAGGGGAAGAGAAAGGAATTCTGAAATGGGAAGTGAGACGAACATTTTGGTGGCTATAATAAGTTTAGTTCAGACCACTTATAAAATATGTAATCGGCCAGGCATGGTGGCTCATACCTGTAATCCCAGCACTTTGGTAGGCCGAGGCGAGTGGATTGCCTAAGCCCAGGAGTTCAAGACCAGCCTGGGCAACATGGCAAAACCCTGTCTCCACAAAAAATACAAAAATTAGCCTGGTGTGGTGGCATGTGCCTATAGTCCCAATTACTCGAGAGGCTAAGGTGGGAGGATCACTTGAGCCTAGGAGGTCAAGGCTGCAGTGAGCCATGATTATGCCACTGCACTCCAGTCTGGGCAACAGAGTGAGACCCCCATCTCAAAAATGAAATAAAATAGGTAATAAAAGATCAAGTTTTCATTTGAGGGGCTCTCTGTATGGGAGAGTAGCCTCAAAATGCCACCATAAGCTCTTATTCTTTATTCTTTTCCTTTGTTGGACTTGGGAAACAGG
Organism: Homo sapiens; assembly: GCF_000001405.40. Classification (NCBI taxonomy): domain Eukaryota; kingdom Metazoa; phylum Chordata; class Mammalia; order Primates; family Hominidae; genus Homo; species Homo sapiens. Next base: position 108,349,618 of record NC_000006.12, read on the forward strand.
TATTAAATTTTAACAAGGCTGGGCATGGTGGCTCATGCCTGTAATCTCAGCACTTTGGGAGGCTGAGGCAGGATGATTGCTTAAGACCAGGAGTTTGAGACTAGCCTGGACAACTAGGTGAGACCCCATCTCTACAAAAAAATTAAAAAATTAGCTGAGCATGGTGGTGTGTGCCTGTGGTTCCAGCTACTCAGTAGGATGAGGTGGGAGGATCACTTGAGCCTGGGAGATCAAGGTTGCAGTGAGTTGAGATTGCACCACTGCACTCCAGCCTGGGCTACAGAGTGAGGCCCTATCTTAAAAATAAATAAATAAGTAAATTGGGCTAGGTGCGGTGGCCCACGCCTATAATGCCAGCAACTTTGGGGGGCTGAGGGGGGCGGGTCATTGAGGTCAGGATTTCAGACCAGCCTGGCCAAAATGGTGAAACCCCGCCTCTACTAAAAGTACAAAAATTAGCCGGGTGTGGTGGTGGGTGCCTGTAGTCACAGCTACTCAGGAGGCTGAGGCAGAGGTTGCAGTGAGCCGAGATCGCACCACTGCACTCCAGCCTGGGCAACAGAACAAGACTCTGTCTCAAAATAAATAAATAAATACATAAGTAAATAAAATAAAAATAAATAAATAAACATGCTTGAGCTCAGGAGTTCGAGACCAGCCTGGGCAACATAGGGAGACCTCATCTCTTATGTATTTTTTTTTTTTAAGAAAAATTTAAATAAATAAATAATTTTTAAGGAGACTTCATGGGATAGAGAATACCTACCTGGTAGCACTCCCTTCCCACTTTTCATTCTTGCACTCTATTTGGGCTTTGTCCTGCTCACTTCACCTCTTTCTTCGCAGATGTGTTGAGATGATTGACTCAGATGGATTCTAAATCCTGGGAACTGCAGTAGGGTTGATGTATGAGTTGGAGGGATTATTATCATGGTTCAATCTTGAAATGAATTATTTTTGTTATAAAATGTTTATCACATCTCATATAGAAGCCAAAAGCTGTGGTAGTAGTATTTTGTGACTTCATTCATACCCTACAGCTGGCTTTCTCACAACAGAGCCTCAGCTCTTGACCAGCTGACTGCGGTGGTGATGGCAGAGTTAATGATTTCTCTGGTACACTAGAAGAGAATAAAAGTACATTTTGCTTATCAGCCCCTTTCCTGCTGCCTCCTGGTTTCACCTCACCTGTTTCACATTGATTCAGATTCTAGTTTCACCAGGTGAAAGGTAGGCTGGTTTTAAGGTTAGGAGTTAGGAAGCATAGTTCTCCCTGGCTTGGATGTAGGGATACATGTGCCTACTACACACCTAGGCTGTATTATAGAACCTATTCCTCCTGTGCTACAAACCTGTGCAGCATGTTACTGTATTGAATACTGTAGGCAGTTGTAACGCTGTGGTATTTGTTTATCTAAACATATCTAAACAGAGAAGGTGCAGTAATAATACAGTATAATAGATAAAATATGGGATGCCTGTTTGACCATGAATGGACTGGAAGTTGCTCTGAATGAATCAGTGAGTGAGTGGTGAGTGGATGTGAAGGCTGAGGACATTTCTGTATACTACTTTATACAAGATGTTATCAGTGCTGTGTACTTGGGCTACACTAAATTTATAAAAAAAATTAATTGTACTTCCATGTTAGGATAGCTATGACATCACTAAGTGATAGAAGTTTTTCAGCTTCTTTATAATCTTTTGGGACCACCATTGTGTATGTGGTCCATTGTTGACCAAAATGTCATTATATGCGTTACTGTTTATAGAAATGCGGTGGATTTTTTGATGACCTTGTATCCTGTGATCTTGCTAAATTTAATTATTAACTCTAGTGGTGATTTGGTAGATTCTTTAGGATTTTTTTGTGTGTATACAATTAGGTCATCTGCCAATAAAGATAATTTTACTTCTTTAAATTTTTATGCCTTTTATTTCTTTTTGCTGCCTCCTTGCACCAGCTAGGACCCGAGTACAATGTTGAATAGAAGTGGTGCGTGTAGACATCCTTGCCTGTGTCAAATTGTAGGGGAGAAGTGTGCAGTCTTTTACAAATAAGCATATTAACTATATGTTTTAAAAAATGTATTCAATTGTTTTTATTATGGTAAAACACGTAACATAAAATTTTCCCTTTTAAACATTTCCAGTGTATGATTCAGTATCATTAAGTCTATTCACATTGTTGTACAACTATTACCACCATCCATTTTCAGAACATGAGTGTAGACATCCTTGCCTTTGTCAAATTGTAGGGGAGAAGTGTTCAGTCTTTTACCAATAAGCATATTAACTAAAGCTTTTTAAAAATGTATTTAATTGTTTTTATTATGGTAAAACACATTACATAAAATTTACCCTTTTAAACATTTTCAGTGTATAATTCAGTAGTATTGTCTGTTCACATTGTTGTACAACTATTACCACCATCTATCTTCAGAACATTTTTATCTTCCCAAACTGAAACTCTGTGTCCATTAAACAACAACATCCTATTCTACCTCTCTCCCACATTTTCCACATCCCACCCCAGACTCCCCTGGCCTGGCAACCACCATTCTACTTTCTGTCTTTATGAATTTGATTATTCTTCAGTACCTTATATAAATGGAATCATATAATATTTGTCCTTTTGGGTCTGGATTATTTTACTTAGCAAAATATCTTCAAGATTCATCCATATTATTGTGTATTGCATATGAGTTGGATTCCTTTTTAAGGCTGAATAATATACTTGGTATTCATGGGGGATTGGTTTCAGGATGCCCTTGGATACTAAAATTTGAGGATGCTCAAGTCCCTTATGTAAAATGGTGTAGCATTTGCATATAAACTTTGTGTGTTGTCCTGTACACTTTAAATCCTCTAGATTACTTATAACAATGTAAATGGTACATAAATGCTATAATAGTTGTTATACTATATTGTTTTTTGTTTATGATGATGATTATTATTATTTTGAAGCAGGGTCTCGCTCTGTCGCCCAGGTCCTGAAGTGTAGTGGCGTGATCTCAGCACACTGCAACCTCCACCTTCTGGGCTTAAGCGATCCTCCTGCCTCAGCTTTTCGAGTAGCTGGGACTACAGGCATGCACCACAATGCCCAACTAATTTTTATATTTTTTTGTGGAGATGGGATTTTGCCATATCACCCGGGCTGGTCTCGAACACCTGGACTCAAGTAATCTGCCTGCCTTGGACTCCCAAATTGCTGGGATTATAGGTGTGAGCCACTCCACCTGTTCCTTATATTATTTTTTATTTTAAAAAATATTTTTGATCCACTGTTGGTTGAATCTGGGGATGTAGAAACTAGATACAGAGGGCCAACTGTAACATTTTATGTATATACCACTTTTTGTTTATCCATTCATCCATTAATGGATGTTTGGGTTGTTCCATCTTTTGACTATTGTGAATAATTCTGCTGTGAATATTGAAGTGTAAATATTTGTTTGAATCCCTGCTTTCGGTTGTTTTGTGCATATACTCAGAAGTGGAATTGCTGGATCCTATGGTCACACAATGTTTAATTTTTTTTTTTTTTTTTTGGACACAAAGTCTCTCTCTGTTGCTTAGGCTGGAGTGCAGTAGCACGATCATAGCTCACTGCAACCTTGAACTCCTGGGCTCAAGCAATCCTCCCATTTCAGCATCCTGAGTAGCTGGGACTACAGGCATGCACCACCAAACCTGGCTAATATTTTAAATTTTTAGTAGAGATGAGATCTCACTATGTTGCCCAGGCTGGTCTTGAACTCCTAGGCTCAAGCAATTCTCCCTCCTCGGCCTCCCAAAGTGCTGAAATTATAGGCATGAACCACTGCACTTGGCCTGTGTTTAATTTTTTTGAAGAACTGCCATACTGTTTTCCACAGTGACAGTACCATTGTTATTCTCACCAGCAATGCACAGATTCCAATTTTTATACATCCTTGCTAACACTTGTTATTTTCTTTTTTTTTTTTAATAGTCGTTCTAATGTATGTGAAGTGGTATCTTGTAGTTTTGATTTGCTTTACCCTAATGATTAGTGAATGCATTTTTGGTTAGATAATTCATGACTTTATTCTGAATCTATAAGTATACTACACTGCATGCAGCAGAATTTGAAACTTTATTAACTTTTCTGGGTAAATATAATTATTTAAAATCTACTGCTAATCACTATATCAAGAGATACTGTACTGAATATTTTTGCAATGAATGACTTTCCATCAAAGTGACTTCTTTATTAAAAAAATGTTTGGTGGATTGTTTTTTCATATACAAAAGCACTCTGACATTCAAATGGCATGGGCCCAGTGTCATCTTGTGGCTTGAAGGAAACCCAAAAGATAAGACTTAGATCTTCCTACTTTCTGAAGTGCCTTTGGATTCTAGTAATTGCAAAGGAATTACTAGACAGGAAGTGATCTTGTGGTGGTGGGAGATGGGGAAGCAGGGAGGATGTGAGACTGGACTAGCACATGCTAGCCTGGCTTACTGAGGAATGCCAGGTACAAACTGAGCTTGGGCCACTGACCCGAATGCCCTAGGCTTTCTGAGAGGGAATAAGGCATTTTATGCTACCTGCATTAAATGCTCAGGCTGTTGGATATTCAATTACAGTAGTTTCCCCTTATTCACAGAGGATAGTTCCAGTGGATGCCTGAAACCTCACATAGTACTGAACCCTATGTTTTTTTTTTGTTTTTTTGTTTTTTAAGATGGAGTCTCTCTCTTGTCGCCCAGGCTGGAGTGCAGTGGCACGATCTCACTGCAACCTCCGCCTCCCAGGTTCAAGCTATTCTTCTGCCTCAGCCTCCTGAGTAGTTGGGATTACAGGCACCCACCACCATGCCCAGCTAATTTTTGTACTTTTAGTAGAGACAGGGTTTTGCCATGTTGACCAGGCCTGTCTCAAACTCCTGACCTTAGGTGATCCACCCACCTTGGCCTCCCAAAGTGCTGGGATTACAGGTGTGAGCCACCACGTCTGGCCTATATACTATGTTTTTAACAGAGAAGGCCACTAAGTGACCAACGAGAGGGCAGTGAATACAGTGTGGATATGCTAGACAAAGGGATGATTTATGTCCTGGGTGGGATGGAACGGGGTGACATGAGGCCTCTTCATGCTACTCAGGATAGCCACACAATTTAATATTTATGAATTGTTTATTTTTGGAGTTTTCCATTTAATATTTTTAGACTATGGTTGATTGTGGGCCTTGAGTAACTGAATTCTCAGATAAGAGGGTTCTACTACTAATGCGATTGTAGTCATTAAAAGTTTTAGAGTGTTGAAAATTAGATAATTTAATTACAAGGATTGACTGTATCAGAATTTCCTCAAGTAGGCTTTATTTTGAGAGATCTATTTTCTCAGCTTTTTAAAAATAGAAGTGTTACAATTGACAATTCTCTAGCTCTAATCTACATATATGATTCATGTTCAATATTTATGTTAGATACTAATCTTTATATTTCATCTTTCTTCTCTTTTTTTTTTTTTTGTTTTGAGATGGGGGTCTCGCTATGTTTCCCAGGCTGGTCTTGAACTCTTGGGCTCAGGCAATTCTCCCATCTTGGCCTCCCAAAGTGCTGGGATTTTAGGCATGAGCCACTGTGCCCAGCCTCTTATTTTTCATTTTTGAATTTTCCCATAGTGCCTAAAACAGTTCCTTATGCATAGTAATGACCCAGTAAATATTTAATTAAGTTATTTTATTTATGCTAGTGTCTTTTGGAAGAGAAGACTGTAAATCTTGCCAGTTTATGCACATAGTTTTCAGGGGGAAATAGCCCGTGTAATGTTAACTAAATGTTGTATTTCCTATAAACAGGATTTTAACAGAAAAGAGTAATATTAACATTTTATTTTTAGCTAGTTTAACATACAAAGTAAGCTCCCCCTTCTAAAGAAGTGACATAGTCTTCAGCTTCCTAGCGGAAGAGTATGGTTTCATTATCTCAAAGCTAATGAACAATCATTACAGCAATCAGTACATACTATTTAATAGTATTCTTAAAATTTTTTTTATTTTTAAGGTACAGGAAAAACAATGGTGATGGACATGTTTTATGCTTATGTGGAAATGAAGAGGAAAAAACGGGTTCATTTTCATGGTTTCATGCTAGATGTGCACAAAAGTAAGCAATGATCTGAAAGAAGTGATTTTTTCAGTGGGGAAACGCTACAAAATGGTTTTCTTCATTGAATGAACATATACTCTTTAAAAATTAGATTTTTGCTTGCAGTAAGATTTTATTTGGTTCCATTTGTTTTGTGCTATGTTGAAACAGTCAGTAATGTGTCCAGAGTTGGTCCTTAAGACCAATTTAATACTTTCAAATCAGAGAACAGAGATTGCTGTATGAAGCTCAGGCATTTTCTGTTTCTACTAAGGGCCAATAAAAAAATGTTAAAAATGCACCTGTTTAAATAAGTGATTCTTGATTAGGCCCTTTACTCTGTGTTACCTTAGCATGTAGGCATTCAGTTTGAGTACGCATGTAAGCTTTATTGCTTTGCTAGTGATCTTACGTTATTTCACTTTTGCATGATTTGTTTACCAGCTGCACTGTAACCTCCCCAGAGCAGGAATCATGTGTTTTTTTCCTCTAATACTTGTAGCATTTAGTACACACATAATGAATGAAGTGGACTGGCCTTAGTGTATTAGGCTAGAGATAAGGGTGCATTTCGATTGCATATGCTAGACATAACATGCACTACTTGGGCAGGATCACATCCTCTGCTCTCATCCCTGAAATAAAGGACTAAGGTGGATGTGTTGATGCATCTAATCACTTGTCTATTACCTTGTCATTTCTGAAATGATTAAAGAGTAGAAATGAAATGACCTTGAAGTTTCCTTACAACTATAAGAACATAATAATATTTGAACCAACTTATTTTGTAGAGAAAATGCAAACAATTTCAATGATCAAATTTGATTTTACATGGAGTTTAAACTTAATTTTATGTCCATACTAAAGTTTCATTTAGAGATTTTAAAAATATGTTATAATTGTCTAAAAAGTACTAATATATTTCATCTGTGTTTAATTTCATGCATTTAAGGAATACATCGCCTTAAACAGAGTTTGCCAAAAAGGAAACCAGGATTCATGGCTAAATCATATGACCCAATAGCTCCCATAGCCGAAGAAATCAGCGAAGAAGCATGTCTCCTATGTTTTGATGAATTTCAGGTAAAGTAGAGATTTTTCATAGATATAGAATGGTATATTGAATGAGGTATGAAGATTTAAATTTTGCTCCTGATTTTATCATTGGTTTATAAGGTGATTTGACACATTATCTCTTACTGCTTCAATTTTACTATCTAGTTCAGGAGCTGGCAAATCACAACCTGCACAGCTGCACAGGGCAAATCTGACCTTCCTGTTTTTTTATGGTTAGTGAGAAAAGAAGAGTGTATACACACATACACACACACATGCACGTGCACACACACACACATATTTTAAGACACAGGGTCCTGCTCTGTCACCGAGGCCCAGGCTGGAGTGCAGTGGCATAATCAAAGCTCATTATAACCTCAAACTCCTGGGTTCAACTTCCCGCCTCAGCTGAGTAGCTGGAACTATAGGCTCATGCACCATACCTAGCAAATTTTTAAAAACAATTTTGTAGAGATTAGGTCTCATTATGTTTCCCAGGCTGGTTTCAAACTCCTGGCCTCAAGTGATCCTCCAGCTTCAGCCTCCCAAAGTGCTGAAATTACAGGCATGAGCCATGACACCCAGCCAAGTTTTTGTAATTTTAAAGGTAGCTGAAAGAAGAAGAAGAAGAAAAAGAAGAAAGTACAAAAGAGACCCTATATGGCTTGCAAAGCCTAAAATATTTACTATTCAGTCTTTTATACAAAAAGTCTGCCCACCTCTAAATTTTGGTCGATGACTGTACATCTCCCCTACACCACAAAGATAATGTAATTATTATAAAACAATGTCTTTAAAGATGTTTAAGTATTTTTAAAAAGTGTTATATAAAGAACAAGTGATTCATCTCATTTAAGCCTCACAACATATGTATCTGTGATAAAGGGAGGGAATTGCCTTAGTTGAACTTTTAAAGTTTCTCTTAGTTTTAGGATTCTCTGAAATTATGCGTTTAAATTGGTAGTGAGTTATTTCCTGTTCTTCTGTGTTTTATAATCTGGATTAGTGGGAAGATGATATGGCCAAGATGCTTTTATCCCAAAGCATGCATGATTGGTCTCCTTTAGCAACTGGTACACATAGCTAACAATAGTCTAGATTTATGATGGAGGGGAAAGAATTTTCACCAGCAATGCTGTTACACTAAACCATCTGGGGAAGAGGGATCTTTGCTTCTTTCTGCCTTCAGTCATAATAAGACAGACTGGACTCACCTTTGTATTTGGAACTGCAAAGGTCTTCCAAGTAAAGGCTTTATGGAAAAGAACAGATGCTCTCCTGCCGCTCTGAAGAGGCATACTAACCACATCAATGTTTTGCAGGAGAAGGGCCTCATTGAGTCGTTTGAAAAAGCACTGACTTAACAGTTATGCTGCTTTCAAGAACAAAAGTCAGTGGTGAATCAATAGAGGCCATTTCTCTTGATTTTCCATTACTAGCCTTTTAACCAAATATCTCTAAATAAAACTGAACTGGCATAGTTACAATTTTGATTAAGGTATTGAAGTTAAATTTTTAAAGAGGTTTATTAATACCTAGCCTTTGTAAAATGATCCGTAGTTTACAATGTGTTTTTACATCCTTATCTCATTTAATTCTGCAAAATAGTTGATATCTCCACATGGAGATGAGAAATCTAAAGGCATTAGAATTTCCTAGGTATCATGTAAAAATCATTACCCTTAATTTTAAAAATGTAGATTTCAAAACTTTCAGAGAAATGATTGGCTTTTTTGTTTTTATTTTTATTTTTTTTGAGATGGAGTTTCACTCTTGTTGCCTAGACTGGAATGCAATGGCGTGATCTTGGCTCACTGCAACCTCTGCCTCCTGGGTCAAGCGATTCTTCTGCCTCAGCCTCCTGAGTAGCTGGGATTACAGGTGGGCGCCACCATGCCCAGCTAATTTTTTTGTATTTTTAGTAGAGACGGGGTTTCACCACGTTGGCCAGGCTGGTCGCGAACTCCTCACCTCAGGTGATCCACCCGCCTCAGCCTCCCAAAGTGCTGGGATTACAGGTGTGAGCCACCAAGCCCGGCCTGATTGGCATGTTTTTATGGCATAAGCGTATTGGAAGGCAAGACTAAGAAGGTTAGGATGCTATGAAAATCTGGCTGTGCAAAGCACATGATCCTGAAGAAGATACAGAGCAAGCAGGGCAACTTGCCCAGTCGGTGCAGCAGACATAGTGTCTAGGGCTCATGATACTTTTAGGGATCAAGAAAATATTATAATTTCTTTTAAAATTTGTGGACATAAATGAATATATCAATAATGACTCCAGCCTGTATCTGTCTATTTTGTATTATATTTGTCCTTATACCAACATAGTCGTAATGTTTTTTTAATTGAGGATGGGGCTTATGAAAGTAAAAGTTCCTAGGGCTTACAAGAGTCATAATGCCACCTTGATAGTGAAGTCCTACCAAAAACCTGCCTGGTTGTACTGACATACGCCATTGGGTTTAGATTTCGAAAGGTTGATATATAACTAGAAAGAAGGAAACAAAAACAACTGTCAGAACACTAATGTTCCAAATGAACTGAGTCTTGCAAAGAAATGCAGGCCACAGAAAGGATTTTTCAGATTACATGTTGAGTGTAAGGGAGATCCAGGGGAGACAGGCTCTTATAAAATGCTGCTTGCTGATGGAGAGAAAGCAGATGTGATAGAGATCCCTGTTATTGCCTGCCCTGTCCAGATTGCTTTGATATTTATTCATTCATTGACTTATTCATCTCAAGGATGCCTTGAAGGCCCTTATTCCGTATCACAGGACAGGGCCCTATCTGTCCCATAGCTAAATGGACCATGCCTGGACAGCTGATCTATAAGTAGCTAATCCACAATCTCCTCAGCAGCCTTGGACTTGTATGGTGTGGCTTGGCGAATGGGCCAGTCGTAGACCCTCTCTATTGAATTTCAACTAAATGGCACAGAGGGAAGCTCTTCTTAGTAATGAAACAGAAACAAAGAAATATAGAAAGTAATGGAGCTCCAGTTCCCATAAGGTGCCATCAGTATTGTCCCCATCCTGGAGTTTCAAGTAAATCTCTTTTCTTCAGCTGGATCTCCAGTGCCTATTTCTTACAAACAGTCTTGATGAGAATAGAACTATTCAAGTCATATTTTGCTCCCATCTGCTATGTGAAGACGTATTTCCCTATGATCTGTAAAAGATAGCATAAACATTGGTAAGAAGTACTGTGAGGAAATGTCACTTTCCTTAATATGAAATCTCTTACCTCCAGTGGAAGAATTAATCGGTGAGCTAAAGCCCAGGAAGAGAAAGATGAGGTATCTGCTAGGAATGCTTTTGGCCACAGGAAACAGAAAACCCAACTTAAAAGGGCTTGTACTCTAACGGGGAAATATTCTGTTATATAAGGTAGTGTCATTTTCCTTGCTCAAACCCTTCTGCTTCCTCTCTGACCTTGTCTCCTACAGGTTCAGCCTCACTCATTGCTTCCTACTGTTCCCAATACTATTTTCTTCATAGATTAAGGAACCGCAGTTAGTAGTTGGGTATTATACCAACTACTTATTTCTTGCAGGGCTCTGAAGAAAACATGCACAGAGATGACAAAACAAGACAATACCAAATTGATTGCTTTCATTTGATCCCAAATTTTAGTGTAGCATTTTTTTTCTGTTCCCAATTATTGCATAATATAGCATTCTTGTATGTTAGAGTTGACAACATGGGAGACCCTATTCCCCTGAGCAAGTTTGGCCTGAATGTCCTAGAATGCAAAAATGTTAATAGTCTTGCTCTTTTATTTCCTTTACAATTCCAACTTGAATCTTGGAGATTACTGCTGCACGCAAGAAAAGGCTGATATCTGCATATACCCAGTGTTAGCAGAGCCAGAGAAAGTGAAAATATAAGGGCAAGAGTGTGCCCCCTAAGGGAAGAAGTGATCTCTGCTAGTTTCAGTATCCTGAACTGTCTTCTACAGGTCTTAAAGAAGTTTCTCCAATACACCAAAATTAGATGATCACAAGTCCAAATCTCTACTTATCCCCCTTCCCTAAAACTCAAGAGGTTGAAATATACTCCAAAATGTTGCTGCACCAGCACTCTGATCCCCACCATCCACACAATGTATAATGAACAAGCAGAGCCTTTGCACTGGGGATTCTTTCTGCACAGAGTGGTCCCTCTGTTCTGAGAGCCCCCAGCTAAATTGGGGTTCCAGCACCAGAGCGGCTGGCAACCCTGCCCTAACAGGAAATGCAGGGAGCTGGACATAGGTGTTTACAGCATGCCTTTCACAGGGTACTTCTTTCACCTGGAGGATGGCCTAATGCCTGGTTGTCTGACCCATGACCAGGGGGTCCCTCACACAGGAAACTTGTTTATACTGGCATATGCCTTTGTGGCTCTTCTCTGACCTATGTCCAGTTTATGCCTGTCTGACCATTGCTCTGGCACTGGGAGCCTGATCTTGTGTTCTTCCTGGCATCCCAGAAAAATCCTGGCCTGGCGCAGACCCTGGTTCTTCAGATGGAAGGTGCAAATCAATACACCACTACAATAGAAAATAAGTTCAAAGATTGATTATTTACAGATGCTGGGCAGGGAGGGAGCAATGAGTCAGAAGGCCAGTCTTTCGTCTCTGGTCACAGGAAGCAGTAATGAAGAGTCAGGCAGAGAGAGAGAGTATGGCAACTAGCAGCATGCGTGTATGTGTGTACTTTATATATATGTAGGAATAGGACGGGGTAACTATGTTTGTGAGCAAAAGCCTGAATGGTTCATTTAAAGTAAAGGAAGCAGCAGGAAAAGTGAGGAGCCCCATCTTGTAAGCAAGAGCTATGCCTCTAAGCTCTTATCTCTGGCCACAGGCTTGAGCCATTGGGTTCTACTTTTAATGCCTAGGCAGCAACCGTTGCTGTGTGGTTTCCCTCACACCCTAACATATTCCTAAGAGGAACTCCCTCATTTCATCATATCTTTGCTCAATTACCTCCTTAACAAGGCCCATCTTAACACCCTATTTGAAATTGCAGCTTACCGTTGACCCCCACACTTCTGGTGCCCCTTACCCACCTTTTTTCCCATATCATATATCACCTTTTAACATATTATATGTAATTTACTTATTTATTGTGTTTATTGTTTATCTGTATTCCCAGAATGTAAACTTGAAGGCATGAATCTTTATTAATTGATGTCTCAGGTTTCTAGGACAGTGTCTGAGAATGAATGAATAAGTAGTGAATAAATAAATGAATGAATGAATGAATCTAATACCAAATGAAAACTGTGGAAGTGGTTCCCATATTAAGTCCCACTCCCCTTACATATAATAGCATTTCTCAAGCAAAATCAGCATTTACAGAACCCAAGGTATATTATAACTTCAACCCACATTTTTTCCTGTCATCATTCTGAATTATCTGAACATTTTTGTCTAATTGAATACATAAAAAATGGTGTCTTGTTTTAATTTGTATTCCTTTAGGAAATAATATGGTTGATTTTTTTTCATGTTTGTTTACATGCTTGTTAAATCCATCTTTTATGAACTATTTGAGGTATTGCCCATTTATTTATTAGAATGCTTATATTCCATCTATTATATATGTTCTATAATATTAGTTACTGTTTATTGAGTGTTTTTCTATGTGCCTGTGTTCTTAATAACTGTATAATGCTAAATATAATTCTAGCTACAGCTAAAATTCTATGTAGCTATACATTAATAATACAGAATTATATTAATACTAGCATATATACCATACATAGGTAATAGTCAAAGTTAATGGTCTCTCATTTCTTGAGAGTTTACTTTATGTCTCATAACAATATTGCAAGGTAAGTATTATTACTGCTTTCGTTGCATTGATGAGGAAATTGAGGGTCAGAGAGGTTCAGTAACTTGACCAAGGTCACACAACTGGTAACTAACAGTTTAAGTCCAGCACTAATGCTCTTGTTTACCAGTAACAGCTATGCTATACATTTTCCTTAGTATATAAAGTCTTGTATTATGTGTTTAAATATACAATTCTAGAGCTGGGTGGGGTTTTGGTAGATGTTTTAGTGATGGAACCTAAAAATTATCCTTAAGCCTATTAAGCCTAGTACAATACTTGCTGATTTATTAAAAAAGAGTTTTTAAGGCACTTTATTCTTAGTGACAGTATATCTACAATCACCACTTCACTTTTAAAATGGAATCGTATTAGTAGCCTTGATTTTTAGCTAGTTATTATTGGCCTTTAGGTAGTGTTAATTAATATAATATTTATTTTACTAGGGAGACGAATGGTAATTATTGCTGCTTAAAAACATGGATATACTCCTTTTTTGTGCTCTTGAATTTAAGGAATTTTAAAGATTATGTTTTGGTAAGCATTCAGATTACACTTGCAGAATGCTCTTCATTAGTTTGGTCTTCCTTACTAAGTGTAGAATTTCAGCTTTTTTTAACTTTTAGTTTCAGGGGTGTGTGTGCAGGTTTGTTATATAGGTAAACATGTGTCACAAGAGTTTGCTGTACTGATTATTTCGTCACCCAGGTACTAAGTCTAGTAGCCAATAGTTCTTTTTTCTGCTCTTCCCCCTCCTCCCACCCTCTACACTCAAGTAGGCGCATTTCAGTTTTACCTGAGGTGTTAGATACACGATTCTTACCTTGGTTGAGAAATGTGTTTGGATAGTTTTTTTTTGTTTGTTTTTTGTTTTTAACATGTGTTTTGGTTGGTGAAATAAATAATAGCTTATCTTCAGAGTTTTCCTTAGGATCTTCATTATGTCCTCTTGGAATATTTATGTTACATGTTAAACTGTTTATGATTCTGAAGACATCAGATTAGTGAGGAAAACTGATTTTTAAAAATGTTATTTCTTCATATCTCTTCTGAGAGGGACACTAAATAGATGTTTTACTAATATGGGTCCAGAAAAAAAAAAAAGAATTCTGATGAGCAGAAGATCATGCAAAATTCTCCTCTATCAGCTATCAATATCATTTAAAAAATAGGTTTAACCATTTTTATGAAGCAGGAAGAAAGCTATTAAAAACTGCTAATAAAAAATAGGTGCTTATTTTTGTGCTAATCCTAATTACTGATAATGCATGCTTATGTTTGTCACTCATTATATGGCACTGTACCAATCAGTGGATGACTGAGACTCAAGCACTCACACATGTAAATTAACCATTAGATTTTTTTTCTTTTTTACTTAAGTGAGTCATAATGGAAAGCAACTCTAGGTTATAAAAAAATCTTTTCTCTTTAATGCTAATGAAATGTCTCCACTCTCTGTATTAGCAGACTACCCTTATTGGTAATCTGTAGCCTTCTCTTTTGTTCGTGGTGGTAATGAAATGCTGGGTACTGAAAAAGCCAGCTCTCCAAGAATGTGTGGCCAATTGTCTTCTGTTCACTTATACTGTAAAATTACCGTTCCCCGGCAAGGCCGAACAAGTGCGGGGACAAGATCAAAAGAGTATACATTGGCACCCGGCTACAGCAAGTGACTCCTGCTTTATTAATTAGTCATAGCTTCTCCAAGCTAATTTACTCTGATAGGGCAAAAACATTCTGAAATATAAAAACAGCAAATTATAACTCAACTACAAGCCTTTACTGTTTGCTTTCTTCAACTTTCAGTTTAAACCTTTGCATTATGTTACAAGCTAAATGTCCCTTCAGTTTTCTAAACCTTAGGGCACAAAAGCTATTTTACATTTTTTTCAAAGACATTAATCATACAGTCAAATGACCATTTTTATTCTCTAAAATCGGGTAAACTTTCATTGATACTGTTCTTTTAAAAAGTCAGTGTATTGGCAATGTAATTTAAAAGTGCAGTTGCTATTAAAATGTGCAAGCTCGTTCTGTCCTCTCATCAGAAATGCCACTGGTGTTCAAGCATTTGAAAAGGACTTTCTCTGTCAGTGTTTTTGCGGAAGCCAAATTTGACAGTGATCCTAAACTCCAAATTAAATAATATCAGCACCACTTTCCTTTTCATTTAATCACCATTTTGAAGTTCCTGAAGTCTTTTTAATGTAAGGAATCTTTAGCAGTTTTTTAGTTATAACCTGAGACAGCCAAAAAAAAAAAAAAAAAAAAAGTACATCTCTATTTCATGGTTTTGTTGTTTTCAGGTGGGAAAGAAGATATTAGCTGTAAAAAGAAAAGTGATTTAGACCTGTGCAACCCAGGTTATTGTTAATTGCATTATAACCATTCGGTTTGTAACTTTTAGTATTTTGATTTAATTGAAAGAATTCACCAATTTTTATGTCCTCTAATGGGGTTTAAAAATAACAATGTACTATATCTTGTGGATATATGTAAAGCAAGTTGTACTGAGATTATTTGAAATGTGCTATCAAAGAAAGATCAAAACATTTTTACATTGGGAGTATCTAAAGTCCATGTTATTATATACTTAGGGGAAGTTGCAATGATTGATGTCAATCTTCATTACACATTTATTTTTGGAGTCAACTTCTTTCCCTTCTTAATTGTTGTCTTTGTGAATTTTAAAAGCCTTTAGAAAAAGTTACATCATTAAGCTTACTTCGTAATTGTGAATTTAAAAAATAATTTTAGAAAAGATCAATAAACCTAACTTGGATGGAATAGTTTCATCTGTATTATGCATTTCTTGTATTGTCACAAGTTATTTTTTTAAGGGACTATATTAGCCATTCTTGAAAGGTGGTTTTTTTTGTTTTTTTTTTTTTTGGTAGAAGGAATATTTGTGTTTGTGAAGGTTAGCAGAGGCTGGCTGTGCTGGAAGTGACTGCAGTGCCTTTTGATTATTCATGGACAGTAATAGAAGGCACTTAAAAAGAACAATGAAATTGCTTATTTTTGTGATGGGCCATCTGTTGAATTGTTTTGTGCAACAATTGCACAATAGTATCTATGTCATATCATTCTATTTTCAACAGCAGCTGATTATGTCTCACTGGCTACTTGTCCTTATTTCTAAAGGCCCATGACCATTTAAAGTCACCTTTCCAGGGACCTTTGCCAGAAAGGTATTAGAAATCTCAAACAGCCTGTGTATTTTATTATTATTATTTTTTCATCTCTCTTTTTTGAGGGGGTGTGGGAAGCGGGTGGGAAGAGGAGGAGGGTGTTGGTCATGTTAGTTCTAATTAATTAGACTTCCTAAATGTTTAGGACAATTATCTATGCTTTCCACCTGTAGTTCTATAAAAGAAGTTATCATAGAACCATTTGGTAATTTGTGTAGAAATGATAGGCTTGCAAAAAAGAAGAGTCAAGTTTAAAAGACTGCTATACAGTGTTTCATGCTTTTAATTATCTACTCTTTTCTTCATGATGATAATTAGAATTTTTCTCTTGGAATTTACTTCCATCTTAAAAAAAAAGATGATCCACTAGCAAATTTGTTACAGCAGAAGTGAAATTAAAATAAAACAAATGTGTTGTTGTCAATAGGTCACTGACATTGCTGATGCCATGATTCTGAAACAGCTTTTTGAAAATCTGTTCAAAAACGGGGTCGTCGTTGTGGCAACATCCAACAGGCCACCGGAAGGTAAAAACAAACATTGTGCTAGTCTCATCCAATTAGGTGGAAACTAACAAGCTTTTAAAAATCCATAATTTTGAACTAAATGTATTGTGTTAATAAATCTGATGACTTTGCTTATTATTAGTTTTATAACTGGCTTAATCTGAAAAATCAGTTGGTATTTGCATTTGAAAAGTTTTGTATCCTTAGCAAGCTAAATCCAGTTGATTCCCATGTTTGGTGCACTTGCTGTTTTTTTGTTTTTTTTTTTCCCTAAATATTAGATATGTCATATGTGCTTAGCAAAAAATGCAGGCCTTTTGGACTGCTTTTTATGGCCCATAAAAGAAACTCAACCAAATGAAAGACGAAACTCATAATTAAATTTTAGAAAAAGACCGAAAACTTGCTTGCATGAATAGTTTCTAATACTTCACTTAAATTATCATTTCTAAAAAAGCACTTGTGGCTTATTAGGAAAGTACTTAAAAATTAAAATACAAGTAATATTTAGATTAAAAACAACAACTTTAAAATCTTGCATCTTTCAGCCCATCACGTGCTCAGTTAAAGGTCTAAGAAACCACAAATATTTCATGAGAGACTTAATGGGAACATCTTTCTGCCTGGAGTGCTGTTTCTCCAGATATCTGCATGGCTAAGCCCTCACCTCCTTTGTCTTTGCTCAGAAGTTACATTGCCAGTGAAGCCTAGACTTGTCTCCCTGTTTGAACCTGCAACACATCCCTTTCTTCTTGGTGCTGCTTCCCTTTACCCTGCTCTCTCTTTTACCCATAGCACTATGGACCTACCATATAATTTACTTATTTATTATATTTATAGTTTATTGTCTGTTCCCTTCCAGGATACAAAAGCTTCATGAGGGCAGTGATTTTTATCTCTCCTGTTCTCAGATGTGTTCTCAGCACCTATAACAGTGTCTTACACATAGATGGTTCTCAGTAAATAGTCTTAGAATGAACATTGGATGATTGCATGTTTTAAAAAGATCTCTCTGGCTGCAGTGTTGAGAATAGAGTGTGGGTATGGGGTTTCAGGGTTAGAAGTAAGGAGACCTTTTAGGAGACTACTGCAGCAATCCCAAGGGGAGGGGAGGTGATGGAGCAGTAAAGTGGTGAGAAGAGGGCAGGTTCTGGATGTACTATATAGGCAGAGTCAGCAGGATTTACTGATGGAATGGAGCTAGAGTATGAAAAAAGAGAGAGGGATCAAGAGTAACTCAAAGGTTTTGGCCTGAGCAATTGGAAGGATAAAGTTGCTGTTTACTGAGATGGGGAAGACTACAGAAAAAGCAGATTTGGTTAGGGAGGTGGAGGTAGGGGTTTCTGTGGTGACAAGGGGGATACATATAAGAGTTTGGACTTCATTGGAAAAGTCTGGGCTGGAGATATACATTTGGAAGTTATCAGTCCTCAAGGAGGCAGGAAAGAGCAGCTGGTGAGGTAGGAGGAGAACCAGGAGAGTGTCAAGTGAGGAAAAGAAAAGTAGTACAAAAAGAATTGATGATTACTTCTGTTAAGTGCTGCTACAAGCTGAAAATGAGGTTGAGAATTAACCATTGCAATTAGTAACATGGAATTCATTAGTGAGTCTGAAAAGAGTAATGCCATAGTGGGAACTTTTTTTTTAAAGTAAGCTATGCCACATTGATGGTGTATATTGAATTTTAAATTGCTAACAGACCCAGATCTTACTATGTAGCCTGCTGTGAAACTAGGTCTCTCTCATTCTATGTTTGTGTAGTGGATTTCTTTTTCTTCTATTACATTTCAGCTTATTAGTCTTATGTTGTTCCATTTTATTGATTTTTATTGAAGTATTTTTTATTTTTATTTTTGTTTTTTGTTTTTATTTATTTATTTTTGTTTTGCAAATGGAGTATGTTTGAAGTATTTTTGAAGTATGATTCTAATATAATTTTTTTTTGGCTATCCCTACTATGACATTTATACATTTGATAATCATATTTCTATGTCTTTAGCCATTCCTTAATTAAAATGTGTAAATCAGATAGGACTAAATTAAGTTACTTGTTGCATACCACTGGAGGCCTTATCTTAGGAAGACATCAATTAACTAATCAACACCTTTTGGATCCAGTTATTCAAACAATTATAGTCATACCTCATCCATTGTACTACAAAAGAATTATGAGTGATTTTGCAGATGTACTTATTAAAATCCATATAATGTTATATACAGCATTCTTGTGATTAACTAGTGTTAGCCACCCTATGAGCCAAGGGAGTGAGCTTTTTAATATTAGATCTTCTATCTAGGTGGAAGTGAAACTTGTCTCTACTACAGCTGATGTGTTGATTTGACAGTGGCATCAGTATTACCTTTAGACATTCAGTGACAAGCTATGCTCGTAAATAGCAAAGAGCTAGAACAATTTTGGAAGCCCTTTAGCAAAGACTGCTGAAAGGATAATTAGGCTGCTCAGACTATGGCAGTGTGGTTAACTAACTGAGGAAGGACAGCCACCAGGAGGGATTAAGGAATGTTTTGCAGCTCCTAGCTTTGTAGGAGTGAACAAAGCTACCGGTGTGTCAGGGTAGCCTGCAGAAATCTGAGCTGGAGCCACCCTTCTGGAGAAGACTGTAAGTTCAAGATGCGGAATTGCAAAAATTGGACAAACTTAGAGAAAGCCTTTTCTAAATATAAACAGTGGAAGGAATGGGATGCTTGTCACAGACCAGGTTTTTTAGCCACAGCAGACAATCATCATAAATAACTTAATATTTTAAAGTAATGAAGATGACATGTATATGTGTGCGTGTGTGTGTGTATAATTTTATTTGTGGAGAAAAAGACTCAGAGAGACTAAGCATATCAGGAAGAGGTAAAACTGTAAGACGAAGAATGAAGCAGTGATTGCCAAGGTCCAGGGTGAGGAGGTGTTTGACTACAAAGGGGCAGGCTCAGGATGCAACTGCTGCATCCAGATTGTAGTGGTGGTTACATGTGCTAAAAACTCATAGAACCGTAGGCCAAAAAAGTTACATATTATAAGTAAATTAAAAACAAATGACATGGATAGTGAATGACAGAACAAAGACTAGAACTTAGGTTTTGTGACTCTTTTTACACATTGTTTTCTATCTTTTTGCCTTATGGTCATCACTGATCTCTGTCTATCCTGTCCTAGAGAAAGAACGTCCTTTTCTTAAAACAGCAGCTCAAAGTACTGTATTAAAAAAAGGTGGGAGGGGGAGAAGAAAATAAAGAAGAGTGTCCTCTTTTCCAGCCATCAAAATGCGTTCAACTTTTTTTAGGTCACAATTTTTTTTTTTTGGAGACGGATCCTTGCTCTGTCGCCCAGACTGGGGTGCAGTGCGCGATCTTGGTTAACTGCAACCTCTGCCTCCTGGGTTCAAGCAGTTCTCCTGCCCCAGTCTCCCAAGTAGCTGGGATTACAGGCACCCACCACCATGCCCAGCTAATTTTTGGTATTTTTAGTAGAGACAGGGTTTCACCATGTTGGCCAGGCTGGTCTTGAACTCCTGACCTCAGGTGATACACCTGCCTCGGCCTCCCAAAGTGCTAGGATTACAGGCGTGAGCTACTGCACCCAGCCCCAGATTGATCTGGCTGGCTGGCTGGCTGGCTGGCTGGCTATCTATCTATCTATCTATCTATCTATCTATCTATCTATCTTTTAAAATAGAACCAACTTCTTAGACTGCTACAAGAGCTGGCAGAGGGTTGAGGCAAAGCTGAGTGGCTGGAGAAATGACCCATTTGAGGTAGCCAGTGGGGCTAGAGTGGAGAGTGAGGGGGAGAAGGATGCAGTAAGGTACAAGTTGATCTGTAGAGGAAAGAGCTAAACCTTTTAGCGTAATAAGGATTTTGGATTTTATTCTAAGAGAAACGCTAAGCCACTGAAGCTTATCTTAAGCAGGGACTGATGTGATCTGAGTTGGAAATATCCTTCTGGCTGTAGTTTGGAGAATAGGTTACTAGATGGGGTATAGTAATATGATGCATGCAGGGAGACATATTAGGAAGCTGTTGTAGCACACTAGACAAGAAATGATGATACCTTGGTATAAGGGTATAAGGCAGTGATTTTCAGTGAGGGGCCTCTTTTGCTCACTAGGGAATATTTGGTAACATCTGAGACATTTTTGGTTGTCTCACCTGGTGGAAGAGGGCTGCTACTGGCATCTAGTAGGTAAAGGCCAGGAATATAGCCAAAGTATCCTATAATTTAACCCCTGCAACAAGGAATTATGTAGCCTGGGTTAAGAAACCCAGGTACAAGGTGATGGCAATGGATATGGAGAGAAGGATAGATTTGAGAGAGATTTAGGGGGTGAAGTAGACAGCACTTGGATATAGGTTGGATACTGAGGAAAAAGGAAAGGACACTTTCTAATTTTCTGGCTTGTACAGCTGGGTGAATGGTGTGTCTGCCATTCAACAGAGACAGAAAACTAGAGGTTAGGAGTCTAGAACACGCATTTTCTTTTTTTCCTCTCTCTATTAATCGTTTAGCCCCTCTGATTAATTCCTTCTGCTTCATTCATCTCATTCCCTCCATTTCTAGTTATAATGCTTTGGTAATTGGTGGTCATGTAAAGCAACACCAAGTTTAGGAACCTAAGAGAGTAAATAGCTGTGGAGTGGAGTGTCTTGGAAGGTCTTGTGGAAGACAAGGGGAAGTCATACTTGAGGCGGGTGGAGGGAATAAGGTACCAAAGACTGCTTTCCTGCACTTCACTGTTTTTTCTAGCCCTAACTTCCAGTTCATGCCTTGTTTGGGTCCAAGGCCTCACCCTCTGTACACCATGCAGCTGTTAAAACCCCAAATCAGTATAAGCTTGTGATTACTACTTTATTTTTTGTTTTGTTTTATTTTTGTTTTGTTTTGTGACAGTCTCACTCTGTCACCCAGACTGGAGTGTAGTGGTGTGATACCACTACAAGACACTAGAAATGTTGTTTAAAATAAACTAAACAGGCTGGGTGTAATGGCTCATGCTTACAATCCCAGCTTTTTGGGAGGCCTAGGCAGGAAAATTGCTTGAGCGCAGGAGTTTGAGACTAGCCTGGGCAACATAATGAGACCCTATCTCTATAAAAAATTTAAAATGAGTTGGGCCTGGTGGCAAGTGGTACTGCTCACTGCATCCTCGACCTCCTGAGCCCAAGTGATCCTTCTGCCTTAGCCTTGTGAGTAGCTTGGACTACCAGGCCAAGCAAATTTTTAAATTTTTTGTAGATCTCCCTATGTTGCCCAGGCTGGTCTCAAACTCCTGTGCTGAAACTATTCTCCCACCTTAGCCTCCCAAAATGTTGGGATTATAGGCTTGAGTCCCTGTGCCTGGCATGATTACTATTTTAGTTTTTAGCTTTCTCTTTGTTTTTTGGTCTCTAGGGATTTTCCTTTCTGGCAGTCTCAAAATGTTTATTAAATTTAATTAACTAATTATTTATTTTTAGAGACAGAGTCTTACTCTGGCCCAGGCTGGAGTGCAGGGGTATGATTATGGCTTGCTGTAACTTTGAATGCGTGGGCTCAAACCATCCTCCTGCCTCAGCCTCCTGAGTTGCTAGGACTACAGGCATGTACCACTGTGCCCAACTAATTTTTAATTTTTTTTGTAGAGTTAGGGTCTCATTATGTTGCCCAGGCTAGTCTCAGACTCCTGGGCTCAAGTAGTTCTCCCTCCTAGTCCTCCCAAAAGGCTGGGATTATAAGCATGAGCCATCACGCCCAGCCTGTTTAGTTTATTTTAAATAACATTTCTAGTAGTAGTACTATTATGTATGTATATATATATATATTTCACTTTATATAAATTATGTAAATTCACTTTTTTTCATTTATTTCAAATATGTGATGACATAACTATAAAATTAACATTTGGTTATTTTCTTTATTTTTTAAATTTATTTTTATTTTTTGCTAGGAAAAGATTTTTATTTTATTTTTTTACTTACCAAATAGTTTTATATTTTAGCTATGAAGGTCAATTACCAGAGCCAAACTTGTTCTTTTTTTTTTTTTTTGAGACAGAGTCTTGCTCTGCCATCCAGGCTGGAGTGCAGTGGTGTAGTCTTGGCTCACTGCAACCTCCGCCTCCTGGGTTCAAGCGCCTCTCCTGCCTCAGCCTCCTGAGTAGCTGGGATTACAGGCACGCACTACCATGCCTGGTGAATTTTTGTATTTTTAGTAGAGATGGGGTTTCACTATGTTGGCCAGGCTGGTCTCAAACTCCTGACCTTGTGATCCGCCCACCTCGGCCTCCCAAAGTGCTGGGATTACAGGTGTGACCCACTGTACCTGGCCCAAACTTGTTCTTAACAAGTAAAATTGTTATGTCCATTAAGTCAAAGAGTCTCTTAAACCTTTCTGGGCCTATTTACTTGCAGAGAGGAGTAGAAACTGTAACCAGGTTCTTCATGTCATGCATTCACATGTGATGCCCAATCTTCATATGCTGTCCAGTTTCTTTAAGATAAAAAGAGTGATTCTCAGCAGGGCCATGTACAGGAGGAAGTTCTATATGGAGGAGAACACATCCTCATGCATCTTCTCTTTCACCTCCTCCAGGTCCAGCTTTGGCATGAGGCCCTCCATCCAGAACATCATGGTCTGACTCAGCATATGCCATGCTCTGCTCTTCTCAGTGGTTGCCTTGTGCCCAGAACTCAGCCTAGATTTTTATTTTTATTTATTTTTGTTTTTTACTTTTTTATTTTTCAACTTCTGTCTTAGATTCAGGGGGTACACGTGCAGGTTTGTTACCTATATATATTGCATGATGCTGAAGTTTGGGGTACAAATGATCCCATCACCTAGGTACTGAGCATAGTATCTAACAGTTAGTTTTTCCACCCTTACCCGCTTCTACCCTTCCCCTCTAGTAGTCCCCCGTGTCTATCATTCCCATCTTTATGTCCATGAGTACCCGATGTCTAGCTCCCACTCATAAGTGAGAACATGTGGTATATGGTTTTTTTGTTCCTGCATTAATTCATTTAGGCTAATGGCCTCGAGCTGCATCCATGTTGCTGCAAAAGACATGATTTCATTCTTTTTATGGCTGTGTAGTACTCCTTGGTGTATATGTACCACATTTTCCTCATCCAGTCGTCATTAATGGGTACCTGGGTTGATGCTATGACTTTGCTATTGTGAATAGTGCTGTGATGAATGTGCAAATGCATGTCTTTTGGTAGAATGATTTGTTTTCTGTTGGATAGACACCCAGTAATGGGATTGCTGGGTCAAATGGTAGTTCTGAGATTTTTTTTTTTTTTTTTTGAGATGGAGTCTAGCTTTGTTACTCAGGCTGGAATGCAGTGACATGATCTCGGCTCTGCCTCCCAGGTTCAAGTGATTCTCCTGCGTCAGCCTCTCGAGTAGCTGGGACTACAGGCATGCGCCACCATGCCCGGCTAATTTTTGTAGTTTTAGTAGAAGATGGGGTTTCACCATATTGGCCAGACTGGTCTCGAACTCCTGACATCAAGTGATCCACTTGCCTCGGCCTCCCAAAGTGGTGGGATTACAGGCGTGAGCCACTGCGCCTGGCCGGTAGTTCTGTTTTAAGTTTTTTGAGATGTCTCCAAACTGCTTTCCACAGTGGCTGAACTAATTTACATTCCCACCAATGGTGTATAAGCATTCCCTTTTCTCCACAGCCTCACCAGCATCTGTTATTTTTTACTTTTTAATACAAGCCATTCTGACTGGTGTGAGATGGTATCTCATTGTGGTTTTCATTTGTGTTTCTCTCGTGATTGGTGATGTGGATTTTTTTTTATATGTTTGTTGGCCACTGTGTGTCTTCTTTTGAGAAGTGTCTGTTCATTTCTTTTGCCCATGTTTTAATGGAGTTATTTGTTTTTTGCTTGTTCAGTTGTTTAATTTGCTTATAGATTCTGGATATTAGACCTTTGTCAGATGCATAGCTTGCAAATATTTTATCCCTTTCTGTAGGTTGTCTCTTTACTCTGTGGATAGTTGCTTTTACTGTGCAGAAGTTCTTTAGTTTAATTAGGCCTTACTTACAAATTTTTGTTTTTGTTGCAATTGTTTTTGAGGACTTAGTAATAAATTGTTTCCCAAGACTGATATTCAGAATGGTGTTCCCTAGATTTTCATCTAGGATTCTTATAGTTTGAAGTCTTACGTTTAAATCTTTGATTCATCTTGAGTTAATTTTTGCATATGGTGAAAGGTCCAGTTTCATTCTTCGGCATATGGCTAGCCAGCTATCCCAGCATCATTTATTGAATAGGGAGTCCTTTCCCCATTGCTTATTTTTGTCAACTTTGTTGAATATCAAATGGCTTTAGGTGTATAGCTTTATTTCTGTGTTCCTTATTTCATTCCATTGGTCTATATGTCTGTTTTGGTACCAGTACCATGCTATTTTGGTTACCATAGCCTTATGGTATAGTTTGAAGTTGGTTAATGTGATGCCTTTGGCTTTGTTCCTTTTGTTTAGGGTTGCTTTGGTTATTTTGGCTCCTTTTTGGTTCCATATGAATTTTAGAATAGTTTTTTCCAAATCTGTGAAAAATGACATTGGTAGTTTGATAGGAATAGCATTGAATTCATAGATTGCTTTGGGCAGTATGGCCATTTTAATGACATAGATTCTTCCAATCCATGAGCCTGGAATATTTCTCCATTTCTTTGTGTCGTCTATGTCTTTTAGCAGTGTTTTGTAGTTCTCCTTGTAGAGATCTTTCTCCTCCTTGGTTAGATGTATTCGTAGGCATTTTTTGTGTGTATGGCTATTACAAATGGGATTGCATTCTTGATTTGGCTCTCAGTTTGAATGTTATTGGTGTATAGAAATGCTACTGATTTTTATATATTGATTTTGGTATCCTGAAACTTTCCTGAAGTTATTTATTAGTTCCAGGAGACTTTTGATGGAGTCTTTAGAGTTTTCAAGGTATAGAATCATACTGTCTGTGAAGAAAAATAGTTTGATTTCTCCTTTTCCAATTTGGATTCCTTTTATTTCTTCCTCTTGCCTGATTGCTCTGGCTAGCACTTACAGTACATGAATAGGAGTGGTGAGAGTGGACATCCTTTCTTATTCCAGTTCTCAAAGGGAATGCTTCCAGTTTTTGCCCATTTAGTATGATGTTGGCTGTGTTTATGTCATAGATGGCTCTTATTATTTTTTAGGTGTGTTCCTGCGGTGTCTAGTTTCTTGAGGGTTTTTATCATGAAAGGATGTTGGATTTTACTTAAAACTTTTTCTGCATCTATTGAGATGATTCTATGGTTTTTGTTTTTAATTCTGTCTATGTGGTGAATCACATTTATTGATTTGTGTATGTTGAACCAACCTTGCATCCCAGGACTGAGGCCTACTTGATTATCATGAATTAACTTTTTTTGGTGTGTTGTTGAATTCAGTTTTCTAGTATTTTTTGAGGATTTTGGTATCTGTGCCCATCAGGGATATCAGCCTTTTTATTGTCTCTTTGCCAGGTTTTGGTACTAGGGTGATACTGGCTTTGTAGAATGAGTTAGGGAGGAGTCTCTCCTCAGTTTTTTGAAATAGTTTCAGTAGAATTGGTACCGGCTCTTCTTTGTATGTCTGGTAGAATTTGTGTGAATCCATTTCTGGTCTAGGGCTTTTTTGGATTAGTAGGTTTTTAATTATTGATTCAATTTTGGAACTTGATATTGGTCTGTTTGGTGTTTCGATTTCTTTCTGATTCAATCTTGGGAGATTGTATGTTTCCAGGAATTAATCCATTTCCTCTAGATTTTCTAGTTTGTGTGCATAGAGGTGTTCATATTAGTCTCTGAGGATCTTTTGTATTTCTGTGGGATTGGTTGGAATGTCACCTTTGTCATTTCTGATTGTGCTTATTTGGATTTTCTCTCTCTTTTTCTTTTTTAATCTAGCTAGCAGTCTATAGATCTTGTTTATCCTTTCAAAGAACCAACTTTTGGTTTCGCTGATTCTTTGTGTGGATTTTTGAGTCTCAATTTTGTTCAGTTGTGCTCTGATTTTAGTTTTCTTCTGCTAGCTTTGGGGTTAGTTTGTTTTTGTTTTTTTCTAGTTCTTCTAGGTGTGATGTTGGATTGTTGATTAGTATCTCTGGGATATGGCTTTTGCTATATCGCAGAGATTTTGGGATATTGTGTCTTTGTTTTTATTTATTTCAAAGAATCTTTTGATTTCAGCCTTGATTTTATTGTTTACCCCAAAGTCATTCAGGAGCAAGTTGTTTAATTTCCATGTAATTGTGTGGTTTTGAGAGATCTTCTTGGTATTGATTTCTATTTTTATTCTACTGTGGTCCAAGAGTATGGTTGATATGATTTTGATTTTTAAAAAATTTATCAAGACTTGCTTTATGATTGAGCATGTGGTTAATCTTGGGGTATGTTCTGTGTGCAGATGAGAAGAATGTATATTTGTGGTCGATATATAGAGTATTCTGTACATATCTATTAGTCCAATTGGTCAACTGTTAAGTCCAGAATGTCTTTGTTAATTTCCTGTCAGTGGGGCGTTGAAGTCCCCTACTATTATTGTGTGGCTCTCTAAGTCTTTTTGTAAGTTTATAGGTACTTGTTTTATGAATCTGGATGCTCCGATGTTGGATACATATATATTTAGGATAGTTAACTTTTATTGAATATAACCCTTTATCATTATGTAATGCCCTTCTTTGTATGTTTTTGCCGTTGTTGGTTTAAAGTCTATTTAATCTGATAATAAGATTTTTTTGGTCTTTTTTTTCTGCCTTTTTTTTTGGTTTTCTTTTTGCATGGTAGATCTTTCTCCACCCCTTTACTTGGAGCGTATGGGTGTCATTACATGTGAGATGCGTCTCTTGAAGACAACAGATGGATGGGTCTTGTTTCTTTATCCAACTTGCCACTCTTTGCCTTGTAAGTGGGGCATTTAGACCATTTACATTCAAGGTTAATATTGATATGTGAAGTTTTGATCCTATTGTGAAGTTGTTAGCTGTTTGCTTTGTAGTTTCTATTGTTTTTTTCTTTATAGGGTCTGTGGGCTATGTACTTAAGTGTGTTTTTGTGGTAGCAGGTATCATTCTTTTATTTCCATATTTAGGACTCCCTTAGGGATCTATTGTAAGGCTGCTCTAGTGGTAACACATTCCTTTGGCACTTGCTTGTCTGGAAAAGATTTTATTTCTTCTTTGCTATGAAACTTAATTTGGCAGAATATGAAATTCTTGGTTGGAGTTTCTTTTCTTTAAGAATGCTGATAATTGGCTCCCAATCTCTCCTGGTTTGCAAGGTTTCTGCTGACAGGTCCACTGTTAGCCTGATGGGGTTCCTTTTGTACATAATCTGCCCCTTTTCTCTAGCTGCCTTTAAGATTTTTTCTTTAACACTGACCTTGGACAGTATGGTGACTATATATGTCTTGGTGATGTTCATTTTGTATATAGTATCTTGCAGGTGTTCTCTGGATTTCTTGTGTCTGGATGTCTACCTCCCTGGCAAGATAAGGAAAGTTTCCTTTTTTTTTTTTTTGACATTTTTCACAAATTTATTTATCCATGTTCTAAGGACTAGGGAAGTTTTCTTGAATTATTGCCTCAAATATATTTTCCAAGTTGTTTGCTTTTTCTCCTTCTCTCTCAGGAATGCCAATAATTTGAAGGTTTGGTTGCATTACATAATCCCACATTTCTCAAATAATTTACTTATTTTACTTATTTTTAAAAATTCTTCTTTTTTTTTTTTTTGGTCAGATTGGGTTCGTTCAAAAGACCAGTCTTGAAGTCCTGAAATTCTTTCTTCTGCTTGGTCCAGTCCATTTATAAAGCTTTCAATTTTATTTTGAAATTCCTTAAGTGAGCTTTTTAATTCTAGAGGCTCTGATTGATTTCTTTTTGAGATGTTTATCTCTTCATTTCCTGGATTGCTTTAGAAGTTTCTTTGTCTCAATTTTTAACTTTGTCTTGGATCTCCATGAGCTTCCTTGCAAGCCATGCTTTGAAGTTGTTTTTTTGTTTGTTTGTTTGTTTGTTTTTTTGATACAGAGTCTCACTCTGCTGCCCAGGCTGGAGTGCAGTCATGTAATCTGAGCTTACTGCAACCTCCACCTCCCAGGTTCAAGTGATTCTCTGCCTCAGCTTCCTGAGTAGCTGGGATTACAGGCACATGCCACCACGCCCAGCTAATTTTTGTATTTTTAGTAGAGATGGGGTTTCACCATATTGGCCAGGCTGGTCTCGAACTCCCGACCTCAGGTGATCTGGCCACCTTGGCCTCCCAAAGTGCTGGGATTACAGGCATAAGCCACCACACCCGGCCTATGCTTTGAGTTCCTTATCTGTTATTTCTGAGTTTCTATTTTGGTTAGGTACCATTGCTGGAGATCTAGTGAAATTTTTTGGTGGTGTCACTACCTTCAGCTTTTTCATGGTGCCAGAATTCTTGTGCTGGTTCCTTCTCATCTGGAGACCCTGGCACTTCTGATTTTTGTAATTATTTTCATGCACGTAGGATTTTTTTCTTTTTCTTTTTTTTCCCTGTAATGTTGTTGTTATTATTATTATTATTATTAATTCTTCTTTCCTTTCCCTTTTCCCTGCTTGCCTAGGGGATGTGACTGTAGAGAATGCTTGGTAAGATCTTTTGGCTTTGCTTGAACAGCCCTATGCTGCTGCTGCTGCTCTTCTCCTTCTCCTTCTTCTTTTTTTTTTTTTTTTTTTTGGAGATAGAGTCTCACTTAGTCACCCAGACTGGAGTGCAGAGTGCAGTGGCCTGATCTTGGCTTACTACAACCTCCTCCTCCCAGGTCTGAGCAATTCTCCTGCCTCAGCCTCCTGAGTAGCTGGGATTGCAGGCACCCACTACCATGCCTGGCTAAGTTTTGTATTTTTAGTAGAGACAGGGTTTCACCTTGTTTGCCATACTGGTCTTGATCTCCTGACCCAAGTGATCCGTCCACCTTAGCCTCCCAAGGTGCTGGGATTACAGGCATGAGCCACCGCGCCCGGCTGCCCTATGTACTTCTTTCAGCATGTTTTATATTGGGCTGTGGAGTTTGTCTTACAAGCCTGTAGATGGCATGCACAGGTGAGAGCCAGCTACAGCCAGTGTGTTTGGGTATATACTTGATCCTTATTTACTGGCAGAAGCTCTCTGTTGCTCCAGGCGATTAGCTGATTTGTAGAATGCACAGTGGTCTGCACTCCTTGTTCAGCTCTGGTGGTGACAGGGGTTGGGAGGGTGGCAATGGGAGCCGTGAAGGGCAGAGGCAGACCTGGCAAATCTGCCTGCAGGTCCCCTGATGGTAGGCACAAGCACTAGTGCCAAGAGAGAATCCAGTGGGTGACCATGAGGTACCCAAAGGTTTTCCTAGGTGTGGAGCTGGGAAACCTGCTCAGCTCCAAATTCTCTGCATGAGGATGAGGAGATGCCCTAAGCTCCTCATCCAGGAGAGTGGGTGCTCCAGATGCCTGGCGCACTGCCTGGACATGGAGCAGAGAGGGTCTTGCTGCACTATGATCTATACCCAGGAAGCGTGGGGCAGCTTAGGCTGCTGAACCAGATGAGAGGGTGCTCTGAATGCCTGGAGATCTGCCTGGTTGTGAGGCAGAGAGGGCCTCTCCATACCAGACTCTCTGCACAGGAAGAGTGGGGCAGGTCAAGCTGCCGATCCAGGTGAGTGATGCTCCAGATGCCTGGAGATTTGCCTGGGCATGGAGCAGAGAGGGCCCCCGTGCACCAAGATCTTTACACAGGAGGGGTGGGGCAACTTAGGCTGCTGGAACGTGCACGCAGGTGGTCTGAATGCCTGGAGATCTTCCTGGGCATGTAACAGAGAGGGTCCCCCTGCACCAGGATCTCTGTTCAGGAAGGGTGGGGCAGCTTAGGCTGCTGAACCCGGCAAACAGGTGTTCTAAGTGCCTGGAGATCTGCCTAGGTGTGAAGCAGAGAGAGCCTCGCAGCACCGCAATCTGTGTCCAGGAAGGGTGGGGTGGCTTGGGCTACTGGTTCAGGCAAGTACGTATTCCAAATGCCTGGATTTCTGCCTGGGGTTGGAAGAGAGAGGGCCCTGCTGCACCATGATCTCAGGGAAGCAGAGTGGGGCACCCAATAATGGCACACACAGATCAGTTGCAGGTTTCCAAGCTGGCCCTGGCTGCAAGTCTCGCCACCCAGGAGAAACTGCAGCTGTAGCAGCTCTCTTCCGTGCCAGGCTTGTGACAGGGGAGAGCACAATTCCAGCACCTACTGCTGAAGCACTTTCCACAGTTCTGGATGTGGAGGCCCCCTATCCAACTCTGGAGCAGGTGTTCCAATCTCTGGCCTGAGACTAAAATGCCCATACAGCCATGCTGCAGGTCACCAAAGAATGGCCGAGATTAAAAATGGTGTCCTGCTCTCAGTCTCAGATCTGGGAAAATGCCTGCAGCATTTCCCAGTGTCTTTCCTTCACAGTGTCTCCAATCCTCTCCTCAAGTTAACTCTCGGGCTTGGGAGAAGCAAAATGCTTTCCCTTGGCCTGGGTTGCTTGGATCCCCAGTGGAAAGGTGAGTCACAGAGGAGACTTCTTCCTTTCTCACATACTGGGGCTTCACTCATCTCTATCAGCTGGATGCTATCATGGGGGCTGTTTTCTGGCATTCTCCTCCGTGGGTTCTGGGATGTCCTTTATGATTCTGGTAGATTTCCATTTTCCTCCTTGAATTAAAACTCACAGAGTTTATCTTTATATACTATCTTGCTATTTCCAAGTGTCTGAGGCAGGCTGAAAGCCGCTAATCCACCATCTTGGAAAAAAGCCAACCAAAAACACTCATTTTATATTTCATGGGACAATCTGGTTAAGGCTCTTGAACCTGAAATAAAGAGGATCTTGGATCAGATCCATAGGAATAGGAAATTATTTGAAAAGTTTCAGATAAAATATACACAGAGAGAGTTCGTATTTAATTTCTTATTTTTATAAAGCTTCAAGTAAATTATTCATTCAGCAATTTTGTCATTTAGGTAAATATCTTAATGTCTACATACAAGTAGATACATTTTTACTTTTCTTTTTTTTTTTTAATCAGAAGAGACCTGGATTATGGTTTTTACTTTTCAAAGATTCTAGTGTCAGGACCTGGGTGCATTTGCACATGTCTGTCATCCTAGCTACTTGGGAGGCTGAGGCAGGAGAATCGCTTGAGTCCAGGAGTTCAAGGCTACAGTGAGCTACAGTCATGCCTATGAATAGCCACTGACTCTAGCCTGGACAACATAGGAAGACCTTGTCTCTGGAAAAAAAAAAATTATAGTGTCAAGTCATCAGAATAGCTAGAAACAAAAATCCATGATTTGAAATTTCACATACGTGATTCTCACGTTTTAGGTACTGCAATAAAATTTTGTTAATTTCATGACATTCCAATAGGGAAATATAATACGACTGATTTAAGTGGATGAAGACTCTGACAACAAATTAATAATAGACTAGTAGGTTAAATTAGTTAAACATTTGAAATTAAATTAATAGTTCAACTTGAGAAATTTATTCAATCAAAAATAGAAATACATTTTTATGGGGAAATAGACTACATGAATTGAAATGACTATGCTTCTTTGGCAGATTAACAGAAGGTGCTAAAAATGTCCCATGCTGACTGACCCTAGAACTGTAAGAGCAGTGAACTTTGGAGTTTCTGGTTTTTATTCACTGTTTTTTTTTTTTTTTTTTTTGAGATGGAGCTTTGCTCTTGTTGTCCAGGCTGGAGTGCAATGGCACAGTCTCGGCTCACTGCAACCTCTGCCTGCCAGGTTTAAGCGATTTTCCTGCCTCAGCCTCCCGAGTAGCTGGGATTACAGGCACGCGCCACCACACCTGGCTAATTTTGTATTTTTAGTAGAGACGGGGTTTCTCCATGTTGGTCAAGCTGGTCTCGAACTCCCGACCTCAGGTGATCCACCCGCCTTGGCTTCCCAAAGTGCTGGGATTACAGGTGTGAGCCACCGCGCCTGGCTATTCACTGTTTATTATAATGAAAATGCATTAGATAGCATTAGAATGTCAAAATAATACTATTTTTCTTAGATTATCAGGCAATGGCATTATGTGATTCCTACTCAGACCAGCATATTCATACTAAATAAAAGACTGAATATCACTAGAAAGTTGGCTAACAGTTATGGGTATGCACGTACACACACATACTAATTTTAATTTATTATTTTAATGCTTCTAGGGGGAAAAAATACAATGTTCATCACCTTAAAGGCCGACAAAGCATTTGGCAAAATTCAACATTTCTTCATAGAATCACTTCATAAAATATAAGTAAATGAATAGTTCCTTAATATGAATACCAAATGTATGTATCTTAGTTAAAAAGTCTGAATTATGCTTAGCAGGGAAACTATGGAGGCATTTCTGTCACAGTTATGAACACATCCAGGATGACAATGATTACTTTTTAATATTGAACTAAAGTACAGACAGATTATGACAACAACTAGGTGGGAAGTGAGGGAAACTAGGAAAAAGCCACATATCTTGATTGTAGAGTTGCATCAGAATTAGACCTTGTTCAAGATTATATACACGTGCTTAAGAAAATACCCTAATATGAGAACAACAAAAGATACTGCAGCAATAAATCTAATTCTTAAAAGGTGAAAGAAGCTGAGTGCCGTGGCTTATGCCTTATAATCCCATCACTTTGGAAGGCCAGGTGGGTGGATCACTTGAGGCCAGGAGTTGGAGACCAGCTTGGCCCACATGGTAAAACTCTGTCTCCACTAAAAATACAAAAAAATTTGTGGTGGTGCGCACCTGTAATTCTAGCTACTCAGGAAGCTGAAGCATGAGAATTGTTTGAACCCAGGAGGCGGAGGTTGCAGTGAACTGAGATCAGGCCACTACACTCCAGCCTGGGCAACAGAGCGAGTCTGTCTGAGTACATAAATAAATAAATTAAATTAAATTAAAAAGGTGAAAGAATAACATCCTTTTACAGATGATCTACTAGAGCAAAGAGAAGTATGTTTTAGGAATTTTTTGTTTTATATTATTCAAAAATCAGGAAAACATAGACTCTGCAATACAGATGATCCAAGCTGAGAAAAGACAACAGATTGAGCTGAAAACTGATTTACTGAGATCAGCTGTGATAAAAGAAAGCAAAATGAAATAGAAAGAGATTGAATTAATTAAAATTAAATAAATTAAAATTTTCAGTAGAAGCACTGAACTGTAGACTTAAAACTGAAGAAAGTGAAATCGGTCATGTAGGAAAACTAACATAAGAAGCTCTGCCAGAATACAGAAATAGAATAATAGAATGATGAAGAAAGGAAAAAGTCCTTTGGTTATAAATGATAATTTTGTTCCCTTTGCAGGGAGAGTTTACAGATCTTGAGGGGCAGTGTCATCAGTTGTAACACTGGTAATTGGAGACAGATACAGTCGAGCATTTTAGAATTTGAAATATGCCTTCTGCTTTTCAAATTACTTGAAAATCTTTTCTACAAAAGTAGAAAAGATGAAAGATCAAAGAAAAAATATTTCTTAGAGCAAAAGCTAGAAAACAGCAAAAAAGTATGAACAAAAAATGTGAAACAAGATCAGATATTTCACTGACAGGGAATATAAATGGGTTGAGTTCCCTATTAAAAACGAAAACCTCTTCAGTATATGTAAGGCCATAGCCAAATGATCTTTCTGCAGGTAATAATGATAAATTCTGAGCAAAATACTCTACACAACTATGTGAAGGTCCTGGAGAGTAAAAAAAAAAAAAAAAAAAGGCTGGCAGATTCTTGAGGAAAGACAACACTTGGAAGAATGTCCAGCATGGAGAGTTTCCTGTTTTTCATGATACCAGCCTCAGGGCAGGGTAAAGTCAGTGCTGCATTGATACCTGCTATTCTCATAGAAAATCCAGTCTTTCTGGCCTGAAAAACCAGATGACAGAGTTTGCGGTAAGAACTACTGCTGGAAAATGAGAAATGGATCCCAGAGAGAACTAGATTGGTATAGCCTGAGGTTCTGTGTGTAACCCCTGCCCAAATCTCAGACTGACTTCTGAACCATGCATATGCAGGGCAGACTAACAGCTACCCAACTAGGGGTAGGTCCAGAACTGAGATTTGAGTTGCTGCCCAAGAGAAGAGTTTGTAGTTTGAATCCAAGCAAGATAATTGCCTACTAAAGCAAAAATATCAACATTCTTCAGTGAAGAAAATGAAATTCACAGTATAACATTCACGAGGTCCAGGATACAATCCAAAATTGAAAATGAGGAAAATGTGTCCCATTCTGAAGACAAAAAGCAGTTAACAGAGACTATCCCCCAATATGAACTGGATTAGCAGACAACTATTATAAAGCAGCTGGGGAAGCAATTGCTGGGAGAGGGTGAGGTAAAGAAAATATGTTCAGAATGAGTGAAAAGACAAGAAATCTCAGCAGAGAACTGAAATCATAAAAAATTTAAATTCTAGAACTATAAAATATAATATCTTATATAAAAATTCACTTGATGGGCTTAATAGCAGAATGGAGATAACAGAGGAAAGGTTCAAATAACTTAAAATTATCCCATGTAAAGAATAGAAAGAGAATAATTAGAAGAAAAGAAACAGAGCATTAGGAATGTGAGGAACTGTGCAAGCTTCTAACATATTTCCAATTAGAATCCCAGAAGACAAAGAGGAGAGAATGAGGCAGAAAAACTTTTGAAAAAACAGTGACTGAAAAATTTCCAAATCTGAAACACATAAATTTATAGATTCCAGAAACTTAGTGAACTTAAAGCAGAATAAATTAAGCACACTTTAGTAAAACTGCTAAAAACCTAAGGTAAAGAGCAAATCTAGAAAGCAACCAGAGAAAACGTGACACATTAAATATAGAGGTTTTGGGAACAGGCCCCCAAAATCTGGCCATAAACTGGCCCAAAACTGGCCATAAACAAAATCTCTGCAGCACTGTGACACATTTGTGATGGCCATGATGCCCACGCTGAAGGTTGTGGGTGTACTGGAATGAGGGCAAGGAACACCTGGCCCACCCAGGGCGGAAAACCGCTTAAGGCGTTCTTAAACCACAAATGATAGCATGAGTGATCGATGCCTTAAGGACATGTTCTTGCTGCAGATAACTAGCCAGAGCCCATCCCTTTATTTCAGCCCATCCCTTTGTTTCCCATAAGGAATACTTGTAGTTAATCTATAATCCATAGAAAAAATGCTTATCACTGGCTTGCTGTCAATAAATATGTGGGTAAATCTCTGTTCGAGGCTCTCAGCTCTGAAGGCTGTGAGACCACTGATTTCCCACTCCACACGCTATATTTCTGTACGTGTGTCTTTAATTTCTCTAGCGCCGCTGGGTTAGGGTCTCCACAAGCGAGCTGGTCTCTGCATGGAGGAGTGATGATTGGGAACTGATGACTTCTGTTAGAAACTTTGGAGCTCAGAGACAGTGGAACATCTTTAAAATGTTGAGAGGAAGAACCATCAACTTAGAATCTTATTCTAGAACTTCCTGCGAGAATGAAGACAGTAGCTCACACCTGTAATCCCAGTGCTTTGGGAGGCTGAGGCAGGAGGATTGCTTGGGGCTAGGAGTTTAAGACCTACCTGAGCAACATAGTGAGACCCCATCTCTACAAGAAATTTAGAAAAAATTAGCTGGTGTGGTGGCACATGCCTGCAGTGGGAGCTTCTCAGGAGGCTGAGGTTGGGGAATCACTTGAGCCCACAAATTTGAGGCTGCAGTGAGCTATAATTGTGCCACTGCACTCTAGCCTGGGCAACAGAATGAGACTCTGTCTCTCAAATAAATAAATAAAAGAATGAAGGCAAAATAAAGACATTCTAAGATTAAAAAGAAAAATGCCTCTCCTGGGCATGGTGGCTTATGCCTGTAATCTCAGCACTTTGGGAGGCCAAGGCGGGTGGATCACCTGAGGTCAGAAGTTTGAGACCAGCCTGGCCAACATGGTGAAACCCTGTCTCTACCAAAAATACAAAATTAGCTGGGCATGGTGGCGCATACCTGTAATCCCAGCTATTTGGGGGGCTGGGGCAGGAGAATCGCTTGAACTTGAGAGGCAGAGGTTGCAGTGAGCCAAGATAGTGCCATTGCACTCCAGCTTAGACAACAAGAGCAAAACTCCATCTCAAAAAAAAAAAGAAAAGAAAAGAAAAGAAAAATACCTAAGAGAATTTATCACCAACAAACTTGTACTACAAGAGATTCCAAAACATGTTCTTCAGGTAGAAGGAAAATAATGGGTGGGTACTTCAGTGATGAAGAAGTGAAATGCATCAGAAATGAAAATGGTGAATAGTGGGGTAAATATAAGCACTAGTTTTTTCTCTTAGTTTCTTTAAAATGTAATTGATTGTTTTACATAAAACTATAGTGTTGTCTTATAGAGTTTATAGTGTATGTAGATGTGATACATGTGACACCAGTAGCAGAAAGGGGGATGTTTAGTTGGTTCTATACGAATGCAGTGTTTCTACATTTTTTTGAAGTGATATGATATTCTAAGTAGAGCATGAAAAGCTAAGGATGTATATTGTAATCATAGAACAACAACTAAAATAAAGGCTGATAGATTAAATTAAAAAGGAATTTTAAAATGTATTCAAATAATCCAAAAAATGTAGGCAAAAAGTAAAAGAAGGGACAGAAGGAAAACAAATAATAAAATCATGGACCTAAATATTAAATGTTAATGAACATTCCAATTAAAAGGTAGAGATTATCAGAACAAATTTAAAAAATACCAAGAGATATACTTTAAAAATAAAGACACAGATAGATCAAAAGCAATTGTATGCAAAAAGATATAGCATCCAAACAGTAATGATACGATGGCTAACATGGATGTATTAGTGCCAGATTAAATAAACTTCAGGAAAAGCTGGGCTTCTCTTTCACAGCAAAGATGGATTCTGAGGTGGATGGGGAGTTCAGCTTCCCAGGGTGGCTTCCCAAGGTGGCGAAGGCTGTGGCCACACCATGGTCTCAGATGCTGAGGCAGGCCTATGTGACTGCCAGTGGGTAGGCCATGGTGAGTGGAGAAAACAGGCAGTTGTCCCCTCTGCATGCCCTGCACATACACCTGGGCTATGGGCCCCACCAGCGGATGTTTGTGCAGGGCTCAGCCTTTCCCTCGTTGGTTTCTGGCAGAACTAGGCCTGTGTCCCTTGTTCCTGGGCCATAGTGCTGAAGTTTGTCTTCTAGGGATTAGGTTGTAGATAAATCAAGTATTGTATGGTGGCTTGTGGAAGACAGTTTTGACTCTAAGATCAGTTCAACAACCGTTAGCTTCAGCTATAATCATTTATGATATCAAAAAGAAGAAATATTTTCAACATTAAGGAATTGATTACATGATTTTTAAGTTTTTTTTCTTTCTTGTATCAAGGGACAAGTCATAGATTAAAAAATTTTTGACAGCAAGCCCTATCTAATTTTATAGTTGACAAATGTGTGCTATTATCACAAAGGAGAAGTCAGAGAAAGATGCTACAGACTGCGCCAATTCATTCATACAATTTTTCTGTAGTTCAAAAACCACAATGTCTCACATTGTCTAGCAGCTAGAATTTTTTTATTTATTTATTTTTTTTTTTAGTTTAAGAAAAGCAAAAGACCACAGTGAACTTAAATGAACTCTTTAAACAAATGAGTTGAATAATTCCATCCACTTACACTAACACCCCATCTGGTAGTAAGGCCTTTAGACTCCAAAGACAATCTAGAGGCAAAGTGGAAGCTATTGTTGGCTGAGCCTCAGTCACTCATACTTCATAATGAAATAGATAGTTTTAAAAGTTAACAGGATGATTCTGGTCACTGCCATTAGTTTGTACATGGGTTTTGGGTCTTTTTCACACACAAAGGATTCCCAGAAATGTCTAAGTTTTGTTCTCTTTATCATTTTTTATTGCGTCTATTTGATTCTTCTCTCTTTTCTTCTTTATTAGTCTTGCTAGCGCTCTATCAATTTTGTTGATCCTTTCAAAAAACCAGCTCCTGGATTCATTAATTTTTTGAAGGGTTTTTTGTGTCTCTATTTCCTTCAGTTCTGCTCTGATTTTAGTTATTTCTTGCCTTCTGCTAGCTTTTGAATGTGTTTGCTCTTGCTTTTCTAGTTCTTTTAATTGTGATGTTAGGGTGTCAATTTTAGATCTTTCCTGCTTTCTCCTGTGGGCATTTAGTGCTATAAATTTCCCTCTGCACACTGCTTTGAATGTGTCCCAGAGATTCTGGTATGCTGTGTCTTTGTTCTTGTTGGTTTCAAAGAACATCTTTATTTCTG
This sequence comes from Homo sapiens, assembly GCF_000001405.40. Taxonomy (NCBI): domain Eukaryota; kingdom Metazoa; phylum Chordata; class Mammalia; order Primates; family Hominidae; genus Homo; species Homo sapiens. Next base: position 108,388,617 of record NC_000006.12, read on the forward strand.
CCTTCATTTCGTTATGTACCCAGTAGTCATTCAGGAGCAGGTTGTTCAGTTTCCATGTAGTTGAGCGGTTTTGAGTGAGTTTCTTAATCCTGAGTTCTAGTTTGATTGCACTGTGGTCTGAGAGACAGTTTGTTATAATTTCTGTTCTTTTACATTTGCTGAGGAGAGCTTTACTTCCAACTATGTGGTCAATTTTGGAATAGGTGTGGTGTGGTGCTGAAAAAAATGTATATTCTGTTGATTTGGGGTGGAAAGTTCTGTAGATGTCTATTAGGTCTGCTTGGTGCAGAGCTGAGTTCAATTCCTGGGTATCCTTGTTAACTTTCTGTCTTGTTGATCTGTCTAATGTTGACAGTGGGGTGTTAAAGTCTCCCATTATTATTGTGTGGGAGTCTAAGTCTCTTTGTAGGTCACTCAGGACTTGCTTTATGAATCTGGGTGCTCCTGTATTGGGTGCATATATATTTAGGAGAGTTAGCTCTTCCTGTTGAATTGATCCCTTTACCATTATGTAATGGCCTTCTTTGTCTCTTTTGATCTTTGTTGGTTTAAAGTCTGTTTTTTGAGAGACTAGGATTGCAACCCCTGCCTTTTTTTGTTTTCCATTTGCTTGGTAGATCTTCCTCCATCCTTTTATTTTGAGCCTGTGTGTGTCTCTGCACGTGGGATGGGTTTCCTGAATACAGCACACTGATGGGTCTTGACTCTTTATCCAATTTGCCAGTCTGTGTCTTTTAATTGGAGCATTTAGTCCATTTACATTTAAAGTTAATATTGTTATGTGTGAATTTGATCCCGTCATTATGATGTTAACTGGTTATTTTGCTCGTTAGTGGATGCAGTTTCTTCCTAGCCTCGATGGTCTTTACAATTTGGCATGATTTTGCAGTGGCTAGTACCAGTTGTTCCTTTCCATGTTTAGTGCTTCCTTCAGGAGCTCTTTTAGGGCAGGCCTGGTGGTGACAAAATCTCTCAGCATTTGCTTGTCTGTAAAGTATTTTATTTCTCCTTCACTTATGAAGCTTAGTTTGGCTGGATATGAAATTCTGGGTTGAAAATTCTTTCCTTTAAGAATGTTGAATATTGGCCCCCACTCTCCTCTGGCTTGTAGAATTTCTGCCGAGAGATCCGCTGTTAGTGTGATGGGCTTCCCTTTGTGGGTAACCCGACCTTTCTCTCTGGGTGCCTTTAACATTTTTTCCTTCATTTCAACTTTGATGAATCTGACAATTACGTGTCTTGGAGTTGTTTTTCTCGAGGAGTATCTTTGTGGCGTTCTCTGTTTTTCCTGAATTTGAATGTTGACCTGCCTCGCTAGGTTGGGGAAGTTCTCCTGGATAATATCCTGAAGAGTGTTTTCCAACTTGGTTCCATTCTCCCTTTCACTTTCAGGTACACCAATCAGACGTAGATTTGGTCTTTTCACATAGTCCCATATTTCTTGGAGGCTTTGTTCATTTCTTTTTACTCTTTTTTCTCTAAACTTCTCTTCTCGCTTCATTTCAGCTTCATCACTGATATCCTTTCTTCCAGTTGATTGAATCGGCTACTGAAGCTTGTGCATTCATCATGTAGTTCTCATGCCATGATTTTCGGCTCCATCAGGCCATTTTAGGACTTCTCTACACTGGTTATTCTAGTTAGCCATTCGTCTAATCTTTTTTCAAGGTTTTTAGCTTCTTTGAGTTGGGTTCGAACTTCCTCCTTTAGCTTGGAGAAGTTTGATCGTCTGAATCCTTCTTCTCTCAACTTGTCAAAGTCATTCTCTGTCCAGCTTTGTACCGTTGCTAGCGAGGAGCTGCGTTCCTTTGGAGGGGGAGAGGTGCTCTGATTTTTAGAATTTTCAGCTTTTCTGCTTGTTATTTCCCCATCTTTGTGGTTTTATCTACCTTTGGTCTTTGATGATGGTGACTTACAGATGGCGTTTTGGTGTGGATGTCCTTTCTGTTTGTTAGTTTTCCTTCTAACTGTCAGGACCCTCAGCTGCAGGTCTGTTGGAGTTTGCTGGAGGTCCACTCCAGACGCTGTTTGCCTGGGCATCAGCATTGGAGGCTGCAAACAGCGAATATTGCTGAACAGCAAATGTTGCTGCATGATCATTCCTCTGGAAGCTTCGTCTCAGAGGGGTACCCACTGTGTGAGGTGTCAGTCTGACCCTGCTGGGGGGTGCCTCCCAGTTAGGCTGCTCCTGGGTCAGGGACCTACTTGAGGAGGCAGTCTGTCCTTTCTCAAATCTCAAACTCCATACTGGGAGAACCACTACTCTCTTCAAAGCTCAGTTGGAAATGCAGAAATCACCCGTCTTCTGCGTCGCTCACGCTGGGAGCTGTAGACTGGAGGTGTTCCTATTCGGCCATCTTGGAACCCCCATCACCCCACAATTTCTTTATGTATTTGTTGATTGATGGGCATTTGGGCTGGTTCCGTATTTTTGCAATTGCGAATTGTGCTGCTATAAACATGCATGTGCAGGTATCTTTTTTGTATAATGACCTCTTTTCCTCTGGGTAGATATCCAAGAGTGGGAGGTAGATACCCAAGAGTGGGATTGCTGGATCAAATGGAATTTCTACTGTTAATTCTTTAAGGAATCTTCACATTAGTGGTTGTACTAGTTTACATTCCCACCAGCAGTGTAGAAGTGTTCCTTTTTTACCGCATCCACACCAACATCTATTATTTTTTGATTTTTTGATTATGGCCATTCTTGCAGGAGTAAGGTGGTATTGCATTGTGGTTTTGATTTGCATTTCCCTGATCATTAGTGATGTTGAGCATTTTTTCATGTTTGTTGGCCATTTATGTACCTTCTTTTGAGAATTGTCTATTCATGTCCTTAGCCCACTTTTTGATGGGATTATTTATTTTTTTCTTGCCAACTTGTTTGAGTTCCTTGTAGATTCTGGATATCAGTCCTTTGTCAGTTGTATAAATTGTGAAGATTTTCTCCCACTCTGTGCGTTGTCTGTTTACTCTGCTGACTGTTCCTTTTGCTGGGCAGAAGCTCTTTAGTGTAGTTAAGTCCCACCTATTTATCTTTGGTTTTATTGCATATGCTTTTGGTTTCTTGGTCATGAAGTCTTTGTCTAAGCCAATGTCTAGAAGGGTTTTTTTGATGTTATCTTCTGGAATTTTTTGGATGAAACATTTTAAAAAGCCATGCAACAGAATGCGTTTCTAGAGGATGCATTTCTTGGTCCCTCAACTGCTTCATGTCTTTTCTCACCTAAAAAGTAATAATAATAAAAATACAGCGTACAGTACAAGGCTCAACATTGTAGGTAGAGACTGAAAGCCTGCCATTGTTAATGTTGTTTGCAACCAGCGTAGGTGTTCTGATGATGCTACCATGCTGCTTACTTACCATGAACACATTATTTTTTATTGTATTAATGATATGTCATATTTTTTCCTGTTGAGTATTTATATGTGAATAAGTATAAGAAAATGATTGCTGTGCTTGCTTTGGAAGCACATATATTAAAATTGGAATGATACAGAGAAGATTAGCATGGCTTCTGCACAAGGATAAGTTTTATTTAAAAGATGTAAAATTTTTTAAAAAAGAAAATGTTTGCTTATTGGTAGCATATAAAGACAGGAATGATGGTGATGCTTAACAACCACAGATTGTCCTCATGGGTGGCAGAGATAGTGATACCTTCGCTTTCTGATCATTAAATGTACACAGTCTTTGTTTCATGCACAAAATTATTAAAAATATTGTATAAAATTACTTTTAGGTGATGTATATAAGTTATATATGGAACATAAATGAATTTCTTGTTTAGACTTGGGTCTTACTTATTATGATTTGTGTACAGTGCCTGGCAAATTGTGTAGCTTCTAGTAGGTATTCTGTAAATCTTGGTTCCTCTTTTTATTTATCTGTTGTCTTCAGCACTCGTTTCAGTGAAGACATAGTAGAATTCATCAATGTGTGTTGAATTGAATATCAAGCTATAATATACTATCAAATGGGAACATTTAATGAGCTGTACTACCTACAGATTTAGTAAATTGTTGTTTGAACTTTAGTTCTTTTAAAAGAAGCTATTTCAGCAACAGCTGCTTAAATAGTCTATAGGTAGTCTTTTCTTTTAGTCTGTAATACAATAAGAATCTCCTAGAAGGATAAATCAAATTGGTTCCATGAAACCATAAAATTATTGTGTGATAATTTATAGGAAACCTCCTTTAACAACATGTTTTAAAAGTTTTTGTTACTCTAAATCGATATGTATATATATAAATAAGCATTATTCAGCTTCTTGGTTTGACACTTGGATTTTTAAGGAAAAGATCTGCGTATCCATGTGCATCTCCAAAATATTTATTTAGGTACTTGTAATTACTTTAAAAATCCTCTTTGTTTGTGTTTCATCTGTAGGTATTATAGCTATTCACTGTTGAGAATTTAGAGGTACTTATACCATTTTTTACAAAATGAATGTCCCATAATTCTAGCATTCTGTTTTATATGACCAAGTGCTCATTTCACTCTGTTTAGAGATCATGAAGGAATCATAGTCAAGAACTCCTGAATTTTAAAATAGTATTTAGTAATGACAAATGTTGATATAAATGTATTATGAAATCTTTATGTCTAAGAAAAATAATATTAAACAGCTAATATTAAAAATTTTGTTGGCTAAATAACATTTCAAGAGATGGATGTATTGCATTGATAATTAGCACGATATTTGAATTACAAAAAACTCTTCAATTTAATGCGTATGGTCCATTTTCACTTGTGTTCTATAAAAACCTAAAGGTTCTTAAGCCAAATGATTTCTGTTTAGAATTCTGTTTAGAATACATTTCTCAGAGCATATAGTTTTGGATGATATATATATCCTTGTAAAGGCTGATTTTTTAAAAAGTTCATCCTTTAAAAAATTAAGTCTGTAAGACTTAAAGGCATTGGTATTCTACTTTAACTTTGTTGATGAGTGGAAATCTTTTAATCAAGAATATTACAAGTGGGTCTTTACATCTCTCATTGTCATTAATGAACTAAAAGGTGCATACTTGTTAAACTACATCTCAGAGCCTTATACATCCATAAAAAAGATGTTATTCTACAAGTAGGACCAAAGTGTTACCTTAACATAGATGAACTTTCATTAGTGTAGTATCTTAGTTTTAATTCTATAACATTGTGCTCTTTAATAATCACTAATTATATGTATGGCTTTTTTCCCAATAAAATTTTTAAAGGGCTTATTGAAATATAGTTGACATATAATAGGCTGCACATAGTTAAAGGATACAATTTTTAAAATACTGACATATGTATACCTTCATGAGACCATTGCCACAACTAATAGAGTGAACATTTCCATCACCCCAAAAAGTTTCCTCTTGCCCTTTTCTCTTTTTCTTCTTCTTTCTTTCTCTCTCTGTCTTTCGCCTTCCCCTTCCCTTCCCTCCCTCCCTCCTCCTTTCCTTTCCTTCCTTTTCTCTCTTTTCTCTTTCTCTCTTTTCTTTCCTTTCCCCCTCCCCTCCCTTCCCTTCCCCTCCCCTCCCCTCCCCTCTCCTCTCCTTTCTTTCCAGAGTCTCACTCTGTTGCCCAGACTGGAGGGCAATGGCGCAGTCTTGGCTCACTGCAACCTTTGCCTCCTGAGTTCAAGTGATTCCCCTGCCTCAGCCTCCCAAGTAGCTGGGATTACAGGCATGTGCTACTACACCCGGCTAATCTTGTTTTTTTTTAGTAGAGATGGGGTTTCACCATGTTGGTCAGGCTGGTCTTGAACTCCTGACCTCAGGTGATCCACCTGCCTTGGCCTCCCAAAGGGATGGAATTACAGGCATGAGCCACCATGCCCGGCCTTGCCGTTTTTTTTATCTGTCACTACCAAACCTGTCGTCCCTTCCCCAGGCAGCTACTGATTAGCTTTCTGTTGCTATAGATTTGTTTGCATTTTCTAGAGTTTTATATAAATGGAGTCACATAGTATGTACTCATTTTTTTGGTCTGGCTTCTTTTACTCTGCATACTTATTTTGAGATTAATCTATTTTGCTATGTGTATGATAGTCTATCCTTTTTATTGCTGAGTGGTATTTCATTGTACAGATATGGCACAATTTGTTTATCCATTCCCCTGATGATGGATATTTAGATTTCTTCATGTGTTTGGTTATCCCAAATAAAGCTGCAGTTTTTAGCTTATTTATGAACAAAGCTGATGTAAACATCGAGTATGATTTAAAAATTGTCTGATTTTCCATTTTTACCACTTCCCACAATCATGGCTATCAACTCTTAACATACACCAATGTTTTTATCCACCTTCCTCAGCAACTTGGCAATTAGGAAAGACTGAAAATATTTAACATTAAACCCATTTCCTGCATTTGAATCCTTTTACTCATTAGAGGTGTTTATTATAGGGAAGAAAAAAATCTCATTTTGAATCTTGAAATCTAAATAGCCTGGCCAGCATTATTTTACCTTTTATGACATTCCTAAATAAAATTTTTAAATATAACCAAATTGAAACCTGTAGTCTTTAATTACCCAAAGAGCTTATGCAAATACTTTGCTTACTATAATGATGTTGTGATGAATCTTTTCTAAAGAGAATAAATGTTTCCTAATGACCATATTTTATTTCCATAAGTATATGTGGCATTTGAAGTCTATCATAGTTATCGAATTTTCTCTAAACAAGGAAATATGGAAAAAATCCCATAATGCCATACTTTTTAAAAAAAATTGAGACACATAATCTGTGTTTTTTATTATTGAAAATTTTTTACTATTCCTTTTTTCTTTTCTTTTCTTTTTTTTTTTTTTTTTGAGACAGTGTCTCACTCTGCACCCAGGCTGGAGTGCAGTGGCACTATCATGACTCACTGCAGTCTCAACCTCTCAGGTTCAGGTGAGCCTCCCACCTCATCTTCCTGAGTAGCTGAAGCTACAGGCATGTACCACCACTCCAGGCTAATTTTTCTATTTTTTGTACAGACAGAGTTTCACCATGTTGCCCAGGCTGGTCTCAAACTCCTGGGCTCAAACAATCCACCCGCCTTGGCCTCCTAAAGTGCTGGAATTTACAAATGTGAGCCAGCGTGCTAGGTCTACTACTGTATCTATTTTCATAAAATTTTAAAAATCTCATAACTTTATAGAATGACCTTGAGGGAGGGAGGGAGATAGGTAGAGAGGGAGGGAGGGAGGGAAGGAGAGAGAGAGGGAGAGAGAGAGGGAGAGAGATAGAGAGAGAGAGAATGGAGTCTTGCTCTGTCACCCAGGCTGGTCACCCAGGCTGGAGAGCAGTGGCACTATCCAGCTCACTGCAACCTCGACATACAGGGTTCAAGCAATCCTCCTACCTCACCTTCCAAGTAGTTGGGCCCACAGGTGTGTGCCACCACACTTGGCTAGGTGTCTTTTTTTGTTTGTTTGTTTGTTTTTTGTTTTTTTGTTTTTTTTTTTGTAGAGATGGGGTTTCCCTATGTTGCCCAGGCTGATCTTGAACTCCTGGGCTCAAGTGATCCTCCCGACTTGGCCTCTCAAAGTGCTGAGATTACAGGCATGAGCCACCATGCACAACCTATAGAATGACTTTTAAAAGGAATGTTTATATGAAATAAAATTTCAACCTCCATTTTTTTAAGAAAAATATGAAGAGCTTAAAACTTGTCCCTTTTCATTTATTTGTTCTTGACAATACATATGTTTACATGTATGTGTGTATAAATATACCTACACTGTGACAGTTACGTATATTAAAAAACATCTTCCTAAGGCAATAAATACTACCTGTTTATGATATAATTGCATTATATTTACAGCTTATTAAGAGTTTTTAAGAAATAGTTTTAAAATTTTCTGTGGATACATAGTGGGTATATATCTTTTTTTTGTTTTGTTTTGTTTTTTTTGAGGCAGAGTCTCACTCTTTCGCTCAGGCTGGAGTGCAGTGGTGCAATCTTGGCTCACTGCAACCTCCACCTCCCGGGTTCAAGCTATTCTCCTACCTCAGCCTCCCAGGTAACTGGGATTACAGGTACTCGCCACCACCCCCAGCTAATTTTTGTATTTTTAGTTGAGATGGAGTTTCACCATGTTGGCCAGGCTGGTCTTGAACTCCTGACCTCAAATGATCCACCTGCCTCAGCCTCCCAAAGTGCTGGGATTACAGGCTTGAGCCACTGCACCCAGGCCATAGTAGGTGTATATCTTTATGAGGTATGTGAGATATTTTGGTACAGGTATGAGATTATTTGGTAATATTCACATCATGGAAAACTGGATATACCATCCTCTCAAGCACGTATCCTTTGTATTACAAACAATCCATTATACTCTATTAGTTATTTTAAATGTACAATTAAATTATTATTGAACTATAATAATTCTGTTGTGCTGTCAAATACTAGGCCTTTTTCATTCATTCTTTTTTGTTTTTGTTTGTTTTTTGAGACAAAGTCTTGCTCTGTTGCCCAGGCTGGAGGGCAGTGGCGTGGTCTCAGCTCACTGCAACCTCTGCCTCCCAGGTTCAAGCAATTCTCCTGCCTCAGCCTCCTGAGTAGCTGGGATTACAGGTGCACACCACCATGCCTGGCTAATTTTTTTTTGCAATCTCCACCTTCTGGGTTCAAGCGATTCTCCTGCCTCAGTCTCCCAAGTAGCTGGGATAACAGGCGTGTGCCACCACACCTGGCTGATTTTTGTATTTTTAGTAAAGACAGGATTTCACTATGTTGGCCAGGCTGGTCTCGAACTCCTGACCTCAGGTGATCCACGCCCCCTTGGCCTCCCAAAGTGCTGGGATTATAGGCGTGAGCCCTGGCTGATTTTTGTATTTTTAGTAGAGACGGGATTTCACCATGTTGGCCAGGCTGGTCTCAAACTCTTGACCTCAAGTGATCCGCCCACCTCGGCCTCCCAAAGTGCTGGGATTATAGGCATGAGCCATGACGCTCCGCCTTTTTTATTCTTTCTATTTTTTTTGTACCCATTATCCATCCCCACCTTCCCCCATCCCCCACTACCCTTCCCAGCCTCTGGTGACCATCCTTCTATTCTCTGTGAGTTTAATTGTTTTGACTTTCAGATACTACAAATAAGTGAGAATATGCGATGTTTGTCTTTCTGTGCCTGGCTCATTTCACTTAACCCAATGACCTCCAGTTTCATCCATGTTGTTGCAAGTTCCATTCTTTTTTATGGCAGAATAGTACTCCACTTTGTATAAATAACACATTTTCTTTATCCATTCATCTGTTGATGGACACTTAGGTTGCTTCAAAATCTTGGTTATTGTGAACAGTGCTGTAACAAACATGAGTGTGCTGATATATCTTTGATGTACTGATTTCCTTTCTTTTGGATATATACCCAGCAGTGAGATTGCTGGATCATGTAGTAGCTCTTTTTTTAGTGTTTTGAGGAACCTGCAAACTCATCTCCATAGTGGTTGTACTAATTTACATTCCCACCAATAGAGTATTGAGGGTTCCCTTTTCTCTGCGTCCTCAGCAGTGTTTGTTATTCCCTGTCTGTTTAAAAGCCATTTTAACTGGGGTGAGATGATACTTCATTGTAGTTTTGATTTGCATTTCTCTTATGATCAATGATGTTGAGCACTTTTTTGTTTGCCTGTTTGCTATTTGTATGTCTTCTTTTAAGAAATGTTTATTCAAATCTTTTGCCCATCTTTTAATCAGATTTATTAGATTTTTTCCCTATAGAGTTATTTGAGCTTCTTATATATTCTGGTTATTAATCCCTTGCCAGATGAGTAGTTTGCAAATATTTTCTCCCATTCTGTGGGTTGTCTCTTCACTTTGCCAGCTGTTTCCTTTGCTGTGCAGAAGCTTTTTAACCTGATGTGATCCCATTTGTTCATTTTTGCTTTGGTTGTCTGTGCTTGTGAAGTATGACTCAAGAAATTTTTGCTCAGACCAATGTCCTGGAGAGTTTCCCCAATGTTTTCTTACAGTAGTTTCATAATTTGAAGTCTTAAATTTAAGTCTTTATTTTTATTTTATTTTTCTATAAGGTGAGATAGGGGTCTAGTCTCATTCTTCTGCATATGGATATCCAGTTTTTCCAGCACTGTTTAATGAAGAGATGGTCTTTTCCCCAGTGTGTATTCTTGGCACCTTTGTCAAAAATGTGTTCACTGTAGGTATGTGGATTTGTTTCTGGGTTCTCTATTTTGTTCTGTTGGTCTATGTGTCTGTTTTTGTGCCAGTACCATGCTGTTTTTGTCTATAGCTTTGTAGTATAGTGTGAAGTCAGGTATTGTGATTTCTGCAGTTTTGTTATTTTTACTCAGGAGAGCTTTGGCTATTTTGGATCTTTTCTGATTCCATATAAATTTTAGGATTGCTTTTTCTATTTCTGTGAAGAATGGCATTGTGACTTTGGTGGGGATTGCATTGAATCTGTAGATTGCTTTGGATAGTATGAGCATTTTAACAATATTGATTCTTCCAATCTATGAATACGGAATAGCTTTCCATTTTTGTGTTTGTGCCCTCTTTAATTTCTTTCATCAGTGTTTTATAGTTTCTATTGCAAAGATCTGTCACTTCTTTTGTTTGTTTTTTTTTTTTTTTTTTTTTTTTTTTTGAGACGGAGTCTCACTCTGTCGCCAGGCTGGAGTGCAGTGGCAGAATCTCAACTCACTGCAACCTCCGCCTCCTGGGTTCAAGCGATTTCCCTGCCTCAGCCTCCTGAGTAGCTGGGACAACAGGTGCGTGCCACCACACCCCACTAATTTTTGTAGTTTTTGGAGAGACAGGGTTTCACCGTGTTGGCCAGGATGGTCTCGATCTCTTGACCTCATGATCTGCCTGCCTCGACCTCCCAAAGTGCTGGGATTACAGGCATGCACCACAGCGCCTGGCCATCTTTCACTTCTTTGGTTAATTCCTAGGTATTTGATTTTATTTGTGACTGTTGTAAATGGGATTATTTTTTAAATTTGTTTTTCATATTGTTTACTGCTGGCATATATAAATGCTACTGATTTTTGTTATGTTGATTTTGTGTCCTGCAACTTTACTGAATTTGTTTATCAGTTCTAATAGTTTTCCTTTTTTTTTTTTTTTTTTTAAAATACTGGGCATGGTGTCATGTGCCTATAGTCCCAGCTACTGGGGAGGCTGGGGTGGGGTGTGGAAGTATCTCTCTTTTTTTTTTTTTTTTTTTTTTTTTTTGAGATAAGGTCTCATTCTGTTGCCCAGGCTGGAGTGCAGTGGCAAGATCTTGGCCCACTGCAGCCTCTGCCTCCCAGGCTCAAGTGATCCTTCCACCTCAACTTCCTGAGTAGCTGGGGCTACAGGCACATGCCACCACGCCTGGCTAATTTTTGTATTTTTTGTGGAGATGGGATTTTGCCATGTTGCTCAGGCTGGTCCTGAACTCCTGGACTCAAGGGATCCACCTGGCTCGGCCTCCCAAAGTGCTAGGATTACAGGTGTGAGCCACTATGCCCAGCCCTCTTGGGAAATCTTTAGGTTTTTCCAAATATAAGCTCGTGTCACCTGCAAACAAGGATAATTTGACTGTTTCCTTTTCCTTTCCAATTTGGAAGCCCTTTATTTCTTTCTCATGTGATTGCTTTAGCTCAGACATCTAGTACTATGTTGAATAACAATGGTGAAAGTGGGCATAGTTTGTCATGTTCCAGATCTAAGAGAAAAGGCTTTCAGTTTTCCCCCATTTCGTATGATACTAGCTGTGGGTCTGTCATATATAGTTTTTATTATGTTGAGGTCCGTTATTTCTATACCTAGTTTTCTGAGGGTTTTTAGTATGAAGGGATATTGAGCTTTATCAGATAATTTTTCGGCATCAATTGAAATTATTATATGGTTTTTGTCCTTCAAAGAATGGAGTTTTAATTTTTAGGCAATTTCACTTAAAGTGACTTTTTAAAACCTTGATATCAAATATATAATATAATTTGCATTATATATTTATATAAATATATATTTATTATTATAATATATAATTTATATATTTATATATAATAATTTATATAAAATAATTTATATAAATTATAATTTATGTATAATATATATAATTTATATATTATATATTATATAATTATATATATATTATTATATATATTTAATATATATTATATATAATATATATTATATATGATATTATATATGTTATATATTTATAATATATGTTATATATAAAATTATATAATATATAATAAATATATATAATATATAAAATATATATTTATATATAATGCAAATATATATAATATATAAAATATATATTTATATATAATGCAAATATATATAATGCAAATACATGAGCAATTCTGTTGATGTATTTTCTAAAAAGGCTAACCTTATTACTCAATGTTTAATTCTTTTTTTCTTTTTTTTTGAGACAGTCTTGCTCTGTCACCCAGGCTGAAGTGCAGTGGTGTGATCTTGGCTAACTGTAACTTCCACCTCCCTGGTTCAAGTGATTCTCCTCCCTCACCCTCTGAGTAGTTGGGCTTACAGTTCCCAACACCATGCCTGGCTAATTTTTTTTTTTTTTTTTTTTGAGACGGAGTCTCGCTCTGTCGCCCAGGCCGGACTGCGGACTGCAGTGGCGCAATCTCGGCTCACTGCAAGCTCCGCTTCCCGGGTTCACGCCATTCTCCTGCCTCAGCCTCCCGAGTAGCTGGGACTAGAGGCGCCCGCCACCGCGCCCGGCTAATTTTTTGTATTTTTAGTAGAGACGGGGTTTCACCTTGTTAGCCAGGATGGTCTCGATCTCCTGACCTCATGATCCACCCGCCTCGGCCTCCCAAAGTGCTGGGATTACAGGCGTGAGCCACCGCGCCCGGCCGCCTGGCTAATTTTTGTATTTTTGTATTTCTAGTAGAGTTGGGGTTTCACCGTGTTGGCCAGGCTGATCTCGAACTCCTGACCTCAAGTGGCCTCCCCAAAGTGCTAGGATTACAGGCATGAGCTACTGAGCCCGTCCAAGTTCTTTACTAAGAATTTTCATTATAGATTGAGAAAAGGAGAGAATTTTTTTTATAGTAGAATTCTATATATTCAAGTATTAAATGCTTGATATCTAATCTTCTCATATTGGGTTATTGATTTTGAATTTTGGAAGTGATACTTTCCAAATTCTTTTATTGTCTCATTACAGTTTAAAACTAATTTGATTGAATACCTTTTGATCTTCTTTCTGTGGCTGTTAATTTTTTTCTTTTATTAAAATTATAATAAAATGTGTGTAGGACCCAAAGAGAAATCAATTTTGGTCTTTTTTTCTTTTTGCTCCTTTATCTTTTTTTTTAATCAGTAGAAAGCTTTATTTGCCAGGCTAAACGATAAATTAACATCATGATTTAGGCTAAGCAAAAAACTAATATCATTTTTTTCTTTCAGATCTCTATAAAAATGGACTCCAAAGAGCTAACTTTGTACCATTCATAGCAGTCTTGAAGGTAAAAACAAATCATTTATTTGTGTTTACTAAGATCATACTTATTGATAATCAAGGGCTTTAGTAGGATTGTCTTAGTCTTGGCATTCAAGCAGAATTTATTTTGGCATTTAGATAGTAATAGTCAGGGGCCGGGCACGGTGGCTCATGCCTTTAATCCCAGCACTTTGGGAGGCCAAGGTGGGCGGATCACAAGGTCAGGAGTTCAAGACCAACCTGACCAACATGGTGAAACCCCGTCTCTATTAAAGATACAAAAATTAGCTGGGTGTGGTGGCATGCACCTGTAATCCCAGCTACTTGGGGAGGCTGAGGCAGGAGAATCATTTGAACCCTGGAGGCGGAGGTTGCAGTGAGCCGAGATCACGCCACTACACTCTAGCCTGGGTGACAGGGCGAGACGCCGTCTCGAATAAAAAAAAAAAAAAAAAAAAAAAGGAGACTTGCCAGGGCAACACGGCAAAACCTCTTCTCTAGATAGTAACAGTCAAAGACACTAAAGGAGAAAAGAATCTTTTGATATAATATTCATCCATGTGTACACTGAAAAAATTACAAAATATAGTCTAAATTATTCTCTAACTGAAACATTGAATAGTTTGCATTTTATAAATTTTAAATTGAGGTATGCTCATAAATATTATAGTGGAATATTTAAACTTATACATTTATTTCTGAAAAAAATGTTTAATGTTCCCTGTTTCCTTCAGGTTAATGGCCATTATTAACATGTTTTCCCAGCTATTAAAGTTGCTATTCTAGAATAGCATTATTACAAAAATATTCTAATATATTTAAATGTGATTGCCATCAAGTTATGAAATTATGTCAAGTTGAGGCACATAAATTGTTTAAATATTTGTGTGTATCATCACTGCATAGAGTTTAAAATAGTCTTCATTACAATATGATTAAGAATAAAATAGCCTCCTTTTTTACTATTAATTTTAAGTAATATTTTACATGATTATTTAATGATTTCACATTCTGCCAATATTTATTAAGAACCTACTATGTACAATGTGTTGCATTAGGCATAATGGATAATAGAATTATGAACTAAGCTGTTTTTCTGGCACATTATTTATAATCTAGTTGAGGATGTAAAATATATAAAAAAATCCCTATAAGAGAAAGCAAAATTTGCCAAAATATAATTCCCATAATTTTAGATAAATACTTTCTCCCCATGCACATCAACAAATCTGAAGAAAGGATAAAGAATTTTTTAAAACTTGAAACCTTAAAAATTCTTACCCAAGAAGGGTTAAAATGTTTTACCTTCAGACATGCTAAAGACATAATCAGACAATCTTTTTGACGTGTACTTTGGTTGGAATTACTGTTCGTGCCAAACTTTATTCCCTATGCTATACTTAGGAGAATTCAAACATCTGTTTCCTTGACCAATTTTAGGTTCCCAAGGATTTTAATTTCTCAGAGATATTTATAGATGTAGGAAAAGTACTTTTGGAAGATTTATGCTGTTAGTAATTTTTTTCCCTTTATATTCATGCTTTGCATTTAGGGAGGACATAGACTTGCAACGTTTTCTCCATGCTAGGAATCCAAAGTAATATGGTATACACAGATACCAAAATATAAAGAGGAAGCTAGGAAAAATAGGTGCTAAAAATAGTGTCTTCATATAGCATAAAATACACAAAATATAAAAAGAGAAGTCTCAGAAAGAAACAAGTTAAGGGGTTCTGAGGGAACAACTTTGTAGCTGTACTTTTTTTTTTTTCCTCCAAATATTTTGTTGTTGTTTTCTTTGGCCAGTAATTAGTCATACTTCAATATATAATAGCAGTATTAATAGGCAAAATGAATAGTAACAATTTGAAAGTGAACATGAACTGAGAGATATAATATACAATTTAAAGTTGAACATGGACTGAACTTCCCAGGAAACTAAATACCAGATTAGATGAGAAAAGGTCTAAAATATCTAATTTATTCAAGAGACTTTTCGTATATGACAAAACATCAATGAAATGAAAACTAGAGCTGGTTTCTCTGAAGCTTTTCTGTTTGGGCATATAAAGTTTCTTTTGTAAGGAAAGGTAGTTTAATATTAACTTAAGTGACTTTTTGCCTCTTCACAGATGCTAGTGTTACTTCTTCATTCTGGCCTAGCTGAGAGAAAGGTATAGCAAAAGTCAATCTTAAAACAAATTGAGAATCTTAGTTTAATAAAAAGAAATTATTATAAACAAGATAGAAATTTGTTGAGGAAAAAGTATATTGTAAAATTCATTTTAAAAAATGTTCTTCTCTATAAACCAAATAGTTATAAGTTTGTAATTCACCACAGAAGCTTGTGGTTTGTTGCTTGGGATATTGAAAAATAACAAAAATGTATATAAGCTCTTAGTAAAGCCTGCTTTATGGCCCAACATGTGGACAATTTTTGTAAATATTTTCTTTAAAATATTTCTTCAAAATAGTGAGTACTCTTCGGTTGTTTTGTATTATTGTGTAGGTTTGTTAATTATGCTGTTCAAATCTTTATTCTCATATTTTTTTTCCTATCAATTACTGAGAGACTTAGGGGATACATCTCTCACTATAATTGTGAATTTGTCTATTTTTCTTGTAATTCTGTCATTTGCCTTACATATTTGGAGGCTATGTTATAAGTTGCATACAGATTTATAATAATTATTTTATTTATTTATTTATTTATTTTGAGACAGAGTCTTGCTCTGTCACCCAGGCTAGAGTGCAGTCGTACAATATTGGCTCACTGCAACCTCTGCCTCCCAGGTTCAAGCAATTTTCCTGCCTTAGCCTCCTGAGTAGCTGGGACTACAAGTGCACACACCACCACACCAGGCTAATTTTTGTATTTTTAGTAGAGATGGGGTTTCACCATGTTGGCCAGGCTGGTCTCAAACTCCTGACCTCAAGTGATCTGCCTGCCTTGGCCTCCCAAAGTGCTGGGAGTACAGGTGTTAGCCACCACACCTGGCCAGATTTACAGTAGTTAAATACTGCTTGTGAATGGAGCTTTTAAATATTATTGAGTAGCATTGCTCCTTTTCAAGTGTATTTGTAACCGTCTCTTGAAACATTGTTATCATGACTGCTTTAAAATCTTTATCAGATAATTCTAACGTCTCTGCCATCTTGATGTTGCCATTTCTTTACATTCAGTTTGAGGTCTTCCTGATTTTTGGTATAAGTGATTTACAATGGAAGCTGGCATTTTCATAATTTGTCATGAGACTTTGAATCTTAATGTTTTAACCAAATTTTTTATTGTGGCAAAATATACATAACAAAAATTACTATTTTAATACATTTTGAGACAGGGTCTCACGCTGTTGCCTAGGCTGGAGTGCAGTGGCACAATCATAGCTTACTGCAGCCTCAACCTCCCCAGGCTCAGGTGATCCTCCTGCCCCAGCCTCCTGAGTAGCTGGGACTATAGGCGTATTCCACCATGCCCAGCTAATTTTTGTATTTTTTGTAGAGACAGGGTTTCACTATGTTTCCCAGGCTGGTCTCAAACTCCTGAACTCAAGTGATTTGCCTGCCTCCACCTCCCAAAGTGTTGGGATTACAGGCAAGAGTCACCACACCTGGCCTATTTTAATGATTTTTAAGGGTACAGTTCAGTGGCATTAAGTGCATTCACATTGTTGTACAAGCACCACCATGATTCATCTCCAGCATTTTTCATCTTATCAAAATGAAACTCTGTACTCACTAAATGATAACCACCCATTGTCCCCCTTTCCCAACCCTGATTACCACCATTCTGCTGTCTGCCTCTGTGAATTTGTCTTTTCTAGATACTTCATGTAAGTGGAATTACCTACTATTTGTCTTTTTCTTTCTGGCTTATTTCACTTAGCACATTGTCTCCAAAGTTTATGCATGTTGTAACATGTGTCAGAATTCTAATCCTTTTTATGGCATAATAATATTCTATTGTAAGGATATGCCACATTTTGTTTATCCGTTCACCTGCCAATGGGCATTTGGGTTGTTTCTACCTTTCAGCTATTATGAATATTGCTGCTTCGAACATTTGTGTACAAATATCTGTTTGAGTCCCTGCTTTCAATTCTTTTGTGTACATACCCAGAACTTAAATTGCTACATCTTATGGTAATTATATGTTTAATTTCTTGAGGAACTGCCATACTGTTTTCCATAGCGGCTGTACCATATTACGTTCCCATCAGCAATACACAAGCATTCCAGTTTCTCTGCATTTTCCCCAACACTTATCACTTATTTTCTTTTTCCTTTTTTTTTTTTTTTGATAATAACCATCCCAGTGGGTGTGAAGTGATATCTCATTATGGCTTTGATTTGCATTTCCCAAATGATTAATGATATTGAGTAACTTTTCATGTGCTTATTTTATTGATTGACTGATTGATTGACTGAGATGGAGTCTTGCTCTGTCACACAGGCTGGAGTGCGGTGGCATGATCTTGGCTCACTGCAACATCTGCCTCCTGGGTTCAAGTGATTCTCATTCCTCAGCCTCCCGAGTAGCTGGGATTACAGGCACATGCCACCACACCCAGCTAATTTTTGTATTTTTGGTAGAGATGGGGTTTCACCATGTTGGCCAGGCTGGTCTCAAACTCCTGACCTCAGGTGATCCGCCCACCTCAGCCTCCCAAAATGCTGAGATTACAGGTGTGAGCCACTGTGCCTGGCCTTATCTTCTCTTTTTTCAAATTGGGCAACATCTCATTCTACAAAATAGATTGTTATTCTGTTTGTCTTTGTGGATCTTATTTGAACTTTCTGTTTTAGTTAGCTTTTTTTAGACATTATTCTGTCAAGAGAAGGGGAGGCACTGCTTGCTTCCTTTACTACCAGATATAGCTAGAAATCCAGGTTCCCTATTCAGCCTCCATTGACACCTGAGCTGTGGTTTGGGGTGTGCTCCTTGTTACCTGTTACTGCTGGAAAGAGGGTTCTGACTCCCATGTGATCTCCACTGATATCATTGTGGGAGGAGGATGCTCATTACTGGTTGGCTGGGATGAAAGTTCCAGTTCCTACTTGGCCTTCTGTGACATCACCCTGGCAGTGGTGTTGGGATTCCTCATGACAGCCTTATGAGGGTGGAATTCTAGGCTTCCCTTAGCCTTTGCCGGCATGGTTGGGGAGGTGGAGCTACAGTTTTTCTCTGTGGTATTTGCTTTAGTTAGAACAGTTATTGTCTAAAAGTTTTACGTTTTGTTAAGTTGCCCTTTTCCTGCTCCTTTGGCTAAAGAGAACAGACTTTTATGGGGGCCTCATTTGTATATTTCCATCGGCATTTCTGGGTTGCTGGCTTCTTTAGCTCTAAGTCTGGGATATATGAGTCAAAGATAAACCCTGTGGCTCACACTTGTAATCCCAGTGCTTTGGCAGGCCAACATGGGAGAATCGCTTGAGGCCAAGAGTTTGAGACCAGCCTGAGCAACATAGTGAGTGCCCATCTTTACAAAAAAGAATTTTTTTTAAATTAGCTAGGCATTGCGGTGTGTACCTGTCCTCCAAGCTACTTGGGAAGCTGAGGCAGGAGGCTCACACAAGGCCAGGAGGTAGAGGCTGCAGTGAGCCATCATTGTGTCACTGTACTCCAGCCTGGGCAACAAAGCAATACCCTGTCTCTGGAAATTAAAAAAAAAAAAAAATCAATCCCACAGGAGGGAACCTCACCATCTGTTGTTCTTCAGGTCTTGAACAGGTCTAGCTGTTTTTCCTTCTTTCTACTTTTCAGGGTCTCCTGATGTTTCTTTTATATATAATTTCCAGATTGTACATATGAGGAGGGATAGGGAAAAGTACATCTCCATCTTCCCAGAAGCAGAAGTCAGCTTATTTAAGGTCCTTGTCTGCTAATTCCATCATTTCTGGTTATGTTTCTATGGTTTGATTTTTTCCCCCTGGTTGTGAGTCCTATTTTCCTGCTTCTTTGCAAGTCAAGTAAGTTATGATTGGATGCTGCATTTAGTGATTATTACATTGAGTCTGTTACTTCCTTTAAGGGTGTCAAATTTTATTTTGGCAAGTGGTTAAGTTTCTTGCAGATCAGGTTGATCTTTTTGAGGCTTTTTTTTTTTTTTTCCCTGTGCAGGCGTCTCACTCTGTTGCCCAGGCTGGAGTGCAGTGGCGTGAGGCTTATTTTTAAACTTTGATAGGGTGAATGTAGATTAGCCATTATTCCAGGTCTGTTTTAGCCCTTCTAGGTGTTAGGTTTTAGGACCTTTCTAAGCTCTTTACTGAATCCCTGTGGTATTCATTGAGGTATTTCAGCTTTGACTATATCAGAATGCTTATATCTCCCAGATTATGTGTATTGTTCTTTGCCCAACTCTGCATATGCAATTTGTTATTCAGCCAAAGATTACATTCCCTATGCAGATATCTGGAGCTTTTCTTTTGCATAGCATTTTCCTGTGCTGAACTCTACTGTGCAAATTCCAACTGTTTCAGCATCCCAAAACTCTGAGGACTGTCTCTTCAACTCATTTAGATTGTTCTATTGCAGTCTAGAAATTGCCTCTAGATAGAAAGCCAGGGAATATGGCCAGCTTGCTTGCCTGATTTTTTTCCCTCATATCTCAGGGATTGCTGTCTTTTGCTACCTATTACGTAATGTCTGGTATCAGCTGGTTCACATGTTTTGTCCAGTGTTTTAGTTATTTATTACAGAAGGGCAAAATCCAGTTCCAATTACTCTGCCTTGGCCAAAAGCATAAATCTCTTTCTTAGTTTTTAGTTATAAAGGAAAAGAAGATCAGGTTTTTTTTCTTTTTTCTTTTTTTTTAGTAATTTAGGAACTTAGAGCCATATTTTATCATAGAAACAAAAAAATAAATAGGATAACAATAAAAAGACAGTTGTGGGCACAGGAATTTTGTTTCAGCTTTCTCTCACACATTTAGAGGAACAGTTAGGTAAATGATGATGCAGTCACATGAGGGGATATAACAGTTATACGGAATATTTTTCAAAAGCTTTCGATAATGTAGAATAATGCTTACAGATAACGTGAGTGGAAAAGTATGATGCAAGGGTACATCTATTCCTATCTCAACTGTGGAAATAATACACATGCATCAAAAAATACTGGAAAGAAATATCCCAAAATGTTAATAGAATATATTTCTGGATATTAAGATTATGAGTGATTTAAATTTTCTCTTTTAGACTTTTCTAAGATTTCTGGAATGATCTTGTATTATTTTTATAATGAAAACCATTTTTGAACAGGTGAATTTTGCTCACTCCTCTTTGGAAATCAGCAGACCTGACTAGGAGAACTCACAATCAAAGTTGAGAAATCAGCAAAAAGCAAAATGGATTGAACATGGGTCCTATCTGTAGAGACCATTATTACAAAAATAAATGGGATGGCAGGCACAGGGAGGAAGGAGCAGGAGCGGGGGGAGAGGCAGAGATGAACTAACAAGTAAAAGCACGTGATAGATATATTTTGGAGGAAGAACTACCTCAGGAAATGGGAGAATTTTTCAGGTAAAATTTTCTATATTCTAAGAGAAATTAAAGTAGTCATGGTACTGATGACATAAGAGATTAGACATGAAATAATTATAAGATTAGATGATAAGTGAGCTGGCAGAGCAGCTCTCAAATAAACTGAGAGCAGACCATTAAGAAAAGAAAAAGCATCTTAGAAAAAGCAGATGATAGAATCAACACTGCTGAAAATAAAATCAGTGATACAGAGCCCAAACTTATGAAAGATCATATAAAATGATGCTGGAATAATCAGACATGAAAACTACTGCAGAAAAAAATGCTAGATATGGAAAGCAGACAGCAGAGATCATACATTCACATAACTCATATTTCTAAAAAAGAAAACACAAAGATAAATCAGAAGAAAACTTTCATGAAAGAAAGTTAGGTTGAAAGTCTAGATTCAAAGTGTTCATTGTTTATTTCCTATTGTATGATCCCCCCATCAAGAATCATACATTTTTGGCTGGGCGCAGTGGCTCACACCTGTAATCCTAGCACTTTGGGAGGCCGAGGCAGGTGGATTACTTGAGGTCAGGATTTCGAAACCAGCCTGGCTAACATGGTGAAACCCCATCTCTACTAAAAATACAAAAAAATTAGCCAGCCATGAGGTGGGTGCCTGTAATCCCAGCTACTTGGAAGGCTAAGGCAGGAGAATAGCTTGAACCTGGGGGGCAGAGGTTGCAGTGAGCCAAGATTGTGCCACTGCACTCCAGCCTGGGCAAGAGCGAGACTCTGTCTTCCAAAAAAAAAAAGATCATAAATTTTTTGATGCACAACTGAACCTGAACCTGAAGGATTATAAAAAGAATCTTACAATCATATGGAAGAAAAATCATTGGGAAAAGAAGTCAAGCTGGTCTGAGGCTTGTAAACTGCAAGTAGATACTAGAAGAGAAGAGAAGAGTTTTTACTAAATTCAGTTTTTTAAAAATGTGACATCTGGTCAGCTAGGCTGTCATGTACCTCTACGCCCACAGATATATGTTTTGGATATATGATAATTTAGGATTTATAGTCCTTAGTGAAGTTTCCTGAATAAACAACTTTAAGATTTTATACCACCAGTCAAAATTAATAATATAAATGGAGATATTGTGGTAAGAAAATATTGGTGGTCATTGAATCTGACTAAACATTGTCTTCTTCCGATCTGTAAGTCAGACAATAAAAATTTTTATCATATTATGTGAGAACTTCTGTAATTGAGTTAACTAAAGGATGCTAAAAAATAAAGGGGCCCTAGGAGGTTGAAGATGGCCAAATAGGAACAGATCCAGTCTACAGCTCCCAGTGTAAGCAATGCAGAAGACGGGTGATTTCTGCCTTTCCAACTGAGGTATCGGGTTCATCTCACTGGGGCTTGTCAGACAGTGGGTGCAGTCCTTGGACCAGGGTGGGGCATTGCCTCACCCAGGAAGTGCAAGGGGTCAGGGAATTCCCTTTCCTAGCAAAGGGAAGCCATGACAGGCGGTACCTGGAAAATCGGGACACTCCCACCCAAATACTGCGCTTTTCCAACGGCCTTAGCAAACGGCACACCAGATTATATCCTGTGCCTGGCTTGGAGGGTCCCATGCCCATGGAGCCTTGCTCACTGCTAGCACAGCAGTCTGAGATTGAACTGCAAGGTGGCAGCGAGGCTGGGGGAGGGGCATCTGCCATTGCAGAGGCTTGAGTAGGTAAACAAAGCGTCCTGGAAGCTCGAACTGGGTGGAGCCCATCGCAGCTCAAGGAGGCCTACCTGCCTCTGTAGACTCCACCTCTGGGGGCAGGGCATAGCTGAATAAAAGGCAGCAGAAACTTCTGTATATTTAAAAGTCCCTGTCTGACAGCTTTCAAGAGAGTAGGGGTTCTCCCAGCACGGAGTTTGAGATCTGAGAATGGACAGACTGCCTCTCAAGTGGGTCTCTGACTCCCAGCCTAACTGGGAGACACCTCTCAGTAGGGCCCGACTGACACCTCATACAGCTGGGTGCCCCTCTGAGACGAAGCTTCCAGAGGAAGGATCAGGCAGCAACATTTTCCGTTCTGCAATATTTGCTGTTCTGCAGCCTCTGCTGCTGATACCCAGGCAAACAGGGTCTGGAGTGGACCTCCAGCAAACTCCAACAGACCTGCAGCTGAGAGTCCTGACTGTTAGAAGGAAAACTAACAAACAGAAAGGACATCCACACCAAAACCCCATCTGTATGTTGCCATCATCAAAGACCAAAGGTAGATAAAACCACAAAGATGGGGAGAAACCAGAGCAGAGAAGCTGAAAATGCTAAAAATCAGAGCGCCTCTTCTCCTCCAAAGGAACGCAGCTCCTCGCCAGCAACGGAACAAAGCTGGACAGAGAATGACTTTGATGACTTGAGAGAAGAAGCCTTCAGACAATCGGTAATAACAAAACTTCTCCAAGCTAAAGGAGGATGTTTGAACCCATCTCAAAGAAGCTAAAAACCTTGAAAAAAGATTAGATGAATGTCTAACTAGAAAAAACAGTTCAGAGAAGTCCTTAAATGACCTGATGGAGCTGAAAACCATGGCACGAGAACTATGTGATGCATGCACAAGCTTCAATGGCCGATTTGATCAAGTGGAAGAAAGGGTATCAGTGATTGAAGATCAAATGAATGAAATGAAGCCAGAAGAGAAGTTTAGAGAAAAAAGAGTAAAAAGCAACAAACAAAGCCTCCAAGAAATATGGGACTATGTGAAAAGACCAAATCTACATCTGATTGGTGTATCTGAAAGTGACGGGGAGAATGGAACCAAGTTGGAAAATACTCTTCAGGGTATTATCCAGGAGAACTTCCCAAACCTAGTGAGGCAGGCCAACATTCAAATTCAGGAAATACAGAGAACGCCACAAAGATACTCCTCGAGAAGAGCAACTCCAAGACACGTAATTGTCAGATTCACCAAAGTTGAAATGAAGGAAAAAATGTTAAGGGCAGCCAGAGAGAAAGGTTGGGTTACCCACAAAGGGAAGCCCATCAGACTAACAGCGGATCTCTCAGCAGAAATCCTTCAAGCCAGAAGAGAGTGGGGGCCAATATTCAACATTCTTAAAGAAAAGAATTTTCAACCCAGAATTTTATATCCAGCCAAACTAAGCTTCATAAGTGAAGGAGAAATAAAATCCTTTACAGACAAACAACTGCTGACAGGTTTTGTCACCACCAGGCCTGCCCTAAAAGAGCTCCTGAAGGAAGCACTAAACATGGAAAGGAACAACTGGTACCAGCCACTGCAAAATCATGCCAAATTGTAAAGACCATCAAGGCTAGGAAGAAACTGCATCAACTAATGAGCAAAATAACCAGCTAACATCATAATGACAGGATCAATTTCACACACAACAATATTAAACTTAAATGTAAATGGGCTAAATGCTCCAATTAAAAGACACAGACTGGCAAATTGGATAAAGATTCAAGACCCATCAGTGTGTTGTATTCAGGAAACCCATCTCAGGTGCAGAGACACACATGGGCTCAAAATAAAAGGATGGAGGAAGATCTACCAAGCAAATGGAAAACAAAAAAAAAGCAGGGGTTGCAATCCTAGTCTCTCATAAAACAGACTTTAAACCAACAAAGATCAAAAGAGAGCAAGAAGGCCATTACATAATGGTAAAGGGATCAATTCAAAAAGAAGAGCTAACTATCTTAAATATGTATGCACTCAATACGGGAGCACCCAGATTAATAAAGCAAGTCCTTAGAGACCTACAAAGAGACTTAGACTCCCACATAATAATAATGGGAGACTCTAACACCCCACTGTCAACATTAGACAGATCAACAAGACAGAAAGTTAGCAAGGATATCCAGGAACTGAACTCAGCTCTGCACCAAGCAGACCTAATAGACATCTACAGAACTCTCCACCCCAAATCAACAGAATATACATTGTTCTCAGCACCACATCACACTTATTCCAAAATTGACCACATAGTTGGAAGTAAAGCACTCCTCAGCAAATGTAAAAGAACAGAAATTACAACAAACTGTCTCTCAGACCACAGTGCAATCAAACTAGAACTCAGGACTAAGAAACTCACTCAAAACCACTCAAGTACATGGAAACTGAACAACCTGCTCCTGAATGAACTACTGGGTACATAACAAAATGAAGGCAGAAATAAAGATGTTCTTTGAAACCAACGAGAACAAAGACACAACATACCAGAATCTCTGGGACACATTCAAAGCAGTGTGTAGAGGCAAATTTATAACACTAAATGCCCACAAGAGAAAGCAGGAAAGATCTAAAATTGACACCCTACCATCACAATTAAAAGAACTAGAGAAGCAAGAGCAAACACATTCAAAAGCTAGCAGAAGGCAAGAAATAACTAAGAACAGCGCAGAACTGAAGGAGATAGAGACACAAAAAAAACCCTTCAAAAAAATCAATGAATCCAGGAGCTTATTTTTTGAAAGGATCAACAAAATTGATAGACCACTAGCAAGACTAATAAGGAAGAAAAGAGAGAAGAATCAAATAGACACAATAAAAAATGATAAATGGGACATCACCACCGATCCCACAGAAATACAAACTACCATCAGAGAATACTATAGACACCTCTATGCAAATAAACTAGAAAATCTAGAAGAAATGGATAAATTCCTGGACACATACACCCTACCAAGACTAAACCAGGAAGAAGTTGAATCCTTGTATAGACCAATAACAGGTTCTGAAATTGAGGCAAAAATTAATAGCCTACCAACCCAAAAAAGTCCAGGACCAGATGGATTCACAGCCGAATTCTACCAGAGGTACAAAGAGGATCTGGTACCATTCCTTCTGAAACTATTCCAATTAATAGAAAAAGAGGGAATCCTCCCTAATTCATTTTATGAGGCCAAAATCATCCTGATACCAAAGCCCGGCAGAGACACAACAAAAAAGAGAATTTTAGACCAATATCCCTGATGAAGATCGATGCAAAACTCCTCAATAAAATACTGGCAAACCGAATCCAGCAGCACATCAAAAAGCTTATCCACCATGATCAAGTTGGCTTCTTCCCTGGGATGCAAGGCTGGTTCAACATACACAAATCAATAAAAGTAATCCATCACATAAATAGAACCAAAGACAAAAACCACATGATTATCTCAATAGTTGCAGAAAAGGCCTTTGACAAAATTCAATAGCTCTTCTTGCTAAAAACTCTCAATAAACTAGGTATTGATGGGATGTATCTCAAAATAATAAGAGCTATTTATGACAAACCCACAGCCAATATCATACTGAATGGGCAAAACTGGAAGCATTCCCTTTGAAAACTGGCACAAGACAGGGATGCCCTCTCTCACCACTTCTATTCAACATAGTGTTAGAAGTTCTGGCCAGGGCAATCAGGCAAGGGAAAGAAATAAAGGGTATTCAATTAGGAAAAGAGGAAGTCAAATTGTCCCTGTTTGCAGATGACATGATTGTATATTTAGAAAACCCCATCGTCTCAGCCCAAAATCTCCTTAAGCTGATAAGCAACTTCAGCAAAGTCTCAGGATACAAAATCAATGTGCAAAAATCACAGGCATTCCTCTACACCAATAACAGACAAACAGAGAGCCAAATTATGAGTGAACTCCCATTCACAGTTGCTTCAAAGATAATAAAATACCTCGGAATCCAACTGACAAGGGATGTGAAGGACCTCTTCAAGGAGAACTGCAAACCACTGCTCAACTAAATAAAAGAGGACACAAACAAATTGGAAGAACATTCCATGCTCATGGATAGGAAGAATCAATATCGTGAAAATGGCCATACTGCCCAAGGTAATTTATAGATTCAATGCCACCCCATCAAGCTACCAATGACTTTCTTCACAGAATTGGAAAAGACTACTTTAAAGTTCATATGGAATCAAAAAAGAGCCCACATTGCCAAGACACCCTAAGCCAAAAGAACAAAGCTGGAGGCATCACGCTACCTGACTTCAAACTATACTACAAGGCTACAGTAACCAAAACAGCATGGTGCTGGTACCAAAACAGATATACAGACCAATGGAACAGAATAGAGCCCCCGGGAATAATTCCACACATCTGCAACCATCTGATCTTTGAGAAACCTGACAAAAACAAGAAATGGGGAAAGGTTTCCCTATTTAATAAATGGTGCTGGGAAAACTGGCTAGCCATATGTAGAAAGCTGAAACTGGATCCCTTCCTTACACCTTATACAACAATTAATTCAAGATGGATTAAAGACTTAAATGTTAGACCTAAAACCATAAAAACCTAGAAGAAAACCTAGGCAATACCATTTAGGACATAGGCATGGGCAAGGACTTCACGTCTAAAACACCAAAAGCAATGGCAACAGAAGCCAAAATTGACAAATGGGATCTAATTAAACTTAAAGAGCTTCTGCACAGCAAAAGAAACTACCATCAGAGTGAACAGGCAACCTACAGAATGGGAGGAAATTTTTGCAATCTACTCATCTGACAAAGGGCTAATATCCAGAATCTACAAAGAACTCAAACAAATTTACAAGAAAAAGTCAAACAACCCCATCAAAAAGTGGGTGAAGGATATGAACAGACACTTCTCAAAAGAAGACATTTATGCAACCAACAGACACATGAAAAAATGCTCATCATCATTGGCCACGAGAGAAATGCAAATCCAAACCACAAAGAGATACCATCTCATACCAGTTTTAGAATGGCAATCATTAAAAAGTCAGGAAACAACAGGTGCTGGAGAGGATGTGGAGAAATAGGAATGCTTTTACACTGTTGGTGGGACTGTAAACTAGTTCAACCATTGTGGAAGACAGTGTGGCGATTCCTCAAGGATCTAGAACTAGAAATACCATTTGACACAGCCATCCCATTACTGGGCATATACCCAAAGGATTATAAATCATGCTGCTATAAAGACACATGCACACATATGTTTATTGCAGCACTATTCACAAGAGCAAAGACTTGGAACCAACCCAAATGTCCATCAATGATAGACCGGATTAAGAAAATGTGGCACATATACACCATGGAATACTATGCAGCCATAAAAAAGGATGAGTTCATGTCCTTTGTAGGGACATGGATGAAGCTGGAAACCATCATTCTGAGCAAATTATCATAAGGACAGAAAACCAAACACTGCATGTTCTCACTCATAGGTGGGAATTGAACAATGCAAACACTTGGACACAGGGTGAGGAACATCACACACTGGGGCCTGTCATGCGGTGTGGGGAGAGGGGAGGGATAGCATTAGGAGATATACCTAATGTAAATGACGAGTTAATGGGTGCAGCACACCAACTTGGCACATGTATAGATAGGTAACAAACCTGCATGTTGTGCACATGTACCCTAGAACTTAAAGTATAATAATAATAATAAATAAATAAATAAAGGGGCCTGGGCTGGGTGTGGTGGCTCAGACCTGTAATCCCAGTGCTTTGGGAGACTGAGGTTGGAGGATTGCTTGAGGAGTTTGAGATCAGCCTGGGCAACATGGCAAGACCTCATCTCTACAAAAAAATAAAAAATTTAGTCAGGCATGGTGGTGCATGCCTGTGGTCCCAGCTACTTAGGAAGCTGAGGTGGGAGGATTGCTTGAGCCCAGGAGTTCCAGGCTGCAGTAAGCCACGATTGCACCACTGGATTCCAGCGTGGGCGACAGAGCAAGACATTGTCTTAAACACACACACACACACACACACACAGACACGCACACACACACACACACACACAAAAAAAAAACGGGGAAAAAAAGAAAAAGAAAAGGGGCCCTGACCCACACTGGCAGTTTGAGTGGAGGAGGTAGCACATGTCAGGAGTATTTTTCCAAAGAGCCGATGATGCTTAAACTGAGACTTAAAAGACAATTAAGTTACCAAGAAAAGTGGGAAAGGACGTTTACCATGCAGGGAAAAGACATAGAAGTATGAGAACTGTAATTAAAAATTTTATTTTCAGTAATCAGTTCATTGAGAAAAATAATTTTCATAAAATAACTGTCACTAGTCTGTTTACTTGAGGTTGGCAGATTTATTTAAAACTCAGATTTTTCTCCAAATAAAAGCAAGATATGTTTTGTATTGTATTTAAATAGAAAAATTTAGGTAATTCTTTTTCTCTTGGTTGTAATTGTAATAATTGTGCCTCCTTCAATAAGTCTGTACTTTAACTTGAAATTTCCTTCTGATCATATGACATAGTATCTTTATTTTACCAATATTAATAAAACTTAGGTAATTCTCCTAAAGTATAAGAACAAATATAATTGTTTTATTTTATTTTATTTATATTTTTTTGAGATGGAGTCTCACTCTGTCGCCCAGGCTGGAGTGCAGTGGTGCAATCTCGGCTCACTGCAAGCTCCACCTCCCGGGTTCACGCCATTCTGCTGCCTCAGCCTCCCGGGTAGCTGGGACTACAGGTGCCTGCCACCACGCCAGCTAATTTTTTGTATTTTTAGTAGAGACGGGGGTTCATCATGTTAGCCAGGATGGTCTCAATTTCCTGACTTCAAGATCCACCTGCCTCGGCCTCCCAAAGACAAATATAATTGTTAAAGCATTTGTTGGTATCTATATAGCATCATTTTATAAAGTTAAAGGCATTCATTTTACCCTCTGCACTGAAAGTATTTTAAAGTAGCCTGTGATAGTTTATACCAGGGTGGACAAACTATAGCCAGTGGCCAAATCTGGCCTGCTGCCTGTTTTTATAAATCAAGTTTTATTGAAAAATTTTATGCTCATATATTTATGTATTACCTATGGCTCTTTTTGGAGTACAGTTGCAGAGTTGAGTGGCTGCAGTGGAGACTTACGGCTTTCAAAGCCTAACATATTTAGTATCTGACCCTTTACAGGAAGTTTGCTGGCCCTGATCTATATAATATACAAAGGGCAAACAATTGCTTAAAACGACATATGTCAATAGCACCTTTTTTTTCTATGAAGTATGACTTGTTTTATGTGATGAAAATCCTGTGTCAGCATAGATTTATTAGTAGGTCTTGGAGAAAGGGGCATTCCAAGAGCTTGCTGGATAAATGGTTGATCGAAGGGAGGAAGCTTGGTGAGTGAACCAAAAGCAAAGATAGTGATTCGGTATCAATTTCAGATAATTTAGTAACTTGAGAAATATCAGCTTTGTTAGGATCAACTTTCTTAGAAATATCTTCAATTTCATACATTTAAAAGGAATAATATATCTTAAATGTACATTCACTGAACAATATTTATGGAGTATAATCTCACTGCATTTGTAAACATTATTTAAAATTAGTGTGGTTAAAAGGAAAAGGGAACCAGTTGATATTTTGAACAGAAGAATAGTTTATTAGGTTACTTTCAATTTACTATTACTAGCCTTCTTGAAGATTAGATTGCCTGGCAAGCATTGCTATTCTCATCTGATCAAGGTCCAGCAATTCATGATATTTTACACAAATTTTTCCATTTGGGTAAAAATCTGTCTGTTTACTCCATCACTTACACTTTCATAAACCATTTAGTTTGTTTCATTCCATAATGAACCCTAAAAGAGATAAATGCTATTCATAAGTTTTAAGGTTAAAAAAATTTTCAATGTGAATTTCATTAGCTTTCTTTTTATGATTTTCTTAATCAGTTTAACAGTGTGAAATAATCTAAAATAATCTCCCCAGGGGAAATGTTCCTGTGCAAGATTGTATGTAGTGTTTTTGCACACAATGATAGATCTTAATATCAGTAATTTAGCACTTTGATTCTCATTCACAATGACAGCTTAGCATGCTATCTTCTTTCTTAACTTTTAAATTTCTTCTTAAAATTAAATGTTTGATGATTAGATTACTGAATGATAACTAAACTGGTGAAAAATAACCAACAAGGCATTCTACAATAGAATTTTCTCTTGATGAATTTCAGATGGTTCGATTAGAGAAAAATAATTCCAGCATTAACTCTTATAAATATGAATTTTCCTTTTCCTAATAAAGAGTTGCCCATTTGGAAGGCATCACTATCTGATTTATTTGTTCGGTTTAAATATGTAACATAAAGAAGTGATACTTTATAATGTGAGGTAGTAACAATTTTGTTCTTATTATTGCTACTTTTGTAATTTGTTTAATGTTCAGGTAATGACATCATATCTTTTACTTGGTTGTTCATGTTTCTTGACTGTTGTGCATCCTTTACATAAAACTTAAAAAAATTAAGTGATATATTAGTTTTTATGTTTTTATTTCCTGAGAAAATTTTTCCAATGATAAGAAAATTTTTCCTGATAGTAAACTAGAATATTCCCATGGTGTGATTTCCAGCTACAAACTTTAGAAAACTTGTTTGATTATAACCCTTAGATAAAATGCTTCAGTGTTCAGCCTTTGTCCAGCCATCTGCATTAGGATTTATAGACTTGCTAAATAAATGTATATTTGCCATTTTTCCTGCCACAGTTTTCATTTCATTGGTGAAATTGATTTGTCAGTTTGTTCATTGTAACTTTCAATACCAGAGCTTTCAGAGTGCTAAATAATCAGAATCAGCCTTTGAGGTCAGTGTCAGTCAGCCTCTATGACCTCTACTGCGTTGTCACCTGAGTCAGCCTTGCAGGGATTAACCCTTTGTTAGTGTGATAATGTCTTTACTTATGAGTTGGCTTTTTAATACTTAAGATTGAAAGAAACAAAAGACAGAACAAAAGTAGCAGACAACTCCTGAATTGGAAAGAGTTGTTGCTTTCCCCCACAAACTGTATGTGGTAAAATATTTCTAAAATTATCAAGTTTTAGTCTAAGTCTAGGAAATCTACCCAAGATATTTTATTAAATTTATTTAATTTATTAAATTAAATAAAAATATATTTTTATTTTATTAAAAAATAAAAATATATTTAATATTAAATATATTAAAACATATATTCCATATATGTTTGGAAAAATTTATTTAAGAAAATTGGCTGTAGTAACAGGCACTAAAGTTTTATTTGTAATGGTGTTTTTGTGCTGTGTCGTTGCAATTAATAAATATCTAAGATGAAAATGGTTGTGATGTGGATTTAAAATACAGTCCTTTTCCATCTTCATAACAGAATGTAGACCTTGTATTAGTCAGGGCCTATCTATAGAAAAGTAATTTTAGGTGTATGCCTTTTAAAATATTTTCTCTAATTATCTCATATAAAATAAAAATAAAGATTTTTCGCGACATATGTAAATTATATATTTGTAGTTATCTGGAAAAAAACAAGCTATTGCTTACATGTAAAATATATACTGTTTAGGACTTGAATTCTCTTCTCTTAGAACAATAAATAGTTATTTTTGGTTAAATCACAAGATATCAATTATTTGATGACAAAAATGGCTTAAAGGAAGTGTGTCTTAAATATGGATTAGCTAGTTCTTTGAATGATG
Source organism: Homo sapiens (assembly GCF_000001405.40). Taxonomy (NCBI): domain Eukaryota; kingdom Metazoa; phylum Chordata; class Mammalia; order Primates; family Hominidae; genus Homo; species Homo sapiens. The sequence continues at coordinate 108,420,953 of NC_000006.12, forward strand.
AGATAAATTAGTTTAATTACACGTGGCAATTTTCTTGGCTAGTGATGTAATGTGAAATAAAATTCTCCCTTTCCCCTCCCTGAAAACTCAAGCCAATTAATAGAACTTTTAAGCTCTTTGTCATAGGCCACCATGGAGGTCTGCAGAGAAGAACTTTAATCCAATAAACATTTCATTTAGATCATGAAAAGAAAGCATGAGGAGAAGCTCCTGTAAGAGAGGGTGTTACTATGATTCCAACCATGAAGAGATGTGAGGAATTTGCCAAATTAACCAAGAGGTCCTCATATTGAACGCATAAATGTGTCAAAACTAACAGAATCATTATTTAATTTGCTTGAACTCTATATTGAGGAAACTCTAAAAAGCCACAACTGTTTTCTTCAAAGCCTTCACTGTTGGGCTGGATGGACAGGGCAAAGGGAGGTTGTGAGAAATCCAGATACCAAATAACACTGGCCGAAGCTGGTCAGAAAAGGGAATAGATAATTAGGCGTAATTAGCGTGTATGAATCGTTGTCTCTCTGCCCTTAGCTTGAATAAATTTTGAAGAAAAAAACCCTAGTGGTGAAAATCCTTTGATGTAGGAAGAGTCATTGTGGCTTGGCAGCATAAAGGCAGTGTTTTATACTTTTTACATAATGGTTGTGATACAGACAGAGTGAATGGACCCTGCACCCCCCCTGTCTGCTTTAGACCAAGGACTTTTGGATTCTCTTGAAACAAAATGCATCACAAGTTTTCAGTTGTTCGTAATGAGGTAGCGGACCTCATCAGGGCTCAGAGGAAGCCATCTTTAGCTTTTGTTTAAACCTTAATCTCAGTTTTTTTTCTTTCTGGGAAATCTGTTTTCTTAAATCAACACTTCTTTTTTCTTCTTTGCTTGCACCTCCAATAAGAGATGGGAATCATGCTTAAGAAAGCTAAATGGAAAAGTTAAACAAAAATTATCACATAAAAGATGTATGCATTTTTTAATCCCACATGAAAAAGATGCTTGCTATATTCCCTTTTGCCTTTAAATCAGTAACATTCTAGTAAAGTTGTTTTATAATAGAAAATATAAGAAAACATATAGGGAATAATTTTAGATTGTTTTTGGAAAGAACTTGTTTTCAAATTGAAATTATACAAAGTAAAATGGTAAGTAGGTTACTGTTTCACAGAATTTAAGTTTTTAAGTGGAAATCAGTTTGGTTAAAAATATTAGTAGCTTTACTGCAAACTTTGTTTATGCAAGAGGCATAGTTAAAACATAGGTTTGAGAACCTGTGTCCAGAATAGTTAATTTGTCCGATATCCACTACTGGGAAGTCAAGAAATTATTCTTGAGAAAGCATTGCATTTATTCTGAGGCAGGTGGATTACTTGAGCTCAGGAGTTTGAGAAAGCATTGCATTTATTTTGAAATTTTCTGAAGCACTGAAACAATAAGTCACCTAAAATGCAGTTATCAACTTTTTCTGGCAGTTGAATTATGTTCACTTTGTCTATCCAAAATATTTTTTTAAAATTAGTCCTCAGCAAAAAAAAAAAAAAAAAAAAAAGAAGAAGAAATGCTCTATTTCAGAATCTAAAGTAAATCAAGTATTTTGTTGGGGGAAGGAGGTGCTGAAATAATTTGTATATTATCCTCAATATCAGAATAGCATCTCTAAGTAAGTTTTATAATTCTGATAAATGTTCAATCTCTTTATTAGCTACTTTGAAACTACGTTTAAAAAAATCTACCCTTCAAATACTTCAGTGCTCAGGTTTCCGTCTAATTAATATTATTCTTTTAACGTATTTTAATTATAGGACTTTCTGCAGTAGTCATCCATGATCCATTCCTTAATGTGTAATCTGTGAAGCTATTTTTATAAGCATTGCCCTGCTTTAGAGTAGTTTTACTATGACGTTTTGATTCTGGATAGACTTCTTTCAAGCCACAATGCTCTGAGATGCTTTTGGCTACTTAACCCATTTTGCATATTGTGCCATTTGTAGAATAAAGTAGCCTTTTATACTTGAAGTTGATTTGAACTCTGAAAGGCAACACCTGAACATCTCACAAAACTGGATAATTATGGCTGATTGTGTTTTTCAGGTATAGGTCACAGGAAATTCATTTGGGGTAAAGTATGCACAAAGCTAAGAAATATGCAGATTTTCTGTTGTAGGACTGTGTAAAAATTATTTACAGTTAATACTTGCATAAAGGTTAGAAAGGTTGATGAAGTGATATTTAGTTTTGCTTTACTATTCACTGCATGTCAGAATGTAATTATGACTGATTCATGAAACTGTCTTAGAAACGAACCATCTTTATTAAAATGCTGATCAAGATAAGAGCTGACAGTAATAAAGAATAGAACATTTTAGTCTTGTTGCTTTTGAATGATTGCTAATTACCCCAGAGGTCATGTATAGTGCTTGGTAGGATTCATTGACATTATTTCTTTTAAGTCTGCTGTTTCAACAACATCTGAGCATGAAGACACAAACTGTGTGCACATTGAACAATAGTTTGGCTTAAGTTTTTAGGGCTTCAAGATATCTAAGAAATCTTCTTCTGCCATAGTGAATTTAGTTTTTCTGTATCAAAATTATATTATATTAGGGGTGCTTGGTACAAAATACATTGTATATTTATTTACTATTGACTGTATCTACACCTCCCATTTTTAAGTTGCGTTAAATAGTATATATAGGTTATTGGGACAGTGTCACCTCTAAATATATACACAAGCATATACAAGTAATAAGAACAAAATGAGTACTAACATTTAAGTTAGAATACATAAAAGGACTTATTAATGTGTAATCAGAATATACTCATCAGAATATACAATTTGAACACTAACTACTGATAGTTTGGTTTTTATTAAATGTGAACTTTGTAATTTGTCTCTAAATGTATGTGGAAATCCTTATCATGTATTCCTTAGCCAATTATGATTGATAGGATTCATGTATTATAAATACATAGTTGATTAACTGAATAAACTCTGACATACTGTTTAAAATAACTTAAATCTTTATAATTATTAACTGAAAGTAGAAGAATGTGGAATATATATGTAATATGCATGCATGTATGTGTGTGTGTTAGTATATGTATATATACAAACTACACAATCACATCACACTTTTCTTTTTTTCTGGTTTCCATGATGTAACAGAAAAATCAATGGGATGAGAAGGCAATCTTTGTGGACCTGGCTCTGTCACTGACTTTGCTCTGTCACTGGCAAGCCTCTTAAACCTGTGTGAGCTCATTTCCTCTGTAAATGATGGGATTGGACTACAAGGTTGCTAAGGCTCTCATGAAGCTATTTATTTTCAAAAAGATTAAGTTTCAGAAGTTTACTTATAAATTATTTCTTTTAAACTATGATAGATTTCTCCCTCAAATAGTGTTCTAAATATGATAATAAAGTCTTAGGCTACCTAGTCTACAAAAGCCTAATTGCCCCAAATAGCTCATATTATTATACTCTTGTAAAATGAAGTAGAAGAAAGCAATAGTTAGATTTCAACATGCATTTACGAAGGGCTTAGTCATTGGGGTTACAATGATAAATGTGTTACTGAGTTGAATCCTGCCATCAGGGAAATTAGGATGTTCTAGTAGGGGAAGTAGACAAAAAATGATTATTATATAGCATATAAAAATATTATAATGTTAGAGATATATTGTAATATATATAATAGAGAATGAGTTAGAAGTGGTTAGCTGTGTGGTGGGAGGTTATAATACTAGCAATTATGTAAATTGCAATATATTAAATTAAAAGCACAACTTTTAAATACGTTTTCTCCCTCTGTGATGCTGGTAATTGTGGAGGAGGAAAGGATGAGATAGTAATGTTTGTGAATTTTGAAAGGACTCCTGTATGTGTTTACAAGTTTCAGAGGTTGATGAAACTGGAGTTTTGTTTTGCCTTTTGTTTTCTTTATATAAATGTATCACTGCCATCACTCTTGGTTTAATAGTCATGCTTATGATACTGGAATGAAATGGAGATTTCCTAAGAAAACTGGACAAAGCTTAGAAGGGAGACAGAAAGAGCAGAGGAAGAAAGCTAAAAATGTTTCAGTGTATACAGAAGAAGTTACCTGACGTAGAACTGAATAAGTTATGCATAGTGACAGCTGAGAAATACAGAGCAAGGCATATGTAGAAACTCTTTTTGAGGGTGGGCAGTGGGAAAGGGATGGCACTCTAGGTTGTAACCAGAGGTTAAGAGAGCCTTTTTAACTCCTGGAATGTCACTGTGTGTAGAAGGCAGAATACAAACAGAGGGTTACACATGGTAGACATTTTATAATTTAAGAATGCTTGTAAATAAGGATGGTTGTTCACACTTTTTAAAAACTGGTATAGCATTGACAGACCAAACATAGCAGATGCTGGGTTGTGATCAGTTGCCCCATACTGGTGTATGCTAGTGAGTACCAGCCTTACCTATAAATAGTGTATGTGTGTGTGTGTGTGTATGTGTATACTCACAGAATTTGAAGGCTCTTTAGAAACACTTATCCCACCACCTTATTATACAGTGGAGGCGACTGAGGCTCATGCCTGAGATCATCTTACCTAAGATTGCCTGGATAGCAGCAGAGCCAGGTCTACAATCCAGATTTCCTAGTTTTTATTGAGAGCTCTTTCCGCCAAACCATGTTGCACAATATGTGTGTGTGTATGTGTATGTATGAAGACATATATACATACACATATATACATATATTCACTATATTTACATATTGCATACCTTATTGTCTTTAGGTGGAATTAATTATATTCCCAATTGCTCTTATTGATAAGGAACTCTTTATCTTTCTTTTATATAAAAGTATAATCTATCTTATTAATCTAGCTTTAGTCATACACAATGGTAAGTTAAATATAGTGATATCCAGATACTGTTTTAGATAATAGCTTAAAATTTACTCTTCAGATCTTTTATCAGCGATAACAATTGACTATTGTTAAGAGTGACTAAATTTGTCTCTTTTCATCTTCAGATAAAGGTACTAATAAGCAGTGAAATGACAAAAAGTTGAGCAAATACAATGAAGAAAGAACAGAACCAAAGTTTAGAATATTTATAAATGCTATCCTGGATACTAAAACTCTAAATAATGAAGCCTCTGTAAATGGGTAGGGGTCATTTTTTAAGCTAAATATTTTATTGAGATATTCTTTTTCTTGGTTATTCCAGAGTGGTAATTACAGTGTAAATGAATCATATGCCTTATGGGCTTTGTGTAATTATAGTGCACTTTTTTTTTTAGTTAGAAAAGTTATGCTTACCTATGATTATTTATACAGAAGAAGAAAAAATCTTGTGGGTAAATTTACTGGATGTTGAAAAACTAATTTTGCAAAGCTGCATGTATAGTGGGAACTTCCTATTAGCTTGAAGCTGTATTGCATAGTTCCTTTCTGTGGGAGAAAATTAAAGCTTACAGGAGCTGCAGTTGTGTGTTTGGTAGTATAGTTATAAAAAAGATCCTCAAAAAGTGCACATTTCAACTTCTTTGCAGCCTGTGGTGTGCCACTCTTCTACTTTTCTTTTCTTTTTCTCCCTAGGAATGAGGACTCTGATTTTCTTGGATAAGGTAAACAGTGGGAGAAGAATGGAATATTAATTAAAATTCTGTTTGTTATGACAGAGTTGGAAATGTATAATGGATGTGATTTCCATAAGACAGCTATCAGCTTTTTCCCAGCACCAGCACCAGTCTTTGGGGACAATACTCAAAGATCTTTCCTTTTGTAAATTTTCATAAGAGTTAAATGAATGCATGATAGGCTAACAAATGCCAACATCACATAAATATATAAACTAAATATTAAAACTCCCCCTTCACCACTCTTCCCTCTTCCCATCCCTCCTCCACCTTCTACTCCACCTCATTCCTACTTCCCTCCCCAGGAGTAGCCACTATTAAAAATTTAGTTTGTATCTTTTCAAGCATTTTTCTTTACATTTATGTGCATACATATCTATATATATGTCCAAACATATAGTTTTGTTTTGTTGTAAGTTAATGAGGGTAATATATATACCTTAGTCTGAGTTATACTTTTATCCCCAGAGATATCCTAAAGATCTTTTGATATTAGATATAATTCAATCTCATTTTTAATTTTTTAATTTTTATTTATTTATCTTTTTGGAGACGGTGTCTTTCCCTATTGCCCAGGCTAGAGTGCAGTGGTGTGATCATAGCTCACTACAGACTCCATCTCCTGGGCTCAAGTGATCCTTCTGCCTCAGCCTTCTGAGTAGCCAGGACTACACACTTGGCTAACTTTTTTATTTTCTGTAGAGATGGTGTCTTGCTATGTTGCCCAGGCTGGTCTCAAACCCGTGGCGTTATATAATTCTCTTACCTGCCACTCTCAGTTTTAAATGGCTGCATTATTATTTTAAAACTAATCTGCTATTTTTGTATACTTAGGTTTATTCTAGTTTAGTTTACTTTTAAAGTAATGCCTTAAAAATATGTTTGCAAATGTGTTTTTAGTGCATACGAGCCAATATTTCTGTAGGTTAGATTTCTCAAAATGGAATTTTTTTTTTTTTTTTTTTTTTGAGTTGGAGTCTTGCTCTGTCACCCAGGTTGGAGTGCAGTGGCATAATCTTGGCTCACTGCAAACTCTGCCTCCCGGACTCAAGCAATTCCCTTGCCTCAGCCTCCTGAGTAGCTGGGACTACAGGTGAACGCCACCATACCCGGTTAATTTTTGTATTTTTAGTAGAGACAGGGTTTCACCATGTTGGTAAGGCTGATCTTGAACTCTTGACCTCAAGTGATCCACCTACCTTGGCCTCCCAAAGTGCTGGGATTACAGGCGTGAGCCACCACCCCGGCCTCAAAATGGAATTTCTAGGTCAAAGGCTCTTGTAATTAAAACTTTGCTGGATTTTGTCATATTGCTCTTTACTTGTGTATTAGCTAACATTAAAAATTAAGTTATAAAATACATTTCTAAAAAGTTATTATATATTTGTATTTCAGTAGCTTTTGGGGTACAAGTGATTTTTGGTTACATGAATGAATTGTATAGTGGTGAAGTTTGAGATTTTAGTGTACCCATCATCTGAGTAGCATACATTGTACCCAATATGTAGTTTTTTATACTCACCCCTCTATAACCACTCCATCTTCTGAGTCTCTAATGTCCATTATATCACTGTCTATGCTTTGCATGCTGATAGCTTAGCTCCCACTTGTAAGTGGGAACATGTGGTATTTGGTTTTCTATTCCTGAGTTACTTCACTTGGAATAATGGCCTTTACCTCCATCCAAGTTGCTGCAAAAGACATTATTTAATTCTTTTTAATGGCTGAGTAGCATTCCATGGTGTATATATATACCACATTTTCTTTATCCACTCATTGGTCAGTGGGCACTTAGATTAGTTCTCCATGTTTGCAATTGTGAATTGTGCTGTGATAAACATATGCATGGAGGTGTCTTTTTGATGTAATGGTTTCTTTTCCTTTGGCTAGATACCCAATAGTGGGATTGCTGGATAGAACGGTAGATCTACTTTTAGTTCTCTGAAATCTGTATGTTATTTTCCATAGATGTTGTAGTAATTTACATTCCCACGAGCAGTGTATAAGAGTTTCCTTTTTACCACATTTACACTGACATCTATTGTTTTTTGACTTTTTAGTAATGGCCATTCTGGCTGGGGTAAGGTGGTACCTCATTGTGGTTTTAATTTGCATATCCCTGGCAGTTAGTGATACTGAGCATTTTTCCATATGTTTGTTGTCCATTTGTATATCTTCTTTTGAGAAGTGTCTATTCGTGTTATTTTTCAACTTTTGATGAGATTATTTGTTTTTTTCTTTCTGATTTGCTTGTCTTCCTTGTATATTCTGGATATTAGTCCTTGTTAGACACATAGTTTATGGGTTGTCTGTTTACTCTAATGATTATTTCCTTTGCTGTTTAGAAGCTTTTTAGTTTAGGTACCATTTATTTATTTTTGTTTTTGCTGTACTTGCTTTTGGGGTCTTAGTCATAAATTCTTTCCCTATGCCAATGTCCAGAAGAGTTTTTTCTAGGCTTTCTTCTAGAATGTTTGTGGTTTAAGTTTTCAAACCATCTTGAGTTGACTTTTGTATAAGGTAAGGGATAGGGATCCAGTTTTATTCTTCCACCTGTAGCTATCCAGTTTTCCCAGCACCATTTATTGAATAGTGTGTCCTTTCCCCAACTTATATTTTTATATGTGTATTAGTCTGTTCTCATGCTGCTAATAAAGACATACCCGAGACTAGGTAATTTATAAAGGAAAGAGGTTTGACTCACACTTCCACATGACTGGGGAGGCCTCACAATCATGGCTGAAGGCGAATGACGAGCAAAGTCATATTTTACATGGTGCCAGGCAAGAAGAACTTGTGTAGGGGAACTCTCCTTTATAAAACCATCAGATCTTGTGGAGACTTATTCACTACCACAGGAAGAACACGGGAAAGACCCATCCCCATGACTCAATTTCCTCCCACCAGGTCCTTTCCACACGTGGGAATTATGGGAGCTACAATTCAAGATGAGATTTGGGTGGGGACACAGCCAAACCATATCAGTATACTTTGTCAAAGATCAGCTAGATGTAAGCATTTGGCTTTATTTTTGGGTTCTCTGTTCTGTTCCATTGGTCTGTGTATCTACTTTTATACCAGTACCATGCTGTTTTGGTTACTATAGCCTTGCAGTATAATTTGAATCTGAGTAATGTGATACCCCCAGATTTGTTCTTTTTGTCTAGGATTGCTTTGGCTATTAGGGCTCTTTCTTGATTCCATATGAATTTAGGATTTTTTTTTCTAATTCTGTGGAAAATTGCTTTGCTGCCCAAAGCAATTCCTTTCAAAATACTGTAGTTTTTTTTGAGCAGTATGGTCATTTTCACAATATAGATTCTTCCAATCAATGAGCATGGGAGGTAGTTTCATTTGTTTGTGTCATGTTATTATGTATTTATTTATTTATTTTGAGATGGAGTCTCGCTGTGTTGCTCAGGCTGGAATGCAGTGGCACGATCTCAGCTCACTGCAACCTCCACCTCCTGGGTTCAAGCAGTTCTCCTGCCTCAGCCTCCTGAGTGGCTGGGATTACAGGTACCCGCCACAACGCCCGGCTAATTTTTGTGGTTTTAGTAGAGATAGGATTTCACCATGTTGGCCAGGCTGATCTCAAACTCCTGACCTCAAATGTTCCACCCGCCTTGGCCTCTAAAGTGCTAAATACAGGTGTGAGCCACTGTGCCCAGTCATAAGATGGTATTTTTTAAGAAGCCACATTAACCTTTCTAGAATACAGTAGGGCATATAAATAAATGACAAGAAATCATCTAAGTTGAGGTATCATACTCTGGACATTTTATTGGGTGTTGCTTATACTTATTGAATTAACAACAAGCTATTGCAAAATTATCATTACCAAAATATTTAAGGGTGGTGGAAGTTTTGAACTTTTATTCTGTGCCTTGTTCTGGACATGGGAGGTATGTGTAGTGGTTAAGAGCACATAGTCTGCAAACCTGATTTCAGCTACTGCTTCCCACACCCATGAACAGGCTTAATAACTCTAGACAGATAGAGATCAAAATACTTGATCCTTTTGAACATCAGGTAATGCATTGACAAATTGGAGCCAATGAGCCTGTCTTTAAAGAATCTTATCTTTAAAGCTATAAAATTAACTGCACAATAAATGATTGCCCTTGTTATTTTTATTCTTCTGTAACAGTGTTATAAAGATAACTGTGACTAAACATTTATTCTCTGGTTTAAAAGGCAGTGGGGCATTTTCTGTCTAACAGATAAAAACACATAAGCACTATATAGTTCCCCTTCTCTCAAATTTTACCATTTTGTAAATTGTTTGGATGAACAGAAGTAACTCTTCATATTAACATTAGGATTTTTTGTTTCATTTTCCACTCCCATGCCAAATAATTTGAATAGTATAAGGACAAGACTTCATCAATTCTTACTTGCTCGGCATCCTGGCACATAGCTATTAGAATGCAAACTAGTACCTTAGATCATTCACATCAGTTTCCTGATATGCTAATAGACCCAAGGTCTTGACCAAGTTGACAATGTTGGTACAGATTTTTATTCTTTATAATTTCTTTTTTTTTTGGAGGCGAAGTCTTGCTCATGTCACCCAGGCTGGAGTGCAGTGGCGTGATCTTGGCTCACTGCAACCTCCGCCTCCCAGGTTCAAGCGCTTCTTCTGCCTCAGCCTCCTGAGTAGCTGGGATTAGAGGCACCTGCCACCACGCCCGGCTAATTTTTGTATTTTTAGTAGAGACAGGGTTTCACCATGTTGGCCATGCTGGTCTCGAACTGCTGACCTCAGGCGATCCGCCTGCCTCAGCCTCCCAAAGTGCTGGGATTACAGGCATGAGCCACCGCGCCTGGCTATTCTTTATAATTTCTTACTGATATTCTAAAGATTACAAATACTATATTTTACAAGAGTCTGAATAATTTGTAGAAATTATTATGTCTAAGATAGAGTATGGAAGAAAAAGTAAGTCATTGGCATTCTGAACAAGACCTCTGGTGTTACACAGTAGCAGTTGCCACAGTCAGATGTTTCACCTTTCTTTGTTGCTTTTTTTTTTTTTTTTTTTTGAGACTGAGTTTTGCTGTTGTAACCCAGGCTGGAGTGCAATAGCACGATCTCAGCTCACTGCAACATCCTCTTCCCAGATTCAAGTGCCCGTGTAGCTGGGATTATAGGCGCCTGCCACCACACCTGGCTAATTTTTTGTATTTTTAGTAGAGACGGGGTTTCACCATGTTGGCCAGGCTGGTCTCGAACTCCTGACCTCAAGTGATCCACCTGCCTCGGCCTCCCAAAGTGCTGGGATTATAGGCATGAGCCATTGCGCTCAGCCCGGCCCTCACCTTTCTTTTTATAATTAGAGTGATGGTGTCTTTGAAGCACCATGGTCCTCCACAGAGTTCCAGACACTGACAGGGAGACCCTACAACTCTCTGTGCTGGTCTTCAGTGATACACTTGTAGTTCGATCTGGTATGCCATCAGGTGCCGGCGCTTTGCCTGGTTATTATTATTTTTGGTTCTAAGTACTTTGAAAATATTTTTAGTGACATATCCAGAAAGTCTTTGTTTCAGAGGGAGATTGGTATGTTCCAAATCATAGTGGTCCTCAAAAAGATAAAAATGTCACCTTATTTACAATATGGGTTGGAAACCCAACTGTATAACTTACGGTCATCTGGTTTGAGATGTTGAAATGTCTAACTGAATAATCTGTAGTATCTCACCACCCAGGACTTCTTCTACCCCTTCTGTACATTCTTATGTGTTTTCTCAAGCCCTCTTTAAACTACTTCAGCTTTGGAACACTTCCTTAGCTTTACCAGTCCTTTGTTTCCACAGTACCCTACTCTTCTCAGTTTATTCAAATAGTTCTGGACTACTCATATACTTTTATGTCCTTTACCCCCATTGCGGAGTAATGGTGATTTTCTTTTCATTTTATTTTATCCAAATATAAACCAGAAGGAAGTTATTGCCACCAATCTCTACCTCTATGGTTCTAAGATCACAAACACCAGCCCTCGATGATCCTATGGCTTTAGTTGCCACCCATGGTGGACATTGTAGTTGTCTACCCAAAATTCATTTCACTCTCTGCTACTGTGTAGTAGCCATGTGGTTTGGATGGAACTGACCAGAGATGGGGCCTGATTAGGCTAAGCCAGTGGTTCTCAATCCTGGCCCATTGGGATTACCTAAGGAGCTTAAAACAAAACAGAAAAAAATCAGCCAACCAAATCCTCCTCCCTGAAATGCCTGGGAGTGGGGCCTGGATGTTGGCACTTTCTAGATACTTCCCAGGTGAGTCTAATGGGCAGCCAGTGTTGAGAACCACTGGTCTACCATCTTCCCTGCCACTGGCATTGGTTCAGGAAATTCACACCTATGCCAGTTAGCTTTTGCCATTCCCCAAGCTACAGGAACTGGTTGTCGTGGTTACAATCAACATAATCAGGGTAGCTCAGGACTTTCGTTTTATAGACATAGAAAAGTACTCAGTCTCCTCTCTTTGTTATGAGGAAATCCTGCCGTGGGATGAAATTGTTACTTTGAAGAGGGCAGAAATGACAGATTTGAAGAGAATAGAACCAGGGCCCTGATTAAACTGTTTTATACCCCCAGACTTTTCAGTTATGTGAACAAATAAATCTGCTTTATTATTTAATTGGTCTTCTGATACATGTGACTAAGTTAACCACAAACATTAACTTTATTATTGTTATTATTATTATTATTATTTTTTGAGAGACAGAGTCTTGCTCAGTCGCCCAGGCTGGAGTGCAGTGGCGCGACTTCAGCTCATTGCAACCTCCGCCTCCCGGGTTCAGCCAATTCTCCTGCCTCAGCTTCCCAAGTAGCTGGTACTGCAGGCATGCACCACCACACCCAGCTAATTTTTGTATTTTTTTTTTGGTAGAGACGGGATTTCACTATGTGTTGGCCAGGCTGGTCTCGAACTCCTGACCTTAGGTAATCCACCCACCTCGGCCTCCCAAAGTGCTGGGATTACATGTGTAAACCACCACGCCCAGCCTTATTATTTTATTATTTTATTTTTTGAGATGGATCTCACTCTGTTGCCCAGGCTGGAGTGCAGTGGCGCGATCTCAGCTCACTGCAACCTCTGCCTTCCCAGTTCAAGCGATTCTCCTGCCTCGGCTTTCTGAGTAGCTGGGATTACAGGCACAAGGCACCATGTCTGGCTAATTTTTGTATTTTTAGTAGAGATGGGGTTTCACCATGTTGGCCAGGCTGGTCTGGAACTCCTGATCTCAGGTGATCTGCCCGCCTCTGCCTCCCAAATTGCTGAGATTACAGGCGTGAGCCACTGTGCCCGGCCACATACATTAACTTTAAAAATCACAGAAATGTAACTTTAGAAGAAGAGACTATTTCTTTTAAAGGGTTACAGCCTGCAACATGGCCATCCCGCAGGCTGGGAAGCATAGCCTTTGACAAAGACCAAGACAGGCACTTAAAGGGAACAGGAATTGGAATAGGAGCTTTATGCTGAATGGGTTGTCTAAATATACATATTGAACAGGTTATAGGAGGAGCTATGAATATTTATGAATGTGGTTCTGACACATGTATATTGAACAAACATGCATGTAACATAGTACCCATGTTCACCTTGGGATGGAGACTTAACATTTAAATGTATTACAGCTCTATGCTGATGGCTCCTAACTCAGAATTTTTGTCTTGGCTCCAACTCCTAGAGTGCCAAGCCTAATATCTAGGCTGGACATCTGCACCTAGAGAAGTCCCAAGATCCTCAAATTCACCATGCCACCGAACTGAATGATCCTCTCCCCCACTTGCTCTTACTCCAGTTCTTTGTTGAATGGCATAGCCATGTGGTTGCCTAAGCCAGAAACCCAACAGTCTTCTTGACTCTTTCTTCCTCATTCTTTACCTTTAAAGCAATCAAGCTCTGTTGATCTATCCACTTCTCTCTCTCCTTACTCTATTGCTTTTCTAGGCTACTTTCACATCTTTCCTAGATTTTTCTGACACCTGCTAACTCAGCAATGTTTATGCAGTTTTCTTCCCCCCTCCATTGTTTTCCCAACTCTGGAGCAGTGATCCGATCCTGTCACCTCCCTTCCTAAATCTTTACATTACTTCCATTTTATGGACTTAGGATATTTAACTTGCAAAGCTCTTTACGACATGAGCTCTTGCCAGCTTCTATAGCCCCATTTTGGGCCACTCTTAGAATACATGCAACTGAAAGCATCCTAATGCTTGAACTCTGCATTCTTGCTATGCTGAACTAATTTTAGATCCCCAATTCGCTAAGCTGTCTTTTGCATCTCTAGATGTATAGGTGATATTTCTTGAGTTTGAAACATTCTTTCCTACATCTTCTCCCTCACCTGCTAAATGAGGCTACTTGCCACATTTTTGGGGTTAGTTGTTACTGTTCAGTGTTCCAGAGCATCCTGTTCTGATTCTTAACCATCTGTCTTCCTTGCTAGACGGATGTTCTGATCACCTCCTATTTACCCTGTCAGTAAAGGAGGGATCCCCAACCAAATAGTGATTAAGATGCCCGACATTGGACAAACGAGATTGGCAGCAGTGTATTAGTCACATGAACTCACAGCCTGAGGGATAGGGACACTACACACATAACGATTATAAACCAGAAGGGGCTATGGGAGGCAGGCTTTGTAGTAAGATGAAGGTGGGATACAGCTGGTCTGGCTGATAGGGATACTGGCCAGGTAGGAGGACTTTACCTCTGGGCATGGGAACCACTGGGTGTATCTGACAAGAGCAGGGAATGGCTCTGTGAGGCTCAAAAATGTCAAGGTAGCACCTGAGTGTTTAGGTCTTACAACAGGGCTGGGCACAGTGGCTCACGCCTGTAATCCAGCACTTTGGGAGGCTGAAATGGAAGGATCGCTTGAGGCCAGGAGCTTGAGACCAACCTGGGCAGCAAAGCCACACTCTGTCTCAACAAAAATTACAAAAATTAGCTGGGCATGATGACACATGCCTGTAGTCCCAGCTACTCAGGAGGCTGAGGTGGAAGAATCGCTTGAGGCCAGGAGAGAAGATGTTTCCTCATATAGACTCGAGTGTGTGGCACTCAGGGTGTGGGTAATGAGACCTGATGATGAGTAGGTAGAGATGGGCTGTGAACTCCAGGGTGCAGCCTTTTCAAAATCCTGCCGTTTTCTCAGTTGCTGACCTTATAACTGGCAGAACATAGCTGGAAGAATGCTTCATTTTGTCATAAAAGCTCCTTGAGAAAGGGACTGCACTGGTTGGCTTCTTCCTGTAGTTCCTAACATACTAACTTGCACTAGAGCTTTACACATATGTGTCTGCTAATGGTTTGTTCAGTTAATAAATATTTACTGAGCATTTACTATGTACTGTGTGCTAGATAGTAACTGCTGAAGAGACAATGATGACAAAACAGACATGATCCTGGTCACATAGAACTTACAGGCTTGAAACCCAAATCTGTCTCTACAATCTCATTCAGTATAGAAAAATGACCCATTTTGTTATGTTACAATGTAATATATAACAGCTACACAAAGTTTCTTGAAAGCTGCCCCATATCATTTTTGTATGAGATTAGGTTTTTTTTTAGACAGAGTCTCGCTGTGTTGCCAGGCTGGAGTGCAGTGTCACAATCTTGGCTCACTGCAACATCTACCTCCCGGGTTCAAGTGATTTTCCTGTCTCAGCCTCCTGAGTAGCTGGGACTACAGGTGCACACCACCATGGTCAGCTAATTTTTGTATTTTTAGTAGAGACGGGGTTTCACTATATTGGCCAGGATGATCTTGATCTCTTGACCTTGTGATCTGCCTGCCTTGGCCTCCCAAAGTGCTGGGATTACAGGTGTGAGCCACCGCACCCGGCTGAGATTAGGTTTTAAACAAATAAACCAATCTGTTTATTGCAACGTAGCTATTTCTCAGGAAAGCAAGCAAGTTTGGGCCTTACTCAGTGAGCACAGGAGCAGAGGGCAACAGATGTAGGATTTTGTGAGGCAAGCTGTCAGTACTGTGAAAACCTCCCAACAAGCCCATGTGAATCTTCCATTGCCTTTTGTGTATCCAAGCAAGAGCCATAGTTGCCTGAGCATATCATGGGCTGTGATGAAACACCAGAGCCAAAATGCCTGCGTTTGAATCCTGGTTCTGTCACTTTTGGGCTGTTTGACAATGGACAAGTTACTTAGCCTCTCTGTGCTTTAGTTTCTTCATCCATTTGTAAAATAGAATAATAATAATTTCTACCTCATAGAGTGGTTGAAAGAATTAAATGAATACATTTAAGGATCTTAGAATAGTCCCTGGCACATGGTAAGCCCTTATACCAGTGTTTGCTATTACCATGGCGTCTTAGTCCAGGCTGAGAAATCTAAGATGAGGGCACCAGCAGATTTGGTATCGGGTGAGGGCTCCCTTTCTGATTCCAAGATGTTACCTTTTAGCTGTGTCCTCACATCATGGAAGGAAGGGACAAACAAGCTCCCTCAGCCTTTTTTTATAAAGGCAGTAATCTCATTCATGAGGGATCTGCCCTCAGGACTTAATCACCTCCCAAAGGCCCTACCTCCTAATATCACACTGGAGATTAGGTTTCAACATATGAATTCTGGGGGGACACAAATATTTAGACCATAGCAGATGATAATGATGGACTCATTTATTTACACCTCAAATTCCCTTACCAAGTTTATGCCAGGTCTTATTATGGGACCTATTAAAATGTGAGAGGAATTATCATGTGTATTTTGTGGAAGAGAGTAATTGTCCCAGATTACTTTGTACTTTTCATTTTGGCACCTCTGAGAGAGAGCGGGGAAATCATCATCCTTGTTAGACTCTCTTCTGCTTTGAAGGGTCTGTGAGTATATGGTGTTGTGTAGGATTAAGAGGCAGTCCCACTGTCTTGGAGTTTCCAAGACTGACATCCTTGGTTTAGATGATCAAGTGAAAGCCATAGGAACAGTGGACTATGAGATGAGCAGACATTTTAGATAAACATAGAAAATGTCCTACGTAATGGAAATTTACTATAATATAACCCATTATAGTATAGAATTTAGTATGGGGTACATTTATCTCATACATGGTCTTGGACTAAATACGTAAAGGAAATAATATAAAATCATATTGTATGGCCCCCAGAAGAGTAATTAGTATATTTACACTGTGCAGAGGTAATTAATTTGAGATGGGAGGGAGAGGTGGAGGAGCAAAAATGAATTATGTAAGTTGTGTAAGACTAAAGAAAAATGATCCTGTGGCTACCGTTGAATAACTCAGTGTGACATAGTGGGAGGACCATGGATTTGGTGGAGGCAAGATTGTCCTGGTCAAATCACAGCTCAGCCACCTACAAACTATGTGGCCTCTTTTTGGATGCACTGTGAATTGTGAATTTACTGAGATGTTTTCTTTTGGCTGTGGCTGCAGAAAGAGTCAGATTGTGACTCACCTCACAAGCAAGTGTATGGAGGTGTGCTTTTAGCTTCTGTCCTGACTTGCTTGCTTGCTTTTTTGAATCTTGCAATTATTCTTTCTTTTTTTGCTCTTTTAGAAAATGCCTTTCTGTATGCTTATTACTGGAGCAAGGTAGCATATTGGTGATTGTATTGGTTTATTAGGACTTCTAAAACAAAATTCAACAGACTGGATGACTTAAACCATGGAAATTCATTTTCTCACGGTTCTGGTGGCTAGAAGGACAAAGACGTTGGCAGGTTTGGTCTCTCCTGAGGCCTCTCTCCGTGACTTGCAGGTGGCCACCTTCTCACTGTGTTTTCACATGGCCTTTCTGTGGGGTACACACATAACTGTATCCACATGTCCACATTTCCTCTTCTCATAAGGATACCAGTCAGACTTCATTTTAACTGAATTAAAGGCTCTGTCTCCAAATACAGTCACATTCTGAGGTACTGAGAGAGTTTCAACATGAATTTTGGGGAGATGCAATTAAGCCCATAATATTACTTTTTTTTTTAAGTTACCTCTCTGATCCTATGTTTCCTCAACTGTAAAATGGGGATTTAAAAAAAATATTGCCTTGCCCTGTAGATGGATATTATGAGGAAGATAAGAGATAAAGCCAAGTCAGTTGCCTAGCCCATCTAAAGCACATGATAAGCACTTCATGATGCTTAAATATCCCCCTTCCCGCTTTTTGGAAGGAGAAAGAAATTCTGAAACTGCTTGATAAAAAGAAGGGATACAGGCCTTACCTAATAAGTTAATCAGGTATGGGTATTTGAAGTGTGAGACAAGTAGGGTAGCTAGGGAAAGAGGAGTGGGGAGATATGGAAAAAAATGTTTTTGATTTACTTTGGTATATGAGATGATCAAGAAAGCAAAGGAGGCTGATATAGCTTGAGGTAGACTCAGGCCGTGTGGTCTGCTCTAAAGTGAGGTAAGCCCAAGGAAGAACTCAGCCCTGAAGAGCCCTGAAGTGAGAGAACTTCACGATAATGTTAAAAATTTAGAGCTTAAAGGGATCGTAATCAATTCCTTTATTTTGTAGAGGAGAAAACTGACATCTGGAGAGGTTACGTAACAGGCTAAAACCACACAGCGTGACAATTGGCAGAGGACTTCTCAATTTATCAACTTGAAAAATTACGTCTATGATCGAGAGAAGAAAATGATAACTTGAACAAATATCTGATTACTACCAGACTGTCAGAGCAAACGCTATATCTTATTCATCATTATATCTCTAGTAGCCAGGGAAGTGCCCAACCTGTAGTATTCAATTATGTTTGTTAGGTTGATCCAAAATAAATATTAAATTTGGAGGGGACTTGTTAAACCATAAGTGCACATTTTTGTGATATAAAACAGTGTGGCATATTTTATTAAATATATGAAACATCTTTAGTATCATCCTGATCTTCCATGTAGATGGAAGAATCTCACAGACGTAAAAGAACCCTATCACAAAAGAATACATACTGTATGATTTCACTTATAAAAAGCTCCAGAAACAGGCAAAATTCTATGGTGCTAGACTTAGAATAGTAGTTACCTCTGGGGAGTAGAAGGTGATATTAGGGGGGCTTCAGAGATTCTGGTGATATTCTATTTCATGACTGAGCCGGACACTTATAATTTGTATACTTTCCTGTATTAAGTTATACTTAAATTATAAAAAGCTTAAAATATGGAGCAGCTTATGTATTGAATTTTCTTATATATCATTGTTTAAGCTTAGAAGTAGTAGTACATGATTACTTTAAATATGACTCAAACAGCTGTCTTAGAATGTATAGCTGCCTCAAAATAAAGTAAGACAGTCTCCACTCAGTCTCCCACCCTTAAATTGTATTCTTAGCAAAAAAAGTTAGTACAGTATGCAATTAAGCTTTTCTGTATTTAAGTGTTTATTTTCTTTCATAGAACTTTTAAGATATCAAAAAAATTAAGCATAGAACTATATATAATATGATAGATGTCTACCTCTGTAATCTCCATATGTATAGGAAAAACTTATATAAGCTATAAACAAACTTTTTTCTGAGAAAGGGGTATTCATTTCTACTGTTATGCTTTTAATATTGTTTGAATGTTTTATAATAAGCATGGATCACTTTTTCAGTTCAAAAAAGATACATTTTTATTTTATTTTTTGAGATGGAGTCTCATTCTGTTGCCCAGGCTGGAGCAGTCTCAGTTCATTGCAACCTCCACCTCCCAGGTTCAAGCAATTCTCCTGCCTCAGCCTCCTGAGTAGCTGGGATTACAGGTGTATGCCACCACACCCAGCTACTTTTTGTATTTTTAGTAGAGATGGGGTTTCAACATGTTGGGCAGGCTGGTCTCAAACTCCTGACCTCAGGTGATCTGCCTGTCTCAGCCTCCCAAAGTGCTGGGATTACAGGCGTGAGCCACAGCACCTGGCCTAAAAAGGATACGTTTCTTAAAGAATCAAGTAAAATGATATATCTTAGTTATTTAAAATTTTATTTCCTGGAATAAGAAAAAGTCTCGACTGGGCGTGGTGGCTCACACCTGTAATGCCAGCAATTTGGGAGGCTGAGGCAGGTGTTCAAGACCAGCCTGGCCAACATGGTGAAACCCCGTCTCTACTAAAAAATACAAAAATTAGCCGGGCATGGTGGCGGGCACCTGCAATCCCAGCTACTTGGGAGGCTGAGGCAGGGAGAATTGCTTGAACGCAGGAAGCAGAGGTTGCAGTGAGCTGAGATCATGCCACTGCACTCCAGCCTGCACAACAGAGTGAGACTCCATCTCAAAAAAAGAAAAAAGGAAAAGAAAAGTCTCAACCATTTTTTCTTTTTTGTTGTTTACTCATTAAAAATTTATAAAATAAATTAGTTGACTGTTAATCAAGAAAAACACTAATAATTTTGATTCTTTAAATGCCTATTTAATATAGTCACTTAGATAAGGGATAGAAGTTCGATTTATGTAGTTGGGATTTTTTCCTCATGTTCCAAATTTCTATGATAAGTGAAATTGCTTTTATAATAAAAAATGCTAAGATGGGCAAATCTGTGTTTATTATTTCAATCTTTGCTTAAGAGGTTAGTATGTTATAGTTTTAAAAGATTTTCTCCACAATGTCTTTATTCTTTGTTCCAACTGGGATGGAGTAGAAGCTATATAAAGTTATTTTGTGAGATGGCTGTTTTTCTAATGGTATTATTCAGGATTGCTAAAAATACACACAATAGATTTTGGGGACAATATAAACTGCTTTAATACAGTTCCTTTAGTCATACATTTTTCTTTCCAAACTCAAAGGCCTTTGACACATGAGTATGCTCAGAAGGGTGTGCTAACCTCCCTCCTTTTCCTCTCCAAATTTTCTAATTGCATTTTTTTTAGATTGTGTAATTGTATTTGTCCTTTGTATATATAAATATGCAAACTATTTTAAAATAAATTTTGTTTGCTGGCTGATTAGTGTTGTATATTAGAATTGGATGGTGATAAGAGGTCACAGGCCTTGTAAATATCACTGGAAATTAGGAAATTTCTTAGAGATCATGCTCTTTTGACTAGATTCACTGTCGACTTGCAGCTTAGCTTCCCCCCGCCTCCACCCTTCTGCAAAGAGCTTTGAAGAATCTAGCGTAAGTGAATGAAATCTGAAAATCTGAGGTTTATTTAAAAAAAAAAAATATATATATATATATATAAACTGAGTGTTAGTATTTTTCAGACAATTAAGTGCTAACATCTAAGTGCTTTGGTAATAGTTCTTTTGCTGCTGATTAGGTATTCCTCAGTGGTGATTAGTGAATGTACAAATGCAATCATTTCGTAGGTCTTAATCACTCATATGATCGAGAAGTTAGTTACCCAGAAAGAGAAATTGAAGCTGTATAACTTTCATTAGCCTTATTTTTTAATAGCAAAAAATAAGAAAACTTTTTGACTAAATTAGGAATACTGAGTCATATAAGATAAATTGTAGTTTAAAAGAAATAGAGAACCTGGCAAATATATTTATATGACTGTATTGTGACACTGTATTTGATGTCTGTAGTAAAGATAGCTTATGAAAAATTGACCATTGCTTACCATAGTAGGGCAGGTTTTTCTCAGGGAGATTGAGTAAGACATGTTCCCTGCATAAGGACATTTTTCCTTCTTCTTTTTTTTTTTTACTGGGTGACTGAGCTCTCGCAATTATAGCAGGAACAAGGGAAAGAAAGTATTTTTTCACATTTATGACATCAAGAAAAACACAGAACATCTTGAGGCAAGGGGAGAAATATATATTCATATATCTCTTTTCTTCTCAAGAAGTAATGTAGTATATATATAAAACACAGGACATCTTGAGGCAAGGAGAGAGTAGAATGCATGTTTTTGGGCAATGCTGTATTTTCCTCTGGTGGGATTGGTTATAGGGCCCAGGTCCTAAAGGAGAGGCCTGGGGAGTTGGGTTTGGACAACTTGGAGTGATGAGCTAGGGATATCTGTATAGAGACTCCAACAGGTTGCTCATGCCAGCATTGCAGGGAGCCATGACTTTTGCTAGTTTTTCAGGGCTGTTCTTCAAATGTTAGTTCAAAAGCCTAGGTTTGTAGGCCTCCCTAGAGGACCAGCTTCTTGGGTGTTATTTTATGCTAATCAAATTCAGAATTGCTGATATATAATCAAAATGCTATACCTATACTAGCCACAACCCAGTCTTTGGGTCTTCACTCAGGGTAACCAAGCATCCCAGATTGTCTAGGATTGTCCTAGTGTTAGCACTGAAAGTTCTATATCCAGAAACCCCCCTTAGTCTTGGGGAAACCCCTCATTTCCAGGGGATTGTTGGTCACCTATTTTACTCTCCTGAGCCCCTTAGCACCTGCAGCATGGGAGGAGGGGAAATGCAATCTATGCCCTGGATGCAGATGATAAACAGCCCTCAGCCCTTGCGTAACAGTACAACCCAGGATGCACTTTCAGGGAGGAAGAACATTGCTACTTCTCAAGTGTGCCCAGATATTGCTGTTCTGATTATCTCTTGCTGCATAACAAATTACTGTAAAATGACTGTAAAAGAGGTTTAAAAAACATTACTTTATTCTCTCCTGGTTTCTGTAGGTCAAGGATTTGGTAAAGGCTCAGCTGGCAATTCTGGCTCCCTCAGTAAGAGTGGCTACAGCTAGAACAGCTGGGGACTGTCAACACCTCTGTCTTCATGTCATCTCAGTGCCTCTCCAGGGCCTCCTCTCTCTGTATGGGATAGTTTAAGCTTTCTCACAGCATAGTAGCCTCCAGGCAATTAAATGCTCAACTGGCACTTCAGAGTTCCGGAGCAAGCATTCCAACCAATAAGAAGCTGCCTCAAGTGTCACCTAGGATATTATTGCATAGACCATTTCCATCATAGTCACAACATTCAAGGAGTGGGACATAGACTTCACTTCTTGATAACTGGAATATCAACATCACATTGTAAGAAGAACATGTTGGGATGGAGAGATTATTTTACAATGTACAAGTCTTAAAACCCACCACAATTACGTTGGTTCCGAAGGTTTGAAAAATGCAGTTTTTGACTGGGCGTGGTAGCTCATGCCTGCAATCCCAGCACTTTGGGAGGCTGAGGGGAGCAGATCACTTGAGGCCAGGAGTTCGAGACCAGCTTGGCCAACAGGGAGAAACCCTGTCTCCACTAAAAATACAAAAATTACCGGGGCATGGTGACACATGCCTGTAGTCCCACCTACTTGGGAGGCTGAGGCATGAAAATTGTTTGAACCTAAGAGGAGAAGGTTGCAGTGAGCCAAGATCATGCCACTGCACTCCACCCTGGGCAACAGAGTAAGACTCTGTCGAAAAAAAAAAAATTGCATTTTTTCATTAATAAAAATAGTGATGTTGTTAAAATATATTTTTCCCATGAATTGCCATTAAGACAATTTTCATTTTGAATGCAAACAAAATGTCAGCCTATAGTTGTTTCTTGACTTGTCCTGAAATCCCTTAGTCACCATTCTTCTACTGAAGTGAATATCTCCCATCTATCTATCTATCTATCTATCTATCTATCTATCTATCTATCTATATCTGCACAGGCATACCTTAGAGATATCGAGGGTTTGGTTCTAGGCTACTGCAATACAACAGTATTGCAATAAAATGAGTTGCAGGAAGCTTTTGGTTTCTCAGTGCATATAAAGGTTATATTTATACTATACTATAGTCTATTAAGTGTGCAATGGTATTATGTCTAAAGAAAACCTTAATTAAAAAAATACTTTATTGCTAAAAATGCCAATAATCATCTGAACTTTCAGTGAGTGGTCATCTTTTTGCTGGTCTTGCCTCGATGTTGATGGCTGCTGACTAATCAGGATGGTGACTGCTAAAGGTTGGAGTGGCTGTGGCAGTTTCTTAAGATAATGTTGAAGGTTGCTATATAGATTGACTCTTCCTTTCACAAAAGGTATTTATGGCAGATATAGCCTTACAAAATGTATTTCTTAAATAATAATACTTACAAGTTGAAATTACTTCTTGATTCATGCATGGGCTGCAGAATGGATGTTATGTTAACAGGCAGGGAAACAACATTTATCTCCTTGTGCACTTCCATCAGAGCTCTTTGATGACCAAGTGGATTGTCATGAGCAGTAATCTTTTGAAAACAATCTTTCTTCTAAGCAGTAGCTCTGAACAGTAGGCTTAAAATATTTAGTAAACCATACTGTAAACAGATGTGCTGCCATCCAAGGGCTTTGTTATTTCATTTATAAAGCACAGGCAGAGTAGATGTAGCAAAATTCTTAAGGGCCTTGGGATTTTCAGATTGGTAAATGAACATTTGCTTCAACATCAAGTCATCAGTTGCATTAGCCTCTAACAAGAGAGTCAGCCTGTCCTTTGAAGCTTTGAAGCCATGCATTGACTTCTCCTTTCTAGCTATGAAAGTCCTAGTTGGCATCTTCTTCCAGCAGAAGGCTGTTTCATCTCCAGTGAAAATCTGTTGTTTAGTGTAGTCACCTTCATCAATGATCTTAACTAAGTCTTCTGGATAACTTGTTGCACCTTCTGCATCAGCACTTGCTGCTTTACCTTGCATTTTTATGTTATAGAGATGGCTTATTTATTGAAACCTCATGAACCAACCTCTGCTAGCTTCCATCTTTTCTTCTGCAGCTTCCTCACCTCTCTCAACCTTCATAGAATTGAAGGGAGTTAGGGCCTTTCTCTGGATTAGGCTTTGGCTTAAGAGAATGTTGTGGCTGTTTTGATCTTCTATCCAGATCACTCAAACTTTTCTCCATATCAATAATAAGGCTGTTTTGCTTTCTTGTGGTTCATGTGTTCACTGGAGTAGCACTTTTCATTTCCTTCAAGAACTTTTCCTTTTCAATCATAACTTAGCTAACTTTTTGTTGCAAGAGGCCTAGGTTTTTGTCTGTTGTGGCTTTTGTCATACCTTCCTCACTAAGCTTAATCATTTCTAGCTTTTGGTTGAGAGTGAGAGATGTGTGACTCTTCCTTTCACCTGAACACTTAGAGGTCATTGTAGGGCTATTAATCGACATAATTTCAATATTCTTGTTTCTCAGAGCATAGGGACACCTAAGGTGAGAGAGAGAGAGAGAGAGAGAGAGAGAGAGAGAGAGAGAGAGAGAGAAACAGCCAGTTGGTATAGCAGTCAGAATGCAAACAGCATGTATAAATTAAGTTCACCCTCTTCTATGGGTGCAGTTTGTGGTACCCTAAAACAATTACAGTAATAGCATCAAAGATCACTGATCACATAATATGTGATCACCGATCATATAATTAATGACATAATTTTTAAAAGTTTGAAATACTACAAGAATTACCAAAATGTGATACAGAGACACAAAGTGAGCACATGCTGTTGGAAAATTGAGGCCAATAGACTTGCTTCATGCAGGGTTGCCACAAACTTTCACTTTGTAAAAATTGCAATATTTGAGAAGCACAATAAAGGGAAACACAATAAAATGAAGTATGCCTCTCATCTATGTAGAGATACACACACACACACACACACACACACACACACACACACACACACACACACACCCCTACATATATTCCTCTCATTGCCCCCAAAATCCAACTGACCAAGAAGATAGGTGTTGCAAAAGTACATTTGCTCTCAAAGTAAGAATTTGGGATGTGTGTGGTGTATGTGCTTGTGTGCACATATGCACCCTGGGGGAATGGAAAGAAAGGAGCACTTGGGAGAAGAGAAGGGCATTAGTGGCACAGGGTGACTCGGGTTGAAAGGAGGCATCCACAGCAGGAAAGCGCACTGAAATGTTGGTGGCCAGAGAGGAAACTAAAAGGGAGACATGGGCAGTGGCAGCCATTTAGAAGCGAAGGATGGGCATACCTACGACATCATTCTAGTTTGGTCATTTGGTTTAAAATGTGGACACTAATGTTCTGGCCCAACTCTCTCTCTCTCTTTTTTTTTTTTTTTTTTTTTGTGTGTGTGTGAGACAAGGTCTTGCTCTGTTGCCCAGGCTGAAGTGCAGTGGCACGATCATAGCTCATTGCAACCTCCACCTCCCAGGCTCAAGCAATGCTCGCAGCTTAGCCGGCCAAATAGCTGAGACTACAGGCGTGTGCCACCACGCCCAGCTAATTTTTGTATTTTTTGTAGAGATGGGTTTTGCTATGTTGCTCAGGCTGGTCTCAAACTCCTGGACAAACACAATCTGCCTGTCTCAGCCTCCCAAAGTGCTGGAATTACAGGCGTGAACCACCATTGTCCACTCCCAGCTCTCTTATGCTGCCTCTGCCCTCCTGTGGTGCTTAAGACCCATGAGTTATTCTTTCTGGTAGCCTCTAGTTTCTCACTCCAGGGTATTAGAAATTGGGCTATTTTAAAAAAAACCCAGATGAAGTTATTTGGGGAATTTGCTGACAGCACTTTTTAGGCAATGTTTCAGAAAACATGATGCAAATTTTAATTTTTTTAAACTGATATTTCAGTGGCTTGATATATTTAATATTGCAACTTTAGTTTTATGAATCTTGCATGAGTTCTGTTGTTTTCTTGTCATCTCATTATATTAGTTTTTGAGCAAACATTTGAAAAATTTTAAAAATGTATAGTATAAGGGAAGGATTGTAATTCTGAGCCACTACTTGTTTAAAAAGGCACTTCATTTGTTTGGATTGTAGGAATATTGTAATACAGTCCAGCTAGATTCTGGGATAGATTACCGGAAAAGGGAACTTCCTGCTGCAGGAAAACTCTACTACCTGTAAGTGTTTCTAATTTTTAAAGTTTAATGTCTAATCGTTAATCAGAAAAAGAACATAAAAATAAGCAGTTTAATTATTGGAACGTGAAAGGCTGGTTCTGAAGCCCATGATTTTTAAATTGCAAATGTTCTCATGTTAACTTCTTCAACCCGTGTCTTTACCATCCATATTTGCATCATTTATAATGTGTGATTGGACAAAACCCTAATTAGTTTTTTGGGGTGGAATGATGACAGATGGTTAGAATGTAATGAGTATCCTTTTATAAGAGACTCTATTATTACGAGAATATCTTTAATGTGTGAAGTAATTAATTATTTGTGGATATCATCTGACAAGTGTGCCATTTCCGTTCCCCCCAAAATTGTTGTTTTATTTGTCAATCTGTTTGTATTTATCATTGTTGATTGACTTCCATATATAACTGATCTACAATATATATACACAAATACAACTGGATATATTTTTGTCTTTTAAAAGCTAAGATGCTCCTGAGTAGGAGCGATTTATAATAATAGGTGTATTCAGCACGTGCAGTTAATACTGAAAAACAAATATAGTTTGTTTTAAAATGTCCTTTGTGAGAACGTGAAAAGGAAAAAGTGCTTTAAAAAAGCAAACTTGTTTAGTATATGCCAACAGTGTTGGGCACATAGCAAATTCTCAGTAAATAGATCTGTCTAAGGACTAATTGTAATTTAACTAAAAGGCATGTTTCTGGTAATTTAAATTTTGATGACAACGTGCATTTGAGAGGTTGAGAAAAGTTCTTGTCTCTGCCACCTTGTAAGCAGAAGTACTTTACTGTTTTTGAAGCAGAAATTAGCTAGAAAAATCACATAATTAAAATTGCATACTTTACAGTGTACCAAGGGGACTATTTTAGTTTATTATTCAGATCCTGATGATTATTATAGGAGATTCTTCATTTGTCCTCAAGTACTTTGTCTTTAAAGTACTTTATAATTTTAAAAAATTCATAGAGCACATTTTTCTGCTTTAACTTGGACTTTTTCTTCCCAGTTTCTTTTATGTTTGTGTTTACTGGATATTTTATTTTTCTAATATTCACAGCCTTTCCCTGATTTTTTGCTACCTGTGTCTTGATATTCCAGATGTATGGTACCAATGCATTAATTAATTATTATTCTCTTTATTCTTTTTTTAAAGGAGGTAATTCTTGTTCTCTGTTTTTTTTCAAAAAGTGTATCCTCATGTGGAAAAATAAAAATATTTTCCTGATGGGGAGTTCCTTAAATAAAGATGGTAGTCTGAGTCTAAATTATAAAATTTGTTTCATAGTGCCAAAGAGGTCTTGGAAGTTACTGGAGGTGAAAAGGCTACTTTTGCTTGGAGCGTAGCCATTTTTTGTCTCTGACTTACCCTGTGTTACCCCTTCCTTTTCCTGATAAAAGTAATAGCATTCTAACCCAGTGAAGTTCAGTTTTGATCTTTAAAAATATGCTAGAGGAAAACCAACACTAACAATGTCCAGAGTCCAGGAAACCAGACCTACAAAGGACACCAGGAAACTCTGGACCAGCTTTCCTGAGAAGTATATAAATTCAAAGGCCAGGCACAATGGCTCATGCCTATAATCCAGGCACTTTGGGAGGCTGAGGTTGGAGGATCACTTGAGCCCAGGAGTTTGAAACCAGCTGGGCAACATAGGGAGACCCTGTCTCTACAAAAAATTTAAAAAATAGTGGGTGTGGTGGCACCTGCCTGTAGTCCCAGCTACTTGGGAGGCTGAGATGGGAGGATCGCTTGAGCCTAGGAGGTGGAGGCTGCAGTAAGCTGTGATCATACCACTGTACTTCAGCCTGGGCGACAGAGCAAGACCCTGTTTCAAAAAAAAAAAGTATATATATATATATATAAGTGTATACATATACACTTACATATATACACACATATATATACACAGACATATAGATATATATAGATAGATAGATGTCTATCTATTATCTATCTATCTATCTATTCATTTAATCCTCAAGGAAGATAAATTTGTTCCTGAATTTAACATCCAAAGGGCTTGACCATAGTCAAGAATAGAAAGCCTGGGGGCACCCCTCAGTCAGAGGAGAAGGCAGATATGTAAGTATCCCTGAAGAGAATTAGCAATTAAAATCATCTCAGAAGTGGGAAAATAATATGAGTTACTAAGACAGGATGCTAGAGATGTGTATTATATTGTTTCACATGAGGACTTGGGTAGAACTTCTTTCATGAAGATTTTCTGAGGTTATGTTAACATTTGATTTAATTAGGTTTCTTTTTATCTTGTTCTTGTAGAAAAACTTTTTTTTTATTATTATACTTTAACTTTTAGGGTACATGTGCACAACCTGCAGGTTTGTTACATATATATACATGTGCCATGTTGGTGTGCTGCACCCATTAACTCCTCATTTAACATTAGGTATATCTCCTAATGCTATCCCTTCCCCCTCTCCCCACCCAACAACAGGCCCTGGTGTGTGATGTTCCCCTTCCTGTGTCCATGTGTTCTCATTGTTCAATTCCCACCTATGAGTGAGAATATGCAGTGTTTGGTTTTTTGTCCTTGCCATAGTTTGCTGAGAATGATGGTTTCCAGCTTCATCCATGTCCCTACAAAGGACATGAACTCATCCTTTTTTATGGCTGCATAGTATTCCATGGTGTACATGTGCCACATTTTCTTAATCCAGTCTATCATTGTTGGACATTTGGGTTGGTTCCAAGTCTTTACTATTGTGAATAGTGCCACAATAAACATACGTGTGCATGTGTCTTTATAGCAGCATGATTTATAATCCTTTGGGTATATACCCAGTAATGGGATGGCTTGATCAAATGGTATTTCTAGTTCTAGATCCCTGAGGAGTCGCCACACTGACTTCCACAATGGTTGAACTAGTTTACATTCCCACCAACAGTGTAAAAGCATTCCTATTTCTCCACATCCTCTCCAGCACCTGTTGTTTCCTGACTTTTTAATGATCGCCATTCTAACTGGTGTGAGATGGTATCTCATTGTGGTTTTGATTTGCATTTCTCTGATGGCCAGTGATGATGAGCATTTTTTCATGTGTCTGTTGGCTGCATAAATGTCTTCTTTTGAGAAGTGTCTGTTCATATCCTTCGCCCACTTGTTGATGGGGTTGTTTTTTTTCTTGTAAATTTGTTTGAGTTCATTGTAGATTCTGGGTATTAGCCCTTTGTCAGATGAGTAGATTGCAAAAATTTTCTCCCATTCTATAGGTTGTCTATTCACTCTGATGGTAGTTTCTTTTGCTGTGCAGAAGCGCTTTAGTTTAATTAGATCCCATTTGTCAATTTTGGCTTTTGTTGCCATTGCTTTTGGTATTTTAGACATGAAGTCCTTGCCCATGCCTATGTCCTGAATGGTATTGCCTAGGTTTTCTTCTAGCGTTTTTATGGTTTTAGGTCTAACATTTAAGTCTTAAATCCATCTTGAATTAATTGTTGTATAAGGTGTAAGGAAGGGATCCAGTTTCAGCTTTCTACATATGGCTAGCCAGTTTTCCCAGAACCTTTTATTAAATAGGGAATCCTTTCCCCATTTCTTAAGATCAGATAGTCGTAGATATGCGGCATTATTTCTGAGGGCTCTGTTCTGTTCCACTGGTATTAAAAAAAAAAAAAAAGAAAAACTTATTAACTTTACCCTGTAACAGACTTTAATGTGCTATGCTAAATATTGCCCTATTAAAGCGTGTGTTTCTGTTTATTACCATCTGGCCAGACATCTGTAATCGATTCCTGAATATGCAAGTCCAGACTACCCCCTTGTCAGTTTCACTGGAGCCCCAACTGCCAGAAAACAAACAAGCAAACAAACAAAAACATAAAAAACAAAATTTTAGCTTCCTTCTAGGGGAACACCAAGCGCTATCTCAGAATTTCATACAAGTAAAATCCCACATACGATCTTTAATGAAACAGAAATATTAATCTTCATCAACTCAGTATTTTATTAGTCTGATTTCCCAACACCAATTAAGAATATCCAAAATACAATCCAAATAATATCAAGAATTACCACAGATTTCTAAAACTACCCAAAAAGTTGACATGGAGCAATTTCTGTAGTTCATAATATTGCCTGAGTCCCACAAGAACTAATTCACATAAGACATTGCATGTTTGTATGTAATATATATCACATTAAATTTAGGAATCCTAGAGTACCTTCGTAAGTAAGTTTCAGACGTTTTTGGCCCTGTAACAACCTCATATACAGCAAATTCAGAGAATTTAAATTTAGCAAGCTACAAAACAGAGACCTTGATTGCAAATATCCAAACTTTTGCATAGATTAAAACACCCCATGCTTGTCCAGTTTTTTATTCTGTACTAAATGCATGATCACTCCAGAGATGAGCACAGTTTGTTTCTTTTTTTTTATTTTCATTTTTTTTTG
This sequence comes from Homo sapiens, assembly GCF_000001405.40. Classification (NCBI taxonomy): domain Eukaryota; kingdom Metazoa; phylum Chordata; class Mammalia; order Primates; family Hominidae; genus Homo; species Homo sapiens. Next base: position 108,451,730 of record NC_000006.12, read on the forward strand.
TGGGGGACACGGAGTCTTGCTCTGTCACTGGAGGGCTGGAGTGCAGTGGCGTGATCTCGGCTCACTGCAACCTCTGCTTCCCGGGTTCAAGCAATTCTCCTGCCTCAGCTGAGTAGCTGGGATTACAGGCACACGCCACCACACCCGGCTAATTTTTGTATTTTTAGTGGAGACGGGGTTTTGCCAGATTTGCCCGGCTGGTCTTGAACTCCTGACCTTAGGTGATCCATCCGCCTCAGCCTCTGCAAGTGCTGGAATTACAGGCGTTGAGCCACCACGCCCGGCCAGTTTGTTTCTTTTCTAGTTGCTTGGTGAATAGCACTCAACAAGGTCCCCATGCTGAAGTCCAAACAGATCAATCAAGCACTGGGCTTCCATTTGCATCTGGATGGAGACTTGGACAGTAATCTATTTTGAATTGTCTGGTACTGATCAAGGGTGACCCCATCTCATGCTTACAGAGAATTTAACTGCTTCAGATTAGCTCTCTGTTTGGGGGCTGGTAATACTAGAGGTTATTATTTTATATATGCATATCTTTTTAAACAGGAAGCACCATTGCTGAAGGATCCATGATATGCTTCCCCAGGCCATTTTGCTATCCCTATTGTGAAGCGTTACTGGTTTCCTGGGGAGAGGAGTTCACATCACCCTGGACTCACACTTGCTGTCTCTTTTTTATTCCAAGGCTGAGTCCTATAGGTTCTTTTCTCTACTAAGTCTGTTGAAGGGAGGGTTCTATTCAAACACCATATCTTTCCATACTCACATACAAACACTGTGCCCTCCACACAGATGCCGTAACCTCAAGAGAAGTTTTAAACTGAACCAAAAGGGATGGGGGCAGGCATTGGTCCTGGGATTTTATTTTACCCCACTTACGAGCCTAAACCTAAAATAGGTTTGCCTTTTATTATTTCATAAGTGCTGACAGAAGACAACAGAGACCTGGGTCAGAGACACAGGATCTTATTAGCCTTGGCACAGATAGCAGTATGAGCATTAGCATGTTGTGTCAGTTCCCTCCTTGCTCCTTAGTCCCATGGAGTGGAGGGGAGGGTGTTTTGCTGAGGGCCTAGATAATTCCTGCAACAGGCAGTGAATTGTGTTACAGGAAAATAGCTCTGAGCTTGTGAAATCTGCCATTTTATAGCCAGACATAAGCAAGTCTGCTTTTTGTCTCGAGGGAGACATTGTCTCATCTTTCAAGGTTGCTCACTACACACACAACCTTGAGAAATGGTTAGGGCCTCGCATTCTTGGCATACTCAGCAAGATGTGATGGAGAGACCCATGGAGGGGCTTGTCTCTCCCAACAGGGGGCATTTACCGGACATTAGACCTTAAAGAACCGGGCTTCCTCCCTTTGTTTCAGTTGGCTTCTGTCCACTGAAGTCATCCACCACTTCAACAAAACTACATCTGAAGCACATTGTTCAGTTGCTTAAAACTTAAATTGTCTCAAGACCATTTCAATATGGGGATTTTGGATCATCCTGAAAATGGTGAAAAATCTAATTTATGGATTTTTAGATACAGCCCAAATATTCACATATTTGTGCTTGGCTAATATAATGTATTTACCCATCTTTTGAACAGATTTCAAAAAAAAAGTTTTTTCTTAAATACTTTTACTAGTGGAAGTTTTATGTCTCAAGCACTCTTGGTTTTCCACTTGGGAAATATCTATTCCAAATAGAAAATCATTTTGGAGAATATAACTTTGAACACCATTTTTTAAAAGAATAACAATTAGCTGACAAAAAGACACACAGCTTCAAGGTTATAGCTCTGTTTCAGAAGAAAGGTCTGTGAAAACTAAGACTGAAGCTTCTATGTGTTAAAACATACTTCCCCATAATTAAAAACTTCATGTTTCTTGCCTGTGATATTACTTACAAACACTCCTCTGCTCTCAACTGTGAGAATCAGATTAATGAAACTTAAAAACATTTCTTAGAGTGATCATCACATCTTCCCATACCTAAACTTTGGCTGAGACCCAGCTTCTGCCTCTAAGGTTGCCACCTTCTGGTTTAATGGAGTGTCTAGGACAGCTTGGTACCTTCTCTCCATCACCCATCATTACCATTACAATTCTGTCCCAGACACTGGAATCTGCAGTTTCAGTCTCAGTTTTTCTTACCAGTTAGACAGCTAGCCCAGTCATTTCCTGTTTCAATTCCCACTGAAGAACCTCTGAAACATTCACCAGTGCAAGCAACTTGAAAATGCTTAAGTCCGGCCCCCTTCCTTTTAGGCCGTCATTTGTTTCAATACGTTGTGCTAGACTGCCCAGAGTCCTGTAGCAGGCAGTATGCACACCCCATTGAAATATTTATTTCATCCTCTACAACAAAATTTTTATGGTCTTATGCCAAATATGAGCTGGCTCTACTCCTCCTCCAGTTCCTTAAATTCTCTCATGTGTCTTTTAGACTCCATTATATTCCTATCATTTCTACTTCTCACACTAGTTTGCATGGTGTCACAATGGAATAGTGATGGTATCAGTGGAAAAATACCACACAGTTTAAGACTATAAAATTTATTTAGCAGTCAAGGTTGCAGAAATGTATCCACATGGAGACACTTGCACAAAACAGAAGATAATAGAGCATATTCCCAGATGAAGCTGTAAGTTTTTTTGGCCTTTGAGGGCCCATTAGGTGACAAAGATAGCACCTGATCAAGATAAGGATCCCATTAGATCACCTTTGTCATTCTTAGGTGAGTGGGTTTATACCCTCCTGGTAAGTCTTGATTGCTGTGGAGACTCTGGCTATATGCCTGCCTGCTTGCCAGGTACAATTACCAGGTGCAAACCCTAAGCCATGACTGAATGTTTATTGTCAGTGTAAATCAAAGGTCAGTTTCCCATCCTTCAGCAGCACCAGTCACTGGGCCTTCCTGAAGTCTGTTCTTTTTTATTATTATTATTGAGACAGAATCTCACTCTGTTGCCCAGACTGGAATGCAGTGGTGAGATCTCAGCTCACTGCAACCTCCGCCTCCCAGGTTCGAGCAATTCTCGTGCCTCAGCCTACCGAGTAGCTGGGATTACAGGCGCATGCCACCACGCCCAGCTAATTTTTGTATTTTTAGTAGAGCTGGGGTTTCACCATGTTGGCCAGGCTGGTTTCAAGCAGTCCGCCTGCCTCGGCCTCCCAAAGTGCTGGGATTACAGGAGTGAGCCACCGTGCCTGACCCTGAAGTCTGTTCCTCAGAGAACAAGAGATAGAATTTCTGTCTCTGGCAATCAAAGAAACTGTCTACTTTCTTGAGGTTCTGACTGTTGTCTGGCTAATTCCTCAGTCTGGGGAAGGGATGAAGATATTTGGGATATTTCTGATGTTTACAGATTATGTTTTACTTCTTCTTAGCATCATGGCACAGAAGAACATTTAGGTTTTTCTACATAAGAAATAATCAGAAATGAAAATATTTACAGATGAAATAATACAATGTCTAGGATTTGCTTCAAAATAATCCAGTGTAGGAGAATTGAGGGGAGGTATAGAGGAAACAAGATTGACCATGCCATGTATTGAGTGGGTGATTTTACATTGGGGTTTTAATAGAACTATTCTCTTCACATGTGTTTATGTGTAAAATTTTTCATAATCAAAAGATTTTTAAAAAGATAGCCTTCTCTGTTTTTTTCTGATCATGCTTACTGCAGTTTTAAGTCTATTGATCTTCCCAACGAAACTGCTTTTGTTGTGTTGATTTTCTCTATTATTACTTTCTGTTTTCTATATCCTTAATTTCTGAACTTTCATTATTTCCTTTCTTCTGCTTAGTTTGGATTTAATTTGCTCTTCCTTTTCTAGTTTTTTAAGGTAGAAGATTAAGTCCTTGATTTTAAACCTTTCTGCTCTCATATAAGCACTTTCAAACTAAACTTTAGCTGCATCTCACATGTTTTATTATGTCATGTTTTCTCTCCTGATTTATTTTTTGGCCCATGGGTTATTAAAAGTGTGTTATTTACTTTCTGAACGTTTGGTGATTTTTTTATACATCTTTCTGTTAATGATTCCCAGATTTAACTAATTATGGTTACAGAATCTATGTTGTATGATTTGAATCCTTTTGAATTTATTGAGGCTTGCTTTATGGCCCAGAATATGATGCATCTTGGAACAAGTTTCTCATGCACTTGATTATGTATTCTGCTATTGTTAGTAGTGTGTACTTTAAAGGCCATTGGGTCAAGTTGGTTGACAGGGTTGTTCAAGTCTCCTATATTCTTACTGATTTTTTGTCTTCTTTTTCTATTAAGTATTGAGAAAGAGGTGCTGAAATTTCCAAGTATAATTATGGATTTTTCTATTTCCTCTTACAGTTCTGTCTGGTTTTGCTTCATGTATTTTGAAGCTCTGTTATTAGGTATATAAATGTTTAGGATTGATATGTTCTCTTGATGAATTGACCTCTTCATAAGTATGAAATGAACCTCATTATTCCTGGTAATATTCCTTCTACTATGCTTAATATTAATGTAGCCACTTCAGCTTTTTTAAAATTAGTGTTTGCATGATATGTCTTTTCTCATCTTTTTTACTTTCAGCCTATCTGTGTCTTTATATTAAAATGGGTTTCTTGTTGGCAACATATATTTGGGTATTTATTTTTTATGCAATCTGACAATCTTTTTCTTTTAATTGGGGATATTTAAACCATTTACACTTGATGTGATTGTTGATATGGCTGGGTTTAAATATACTATCTTGCTACTTGTTTTTTTTGTATTTTTTAGAAAAAAATTATTGAGATACAATTCACTCTTTTAAAGTCTATAACTCAGTGGTTTGTTAGTATATTTAGAGTTGTACTACCATCACCACTATCTAATTTCAGAACACTTTTATCACCCCAGAAAGAAACCCATAACCGTTAGCAGTCATACCTCTCACCCCTCTACCCTCTGCCAATCTACCTTCTCTATGGAATTTGCCTATTTTATACATCTCATATAAATGGAATCACATAAGATGTAATATAATCATGCACCGCATAGTAATATTTTAGCCAATGATGGACCATAGCATAGATATGATGGTGGTCACATAAGATTATAATACTGTATTTTTATTGTATCTTTTCTATGTTTAGATACACAAATACTTGCCATTATATTACAGTTGCTTACAATATTCAGTACAGTAAAATGCTGTATAGGTTTATAGCCCAGGAGCATTAGGCTATACCGTACACCACAAGTGCGTAGCAGGCTATGCCATCTAGGTTTGTGTCAGTATACTCTTATCATGTCTGTATGATGACAAAATCACCTAACAACACTCTTAAAACATATCACCATTGTTAAGTAATGTGCCACTGTATATACGATGCATATTACTTCTCAGTCTTTTGTTTAAGATCAAGTGTGTTATCTGTTGTTACCAGTTTAATACTATAAGATGTGGTCTTTGTTCCTGGCTTCTTTCACTTAGCATAATGTTTTCAAAGTTAATCCATGTTGTTTGCTTTTTGTTTTCTATTGTCCCATCTGTTCTTTTTTCCAATTTCCCCCTTTTTCTGACTTCATATTAGTTATTTTTTTAAGATTCCCTTTTACTTCTTATTAGCTATACCTCCTTGATTTTTTTCTTTTAATAGTCACTTTAGGGCATAGCGTAAGCACCTTTAACTTATCATAGCTTGCCTTCAAGTAAGAGTACAACACTTGATGTATAACATAAAAACCTATAGTATACTTCCATTTTTACTATCCCGGGCTTTGTGCTTTTATTGTCTTTTTTGTTATTTTATTATGTAATTGTGTATTTTATTATATAATATTATTATATGCAGTACTTTATTATCTTTTTAGGTTATAAACTCCATAATACATTGTCATTACTTTTGCTTAAACAGTCAATAATCCTTTAAAGAGATTTTTAAAATAAGAAAAAGTCTTTTAATTTACCTACATATTTACTATTTCTTGTATTCTTCATTCTGTTATATAGATTGAAATTTCCCCCGATATAATTTCTCTTTTTCCTAAAGGACACGGTTTAACATTTCTTATAGTAGTGGTCTGCTGGTGATGAATTTTCTCATATTAAAGTTTTTGTTTTGCTTTTATTTTTGAAAGATTTTTGCTGGCTAGAGAATTCTAGGCTGATAGGCTGGCTGGCTTTCCTTTCTTCCTTCCCCCTTTTCTTCCTTCCTTCCTCTCTCTTTCTTCCTTCCTTCACTTTTTCTCTATAGTACTTTGGCGATGTTGCTTTCTTCTCTTCTGGCTTGCATTGTTTCTCATGAAAAGTCTACTGGCATTCTTTGTCCTTCTCTGCATAAGGATATAAGTCTTATCACTGGCTGCTTCTACAATTTTATTTTTATCTTGGTTTTAAACAGTTTTATTATGATGTGCATTGGTGTGGTTTTCAGCATGTTTCTTTTGCCTGGATTTGGTTGTGCTTCTTGGATGTGTGGGTTTATAGTTTTCAATTAGTTTGGAGAATTTTCTCTTATTTCTTTACAATTTCTCCCCATCCCTTCCCCTCCTCTTCAATTTCTGGGACTCCAGTTACACTTATATTAGACCTCTTTATATTATCCCACAGCTCACTGATGCTCTGTTCACTTTTTTCATTCTTTTTTTCTTCCTGTGTTTGTGTTTCATTTTGGGTAGTTTCTTTTGCAGTGTCTAATCTGTTATTAATTATAATCCAGTGTATTTGTCCATGTTAGAGGTGGCATTTTTCCTTTTTAAAAGCTAAACTTGGGTTTCTTTCCCTTTTCTTTTCTTTTTTAAAAGGCAAAGTCTTGCTATGTTGCCCAGGCTGGTCTTGAACTCCTGGACTCAAGAGATTCTCCCCCCTTAGCCTCTCAGTAGTTGGGACTATAGACACACACCACCATGCTGCGGGGGTTTCTTTTTTATATCTTCTTTGTTCTTATACTCATGCCTTCCTCTACCTTATTGAGTATATGCAGCATATTTATAATTGCAGTTTTAATGTCTTTGTCTACTAATACTATCATCTATGTCATTTCTGGGTCTGTTTCTATTGATAAGTTTTTGTCCTTTTTATGAGCTGATTTTCCTGCCTTTCATGCTTTTTTTTTATTGTGTTTCAGATACTGTGAATTTTATATTGTCGGGTACTGGAGTTTTTTGTATTCCTTTAAGTACTTTGAGACTTTGTTCTGGGACACAGTTAAGTTACTTGGAAACAATTTTATCCTCTTGAGGCTAGGCTTTGTAAAGCAGAACCAGAGTGCCTTTATTCTAGGGCTAATTATTCCTGAAGCAATACCCTTCTGAGAATTCCACCTGATACCCTATGCTTTAGTAGGACTTTCCTCTGACTAGAGGGAACATGAACTATTCCTGGCCATGTATGAGCTCCAGGGGTAATGCTTTGTGATTCCAGTGGGTCCTCTCCCACCTGCCCGTTTCAAGTAGTTGCTTATGCATACACAGTTTAGTACTCAACTAAAGACTCAGGGAAGCCCTCTGCAGATCACTGGACTTCTGTCTCTATATCTTTTTTTCCAGTATTATACCTTGCAAATTCTAGCTGTGCTAGCCTCCCCAAATGCTGAATTCTATTTTCTCAGCCTCCTAAATGCTGAGTGTATTTGTGTCCCTATTCCTGAAGTCTGGAAACTCACTAGGCAGTAAATTGAGGCTGAACTGATTTGTTTCCCTTTCCCTGGGGATCGCTGTACTGTGCTTTTTGTTATCCAGTGTCTGCAAACCATTGTTTCATATATTTTAGATTGTTTCGGTTGTTTAAGGCAGATAGGTAACTCTGGGCCCTCTTATTCCCATCATGGCCAGAAGTGGAAGTGTCTAGACCATTATTCTGAAAAATTGGTAAATAAAAGGAAAGAATCAAGTATTTTTTCCTGCCTGTTTTAAAATAACTGATCCATAGTATAACATAATAGTTGATGAGGGGAAGCTTCTCTTTATAAAAGTTTTCTAGGTAGCAATTGAAAAAATGTTGAGAGAATTATAATAGAATTAGAATATCACCATTTTGTAAAACACTCATAATTTAATGGATCTAGTTAATGATCACAAATTCTATAATAATTGCTACAAAATGAAACCTGAATTTTATCCATTTACAGGAAATATAGGGGCAATGGAATATGTTCAATAACATCACAGGAATACATCCATCAAAATGTAGACTGTAGATTTTTTAAATGACATAAATCAATTGCTTCTTCAACAAATAAATAAGAAAGAGAGAGATGGATAGGGAACCTTTAGTTTAAAGGAGACGTAGAAACATATCAACAAATTACAGTGCATGGGCCTTATGTGGATCCTGAATCACACAAACTATAAGAATGAAAACAAAGACAAAACAAAAAAAAAGCTACAGCGCAATAAAAAATGCAAATACTACAGGATGTTTCATGACATTGAGGAATTATTGTTAACTTTGTTAGGTGTGATAGGGTATTATACTTATTTTTAAAATTTATTTTTATGGCTTTATCAAGATGCAATTTTAAATGACATAAATCAATTGCTTCTTCAATAAATAAATAAGAAAAAGAGAGAGAGATGGATAGGGAACCTTTAGTTTAAAGGAGACGTAGATAATAAAGATTAGTAGAAATTAATGAAATAGAGAATAGAAAAACATCAGGAACCTATTTGTATCTCTGAATCTAAAACCTGTCTCCTATAGACAGCATGTAGTTGGGTCTTTTTTTATCCAGTGTGACAATCTCTGCTTTTTGATTAAATTGTTTAATTCATTTGCAAATTATGTTATTATAGATGGAATTAAATTTACATTTGCTTTTTACTTTTTGTTTTCTTTATGTTTCTTGTTCATTTCCCCTCATCTGTTCTTCCTTTACTGCTTTCTCTTACATTAAGTGTTTTCTGTTTTTTGATTTTTTGAGACAAGGTCTCACTATGTTGCCAAGGCTAGTCTCAAACTCCTGGGCTCAAGAAGTCCTGGCCAGGCGTGGTGGCTCACGCCTGTAATCCCAGCACTTTGGGAGGCCGAGGCGGGAGGATCATGAGGTCAGGAGATTGAGACCATCCTGGCTAACACGGTGAAACCCTGTCTCTACTAAAAATACAAAAAATTAGCTGGGCATGGTGGCGGGTGCTTGTAGTCCCAGCTACTCAAGAGGATGAGGCAGGAGAATTGCGTGAACCTGGAAGGCGGAGCTTGCAGTGAGCTGAGATGGCGCCACTGCACTCCAGCCTGGGCGACAGAGCGAGACTCCGTCTCAACAATGACAACAACAACAACAACAATGACAACAACAAAAAGAAGTCCTCCTGTCTCAGCCTCTCATGTAGCTGGGGCTAAATCTGACTTCTTAGTAACATTTTAATTTTTTGAATAATTTTTTTCATTGTATTTTTGTTACTTTCTTAGTGAAGAACTATTTATTTCTATGAGAAATACAAAGTATTCAAACTGAGATGTCTCAGATTCAAATCAAAGCATTGTGTGTTGCCATATGTTTTTGATAAGTAGCTGATCAGTAATGGTAATGAATCTGTGCTCAAAGAACACCTGGGAGGGGGAAGGGCTCTGTGGTGGGGAAATATAGTTGGTTCTCAAAAGTAGATGCACGGTAGTATCTTTGTCATAAGAACTCCTGTTGATATTTTATGAATGAGTAAAGCCCTGTTGTACACTTATAACTGTATATTATAAACAACTACAAAACAACAACTTTTTGTTTTGTATTTTATAGGACATGATCCAGTAGGCTGTTTCTTCTTGTTTGTTTGTTTTTGAGACCAGGTCTGGCTCAGTAGTAGCCCAGGCTGGAGTGCAGTGGTGCCATCTCAGCTCACTGCAGCCTCGTCCTAGACTCAAGCCATTTTCCCGCCTCAGCCTATTGAGTAGCTGGGACTACAGGCACGTGCCACTATGCCTGGCTAATTTTTGTATTTATTTTGGTAGAGATTGGTTTTTACTGTGTTGCCCAGGCTGGTCTCAAATTCTTGGCCTCAAGCAATCCACCTGCCTTAGCCTCCCAAATTGCTGGGATTACAGGCATGAGCCACTGTGCCCAGCCCAAGTAGACTGTTTTAAAAAATTGTTTTATGTCTATTGAAAATCACAAAAGGCTGGCAGTGCACGGTGGCTCACACATGTAATCCCAGCACTTTGGGAGGCCGAGGTGGGCGGATCACGAGGGCAGGAGATCAAGACCATCCTGGCTAACACGTTGAAACCCTGTCTCTACTAAAAGTACAGAAAAATTAGCCAGATGTGGTGGCAGGAGCCTGTAGTCCCAGCTACTCGGGAGGGTGAGGCAGGAGAATGGCGTGAACCTGGGAGGTGGAGCTTGCAGTGAGCCGAGATTGTACCACTGCACTCTAGCCTGGGCGACAGAGCAAGACTCCGTCTCAAAAAAAGAAAAAAAAATCACAAAAGGCTGGGTGCAGTGGCTCATGCCTATAATTCCAGCACTTTGAGAGGCTGAGATGGGTGGATTGCTTGAGCCCAGGAATTTGAGACCAACCTGGGCAACATGTAGAGACCTCATGTCTACAAAGGTTAAAAAAAAGCTAACTGGGCTTGGTGTTGTGTGCCTGTGGTCCCAGCTGCTTGAGAGGCTGAGATGGGAGAATCGCTTGAACCCAGGAGGTCGAGGATGTTGTGAGCCATGATTGTGCCACTGCACTCCAGCCTGGGTGACAGAGTGAGACCTTGTCTCAAAAAACAAACAAAAAAAAACACTCCCGAATCACAAAATTGTACATTTGGTATAATTTAGATGTCCTTCTAAATCTTTATTAATTAATCTTGCATTAACTCAAAAACTACTGAACTAGAAATTAATTTCACTATTTGAAACAGCACCTATAAAGTGGTACAGCAACAAAAGAAGTCCATCTAATATAGACTTCAGTACCAGGTTCCACCAGTCAGTTTAGTATGCCTTTTATCTCCTATTCCTTTATTGAATAGTGTTTGTTTTCCAGCAGGAGAACCAGAATAGAGCTGGCCCACTAAATCCAGCTAAACACATGGACAAAATATCCAATTGTATGGCCACAGTCATCTAGTAGAGTGTAAATAATAATTGTGTATATATATAATGTGTATATTAGTAGATAATATGTATTCTTACACGTATAAAAATACGGAAGAGGGTATTTAGATTTCCTTAGAATTTTCATTGCATTATTTCATCTCCAAATAGATCACAGTTATAACTGAAGATCAATCTGCTGCATAAGAAAAGCTGATCTGGCAAAAACCCTAGGTCTTTAGTTATTTGCTGTGTTCATTTTTAGCTATTAAAACTCCCTGGCCTCAGCCGGGTGCAGTGACTCACGCCTGTAATCCAGCACTGTGGGAGGCTGAGACTGGGTGGATCAATTGAGGTCAGGAGTTCAAGATAGCTTGGCCAACATGGTGAAACCCCATCTCTACTAAAAATACGAAAATTAGCCAGGTATGGTGGTGCATGCCTGTAATCTCAGCTACTCAGGAGGCTGAGGCAGGAGAATTGCCTGAACCTGCAAGGCAGAGGTTACAGTGAACTGAGATCACGCCACTGCACTCCAGCCTGGGTGACAGAGTGAGACTCTGTCAAAAAAAAAAAAAAAAAAAAAAAAAATCCCTGGCCTCTGGCCTCTCTTTCCCAAGTGGATGTGACCATCTTTTTCTCCTGAAGAGAGGTTAGAGCTTTTTACTCTCCAACTTCTTCTCCCTCCTTTTTTTTTTTTTTTGAAATCTTCAATCATTATATCCTTTCTGAAATTCCATTTTAAAAAGAAGTATTTTTATATCTACCAAGTTGCAATTCTAGATGTCATGGTACTGATTTATTTGGGGAAAAATACAATATATAGATTTGATAGAAATTTTATATGGGAGTTTGTGGCTGAGAAGAGGAGGTGAAGGTCTGGAATTTGAGAGCTAAGGGTGCTAGATACCACTTTCTGCATAATGTACAGGTCAAGATTAATGGAACCAGGTAAGTTACTCTCCAGGTGATTGAGAAGGGTGGGAAATTTAGAGACTGAAATGGATCTCTGAACAGTCAGTTAAGCCTTTGAGTGATTGAGAAGATAAATACTCAGACAAAATCCATTCTAACAACTGATTTCGTTATGTAAAACAAACCTACAGGATTTGAAATGCAACCAAGTCTGTTTTATATTAAGGCAAGTATAAACCAACTTAATTTTAGACCTGCCTCCAGCCCCAGATTATGTTTGGTATAAGGACAAAGAGCTGTACAGCATGAATGCGCAGGCAATCAGTAGAGTGAGAAGGCTCACTGCCAGGGAAGTTTGGCAAAGAACTCTAAGAGGAAGGGGAAATTTCTGCGTCGAATCAACTTTGGCTCTCTGGAATAGAGAACATGGAGAGAGAGGGACTAAGGAAAGCCAACCCTATTCTACTTGTTGATACCTTAACAAGCTGTTGATTTTTGAAAAGGGATAAAGAAGCAAAGTGTGGGTAGCATTCTGTTCCCTTGAGTCAATCCTAATGAAGTAGGAGGTTCTTGAAGAAATTAATTTCCATTTAAATTCATGCGTGACCCTCTTCCAGAAACCCCCAAGTGTTTTGGAATTTTTGTTGAGAATTTCAAATGATCCAGCAATAATAAGGTCTTTTTTGACATGTTCTGTTTCTTTGAGAGTCTAAGTTTTATGTTGAATGCCTGATTTTAGCTGTAGAAATTTTCTCAAAATGGAAATGACTTGATTACTTTCCTCTCTGTTCACTAATTTAATATGGAAAAATAAATCATGATTCTCATACTCGCAAAGCACTCAGGCTTTTCATCCAGGGTACTGTACTCACAGGATTCCTGTAGGAGTCGATGCCAAATTTCCTGGCAACTGAACAGTGGTCGATTCCAGGGTTTTTCTGACTTAAAGACACAGTGGTACTACTCAATAGAAAATAGAAACCTGCCCCTCCGCTGCAGTTTCTGAGTTTAACAAAAGGTGACAGAAGCAATGAAATGGATGGGTTTTATCAGGGCATTGCACAACAAAAGAAAAAAGAGCCCATCTTCTGTTGAGCTTTGCTCCTCAACCCTACCTCCCAACCCCCTCCCCTCAAAAAACAAAAAACAAACAAAAAAAACACTTGAAAAGAGTGACTCTGCTTCTTCATCAGATATGACTTCAGTTTCTTTACTGTGATCAACGTTTGATTATCAGTGGGTAGACTTTCTTGTTTGCATTGTCTGCACAAAGGCCTACTTTATAGTAGCATCCCACTGATGGGGCAATTACTCAGAATGGAGCTGTTTCACAGGAATGAAAGGAAGTCACTTAAATTCTTTATCCTTACTCAGTGTCTGTCTCTCCTTAGGAGAAGGAAGAGGAGATGATTTATAGCAACTGAACTTAATTTATTTATTTCCACCTGATCATTTTTATGCTACCCAGGTCACTATTAGTCAAGATACTCTTCTTTGTGGTTAAAATGGAATTATACAAAGCTGAACGGGATATTTTCTTCTATGCTATGTGACATTATATTCTTGTGGCCCCAAAAGAAAACTCTAAATTTAGCTCCTTATTTACACTGAAAAAGAAAATCATGTTAAATTTAGTGCCGTCTTCATGCTGTGGTCTTTCCATACAACTACTGTTGACTACCAGATGTCTCTACTTCCTCAAATTTTACTGGTTAGGCTGGAATATCTTTCAATTATGTTTACAGTTTGAGTTTAATTTTAATCACTGTTTGTATTTTTATATAATCTATATCCTTGCATATTTTTTGTACATTTGTTTTTCATATAGGCTTGTTGCTGACCTTAGGTCTTATGTCCCAAATACCAGATTTTTAAAAATGAGATAATCCTGGTCCTTCTTTAGAGCCTCACAAGCATGGATATATTTCTGAATAGAGATTTTTAGTGTAAGGCAATGTTACTATCTTTTTAAATGGTTTCACTACAGAACTAACAAGAGGGCCCTAGAGTCATAGAGTCACTGCTGCTGCTGCTGCTGCTGCTGCTAAAGTTTTTACAATAAAGTTGTGTTCTTAAATTTTCCTACTTTAAAAAGTGAAGATATCTTGAAGCACGGGTTTTAAAATTTTATGTGTATCATGACAATTGAGAAAATGTTTCTAGATTAACTATTTTGTTTATTTTTAATTTTTAATTAGTTCTTTTAATTTAATTTAACTTTTTTAAAGAGTTATGTTTAACACTTTAAAACATAGTGACACTTTTTTAAAGTGTCACTATGTTGCCCAGGCTGGCCTCAAACTCCTGGGCTCAAGTGATCCTCTTGACTCAGCCTCCCTAGTAGCTGAGACTATAGGCATGAGTCACTACACTATGGATTAAGTCTTTTGTTAAATTAAATTACATTTGTGTTTTTATGCCCAATCCTTGTTAAAAAATAAACTTGAGGCAACTTATATTGAAGTCATTTATAATTTATCCACCATAATCACTAAAATGGAAGAGATGGAAAATGCCAAGTATTGGCAAGGATGTGGAGAAAATGGAACTCTTTTTTGTATCACTGGTGGGAGTATAAATTGCTACAACCAATTGGAAAACTGGCAACATCTCCTACACTGAACATAGGTATACCCCATATGCAGCAATTCTAGCCATATGCCCAACAGATATGTATATATGAGTTTACCAAAAGGAATGTACTAGAATGTTCATGGTAGCACTATTCACAGTATCCCCAAAATGTGAACTACACAAATGCTCATTGTTGTGGACTGAATTGTGTCCCCCAAAATTCACAGGTTGAAGCCCTTACCCCAGTGGAACTATATTTGGAGATAGGGCCTTTAAGGAGGTACCTAAGATTAACTGAAGTCATAAGGATAGGGCCTTAATCCAATAGGACTGGTGTTCTCATAAGAAAAGGCAGAGACCCCAGGAGTGCGTGCACACAGAGGAAAGAAAGGCCACATGAGGACATAGTGAAGGCGGCCGTCTGCAAGCCAGAAAGAGAGCCCTCACCAAAAATCGATCCTGGCAGCACCTTGATCTTGGCCTCTAGCCTCCAGAACTGTGTGAGAAAAAAAAATTATATATATATATTTTTTAAAATATATTTGTTAAAATATATATATTTTAAAAAATATATATATTTTAAACTATATATATATATGTTGTTTAAGCCACCCAGTCTGTGGTATTTTGTTATGGGAGCCCTAGCAGACAAATGCACCCATCACCGGTAAAATGATAATAAATTGTGATATTTTTATGCAATACAATACAGTGACAAAAATAAACAAACTACTTCTACACACATCAATATAGATGAATCTCACAAACATAATATTGAGTGAGAGAAGTCACATACATGTGAATAAGGGAAATGAGCTTATATGAAGCAATATGTACTTATGCCCAGCTTGAAATTGATTTAGGATGCACTCTTAGAGATTTGACCAATGTCAGTGCAAAATCAAAGAATTTTCCTGTGTCTGGAATATTTGTCAACCAGCAAAGATCAGGACTGTCAGGGTAATTAATGCATTGTGTTTCAGAAGTTTTTAATTTTAAAAATAATAACTTTTACATATTAAATATTTGAGGTACTTACTTTTTTTTTTTTTTTGAGGTGGAGTTTCGCTCTTATTGCCAAAGCTGCAGTGCAATGGCACGATCTTGGCTCACTGCAACTTCCTGCTTTCCGGGTTCAAATGATTCTGCCTCAGCCTGCCAAGTAGCTGGGATTACAGGCCCCCGCCACCACACCTGGCTAGTTTTTTAATATTTTTAGTAGAGATGGAGTTTCGCCATATTAGCTAGGCTGGTCTCAAACTCCTGACCTCAGGTGATCCACCCACCTCAGCCTCCCAAAGTGCTGGGATTACAGGTGTGAGCCACTGGGTACTTACATTTTAAAGTAATTTTTACTTAGCATTTATTTTGTGTTAATGGTCTTATGTTTTCCACTTTACATGTCTGTATCAGGTAGAGATCACTTTTACATATTATTGCAACATATAATCTTGTCACAGTACATTGATTTATAATAGTGATAAGCCATGCATTTATTATTATACTGTTATTTTACAGAAAACTACTGAATATAACCCTATGGTAGAGAAATGATTCACTATTATTATGGGCATGCATTATTGTTTGAAAACACATAAAATGTAATAAATACAGAATAACTTATGGTTTCAGGATATTTTTTAAGATTAGTATCTATTGGGAATTTGGGAACATGTTTTCTGGGATTCCCCAACTTGCAGCTTTCCTCTGGTTATTCATGTCAGAAGACTGCAGGTTTTCTACTGGAGTTTTAGTTGACCTGAGCAGTACTGACTGCACTGTCTTCAGTCTGAAAGCTGTAAGACTGGATAACTAACCCCATATTTATCCCTTCTCCCAAGTGTCAGCACCCCACCAGAATCTGTTCACTTCTGTCCACTGTCCCATGCCTTCAGATGCCTGTTTTTATATTTTTCCAGAGTTTACATATAGTTGTTATCAACAGGGAGGGTTGGTTGAAGCAGAGCCAACTTGGTCCTATTAGAAGCAGAACTCTTCTCCTTGTTCTAAATAGAACACACCCTTGAGTATCATCCTGAGAAGGGTACATGGGAAATATATATTTTGAAAACTCACATGTCCTAAAAATGTATTTGTTTTACTTGATTAATAGTTTGAATGATCACGGTTATCACACAATAATATTCTCTTAGAATATTTTAGACACTATACCATTATCTTCAAGCTTCCATTATTGCTGTTACAAAGTTGGATGTGAATCTGTTTCTTGACTTTTTATATTTGACCTGTTTTTTCCTCTTGAAGTTTTTAGAGTAGTCTCTTTGTTCCTGGTTTCCTGAAATTGCATAAGGATATGCCTTGGAATGGAGCTTTTTTCCATTCTTTGTGCTGGGTATTCATTGAACCCTGTCAGCTTTAGAAAGTCATGTCCTGCAGTTCTAGGAAAGTCAATTTTATTCTCATTCTTTTCTTCTCCCCACCCCTCCACCCCACCTCATATTCTCCGGAACTCCTCCTGAACTTTGTGAATTGAACTGAATCTTGTGAATTGATCTTCTAATGTTCTTTTGTTTTCTCTTCTATTTTCCTTTTTTTTTTTTTTGGTCTTTTTGTTCTATTTTCTGATATGACCTCAACTTTTTCCTTCAATCCTTTTCCTGCATTTTGGATCTAGCAGTCCTATTTAGAGCTCTTCCTTATGCCTTTGTTGTTCTTTTGGTTTGCAGCATTCTTCTTTGTCTTGTGGGTGCAATATCTTATTCTCTCCAAGCATATTATAGTGTGTTCTTCCCTTTCTGCTCTCTTATTTTTTTCTTTGCTTCCTCCAGGGTCCTTTTAAAAATGTCTTTATTTTGGGTCTTTGTCTTTTACCTTTGGAAATACTTGGTTGTCCATTCACATGTAAGAATAAGGCATTAAAAAGCTAATCAGAAGTTCTGAGTGCATAAGCAGAGTTTTATTGATTGGTGGGCTTCACTGGAGGGTGATAAGGTGGCTGGTCATGTTTTTCACTGGAGATCTCCAAATGTGAATATCTGTAAGTCTTTCTTTTGGCTATTCAGTTTCCTCCAAAGGTAAATCTTTCTGTCTAATTCCTGGGATAGAAGTTTTGCTGGTAGGGTTCTGGATGCTGAAAAGGTACAGATTGTTAGTTACACTATTTAATATGTAGGATTTTATACAACTCAAGGGACATTAAAAAAAAAGAAAAGAAAATTTTAATGTAGGCTTTCAGTATGGTATCTCTCCCTTTTTCTTCATTGTTAAATCTACCCCAGCTGCTAAACTTACTGTTGTGGGTAATGACTGTCTGGCTGGTTGTGTGAGTGATAAGAAGACAGTTGTGGGTAAAGAAAGACAAATGTATTAGAGAAAGTATGAAAATACGTTGTAAGGGTGCAACAGGCAGGTCAGCAAGAAAGAAGGTGGCTGCAAGGAGACAGAGGCTTGCTGGGGATTTTATAGGCTGGTACTTGTGCTGTGTGCTGAAGAGGGCTTTGTGCAGTGATAATGCCAAGGTTGCAGTGAACTAACTTGCATTTTTCTATCAACTGAGTGGCTGGTGATAGCTGGGCATAGGAGGATTTTGAGTTATTTGCACAGGAGGAGTATGTGTCCTGGACCATCAAGAAAGGCAGACTTATCTGCTTTCTCTTTTTGCTTTCCTCTGGTCCTGCCAGCCTGACTTTTTTCCCTTAATTAGAATTCCAGACTTGCCAGTTTCTGCTGGAGTGGAGGAGGGCAGGAATCTGGCTATCCAAGTGGAAGGAGAGAATCTAAGGAACTGTCTTTATCTTATTTTCAAACAAATACCCGTTTGCAGCCTAACTCCTCACCTGTACATTCAGCTGTATCTGCTAGTGCCAAGCCTTTGGAGAGTTCTTTGGTGAGAACTGGTCTGCTTCATTTTGGCTCTGTATTCCACCTCTCACCTTCTGATTTCCCATCAATTAAGGTTCTGCTCATCCAAGTAAGGAGAGCAATGCCAGTCATTCCTTCTTCTAGGCTCCCTAATGTTTCCAAGTCATTCTCTTAGAGAACACTTCCCTCATCACTTGCCTTTGGGGAGGATAAGTCGTCATCCTCTTCTTTCCCAAGGGGAAGGCAGGGAAAGGCTCTTATCACACATACTATACCCAAAAGCTAGTGACTGTTGTTCCATTTCCCCCTCCTTATAAAGACACTGTGTTGTGGGGTATAACAGGAGATGGTGGAGGAGGGGTGGCAATAGAAGTGGCACTGCTTATATAACCATGAGGGCTTATATAGACCTAGTGGCTGTTGGCACTAGGTGGCTCATTGGCAGTTCTGTTTAGAAAGTAGGGGGATACTTAACACTCTAACCATCAACTTTGTGCCTTAATTGTAATTCTAGGACAAGAGGGAAATATTACACTTACAGAACTGCTTACTCTTCCATTGTATAAGTGTATCCAAATGTACTTAACCAAATTCCCCATTGTGGGACATTTCTTTTTCACTTTTGTGATGCTAGGAACAGTATTACAGTGATCACCCTTGTAGTAGTTAACCATTATTATGTCCATAGGTAAAATTCCTATGAGTTTCATATTTCATAAAAACATACACATTTTTAGTACTTTCATTAAATATTATCTGTTTGCCTGAAATCTGGTACTATTTTTGTACTCCTCCCAGCTGTACATAAGAGTGTTGTTTGAGATAACTGAACAGGAGGAGATCGACAGGAACATGAACAAGAACTCATTCACATGTTAGGAGGGTGGCACAGCCCAGCTCCAAGGGGACAGATACTCCTGTGCTAAGGACCCTTGCAGAGCTCATTGTATGTATCTCTTCATTTGGCTGTGTATTTATTTTCTTTAAGATATCCTTTGTAATAAACTATTAAACAAGAATCTTGGTCGACCAGCATCTTGGTCGACCATGAGGAGGGAGAAATGTGAGGGCATGCTGACAGAATCGTTTCAACTCTTCTCAATTGATCATCTTCCTAAAAGGTGACTAAGTGGAATGTAGTGAATGTGAGTGAATCTTTCTTGAGGGTGAGATTTGAAACCTCTGGAAATAATTAATGAGAACATAAAATTCTCAACCTTCATAACTATGACGAAGGCAGAGACACCGTATAAGACTGAACTAAATACCACTGGCCCCAGGACTGGACCTGATCATTTTTCTTGGACTAAACCTCTGATGCAAATATGTTTTTATCAATACTCTTGGATCTCCCATCACTCCTAAGATAGTATTGGGCCATAGAAATGAAATTCAGAATGTTTCATTTAAATTGATGTTCTATCGTGTTCTTCTTCTTTTTTTTTTTTTTTTTTTTTTGACACTGTTGCCCAGGCTGGAGTGCAGTGGCATGATCTTGACTCACTACAACCTCCCCCTCCCAGGTTCAAGTGATTCTCCTGCCTCAGCCTTCCGAGTAGCTGGGATTACAGGTCCCGCCACCATGCCCTGTTAAGTTTTGGTATTTTTAGTAGAGATGGGGTTTCACTATGTTGGCCAGGTTGGTCTTGAACTCCTGACCTCTTGATCCGCCCGCCTCGGCCTCCCAAATCCATCGTGTTCTTATTAAAAATTTGAAAACATGCTGCCTCCTATTTACACCAGAGGATACTTCGACAAGAAATATAATTATGGGACCATGTTTTCATCTTGCCTTCTTGCTTCATTCCGAAACTTGCTTACTCTTCTCTTTTCATATTCCCAAGTTCCTCTGGAGTCATTATACAGAACAGAGCATACTGGGAAAGCATTATGTTAAAAAGTATCTAAGGACGCAGTGTCCATTGATGGATAAATGGATAAATTGTGGTCTATATACACAATGGAATATTATTCAACCTTAAAAAAGGAGATCCTGCAATTTGCAACAACATGGATAAAACTGGAGGACATTATATTAAGTAAAATAAGCTAGATACAGACAGAAAGATACTACAAGATCTCACTTGGATATGGGATCTTCTAAAAAAGTCAAATACTTAGAAACAGAGAAATCAAATAAGTAGAAATAGAATAGAGCAGTCATTACCAGGGATGGGGGTTGAGTGAGGAGAAGGGGAAGGGATGAGGAGAGGTAGGTCAAAAGATAGCAAGTTGCAATTACAAAGGATGACTAAGTCTAAAGATCAAATATACAGCATGAGGACTATAGTTGAAAATAGTGTATTGTATACTGGAAATTTGCTAAAAGAATAGATTTTAGGTGCTCTTACCGCCCCCAACCCCTCACACACAAAAGGTAACTGAGATGATGGATATGTCAATTTGATTGGCTGTAGTGATAATTTCACTATATATATCAAAACATCATGTAGTACACCTTAATATATACAACAAAAAAGTTTAAAATATTTTTTTAAACGAATGTCCATTTGCTTAGGATAGTTTATCTTTTTCCTTCTCTCTGCCAATTTGGATAGAAGAATGGCATCTTATTATTT
Source organism: Homo sapiens (assembly GCF_000001405.40). Lineage (NCBI taxonomy): Eukaryota > Metazoa > Chordata > Mammalia > Primates > Hominidae > Homo > Homo sapiens. Next base: position 108,472,612 of record NC_000006.12, read on the forward strand.
TACTTTGCATTTGTTATTACTTGTTAAAAACAGAATGATTTTACATATGCTGCTTGTTCACCGAGCTATCTTTTTTTTTTTTTTTTGAGATGGAATCTCGCTCCGTCGCCCAGGCTGGAGGGCAGTGGCACAATCTCTCTCCCTCCCTCCCTTCCTTCCTTCCTCCCTCCCTCCTTTCTTTTTCTTTTCTTTTCTTTTCTTTTTTTTTTTGAGTCATGGTCTCCCTCTGTAGCCCAGGCTGGAGTCCAGTGGCATGATCTTGGGTCACTGCATCCTCCACCTCCCAGGTTCAAGGATTCTCATGCCTCAGCCTCCTGAGTAGCTGGGATCACAGGCACGCACCACCATGCCGGCTAATTTTTGTATTTTTTGTAGAGATAAAGTTTTGCTGTGTTGGCCAGGCTGGTCTCCAACTCCTGGCCTCAAGTAATCTGACCACCTCGGCTTCCCAAAGTGCCAGGATTCTAGGCATGCGTCCCACGCCTGGATTACACCAATAAAATTTTTTATTTTGCATTTTGTAACTTCTGAGTGATTATAATAGAATTCTTATAAGACACTGTTATAACAAAAATAATTTTGTGATATTTCACATGTAATTTCACTATATAGAAAATCAAGTATTGTAATTTCACAGGTGACTTAGGAGAGGTGACCTGATTGAAGTTTAGTGAGTCACATTTTGATAATATAGTATATACGAGACCATAGAGTAATAAAGAAATCACCACTGAGGAAGATTGCAAGGAATTATTTATTCACCAAATATGCTTTTGGAGGCCTGTCTTCTTTCTTGGTTGTTTTTCAGAATTCAGTTTTACTCCTATGTTGAGTAATGTGCCTGTCCTAAGGAAAGATTAACTTTCTAAATGACAGCAGACCATACTGAGTGGGTGGTGTTGCTCTCTTTTCGCTATGTTCCTTAAAAAGCAGCTCACTTTTTTAAAATTTTTTTTATTTTTTGAGACAGAGTTTTGCTCTTGTTGCCCAAGCTGGAGTGCAATGGCACAATCTTGGCTCACTGCAACCTGCGCCTCCCGGGTTCAAGCGATTCTCCTGCCTCAGCCTTCCGAGTAGCTGGGATTGCAGGCGCATGCCACCACACCCAGCTAATTTTTTGTATTTTTAGTAGAGACGGGGTTTCACCATGTTAGCCAGGCTGGTCTCGAACTCCTGACCTCAGATGATTCGCCCACCTCAGCCTTCCAAAGTGCCAGGATTACAGGCGTGAGCCACTATGCCCGGCCAGCTCACTTTTTAAAAATATATATTTTATTTTAAGTTTGGGGATACATGTGTAGGATGTGCAGATTTGTTACATAGGTAAATGTGTGCCATGTTGTTTGCTGCACCGATCAACCCATCACCTAGATATTAAGCCCCACATGCATTAGCTATTTATCCTGATGCTCTTCCTCCCTCTCCCCCCGGCTCCTGACAGGCTCTGGTGTGTGTTGTTCCCCTCCATGTGTCCATGTGTTCTCATTGTTCAGCTTCCACTTTAGAAGCGAGAACATGTAGTGTTTGGTTTTCTGTTCCTGTGTTAGTTTGCTGAGGATAATGGCTTCCAGCTCCATCCATGTGCCTGCAAAGGACGTGATCTGCTTCCTTTTCTGGCTGCAGAGTATTCCATATAGTCTATGTGTACACATTTTCTTTATCCAGTCCATCATTGATAGGCATTGGGGTTGATTCCCTGTCTTTGCTGTTGTGAATAGTGCTGCAACAAATATATGTGTGCATTTATCTTTATAATAGAATGATTTATATTCCTTTGGGTATATATCCACTAATGGGATTGCTGGGTCAAATGGTATTTCTGGTTCTAGATCCTTGAGGAATCACCATACTGTCTTCCACAATGGTTGAGCTAATTTACATTCCCACCAACAATGTAAAAGCATTCTTATTTCTCCACAGCCTTACCAGCATCTGTTGTTTCTTGACTTTTTAATAATCGCCATTCTAACTGGTATGAGATGTTATCTCATTGTGGTTTTGATTTGCATTTCCCTAATGACCAGTGGTGTTGAGCCTTCTTTCATATGTCTGTTGGCCGCATGAATGTCTTCTTTCAAGAAGTGTCTGTTCATGTCCTTTGCTCACTTTTTGATGGGGTTGTTTGTTTTCTTTTTTCTTGTAAATTTGTTTAAGTTCCTTGTAGATTCTGGATATTAAACCTTTGTCAGATGGGTAGATTACAAAACTTTCTCCTATTCTGTAGGTTGTTTCTTCGCTCTGATGATAGTTTCTTTTGCTGTGCAGAAGCTCTTTAGTTTAATTAGATCCCATTTGTCAATTTTTGCCTTCATTGCAATTGCTTTTGGTGATTTCATCATAAAATCTTTGCCCATGCCTATGTCCTGAATGATATTGCCTAGATTTTCTTCTAGGGTTTTTATGGTTTTGGGTTTTACATTTAAGCCTTTAATCCATCTTGAGTTAATTTTTATATAAGGCATAAGGAAGGGGTCCAGTTTTGGTTTTCTGCATATGGCTAGCCAGTTTTCCCAGCACCATTTATTAAACAGGAAATCCTTTCCCCATTGCTTGTTTTTGTCAGGTTTCTTAAAGATCAGATGGTTGTAGATGTGTGGTCTTATTTCTGAGATCTCTGTTCTGTTCCATTGGTCTATGTGTCTGTATTGGTACCAGTACCAGGCTGTTTTGGTTACTGTAGCCTTGCAGTATAGTTTGAAGTTTGCTAGCGTGATGCCTCCAGCTTTGTTCTTTTTGCTTAAGATTGTCTTGGCTATATGGGCTCAAAAGTAGCTTACTTTTAAGCTCTTTTTTTTCTTTTTTTGCTTGTATACACCAAAGGTGGTGTTGGTTCCAAATGAATTCTCAAGAATAATGTCTAAACAGACATGTGCTTGGCATGACCATTGACATTTACATTGGTTTGTGTGATTTCTTTTTCCTTTAAGATTGTTTCTGTCTCTAAAATTACTTTCTATAGTGTCATTTCATTATTTTAATACCACTCTATTTGAATATGACACTAGACCTCATGGAAGTCAAATAGCATTTCTCCTGCAAAGTTGACCATTGCAAATGATGTTTTTAATGTCCTTTGAGGTGGAGTGGTTATTACTTGGAATGTGACAATTTCAAACTTTTCATAATAACTATATGCTTTGTTGCATTTTAAAGACATTTGCTCTAGAACAGTTGAAGAATTGGGTGCTTGTGTATTAAATGCCTACCACCTGATAATTATCTCAAGGGAGAATTTGTTTAGTTTAAGCTTAATCTAAATAAAAGATAACCTGTCACACTAATTTTCAATAAGACTTTAGTAAGATGGATGTCCAGAATTTAGTTTAATTGCTTCCACTACTACGTAAGAGTGATCTGTGTGTCAAAATTAAGCATATTGGCAGGTCAACCTGTAAAAGTTTGTATGTGGAGTTGAAGTAAACTTACATTTTTACTTGAAGCTCTTTTTAACAGTTTATTTCTTCTGCCAGTTATTTTATTGACTGTTAATTTACCACCCCTCTTAAAAAAAAAAGGCGAGAGGAAAAAGGCCATAGCATCATCTCATTTATATATGAGTTCCCTAAACCATATGGTGATTTCTAATTAGAATACAAAAGATTCTGTGATGAGACTAACTTCATAGTAGCTGTAACAGTGGGCATCACAGAAGGAGAGAGTTTTCTTCAATTTCCAACAAGGAGACTTTTGAGAGAAACTGTGTGGTCTATAATTGTCCTTATACTAGAAGTCTGACAAAGTTATTGATGTGCAGATCAAGTTGGCATTTCGAAGGTAGTAATTTAATTCTGGAGGTTTGATCCTCTCAGTCAGTGGCTTGACTTGATTTTTTTAAAATGCAGCTTCAATATTTAATTTCACATGTACCCTCTCAGTAGAGATTTCAAAGGATACTTTGCTGGATGCTTGACTGCCTTGTCTATTTGCTCTTGTTTTGCATGCAAGAGAGAGCCAGAAGCTTTCTTCTCATTGTGTACACATGGTATTAATGGATTTACTCTGCCTGTATCGTCTCATTACTGGAAACAGCTAGAAGCACAGAAGTCTTTCAGTGTATGCAAATAAGGCAGAATCATCTACCTGAGAGTTAATATTCTCTGCTTTTAAGTGTATTCTAAATCTAATGTTTGTATTTAGAGCATAACATCCTGTTCTTTTTTTTTATGGGCAAAAAGCTAAGCAGTCTCAGGCAGCTGTTTGATGTTGGCTTCAAGTGTTATTAATTTCATATTCTATTATTCTTTTCACTGTAGCACAAGTGAAGCTGATGTGGAGGCTGTCATGGATAAGTTGTTTGATGAGCTGGCTCAGAAACAAAATGATTGTACGTAAGTTAATTTCTCTTGAAAGAGAATACATTTAGAACACAATGCCCAATCTCCACTGACCAATTAATAAGTTCCATTGCTGTATATGGGTTGATGCCACGCTCAAGTGGCAGTCATTGTATCAGCATTTTGTCTAATTTATGTGTTGAATCATGTGCTATTATTCATCAAGCTATGCATTTCCTATCTGTAAGAGATGAATTTTATAGTAATTATCCAGACAAGATTGAGTCTTTGTTCATGTTCCCATAGTAACTAGACCAAGGATTCTAAAAGTGCAAGGCAGAGAGCTGCGCCTGAATAAAGCCTGTGGAACCGTTGCCGACTGCACATTTGAAGAGCTGTGTGAGAGAGTAAGTATCCAGGCACGTCCAGACTCACTGGCCTTTTCACATGTTAAAATACTTCGTGTTTTCCTCTCTGCCCATTTCAGATTTTAAAATACCATTCACAGAGTCAGAATCGATTTAAAAGTCTCATTAAGGGAAATACTCATCTATTTTTGCCATGTGCTTTTTATAGATATTGGCACAAAATTTGCACTTAGAGGGGCTCTAATGCAAAATTAGAAATGCAGAGAGAACTGTCAACTGTTGCTAGAAGCAAAAATAAAATCAGTTTTGGGGCTGTTTTGTAAAAGTCAAACATAAGAGATTTTGGAAAAATATTTGAGGTGAGAGTTAGGAAAAAGGAAGATGAAATAATGCTATCATGATCCAAGGAAGCATCACATAAAAGAATTTCCACTCCTTGTACTGATTGCCCATCTGATATTGCCATAACATTGGACCTACTAGGGCCAGGGTCAAAGAAGGTGAATTTCTATAACTGTGGCATCTATATTATATATTAAATAATATGTTCAACAGAGAAAAAATGTTTAGCTGTATATGCACACATTCATATAACTGAGAAAGATCTTGACTGCAGATTCATTATAGATATGAATTCTGTCTTTTAAAAAATCTGGAATTCTAAGTACTTCAGTGGATATTCAATGTATTTATTGATTGCAAATCTTGAGGAAAACAAATCCAAATTAGATATAATTTTAAGCATAATTTTTCGATTGACATGCTTAATTTATCATTCTAGCTGGTCTCTGATTTATCTTGACTTTTAGGTAACTAAAGAACAGTTGCTTTTCAGTAAGGGAAAAGACAAAATACTTATACCTGCGGCCATTTTATGAGTGCTTTTCTTAAAAGCTAGTGACGGCCGGGTGCGGTGGCTCGCGCCTGTAATCCCAGCACTTTGGGAGGCCGAGGCGGGTGGATCATGAGGTCAGGAGATTGAGACCATCCTAGCTAACACGGTGAAACCTCGTCTCTACTAAAAATAGAAAAAATTAGCCGGGCGTTGTGGCGGGCGCCTGTAGTCCCAGCTGCTGGGGAGGCTGAGGCAGGAGAATGGCGTGAACCCGGGAGGCGGAGCCTGCATTGAGCCGAGGTCGCTCCACTGCATTCCAGTCTGGGTGACAGTGCGAGACTCCGTCTCGAAAAAGCAATTATTTAGCACTTCAGAACCAGCATAGTTTAGGATCAGTGAGGATCCTCCGACAGGGTGGTAATGTTGATCTCTGTTAGTGAAAGTCATTCTGGGTGATACGGACCTTTCAGACCTCTTCTGGATCAATCTTTAAGGTCCTGATAACCTAACATCTCCTGACAAAATTCTATTAAGGCTCCCACTTAGGTCTGACTTATTTTGCAAGGAAAATAAACTTGAGAAGAATCTTGTATATCCAAAAGATGAAGCTCCTCCACTTTCTGCAGAAGAGGGGAACGGGAAAAGACAGGCCTGTTGAATCTTGGGGGAGGAAGGAAAAGATGGTCTCTTTTGGAGCAGACACTGAGTTTTATCCACATTTTAAAAATATGCTCATTGTTTTAGGAGTTTTAGTAACAGGAAAAGGCCACTTATCAGGAACCAAAATCTTCAGTTTATTTACTGTCCGGGGGTGATGGGGAAGAAGATTGATTGAGACTTTATCTTGAAAAATGAAATAACACTTATAAAAATAAATTGTTTTGTCTTATTTGACAAAAAATATGGATTATAATAGCAACTACAAACTAAACTCTTAGATTAAACAATGAACAAGTGCAGTGGCATGATTATGGCTCACTACAGCCTTGACCTCCTGGGCTCAGGCAATCCTCCCACCTCAGCCTCCCTGGTAGGTGGGACTGCAGGCACACAACGCCATGCTTGGCTAGTTTAAAAAGTTTTGTAGAGATGGGGGTCTTACCATGTTGTCCAGGCTGTTCTCAAATTCCTGGCCTCAAGAGATCCACCCACCTCAGCCTTCCAAAGTGCTGGGATTACAGATGTGAGCTACCATGACCAGCCTTGTCAATTATTTTCTTTTGAAGTTTTTGTGATGTTATTATTTGTTGATTTTTTTTTTCTCCAAGTTGGCCAGATCTTCATTTGTCAGTGAGTTTGCATGGACAGGTTTGCCCCTTATCTAGACTGTAATTGTGGGGTGTTTACTACATTACACAAGCACTGAATGACCTGCAAAAGGCATTGACGTGATAAGTGGGGTTAGGTCGCAGTGTTAAGCTATGAGGGATCTTTCAGGAAGGGCTAAGTTTTTAAGTAGCTAGTTTGTTTATGACTATTTTCTTGTTATGATGATTTTGCATTGCTTTGCAACCTTGTAACTGCAATTCAGATATTGATTTCTTGCATGAAGAGGACAATTGAAATCCCTCAACTTCAGATGTAGCCTAAAACTCTTAATGAGTTATAATGATCTTATGAGCCAGGCTAAATAATTGCCAAAAACCATTAAGTAAAGATAAAAACACATCCAACCTAAGGTAAAGAAGCAGGCATCTATCTGGTGTGCCTGGGACAGTCCCAGCTTTGGATCATCTATCCTAATTTTCTAGAAGGCTCTTGAAGCCCAAGACTTGCCCAGTCACCTGATACCATCATGAAAAAGTCTTTGGCAAGGAGTAGATTGGTTAACAGTCCATAATGACTATTTTTGAGCCATGGCCCCTTCCAAGGAAAAAATAATACAGAAACTTACCTGTGTCTTGATAAGGTAAAAGAAGGTTTAGATTGGAAGCCCTTGACATATGCCATAAGTAAAATGAAAAAGCCTGACACATTCTGCTGTTTGCACACCTCTTCCCTCACTGTTCCAAGCACAGTTCCTCAGATTTAGAATCCTGCAGGTTAACATCTAGCTTCTTGGTATCTCCTGGATTCTCTTTCTTCGTAAATTTGTAATTCAGTACCGTCATGTTCAGCAGTCTGAGTTAGGAGACCCTGCAACACATACATAATAATAATAATGAATATAGCCACACATCAGGTATCATTCTAAGCGCTTTTATATATTAACTCATTTGATACTTACAATAGGTAGGCACTAATATTGTCCCCATTTTATAGGTAGAGAATTTGAAACACCAAGATGTTAAGTTACCTTCCCAAGGTCACAAAGCTAATAAGTGGTGTAGCCAGAGCTCAAACTTCTTGGTAGTTTGGGAGTCAGATTCTGTGCTTTTAATCACTACATTGTATCTGAAGATGTTCTGGACAAGTTTTTCCTCAATCTTTAATATACTTTGGACTCTATCTTAAAGTGTAATCATTTGGGAGGCCGAGGCAGGCGGATCACATGAGGTCAGGAGTTCAAGACCAGCCTGGACAACATGGCAAAACCCCGTCTCTACTAAAAATATAGAAATTAGCCGGGCGTGGTGGCAAGCATCTGTAATCCCAGCTACTCAGGAGGCTGAGACATGAGAATCATTTGAACCCAGGAGGTGGAGGTTGCAGTGAGCCAAGATCACACCACTGCATTCCAGCCTGGGTGAGAGACTCTGTCTCAATAAATAAATAAATAAATAACAACAACAAAAATAAATAAAGTGTAATCAGATAATTTGTGAATTCTCACATCTGAGCTAAGCTTTAAGAATTTTATGGAGCATGAAGCTGAATGGGGAACAGACATCCTCCAGTCCTGAGAGCCTCCCTCTGTGTTGAAAACCTTAGTACGGACCTGCCCAACTCATGTGTGTTGGCATACCCACTGGGAAGTCCAGCTACGAGCCCCTCTGCTCTTCTGAAGGCTGTACCTCCAGGGTTTGTGGCTCCAGGCAAGAGGCCCCAAGCCTTAGGCAGCCTCATCCCTTTGCCCATTAATAAAAATACTTTCTCTTCCTGCCATGACAAAGGTTGGGAAGTGCTGCCTTAGAGAAGTGTGGGAGGGTGGAGGAGAATATGTTTGGGTGGTCTTTGTTCCCTGCCGTTCCCTCCATATCAGAGCTGTGGCAAAGGAACATGAAGCAGATCCATCTCTGTGGACATGACATGAGCTTTCAAGTTTCCTTTCCTTACCTTGATACAGCTACTTGGTTTAATCCAAGGGTAGTGGAGAAGTCAGAAATATGGTTATTGAAGACAGTGGTTCTCAAAATGTGGTTTATAGACCTCTAGGGGTCCCCGAGACCCTTTTAGGGGTCCTGGGAATCTAAACTCTCTGTAACACTTCTTGGCTTTTTCACTCTGGTAGTATTTACAGTAATGATGCAAAAGCACTGATAGGTGAAACTGCTGGCACCTTAGCAGGAATCAAGGCAATAGCACCAAAAAATACTATATTTTTCACTGATCATATACTCACAGTAAAAATAAATAAATAAATAAATAACCCAGTTTCATTTAAGAATATCCTTAAAGAAGCAGTAACAATTATTTTGTTAAATCTCAACTTTGAGAACATGTCTTTTGAATATTCTTTGTGATGAAGTGAAAGTACACGTAATAAAACACTTCTGCACTATATCAAATATGAAGGCTGTCCTGGGGAAAAGCACTTGTACGGTTGTTAGAGTTGCAAGCTGAACTAGCCACTATTTTCACAGAATACCATTTTTACTTGGAAGACTGCTTGACAGACAAACTATGGTTATTCAGATTTGGCAGACATTTTCTCACAATGTTTGACAGACATTTTCTTGAAAATGAATGAAATAAGACTGTCATTTCAAGGAAAACAACTGACAATATTTGTTGCCAGTGATAAAATTTGAGCAAACAAGTGAAAATTAGAATTTTGGAAAACTTGTTTCTGCCATCATGAGCTTGACAGCTTCCCAATTCTTAAACATCTTTCAGATGAGATTGATGGTGATATTAACACATGCAATGTTTTGATAATTGTTTAATTAAATGTGTCAACATTTGGAAGATCTGCATAACTCAATGAACCAATACTTTCCAATAACCAATGCTTGCTCTTACAAAATCATACATGACAAAAGATCTACTTAAAGTGCAGGAAAGACTAATGGATTTTAATATAACAGAATTCAAAAAGTATACTGATACTACTTCAGTTTCTACATTGCAACTAACAGTTTAAAAATGACCTCCTTTCAAGTTAAAATTTTTTAATAGATTCTATTTTTTAGAACAGTTTTGGGCTTATGGAAAATCAAGACTCTAGTACAGAGAGTTTCCATATACTTCCTAATCTAGTTTCCCCTATTAACATCTTACATTCATATGGTATATCTGTTACAATTAATGAACCAATATTAATATATTATTATTAACTAAAGTCCATATTTTATTCAGATTTCCCTAGTTTTTACCTAATGTCCTTTTTCTGTTCCACAATACCACATTACCTTAGCTATGTCTCCTTAGGCTTCTCTTGGCTATGGCAGTTTCTCACAGACTTTTCGTTTTTGATGATCTTGACAGTTTTGAGGAGTACTAGTTAGGTATTTGTAAAATGTCTCCCAACTGGGATTTGTCTGATGTTTTCCTTATGATTAGACTGGAATGATGGTCTTTGGGGAATAGACCACAGAAATCAAGTACTACTTTCATCACATCATGTCAAGGATTCATACTGTCAACATGGCTTATAAATGTTGATGCTAACCTTCATCATACTTGTCTGAGATAATGTTTGTCAGGTTTTTTTTTGCCCTAAAGTTATTCTTTCTCCCCCTTTCCACAGTGTACTCGTTGGCAGTAGCTTCTTGTTGAGTTTTCATGTAGCATCAAAGAATATCCACAATTATCTGATAAGGCTATTAAAATACATTTCCCTCTTTCAACTACATATCCACATAAGGCTAGATTTTCTTATATACTTCAACCCAAATAACTGAGTTGCAATAGATTGGATGTAAAAATGGATATGAGAATCCAGTTATTTTCTATTAATCCAGATATTAAAGAGATTTACAAAAATGTAAGACAATGCCATTCTTGTTAGTTATTTTCATTTCAAAAAAACAGAAGTATTTTTTCATAAAAATGTGATTTGTGTTAATTTGATGGGCTTAATGTAATGGCTTTATCATTGTTGCTTTAAATGAATTAATATTTTAAATTTTTCTCAGTTTTAATTTCTATTACAGTAAACACTGGGAGAAATAACCCATATAAGCAAACATTCCTTGGGTTCCTCAATAATTTTTAAAAGTATAAAGGAGTCCTGGAGCCAAAAAGTTTGAGAACTCCTTGCTTTAGGCTTAAACTTTCATGGACCAAAAATGAAAGAATCCTACCGAAAGAAAATAAGCCAAAGCTAAATTCTAAAGGCTTAATGAGTAAACTGACTAGACCTGAATTTTCCTTGTTGAGAAATATAATTTTTACACCTGCAGAAAATTTTCCTTAACTGATAACTGCGCTCAAAAGTAACTGTTTGCAAGAGCAGTTTGTTATTTGTGTCTTAAAAATAATGACAGGTGGCCAGGTGTGTTTGCAAAAAGTCTAGGCAGAAAAATATATCAGTTGATGCATATGCATGGGTGTACGCATTGCTCACTATCAACTTCTTGTTTATTACCTTTCTTCTTTGGTTTTTAGTACTCAGGAAATGAAAGCCCATCACATAAGTGTATTGGCCTCCATTTTTCTATTAATCTTGATTATATCATATTAGTGTATATATCCTTAGACTTATAAGTATACCATATAGTATCCCTTCGGGAGCTGTTAAGTGACATTTCCCTTCTCTTGCTCTTTTTATGCTTTATTTAGCTTTATTCCAAGTGAAACCACTGATTGGGAGCTACTTCTGGTTTGTGTCCTGTGCTTCATTCACTCTCAGTAAATATCATACTAAAGGATGAATAGCTTTTATCTCTACTACTTGGCCAAGAGTCAAGGCTGATGGTGTTGGGATGCCAACAGTGGTAATTAGCATCAAGGAATAAGGGCATTAATCACCAGAGCTGAGGCAGCCCAGGAATCTCCTTGGCCTTTTACCTTCCCAGAAGCAAAACCATTTTTATAGCATTGCTGATCTGTGTATGCTCATTTCCCACATTTCCTGATTTCTGGCCTTGCCGTGTCCAAATAAGGTAGCCAGCCAGCCTGGCCACAGCATAGTGACAGGGAGGACAGAAATGAGATTGCAAAGAGCTTAATAGAGAATGGGTCAGATTCTTGTAGGGAGGAATATGAATCCATTGTCACAAATGAGCCATAAGTCTTTTGTCTACCTTTCCCCATCCACATTCCTAGTCAATCCTTAAACTAAAGAGTCATAGTCTTGGTGTTGCCAGGCACCTCAAGGGTCACCTTATCTAACCGTTCAACCAACCCTGAATCCTACAAGACCCCAGGCCTCCACTTGCCTTGCAATGCCAAATTGGGGAATGCAGTTAAATATGTGAGAAGAAATATAGGACATGTTCAGATAGGTGCAAAATTTTACCATACACACCTAGACCTAGCCTATTTCACGAGTCCTCAGAATGATAAAGAAGGTTTTTGGAATAAAATCCCATAATTGACTTATAATTTGATTTTAAAAAGTAAGATGTACATAAGTAACTTCTTATATGAATTTATTTTGTTCTGATATTTTATACATAAAAGAAAAAGTGAACTCTCTGTAAGACTGGAGATTGGACTGAGGGATCCATTTTTGCTAATTGTTGATTGATTATATCTTCCAAAGAAATCACTGTATATCAGGTTAAAAGTTGTTGATTTTTTTTTATATCTTACTATTTAAAGGAAAAAGAAATATCTGAAAAAGAAGGTCTGGATTAGAAATTTGAAAACTGTAGCCTCTTAGAATAATTGTGAACGTTTCCATGATGAAAAGGGAGTGAAGAAGGATTAAAGGAATGAAGAGAACACCTTCCTCCTTTCTTCACTGGCAAATTTTCTGTAATAGGACACATAGTGGGGCTGGACAATCCTGCCCAGCTTCTGTTCCCAAACTGAGGCAAGAGCAGCTTCTTAGATGATGCCACTCAGGGCTGCACATTTTAAGCTCTGCAAGCCATGGACTTCTCAGACTCAGCAGACTGAAGCTCCTCTGCAGGAGAAAACGTGCTTTCATTTTCTGTGAATATATTTATGTCATGTTGTTAGCTGAAATGGTTCAAAAATATTGTCTCTCCTGTAATGGGGAGAAAATGCCCAAGGATTCCCAGAGGGTCTCAATGGAAGAGTAAGTGTGCCAAAAACTGTATACTTTCAATATGTTCTCCATAATATTATTTTGAGGATTGGATCTAGTAGTAGACACAAGTCCTCATGTTTGTTTTCAGGTCACTTCTACTCTAGGAAAGTATGAGAAACTAATATTTAATATTTGCCTCAGTCTTTGAGAGGAATATGTCATTCATTTGCTGAGACAATAATTAAGAAGTGCAAAGATTAAGAAATACGAATTTAAATATATATATATATATATATATATATATATATTTTTTTTTTTTTTTTTTTTTTTTTTTTTTGAGAGAGAGGGTCTTGTTCTTTTGCCCAGACTGGAGTTCAGTGGTGTGATCACTGCTCACTGCAACCTCAGCCCCCCAGGCTCAAGCAATCCTTCCCACCTCAGCCTCCCAAGTAGCTGGGACTACAGGCGTGCACCACCATGCCCAACTGATTTTAGTATTTTTTGTAGAGACAGGGTTTTGCCGTGTTGCCCAGGCTGGTCTCGAACTCCTGGCCTCAAGCAATCCACCCTGCCTTAACCTTCCAAAGTGCTGGGATTACAGGCATGAGCCACCATGCCCATGGTCATTAATTTTTTAAAAATAGAATTTGTTTTTAATTTAAAGATAAATTATCTCATTTGACTTTTAGTAGTAAATGTATCAGAGCTCTAAATAATAATTAAGAATAGCTCTCTAAACAGAAGACCTGTATGAAGAGATTGGTAAAGTGCTGAGAGAAAACAAGTCTAATTCAACCAATTAATATGAATATAAAACACTTTAAAAGTACTTGTTTGATTTTTTTAAAAAGCTTTAACACTGATGGTTTTTCTATTGCTTACCTGTCAACTGGCCTGGTTTTTCTTAAACAGAAATTTTTTTTTAATCAAGTAGTCCTTAAGTGTTTGTTTCCTATCATAGAGTATGATTTGCCATTTTCCATAGTACCTTCTCCCAGATTAGATCAGTTGACCCAAAATTAGTAATTATTTATTACATTGCCAATTAGAATATTTAATAAGGTACATTCCATTTTATCACTTTGAAATATATTTTATGGAAAAAAGTTTAGAAATTGTTAGAATATGCTATTTTTGTTTTTTAAAATGGCTTGGTGAAGATATTATTGAGTCAGGCAAAAGATTTTGAGAAAAAACTAGAAAGGAGCAAAGGAGCCATAATATCTTAAGAATTATAAGATTTTCACATATTTTAGGGTTAAATATTACTTCATTCTTTTCTCTTTTATTGTTAATCAAGAAATATATGCTATGTAAGATCCAGCCCTCCAAGATTACTACATTGACTTTGGTCAGCAACTATTTCTTTTTCTTTTTCTTTTTTTTTGAGACGGAGTCTTGCTCTGTCACCCAGGCATGATCTTAGCTCACTGCAACCTCCGCCTCCCAGATTCAAGCAATTCCTGTGCCTCAGCCTCCCAAATAGCAGGGATTACAGGCACACCTCACCACGCCCAGCTAATTTTAGTATTTTTAGTAGAGATGGGGTTTCACCATGTTGGCCAGGCTGGTCTTGAACTCCTGACCTCAAGTGATCCACCTGCCTCAGCCTCCCAAAGTGTTGGGATTGTGGGCATGAGCCACCATGCCCAGCCAGTCAGCAACTATTTCTTAAGTACTTCTCTATCTGTATGCCTATGTTATGAGGAATATAAAAGAAGTCAGTAAGAAGTTTCTCTCAAAGAGTTTACAGTTTAATAAAGGAAATAACATAAGCCAAATATTATACAGCGAAGCAGAGTAGAAAGAGGCCCAACTGAGTCAGGAGATAACAATTCCAGTCATTAACTCAAATACTGTTTAGCTGACACTGGGCGCTGTGGCACACACTTGTAGTCTCAGCTACTTGGGAGGCTGGGGCAGGAGGATCTCTTGAGTACAGGAGTTCTTGGCTGTCCTGTGCTATGATCATGTCTGAGGATAGTCAAGGCACTCCAGCCGGGGCAACATAGCAAGACTCTGACTACCCCCACCAAAAAAAGATACTATTTTGCTGAGTTGCCTTAGGCAGATCACTTAACCACTTCACCATTCTGGGTCTAAGTTCCTCACTTGTGAAATGCATGATGTGATCAGCACATTTCTGTCATTCCTTTTATTTTATTTCATTTTATTTTTATACCATCAGTTTTGATGAATACTGATCTGTCATTCCTTTTAGCTGTAACAGTCTCCTTTAAAGAGCAGTGCTCACTAGTTAACTACATAATATGAGTGTATCAGGAGTTCAAAGTAAGGATGCTAAGGGTTGGAAAGGCTCCAACAAGATATGAGATTTAAAGAGGAAATTGACCTTGACCTGGAAAGGTGAGCAGAATTTAGATGAGTGGAGTAAAAGTATTTCAACCATAATCAGAAGCCAAGCATCACGTGTTTCAGGAGGACAGACTGATGCCTAATGAGAGCAGAGTGCATGTTGGGGAGGAAAAGGAAATAAAGATGAAACAGATCTCGGACAGATTCTACCATCAAAATCAGGCAGAGAAATAGTCTTCTTACTGTAATCCAGAAAGAGTCATTTTAGGTTTTGAGCAGGAATGTGGTACCTAGAGTAATGTTTTAGGAAGATTAACAGGTCAGTATACTCTGGGAGAGGTTGTAACTTTCACCAACATGTCCAGTGGACCAGCAAGTAGTGTCTCCTCTTGGGAAGATCCTTCTTTCCAGAAGGAAACTTGGTTAAATAAACTAACATGCTAGATATTTGTTTGTTCCCTTATGCAGGGTAACAGACACAGTCCTACCCTTTTAATATTTTACTCACACTTCTCCCTAATCATCCACCAAATATTTATAGAGTACTTAATAGAAGGCTGTCATATTTCTAGGAACTGTAGTGGGTACCAAGATGTGAGTAAGAGTCTCCACTTTTATGGAGTCTTAATTTAGAAGAGAAAATGAGGTCAGTACATAGATCACTAGAATGTGAGGCAGATTATAATTAGTACTACAGGATCAGTATGACCAGAATGCTATGGATGATCGGAGTGGAACTGGGCCTTGAAGGCTGGAGGGTTGGAGATTCTGTTGGTGCAAAGGTTGGGGGGAGTATGAGGCAGTAGCTGTTTGGTTTTTCCTAAGCAAAGGAAATCATGAGGGGCATCTTTATCATCTCTTCCTTCTCTGAAGTTTTATGTTTCTGGGGAAAACACAAGAGTTGGGGCTGGGCGCAGTGGCTCACGCCTGTAATCCTAGCACTTTGGGAGGCCGAGGTGGGCAGGGCAGATTGCCTGAGCTCAGGAGTTCGAGACCAGCCTGGCCAACATGGTGAAACCCCATCTCTACTGAAATACCAAAAAAAAAAAAAAATTAGCTGAGTGTGATGGCGCACATCTATAATCTCAGCTACTCGGGAGGCTGAGGCATGAGAATCACTTGTACCCAGGAGGCCAAGATTGCGCCATTGCACTCCAGCCTGGGTGACAGAGCGAGACTCTGTCTCCAGAAACAAACAAACAAAAAACCGGAGTTGGCAATTACAGAGTATATTCAGAGAACTACAGACTCAGAAAGGTTCTACTTCCATTTATGTCAGAGTAGCTCCTATTTGATCAAATTACCTATTGATCACCTCTGCAAACTCTGGACAAAATCTGAAAAATAACTATCCAGAAGGCACTGCTTATCAAAAGCAGGGAGAAAGTAGAGCACAGCCAACACTTGGAAGAAAGGATTGATACTGGTGAGTTTCTCATTTTTATAGTTTTTCTCCTGAGGGCAGATCACAGTTAGTCTTATACGGATGTCTAAAACTCAGTAGAAACCTGCTGTTTTTAGCTCGAAGAACCAGAGAAGAGCAAATCAGTGACCATAACAGCTGGAAAGTATAAGGAGAAATCTGGGAAAGGAGAGAACCACAGAGGAATAGCCTGAAATTTTTCCTGTAAACTCTGCCCAAATCTTGGGCTGACCTGTGAAATATACATACACAGCAAATGCTAAAATAACTGAACGGAGATTTTCGCTGCTACGCATCATGGAGGAGACAGAGTTTGGAGCTTGAGGCTAACCAAGTTAATTACCTGCTAACATAGCAACAACAACAAAAAATCAATATACTTAAGAATCCCAAGTCTCCACGACATACCATATACAGTGTCCAGAATACAGTCCCAAGTTACCATGCCCCTCATCAGGGTACATGGCTGGACAGAGTATGGACTGGATTTCAGCTCCTAATTGCTGCCTCGAGGAGGGGCATGAACCAGGTATACTTGAGAGATTGCACGAAACAAGATAAATAGAAGAGAAATCAGAGGATAGGGCATGGAGGAGGTCAGGGACGAGGACAAGCCACCTAGGGCTCCAACGGTTTCAGTCTGAATAACCAGAGAAATGGCAGGACCCTTAACAGACAAACCAAAATGCTACAGGTAGGAGAACGGGGCTTACAAACAGTTGGAAATTTAGGACTGAAGATAAAGATGTAGAGGTCATTTATAAAGGTGTGTTAGTTTGGAGCCTAAAGGAGTCAATGACATCATCTGAACTGACATAGAAAAAGGAAGAGATGAGGGTGTGGGTGGGGTTGAAAAGTATGTTTTCACTAGAGTCAATGGAAGGAAACAGAGCCAGAGGACTAGTATAGTTTAATCAAAGGCACAGGAGAAACTATACACGTTCCTCACCATTTTACTGAAGACTTTTAAAACATAGAATTAATTTACTAGGCTAGGCGCGGTGGCTTACGCCTGTAATCCCAGCACTTTGGGAGGCTGAAGTGGGTGGATCACAAGGTCAAGAGATGGAGACCATCCTGGTCAACATGGTAAAACCCCATCTCTACTAAAAATACAAAAATTAGCTGGGTGTGGTGGCGCATGCCTTTTAGTCACAGCTACTCGGGAGGCTGAAGCAGGAGAATCACTTGAACCCAGGAGGCGGAGGTTGTAGTGAGCCGAAATCACGCCAGTACACTCCAGCCTGGCGACAGAGAGAGACTTCGTCTCAAAAGCAAACAAACAAACAAAAAAACAGAAGTAATTTACTAGATCAGTAATATCTTAGGGTTTGGATGTTACTTTGTAGAAAATCTTAATATAGTAAGCCACTGTCATAAGTTTATTAATTACCTAATCTTACTGCTTTTTAGCCTTAGCATATGTGAAAAACTGTAAGTTGTAAATTACTATACACATTTACATGGGAATATAAAAATTATCTTGCATACATGTTTGTACTGTCAATTTCTTTCCTGAACTTTCTGCATTGTCTCCCTATCATGTCCTATATAAATCCAAATAGTTACATAGTCACATCATCCGAACTGCAGCCTTTGCAATGCACTTCTTAATCTCCCCCTTCACTGCTTTATTAAAGCCAACGATGCTTTGTCTTTCTCAGGCTACTTCTTTATGCCAAATTCCATTCAATTTCGTGTTCATGAAATAGATTTCTACTTCCCTACACTGGGCTATTTCCCTCTGTTGAAAACCCACCTTCTCTAAGAATATCTCTCTCTACTGACGGATGCTCAGTACATACTTGGTAACTAACAAAATCAAAAGAGGCACTGCTGTTTATTATCTGAAGTTCTTACTGACATTTTATTTCCCTGATTCTCTTTTGCCTCCTGTTTAACTGAAAGCAGATGAAATAAGCTTTAAGCAGAAATAGAATAATTTTAGCATGGATTTATTTATGTCTTATCTGATTCCAAAAAGTATTTTATATGTGTGTACAGATACACACACACAACCATATACACACAGAATTAAATTTTTTAAAAATCAGGACAAAGGGAAAATAATGAATACTTAAGCTGAAAGACAGAAAAGTTAATATACATAAATCTACATCATAAACTTCTACATAGTTCTTAAAATCAAACAATTAAGTCAACACTCAGCCTTCTATCAGCCAAAGAGGGGAAAAGATATTCAGTAAGTTAGAAGATAAAAACAAACCAGTTACTCAGAAGTGATGATTTTTACTGGCACTTGTACCTTTCATAAATGGACTTCTGAAAGATGCCAGGAGACATTTCCTCAGCACCATTCCTGCTGCCGACATATGCTTGTATCTGATAGATTCTTATATCCAAGCTGAAAACATAATGACAAAGTAAAGTTTAATGAAACTATGCTATAAGGGCAAAAATAGTACTTTACAGCTGAGCTTTTCTCTTTATTTATCTGGCTTGATCCAGAAAAAATAGTTCTAAATGTTTAGAGATTGAATAGATGCATGTTATTCCGGCCTTTCATGGATGTTTTTATCTTTTAATAAAATTTGGGCAGCAGATAATTCAAGGTTGTCTTTTGGCAAGAAGATGAAGTGAATAATTCTGTTAGTCTTACTCATAGTTTGAAGGGCTTGGCCCTTTATTCCAGCAGCACGGGGAGATATTCAGTCTTGCCCTGATTCACTTTTTAATATCTTTTGAATATGAATTAGAATTTTTAACTGAGTATTTCCATGATTTGGAAAGCAGAAGAGTGGGAGGAAGAAAGCAACTCTTCAATATCCACTTCTTTTCCAGCTCTGATTAAGCTTTTCAAATATCCAAGCCTGAGAGAGTTCCATTTCTTTCCAATGGACTCTCACAAAGAAAGCAAAACAAACAAAAACAACAGCAAAAAGCAAAACAAAAGTAACAAAACCTCTGCATTTACAAGACTTTAACGTGTTCAGAAGTTACAGTTCTCAAATTTAAAATAACTTCTTAGCTATTCTAAAGCCTTTTCTCCTTTTTCATTTTGGGATCCTAAATATCTCTTTTTGTGCCACTTAGCTCTGATTTCCAAAGGAAAAAGTTAACACTGGTTCACCTTTCATGTCACATGCACATGCAAGACTGGTGTCAGAGAGTCTAGAACCTGACCTTGCACTATGCAGCTCATCTTTCCCATTTCTTCTGGGTAGATCTCAAAGCCAGACAAATGTACAAGTCTTTCCTCCCAAGGAGATGTAGCAAATACTGCCCTCTACTGAGGGTACAATCAGGATGGCTTGATTATGTTAATGATTAAGTACTGATTTCAATGATTATGGTAGAATAATGCTGGTACTAATTACTTCATCATTATTATATACTTTCTTATTAAAATCATTATATTCAGAAAGAGAATACAAAAGTGGTGGAAACATATTTCAGCCTTGGCCACATTCACTTATTATGTTCTGTAGTCTGGACAATCAGATATCACAGCACTATGTCTGAGGCATTCATGATAATGTTTAAACTTCCTTCTGTTTTGAACTAGCTAAGAAAATACCTTTTCCAGTGGGAAATTAGAAGGAGTTATTACAACATTATTTTAACAAAGGAGCTTGTGAAATAATTCTAGCAACAGTTGGGCTATTTTTCTTCCCCTTGCCAGTATTTTTTTTTTGTATCTACTGGATTGCTAATATTCAGAGTAATTTCACAGGACTAGCTATTAATGCAGTTACAATAAATTTTTTCTTTGTTCTTTATGACTTTAAAGGGTGAATTGTACATGTTTAACAGTACAGGATCATGTTAAAGTAAATGCCTTTTAACAAAAAGCTTCTCAAAAATATTAAACTAACCAATCAAATAATTATACACACACACACACACACAGAGAGAGACATACATTTGTAACGGCATGTTTTTAAAAAATGTTATATTATCTGTGTTCCTGGATCTGGAAAGTATGGGTTCTTTTATTAGGCTAAATGCTTACTGTAATGTACTATCCAGCTCACTTGTGCTGTTCCTGTTTTTCTAGAACAGGGTTTGCTTAGGATTGGCCTGAAGCTAAACAAATCTTAGCAAGGGAGCCGTGAGAATCAAAACCTAGTGATCCGAAGTGTTCCCACAGCATCTGATAAACTCCAAAGCTTAAACCTCTGGTTTCTTTAATTCAGAAACCTTAGATACTGTGAGAACTAGGAGGAGAGTCGAGCCAGGCTAAATCGTCTGGTGGTGAAGATAGCTTCCAGAACATGGTGAGCCAAGGTGTGTGAAGACCCATTTCCTCCAGCCTCACAAACCAAAGCAGCAGCCTTGTTCTTCACAGACTCCCTCTGCCTTCTGACTGCCCCTCACACTACAGTTAAGCTGAAAACTTAAGCTGAATAAAGAAGCTAGGCAAGACTTTCTAACTCTAGAAATATGGAGGGTCTTTCTGAGTGGGGGCTCTGAGCTACACTAGCTCATTTGCTGTTGTTAATTCTGTTGTACGGTCGAACCCAGTTTATCCCATTTCCAAAAGGAGCAACTTGACTTCTCCTAGATTTTAGATGTCTACCAAACAACAGATACCAGGTAATTAGCAAGGTATAGTCTGGTTCATTCAGTCCCAGGTGGTTAGTACAACCCATTCCACTAATTTTTACCATGTCGTGGATATGCTTTTGCAGTTGTTATGTATTGTCTTGGAGTTGTATTGATGCTTACATTTAGCGATGCTCATTAATGATGATGATGCTAATTAGGACGATTTCCTACTTCTTCATCTTCTTTTTCTTCTGTTTTTGAGACACAGTCTCACTGTCACTCAGGCTGGAGTGCAGTGGCATGATCTCAGCTCACTGCAACCTCCGCCCTTCAGGTTCAAGCGATTCTTGTACGTCAGCCTCCTGTGTAGCTACAGGCCTGTGCCACCATGCCTTGCTAATTTTTGTATTTTAGTAGAGATGGGGTTTTGTCATATTGGCCAGGCCAGTCTCGAGCTCAAGCAATCCGCCCGTCTCGGCCTCCCAAACTGCTGGGATTACAGGTGTGAGTCACCACACCTGGCGTCACATTTTCATTTTGGTTTTCTGTTTTTATGCCAATTGTTTCCATCCCCGCTCCCCCTGCTCCCCTGCCCCAGTGAGTCCAGCACGGTGCTTTTCACCTGGTAGATCTGATTCGATAGACCTGACTTGATGTGGCTTGTGTCTTGAGAAAATTGTCAGTTTCAGGATCCCCAGAATTAGACATCTCCAGAATTTGGAGATCTCTTTATTACATACACAAAGCTGGTCGAGTAGAGTAGAGGAGTGTACCCTCCTCTAGTTTGTCACATTGATTTTTTTGTTAAGTCATTGTTTCTACAAGCAAAATATGCCCCCCCCACCCCGCAAAAAAATACTGTATTAACCATTAAAAGGGGATGAGAATTTAGCAAAAATCTGGCAGATTTAGGTAGAACCAACCTCCTGCCATTGAGACTGTGTAAATCAAATGGCAAAACTTTCCCTCAGCACTCCAAAGAACACCCTGAGAAGCAGAATGTGTTAAGAATTGGTGATATTTTCTAGAATGGTGAGATATTTCCCAGCTGGGTGTTTGGACTTCATATTCGTGAGATTTCTCATATTGAGGTGCCATATGAATCTTGGGAAATTATTTACTCTGCAAATACACACATTTCAGTGCTCTGCTTTTCTTTCTTTTTTTCTTTTCTTTTCTTTTTTTTTTTTTCAGACAGAGTCTTGCTCTGTCACCCAGGCTGGAGTGCAGTGGTCCCATCTCAGCTCACTGCAACCTACGCCTCCCAGGTTCCAGTGATTCTCCTGCCTCAGCCTCCTGAGTAGCTAGGATTACAGGCGTGCACCACCCTGCCCAGCTAAATTTTTTTTGTATTTTTAGTAGAGATGGGGTTTCACCATGTTGGCCAGGCTGGTCTTCAACTCCTGACCTCAAGTGATCCACCCATCTCGGCCTCCCAAAGTGCTGGGATTACAAGCATGAGCCACCACACCCAGCCTTGTTTTTCTAATTATTATATTTATTATTTTGGAATCTGGCACATAAAAATAGTCTTAACATCAATTCGTGTGATATTTTCAGTTTGTTTTGAAAAGGATACATTCATCCTAATTCCATTCAAGCATTTTCTATTAAAAGGTACTTCTCTTTAAGATATGAAGTATTGTCATTGCCATGTAAATAAAGTAAGATACCACGCATGTTTGTTTAATGAACAGCTATCAGCGTATTCCTACAAAGGGTTTATAAGGAGGAGTCTATACAGATAAAGAGTAACCCTTAGGACCGTATAATCTAGATAGAGCTTGAAATCATAATCGTCCTACTTCAGCTGAAATAATGGTAGCAGAGCAGAGCATTAGTGAGGCAGAGGAAAAAGAAACTCCAGCTGACAGCTCATTTGGGTATACTGAAGTGGATCATTGTAGGGCAGAAGGTGGTCTGATGGTAATGCTCGTGCATTTCACATTGGTGTGGCATTGAGAAAATTCCCACTTCTGGCACCAGGGTCGATACCAAAGCAGACAACTGGACCATTTCACATATAGGAGAAAAAAGACAGCAAGCAAGCTCTTTATTTTTAAGTTTGTTAGAGAAACTGGGCTACATATAATCAAGCTGTATACTCTTGGTAATTAAGGAAAACAAATACTCTTTGCAAAGTCATTATAGATTTAAAGTTCTTTAAGTTTTCATCAGGTTTCCACAGAAACAAAGAGTTTGAAACAATAGTGGAGAATGCACAAACCATCGAGTAAGTGGATTTTAATTGTTCCTGTTAAGAAAATTATTCAGATAACCAGCCACATCAAAGACTATTAAACTTTTTAATTGCTCAGGTGGAAAGATGGAGAATGTCATCATTATCTATCATAAGAAGAATCAGCCTTAGATAATCCTACTTGAATTTTGAGTTAGAATAACATACTCAAGGATGCTACTAACTGAAGTGCCATTTAGTACTCAAAAGTAATCATATGCTTTAATTATTCATAGGGCACAATGCATGAATTCACAATACTAATTATGGTTTCAAAAAGTGTATTATGCTATGGTTTAGTTACATAGGAGGATCAACTAATGCAAAACAAAAGTATAAATATTTGCAACTGCCATAGATATACTGTGCATGTAATTTAGTTGTTTGTTAGTGTGGTCAAAGGAGTAGAGAAATGTCTTTTCCCTGTGTTTTGCAAAGTTCTTGTAGGATTTAATACAGTGCCTCATATTTATTAAGCATTCAATAGTTATAATTGATTTTGAAGACTTGGTGATAGTGTCTTTATTTATTCATTAATT
The DNA here is from genome assembly GCF_000001405.40 of Homo sapiens. NCBI lineage: Eukaryota > Metazoa > Chordata > Mammalia > Primates > Hominidae > Homo > Homo sapiens. The sequence continues at coordinate 108,496,376 of NC_000006.12, forward strand.
GTGTGTTATGCAAAACTCTGTTCCCTAGTCTGTGCTAGGTGCTGGGGACACTGAGGTGAATAGAACTCCCTGTCTTGTACAATGACGTAAATGAGTGTGGCAACAGCAAATGTAAATGGCATTGTAGCTCCTCAAGGTCTTTAGTATATGCTTTGTGTTGAATATTTTACATATTCATGATGTATTGTAATATTAGGGAAGATGCAGGGGATGAAATAGCTGAAAAATAACGCACAGTAAATATACTTTGGAATTAATAAAAATCTTTAATGTTGTTTTTCTACATCATTATTTTGGTTTGACTCTTTTCTGTCATTATTTTGCTTCTTTCTCCTTTGGAAAATACTGACAAATCTAAAAAAAATGAAGATTATTAAACATACCTCTAAGTCTTTCACTCCAACCATTTAGAAATAACAAGTAACATTTTAAATATATTTACTTATGCTTTTTTCTGCATATATATTTTGAGCAAAACAAACATATAATTTTGCATTATGCTTTTTCACTTAGTTTTTTTTATCATGGCATGTTTCCATATCATAAAATATTTTTCATGGACACCATTATTTGTTGGCAACATATTATTTTATTACATCAATGTGCCTTAATTTATTGAACCATTCTTCTGTTATCAGATATTAAAGTTGCTTTTTGGTGACATAGTTATAATCTTATGTATAACCTTCGGTTGAATTTCTGATCACTTTCTCCTGATTGATTTCTAGAAGTGAAATGATGGGTGTAAGTTTATAACTTTTTTTTAGGGCTCTTACTACAACCCATCAAACTGTTTTCAGGAACAACTAAACTGATTTGCTCTTCCAGCAGCGATGGATGCTGCATTACATGTTTGCCGGCATCAAATTGCATAATTTATTTTTCTTTGCCAAATTGCTATTTGAAAAATGATATAACATTCTTATTTCTTTGAAATAAGAATTTCTTTATTACTACTGAGCTTGACTATTTTTTCATTTGTTTATTAGCCTCTTTTACTTACTATATTCTTTGCTCCATGAATTGTCTATTCAAATTCTATATTCATTTTTTTTCTGTTGCAATGCTGTTACAATTTTAGTTTTATTGTAGTCAATCCTTGTCTCACTTAATTCCTTTTTCATATCAGTTTGCTCTCTCCCTGCATTTCTCTGCTTGTATTTGATTGGGTCCATGTCTTGTATTCTAAAACGATACCACAAAATTTACCAACTTTTTCCTTCTAGTTCTTGTATACAGTAAATCATAAGTTTTATTTCTGGAAATAAGTTTTATATTACACCATAAAAATTCCAAAATTGATTATAAAAATAAATGAACATAAAATAAATGATGATATATGTGTTTAAATATACTTATCAATTATGCAAAACTAATTCTTAACTATAAAAGCTGGATCATATTTTTCTGCAGGGGCTGGACTTGCTAATGACTTAAAAGCTTTCACTAGTAAATCTCTGTAGCAAGTATAGTGTTTTCGTTAGCTCTTGCTGCATAATAAATCACCCCAAAATTCAATGACATAAACTGAGTAACAATAAGCATTTGTTATTACCCTCTAGTCTACAGGCTATGGGGGAGTTCTTTGGATCTCTGTTGGGTTCATATGTGCATCTGCAGTCAATTTGCTGCACTGGGCTAGGCTCTTCTCATCTGTGTGGGGCCAGCTGGCTGTATGCAGCCTAGGATGCTCTCTTGGCTTTTGTCCTTTTTGTGTTCTCTCCTCCTCCAGCAGGCTAGCCGAGGTATTGCAAAAGAGTGAACAGAAGCATGCAAAGCCTCTTGAGACCTAAGTTCAGAACTTGAAAACTGTGACTTTTGCTTCATTCTGTTGGCCGTGGTAAAGTTGAGCCATGGTAAAGAATAGACTCCACGTCACAATGCAAGAGCTGGAAAGTTGCAATCCAAAGGATATGGACAAGGAGGCAAGAACAATTGCAGCCATTACTATAATCAGATGACCCCTCACCCCACATAGGCCTTCTTCAATTCTCCAGTGGGTTTTAAATTATCATAATTTAGTTCTAGAGAATTTTTTAGTTAATCCAAGTAAACATCTTTAAATAACCCAAACATTTTTAAATAATGAATGCTTGGGAACAAAAGGGTGAGTGGCAACATTGTATTTAAATCAGTATTGGTCACAGTGATCAAGATCTCACACATCAAAAATGATATCCTTTATGTGATACACAGGGTTATGTAAGATGATTTGGCAGCATCGATATGTAGTTTGGTGAAAACATTCATTATATTTCTGTATATTATATAATCATGAGAAGAAAAATAAACTTACAAATATATTTTGAAATATATCGGCCAGGCACGGTGGTTCATGCCTGTAGTCCCAGCACTTTGGGAGGCTGAGGCAGGCAGATCACCTGAGATCAGGAGTTCAAGACCAGCCTGACCAACATGGTGAAACCCTGTCTCTACTAAAAATACAAAAATTAGACAGGCGTGTGGCATGCACCTGTAATCCCAGCTACTTGGAAAGCTGGGGCAGGAGAATCACTTGAACCCGGGAGGCAGAGACTGCAGTGAGCCAAGATTGCGCCACTGCACTCTAGCTTGGGTGACAGAGTGAGACTCTATTTCAAAAATATATATATACATGAAATATTGAATTTGAATAAAACTATCAAATAAAATGTTTTCAAATTTGTAATGAGAAACTTCCCTCCATAAATGTAACTTTTTTTTTTTTTTTTGAGACAGGTCCTTGCTCTGTCGCCCAGGCTGGAGTACAGTGGCGCCATCTTGGTTCACTGCAACCTCTGCCTCCTGCGTTCAAGCCATCCTCTCACCTCAGCCTCCCAAGTAGCTGGGACTACAGGCACGTGCCACTACATGTGGCTAAGTTTTGTATTATTTGTAGAGATGAGGTTTTGCCATGTTACCCAGGCTGGTCTCAAACTCCTGAGCTCAAGCAATCCACCAACCTCAGCCTCCCAAAGTGCTGGGATTACAGGTATAAGCCACCATGCCCAGCCCATAAACATAACTTTCTAAAAGTCAGTTTTGATACTTGAAATGGGATAAATGAAATTCCTGATTAAGACTTTTAAAATTTTAATCCAGGCCAGGCATGGTTGCTTATGCCTGTAATCCCAGTTCTTTGGGAGGCCAAGGTGTTTGGGATTGCTTGAGCCCAGCATTTTGAGACCAGCCTTGGCAGCATAGCAAGACCTCATCTCTACCAAAAAAAAAAAAAAAAAAAAAGCTGGGCTCCATTGGTAGGTGCAGCACACCTGTAGTTCTAGCTACTCAGGAGCTAAGGTGGGAGGATCACTTGAGCCCAGGAGGTCAAGGCTGCAGTGAGCTGAGATCACGCCACTGCACTCCAGTCTGGGCAAAAGAGCTAGAGCTAGATCCTGTCCCCATCACCCCCAAAAAAACCTGAAGAAAATTTGAAGAGGAATTTTTTTAAAAAAATAATAGATTCAGGGGGTACATGCACAGGTTTGTTACATGGGTGTATTGTATAATGCTGGGATTTGGGCTGCTAGGGTGCTTGTCATCTGAATAGTGAACATAGTGACCAATAGGTAATTTTTCTAACCCTTGCCCCCTTTTCTTGCTCCCTGCTTTTGGGGTCCCTAGTGTCTATTTTTTCATCTTTATGTCCATGTGTACCCATTGTTTAGCTCTCATTTACAAGTGAGAACATGCAGTATTTGGTTTTCTGTTTTTTTGTTAATTTGCTTAGGATAATGGCCTCCAGCTGCATCCATGTTGCTGCAAAGAACATGATTTCATTCTTTTTTATGGCTGTGTAGTATTCCATGGTGCGTGCGTGTGTGTGTGTGTGTGTGTGTGTGTGTGTGTGTGTGTGTACATATACGTATACCTGATCTCAGGTGATCTGCCTGCCTCGGCCTCCCAAAGTGCTGGGACTACAGGCATGAACCACCGTGCCCAGCCGATATATTTCAAAATATATTTGTAAGTTTATTTTTCTTCTCATGATTATATAATATACAGAAATATAATGAATGTTTTCACCAAACTACATATCGATGCTGCCAAATCATCTTATATAACCCTGTGTATCACACAAAGGATATCATTTTTGATGTGTGACATCTTGATCAATGTGACCAATACTGATATATATACATATATATTTACACACACACACACATACATTTTCTTTATCCAGTCCACCATTGATGGACACTTAGATTGCTTCCATGCCTTTGTTGTGAATAGTGCTATTATAAACGTGAATGCAGGTGTCTTTTTGATAAACGTGAGTGCAGGTGTCTTTTGCACTACCCTTTGGGTAGATACCCAGTAGTGGGATTGCTGGGTTGAATAGTAGTTCTATTTTTAGTTCTTTGAGAAATCTCCATACTGTTTCCATGGGGGTTGAACTAATTTGCATTCCCACCAACAGTGTATAAGCATTCCCTTTTCTCCACATTCCTCACCCACATCTGCTATTTTTTGGCTTTTTAGTAATAGTCATTCTGACTTGTGTGAGATGATAGCTCATTGTGGTTTTAATTTGCATTTCTCTGATGATTAATGATGTTGGGCATTTTTTCCTATCTTTGTTGACCACTTGTATTTCTTGTTTTAAGAGGTGTCTGTGCATGTTTTTTGCCCACTTTGAAGATAATTTTTTTTTTTTGAGACGGAGTCTTGCTCTGTCGCCCAGGCTGGAGTGCAACGGTGTGATCTCCGCTCACCGCAACCTCTGCCTCCTGGGTTCAAGCAATTCTCCTACCTCAGCCTCCCAAGTAGCTGAAATTACAGGCACGCACCACCATGCCTGGCTAATACTTTGTATTTTTAGCAGAGATGGGGTTTCACCATGTTGGCCAGGCTGGTCTTGAACTCCTGACCCCATGATCCGCCTGCCTTGGCCTCCCAAAGTGCTGGGATTACAGGCGTGAGCCACCGCACCTGGCCGAAGAGAAATTTTTGATAGTTACCATCTATGTGAACAAGAATCCTCATTCATACAAGGAGACATTAAGAAGTTTTGTATTTTCAGTAATGGTTGACTCTCTGTAATTTGCACCACATTTTTTGTTAGGGCAATGAAGGAAGCTAGATGAAATTAGTAGTAGGATAGGCTAACTGCTGCAACAAATAACCCCCAAATTAGAGGATTAATAAACAAACATGTATTTCTTGATCATATTACTGTCCAATGCAGGCTGACAAGGAAATGTAGCTCCATGCAGTCCTTCATGGACTCAGACTTCATCTCTCCTTTAAGTCCTTAGAGTCCTCTCTATTCACCTGCAGATGAGGAAAAGAAGGAAGATTCTGTGTAGAGTGTTTTTATGGGCTAGACCTTGAAGTGATCATATTACTGTCTCTCTCACTCCCTGGTCTGAACTTGATCACACAGCCACACTTAAATCTAAGGGAGGCTGGGCAATAATACAGGCATACCTTGGAGATATTGCTGGCTTGGTTCCAGGCCACTGGAACCGATGAGTCGCAGGAATTTTTTTGTTTCCCGGTACATATAAAAGTTATGTTTATACTGTAGTCTATTAAGTGTGCAATAGCATTATGTCAAAAAAATACATACTTTAATTTAAAAATGCTTTATTACTAAAAAATGCTAACAACTATTTGAGCCTTCAGTGAGTTGTAGTGTTTTTACTGTTATAGGCTTTTCTTGCCTCAATGTTTTGTTTCTTTTTACCCAGACAGAGTCTCACTCTGTTGCCCAGGTTGGAGTGCAGTGGCGTGATCTCGGCTCACTGCAACCTCTGCCTCCCAGGTTCAAGCGATTCTCTTGGCTCAGCCTCCTGAGTAGCTGAGATTACAGGTGCAGCCACCATGCCTGGTTTTGCTTTTTGTTTGTTTGTTTGTTTGTTTTTTGAGTTGGAGTTTTGCTCTTGTTGCCGAGGCTGGAGTGCAATGGCGTGATCTCGGCTCACTGTAACCTCTGCCTCCTGGGTTTAAGTGATTCTGCTGCCTCAGCCTCCTGAGTAGCTGGGATTACAGACATGTGCCAGCATGCCTGGCTAATTTTGTATTTTTAGTAGAGATGGTGTTTCTCCATGTTGGTCAGGCTGGTCTCGAACTCCCTGCCTCAGGTGATCCACTCGCTTCGGCCTCCCAAAGTGCTGAGATTACAGGCATGAGCCACCGTGCCTGGCCTGGTTTTGTATTTTTAGTAGAGACAGGGTTTCCCCATGTTGGCCAGGCTGGTCTTGAACTCCTGACCTCAAGTGATCCGCCCACCTCGGCCTCCCAAAGTGCTGGGATTATAGGCATGAACCACCATACCCAACCTCTTGCCTCAATGTTGATGACTGTTGACTGATCACGGTGGTGATTGCTGAAGGTTAGGATGACTGACAATTTCTTAAAATAAGACAATGAACTTTGCTGTACAATGGACTCTTGCTTTCACAAAAGATTTCTTTCTAGCAAGTGATGCTATTTGATAGCATTTACTCACAGCAGAACTTCTTTTGAAATTGGAGTCAGTCCTCTCAACCCCTGCCACTGCTTTAACAACTAAGTTTATGTAATAGTCTAAATCCTTTGTTGTCATTTCAACAGTGTTCACACCATCTTCACCAGGAGTAGATTCCATCTCAAGAAACCACTTTCTTTCTCATCCATAAGAAGCAACTCCTTATCAGTTCAAGTTTGATCATGAGATTGCAGCAATTCAGCCATATCTTCAGGCTCCACTTCTAATTCTAGTTCTCTTGCCATATCTCTCTACCACATCTGCAGTTACTTCCTCTTGAACCTCTCCAAGTCATCCATGAGGGTTGGAATCCTCTTCTTCTAAACTCCTGTTAATGTTGATATTTCGACCTTCTCCCCATGAAGCACTAATGTTCTTCATGGTATCTAGAATGATAAATCATTTCCGGAAAGTTTTCAATTAACTTAGCCCAGATCCATCACAGGAATCGCTATATGTGGCAGCTATGGCCTTCCAAAATGTATTTCTTAAATAATTAGACTTGAAAGTCAAAATTACTTCTTGATCCATGGGCTGCAGAATGGATGTTGTGTTAACAGTCATGAAAACAACATTCATCTCTTTGTACAGTTCCACCAGAGCTCTTGGGTGACCGAGTGCATTGTCAATGAGCAGTAATCTTTTGAAAGAAGTCTTTTTTTCTGAGCAGTAGCTCTTAAAGGGGGCTTAAAATACGTAGTAAACCATGCTATAAAAAGATGTGCTGTCATCCAGGCTTTGTTGTTCCATTTTTAGGGCACAGGCAGAGTAGATTTAGCATCATTCTTAAGGGCTCTAGGATTTTCAGAATGGTAAATGAGCATTGGCTTCAACTTAAAGTCACCAGCTGCATTAGCCCCTAGCAAGAGAGTCAGTCTATCCTTTTGAAGCTTTGAAGCCAGGCATTGACTTCCCTCTAGCTATGAAAGTCACAGAGGGCATCTTCTTTCGATTCATCTGCATTGAAAATCTGTTGTTTAGTGTAGCCACCTTCATAAATGATCTTAACTAGATCTTGCTGCAGCTTCTACATCAGCACTTGCTGTTTCACCTTGAACTTTCGTTATGGAGATGGCTTCTTTTCTTAAACCTCATGAACCAACCTCTGCTGGTTTCCGATTTTTCTTCTGCAGCTTCCTCACCTCTTTCAATCTTCATGTAATTGAAGAGAGTCAGGGCCTTGCTCTGTGTTAGGCTTTGCCTTAGGGAAGCATTGTGGCTGGTCTGATCTTCTATCTAGACCACTCAGACTTTCTCCAAATCAACAATAATGCTTTTTTACTTTCTTATAGTTTGTGTGTTCACTGGAGTAGCACTTTTTATTTCCTTCAAGACATTTTCCTTTTCATTCACAACTTGGCTAACTGTTTGGCTCAAGAGGCCTAGCTTTTGGCCTGTCTTGACTTTTGACATGCCTTCCCCACTAAGCATAATCATTTCTAGCTTTAGCTTTTATATGAGAGATGTACAACTCTTCCTTTCACTTGAACACAGAGGCCACTGTAATGTTATTAATTGACCTAATTTTAATGTTGTTGTATCTCAGGGAATAGGGAGGCCTGAAGAGAGGGAGAAAGATGGGGGAACAGCCAGTGGTGGAGCAGTCAGAACACACAAAATGTATCAAGTCCACCATCTTATAAGGATGTGGTTCGTGGCACCCCAAAGCAATTACAACAGTAACATGGAAGATCACTGATCCCAGATCACCATACCAGATGTAATAGTAATGAAAAAGTGTGACATATTGTGGCAGTTAACAAAATGTGACACAGAGACATGAAGTGAGCACATGCTGTTGGAAAAATGTCACCAACAGACTTGCTTGATGCAGAGTTGCCACAAATCTTCAATTTGTAAACAAAACAAAAGTATCTTCAGAATGCAGTAAAATGAAGCACAATAAAATGAAGTGTGCCTGTAGTCTATCTGTGTGCCCAGAAAGAAGAGAAAAACATGGATATTGGTATGCACTAAGCAATCTTGTTTTCAAAATGAGGTGAGCTGAGCTTACTTTTGGCAGCCTTATTGGGTTAGTGGGACAAAAGTCAGAGACTAGGGCCATCCAAGGATGGGAACCTATTTAACTGCCTGTATCCCCCACTTTGGATAAGGTCCTGAGTGGATTTCATCCTGAAGTCCTGAAGGACTGCACTTAGGAATTAGTGTAAAGCAGAAATAAGCCAGCCCTCTCATGGACTTTAGCCAGATTTTCAGCTGAATACTTAGAAAACCTCAAGCCCTGAGCTTGGATTTTTTTTTTTTCTTTTTTCTTTTTTTTTTTTTGAGATGGAGTCTCACACTGTCACCCAGGCTGGAGTACAATGGCACGATCTCAGCTCCCTGCAACCTCCGCGCCCAGGTTCAAGCGATTCTCCTGCCTCAGCCTCCCGAGTAGCTGGGATTGCAGGCGCCTGCCGCCGCACCCGGCTAATTTTTGTATTTTTAGTAGAGATGGGGTTTCACCATCTTGGCCAGGCTGGTCTTGAACTCCTGACCTCGTGTTCCACTCGCCTCGGCCTCCCAAAGTTCTGGGATTACAGGCATGAACCACTGCGCCCAGCCAGATTTTTTTCTATATGTATTTTTTTTCAAAGGTAAAATCCAGGATGTACAAAGATAACCAGGCATATGAGGAGACAAGACATTGTGAATGAGAACAAACAAAAACAACAGACAATAAAATTAGGAACTCCAGATATTAGAAGTATGAATCTATATTTTAAACAGCTAGACTTACATATTCAAAGAACTTTTTTTAAAAAAAAGTGGGCTTGGAACTACGCTTCAGAAGGGATCTAGAGATAATAAAAAGAGACATCTCAACCTTGAAAAAGAATCAGTGGAAATTCTAGAGCTACAAAGTGCAGTAACAAAAATTAAGGGCTCAAGGGATGAGCTTAAGAGCAGATTAAACACAGCTAAGGAGAAGCACAGTGGATCAGAAAAACTATCCAAAATGAATCATGGAGAAGTAATAAAGAAATATACAAAATAAAGGATAAAAGGAGAGTATGACGTTTAACCTAGGTGCATTTAAAGTATCAGAAGGAGAAGAGAAAGGGAATGGAGCAGAGGCAATATACATATGTAGATGTACTTGATATTGTCTGACATTTATGGAGAAAAATACTGACAACACACTAGTCATCATGCTTACATGGGGAAAAATTGCGAAAATTAAGACATGCTATAAATGGGAGCATATTGACCTGGACTGTGGTCACGGGTTTTGACTGGTTTACTTTAAAGTACAGTCACCCCTCTGTATCCATGGGTAATTGGTTCCAGGACCTTCCACAGACACCAAATCTGCAGATCCTGAAGTCCCTGATATAAAGTGGAGTAGTATTTGCATATAACCCATGCACATCCTCCCATATTTTTTGTTTGTTTGTTTTTGAGACAAGGTCTCTGTCGACCAGGCTCGAGTGCAATGGTGGTGATCTCAGCTCACTGCAAACTCAGACTCCCAGGCTCAAACGATCCTCCTACCTCAGCCTCCTGAGTAGCTGCAACTACAGGCGCATACCACCACACCTGGCTAACTTTGTGTATCTTTTGTAGAGATGGGGTTTCACTATGTTGCCCAAGCTGGTCTCCAACTCCTGAGCTCAAGTGATCCACCCACCTCAGCTTCTCAAAGTGCTGGGATTACAGGTGTGAGCCACTGGGCCTGGCTTCCTCCCGTATTCTTTAATTATCTCCAGATTATTTATAATACCTAGTGCAATGTAAATGCTATGTAAATAGTTGTTATAATCTCCAACTCCTGAGCTCGAGTGATCCACCCACCTCAGGTTCCCAAAGTGCTGAGATTACAGGCGTGAGCCACTGGGCCTGGCTTCCTTCCATATTCTTTAATTATCTCCAGATTATTTATAATACCTAGTACAATGTAAATGCTATGTAAATGGTTGTTATAATGTATTGCTTTTTAATTTGTACTGGTTTTTATGTTATATTTTTTTCCAAATATTTTGATTGGCAGTTGGTTGGATCTGCAGATGTGGAACCCACAGATATGGGGAGCCAACTGAATTGTTTTTCTTGTTTATCTTTCCTATTTATTATTCTCTTTTTAATTTTTGACTTTTTTGAACTTTTCTTTTTAGAAATATGCTTACCCATGAATTTATTGAAAACCAAAATGTCATTATTTTAAATTAGTCCTATTCTTATTGGATCTGATTTTTTGGGGGGAAAAAACTTCCTTCTTTGATAAATACATTTCATTCTTCTTTCTCATGTTTTTAAAGAAAAAAGTAGTATTGCTATCTCTCGTGGCCTAAATTGAGAGAGATGTCTTTGGCAATGAATAACCTCTCCTTGTTTGAATGACTTTTTTTTAATTGTAGTAAAATACCATATAACATAAAATTGACCATTTTAACTAATTTTAAGTGTACAGTTCAGTGACATTAAGTACATTCATATTGTTGTGCAGTGATCAACACTGTCTACCTCTAGAACTTTTTCCTCATCCTAGACTGAATGTATTAAACAACAATTCCGCATTCCCCCAATGACTGTTGTCTTGAAAGGAGAAAGATAACTCTACTGAGCTTTGTTTTCTTTATGTGAATGAGCATGTAATTGTTTTAGGGATATGAGGGGAAGGAATAGTTGCTAATGTAATGGCAAATGCAGAACCTACTGACAAAGGTATGTAATTTGTAAAATAGCTGAATGGGCAAAATTCTGATTTTTCAGTTGCCCTAGGCACTTCAGTGCACTTCTGATAATGATTTTCCTTGGGCATGTAGTTATTCTGATAGAAATCACATCCATGCATAACGAGTGAGCTTAATTATACATAACTACATACATAATATGAGGTTTTACATTTTTTTATGTATACTTTCTGGTTTACAAAAGATGAGACACTAAATCCTAACTGATCTCAAAAAAAGTAGTGTACCCTCAGAGCATGAGAGTCTTAATGTATGAGTTTTCCTTTTTACAACAAGACATGTATTTTGCCCTCCCCTCTCTCGCTTTCGGGGATTGTTTTCACTATTTGGTGATTCCACAGTCTCATCTGGTGCCTGCTGTGACTCCCAAGACAGACAAGTGCACAAAGGCTGATTTAGGGTCTTGGATTCCTCTTGAGAATGACATACTCAATTCATTTGTACTGATCCCAATCATTTGAGCTCAAAATAATAAAAATAAAAGTAGCCAAGATGGTTTGAATACTAATGTATGCCCCAGGCACTGTGCTAAACACTTTGCATATATTACTTTGTTTAATTCTCACGATTCTGTCAGATAGGAATCAAATCCCCATTTTACAAATGGGAAAACTAAGGAACAGGAAGATGATGTAATTTGCCAGTGGCACCCAGTTGATAAGTAGCAACTGAGGAGTCAGATCCAGGCCTTCCAGAGCCCTCACTCCCACCTTCTCTATTAACACGTGCTCCTGGTCTGTATTGGGCTCAACAGCAGGATTCTCTTGGAACAGAAGTAGGTTTAAACCAACCCCACCCCACTCCCAGAAAAACCCACAGCATGCTGGAACCCTCCATGGCTGAGGTGAGTGGCTTGTCTCAGCTAAGGCCAGGCACGAGGTCTGGAGGTAGAGGCTTTCCAGCCAGGGAAGGAAAATGGGAAGGGCGGAGCTTGCCTCCTCCTGGCTGCCATTTGTTATCTGGTTGGTGAGAAGAGATGGGAGGAAGGGGCACTGTCAGCACATTTCCAAAGGACTCGGGTCATTCTTGGTGCTCTTTGTCTCTGGTTTTGTGCCCATTGCCTAGGTCCCATAATTGCTGCATCCTTCTTAGAACTGCTCTCTATTTAGGGAACCACTTCTCCAGAACCTAACTCTCTGGATTTACTTGTACCTCCCCACACCTCCATGCAAATTCTTCTTTCCTGAGCATAACTGATTTCAGCTGGTTGGTAGGAGAGTGGTAGGCTTAAGTGAATGGACAAAGGTGAGAATGACTCTCCTCCTCCTCACGGTTTCCTAATTCTCCCAGGAATATCGCCATATCAACATTTCTGAAAGAAGTTTCATGCAAAGGACTTCCCAAATGAGATAGACATTTCTGGACAGGGAGGAATATTGATGGATTCTGCCAGAAACTGAGGAGGCTCAGCCACCTGTGTCCTAGAGGTCGATCAGGGTGACCCAGGAGCTTCCAGAGGGACTTCAGAGCAGCTCCTGGGCCACTCAGTCTCTGCCTTCTCCCGACTCCAGCAGGGCCAGAAACACTCTCCCAACATTTGCTCATGGTTTGCTGCTCACAGAGTACAGTCATCCACAGGCAGCTTAAAATGAGCAGAGGTAACATTTCCTGGGAGTGTTCCTAACCCCAAAGAATGTGTTTGCAGATTGTGTTCCTAATGTTCAGGAGTTAAATTCATGTTTCAGAAACAAGCACTTTACATCTGTAGGTGGCACTTTTGTGAATAATATTGTGGACCTTGAGTCCCATACTCTCCTCGTATCAGGAGGCAGTGTACTGCCTCCAATTATTCTGGAGCTCTCATCTGCTCCTGCTTATTTAAGCCCTTCAGTATTTCCTACAGAGGTTAGCAGTGTTGGACTTGAATAATTGTACCTTAAATTAAACTAAAAATAATTTCTGATGATTTTCATACTGAAGCACAGTCTTTATTTCAAAATGGTGGCATAATCTTCAGCATGCCATTATCAAATAGCTCCATTGACCAATAGTGGCAGTTTGCAGTTGAGTCACGGGAAGGGTTTATTAGGACATGTTTAAAGTGATGTCATAGAAATAAAAATATGGACAGGGACCTAAAGATTACAAACTAAGGCTGTGGCTAGAGATATTCTTTAACTCCCCACCGCACTCTTGTCTTCTCTCTTGCCCCTTTTTCACATCACTATTAAGGCAACACAGTGTATGTTATCTGTGTCCTTAGCCTACTCTGAAAACACTGCCCTTGGTTTCACCAAATAGTGAAAACAATCCCCAAAAGGGAGAGAGGGGAGGGCAAAATACAGTGTCTTTTTGTAAAAAGGAAAACTCATACATTAGGACTCTCATGCTCTGAGGGTACACTACTTTTTTGGAGCTCAGTTAGGATTTAGTGTCTCATCTTTTGTAAACCGGAAAGTATATGTAAAAAAATGTAAAACCTCATATTAGGTATGTAGTTATGTATAATTAAGCTCACTCGTTATGCATGGATGTGATTTCTATCAGAATAACTACATGCTCAAGGAAAATCATTATCAGAAGTGCACTGAAGTGCCTAGGGCAACTGCCTATGGGTAACTTGGTCAAGTTACCCACAGCTACCACCTAGATCACACCATGACAAGAAAGAGGTGTTTTTACACTAAACCACTCCAAAGGCAACCAGAATTGGTTTATTTTTAAGTTTTCTTTTATTTCATTTTATCATAGCCACTTGGAGCCAGTGACTATTTGGAACTATCAAAGAATTTTGATACAATATTTTTACGAAACATTCCGCAATTTACTCTGGCAAACAGGACTCAAGGTCGAAGATTCATAACTCTCATCGATAACTTTTATGATCTCAAGGTAAGGATGTAGTACATTTTCTTAAAACTAAACACTTTGTATTGTGAAGCCAGATTGCCTGGGCTGGAAATCCTGACTTAACATACTTCTATCACTTACTGCACCTCTTTGTGCCTCCATTCCCTCATGTGTGAATTGGGGATGATAATATTATTTACTTCTGAGGGTTGTTGCGAGGACTAAAAAGGCAAATCCATGTAAAGCATTTAAAACATTTGGCACAAGCTGAATGCTGTATAAGCACTATCAGTAGAAGCAGCAGTAGTACTATAGTAAAGCTCCCATCACAAGACACTCTGCTATATGAATGATTGCATCATTCTACCAGACAGCTTATGCGCTTCATCTATCACGTTCTAAAACACAATGTCTTGCATAAACTGAATGCTCAGTAAGTATTTGTTGCATGAATAAATGATTGCACTGATAGAATAATGCATGAGCAAGCCAGGTGTGATGGCTCATGCCTATCATCCCAGCACTTTGGGAGGCCAAGGGAGGATCGCTTGAGGCCAGGCGTTCAAGACCAGCCTGGACAACATAGCAAAATCCTAGCTCTACAAAAAATAAGAAAATTAGCTGGGTGTGGTGATGAGGGCCTGTCATCCTGCCTACTTGGGAGGCTAAGGTGGGAGGATTGCTTAAGCCCAGGAGTTCAAGGTTACAGTAGTGAGTCATGATCACCCCACTGCACTGCAGCCTTCCAGCCTGGGTGACAGAGTGAGGCCCTATCTCTCAAAAAAAAAAAAAAAGAAGAAGAAGAAGAAGTAGAAGGAGGAGGAGGAGGAGGAGGAGGAGGGAGGTAGGAGGAAGGAAGAAGGAAGAAGGAAGAGAAGGAGAAGGAGGAGAAGGAGAAGGAGAAGAAAACAAATGAGTGAATGACTAGAGGACCCTTCTGAATATTGAAGCTCTCTCTCTCCCTATGACCCAGAAACCCCAGTAGCTAGCATTATACCATCTTGTTGTTTGTTTGTTTTTAATCCGCATGTTTTAGTGTGAATTGCCAAGTCACTGCCCATTCATCAAAGGCAGCATGGCCTACTGGTTCAAGAGTGGGCCCTGGGGTCAGGCTGTCTATCCTAAAGGCCATCTTAATCTCTCTGAGCTTCAACTGCCTTTTCTAGAAAAAACAGATAATAATGGTACTTATAAAGTTGTTGTATTAAACAAGCATGTAAAGCACAAAGAATGTTGTCTGGCCTATGGTACGCTCTCAGTAAAAGTGAGCTATTAGTAGAATATATCTGTAAATATAGATTCATAGCAAAAGTACAATTTGAAATTAGAGTTAATTTAAATATTATTTTACCATTAGATATACTTTTTTCTCCCTATTCTTTGCACAGAATTAGATAGACCAGTGATTCTAAATTGAAGGGGCTTTGTGGGAAGAAGATAAGCAACAGAATCTGCTGGGAGGGAGAGGTGACAATTTAATGTTTCATTTGCTCATTCATTCTGTAAACTTCATCATGCCAAGCGCTAGAAATTCAGTGGCAAGTGAAACTAGATGGTGCTTGCCTTCAAAGAGCTTAGATAGCCTGATATCAGAGAAACGTGAATCAGATGTCCACAGAACTCGATGTAAAATCACCACTGTGGGATGACCTGTTAGACAGAGAAGGAGGCATATGGTGCTGTGAGAGTCTAGCAGGGGAGAGTGCACTGATCTATGGGGTGGGAAATCCTCTGAGGGCCACCTATGGCAGAACCATGTGGCCTACTTAAAAATCCAGATTCCAGAGCTCACCCATTCCCACCCCAGCAAATGAGTACCAGGCATGGGGCCAGGAACTGCATGTTCTCATGTTTCTCAGGTGCTTCTTATAAATGCTGAGAAGAGTGAGGGCTAAACTCTATGCACAGAATGAAAATGGGTAACCAGCATGGGGAGTTTGCAGCAACCTCTCTGGGATGGGCCGAATGTGAAAGGCAGCAAGTGTGGCTCTGATGCAGAAGCTGAGGGAAGCCCACCTAAGGGAGTGCTATCAAAAGCTGCTGTGCATCCCCGCGGAGCCCACACACATGTGATGGGTAATCTGGAGAGGCAGAAGGCTGAGGACACAGAGCTGGGGGATGGAGGCCCATCAGCTGTGAGTGGTGGCCTTCCACAGACTCGACTCTACAGTAATGGTGGGGAGGGCAGGGGTGGAATGAAGGGCAGGGGCCTGGAGGCTGCTGTTTTTACAGGACTAGGCTTCAAGAAGAAGACAACAGAGGGGCATGAATAGGATGGCTCATAGTGGAGGATGGAGAGACTCGTTATTTTGATATTTCAGCTAGGAATGCCTTACAGAAAGCTTATGGTCCCCATCCCTCAGTCCCACCCCCTAACCCTACCTCACCCCCACCTTTTCACTTCTTAATCGAAGGAAAAAAGAATTTTTCTGGCAATATGATAGAATATTCAAACTACCCTCCTAACATTCCCTTTAACTAAATCACACATTTAGAGATTATACTTTTTATTAAAGTGTAGTCAAAACCATTTTATTTCAAAAATTGGTAGCATTAAACAGACATTATTCTAGAATGTATTCATGGAGATTTGTGACAGAAGGATATACCCATGTAAATAATGAAAAATTGTCTTTGATTAAAATAACTTATAAGAGGAGGTAGAAGGCCATTTGGATATGGAAAATCTAGTGTCGAATGTCAACACATGATTTTTAAGTACTGGTGTATTATTATTTAAATAATGATTTTTAAAGATAGCTATGAATCCTGAAGACAAATTCAGGACTTTTAAAACATCAAGAAGAATATGTTTTGTATGGTGGAGCCAAGATGGCCAAATAGGGACAGCTCCAGTCTACAGCTCCCAGCATGAGCGACGCAGAAGATGAATGATTTCTGCATTTCTAACTGAGGTACTGGGTTCATCTCACTGGGGATTGTCAGACAGTGGGTGCAGGACAGTGGGTGCAGCGCACCGAGCATGAGCTGAAGCAGGGCGAGGCATCGCCTCACCCGGGAAGCACAAGGCATCAGGGAATTCCCTTTCCTAGCGAAGGAAAGGGGTGACAGATGGCACCTGGAAAATCGGATCACTCCCACCCTAATACTGCGCTTTTCCAACAGTCTTAGCAAACGGCACACCAGGAGATTATATCCCGCGCATGGCTTGGAGGGTTCTACACCCACAGAGCCTCGCTCATTGCTAGCATAGCAGTCTGAGATCAAACTGCAAGGCGGCAGCGAGGATGGTGGAGGGGCGCCTACCACTGCCAAGGCTTGAGTAGGTAAACAAAGCGGCTGGGAAGCTCCAACTGGGTGGAGCCCACTGCAGCTCAAGGAGGCTTGCCTGTCTCAGTAGACTCCACCTCTGGGGGCAGGGCATAGCCAAAAAAAAGGCAGCAGAAACCTCTGCAGACCTAAATGTTCCTGTCTAACAGCTTTGAAGAGAGTAGAGGTTCTTCCAGCACACAGCTTGAGATCTGAGAACGGACAGACTGTCTCCTCAAGTGGGTCCCTGACCCCCAAGTAGCCTAACTGGGAGGCACGCCCCAGTAGGGGCAGACTGACACCTCACATGGCCGGGTACTCCTCTGAGACAAAACTTCCAGAGGAACGATCAGGCAGCAAAATTTGCTGTTCACCAGTATCTGCTGTTCTGCAGCCTCCACTGCTGATACCCAGGCAAACAGGGTCTGGAGTGGACCTCCAGCAAACTCCAACAGACCTGCAGCTGAGAGTCCTGACTGTTAGAAAGAAAACTGACAAACAGAAAGGACATCCACACCAAAACCCCATCTGTACGTCACCATCATCAAAGACCAAAGGCAGATAAAACCACAAAGACGGGGAAAAAACAGAGCAGAAAAACTCAAAATTCTAAAAATCAGAGCGCCTCTCCTCCTCCAAAGGAAGGCAGCTCCTCGCTAGCAACGGAACAAAGATCGGGTTATCCACAAAGGGAAGCCCATCAGACTAACAGTGGATCTCTTGGCAGAAACTACAAGCCAGAAGAGAGTGGGGGCCAATATTCAACATTCTTAAAGAAAAGAATTTTCAACCCAGAATTTCATATCCAGCCAAACTAAGCTTCATAAGTGAAGGAGAAATAAAATCCTTTACAGACAAGCAAATGCTGAGAGATTTTGTCACCACCAGGCCTGCCCTAAAAGAGCTCCTGAAGGAAGCACTAAACATGGAAAGGAACAACCGGTACCAGCCACTGCAAAAACATGTCAAATTGTAAAGACCATCGAGCCTAGGAAGAAACTGCATCCACTAACGAGCAAAATAACCAGCTAACATCATAATGACAGGATCAAATTCACACATAACAATATTAACCTTAAATGTAAATGGGCTAAATGCTCCAATTAAAAGACACAGACTGGCAAATTGGATAAAGATTCAAGACCCATCAGTGTGCTGTATTCAGGAAACCCATCTCACATGCAGAGACACACATGGACTCAAAATAAAAGGATGGAGGAAGATCTACCAAGCAAATGGAAAACAAAAAAAGGCAGGGGTTGCAATCCTAGTCTCTCATAAAACAGACTTTAAACCAACAAAGATCAAAAGAGACAAAGAAGGCCATTACATAATGGTAAAGGGATCAATTCAACAAGAAGAGCTAACTCTTCTAAATATATATGCACCCAATACAGGAGCACCCAGATTAATAAAGCAAGTCCTTAGAGACCTACAAAGAGACTTAGACTCCCACACAATAATAATGGGAGACTCTAACACCCCACTGTTAACATTAGACAGATCAACAAGACAGAAAGTCAACAAGGATATCCAGGAATTGAACTCAGCTCTGCACCAAGCGGACCTAATAGACATCTACAGAACTCTCCACCCCAGATCAACAGAATATACATTCTTTTCAGCACCACACCACACCAATCCAAAATTGACCACATAGTTGGAAGTAAAGCACTCCTCAGCAAATGTAAAAGAACAGAAATTATATAACAAACTGTCTCTCAGACCACAGTGCAATCAAACTAGAACTCAGGATTAAGAAACTCACTCAAAACCACTCAACTACATGGAAACTGAACAGCCTGCTCCTGAATGAACTACTGGGTACATAACAAAATGAAGGCAGAAATAAAGATGTTCTTTGAAACCAACGAGAACAAAGACACAGCATACCAGAATCTCTGGGACACATTCAAAGCAGTGTGTAGAGGGAAATGTATAGCACTAAATGCCCACAAGAGAAAGCAGGAAAGATCTAAAATTGACACCCTAACATCACAATTAAAAGAACTAGAGAAGCAAGAGCAAACACATTCAAAAGCTAGCAGAAGGCAAGAAGTAACTAAGATCAGAATAGAACGGAAGAAAATAGAGACACAAAAAACCCTTCAAAAAATCAATGAATCCAGGAGCTGGTTTTTTGAAAAGATCACCAAAATTGATAGACCACTAGCAAGACTAATAAAGAAGAAAAGAGAGAAGAATCAAATAGACACAATAAAAAATGATAAAGGGGATATCACCACTGATCCCACAGAAATACAAACTACCATCAGAGAATACTATAAACACCTCTATGCAAATAAACTAGAAAATCTAGAAGAAATGGATAAGTTCCTGGACACATACACCCTCCCAAGACTAAACCAGGAAGAAGTTGAATCTCTGAATAGACCAATAACAGGCTCTGAAATTGAGGCAATAATTAATAGCTTGCCAACCAAAACGAGTCCAGGACCAGATGGATTCACAGCCGAATTCTACCAGAGGTACAAGGAGGAGCTGGTACCATTCCTTCTGAAACTATTCCAATCAATAGAAAAAGAGGGAATCCTCCCTAACTCATTTTATGAGGCCAGCATCATCCTGATACCAAAGACTGGCAGAGACACAACAAAAAAACAGAATTTTAGACCAATATCCCTGATGAACATCAATGCAAAAATCCTCAATAAAATACTGGCAAACCGAATCCAGCAGCACATCAAAAAGCTTATCCACCATGATCAAGTGGGCTTCATCCCTGGGATGCAAGGCTGGTTCAACATACACAAATCAATAAACGTAATCCAGCATATCTACAGAACCAAAGACAAAAACCACATGATTATCTCAATAGATGCAGAAAAGGCCTTTGACAAAATTCAACAGCCCTTCATGCTAAAAACTCTCAATAAATTAGGTATTGATGGGATGTATCTCAAAATAATAAGAGCTATCTATGACAAACCCACAGCCAATATCATACTGAATGGGCAAAAACTGGAAGCATTCCCTTCGAAAACTGGCAAAAGACAGGGATGCCCTCTCTCACCACTCCTATTCAACATAGTGTTGGAAGTTCTGGCCAGGGCAATCGGGCAGGAGACAGAAATAAAGGGTATTCAATTCGGAAAAGAGGAAGTCAAATTGTCCCTGTTTGCAGATGACATGATTGTATATCTAGAAAACCCCATCGTCTCAGCCCAAAATCTCCTTAAGCCGATAAGCAACTTCAGCAAAGTCTCAGGATACAAAATCAATGTGCAAAAATGACAAGCATTCTTATACACCAATAACAGAGAAACAGAGAGCCAAATCATGAGTGAACTCCCATTCACAATTGCTTCAAAGAGAAAAAAATACCTAGGAATCCAACTTACAAGGGATGTGAAGGACCTCTTCAAGGAGAGCTACAAACCACTGCTCAATGAAATAAAAGAGGATACAAACAAATGGAAGAACATTCCATGCTCATGGGTAGGAAGAATCAATATCGTGAAAATGGCCATACTGCCCAAGGTAATTTATAAATTCAATGCCATCCCCATCAAGCTACCAATGATTTTCTTCACAGAATTGGCAAAAACTACTTTAAAGTTCATATGGAACCAAAAAAGAGCCCGCATTGCCAAGACAATCCTAAGCCAAAAGAACAAAGCTGGAGGCATCACACTACCTGACTTCAAACTATACTACAAGGCTGCAGTAACCAAAACAGCATGTTACTGGTACCAAAACAGAGATATAGACCAATGGAACAGAACAGAGCCCTCAGAAGTAATGCCACATATCTACAACTATGTGATCTTTGACAAACCTGACAAAAACAAGAAATGGGGAAAGGATTCCCTATTTAATAAATGGTGCTGGGAAAACTGGCTAGCCATATGTAGAAAGCTGAAACTGTATCCTTTCCTTACACCTTATGCAAAAATTAATTCAAGATGGATTAAAGACTTAAATGTCAGACCTAAAACCATAAAAACCTTAGAAGAAAACCTAGGCAATACCATTCAGGACATAGGCATGGGCAAGGACTTCATGTCTAAAACACCAAAAGCAATGGCAACAAAAGCCAAAATTGACAAATGGGATCTAATTAAACTGAAGAGCTTCTGCCCAGCAAAAGAAACTACCATCAGAGTGAACAGGCAGCCTACAGAATGGGAGAAAAATTTTGCAATCTACTCATCTGACAAAGGGCTAATATCCAGAATCTACAATGAACTCAAACAAATTTACAAGAAAAAAAACAACAAACCCATCAAAAAGTGGGTGAAGGATATGAACAGACACTTCTCAAAAGAAGACATTTATTCAGCCAAAAGACACATGGAAAAATGCTCATCATCACTGGCCATCAGAGAAATGCAAATCAAAACCACAATGAGATACCATCTCACACCAGTTAGAATGGCAGTCATTAAAAAGTCAGGAAACAACAGGTGCTAGAGAGGATGTGGAGAAATAGGAACACTTTACACTGTTGGTGGGACTGTAAACTAGTTCAACCATTGTGGAAGTCAGTGTGGCAATTCCTCAGGGATCTAGAACTAGAAATACCATTTGACCCAGGCATCCCATTACTGGGTATACACCCAAAGGATGATAAATCATGCTGCTATAAAGACACATGCACACGTATGTTTATTGTGGCACTATTCACAATAGCAAAGACTTGGAACCAACCCAAATGTCCAACAATGATAGACTGGATTAAGAAAATGTGGCACATGTACACCATGGAATACTATGCAGCCATAAAAAATGAGTTCATGTCCTTTGTAGGGACATGGATGAAGCTGGAAACCATCATTCTCAGCAAACTATGGCAAGGACAAAAAACCAAACACCGCATGTTCTCACTCATAGGTGGAAATTGAACAATGAGAACACATGGACACATGAAGGGGAACTTCACACACCGGGGCTTGTTGTGGGGTGGGGGGAGGGGGGAGGGATAGCATTAGGAGATATACCTAATGTTAAATGATGAGTTAATGGGTGCAGCACACTAACATGGCACATGTATACATATGTAACAAACCTGCACGTTGTGCACATGTACCCTAAAACTTAAAGTATAATAATAAAAAAAAGAATATGTTTTGTATTTAAACTAGTGGATATAAAAAATATAAAAGCTGTTTCCAATATATGATCACATATGAACACTCATTCAAATACTTATGTAATCAAGAGATATTAATGTAAATCTTAGTCTTTTTGAAGAATGTCCTAGCAGGATGCTAAGATAATAAATGTAGGTTCTGGACACTCACTGGCCTAATTAGAATAGCAATGCACTGAACTTAGCAGTCTGCTGTGCAGCAAAAGCGTAACTAACCTCTTTACAGTGTCCCTGGGGAGCGTCTTAGGTGCACAGACCAGCTCCAAACAGCCAGGTATAAATGTCAACATCACAGTGTAATCATCTTAGTCAGTATGTGGTGCTATAACAAAATACCATGGTCTGGGTAATTTATAAATAATAGGAATTTATTTCTTCCAGTTCTGTGAGGTCTGAGATCAAGGAGCCAGCAGGTTTGGGTGTTTGGTGAGGGCTACTATCTGCTTTGTTGCCACCAGAGGGCACAAATGTTGTTCTCGCATGGTGGAAGGAATGGAAGGCAAAAAGTGGTGAACTCCCTCCATCAAATCCTGTATAAAGGCACCGAATCCCATGCATGAAGGCAGAGCCTCATGACTCAATCATATCCTAGAGGCCACACCTCTTAATCCTGTTGCATTGTGGAGTAAGTTTCAGCATGAATTTTGGATGGGACAAAAACATTCAAACCAGAGCAGTAATGGCAAAAGCATTGGACTAAGAACTGAAGATCTGGGCTGACATCTTGAGCTGAGTCCTCTCCAGCCCTGAAGTCTCCCAATAAACCTTTGTGCCCTACTTCACAGGGTGGTATGAGTTGTGTGGAAATATTCTGAAAAGTACTATGCAGTTTTAAAACACTGCTTTAAAGAGATAAACAATTAGGGAAAAAAAATGGACGTCTTAAAAGCAAAGATCCAAGCTCCTGTATGTGAAAAACAGACTTTTATTTTGTGAGATTTTTCTTACCTTCAACTTGTGAAATGTAAAGAGTAACACATTTACCCATTTTCTTCTATTTCAGGTGCGTATAATTTGCTCTGCGTCGACTCCTATATCAAGCTTATTTTTGCATCAACATCATGACAGTGAGTTGGAGCAAAGCAGAATACTGATGGATGATTTGGGGCTGAGCCAGGTAGGCGATATTAACATAATCTCTTTTTATTATAAAACAGCTTAATTGTTTTTGGTTTGATGCATGGCTACATTTTGAAGAAGAAATGCAGTGTATAGTTAACCATTGATTGGCGCTTCTTCTATAAGCCCATGTAGCAAATTTATCATTCTCAATATCACTGAATATAGAAAATTATAAACTTACAGTGGAAGGAACCTTAGTGGTCATGTAGTTCAGTGCTCCATTTTGCATGTGATAAAAATGAAGCCCACGGAGGTGGACTAAGGTGCCCACAGTCACACTGCTGAATAATGGCAGGCCAGAGCTGGATGCCAAACCACCTGTGCCCGGTTCTGGGCTTGCTCTGCTATACCATGCTGCCCTTTCTGGGTATCTTTCTAAATGATTGCTGGATTTGTAGAGTGCATGATACAGTATCCAAGCATGTAGGCTGGCTAGTCCAGGACCATGGAGTGCCTAGCAAGGCCCCAGGCTTGAAAAGAAATCCCTAACTAATCTCTCAACCTCCATTCTGCAAACATTTATGGAGTACCTGTGGGTGCCAGGCTCTGAGGACACTCTGTAGGGAACAAACAGATGCTAGTCCAGTTCTCCTGGAGCTTGGAGTCTGGTGATTCACCCCAGGCCAACTAGAAGTGACTTTGCGTTTTCTTCTTCTATAAGAACGTTATGAGATGTGTTTCTCAACTATCGACAACTGAAATATTAGTCAAAAGTTTACAACTATCAACACTCACCCCATGAGGGGAGCCCAATTCTTCCAGCCCCACAGGTGAAAGACCTCTGGAACAAGGAAACAATTCCTTATCAACCTGAATAGAAATGAGGCATTTTCAGGAGTTTGGGAGAACGAGGCCAATTTAAAAAGTGAACTTTCCAATATGATGACTTAAACCTATGTGTATGTCTTAGTCTGCTATAACAAAACACCATGAACTGGGTAGCTTACAGACAACAGAAATTTATTTCTAACAGTTCTGGAGGCTGGGAAGTCCAAGATCAGGGTGCCAGATTTGGCATCTGATGAAGGCCCACTTCCTAGTTCCTAAGCCTCTGTCTTTTCTGTATAAACCTCACATGGTGGAAGGGGTGAGGGATCTCTCTGGGGCATGTTTTATAAAGGCATTAATCCCATTCATGAGGGCTCCACCCACAAGACCTAATCATCTCCCAAAAGCTCCGCCTCCAATACCATCACCTTATGGGTTAGGATTTCAGCATATGAATTTTGGATGTACATAAACATTCAGCTCTAACCTAGAACAGTTTCATCCTGAAACCATCCCCCTGCCCCTGGTCCATGGAAAAATTGTCTTCCACGAAACTGGCCCCTGGTGCCAAAAGGTTGGTAAAGTTTACATCATTGGCTCTTAAAACTTTTTTCCCCTAGGCTGGTGCAATGGGTCATTCCTACAATCCTAGCACTTTGGGAGGCCGAGGTGGGCAGACTGCTTTGAGCTCAGGAGTTCAAGACCAGCCTGGGCAACATGGTGAAACACCCATTTCTACAAAAAATAAAAAATAAAATAAAAAAAATTAGCTGGGTGTGGTGGCACACACCTGTAATCCTAGCTACTGGGGAGGCTGAGGCAGGAAGATCACTTGAACCCAAAAGGCAGAGGTTGCAGTGAGGCAAGATGGCACCACTGCACTCCAGCCTGGGTGACAGAGTGAGACCCTATCTCAAATTCCCCTAGGATCAAGAAAAAATAAGCTCAGCAGACAGAGCCAATCATGCATGAAGAAATCAGGGAATGTGATCTCAGGGTCATGAAGGTTCACAATGGATCAGTGGAGAAGATGGACTTAGGAATCTAGAATTTTTCTCTGAAAAAGCATACTAGCAAACCCCTAAGGAAAGAGAAAAATTCCAAGCCCACTTAGTGGCCATGAGTCTGTGTTGGTATCACCAGTCTGGGGTTACCAGCCTCACAGAGACAGAGTTTCCCAATTTGGTCCTAGATGGTGGGATCAGTTGTCCCAGCAGCTGAAGACTAAAAACAGCCCTGCCTTTCAGCCCTGGCTTTTAGATCCCAGGCACATTCTCCAGAACCCAGACCCACTGCTCATTTGCATTTGCTCTCCTTTAGTCATTGGTTGGATTGGAAAACGCTCTCCAGAGGTTTGTCCTTAGGGCCTCCCCCTTAGGCACTGGGACCCTGTCTGGAGGCCTACACCAGCCTCTTTCTAGCTTCTCAGAACTACTGGTTTTTTTTTTGCCATTACTTATTTCTGGTGTACACTTTTGGAGAAAGTTTTCCCTTTTAAGTTTTCTCTCTGATAATTTGATGTGTTTACTGCCTATCAGTTTAAATTGGTTGACTCTCTAGTCTCATTTAAGAGATTGTATATGGAAAAAAAAAGTTATAAAAAAAGGCATAATCTAAACCGGTAAGCCTAAAAAGTTTTTTTAAACCTATACTTAGGTTCTGTAAATTTTCATTTGTGATAGCTTTATTTTAATTTCTTTGTTTTATAACCAGGATTCAGCAGAAGGACTCTCCATGTTTACCGGAGAAGAGGAAATCTTTGCATTTCAGCGCACAATTTCCCGACTCACGGAAATGCAGACTGAACAGTACTGGAATGAAGGAGACAGAACCAAGAAGTAACTGCCACTTTTGCATAAATAAAACTCTAGACAAATGGTTAACGCAGGCAGAACTCCTTATTGTGGGACTTGAAGGAATCATTTTCTCATCATTAATTATGCACTTTGTCCTCTGGACCATTTTAATCTAAAATTGCTCTCAAGGATCTAGTGGATTAGTAAGTTAAACACTTAACATTTTTTAGGTCTGCTTTTTCTTATTTGGCCTTATTTCTGCACCATGAAATTAAAATCATCTCATTCCTGAAGATGAATGTAGGACCAGACATTTTAGCTTCACATTAAACCACCTGAATGAACCTTGAATGCACAAGTAAATGCAAGACGTCTGGATACCTTCAAGCTTTGGCTGCATGGTGGTGGCATGTTAGAAATACATCTTTTATAATGGGGGAAGAATGCCCTATGTTTCAATTCAAAACAAAGACAGTTTTCCAATCTGATATAAACTAAAAGGGATAATATTTTAGAATATGGGCTTATATGTGGTTTTTTTTTTTGGTTATGAATTACAGTAAATCTCCCAGGCCTTCAGATTTCTACATAATGGAAGAATATGTTTTTAACCCTGAGATCAAGTTTAGTAGGCAGGACTTGATCTCAAGTGGTCACAAAGTTTTCTAAAAAAAAATAGAAAATTATGATGGGATCAAATAAGGAGCAAGTGTCAAATTCCAGCCAACAGGCAGATCTGCAGGCAGAGCTACAAACTCTGCAGCCAGGAATGGGGACCAGTGAGAGAGTGTGGGCGGGGGGGTGGGTGTCAGAGTCGTAGGCACTCCAACAGCAGAGGAGACTCCCGCTCACATGAGGCCAGCCGTACCCCAGTGGACAGCAGGCTCCTTCTCACTGTTGTAGACACTTGCTCTCCTTGCAGCATGCTGCCCCCGCCCTTGCCGCCAACTCTGCCGTGAGATGGACCTAATAGGAAATAGGAAAGAAAGCCTGACAAGCCTGCTTCACAGGAAATCTGATTTGTCCTTCACTGAGCTCATCTTTTGCTTCTTTGAGTAAAACCTGGCTTTACTAACTATTGTCACAAAGTGGATCTTCGGCTGTGGATGAGTGTGAAAAACAGAAAAAATATAAAATCCACAAAATCTTGTGAAAATTAAGCATTTGGGGGAAGGTAAGGCATAGGTGAGTCAGTCCAATGAATACAATGGTCAACATAAGTAAGCTCTTTGAACCTATTTATTTTCTATTTATTATTATTTTTATTTTTTATATCTTGGCCACTCTAGCCATCTCCTGGCAGGGGTAGTGTGGCACAGCATGGCCCTATTTAATTTCTTAGTCAATAATCCATCACATAGTCTCTTTTAGATATTAACCTAATTAAGGCAAGCAGGTAGATGGATGAGTACCCAAGCCGAGAGAAGAGTTTAAATCAAGCCTTCTGTAAATAAAATGTGGTTTAAAGATATTTTTATTGAAGTGAAACACAGTAATTTCAAAGAGGTTACGTAATAGGGAGAAAGGATGGGAAATAACCACTTTGTGCTGGATTGAATGCTATATATTTACATTAGCTCAGTTAAAAAAAATAGTCTTAGAAAGTGAATATTATAACCCCTGTTTAAAAATAAGAAAACTGAGTCTTGGGAAAGTTAAGTAGCTTGACCTGAGATTCACAGTTTACAACTACAAAACTCATATACTATATTTTATAACACACTGTCTCTTACTCTTACTATTTAAAAAAAAGAGATTGTTTTAAAAATTGATTCATTTAACTCAGTGAATGAAGTTGAAGATAAATTCACAACAGAACCATTGATTTGAACTCAGTGAATATAAAATGTTTAACTTTATTCTTTAGATCTTAGCTTTTTACTTTTCACATTCCTTTGGTAATTATTCTGTATCTTAATTTTTAAAAAAATCATGTGAATGGACAGACAGATAGATGGACAGTATGACCGATAGACAGACCTGTCCCTGAGTGTGAGTGTATGTAGAAGAGTCCCCCTGTCAAGTTATGTTATAAAAGTTCATCTGAGGTCAGATATTGGGAATAAAGTTTCATTTTTCCATCGAAACAATCACGTAATGTTAGTTGGGGTGCTGGTCAAACGCATAGAAGCCTATGTAATTCTCAGTGTAGCTTCCCTATAATGTCATTTTGGTACGAAAGAACTTAAACCCTGAGAAAAAAACTGTAGCTCAGTCTCCACCTAAGTAACTGGAGCATGTGCCCACTTCTGTGCCCCCAATCCGCAATCTCCTTCCCCAGTTCCAGGGGCCTGCTGGGATTGGCTGCAGTGGAAGAGGCTCTTTGAGCTGGGAGAAGGGTTTATGCAGAAAGTGGGGCTAGAAGGCTTTGGCTGGATCTCTGGAGGGGAGGGAGTTCCATGGTGGCTGGAAATCTCCAAAGCTGGTTTCATAAAATAGCATGCAAGAAAAAAACCCAAGTCTTCAAGAATAGCCATCACTAGGAAACAGTATGGTAGCTCTACTAAAAGAAAAGTAATGCCAACATGAAAAACAACCCCTAGATTGGAGAGCAACATTTCACTTTATATGTCTTTCTTCTGAGCCCTGCCCCTATTACATTCTCAGCATTCCAGTCTTTCTCCATAGAAGTCTCTCAGCAAATGCTCTTTTTTTGAAATGCTTTAAATGTATACTTTGAGACGGAGGTTTGAGCTGAGTACTGCTGTGGAAAGCTCCTGCTCAATTCAAAACACAGACCGGGGGGATGTCTTTAGAGTCAGGAGAAAACATCATGTGCCAAGGGTGCTCTCCAAACTGATGACTAGTTCCCAGACTTAACAGAGGTCAAGCGGAGAAAAAGGAAAACTTTCTTTAGAGAAGAAAAAGAAAAATCTTATCACTTCTCATATTTCTTTAGGCAGTGTATGAGCTTATTTGCTGATATCACTAATCCTGAGATGAAAAACAGGATGGACTTAAGTAATTTTTAACCTATTTCTGAGGCCAAAAAGACTGTAGTATTATTTTAATCAAATTTATGCATTTTCAGTGGGACTTCAAATTTTAATAATAAGGCAATACTTTTATCTTCTTAAAGTATATTTCCTGTACTTATAAGTGTGCAAATGACATAATTTTAAAATTAGTTGGAATATTGAAAAAAATTAAAATTTCACTTGTAAAATAAGTGGATGTGCTTATATCCATTTATTTATTTAAGAAACACATGATGTTTTCTGTGTCCTGGGCATGGTTCTATGTGCTTTATAAATAAACTCTTTTGATCCATATAACAGTCTTATGAGATAGGTGCCATTATAATCATTTTATAGACAGGGAAGCTGAGACACAGAAAACAGCTAAAACAGATTAATGAATTGCTAAGATATAACCGAAGTCAATAAAATTAGCAAAGTGCTAACGTATTAAATTTTCCATTTCATTGCCTCTGTCCTGAAAACAGTATTGCTGGTCCAAGTAACTTGAACCTACACTTGACGGCTGCTTTATCTGAGATTAAAAACATGCAGAAGGATTGGGCGCCTGGGTCCCTGACATTTGGGTTCTTGATCAGTTACGGGAATCTGTCTTGCAGCAAGTCTGTAAGTTACCTTTATTAGATTTACTAATCTCAAAAGAAGTCACTTGCTGGTAGGAAAGGATTTTCTTTGGAAATGAGTTTATAACTTCTTTTACAGTCAGAATTAAGATGAATGTTCCCTATTGGCATATAGCAGTTCATTTTTCTGGAACAGAAAATTACAAATGTTAAAATCTGCCCTCTTGTCGAGTGTCTACTGACTCAGTCCAGCAGCTCACTAGGACCCTCACATCTGTTGCCCTAGCTGGTCATTCGGTCCAGTCAAACATGCCTGTCCACTGACCTTTCGTCTGTGCTGCATGGAGCCATCAGTCTGTCTTACCTGCTTGCCTAGGGGGCTTTCTGGATGTCGTCCCGAGAATTTTCCTGTCTCAGGGCTGTACTTTCTGGGTTCCCGGTGGTTGATTGCTGGTCTCTAATGATGCAGTGGAAAGGGCTTGAGATCTGGCATTGGAAAATTCAGTTCTGCTAATTATTGTTTTGTGACCTCGACCAAGATAGTGCTCTGAGCCTCAGTTGTGTCATCTTATAAATGGGAATCATAATGCCCATTTCATAGAGTTACTATGAGGATTGTTGGTGAAAAGCGCTTTGCAAATGGCAAAGGATTAAACGAACATCAGTTGTTATTGATACTAATGATTATGATCATAAATCCTACTTTCTGCTTTGTGTTATAGCCTTTTGAGGAATGCAAAACAGAAGACACATTCCAACCCACTGGTTTCTAACAGAAGGGAAAAGATACGCATTAAATGGCTAGACACCAAGAGCACACGGGTCTGGCTTAATGAGATGCTGGAGAAGATTGTTAAATTCAAATCCATGTTTTCAGGATTAATACAGAAAATGAATTGTTGCTTGTTTGGTGAACATCAAAGATTTCCCAGAAAGAGGGCACCATCTTGTGGTCAGTAGGATGAACTGACAGGAGAAAAAAAAAAGGCCAGTGGTTCTCAAGGCTACACATTCCTAGGCCTAGGTCCACATCCAGGGTCAGGTATGGTGGGTCAGATGTGGGGCCCCAGCATCAGCACTTGTTAATGTTCCTTGTAAGATTCTAAGGTGCAGCAGGGTTGATCACCGCCAATCAGGCAGGCCGTGGAGCTCTTGCCTGTGACTACACAGCCGGTACGCACAGAGAGCCCTGCCTGCAGCTGGGTCCTGACTCTGGGCGCCTGATGCAGAGACCACGGCACTTTCCAGGGAGCAGAGGCTGTTGCTATGATTCCTGGAGCCCAGGTCATCAGCACACTGGCACACACAAAGTCACCTCCCAGAGCCCACCCCTCTCCTCCCTGGGGACCAAGGCTCCTCTGCCTTTCTTCTCCACCCACACTAACAACGTCAAAATAGTTAACCACGCAGCACTTCCTAGTTTAGAAAGCACTTTAGGAGGCCAAGGCGGAAGGATCGTTTGCTCCTACCATATCCGTCGTCCACAGCAAATTCTGCAAGGGAGATGCAATTATCCTACTACCCATGAGGAAACTGGGGCACTCGGAGGGTAAGTGGTTTCACAAGCATATCGAGTAAGCATATGTCTTCTGGATCCCGACCCTGTGCTCTGCAGCCCTTCTGGTAGTAGTAATAATAGTAGCCCCCATTTTAAAGTCATCGTGGGTCTTGAGGCTAGAACAGGAAAGATGTGGGTGTAGGGGTATGCACAAGGGTGTTGTTTTGCACAACCCCATATGTGATGGCAAAGAACTGGAATCAGTGGTTGGCAAACTTTGAAATATTTAATCTTCACAATAATTGAGAGAGTGTCCTACTTTGTCACCCAGGCACAATCATGGCTCGCTGCAGCCTTGACCTCCCAGGCTCAAGTGATCCTTCCACCTCAGCCTCCTAAGTAGCTGGGACTACAGATATGCACCACCATGCTGAGCTAATTTTTAAAATTTTTTTTAAAACACAGATGGGCTCTGGCTATGTTGGCAGGGCTGGTCTCGAACTCCTGGGCTCAAGTGATCCTCCCACCTTGGCCTCCCAAAGTGCTGGAATTATAAGCATGAGCACCACGTTTGGCCCCACTTTCCACTTTCAAAATGCTTGCAGACCCCAAAGAGCTTTTATGTGGGTGGGATATATAATCACCAGTATTAGAAATCAAACAGAAATTGTTAGATATTTAATTCATTTAAAAATAACAATAAGCACATGAAATATTACCTAAATAGCATTATGAAAAGTAACAGCATTTCCAAAACAAAAAACAAGTTAGTGAGAAAAGTGGCATTGTTTTAAATTTTTGCCAATGTCTGGTTTAGTAAAATACAGACAGATTCTGTTGGAATATCACACATCATGTAGCTCCTGAAAAAATCAACTGTGTGCATGTGGGAGAATGAGTGAGAAAGGTAAATAATGTCTTAGTGGTTTTATGGAAAATGACTTTGACCTCATGGACTCACTAAGAGTCACAGGTCCCTCAAGGGTCCCTGGACCACCCTTGGACAAGGCTGAGTTTATTGCTAATGGGATGAAGGATTCCCATGTGCCCACTGGAGCCCACTGGTAAGAGCTGGTATTGGCAACTGGAGTGGAGAGGGGGTGCTAAGCATGGGAAGGGTGGGGCCAAGCTGGATGGGAATTTGAATACAGGAGAAGATGGTAGCCAGTCTACCCATTGAGACCCCCTAGCCACTGCCTCATGTCATCCTTGTTGCTGCCTACTGCTCTGAGCCCTAAGCACTTTGCCAGCCCAGCCCCAACCTTGCAACTCTCTTCTTTAGCTTCTCCTCCTGTGTCTCAGCTCCTCCTTCTCTGAAAGCTTCTGGTTCCTTTTCCTTTTCTCACCATCTAAGTTCTTTCTTGGATCCACATAAAAATGGCGATTATAAAAAACAACACCCAATATTATACAAAGTACTTTCACACATAACGTCTTTTTCACACTCTTTTCTTGATGTCCATAGCAACAAATACCAGCCGATGCCAGTTATTCTCAAGTGTGTCTTCCCATCCCTGACTCCACCAGTCTCCTGTTCTGTACTTCCAATTGCCTACTGGATCTCTCCTTTTGAATGTTGCGTAAACTCAGTGTGTCTCAAATAGTTACCCAACCCAATCCTCCACACTGAAATATTTTCTGGCAGTGCTACACCTTTTGCAGTGATACTGTCTCAGGCACTCACACAGCTGCAGTACTCTAATACTCTGCCACTGGCCCCTTGGCAGTCGACAAGAGCCAGTGATGTTGGGAACAGAAAAGAAGGGATAGACATTAGAATCATGTTACATGATGGAGAAAGGGTTCAAGATAAGTATCAGTGCAGGACAGGACTTGGAGAATGGTTAGTTATTGGAATGAATGGCAAATCCAACAATCTGAAGACAGGAGCAGTTTGAGCAAAGGTGATCCCAGGACTTTCAGCCTGTCCTGCATGTTTCTACGGTTTCGTCTACAGTGACTGGATCAGTTCTGGAGTCTCCCAGTTCTCATTATCCACCTGGGGGCTGGGGATAAGACTCCAGAGAGTCCTAGGACAAGCTGGCCTTTGGGAATGCAGTAGATAGTTCTCATTTCTCTGATTCACTCTTTAATTTATTGAATAAACACTGTCAAGTGCTTCTTATGACAAGGCACTCTGCTAGATGCTATGTGGGACATAATGAAGTTTACAGCTTTAAAAAAAAAAAGTCATTATTTTGGCCAGGCACGATGGCTCACGCCTATAATCCCAACACTTTGGGAGGCCAAGGTTGGGGGATCACTTGAAGCCAGGAGTGAAAAGAAAGAAAAAAGAAAAAGAAAAAGAGTTATTATTTTAATAGGAGAATCTATAGATTGGTTACATTGCTCCTTAAGGAAAAGTCAGCAATTTAAATCAAAATTAAAGCTTGAATCTCTAAAACTGGCTAACCTCATCTGGAACATGTGGCTCCCGCTTGCACCTAAGATCACCTTCTCCATTGTCTACCAGGCTAGCGTGAGCCACACCTGTTCAGTTTTCCAACTATCAGCTAAGAGAAAGACTTCATTAATATTTGGAGGATACAGGCCGGGCACAGTGTCTCATACTTGTAATCCCAGCACTTTGGGAGGCTGAGGCAGGTGGATTGCTTGAGGCCAGGGGTTCAAGACCTGCCTGGCAAACACGGTGAAACCCCATATCCACAAAAAATATGAAAATTAGCCAGACATGGTGGTTTGTGCCTGTAATTCCATCTTCTTGGGAGGCTGAGGCAGGAGAATCACTTAAATCCAGGAGGCGGAGGTTGTAGTGAGCCGAGACTGTGCCTTTGCACTCCAGCCTGGGCAACAGAATGAAACTCTCAAAAATATATATATATTTTGGGGAAACAGATAATAAATTCAGAAAATACTTGGAATCTAGATGATATGGCTAATAAAATTTAATGTGATCATCTTCAGCATGAATCTCCACTTTGTTCTAGCTCTCCTTCCAGATTCCAGATACCTCTTCTATCCCCTCCACAAGACGATACTCACAGACATACATATACCTCTGAGTGCTTCCTGGAAAGGGCAGAGTCCAAAAAGAAGCCTCTTCTCCATGACAGTCATTGCTAGAACTTGCCCATAACCAGTTCTCTCTTTCCAAGCACACAGGTGGGGTCACACTTTCTGCCCCCTTGGCAGTTAGGCAAGGCCATGTGATTATTTCTGAGCAGTTAGTTGGCAGTGAGTGGAAGTGATGTGACATGTGTCATTTCCAAGGTGAAGCTCTTACTAGCTGGCTTGAGAACTTTTAGATCTCTTTTCTTTTGCATGGAAAACCTGGAAATACCATGTTGAGACAGAGACACCCAAGATAAAATTGCCTGGAAGGCTGAGCCACCACATGAAAATGCCAAACTACCCATGGCAAATGCTGTGTGAGCAAGAAATAAAATTACATTCTGTTTTTTTCTTGGAGAAATAAGGGAAAAAATAAAAATAAATTACATTCTAATAAACCATGGAGACCTTTGGCGTTATTTGTTATGGCAGCATAATCCAGCTTGTCTTGGCTATACACCAGACGGCCCGCAGGCCAGCCCCTTCAGGGTCTGTTTCTTGTCTGAGGACCTGACCCTTCCTTGGGAATTGACACTAAGAATGGCTGCTCTCCTTGGCTTCATCTCCAGACCCATGTGGCTTGTCTCTGGAGGGCTTAGCAATAGCAACACATCTCTCTATTGCCCCAAACCTCAACATTCACACATATGCTATAACTGCCCCAAGAAGAACCCCCCTGCATCCCTTAACTTTAAATACTGTCTTACTTGGGTTTTGTGTTTTTGGGTCACAGTGAAAATATTAGGTAGACAGGTTTAAATGTATCCGATGACTTTAAACCCGACTTTGATACTCAAGTGGCCAAGAAAGCTGCTTCCAATTCTTTAGGGCTTGGACTTGAGCCGTCAGTTGTTTAAAACTCTAAGCAGATGCAAGTTATAAAAACCATTTGTTCACATATGAAGTCTGCATCCATAGAAAACCATTTTCAGAGTTGAAATCAATCTAACCAAAGAAGAATAGGCAGGGCATAAAATCAAGCAGTGCCAAGGCACATGCTTAACCTGACCCATAAGGAATCCAGCCTTTCATTCCTCCAGCAGGTGGGGATCCAGAGGCATCCTGAGAGAAGGGGCAGGTGGGAAGAACAGAGCACCATTAGGAGTCAGGAGTGTATCTGAGATCCTGTACTGCTACTAACCATATATAATCTCATGCACATAACTTTGGGTAAGTCACTTAATGTTACTCTTTGGGCCTCATCTAAGACCTTTATTTCTGTGAAGCTCTGATGATTTATAGTTTGATCAAACGGTGTATACAGATGGCCCATACACACACGAAAAGATGCTCAGTATCATGACTCATTAGGGAAATGCAAATCAAAATCACTGTGAGACACCACTTCACACTACTAGGATGGTTAGAATCAAAGAGATGGAGAATAAAAAAGGCTGGCAAGGATGTGAAGAAATTGGAACTCATATGCTGCTGATGAAAATGTAAAATGGTATAGCTTTGGAAAACAGTTTGGCAGCTCCTCAAAATATTAAGCATCTAGCAATTCTACTCCTAGATACCTAAGAGAAATAAAAATATATATCCGCACAAGAACTTGTACATGAATGTTTGCAAAAGATTATTATATTAGCCCCAAAGTGAAAACCCAAATGTCCACTACCTGATGAATGGATAAACATGATGTGGCATTACATACAAAGTAGTAGTATCCAGCAACGAAAATGAAGTCCTGATACGTGCTGCTACAAGGATGGACCTTGAAAACATTATTCTCAGTGAAAGAAGCCAATCATGAAGGGCACACATATGTATGGCTCCATGTGTATGATATGTCAAGTAGGCAAATCTATAGCGATAAAGAGTAGGGCCTGGGGGTGAGGGCAGGAATGAGGAATAATTGCTAATGGGTACAAGATTTCTTTTAGGGGTAATGAAAACATCTGAAATTAGATTGTAGTGGTGATCGCACAACTCTGTGACTAGACTAAAAATTGCTGAACTGTGTGCCTTCCATGGTTGGATTTTATGGTATGTGAATTATCAAGCTATTAAAAATAGTGTACAGGGCTGGGCACGATGACTCACGCCTGTAATCCCAGCACTTTGGGAGGCCGAGGCGGGCGGATCACTTGAGGCCAGGAGTTCAAGACCAGCCTCGCTGACATGGCAAAACCCTGTCTCTACTCAAAATACAAAAATTAGCTGGGCATGGTGGCGCACGTCTGTGATCTCAGCTACTTGGGAGGCTGAGGCACTAGAATTGCTTGAACCCAGGAGGTGGAGGCTGCAGTGAGCCGAGATCATGTCACTGCACTGCAGTCTGGGTGATAGAGTGAGACTCTGGCCAAAAAAAAAAAAAAAAAAAAAGGTGTACAGATATTCACCATTCATTCATTCATTCATTCATCATTTACTTGCTGTCTACTCTGTGCCAGGAGCCGGGCACACTGAGAATAATGAGACAAACTCCCTCACCATGACAGACTTGTAATCTTTTAGGGACAACAGACAGACATAATGTGGTGTCAAGGAAGAGCCTTGCCCAGGTATCCTGGGAAGACCAGGGCACTCAAGTCAGCCAGGAAATGTAGTAAAAGGCATAGAAAGGACTGAGGGACAAACACTGTGCTGGGGAGGAGAGATGCAGAATAACAAAACCCATCCCTAGTCTCCAGGAGATGAAAAGAGTTGAGAGAGCACCAGTGCAGGGCCGAGTGTCATCCATACAACGAGAAATTACAAAGTGCTCTGGCAATTCAGAAGAGGGAGCTATAATGAATGTTATTCTTCTGAATGTTCAGAGAGAAATTAGACATAATTTGGTCCTTCAAGACATAACAATTCCCCTTTAGAACCCCAAATTCAGGGTGCACAGTGTAAAAACTGCTGCTATCATCAAAATGTGTCCCTCATTTTGCACTAATAACCTATCACATTTTAACCAAACTTTGAAAAGGCAGAATATTAAATTCAATTGCTAAAGAAGTATCAGTTGATTTCTATTGATTAGAGCAACATAGTTTGTAGAATTAAAAATAATTGCTTATGCTTTTGTGGTACTGACATAATTAGATTTAACAGCACAAAAATAATGCTCAAGCCATGACAAAGCAACTTTAAGTCTGGGGCAAAATAGACAGCTGATGTATGGATGAGCTAAACTCCCACCTTACCATCACCACTTTGTAGCCCATAGTTACATGTGGGGAATAAGGAAGAGAAGGGGCCAGGTGCAGTGGCTCATGCCTGTAATCCCAGCACTTGGGGAGGCCAAGGCGGGTGGATCACCTGAGCTCAAGAGTCCAGCCTGGGCTTCACGGTCAAACCCTGTCTCTACAAAAAATACAAAAATTAGCCGGGTGTGCTGGTGCACGCCTGTAATCCCAGCTACTCTGGAGGCTGAGGCAGGAGAATTGCTTGAGCCTGGGAGGTGGAAGTTGCAGTGAGCTGAGATGGCACCACTGCACTCCAGCCTGGGTGACAGAGCGAGACTCTTTATCAATGAAAGAAAGGGAGAGAGAGAGAGAGAGAGAGAGAGAGAGAGAGAGAGAGAGGAAGGAAGGGGAAGGGGAAGGGAGAAAGAAAAAGGGAGAGAGAGAGAGAGAGAGAGGAAGGAAGGGGAAGGGGAAGGGAGAAAGAGAAAAAGAAAGAAAAAGGAAAGGAAGGAAGGAAAAGAAAGAGGGAGGAAGGAAGGAAAAGAAAGGATGGAAGGAAAGAAAGAAGAAAGAAAAGAAAAGGAAAGAAAAGAAAAAAGATGAAGAAAGAAAAAAGAGAGAGAGAGAAAGAAAGAGGAAGGAAGAGAGGATTTGCTGTGGTGGTTGGGAGGGGACTCCTTCATGGAGATGGAGAAGGAGCAGGCAGAATATTGGCACTCAGAGCTCTTGTCATAGCATAAGTTAGAGGGCCCCACGGCAACCTGATGACAGCTAAAGGCAGGTCCCTCTTCTTGCTGTGACCCAGGGCACCGTCCTTATTCAGACTGAACTGAATCTGCAGCCTGTGTGTGCTCTCTAGACCCACCTTGACACTTGGTTTGGGGAAGGCTTTCTCCTCCAAGGCTCTGGTTTGTCCCCAGTTTGTGCCACTGAGTTTCAGTCCCCTTCAACTGTGCCTGAAGGCTAGAATTTATGCCCCAGGGGGCAGGGGCCAGGGAGGGTGTCCTCAGCCTGTTCTTTACTTGACAGCCTGCATCTGCCCCTATTTACATCCTCTGCAGTGCTGAACCTGCTTTCTGTGTTCATTCATTCTTTCCAAGCTCCACATGTGGCAGAAGGGTCTGGACTGGGATCAAGAGAGGCCGGCTAGGTTCTCAGCTCCATGATAGGCAAACCCCAGTTAGTATGGAGCTCGGCTTCCTCACTCACCCAGCTTCATTTGGATTCAGACCCGGGTTAAATACCTGCTGTGTGACCTGGTGTGTTAGCCAAAGTTGCTCAACCTTCATCTCCCCATTCGTAAAATGGGGGAAAGAATACCAACCTTGCAGGGTGCTGTGGGCATCAGAGATCATTACTCACAGTGCCCAGCACTGCGCAGACATTCATTAGCCAGCAATTGTTATCTACGATTGTCCTCAAACCCCCTTCCTATTCTGAGAGAGATGCTGGGTCACAGGCTCCCATTCTTCAGGCTGGCATTTCAGTTCCATCTGGAAGATGAGTAGAGGCAGCCCTGAGGAACCTGCTAGGGGCTCAGAGGCACAGATGATGGCCAGATGTCACTCCTCCACTCCTATTCTTGGACCCTGGCCTGGGGTAGCTTGGCCTTCACCTTCCGGCTTCTCTGCGCAGCACTCACGGCCCTTCATGTTTGCACGTGTGCCCTCTGCTCCCTCTGCCTACATGAAGCAGAATGGAGGGTGGACTTTAGGTCTTCCTCCCAGTGCAAACCTTCTCCTGTGAGACAGACTGCAAAGGGCCGAGGATAATCTGTGCTTGGTGACGTGAACTCATTCTCTAAGCTGAGGCCCTAACCTTTTGTTGTCATGGGCTCCACCAAGAAGCTGAGGATGAATGCTCAGAAATCTCCACTGTAACCAAGTTCTGCACAAAAATCTGCTGAGGTTTTGCATAGATTCTCCAGGGGCTCATGACCACAAGTTCAGACACCTGAGCTCTGGTCCCTCCTCGTGTGTGTGCGGCAGCCTCTCCCAGGGTCTTGGTGCTCGCCTGCTCTCTGGAAGATTAACAAAGTCAGGGTGTTGGTTTTTCCAAGGGCTGAGTTGCTGCGGTTGGAAGTACTGAGGGTGACCTGTACGACCCTCCTCTCAGGTAGGGAGGACTGGGGGTCCTCGGCCACCCAAGAGGCTCCTGAAGAGGGCACCCTGAGGTGCCGGCATGTTCTGGACATCATCATTCATTGGGAGAATCTGACCAAATATGTCATTATATTACATATGAGAACATTATAATCAGCACATTCTCAGCAAAAATGTTCACTTCTTTAACACTATTTTCTTCACACTATTGAGCTCTCATGCAAGTAGAGTTCGCCATTGATACTGTTTGCTGGATGATAATTAAGGATGACTTCCTACATTGTTCCCCAAACCTAGTGAACCATCAGAACCACCTGGGAAGCTAATACAGACTATTCAGCCCCATGCCAAACTTATTGAACTTGGATCTTCTTTGGAGAGGCCCAAAAAACTGTACTTTTAAAATAAGTGTCATCAGTGAACCTAATGATTAACTAAGATTAGGAAACAAGGACTTAATATTGAGTAACATTTAACCTTCCTAAAGAAGGCTTTTTTTTTTTTTTTTTTTTTTTTGGAGACAGGGTCTCACTGTGTCACCCAAGCTGGAGTACAGTGGCATGATCATGACTCGTTGCAAGCTCAAGCCCAACCTCCTGGGCTCAAGTGATCCTCCCACCTCAGCCTCTCAAGCAGCTGGGACTACAGATACACATCACCATGCCTGGCTAATTTTTTTTTTTTTTTTTTTTGAGATGGAGTTTTGCTCTTGTTGCCCAAGCTGGAGTGCAATGGTGCCATCTCGGCTCACTGCAACCTCTACCTCCCAGGTCCAAGCCATTCTCTTGTCTCAGCCTCCCAATTAGCTCGGATTACATGCATGTGCCACCACACCCAGCTAATTTTTTTGTATTTAGTAGAGACAGGGTTTCACCATGTTAGTCAGGCTGGTCGTGAACTCCTGACTTCAGGTGATCCACCCGCCTTAGCCTCCCAAAGTGCTGGGATTACAGGGAGGCAGGGCTGGCTACTTTTTTTTTTTTTTTTTTTTTGATTTTGTAGAGACAGGGTCTCCCTATGTTGCCCAGGCTGGTCTCAAACTCCTGGGCTCAAGTGATCCTCCAGCCTTGGCCTCCCAAAGTGCTGGGATGACAGGCATGAGCCACCGAGTCTGGCCTAATAAAATTGTTTGAGAAATCAAATAATTGATGTTATATACCCAAAGTATTTTAAATATATTTATTAGTTTGATCACTGTTCTCTGACAATTTAAGGCAGCTTTGAGAGATACATGAAGCACAGTAAGTTTTTGTTTGTTTGTTTTGTTTTTTTTAACTGAAGCTAGAGAAATGAGGCAAAGTAGATTGAAACAGGCATTAAACTAAAACTGCGTGGTAACCTCACACATCAAATTTCACTGGAGCAATCCAACTCTTTTATATTTCTGTCTCACTCTCCCTCTCTCTTTTTCCATTAAGTGGTTTTGAGGTCATCTCAAGTGAGGCCATTTCATCAAACTAGACTTTATAACAAAGTACTTTAAGAGGACCAGGGTGAAGCCACTCACTCCATTTTTATGGTCAGTGATCACAGCATCCCTGACCCTTACAGTCTAGTGTGGAGGTGGTGGGTGGAGTGGGGGAGACAGATAGTAAACAAATCACCATAAAAATAAATGAGACAACAACAGGGTGTGTTTAGGACTGAGACAAAAATGAAGACGGGTGCTGTGCTGGGAAGTGTCCAGGGTGCCCTGGGATCAGAAGGTCAGAGAAGGCCTCTGAGGAGACAGCTTTTGTGTGGAGCCCTGCAGGGCATGGGGCCCAGCTGGGTGACCCTCGGGGCAGAGCATTCTAGTCAGAGGGAAGCTGGCACAAGGGCCCAAAGGCAGGGCTGTGTTTGGGGTATGGGAGGAACAGGAAGAACATCTGTGAGTTGGCAACTAATGGCTTTTTTCCCCAGCTGGGTAAAAAGTGTTATTAAAAACCCAATGTATCTGGAATATTGTAGCGGGTGCTACTGCCACATCCCAGGCCACCACCTGTGGATTTTTGTTTGTCCTTGAGAGCGATCTGGTGAGGCCTTCACCCTTCCTCCTCCCTCTGTACTTTCCCCTGATGGGTGTCCCTCTTTGATGGCATCTCCAAAACTTCACCTTATCACCTTTTCTTGGTCCTTTTCCTCTTGCTGCCATAATACAAAAGCCTGTACCACTGAGCAGAATGCCACCTCCTCCAGGAAGCCTTTCTCAGTCCTAGTCAGCATGAACCAGCAGTAAGCGTCTTTGACTCCAGTCTCCCACAGCACTCTGTGAGTATTTCTCCAGCAGCTCTTGCTTCTCTCTACCCTGGACTGTATGGCATGTCTTGCAAACACTTCCCTCATCCCAGTACCTCAGGCAGCCTCAGGAATGGGATCTGGGCTTTATTCTTCACTGTGTCCCACCTATGCTGGGTCCGAATGGGTATCTGCAAATTATAGAGCTTATTGGCTGTTCACAGGCAGTTCGTGAAGCCAGTGTCATGGAGCAGCTGAGCTTTGCTCACCCTGGGTTAGGCGCTTGGGAGGGATAAGAAGGATAAGGCACAGCTGTTGCTCTTAAGAAGCTTAGAAATCTCTGGTGGTGGGGGCAGGCAGGCAGGCAAGGCCAGCACACTGACAGTACCAGTGTGGGGCAGTGGTCGCCAAACTGAGGCAGGAGGGGCACACCACAGAGCACTTGACGACCACGGGTACCCAGCGGGAAGAAAGCACAAGAAATTCTATTTTGTTGTATTAGTGATCTGAAAAATTAGAAATAAAAATTGTTTTACTCATTTTTGCCATCTGGATGGTCCTTAGCACCTCTCTGTGTCCATTGTGAGCCAGCCATGGTCTAACACCTTTCATCCCCAAGGAGACGTGGCATTCGTAATGCTGAGGCCTTGAGGATGGCATTGTCACTTGTGCACTCACCCACAGTGAGTCACCTCACACTACAGTTTACGTGCTACAGGATGTTATGGACATAAGTAATTTTATAAAGACAAGACTTTAAGAAATTTTTTTAAACTTTTTTCTTTCCCATTAACTTTTACAGAAGGCACAAGATCTTTATAGCAGAATCTTTACAGTATTTTGTAAATGAAATGGTGGGGGTAGGGGTGGCCATGACAATCTTTTGTACCACATAAAGGGTTTTGGATTGCTCATGGCAGTGTATAAATGAATTGTTGGACTTAAAGATGAATTATGCACTTTCTTTGAAAAACAATTTTTAAAATCCTTGATTGTCCTAAATTTGCCGACCTTTCCTATAGGAAGTGGTTCACTAGTATGCTACTACAAGTATTTTAAAAATTAGTACTTTCAAGGTATGGGTGATGTTATTTATTTATTTATTTATTTTTGAGACAGAGTTGTGCTCTTTTTGCTCAGGCTGGAGTGCAATGGCATGATCTTGGCTCACAGCAACCTCCGCCTTCCAGGTTCAAGTGATTCTCCTGCCTCAGCCTCCTGAGTAGCTGGGATTACAGGCATGCACCACAACGCCCAGCTAATTTTGTATTTTTAGTAGAGGTGGAGTTTCTTCATGTTGGTCAGGCTGGTCTTGAACTCCTGACTTCAAGTGATCTGCCTGCCTCGGCCTCCCAAAGTGCTGGGATTACAGGCATGAGCCACCACACCTGGCCGGGTGATGTTTTTTAACAAGAGTGAGAAAGAAGAGCCCTTATAACATCAGTGACTGCTGCTAGAAAGAGAACATCTGAGCATCTCTGGAAATGTTGCATCATGATGTGATTTGTAGCCAAAAATTATATTAGGTATTATTTATTTTAAAACTCCCACATCTGCACACAAAAGGATAATAAAAAAAAGACTGAACATCTGTACACACATAAATTTCACAACTTAAATGAAATGGATTTATTCCTTGAAAAGCACAAACCACTGAAACTCACCAAATATGAAACAGATAATTTGAATAGCCCTATAACTATTAGGGAAATTAAATCACTAACTAAAAACCTTCCAAAAAAAGAAGTCTCCAATCCCAGGTGATCTCACTAGAGAATCCTATCAAATGTTCAAAAAAGAAGTAACACCAAGTTCTACTCAATGTCTTTCAGAAAATCTCAGTCTCTTCCAGAGGTAACACTTCTCAATTCATTTTATGAAGCTAGAATTACTATGATACACAAACCAAAGACAGTATGAAAAAATAAAGCCAAAGATCAATATCCCTCATTAGTGTAGATACAAAAATCCTCAGCAAAATATTAGCAAATATAATTTAGCAATATATAAAAATAATTATACACCATCATCAAGAACAGTGTATTTCAGGATGCAGGGCTGGTCCAATCTAAGACCCAGATGAAGGCAAGGATGTCTATTCTCTTAACTGTTATTCAGTATAGTAGAGTTGAGGTCCTAGCTTGTGCAATAAGGCAAGAAAACACAAACAGATCAGAAAGAAAGAACAAAAATAAAAAACCTATCCCTATTTGCAAGTGCTATTATTGTCTATGTAGGAAATTGAAAAAAGTCTACAAAAAGTTTCTAAAACTAATAAATTCAGCAAAGTCATAGGATACAAGATAGACATACAAAAGTTAAGTGTCTTTCTATATATTGACAATGAATACATGGATACTCAACTTAAAAATATGATACCATTTACAATTGCCAAAAATAGAAAAAGAAAAAGTACTTTGGTCCAAATCTAACAAAACATGTACATGATTCGTATGCTGAAAACTATAAAATACTAATCATAAAAGATCTAAATGAATGGAAAGACATACTTATATTTATAGATTAGAAGACTTGGCTGGGCATCTGTAATCCTGTAATCTCAGTACTATGGGGAGCTGAGGCAGGAGGATCACTTGAGCCCAGGAGTTCAAGACCAGCCTGCACAACATACAGAGACCTCCATTTCTACAAAAAAAAATATATTTTTTAAATTAGCTGGGCATGGTGGCATGTGCCTGTATTCCCAGCTGCTCTGGAGGCTGAGGTAGGAGGATTCCTCGAGCCTGGGAGGTCAAGGCTGCAGTGAGCTGTTATTGTGCCACTGCACTCCAGCCTGGGCAACAGAACAAGTCCTTGCCTCAAAAAATAAAATAAAATAATTTAAAAAATAGAATAGAAGACTCAATATAGCAGAGATGACAATTCCAAAATTGATATATAAAATTAATGCAATTCCTATCAAAATCCCAGCAAGATTGTTTATATATCTGGACAAGATTATTATAAAATTTACATAGTTGGGAGGCCAAGGTGGGAGGATCATTTGAAGCCAGGAGTTTGAGACTAGCTTGGACAACTTAGTAAGACCCCCATCTCTACAAAATTTTTTTTTAAAATTAGTCTACCATATTGGCACATGCCTGCAGTCCCAGCTCCTCGGGAGGCTGAGGGAGGAGGATCACTTGAGCCTGGGTGTTTGAGGCTGCGCTGAGCTATAATCATGAAGCTGTACTTCAGCCTGAGTAACAGAGCAAGATGCCATCTTAAAAGAAAAATAAAAATTATATAGAAAAGCAAACAAAAAGCTAAAAAAGGTAAAACTATTGAAAAATAAAAATAAAGTGAGAGTAATCACTCTACCCAATTTTAAGACTTATAACTATAGTAAT
This sequence comes from Homo sapiens, assembly GCF_000001405.40. Taxonomy (NCBI): domain Eukaryota; kingdom Metazoa; phylum Chordata; class Mammalia; order Primates; family Hominidae; genus Homo; species Homo sapiens. The sequence continues at coordinate 108,541,276 of NC_000006.12, forward strand.
CAAGACTGTGTGGTTTTGGTGAAGGGATGGTCACAGAGATTAATGGAGCAGAATAGAGAACTGGAAAATAGACCTACACAGATATGTCCAACTGATTTTTAGAAAGTTGTAAAAGCAGTTCAATAGGAGAAGGATAGGCTTTTCAACAAGTGGTGCTGGGACAACTGGATAAACATAGCTATCAACAAAAAGTAAACAAATCTCTACCTGGAACTCATATCTCATACAGAATTTAACTTAAAAATCAATCACATACTTAAATGTAAAGTGTAATTGTTGAGGAAAAAATAGAAGAATATATTCAGGATCTATGACTAGGCAAAGAGTTCTTAGACTTGACATTTAAAACACAACCCATACAAGGAAAAACTGATTAATTGGACTTTATCAAAATGAAAAAGTGCCCTGTGAAAGACTGCTGTGTGTTGAAACAGTACCTTGCTTTTCACGATAATAAAATACCGTCTAAAATGAATGTTGATAAACTACTCTAGAGCAGTGGATCTTTTAAGTGCCCACTTTGCAGACCAACCCTTAGCGCAGTGTCCAACAGCCAGTATAGGCACTCCACAAAATGTCAATGCAACTGAATGGCTTGTCTCCACCACACGCTGACGGTTCTCTGTAGCTGAATGGAGGGTGAGGGGACCTAAGGAAGAACATACAATGAAAGCCACAGGTACATGCCTTTTACATTTTCTCTCCTCCTTTTCCTCCTCTTTCTCCTCCCTCTCCCTCCTTCTCTCTTTTCCCTTTCCTCTCTCCCCTCTCCCTTTATCTTCACCTTTCTCCCTTTCCTCCTTCCCTCATCAAACCTCAGAAGATCACGGAGCATGGGAGTTTGAAGTAAGGAGTACAGGAAATGAAGATTGAAATTTGCATGTATGCTCAGCTCACAGCCACCAGATGGCGGGAGGAGATCAGGAAATTCAGGCAAAGCCCTTCTGCTCCAACTTAAAGAAACCACAACCAGCCAGCACCTGGCCAGCTTGCTTTTCTGGGTAAGTGACTATGTACAGAAATACTTTTTGTTTTCCATAACTCTCTGTAAAGCAATACCAGGTGCTGGCCAAAGCAAGTAGATGCTGTGTAATTTGATAGTGAATGTACCCATAGGAAGGGACAGTGTGTTTCTGCTTCTCCTTCCCTCTGCCTTTTCTTTCTGCATCTGCAAAATAGGGGTTCTGGTTGTGACCTGCCTCACTGTGATAAGTCCGCTGAGAGATAAAATGAGCAAAGTGCCCTGTGTGCCACAGATGACAGATGTTTTTCTAGGAAGAATGGCATCAGTGCACCATGTGTGTCTGACCACCACCACCCACAAGGAACACATGAAGTGCCCTGGTACTGTGGTAGCTGTGAACCTTGGGGTGATCTCTAAACATGCTTCCAATCCTGATGTCATTCTTTAGCTAAGTAAGACAATGACACCCACTGAGTTACACTCACCAGAAAAAGTTGCCCCATGACAGGTACCAGAGTCAACGGAGAAAGATATTTTCTTGGTAAGAATGGTTCTGGGAGGGACAGATTTGGAGCCAGGAGCTGTAGGTGAGATTTCAGCCTTGCTCTAACCAAGTCTGACCCTCCAGCCTCGCTCTCCCACCTGCAAATGAGAGTGATGCCTGTCCCTTAGCAGAGATGATGTGGAAGCACTCATTCTGACCTGAATAGACTTGGTATATATACCATGTGTGGAAGTTAGAGATGTTTCCTCCTCATTCTTCGTGTTGAATTTCACCCTTTTCTGAGGATATCTGAGTCTCTGCACTAAGGAGAGGTGGAGTCCACAGGCTGAGAGGTGCCTCACCATACTAGAAGCATGCCGAGTAGGCACTGTCTCAGGCCAGCTGGTTGACCAGTTTTGGCTTCTTTCTCCTTCTAGTGGGTAACTTCATCCTGTTTTACAAATATCATGGTTATTTCTTGGCATATTAAGCCGTGAGATGAGCCATGTAACTGGAGTCAATGTATGTTTTCATTTTAATCAGAAAATTCTTGAGACTTCACCAAAGGTCTTTCTGTTCCCATACTGTCCCTCCAAATATCTTACACATGGCAGATAGGAGGTAAGATTAAAAACAAACGGTAGGAGATGCTACAGTTACTATGATGAAAGCCCTTGGAGCAGGCGGCAGAGTGCTCAGGCCTCGAATGGGAGTCAAGGGATCTGGTTCTCCAGGTGCAGTCAGGGACAGCCTCAGACTGGCCCTTGGGAAAACCAGAAAACCAGAAAACCTGACCTGAAAACACGCCCTTCTTCAACAGCAATGTTTTCTGGAATGAGCACTTGGAGAAAGTTTGGTGGTTCAAAGGAAAGGAACCTAAGGAACAGAATGAAAGTGAAGGCATGTCATTGGTCAAAACAACTTTGCAACAAGGGAGGCACTGGCGGAGGCACCTTCTAGAAGTACACTGGAAGCCTGAAGAAGGCTACAGTCCAATGCACAGCCCAGCTGCTGGCTTGCAGCACAACTTGCTGCCTCCCGCCATGTGGCTGAATGCACACAGGGGTGCCCTGACACTGGCCATTTTGCAAAGATCCAGGGGACAATGGCAGCTGGTAGCAGCAGGAGTGGGGAGCCCACAGCAAAGGGATTAATGATGATCCACAGGGACCCCTGTGGAGAGATGTCAAACAGCATCTGCAGATGATTCTAGCAAGTACAGCAGTAGCCAGGGGTATTAGCAGTATTAGGATAACATGTGGCTCAGGTTGCAAAGTGGACCAATCCACCCTGGTTAACTGTAGGGTTCACTCAGGCAAAACAATGGTGCAAATACCACTGAGGCCTCCATTGACAAGACCCAGTTTCACCTCCCAAGATTGTTGTGAAACTTCATCCCTTCAGGAGAAAGATGCTCCAACCTTGGGTCTCATCCCTGAGGTGAATCCCTTTTCAGCAACTATTCAATTTTTTTAAGCTATGCAAGATTAGAATAGGGTGATGGTGGTGGTTATAAAACTCAGAATAAATATTAAGCTTTATTATATAGCTCATCTCTTTTTTAAAAGGGATATTTTTCTCCAATGTGAATCTTTCCTGTGACAACAGTTATAGGTCAAGGAAGGCAGAACTACAAAGATATTAAGTCCATTCTCTATTAGGGTAGAATTCCCTTGCTGATGCAAAAGTGCTGGCATTTTTTTCCTTAGCCTCATCCCCAAAGAAAAGGAAGCCAGTGATATGGGCATGGACTAATCGGCAGTCAGGAAAAAAAAAGAGCCATTGATAGTTTTGCCCAACTTTTCTGCACAAGATAGCCCTTTTTAATGTCAGACGGTTTCAAGGCATCTCCCATGATTGCTTTTACCCACTGATTGAGAAAAATTCATAATGATAAATATTTATAAGGCATATAAATACCATTCAAAAATAGTAGCACATGGTTGTGTGAGGTATGGTTTCTCAATCTCAGGCAATGTTTGGAGGCCACTGGCAGAGCTGTTGTAACAGCTCCAGGAAACCCAGAAGGGAAAAAGGCCAAGACACATCCCTTCCCCGAAGAACTCCACCATCTGGTTTTTAAAGAATGGGCCTACATAGGGCTTAGCTCCACAGCCTTGACATTAGCACGGCATGCATGGGGCAGACAGGGACCTGGCACTTGACAGAATGCCTTCTCCGCAGGGTTCCTCTGGAAGTGTTCACTGCTAAATAACTGAGGACTACTGAGGAGACAGGAGGGGAAGAAAGGGGAGGTGGGGGATTACCATAATAAAACTGCAGCCTGATAGGCCAGCAGCTGCTGCAATGAGCCCCCCACCCCCTACCCTAGGGGAGCCAGACTGGACAAAAGCAAGATGATGGACCCATTCTCTTACCTTAGGACCTCAACTCCTGACATTAGCATAGCCTGGTATAGAGCTGAGGACAAGTTCACCCCCTGCACTCCCACGCCACATCAGGGTAAAGGCCAGAACACTTGTGGTCAGATGCTGTCTCAGGACCCCAGAACCTCAAACAGGAGAGGAGCAGGTGGCTGTGAGTGGTTCCGTGGCTGAGGTCTTCCTTCAGAACCTCTCCAAGGCCCAGCCGGCTAGAGAGATGCAAGCCTTGTGAGATAGGAACTTAGCCTGAAGCCATCGATTGGGCTATATTACAGGGTCATTCCAGCACTTTGAAAAACAGATTTCACTTCTCTACCTAGAAATTAGTCCTCTTATCTTGGATACCTTAGAGGGAAATGGTAAAGAAAAAAATTAATCAGTGACCTGATCCTCCAAGCCCAGCCAGTGATCAGATTTTGGTTGGGGATGGGGGCAGTCTGTTTCCCACCCCCTGCCATCCAGGAGGAGCTCTATAGTCCAAGGCTTCTTTTTGGGAGGGCAAGGGGTTGCCATGTGAGTGCAAGCAGGTACCCTGGCTAAGCACAGAAGAACACAAGAAAGATTTTATATTTTATGTTCAAGTGAGGGGTAAAGTGGTAACTATGGGAAGGAAAGCTAATTGGGGCAGATTATAATAAATCACAGATCACCAGGAAGTTTGAACCCACAGCTGGATGCAGGTAAAGAAAATGAGGTCTTCCTAAAGAACATCTCTGAAACCCTCTAACAAAAACTAACAAGAACCGGTTGCCTTATGGCAATGCCAATTCAGCAGAAATGAGGATCTCCCAGAGCAGTAGATTTTCTATGATTAGAAGTCAAATGAGTCCAATAAATTAATTATAATATTTTTCTCTCCTCTTTTGCACTCAGGAGCACTTGGCATCCTTTATCAGGGCCATGATTACATTAGGTACCTGCAAAAAGCTTTGATAAAAATAATCTGATTTTCTATAGCTCTGATGATTTGCTGATTTGGTAAAAGGTCAGAACCTGCTACCAATGGCACCCTCTGTGGTCAGGAACTGTGGCTTAACTACCAACTGTTTCTTGTGCCCAGTGATATCATAGATATGGGAAGAGTTCAAGGATTAAACCTTCCTTCCTCCCTCCCTCTCTTCCTTCGTTCTACATTTATTGAGTGCCTGCTATGTGCTGAATATACAAAGACCAGTTAGACACAATGCCTGGCCTCAATGAGCTTCCAGTCTAGTGAGAAAACAGCCCTTGCTAAAAAATCAGCTAAGTTCAAAGGTTAGAAATAGCTAAACCATGAAGAAATAATGAACATTCACAAACATGTAAACAAGGGAAAACACAACAGCTTTGTGGAATTTTACCTGTCAGTGATACAGGCCAGAAGTTTTGCTTGTAAATTGGTGCACACAGAGGGTGTTGGGTAAATGCTTGTTGAAGAAATTCATTAACATAGTCACAGAAGCTAGCCCTAGAAACTGCGTCTGAGATTCTCTAGTTCAGCACTTTCATTTATAAAAGAGGAAACTGAGACTCAGGGAGGTCAAATGTGTTGGGTGAGCCAAGGATGGAGCAGGGTAGAGCAGCCACATCTCCTGGTTCCTGTGCCCTTTCTCTCACATTGATTCCTGACCTGGGCAACCTGGGTCTTCAACATGTGCTTTTCTGAAAAGGGATCAGGAGACAGACTTTACCCTCTAGTAGCTCAGAGTAAGAGAGGAAAGATCCCACTGCAAAAGGACTTAACAGAACTAAATGAGGCTGAGGCTGTGAGAGAAGGAAGTGGGTTTCTCAGCATTCAACAAGACAGAATAAACAGTTAAAGGTGGCTGGGCGCGGTGGCTCATGCCTGTAATCCCAGCCCTTTGGGAGGCCGAGGCAAGCAGGTCACCTGAGGTCAGGAGTTTGAGACCAGCCTGGCCAACATGGCGAAACCCTGTCTCTACTAAAAATACAAAAAGTAGCCAGCGTCATGGCGCACGGATATAATTCCAGCTACTTGGGAGGCTGAGGCAGAAGAATCGCTTGAACCTGGGAGGTGGAGGGTGCAGTGAGCCAAGATCACGCCACTGCCCTCCAGCCTGGGCGACAGAGCGAGACTCCGTCTCAAAAAACAAACAAACAAAAAACAGTTAGAGGAGTATCTAAGAGAAATCATTTCTAACAGGAGAATTGTGGTTCAACTGGGCTAGTGCAGCATGACCCTCCAGCAGCATTTCCTTGGGTGGTAAACTTCGTTAGTTAAAGCAGAGTGTCTGTGAGGACAGAGCCAGGGCCTGGTCCCCAGTGAGGGGCTCATGTGGGCCAGAGGCAACATGCCTCCAACCCGGTCAGTTGTCTTCCAGGTGAGGATAAGGGGAAGCAGGGTGCAGGGATGGAGACTGTAGCAACATGGGGAGAGTGTGGTCTTTACAGTCAGCCAGGCCTGGGTTCAAGTCTCAGCTCTGCCAGCACCTCAGCTGGGAAATCTCAGGCCTGTGGCCAAACTTCAATCTCCTCATTTATATAATGGGGATAAAATTATCTCCTTTATAGGGATGATTTTATAATCCTTTATATTATGATTTTTATGATGATTAAATATATACATTTAGAAGCTTCTAGTTATAGGCACTACTTCTTAGTAGGTATGCAGTAAATCTTAGTTAAATCTGAATTGTTTAAATCCATCATCACTAAAAGAAGAAAACTTAAACAGTCCAACAATTCCAAGTGCTAGTGAGAATGTGGCCAAGTAGATACTCACACAGTGCTGTGGAGAGTATAAACCCTACAGCCACTGTGGAAAACAATCTGGCATTGAGTGATGTAGAAGATGCATAGGGCTATTACCCAGAAATTCTTCTATTAAGTATATACTAAACTCGGGTCAGGCGTGGTGGCTCACATTTGTAATCTCAGCACTTTGAGAGGCTGAGGCAGGAGGATCACTTGGAGCCAGGAGTTCGAGACCAGCCTGGGCAACATATCGAGTCTCCATCTCTACAAAATTAAAAATAAATAAATAAGTAAAAGCGTATATTAAACTCATGCACATGTGCCCAGGAATGTTTAGAACAACAATGTTTGCAATTGCTCTAAACTGGAAACAGCCCAATTAGCCATCAACATTAGAATAGATCAATAAAGTATTATAGATTATAGATAGATAACTATTCATATAATGAAATGTCATACAGCCATGAAAATGAATGAATACAGCAACACACAGCAACATAGATGAATCTCAGGAACATAATATTGAGAAGCAGCAGCAAGACACAAAAGAACACATGCAGTGTGATACAATTCATATGAAGATCAAAAACAGGAAAAAAATGAGATTACAGTGTTTAGGGATGCAAACACAGCAAGCTATAAAGAAAAGCAAAGAGATGATTACCACAAAAGTTAGGAAAATGATTACTTTTAGGGAGAGAGAAGAGGGGTTTGTTTAATTGGAAACAGGGAGTCTTGCTCTGTTGCCCAGGCTGGAGTGCAGTGGCACCATCATGGCTCACTGCAACCTTGAATTCTTGGGCTCAAGTGATCCTCCTAACCTGGCCTCTCAAAGTGCTGGGATTACAGGTGTGAGCCACCGCACCAAGTCGAGAGGATGGTTTTGATGGGGAAGGGCACTCCAGGGATTTATAGGGGAATAGTAATGTTCTATTTCCTGATCTAGGTGATAGTTACACTTGGTTGTTCTCTTTATAATAATTCATTAAACTGTACTGTTAACATAAATGTTTTTCAGTTTTCTATATGCATGTTATATTTCTTTTTTTCTTTTTTTTTTTTCTGAGATGGAGTCTTGCTCTGTCATCCAGGTTGGAGTGCGGTGGTGCAACCTCTGCTTACTGCAACCTCTGCCTCCCGGGTTCAAGAAATTCTTCCACCTCAGACTCCCGGGTAGCTGGGATTACAGGTGCCCATCACCATGCCTAGTTAATTTTTGTATTTTTAGTAGAGACAGGGGTTTCACCATGTTGGCCAGGTTGGTTTTGAACTCTTGGCCTCAAGTGATCCACTTACCTCGGCCTCCCAAAGTGCTGGGATTATAGGCATGAGCCACCGAGCCTGGCCTGTATGCATATTTCCTGATAAAAAGTGAAAAAAAAATGCGTATGCTGAAGAAGGAGACAGAAGCACCATCCTCATAGATGTGGGACAAGTAAAAAATACAGGTGTTTTATAAAATATTTCTTTGTTTCATTTTGGGTAAGTTGAAAGATGCAAGGTTAATAAACATTTTTTACATATGAGAGAATAAAGTAGCACTAGGTAGGATACTATTAAAGACTTCTAGACAGAATTTTCCAAGCCATCTAACATTCTCATCTTCTGAGTATTTCTTGAATGCAGAAATTAAGCAACACGACATATAAATTTTGACCTGGTCTCATTCCAATATTAATGTACAACAATTGTGAAAAAGTGGAGAGGGACTAACTGAAAACAGATATAGACAAACTAGTTTTTATGCTTTTGTGAAAGGAATGCAATTCTCATTGTTCACTTGGGGATCAATTAGTTTGACAAGAATAATTTTTTTATAATATCAAGTTTATAAGAGGGAAATGGGTCAAGATGGCTGCCTCTTTTGGACTGGGCCTCATGGAATTCTTCTGCCAGTAGTTTTCTTCAGATCTGATTATTTAGCAGGTAAAGAAACCTGATTTTGCTACTTTACCCAGAGTTTTCAGATCTGGGGGACTGCTGACAGTGGTTTTTGAGGCCACTGACATTTCCTATAGCCCCTACTCTGCTGCCCATCCACTGGAAAAAGGCGAGCCTGTGCAGGCCACAGCCTCTCTGGTTCCCAGGCTCCACATAGGTCACATGGACCCTACTGGTCATGGTTGTCATGACAACCTACTCCCTCTTCAATAACATATTAATATTTTCGTGGCACAAGTGAAAAGAAAGGGCCCAGCTCAAACCTCATCTTTTTACCGAATGGCAATATCCCCAGAAACTCCAAGAGGGGTTTCACTTTCCATAGAAAATAGGAAGGCCTGACCCAAAGTGACTGGATTTGGTCAAGTTCCCTAAATAGGATGAGAACCACAGGGATTGTGTTTGTTTATGGAATTACTCACTTGGCTTCATTATTTGTTTCCAAAATACAGATTTTATAAAAGTCATTTTAAGTGTAAAAAAAAAACCCTTCAGATTATACATTTGAGAAGTGAAGTTGCAAAAGGACTCTTGATACTGTGTGAATGTGTGAGGTTCAGATGTTATGCTTTCATAAAATAACTTGTGTTTGAAGGCCTGGAGACTTCCTCCTCACAGATGTCTCACTTAGTGATTCTGTCACCTATTTTGGTGGCTTCAGCTGTCTCTCCAGAAATGAGCACAAGGAGCCCCTAAGGAGACACAGATATGGGATATTAAAGGAATGTGAACTATGCCAGGGAGTGGGAAAGGAAGGGAGGTAAGCCTTTCTAACACGTGGAGCAGAGCTGCTTTCCGAGGAAAGTGAATCTGACCCCCAGCCAAAACCACTTCTCTGGTGAAAACTCCGATGGTCTCAGGCCAGATGACTTGGACACCATCTCTTGGAGTGGGAAGACAAGGCCTCACAAGCTTGTCCCACTAACACCATTAGGACCTCTACTCTGAGAGACCACCAAGTAGGGCTCAACCAGGACCTGAACTGAGAGAAAAGTTCCTCCAACAAAGGAAAAATTTTCTTCTGAGACAGTTGAACCATCGCTAATGGATAGCATTCAGACTCAAATACACTATCTTTATAGGGGCTGTGGTAGCTTGACTTGGTACTTTTCTTTCTTTGTCTACAGGTAAACAGAACCCAACGCAGCTGGAGAAATGAGAGGAAAGGGTTCCCCATCTGTCCATGGGACTGGCCTTTCCCCCATACTCATGCTCTTCTATGTGTGCCGCTGTCTTCTGACAGGGGCAGGAGAGGCCTTGCAAGGCTGAGGACTGTCATTTAGCTCCATTTCTTTGTTTCTTTACTTCATTCTGTGCCCCTGCTATTAGTTGATCTTCTTGTTGACTCTTTACTGGGTTATTACACCATCAACCAGGGTCATTTACACTGTCCTAATATCAGGACCTACGGTATTTTCTACATCACTGGAGCCTTTGCCTTCCTCGGGCACTCTACGTGTGTCCTCACCTAGAGGTTTATAGATTTATTATAAAGAATATTACAAAGGATACAGAAGAAGAGGTATAGAGGGCAAGGTATAGGGGAAGGGGTGTGGAGGTTCCGTGCCCTCCTGGGTACGCTACCCTGAAGGAACCTCCTTCTGGTCAGCTATCTGGTAATTCCTTTACTTAGCAGTTTTCTATGCCAAGATGTGCAGTCACATGCACACAGGCCTCATGCTAGCTTGAAAATTTTAGACTGTTTACATCAGAGTCGCAAAATTTGCCAAACATTTTATTTTTCCTCTGCTGTCTTCCAGTTTCACAGGTTTACTCCATTTCTAGATATGGATGTGGGAGGAACAATAATCAGATTTAATGTCCCTGGAGCTCCAAATCACATCCTTTGGGGGGCTTTAGTACCAGGTTATTCCAGGAAACTTTACACATAAGTGGACATGCCAAACCAAACCAGGGAGATGCGATGTATTGTGCAGAGTAATGAATGATTCCACATGGCCTTGATTTCTTTGAAGTACCACTTCAATTTTTTTTTTTTGGGTAGGGTTGGAGTCTCGCTCTGTTGCCTAGGCTGGAGTGCAGTGGCACAATCTTGGCTCACTGCATCCTCTGACTCCCGGGTTCAAGCGATTCTCCTGCCTCAGCCTCCCGGGTAGCTGGGAATATAGGCGCGTGCCACCACACCTGGCTAATTTTTCTATTTTAAGTAGAGACGGGGTTTCACTGTGTTGGCCAGGCTGGTCTCGAACTCCTGACCTCATGATCCGCTCGCCTGGGCCTCCGAAAGTGCTGGGATGACAGGCGTTAGCCACTGTGCCTGTCCCACATCAATGTTTTAAAGTAATTTGTATTTAAAGTTCCAATTACTAAGCATTTTGTTTATTTATGTATTTATTTTTGAGAGTCTTGCTCTGTCGCCCAGGCTGGAGTGCAGTGGCATGACCTCAGCTCACTGCATCCTCTGCCTCCCGGTTTCAAGTGATTCTCCTGCCTCAGCCTCCCGAGTAGCTGGGATTACAGGTGCGCACTACCACGCCCAGCTAATTTTTGTATTTTTAGTAGAGATGAGGCTTCACCATGTTGGCCAGGCTGGTCTCGAACTCCTGGCCTCAAGTGAACCTCCCGCCCCTGCCTCCCAAAATGCTGGGATTATAGGGGTGAGCCACTGCGCCCAGCCAGCATTTTAAATAGATTTTCTAACACATGGACATGGACACATGCTCACTTCACAAATTTTTGCAAGATGAGAAATGGAGTAGATGGACCACTTACAAAGCTCAATGCCATTTGCTGGAGGCCAGTCAGCCGGAAGCATTGCATTAATTTTGATTTTGTCTTCCTTTCCTCTAGAAGAGATTGATTAACATTTACAACAGGAGTTTTTACATTTACATTTTAAAAATGTAGTCACAACTCTCATTCTTACTGCTGGGTTTCAAAAAAAATTGAGTACTTTGTTTCTAACTTCCTTCAATTGACAAACGATAACATATAGTGTTTAGCCTGATCCCTGTGTCTTCAAGGACATAATATCTAGCTGGGAAGAAAAACAAAGAAGTATTTTGATTTCAAATCTACTCAGTTGTTTTTTATAGACTCTTGTTCCTTTCTTCTATTTTCAAACTTCCTTTTTGTTTAAACCTATTAAGTACACTTATTTTCTGTGTCAGCTTATTCTCATACCCCAGCCTTTGTGTATCTGACCTTACATTTTGTTTCTGTCTGCTCCTACATGGAGCCTTGCTTATTATATGTTTTGTGTTTTCTGATTATGATTATGGAAGTTCTTTGGGGCCTAGGCTCAAGATAGCCCTCCAAGAGGATGTGTCTTTCCTTCTGCCAGTTGTTAAAAGCACCACAAACTGGGGCTCATGAAGTTTTTAAAATAATTCCATGGTATCATGAATTTTGGTCATAATATTACATACGGACCACACCATAGTTGTGAATTTTCAAGGAAGAATATTTTTTATACTCTTTTATTCAGGGCTTTGATCAAGACAGACGATTTTTCCTGGGATCCTCTTCTGCAAAGCCAGTTAATTTCACATTCGCCTTTACTTTGGCCCTTTGGACTTCTGGTTTTAGGGGGGTAGAGTCTTCTTATTCTCCTGATCTTGGACAAGACTGAGGATTTATCTTCTGTGTCCCAGACTCTACACACCTGTCAAAGTAGAAGCTCAAATGTTGTCAGATTTTCTAGGAGTGTGCTCACTTCCCACCTTAACTTTGTTTTTGGTCTCTGTGGGTTTCTTCCTTTTTTGCCAGCTCAATAAAATCCATTTAAAAAATTTTTAAAAATCTTATCCAGCTTTAGTTTTCATCAGGAAGTTTGTTCTGGTTATTTGCTCCATTGTGTTAAATTGAAGTACTTTAAAAACAAGGTTAGATAATGTATAATCAGTTGCTAAGCAGAATCGACGTACAGTTTCTCCAGTGCTTCTGTTTCCTTTACTTTCTATTCAGAACAAATCTTCCTCCTCAGAATGCAAGACAGTGGCTGAGTGGAGTAGGGGCAATGGTGTGCTGGCAGACTGGCCCTCCGAAAGAAGAAAAGGAAGGAAAAAAAAAAGCAAGCAAGCCTTGATGGATTTGCCAATTTCTGTGATGTAAATACTCCCATAGTAGTCCATTTCAAACTACCAAGATGTGCACAGTCTTCTCTCATGAACTGGAGCGGGTCAATGCCACTATGAAGGTAAAAGATCCAAATCAGGGTGGCTAAGTCACCCAGAGATTGGTGGGGAGAGCCTGATGAGGAAGAGGTGAACTAACTAGAGCACATACCAGCTAACTGTTACCCTGTGGGTATAGTGCCAGTGTTACCATATCTTCCAATTTCTCAAGAAGAGCTAGAAATCCAAATTTTAGGTGAAATCTCTTCCTTTTAAATGTTGGCAACAGACTAAGAAACTTTTTTTTTTTTTTTAAGAGATGGAGTCTTTCTCTGTCATCCAAGCTGTAGTGCAGTGGCACAATCATATTTCACTGCAGCCTTGAATTCCTGGACTCAAGTGATCCTCCCACCTCAGCCTCCCAAGCACCTGGGGGACTACAGGTGCATGCCACCACACCTAGCTAATTTTAAAAGATTTTAGAGATGGGGGTCTTGCTATCTTGCTCAGGCTGGTCTTGAATTCCTGACCTCAAGAGATCAAAAATTTAAAAAACACCAGAGAGAACCAAAAACTAACCCTATTGGGGCAGATTTGGCCAGATAACCACTAGCTTTAGACAGGTTGGGGAAGTGTCTCGGGTTATGTTTGCTTATCTGGTTCCAGCCCCTTTTCTCCAGGCCAAAAGGCTCACATAAAGCCCCCTTTCTTTAGGCTCATTTTGGAGAGGCAGTGCAGTACTGGGGAAGAGGAGAATGCACCATGGACTCAGAATTCTCAGTTCGAATCCTAGGCCTGCCACTCACTGTGTGACCTGAGGCAAATCCTGGTAAAATGAGAGGGATGGTCCCTGCTGTGGTAGGTTGTTCTAGAAACAAACCGAGATGTTTTGTGTATGGAAGCTGCCCCCTGTGTGTAGTCAGTTCATGGCTCTGTCCTCATTCTAAGCAGGAACCAGAGAGTCAGAGCTGAAGGCAAACGCTGGCATGTGCAGCACAGAGACCTCTATCTCAGGGTTCTCAACCTTCACTGCCTTAGATTCACCTGGCAAATATTTAAAAACAACAACAACAACAATCAGTCAATGCCAGACCCTGACCTCAGAATTTCTAATTCAGTTGGTCCAAGGTGGAGCCTGGGCATGACTATTTTTAAAGCACCCCCTAGTGCTCTAATACTAAGTGCTTTAGATTCATAATTTCAATTATCCCAATCCTTCCAACAATCTTAGAAGGTATTCTCATTTTAAAGATAAAGACATGAGGCTTCATGATTAAGTAATATCCCAAGGTCGCATGGCTGGTAAATGAGGAATCAGACTTAACTCAGAGCCTGAATTCTCAACCCCCTGCCACTTAGCACTATTGTATGTACCTCACATGGTCTTTGTGAGGTCTAAGCATTCCAATAAAGTGCTTAATTCAGGACCTGCAACTTACTGACAAATCAAGGTTGGGTAATGACAAATATCATTATCTCCTATTACCAAAACAGAGAATTCTTCCCAATTTCTCTTCTATCCAATTCCATTTCAGGTAAATGTTCACTCTTTTTTGGAACCCCGGCTTTTTTTTACCCTGCAAGCATACATACTTGCCCTCCAAATGCATCATCGTAACAACCTAGGGGACGCTTTGCCAGGGTTTGTCATGCCAAGGGAAGAAAGGGAAAGAGAGAGGACAGGAGCTGCAGATACTTGTGGAGAGCGTGGTGATGAAACCTGTCTGGAATGATGCCCCAAAGGGCGAGCCACAGCTCATAGCTGTTTGGTACACGGTGTTCAATAAAGACACACTGCATGAGAGTAATTTGCTGAGGAGAGGGTAAGCAGAGAAAGGGTCTAATGAGGGTGTCAGACATAGACTGGGGAGCAGCTATATCAGATGGGTCACATACTCGTTAGGAACCTCATCCTACTGGTTTCCTGTCTTCATTGAGATGGACACAGAAGCCAACCCAAGAGGAAAATGTGCACTTGCTGAAGGGCAGTAGGCTCAGTTCCTAGAATGTGGGCTCTGGGGTCAGAGGGAGGCTCCAGCTGGCCTAGGTACAAGGAGAACTGGGCTAGCACACAAGTGCTGAGTGAGTGGTGTTTCCTCAGAGGGAGAGCCCTGGTCTCTACCACGAATCCCCTCACAACTAGGTGTTTGAAATGGTGATTTTTACCCAGCTTACTTAGGTAAACATCTTAAATTTTGTCCCTCCAGTGACTGGATTTGCAAAATAGAGTGAACAATCACCACCTTAAATTATTAATAGAAATAAATAGGATATAAAATTGTTCAATAAGAGGTGGGAAAAGTTTTGACCAAAAATTCTGCCTTGAAGGGAATGCTGGCATTTCCTCTCAATTAACAACCATAACTTCTGGTAGGAAGAAATGGAGAAGGAACAAGGAGGCCTACAAGAGGAAGGCAAAGGTCGAGGCAATTTGTGGCTAAAAGAGAACAGTCTCTGAGATTCAACCTCTTAGTTCTCAAAGGTTTGCCCATATGCACAAATTACAAGGGTAAGGTGCACATTTACAAAGCTGCAAGTTTATAGTCACTTCCAAGTGAAGCTTTTTGATCTTCAATTCACTTGAAACTTACCCAACACTCTATGTATGACCTCTTGTATTTGTCTTCTACTGTTTTTTTTTTTTTTCCTTTGTGGTGAGGGAGGGAGGACAGGGCCTCACTCTGTCACCCACGCTGCAGTGCAGTGGTACAATCATGGCTCATTGCAGCCTGGACCTCCTGGGACCAAGCGATCCGTCCTTACACCTCGGCCTCCCATAGCTGGGACTTCTTGTATTTTTGTAGACACCTGGGTTTCGTCATGTTGTCTAGGCTGGTCTTGAACTCCTGGGCTCAAGGCATCCTCCTGCCTTGGGCTCCCAAAGTGCTGGGATTACAGGTGTGAGCTACTGCACCCGGCCTTCTACTATTTTTAAACTTGCAATATTTCTTTTTAACATGTTTTATACCCCCAAGTAACATGTCTTATACCCTCAAGTAAGCTCTTTGAGGGAAATGGCTTTATCATGTGCCTGCCCCCCATTCCTCACTGTGAAGTGAAGCTCACAAGGCTCTGTTAATCCACTGAATCTTTGACTCCTCCACTCTTTTGGAATGCCCCTGGGATATGTGTTCTGTAAATGGACACTCAACATGTTTATAGTGAAAATCTAATGGCCGAGAGCCCAGCCACTGTAAACACATTCTTTCTACTTTTGCAGGTCTGCACTCTAATGACAAAAGATTGCTTAGATTTAGAGAAGAAAACGCGTGGATTTCTTCTACAGTGTTACAAGTATTTAAAGCCAGCAACGAAAATTCTTGGAATTTTATGCTGCATCACGATGCGCGGCCCTGGGTGATCTAGCCTTCCAGTTCTTCGTGCAAAGCTGAATACCAGCTTTTAACCACCACCATACCCAACCCGCACCCCAAGCACTGGCACTTGAAGCCGAGTTGTGGTCATACATCACCATCCACACTCCCAGGCTGTAAACCCAATGCAAACCTGGGGCTTCTCAGTGGGACAGGCCTACAAGGAGAGGAGAGGTGCCTCGTGAGGAGGAGCCACCGCAGTAAGCAGTCAGAGCCCCCTTCCCCAGACTCCCCCTTCCAAGGGCAACCCGAAATAGCAGAAACGCTTTTATATGTGGGCAGAGCCGCATGCCCACGAGACAGGCACATGTGGACTGCGGGCATTCGGTACAAGGAAGCGAGGACACAGAGTACGTAGGGTGCTGAGGGTCCACCTCGCAGCCAAAGTATGTGTGCCAGTGAGTGTGTGCAGCTTGTGAGATCTGCTCTAGAAACCGTGGCCGCGGACTGGCGCGGCCTCCTGGGCGAAGCACAAACAGGAGGCTTTGTTCCCTGAATGTGAGAATGAGGGAGCCGAGCTGGGCGCAAAGACGGCGGCGTTCCGCGGCGGGAAACCGTCGTCTCCGCCGCGGCTCGGGCAGCGCGCGAAACTCTCAATCAGGTTCCCCGGCCCGGGCCGCCGGCTATGCCAGCGGCGCGCAGTGGGGACAGCCTAGCTGTCTCGCGAGCAGCGCCCGGAGAGGCCGCGCCGCGGGCCCCGCCGCGTCCCTCCGCCAGCGCGGGCGGCCCCACGCGCCCGCCACTCGGCAGCGCAGCCAGCGCCACATTCCATTTAAAAATAACACCCACGTGCGCTGGTAAACAAGCGCGCGCGGCTACCAGGGCCGCGCGCCCCGGCCCAGTGTGTGTGGCGCGCGCCCGCCCTCCTCCCGCACGTGTCGGCCGGCGCCATTCAGTCCCCGCCCCCTCGGCGGGTCGCGCCCCGCCCCCGAGCCCCCAGCCCCGCCGCTCCGGGCCCTAGCGCCCCCTACCCCGCCAGGCGCGCCCAGTCGAGTGCGCTGCAACTTTCCTCCCCCGACGCCTCCTCTTCGCTGGCAGACCCACCGCCCCAAGTCGGCTGCCTTCCTCCCGTCCGCTGTCCTCTCGCGTCCCCCCTTGAACCCTCCCACCGCCAGCGCGCGAAGGATTGGTTTCTAGTGCGCCCTCTCCCTTTTTCCCTCTCCTCTCTCTCCTTCCTTAGAATTTTACTCGATTGTTTATTATTTGCTGGGGGGCGGGGGCGGGGGGGCGGAGAGGGGCGTCTGGGGCCTGGAGACTGGTGGCCGCGGCCAGTCAGCGCGCGGCGTGCCTTGACGAGTAAGCGGCGCAGCGAATGGCGACGCGGCGGAGAGCTCCGGGGTCACGCGCGTGTGGATACGATGACATCATCTGTTTGTACGCGTCGAACTAGCTTGGTGCAGGGGCGGGGCCGCGCGTCACTTGAGTGACGGGCGCTGCGCAAAGCCCGGAGCCCGGAGGCGGCTGGGCGGGCTGGCTCTTGCGTACGCTGGGCTGGACCTTTTTGTGTATGGGGTCGTTGAGGAGCCCGCTTCTACACTCTGAGCTATCTCCGGTGACTTACAAGGATTTTTTAAAAAATATATTTATGAACTAGTGTGTAGACTTTTGGTGTGCATGTCGCGTGTGGTGCATTCGTAGAGTACAAATAAACGATTTGGGGCACGGATCGTAGAATAAGGACTTGTGCAGATGTTTTTCGTTTAACCTAAAGGATACGTCTTTTTTTAAAAGTCAAAAATGCCCACGTAGCGGTTTTGTCGTCATTTACAAATTAGATTAAAATTATTTCCCCTTCTCAGTTGTTCGGAATCTGCTCTTGAATGTAGGACGGGGGTAAATTTGCATTTCTTCCGGAGTTAGTTACACCTCTCCCCCGTTTGCCATGAAACCCATGAAAAGTGAAACACGACTGTGGTCCACCGTCCGAGGTGAGAGACTCAGTGCAAACCTTTTGGTGCCTGATCGAATCTGTGAGCATCAGCTTATCGAAGTTGTGCAGGCACCAACATCTTCGCCGTTCAGTATTTCCACACCGCGATAACCCTGCCCATCTTGCGGCCAGCATCTTATCTCGGGTGTTACCTGGTGTCGCGTTCTAACAGGGAACCGGACACCGGGGCTGGCCCAGAGCCCGGCGGGCGGACGCGCAGGCCAGGGACCCCCTGGTACCAGGCGCCCTGCCCGGAGTCAGGGAGGCCACGCCGCTGCGCTCCTTGGAGCGTCGGGGGCTGTGCGCTCCTGCCGCTCCCCCTTCTCCCTCCTCTCCCCACTTCTTCCTCCTCTCCTCCCTTCTCCCCCCTTCTCCCTCCTCTCCCGGGCCAGCGCCGCGCTTTGTTGTCGTTGAGACTCTCGGGAGGGAGGAGGAGCCCAGCGGGGACAGCAGCGGGAGCCCGCCGAGTCCCGGCCCACGGCGCGCGCCCGGACACCCACGCCCGCAGCCCCGCGGAGCCGGGCCGCGCAGGCGCGCGCGAGCTCACACACGCGCACTCACACACGCACGCCCGCCGCGCGCCCGGCCCGCCGCCCAGCCCGCCGCCCAGCCCTCCCCCTGGGCGGGGACCCGCCCGCCGTCAGCCTAGGTTGAGGCGCCCTGCGTGTGTCTATAACTTTGTGCTGCTGCCGCGGCCGCCCTGCTCGTGGAAGGGAGGAGGAGGAATGTGGAAGGTGGCGGCGCGCGAGCTGACAGGCGGTTCCTCGGGCGGGCTGCGGCGACGGCCCGAGCGCTTCTCCTTCGCCGAGGTTGCGCGCCCCCTCCTCGCCGTGCCCCGGGCCCGCGCGGGATCGTGCGTCGTCCCGCCGCGTCCCTGAAGGGAAGGAAGCGAGGTAGGCGCCGGAGCCGTGCAGCGGGCGGCCGCCTTCCCGGTGACTCCGGATCTGCTTCCGAGCTGGGCCGGGCGCTTCCCTTTCCCCTCCCTGAGCCGCGGTGTGCGCGCCCCCCTTCTCGCCCGCTAGTGTTTTTAAAGGACTCGGGAAGGGGGAAACTGTCAAGATGGCAGCAGCGGGAGCAAGGAGGTGATGAACGTGCTGGTCCGGGTTTTCTAGCAGCCCGGGAGACTTGGCGCTTCCCGACCTGTTGGAAGATTTATGTTCCGACTCGCTCCCTCCCCCGGATCCCGACTGGGAAGGGGGCGGAGGGGACGACGTCCGCGAGAATGCAAACCACACAAAACCCCGAAGTGGCCGTCCCCGCCGGGCTCGAACCTCTGCGAACACCCGCTGGGCTGCTGCTCCCCCTTCTTTCTGTCTTTCCTTTATTTTTTGGAAGTGACAAGGGCCCATCTGCGCCCAGACCCCCGTTCGCCCTCTGGCCCGCGGGCGAAGAGGGGAGAGGGAGCTGCCCGCGCAGTCCCCGGGCTCGGGCCATTCGACCGGGTGGGGGGTGACGGGGGGTCGCGGAGGCGGCCAGGCTAGGAAAGGGGAGAAGAGCCGAAGACAGCACAGACTTGAGCGGCGGCGCCGCGGGAGGCACTAGAGCGGGCCCGAGCGAAACATAAACAAACGCACGCACACCCGAGCTCGGGCTCTGACCGCGGCTCGGCTGCGCCAGCTCCGGCCGCTGCCCGCTTTAAAGGCGCGGCCGCCCCTCCCCCGGGCGCCCCTCCCCCTTCTCCCCGCCCCGCCGCCTAGCCCGGGAGGGACCTGCGGCTGGGCGGCGGGGGGAGGGGGCTGCCCCGCGCGAGGCCGTCGATTCGCTCGCGGCTCCATCGCGGCCTGGCCGGGGGGCGGTGTCTGCTGCGCCAGGTTCGCTGGCCGCACGTCTTCAGGTCCTCCTGTTCCTGGGAGGCGGGCGCGGCAGGACTGGGAGGTGGCGGCAGCGGGCGAGGACTCGCCGAGGACGGGGCTCCGGCCCGGGATAACCAACTCTCCTTCTCTCTTCTTTGGTGCTTCCCCAGGCGGCGGCGGCGGCGCCCGGGAGCCGGAGCCTTCGCGGCGTCCACGTCCCTCCCCCGCTGCACCCCGCCCCGGCGCGAGAGGAGAGCGCGAGAGCCCCAGCCGCGGGCGGGCGGGCGGCGAAGATGGCAGAGGCACCGGCTTCCCCGGCCCCGCTCTCTCCGCTCGAAGTGGAGCTGGACCCGGAGTTCGAGCCCCAGAGCCGTCCGCGATCCTGTACGTGGCCCCTGCAAAGGCCGGAGCTCCAAGCGAGCCCTGCCAAGCCCTCGGGGGAGACGGCCGCCGACTCCATGATCCCCGAGGAGGAGGACGATGAAGACGACGAGGACGGCGGGGGACGGGCCGGCTCGGCCATGGCGATCGGCGGCGGCGGCGGGAGCGGCACGCTGGGCTCCGGGCTGCTCCTTGAGGACTCGGCCCGGGTGCTGGCACCCGGAGGGCAAGACCCCGGGTCTGGGCCAGCCACCGCGGCGGGCGGGCTGAGCGGGGGTACACAGGCGCTGCTGCAGCCTCAGCAACCGCTGCCACCGCCGCAGCCGGGGGCGGCTGGGGGCTCCGGGCAGCCGAGGAAATGTTCGTCGCGGCGGAACGCCTGGGGAAACCTGTCCTACGCGGACCTGATCACCCGCGCCATCGAGAGCTCCCCGGACAAACGGCTCACTCTGTCCCAGATCTACGAGTGGATGGTGCGTTGCGTGCCCTACTTCAAGGATAAGGGCGACAGCAACAGCTCTGCCGGCTGGAAGGTGCGTACCCACCCCGGGCTGGCAGCAGGACCCGCCGGGCCTCCTGCGCAGCGCGAGACGCGTCTCGGATTCGTCGGAGTGCGCTTGCGGGCTCCAGGGCAAGGGGTTGGCAGGGGGAGCCTCCGCTGCGAGGCTTTGGGGGTTATCTTTGATCCCCGGAGTCGGGGCACCTGGGGACGGTCTCGGAGGGGTGAATGAGGCTCCCCAGAAGCTTGGGGCATGGCCAGGTGAGGAGAGGGGGCAGGGGACGCCGGCGAGGGAAGGGCGAACGGACAGGAGTACATTTGCTGGATTCTCCGGACAGCACCGAGGAGGTAGGTCCGCAGCCAACTTTGGAGTAGAGTTTACCGTAGTGGGGGTCTGGTGCGGGCGCTGTGGCTGGAGTGAGAGGTGTGGGGGTGTTTGGGACGCAGTGTCTGGAGGAGGGGTTGGATGTGTGGTTTCCAGTCTGTCGCAGGAGCATGTTGCGTCGTCACTAGCTGAATGAGAACCTTCGGGTCCAAGTTTCAGCTTGTGGGTGTTAACACCTACAGGCACATCGATCCGATTAGAAAAAGCAGTGGTTGCAAACCTTTTCCTGGACGGCTTCCTTTCCTTGCCTATATTGATACCTTTTCTTCTCGGAGATGTCGCTCCAGTAAACCTGCTTCTGACTAGCTGCTTCTGAAATGTTCTGGGGCCTCGAACCGGCCGGTCTGGCCACCTCAATCCAGACTGGCTGCACCCGCTGCTCCCGCCGAGGCCTGGATTCAGGCACTGTTTGAGGGAAGGGCTCTGGTGTGGGGGACGCGGGGCCTGCGCTTCATTCACTCTGGCGTTTGGGAGGAGGTTTGGGGGCTGGGCCGGGCCGTAATGGCTTCTACCTGTAAATGAACCCGAAGAGAGACTCTCTACCGTTCCTTATCATCCTCTTGGGGCACGGGACACGTGGTAGGGAGAGAGGTGTGGAAAGGCCTATGATGTAATGACTTCCTGCAGTTGGGTATCCAAAGAGATTAACTCCTCTGCCCCTGCTGGGCTGCTGATATCCAGCTGCTTTCCTCTTCCTAGGCACCTCCCTGGCCCCTTCCCCCAAGACAGTGTGTGTCAGTACCAGGCCAAAGAGTCCTGTGCGATTGGAGATATACATCTCTTATCAGCTGCCCATATTTGCAATTTAGCTTAGATTTTTTTTTGTTTTGTTTTATGTAAAAGAAGTAGTTGCTTCCTCCTTCCCTTTCTTCATTGTCATTGGGGAGCCCTCTGTCTTCCTGGGTTTCAGGAGGTATAAAAATAAGAACAGTTTAATCTTAGTGGAGAATTCAATGGAAGCACTGGAGACGAGCCTGTAGATGAAAAAGTTAAAGAACTTAATGTAGAGAATGTTTTATTTTGCTTCTAGAAAACCCTTGCAAAGTTAAATACGGCTTATATCAGAGAGGCTTTGTATTAGATACTTTAAAAGCAAAACACGTGTGCTTTGATATTAATCCACTAATGTGTCTCATTTCTTTTAACAAATGCTTACATTATGAGTCTTATATTTGGTTTAATTCAATTGCTTTGTAAAAGAATGCCAGGTGTATGATACGAGAGTTCTTTACAGAAAGGATGAAAGTTAGACAATTCCATTTGAAAAGAGCACTAGTGTGATATGTTTTAAAACTGGGTTTCCAAGTGGATGGGAAGGGTTAATCAGTGTATAGTATCAGGAAGGCGTAAGCGGACAGGATCTGAGAACATGGATTTGGGGGTTCGAAATGTTTTTCAGATTTCTCTCACTTGAAATTTAGTCTTGCATGTTTGAATTTGGTGAGGAGAATACGTTAGTGAAAAGTTAGTTAACTTTAAACTTAGTTAAAACGTTAACGTAGGAAGGCGTTTTCACCTTTCCTGTGATTTTTAAGGTTACAAAAATAATTTAATTTCACAAATATTTCTTGTTATTTTGTTTATAGTTAAATATAATAAGTTTAATGAACTTTATTTTTGGGGGGAAGATTTACATGAGATAATGGTATTACCAAAAGTAGCCGCGAATTGAGATTGGGCTAGATACATTTTCATATAGTTTGTAGGACTTGCAATACAGATTTTGGGACTAGTCATAAACTTTATGGTTTTATGTCATCGTTTTTTTGTCTTATGGTTTTTTTTTTTTACCCTTCTCTGCTATCTCATTTCTCTTCAACTAAAATCTTAGAAAATACTGTAAATTGAAATTCTCAAGGCTTAATATGCTTAATACAGGGCACACATTTTATGATTCTTTTACCTTAAAATTTTTTACCAATTCCATTTCTGAGTGTCACATGACAACTAATCCTTGACGACTAAAGGGATATAATTTTGTTAGAGTTTTTATAAGATGATCTTCATCAAAAGATGCAGCCATGCAGGAACTTTCAAATCTTTGATGATGGAGAAGGCCCTTTGAAACTGGAGCTGGTTTTATATTTTGATTATGACTAATAGGCAACCTTTTTTTGTGTGTGCTTGTGGTTTAGTGGAAGAAGAGGGAAAAGGGAGAGATCAGGAGCTAATTGTGACCCATTTCCAAGTGTCCAAGTTTAGGAGTTGATTCTTGTCATGATTAGTCATTTTGGAAGCACGCATGTGCATTTAAACCACACTACTTTCATTCTGAGTAATGTAAGAGGATTTTTAACTTCCAAAAATGTCTAGAATTCAGGTTAACGTCTCCTAGTCATGTGTGCATAAAGGGCACGGTATGCAGGGCCTTACTTCTTTTCAGGCTATTTGGGCCATTGCATTATGAGACCTTGTAACCAAAATTATCACCCTAACATCATAAAATGAAAGAATTAGAAAAGAGGACTTAGAGATCAGAATCTAAATCAGTGGTTCTCAGCCCTGGTTGCATGTTTGAATTACCTGGGAACTTCTGAAAAATACAAATACCCAGAGAATTTGATATAATTTGGCTTGTGTGTGGCTTAGCATTGATGGTTTTGTGTTTTGTTTTTTTTTTTCAAGTTTCTTAGGTGATTCTAATGTATAGTTAGGATGAAGTTTTCTGATCTAGTTCAACCCTCTTATTTTACTGGTGAAAAACCTGATTTTTGGAAAAGCTAATGACTTTCTTAAGATCACACAGCTAGTTAGTAGAGAGGTAATTAGTAGCCACAGTTCTAGAGGTTTTTGTTTTCCATTTTCTTCTTTAAATTGATCTTTTTTAAAAGGTCATTTGCTAGGTAATGGATAGTCTCACATAAGTAGCGCTTGCTTTCCTGAAAGGCTTATTTGCCTCTCAATCTAAAAACATCTTGCTTATTATTTCAGCATCAAAAGGATGGGCAAATGTAGATGGAGGCTGAGTGAGTGTATCATGTTTGCATAGCTGTCCAGTGCCTGTCAGTAGGGGTACTTAGGAACTATGAAGTGATAAAAGAGGTAAGAAGGATAGCATTTTAACAAAAAGAGGAAGCCCTTGGTTACTTACATTTGTCAGATACTGTGTCAGGGAGAAGGATGATGACTATCTCACAGGTTCCCTTACCTCGGGCATTAAAGTAGAAATGAACAATCAGATGTGGTTAAGAGGGGAAAAGGTTACATTTCCTTTAATTCAGATTAAGCTTGCACTGCACCCATGATTGAACAAGTGAGTTCTCTCAGTTCCTCTTGTCTTGGGGAGACCTCTAAGGACGCCAGGGCTTACCTGGTAAGGCCTATCTATCACTTATTTCGTTATACACAGCACACATCTGCTTTTCCCATGGGTCAGGGTGTAATCAAATTAGGCAGACTTGAGTTTCTGTAGTGGTTCCCATAATTTCACAAGTGTGGGGGATACTGTGTTAAGATTTCTGCTGCTGCTGCTGCTGCAGAAGATAATTCTTCAAGAGTCCGAGTCTTCTTTCATGTAAGAATGTGTATTGTTATGGCTTCTTGCCAAGATAAAAAGATGAGGGCTGTCCTGTCACATAATGCTTATTTGTGTCCTCACTGTTTCTGTTCTTTAGATTAATACATCCAGTTCCTTTTCAACACACTGTATTAGGAAAATGTTATTTTAACTGCAACTCTGTTTTAAATTTTTTTTTAATTTGAAAATGACTAAGTCATAATCATTCCACATTGGCTCATAATTTTGACCTCAGTCACCTTTTGGAGTAACTCACCAAAAGGCCAGTTATGGTCGTGTGTGAAGAATCTGTCTGCTTGGCCCGTGTTGCCAAAATGTCGTTTTGTAATTTCCTTTGGCAATAGTGTCTTCGTCAGTGATTCTCAACTAATATACTTCCTCTTTCTACAGCCCCAGTACACTAGAGGGACTGTTTTTCCTCTTTTTCAAAGCTGTGTCATTGACCTCTGAAGTGAAGAAATTGGCCCTTTTAGACTTTGATCTGTGAGTCCCATGTAACAGAGACTCTTTAAAAAAGAAGCTAAGTGTGTGTTTTGATATGTTTATCTCCTTCTTAGAAAATGAAATGAAACTACAGCAGACTTATTTTTAGGAGATTTTAGGAGTGTTCTATTTTAAGAAAATGACACCATACAAGAACATCTTTTAGTTAAACTTCTTAGTACTCTGCTTGTGATTCTTACTTAAAACCTGCAAGATACTTTTATTTGGAAAATTAATGAAGAGGCCTTGTCTCACTAATAAGTCATTTAATTTGGTCTGGCAAAAGTTTACCATCCATTCAAAGATCTTCATGAAAATGCAAAGATAAGGCTGTTTAGGCTTGAGCCCAGGAGTTCAAGACCAGCTTGGGCACATAGCAAAACCCCATCTTATTTTTTTTTTAAAGACTGTTTAGGCCTGTGCATTCTGGCAGGTTGCCCCACTTACCCAGAGCAGGTGCATCAGATTCCAGATTCCCAGGGCTGGAGAGAATATGGAATTTATTTTGTTTGTATACCCACTTATTTTGCCTATAGGGACAGACTTGACCCTATTCTCAACTCCTCATTTCTCTCCTTTTCCTGCATCACAAATTGAGGGGTCCTGAAGAGCCACTTTACCTTTTTGGTGCTATAAAAGGAGCTGGGGATCATAAATGCAAAGACGAGTTGATATCAGTGGATGTTACAGCTGGTATACAGTAAGTGAATGAAAGATTGGAAAGAGAAAACCCTTTTTACCCATTTGCATCACATCCCATTTCATGTATTCAACAAATGTTTATCAAAGGCATGCTGCTTGCAGAGCATTTGCCAGGACTTAGGGATATAGTGGTAGCAGAAGGCAGATAAAGTTCCAGTTCACTCACAGGAGTTCATATTCTGATGGAGGAGACAGAAAATAAGCTATAGCATATCTGTGCTTTGTGAATTTGTCATTGCTGCCTATTCCCGTTGCCTTTTTTTTACATCTGTATTTCTGCTTTCTCTAGTACTTCAACTCTGCTAAGAAGTTGCTGGGAAGTGGCAAATTTGATGTGGGGCATGGCTTGGAGCTAGCCTTTAACTCTCTGCAGATCATTTTGAGCTTGCTTTGGAGATGCAAAACCACCGTACCATGGCTCCTGTGGATTGGGTCTGTTTGGGAGAAGCTTTGGTTTTCCAAGCTCCACCTGGATTAGATAGAGCACATCTTTGGCCCTGGACTGATCTGGGATCCCCAGTTCTGTCTCCCAGGGCCTGATGTAGATCTGGCCTTCCTCTGGAGTGGATGTGGAGCCTTGATGCCACTGACTCATCTGTATTACTTGTTGCCTAAAACTCAGAACTAAAAGAGATCTTAAAGATCATCTAACTACCTTATTTTGCAGGTGAGAAACATGCTAGGACTATGTGAGTGACTGGGTTCAGGGTTCCACAGCTAGTAGGGGTGGAGTAACGGGTGTGTCCAGTCAGTGCAGTGGTTCATGCCTATAATTTTAACACTTTGGGAGGCCAAGGCAGGAGGATTGCCTGAGGCCAGGAGTTTGAGACCAGCCTGGGCAACAAAGTGAGACCTCGTCTCTACCAGAAAAAAAGAAAACTAGGCCAGGTGCGGTGGCTCATGCCTGTAATCCCAGCACTTTGGGAGGCCCAGGTGGGTGGATCACCTGAGGTCAGGAGTTCGAGACCAGCCTTACCAACATGGTGAAACCCTGTCTCTACTAAAAGTACAAAAAGCTAGCCGGGCATCGTGGCGCATGCCTGTAATCCCAGCTACTAGGGAGGCTGAGGCAGGAGAATTGCTTGAACCTGGGAGGCGGAGGTTGCAGTGAGCCAAGATTGTGCCGTTGCACTCCAGCCTGGGTAACAAGAGCGAAACTCCATCTCAAAAAAAAAAAAAATTAGCTCTGTTGTGGTGGTGCATGCCTGTAGTCCCAGCTGCTTGAGAGGCTGAGGCAGGAGGATCCCTTAATCCCAGGAGTTTGAGACTGCAGTGAGCACGACTGCACCACTGCACTCCAGCCTGGATGACAGAGTGAGACCCTCTCTCTCTCTTTTTTTTTTTTTTTTAAAGCGTGTGTTCATACCACTGTACTGTAGTGTCTACTGCCTACCATTGTGGTTTCACAGCTGTTCATCTCAGTGCTGTTTGCCTCAAGTTCTTCAAGCTCTTCACTTGCTGTCTTCTGCTTCTCCTCCCCTCTTCTAGGCTAGCTCGCACTGGAGTCGCTGTGTTTCTCCTTTTGTGTTCTCCATCAGCACTCTCTACTTACCTTGCTAAATGCCTTTTCTTTCAACGCCACCTTACCCTGCCCACCCCATGGCTGCTACCTGTTTATTTTGTCATTTTGCTAAGACTGTTGAATATTTTTAAGCACAGTATAAGAGGCTTTAAATTAGGGAATGTGTCTGCCAGACAAATAAGTGTTTCTAATATTTGGAGCTGCTTTTTGGATTTTATAATCAACCCATATGGATAGCCTTAGTTCTGGGGCTGTGACTCTGAAAGGGGCTGATGTGACTCAGGAGTGAGCTGGTGTCATGAGTGGAGTCTTTTGGATACTTGCAGCTCTGAAGGTGGCATCAGCTTTAGACCTCCTAGCATCGATGTTGATGTGATGTGGTGTAAATGTGAGATGATGCTGTGCTATCTGGGGTTTCTTGCAGTGCCTTGTTACCCAATGCATAAGTCTCTGAAAACTCCATAAGTGTCCATCACTACTTACCACAGAAACTGAAGGAAGCCTGATCTTGGGATGACCTTGTTGCATTAAGAGAAAAAGGAAATGAAGTTTGCCATCTGTATGTAAACCCGCTATTTGTATCATCAACATGCAGTGTCGAGAAAGTCACCATAGAATTGTTTTGCCTAAAGTTTATTTTACTCACTTTTAGGAACAAAGCTGTTATGTAAAGCCTTAGTTGTTTGTAATGTTCTGCATTTTGGGGCAGAAGTCCCAAATGTACTTCAAGTTTTCTGTCCATGGATTGGGAAATAGAAGTCATGTATGAAAGGAGAGGAGATAGCAGACAGTCTTTGAGATGAACTATTTCAAGGACCAGTCTGCAGTTCTTCCAAGTTAGAGTTCTGAATATGTGGTTAGGCTAGTGATGATGATAGAACACCCCAGTTCTGACTGCATCATTGCCCAGACAGACCCAGTATCTTTCACCATTTTATTCCTGACCAAACAACGTTCATTTCCCAGTATCTTAGTCTCTCCTAAAGGAAAAAGAACTACGGTAGCTGGCATCCATAGAGTACTGTGATGTACCACTCTTGGTAAAACGGAAATGTCTGATTGGAGTGTGTTTCAAGCCAGGCTTTTCTATAATTCGCTTGTTCCACTTTTCACTCCTGAGTTTTTGAGGTTTTAATCTTGAGACTTTTTCTCTGCAGTGCCTCAGTTACTACTATGGAATAACATAATAAGCGAAGAGGATGACTTCTCTGCTGGGCTGTGGTTCTTCTAGTAATTCCGCTACTCCTGGGTCATTGCCTGGGGTGAGGAGGCCAGGTTATCTTCTGGAGGCTCACCACACCTTGGTGTCCAGATGTGCCCTAGGACTGCAGTGGAGAGGTGAGCACAGAGTAAGGAAAGCATGTGGCACATGTGTAGGGGGCAAGGCTGGAGCAGGAAGTAAACTCTCCCCCAAACAAACAAATAAACAAACAGCATACATTACCTTCCTTCTGGAGTGAACCTATAGTAAACCCAACAGAGATGTGTTTGGCAGTTTTCAGTACGTGTTTAGGAATTTGTTTGAAAACCATTAGGGGGTGGGGTGGGGTGGAAGAATCCACATCATGTTTTCCCTTGCGTGGTTTTTTTTTTTTTTTTTTTTTTTTTTTTTTGAGACAGAATCTCGCTCTGTCGCCTAGGCTGGAGTGCAGTGGCGTGATCTTGGCTCACTGCAAGCTCCGCCTCCTGGGTTCATGCCATTCTCCTGCCTCAGCCTCCCAAGTAGCTGGGACTGCAGGCGTTCGC
This sequence comes from Homo sapiens, assembly GCF_000001405.40. Classification (NCBI taxonomy): domain Eukaryota; kingdom Metazoa; phylum Chordata; class Mammalia; order Primates; family Hominidae; genus Homo; species Homo sapiens. The sequence continues at coordinate 108,570,151 of NC_000006.12, forward strand.
CACCACTCCCAGCTAATTTTTTGTATTTTTATTAGAGACGGGGCTTCACTGTGTTAGCCAGGATGGTCTTGATCTGCTGACCTCATGATCTGCCTGCCTCGGCCTCCCAAAGTGCTGGGATTACAGGCATGAGCCATTGCACCCGGCTCCCTTGTGTATTTTTATTTTAAATTTTTTATTTGAGACAAGGCCTTGCTCTGTCACCTAGGCTGGAGTGCGGTGGCACAATCATAGCTCTCCACAGCTTCAAACTCCTGGCTCTCTCTGTAGAGAGCTATGATCCTCCTGCCTCAGCTGCCCTAGTAGCTGGGACTACTAATGAGCGCCACGACACCCAGCTAATTTTATGTTTTTTTTGTAGAGATATGAGGTCTCACTTTGTTGCCAGGTTGGTCTCAAACTCCTGGGTTCAAGCGATCCTCTTACTTGGGCCTCCTAAAGTGCTGGGATTATAAACATGAGCCCCTGCAACCAGCCTTCCTTGTATTTCAGATGTCTAGTGAAGTTAGTTAAGTTAGCCCTTGAAGGTATTGAGAATTTACTTTAAATTCAGAGCCAGCAGAGGGAGTACACAAGTCTTTAAGCTGATGTCAAGTATTTTTTTCTCCACACAGCTAAAATAATACCTTGATTATTTTTTAAAGAACTCTGATATATAGTGTTTCCATGTAAGTTTATTGTCATCATTAGAAAAGGAAAATTTAGGAGAGGGGGTGTGGAGATTAAAAACTTAAAGCAAGTGTTTTAAAGGAAACCCTGGTCTTCTAAGACCCATGATTTACTTCCCACTCCTAGATCATTAAATGAGAGTGCTTTTAACTGAAAAATATCCTCCCCTGCCTTTCATCTTTTTGCTACTCAGTTCCTGATACTACATGTTCATTTATACCTAACACCAAATTTTTACAGAGTAGTCACGTGTCTGGATCAGTGGGATGTTCTGTGTTTTAGTGCTATTTTGATTGGGACTTTTGATATTTTCCAAAGCTTCACAGTTGCTCATGGGTGAGAGAAATGTATGTATGTATATTGCTCTCAGGTAAGAGAGAAAGGTAAGGTAAAAAGTAAGAACAACATTATTTCCAATTCAAAAATGAATAGTCATGGATCTACAGGAGACTACTGTAACTTTGAACTTTTTGTAATTCTGTAATGCTATATCGGTTTCTCACCTCCCTCCACTATGCCCCATATTTTGGTGGTGGGGGTTTATTTTTGACATGGCAGTTGGAGAGGGTTAAATAGAGTTCCTCTAAAATTCATGTCTTCCTGGAACTTTAGAATGGTGACCTTATTGGGAAATAGGATCTTTCCTGAAGTAATTAGTTAAATTAAAGTGAAGTCATATCGGCTTAGGGTGGGTCCTAAATCCAGTGACTGGTGTGTATAAGAAGAGGAGAAAATACATAGAGACCCAAATAAGGCCGTGGGAAGTTGGGGACAAATATTAGAGTGATGCAGTTATAAGCCAAAGAACACCAAGGATTGCCAGGAGCCGCCAGAAGCTGGTAGGGGCAAGAAAAGATCCTCCCCTAGAGCCTTCCCAGGGAGCATGGCTTTGCCAACGCCTTGATTTTGGACTTCTAGCCTCCAGGACTGAGAAAGAATGAATTTTTGTTGTTTTAAGCCCTGAAATTCATGGTAATTCGTTATGGCAGTCCTAAGAAAGTAACCTAGGAGCCTAGGGATAGAAGAGTGGGAATGGCACAGTTGCAGATGGAGAAGAATAAAAAGACTTTATTTAGATTCAAATCAAAGTGTTAATAATCATTCATAGGCTACTTTCTTGTCATCTACATTTTGTCTTTTTTTAATCCTGCAGTGAGGACAGAGGGAGGCATGAATTTTCCTTGATTTCCCAGTTAGAGCTACTAGAACATGTCCCTCTTTTGCATTTTGAATAAGGTGTGTCCTTCCCCCTAGTCCCCCTCCTTACTGAATTTCTTTTTCTCTGCCTGTTTTGTGAACTGACAGTATGGCCGTGCTTGTTGATTGTGGACTTGAGGTTTACAGTAAGTCCATGAAATCTGGCTGAGGGCTTTGGTGTAGAAGAGTCTGTCTTTGAGGGGAGGGGAGGGAGAAGCCAAGGATCCTCAGTGGAAGAATAGTGTGGAAGAAGAAGCCTCCTTTTGGCCCTGTCAGGGCTTGAGAAGATGGAGGCATACCATGTTCACTGCCATCAGTGATGGTAGTAAGGCTAATCCAAATCTCTCTGGAGTCCCCTCAGTGTGTCCTATGGTTGGTTCAAGCCTTGTAGAGTCTCACACACTTGGTCCTTCAGGCTTATGTCTGCTCTGTTTATATTTACATTCAAAAAACCAGCTCTTCTTTTAAAGCATAGAACATGGAGTGGTTGTCCTCACAGAAACAGCAGCAGTAGCAGTAGATATCTTGTAGGTACCCAGTAGGTGTTTGGCTTGAAATGTTCAGACATTTAAGAATCAGAATTGCATCTGTTTATTCTCATATTTTAAAATTATATTTTTGGGGAGGGGTGTCAGGGTTATATTAGAGATATGTGTAGTTTTTGCAATAAAAAGAGTCTACACAAGACATTTTCTAGCCTATTTATACTAATAATGACAATAATAGTAGCTGTGATTTATTGAGCCCTTATTATGTGCCCGTTACTCAACTAGGTTTTTTATGTCTAATATTGATTCTATAAGATAGGCATTTAAATGTAAGCCTCAGTTTAAAGACAAGGAAATGGTTCAGGAAGGTGAAAGTAACTTGCTTGGGATCCAAACCCAGGGCTCTCTGACTTGGGAGCATCTGCCTTTTCTAGTATACTTTCCTGTCTCCTGGAGTGTGGGTGGGACTTTGGGTGGGGTACAAGAAATTAAAGAGCTTTTGGCCGGCGCGGTGGCTCACGCCTGTAATCCCAGCACTTTGGGAGACTGAGGTGGGCGGATCACGAGGTCAGGAGATCGAGACCATCCTGGCTAACACGGTGAAACCCCATCTCTACTAAAAATACAAAAAAATTAGCTGGGTGTGGTGGCGGGCACCTGTAGTACCAGCTACTCGGGAGGCTGAGGCAGTAGAATGGCGTGAACCCAGGAGGCGGAGCTTGCAGTGAGCCGAGATCATGCCACTGCACTCCAGCCTGGGTGACAGAGAGAGACTCTGTCTCAAAAATAAATAAATAAGTAAGTAAGTAAGTAAATAAAGAGCTGCCATTTAAAAAGTTTCTACTCTATGCTGCATTCTTTACCTCTATCCCCAGGAATCCCCACCTTAATCCTTCTGACTCCATCTTGAATGCTCATCTTCAGAGTTGTGCTGACTCTGAGTAACAGCACCTCTCTGTGTGCTGGTGGGAGGTGAACTTGGCTCCGTTATTTAGGCTCCTTCCCTTGATTTTTGCATGAGCTAAATAACTTTTAAGAATTAGCTGGGCACAGTGGTTCACGCCTGTAATACCAGCACTTTGGTAGGCTGAGGCGGGAGCATCACCTGAGGTGAGGAGTTTGAGACCAGCCTGGCCAACATGGTGAAATCTCGTCTCTACTAAAAATACAAAAAATTAGCTGGGTGTGGTGGCTGGCGCCTGTAATCCCAGCTACTCAGGAGGCTGAAGCAGGAGAATTGCTTGAACCCGGGAGGTGGAGGTTGCAGTGAGCCAAGATCACACCATTTTACTCCAGCCTGGGGGACAAGAGCAAGACTTCATCTCAAAAATAAATAAGTAATGATAATAATAAAGACTTATGATATTGGCCGGGCGCGGCGGCTCACGCCTGTAATCCCAGCACTTTGGGAGGCCGAGGCAGGTGGATCATGAGGTCAGGAGTTCAAGACCAGCCTGACCAAGATGGTGAAATCCCGTCTCTACTAAAAATACAAAAAATTAGCTGGGCGTGGTGGCACATGCCTGTAATCCCAGCTACTCTGGAGGCTGAGGCAGAGAACTGCTTAAACCTGGAGGGGCGGAGGTTGCAGTGAGCTGAGATCACGCCACTGCACTTCAGCCTGGGCGACAGAGCGAGACTCTGTCTCAAAAAAAAAAAAAAAAAAAAGAAGAATTAGCGCGTACCTGGGTCTTTAATGGGAGAGTAGGAATGGCTTGAGAATTCTGTCAGAAACCTGTTGGTTTGGTGATTCTGCAGTTCTCTTTGGTCACTGCCAGGTGTGACCATGGTTTACTATGGGTCAGAGGCACAGTGTATTATTTAGAAGAATAGAGTGACGCATGGTAGGTAGAAATCTTTTGGGATGGGGCCTTATCGCAGAAATTTCTGTGTTGGGACAGTAGGATATCTGTGCTTTTTATAGGCTTCAAGCACGTAGATGAATGCAGGCAGCAACATCAAGAAAAGCAGATTTCAGGAAAAAAAAACATTTACAAGGAGTTCTTGGCAGAAGTTTTGCTGCCAAATCAGAAATCATAATGAAAGATATTAAAATTATTTTGTGAGGTGGTCGTCTCTTTGCAGTGCAGTTACTGACGGGTTTAAGAGCAGGCTGCCAAGATAGAGACAGAAAATGTTGCATAATGCAAGTTGCTGGCCAGGTTAGTGTTTATCTCTACTGAAGAGCCTACTTGCTTTTGTCTTCAAGGTAAAAATATGTATGAATAAGACCTAAAATGGTGGTTTTAATTGGCCACAGGAAGGCAGTGCCGTAAGATAAAATGTAGTTAACAGAATAGAATGCTAATTATCCCATTTTGTTCTGTGTATGTTGGAAAAAAATTACAGAACTCTCAGTTTCATAGTAAAGATAGGTAAGTAGTGTCTGGATAATGTCCAGAGGATAGACTGAAACTCTGTGATAAACGTGAGCAGGCAGCAGGATGCTACCTGATAACTGAGTATAACAGCATGCAGGGGAGGACTGTGTGGCTGGAGGCAGCTGCAGTAGAAGTTGGCAGTGCCACTGTGGACTTTTAAAGGGACAACTCTGGGTACAAGCCTGAAGTGTAAGGAGGACATAAAATTAAATACAATTGAGCTTGTCTCCTTGAAAACTGGTTCTCTCTTTTTACTACATTAAAAAGATCAAGTGGACAGTTAAGTCATTAATTCAGGTAATTCCAATCACAAAACTACTTTTTTCCTGAAGTGTCCTAATCATTGATTTTTAAAAATGATATTTCTTTCATCATAAATTATCAGCATAATTGCTTTGGTTCCATATTTCATATTAAGCTTGGGCTGAGTGATGTTTAAAGCCTCCTGCTTACCTTCCCCCCTTTTCTTCCTATTTTATTTTACTTAATACCTAAAAAAAAAAAAAAGAAAAGAAAAAAAAACCTCGATGTAAATTATTTTCTTCTGATACTGTGATGGTTTCATAGAGTAAAACACTTTCCTTAGATCTCTTCATTTGAACATTTCCTGTTGATAAATCACTGAAAACAAAACAAAACTACCTAATTTAAAAGCGTTGCGATGGGTCTTCCAGAGTTTTTATCTTACACATAGCTGTTCTAGGGCTTCCCACCAACATTTATTTCCAAACCAAGGACTTGTTTATCTCATCCTTCATACTTTTGCATTTCAGTCCGAATTGGATACGGGTTTTTGTTGTCTTTGTTTTTGCAGTAGAAAAACTTCAGTTGGTAGGATGAAAAGGAGAACAAATCTTTATTCACTTTCAGTATAGTTCCATTAACAGTATTAATGTGCCATGTGTGAATATACCTGTCATGCAGACTGAGGCCCACAGACTAATAACATTTTGAGCAAGATAATTTTAAGTAAAAACTGAAGCTCTGAACTCAAACATTCTTTCAAATTTCTTTAAAATAATAATGATCACTTAGATGAGGTGCATCATTTATGTAACCCTGAAAAGCCTGGAATTGACTTACGAAAATGTCATAGGCCTGATTATTTTAAAGTTATCTTCGAGCTGATGCTGGTGTGAGCATGTTTGCTTTAGAACACATGGACTCTTAAGCTCATGATAGATAATTTCCTAGGTGAGCTAGTATACTGTTTCTTGAAATTAGTGGCCTTGATCAGCCCTTCTCTCTCCAAGCCTGTCCAATAAAGATAAGTTTACAGCCTTCTTTTTGAATAGACACATGTCCTCTGCTGAACTGAATTATCTAAATCAGTCCTATTTAGTCTCCTCCCCTTACAAGAAAGATCCTTATTTCAGACTGAAAGACTAGGTGATTTGGGCCATATTTTAGGTTTTATCATACTTACCCTTCATGTCATTTGTTAAGGTCAAGTTCAGCATTTGACTGTGGACATAATTTTTAGTAGGTGTTCCTTGGGAAGAGGCTTATTGGGAAGAGAAGTTTATTCCAATAGTCTCATAAAATCAGTGAATGCTTTGAGTTAATTTATCAGCAACCTGTGCTGAATAAGCAAGGTGCCATGTGTTAAATTAGGAAAGGTAACGTGCTGCTAGTGAAAACTGTGTCTTCTAAGTTGGCTTTAAAATAAATTGTTTACCAGATTAATGTTTCAATCAAAAATTACAATTCTCATTTTTAAGATGCAGCTTTATCCACATCTAAGTTTTCTCATCAGCCAAAAAAAAATTTAAATGGATGAATCTGTTTAGCTTATAATGCAGTGGAAATACATCTGGATTTTTATCTCTGGGCCCCCAGTGTTTGCCCTGTTGATGTGAGCAGAGATGATTTTCACCTGACATCTTTGTTGCCTGCTTGGAGAGTCCTTGCTCTTTCCATTGACTGAGTAGTTCTAGCTAGTTTCTTTTGTGTTCATTGTTCTGCCTTAAACAGGATCATAAAGCTTTCAAAAATTTTTTTTTCAGCTTGTTACCTCATGTGTCTGTGCTGGCCAAGAAGGAAGAGAAGAAAATAACTTTATCATTTGCATCACATGATTTTACAGCTTTGAAAACCCATTTGTCAGTGTGGTTACTGGGAGGATGATTGCAGCTATTGAGTGCTCTGAGAGTTACTTCTTTAATCTCTTCCCTCTTCTTTCCCCGTTTAAAAAAACAGTTAATTTTGCTGAGGGAGAAATTTTATTGTTTTTTTGGTATATGATTTCAAAGTTGAACCTTTAAATGATTTGTGAAAAGTTAAAAGTTCTTTGCCCCAAGTTCTTAGTAACTCTTCTAAAAAAAAATAGTATACCTTATTAAGAGGGTTTCCTGGCATGTTCTTTGGACTGTTACCAAGTCTTTGGCACACGAGGGTACTTCCTTGATCGTCTAGCCATTTCTGATTTTTGAACCTGAGACAGCCAACATTGAGTTGATCTCTAGATCAGCTTTACAGAATCTAACATAGTAACCTCGGTTTCACTTGTCCTGGGCACTCCTGGCTGCTGTTCCATTTTTGTCTTTTCCTTTTATATCTACTACACATTGTCTAAAGAGGGCTTATTCCCCTTCTCTTTCCTATCCACTGGTCACCTTACTCCAACATCAGTGGTTTTCAACCCTGGCTGCATTTTAGAATCACCTGGAGAGCTTTCAAAACCACCAGTGCCTAGGTACCATCCTAAGGCAGTTAGGTCAGAATCTCTAGGTATGGGGCCTGGGCATCTATGTTTTTTAAGCTTCCCACGTGGTGATAATGTATAGCCAGGATTGAGTGCCTCTATTTTAGAGACATTAGATTTTGGCTGTGGAAGTTATCAGCTATTTTAGTACTGACTTTTAGATGCATTTCAGCCCTCTCCTCCATAGGAAGCTCCACATGACAAGGAGTGCTGTAAAGTTGGGATTAAAGAGTAAGGTTGGCTTCTAAGGGCAAGAGCATTATTATCACTTAACAAACTGTGTTTAACTGGGGTCTCCTCTTCTTTAATATAAATGCATGTGATGTCTTTAGTTTCCAACTCCCACTCATTTTTCTAGTCTCTACTGGACCCTAGTTAAGTTATTTTGAAGTTTTCAGGAATTTTTAAGAAGAGATGGTGCTGTTTTAAGTCATTGCATAAGACTTGAAAACTGAGAGATATAAACTTACTGTTCTTTTGTGCAACCTAATCTGATATACCAGAAGATTCCACCATATCCTGATGTTTGAAGGTAATGGTTCTCCAAGTGGTCCCTAGCTCAGCAGCGTCAGCATCACATAGGAACTTTCAACATCACGTAGGAACATCACGCAGATTCTCAGGCTTACCCCACACAGACTAAATCAGAAACTCTTTAACAAGCCCTCCAGGTGATTCTACTGCAAGCTGAGGGTTCAGAACCACTCTTTTAAAGTCATTTGCTAAGTCTGTGGAATTATTCTGGTGATAGGAGTAAAAAATCTTAACGTCGCTTGCCATCTTGGCTTCAGAATCATGGCAAAAATGGGGAAAAAATATGGTGGTATCTGTTGAAATATAACAAAGCTCTAGCCCCTTGAGTATTTTGGACTTCCCACAGATCTGTGCTGCTCTGTAGCCTTCTGTACAAGGCAAGGATACTCACCTCTCAGGATCACAGCAATAAAGGATCCACTCAGGTGTATAGAGGAAACCACATGTTCACCTTAGTGCATATATTGTGTTCACAGAACTTGTGTTTAGGTTGGATTCATGTTTTTTTTTGTGTGTGATCTTTTTCTCTTGTTTGTTTTGGTCTTTTGAGGACATTCCTAGTTTTAAAACCACTATCAGACGGGAGTAGTTGCACTGACTCATCCCCAGACAGACATGGGACATGTGAGAGAAAGATAGGATAAAAATGTGCTGGGTGTAATCAGTGTGAGAGGCTCAGTGCAGTGAAGGGGAGAGTGACACGGCTCTCGTGATGAAGTCAGAGGTAAGGCGGGACATTCACCTCGGCTCAGGATCCTAAAAGGCGCACGACCTCTTGCACCACAGGTGGAACCAGGTACAGATCCAAACAAGTATGCTGCTTGTCAGTATCATTGGACTCTGTAGTCCATTAAGCAGGGCCTCATGATCAGCTAGCTATATCAAACCTAGCTGGTGGCTTTAGGAATGTAAATAGTGCAAAACACAGTGGGTTGGCCAGTTCTGGATGTTCATGTGAGGGTCTTTTACCAGCTGTTTCAGAATGTTGCCTGAGATTCATAAACACTAAAACAAAACAAAACAAACTCCAGCAGGATGACTTTGGATTACAGTTCATTCTGCTGTTAGTGGCATTCCTTTTCGTACATGAAGCCATATCCAAGATGATATGGCTTGAGTGCTAAGCCTCCGAGGTACAGTGATCTGGGTTTTCTTCTTGGGGGAGTGGGTAGGGCAGGCCAGTCACTTTCCTCAGATTCACCAAGATTCCTGGGAAGGGTCAAGAAGGCAGGTTCGGTGTTGGAACAACATCAGAAGGTCCACATGGAAGGGAAAGCTGCACTGAGGGACTTCTGTCTGGGGTCAGAGTTTGGAGGAAAGTCCAAAATATTGTGCTGTTAACTGTGAACAGCATTCCAAATTGAACTCCAGGAGAGTACCAGGGACTTGTACACATTGGAAGTCAGATACAGCTGGTGGGCACTGGAAGTGCTGGGGACAGTAGGATCCTTTCCAGAGCCATCACCACTCACAGGTGAAATGTGTCAACACACGTCAGTTGCTCATCCATTTTGGTTTTCCCAAAGCATGGGCCTCTGCTTGCATGTTCTGGGGGCAAGGAGAGAGGGTATCTTGAAAGGATCTGGCATCAGGATCACTTTCACAGAGGAGTAAAACATCTGGTAGCAGTCCAGGAATAAAGCCTGCCCAGTAGCAGTCCAGAAGGCTTGTCTCTCAGCCCAGAGAAACCCCCAGTCCTTGGCTTCTGTGTCTCAGACCTGGAGATAATGAGGGACATCACCTGCTTGACCCCTCTTTGAACATTTCCTTAAGGAGGCTATAGAGGAGGCCTCTGGTTTTGAGACGGTCGGTGTCCTGACTTCTGTGTGCTGCTGAATTACAGAGTTGAAGTTTGAAAACTCTTAATTCCTCCCTGCCCAAAAGGGGCAAAAAGGGCTAAATCTTCCTTCTGTGTTGGTGTGAATGGGTGTGATGTATACAGTCATAACCTTAGATTTATCTATCATTTTCATGGCTGTAACTAAAAGCTACGGTTAATTGAACATTTATTAGCAGTGTGCCAGACACTGTTGAGCTTTATGAGTATTAGCTCTTCTTCATTTTTTTTTTTTTTTTTTTTTTTGAGATGGAGTCTCACTCTGTTGCCCAGGCTGGAGTGCAGTGGTGTGATCTCGGCTCACCACAACCTCTGCCTCCTGGGTTCAAGCAATTTACTTGCCTCAGGCTCCCAAGTAGCTGGGATTACAGGTGCCCACCATCGTGCTCGGCTAATTAGTAGAGGCGGGGTTTCACTATGTTGGCCAGGCTGGTGTTTACACATTTCAAACTCCTGAACTCATGATCCACCCACCTTGGCCTCCCAAAGTGTTGGGATTACAGGCGTGAGCCACCGTGCCCAGCCTTAGCTCTTTCTCTTTACTCATGAGGAAACTGAGGTACGAAACGGCTAAGTGACTTGGCTGAGGCCACATAGTTGGTAAGTGATAGAAGTGGGACTCCTGTATCAGTATGTCTCCACTTTGACTAAGGGAACTCCAAAGTCAATTTATCCAAGCTTCAGGGATCTTGATTTTGTAATACTGAGACCTCACTGGCTTGTTCTTTTCTATCATATTTCCCATTTTGGTTTAAAAGAAGAGAAAGGGAGTTTGCATGATCCGTTAGAATTGTAGATGTGTTCTACGTAGCTGTCATTGTTTGAGAACCCATAGAAAGAACAGAGTTGAGTGTTAGGTTGTAGACAAGCATTCACATTGAACACAAAAGGCTTTTCAGACTTGTACTCTTGTGAAGTGTGGTTATTCTTAGGGATGGGACACTTCAAACTGCCTTTTTTCTCCAGGCTCTAGAGCAGATGTGATATTCCAGCAAGGGTGACCCAGCTCATCTTTCACAGATTCAGAAATGAGACACATAGATGAGTTTACTCTAAACTGCACTTAAACTTTCCTGTAGTCATTGCTTTCTCTCCCTGCCCCTGCCCCTTCTGTGGAAGTTGAAGCAGACTAATTGTATATCATCTTTTGTTGAACAGCGACATCGTGCTTGGAAGCCAGTGGGTCATTTGGGTCTAGTTTTCATTCTTTTCTTTGGATCTGCTTCACAGTTTAAATTAGGCCCAGGACATTGTATATGGTGGTTTAAGAAGGTGACTGTAACAGGCAGATGTTGAAAGATGGAAGCAGTAGGAGGAGGCCAAACTGTGGAGGACAGGGGTAATAACTGGATTGGCAAATGGGGGTTGAGGAGCATGGAAGGCAGCCCAGTCAGAATACCTTGGCAGAGGCTGGAGGGTTGTAGTTGTGTGATTGTGATGAAATATTAGGGGTGATGGCTGGGTTTGGAAGAGTTAAGCCGTTACAAAATTTCTTCAAAGAACATTATCAAACAACACATATGTACTGCTGATTAAGCAATATCATTAATGAGCCTGCTTTATAATTTAAAATGCAAGCAGATTTACTTTCAGTTTCAGTCATGGAACCATTGAGACACTTTGGGGAGGCAAGTGAACCACTGCAGTTCTTTCTATACTGGAAGGAAAAGGAGGAAAGCAAAGTTATTTTGTGGTTTTGGAGTAGTTTAAAAAAAAAAGTTTTGTGTTTTGATAGTGCCTTCCAAAGAGTTCAGCATTATGAATCATTTCTTCTTTGTCAAGGTGAGAGAGGCATTCTGTCTGTGAACTAAATCTCCCAAAGTCTTCAGTGTTTGATGGGCAAAGGAACGAGAGGAAAGAAATAGGAAACTGCCATGCCATCTTTCCCCCATTATCTCCCTTTCATGAAAAATGATCTGTGGCTCGCTGCCAAGACTTTGTTTAAAAAAACTTGGTTGTCTGGTATTTCTCATCTGCATGAAAAATAAAAAGTGTCTCCATTTTTTTTCTGAGATAAATGGTAAAGATAAAGCTTTCTTAATGTTTAAAAATATAGGCTGCATACTCTCCAAGAAAAAAAGCCCTACAAACAATGTCAGCTATTTTTGGAATATTATATAAACAGTTTTAACTGTCATATAGGGACAACGTATTTTTCCTGCACTCCTAACCCTCACAGGAATAAAGGACATTGGCCCTTTCTTCACTGGCTTGGTATAGGCCATTTATTTACTAGCCACCTAAATAAGTGCCTACCAGCTGCTTTTAGGTGAAATCTAGGGACCATCCTAAACATCTTATGTGCTAGGTGTGGGAAGCAGGCCCAGCAGGCTTGGGCTGAATAGAAGTAAGAGTTCCCAGCCTTGTGTTGTTGTTGTCCCAGGAGGCAGATTTTCATCTGTGAAGTCATCTGGGAATCCAGTTGTAAGTTATATCCAGTTGTAAGAACTCAGTAACATCCCTTTGCTCAGTCCAGACCAATAACATTTTAAACAGTTGCTGGACTTTTTAAAATAAAAATTTTGTGTTTCCTGCCATGTAAACAGAGATGTTCCTAAAAGAAAATAAATGAACCATTTGTCAGATAATGCATTTATTCTGGTTACCTTAATCCCTTTGTTAGGTTTTTGTCATGGAGATAGTAGATGACAGCTTTGAAGGGATGTTAAGCAGTGGGGTTATTTTTTTTTTTCCCCAAGGAGACAGTTTTTAGGGCAGACTTTGAGTATTTTTTCTCTTGTTTTTGAGTGTGTAGCTGTATATTAAGATGGGAAAGCTGACTCTGACCCAGGAAAAACAGGACGGTAGGCCAGTCCACCTGCTGGGTCTGTTATTCACATTCTTGTTGGGTGTAACTGCCTTCCATGTGACTCTCGGTACCCCCTTCTCAGCAGCCCTGCTTTATGTCCCTAATGTTCCCCTGTTCATCTCACCTGGACTGCTTCCTGAGGGATTTTCTAGGGGAAGGACTAATCTGAGATGCAAATTAATGCCAAATTGATGATGGAACTCCTGAGTCCTGAAACGCAGTGCCTTGGATGTCATCTGACTTACCCTTTATTTTCTGGATGAGGATATTAAGGATCAAAGATGTAAAGGAGGTTACTTGAAACCACCCAGTGAGGTCACTCTTACCTGTGAACTGACTCCGTGGTCACCACCATTCTTGCTGAGGAAGATCTGCAGCTGTCTCATGAACATATGTAATGTGCCTGGATACAGTCCTCGCTTCAGACTCACTACTTTATTTTCTAGGGAAGAACTAGGCTTTTTATTTCACTGTGGCTGGTGTGGGGGCATTCGGTGAAAAGGTAGCTATGGGAGACAACAGGCAGCCAAAATGCTACCTAATAAACCTTTGAACCTTGAAGAAGGATTGCCCGGTGGTAGCCCTATTATCCAGAGTGATGGGGCCTGAGTTTTCTGAGTGGTTGTAACTTTGATGGTTGTGACTTTGGGAAAGAAGTATATTGCATGTAATGTTTCCAAGAATTAGTTACTGTGTGCCAGAGGAGTGGGCACATAAGCTGGATCAGTGGCTTTAATGGGCAGCAGTTGGCTGCAAGAGAAATTTGCAGTTTCACCAGTCTTAATGCTGGGCAACCCATATATTAAATAATGTTTGGTACACTTGGATATCTTTTATTGGGAATTAAGCCCCCAAAGCAGCTTTCTGTAACTATTAAAGTCTGATAATGCTAAGCTCTTCTTCAGGCACTGGAGAAGTTTGGCAGTCTCTGGAATAAGGAATTTGTTTGGCTTTGGCACTGATAGCCAAAATGCCACTTCTAGTCACTTTAAATGTTACCAAGATTTCAGTCTCATTGCCGATTATTGAAAGGTCTGTGGCAAATAAGATTTCAGTGCTGTGGTGAAGCAATCTGTGTGTGCTTTAAAGGTAAATAAAAATACAGCACATTTTCTGAGTATAATTCTCGTAGACAGAGTTTTGTTGGTCACCCAGATGGTTGGAAGTTCTGGTCCTTCAGCAGTATGGGTTGGTGGCAGTGGTGCTGGCTTCTGCAGCCTGTGCTGGTCCAGGCCTAAACTCAGGGAAAAGTATACATGTCCAGGGCTCATGTGACTTGATCATATGGGGGCGTGCTTCATAGGTCACAGCCATGGTTATTCATCCATTTAGTTTCATTCCGCCGGCACGGTAATGCATGGAATAAAGATGGACATACAAGTGGGCATTGCTTCTGGTGAGTCTGCAGTATAGTGGGTGATAGGGATATGCAAACAGAAAGTTGTTTTTCTTGGGAGATGGCACTAATCCACCTTGCCTAGAAAGAAGGGAAGTCTTGCTGAACTGTGCATCCTGGCATGTATCTCTGCCATCATTCATTATTTTCACCTTTGATAATGAAATTTCTGACAATACAGGGTGTTGTTGGAGTTCATTTTTTTGTTGATAAAAGTATTACTGTAATCAAAGAATTCCTTGCAGAAGTTTTGCAACCCTCAAGGAAAAGTGATAAAAAAACAGACCCTGCATGATGGATTGCAGGTTTCAGGGAGGTGGGAGTTGTCCATCCTTTCGCGTTGGCTTTGCTTTTGTTTGTGTAACCATGAAAGGATACTGAGTCTGCTTTTTGTAAAGGAGATAACTTGGTTCATCCGTAACATGCAGAGTGTTGGGTGAATTAACGAGTGGAAGGCACGTAATGATGTGTGGCACTTATGTAGTATTTTGATGATTTCACCTAGAATCTTGCCATCTGGAAACTTGCATTTACTAGGATGTAGAGCCAATTTTGGTTGATACTGAGTCCAATGTTTATTTAAAATGGTTTAGATTTTCATTTGGCTAAAATCTAGGAGGTTGTAGACTAATAGAATAACAATAATGATAGCCTTTCCTAAGGAGCTCTGAATAGCCTCAGTAGTACTATAGTGAGAGGTAAAAGACAAGAATCTTACCTTATTTCATAGTGATGCAGTTGAAACATGGTAGCCTGCACAGGGTGGTAGAGCTGGCCCGTTTTGAAATGAGAAGTTGAATTCCTGATCTATGGCTTTGGCACTTGCTTTGCCACCAAGAATTGCTATCTCCAAAATCTTTTTTTTTTTTTTTTTTTTTTTTTTTTTTGAGACAGAGTCTCGCTCTGTTGCCCAGGCCGGACTGCGGACTGCAATGGCGCAATCTCGGCTCACTGCAAGCTCCGCTTCCTGGGTTCACGCCATTCTCCTGCCTCAGCCTCCCGAGTAGCTGGGACTACAGGCGCCCGCCACCGCGCCCGGCTAATTTTTTGTATTTTTTTAGTAGAGACGGGGTTTCACCCCGTTAGCCAGGATGGTCTCGATCTCCTGACCTCGTGATCCACCCGCCTCGGCCTCCCAAAGTGCTGGGATTACAGGCGTGAGCCACCGCGCCCGGCCTCTATCTCCAAAATCTTCAAGCCATGAAGAATCTTTGCCATCTTATTTATTTTCCCAGCTCCTGGGGAGCAGAGGTTTCCCACTTGGAGTTTAGATTTTGCTGAAAGCACCAAAATCCAGGCCTGAAAGATCTCAAAGTGGATCAGGGCCTGGGGACCAGCTGTGCATTATTGAGATTGGAGCCCAAGTTGGCAGGGAGGCCATGGCTCCTTAACTATCCAGGAAGGCCCTCTGCCCTCTTACTCAGCGCTTCAGCAGAACAGGGCTGGGCTCTTGATCCTGAGACAGCTGGGAGTCTGCAAGGTGTGCCCCATGCTTTCCTTCAATGTAGAGATGCCTTTTACCTCCCATTAGAGTGCTTCAGAGGCTACTTAGGGTGCCTTAGGAAAAGGTATCGTTATTATTATTCCATTAGTCTGTAACCTTCTAGATTTTAGCTGAATGAAACTCTAAACCACTTAAAACACACTGGGCTCAGTAGCATACAAAATCGCTCTGTGCTTAGAGGCGTCTGCAAAGTGGTGGGCGTGCTGCCCCAGTGGCTGTCACTCTGGCTGCTGCCCTTATGTCTCCTTCAAGGGTACATGGAAGAGAGATGAGGGACACATGCCTAAGGTCGGCTTCTACCACATTCCTATCCCACTTTCTCAGCCGGCTTCCTACTTTTTCACTGCCTCTGAAATAGACACAGACCTGCCAGTCCTGGAAGGCCTCAAGCCTCTGGAAAAGCGAAGATCACTTTTCCCCAAAGATGTTAATTCCAAACTTGTTTATGTTCCTCCTTGGAATGACAGCTTATAAAAATATGTGCAGTATTAAGAGATGAAGCCTGAGGGTGAAGGACAACATAGTACTTGACAGGCACCAGAATTAGGTGACACATTTCACTCTTGAGTTTCATAGCAGCTGGAGCAAAAAGGGACATAAGATTAGCTTCCAAACTTATGTTATGCCTTTAAATGAAAACAGAAGTAGCGTGGCTTTTTCTGTTACTTAGAAACTTTTTCTCTTGGGACATCATAAAGAGAACACTGATCTAATAAACGACATTCTCCTGCTTGAAACTTGGTTCTCTGAGGTAATGAGCCAGTCCATTAGTTTCAGTGTACCTTCCTCAGTGATGTATCTATGTTCATCTATCTGGCCTTGTGAATATTTTTTTGACGTAACATGAGCTAGACTGAGTATGAATGGCTCCAAACTTAGGAGTGACTAGGATTTACAGATGAAGCAGTATGGATCAGTTTCTTTGGGAAGGTTCTTGGAGGACCCTATGGGAGGAAACCCTGGACAGGTAGGAAAACTGAGGAAGCAGAAGAGAAGGGCAGAAGACAAAAACCCTGGCATAAGAAATTGTCAATACTGAGAAGTGGCAGGGACGTAGCAGAAGGGGATGGTTGAGGGGAAGACCAGGGGGCTGGTATGTAGTTGGTCCCCAACAGCAGTGTATTGGTGTACTCGACCCTCCAGTGTGATTCTGGGCATGAGACAAGACTCTTGTTCTCATGAAGCAGGGCATCAGGGAATGGGAGTTGGTGAGGAAATTACATTAACATTTATTGAGCACCATTCTCACTATAAACCTGAACGTAAATATTATTATTATTATTATTATTATTATTATTATTATTATTATTATTATTATTTTAGTAGAGATGAGGCCTTGCTGTGTTGCCTAGACTGGTCTTGAACTCCTGGGCTCAAGCAATCCTCTCACCTTGGCCTCTCAAAGTGCCTCTCAAAGGTGTGAGCCACCATGCCCAGCCTATTCGTTTTTAATTTCTGAAGAAACTGAGGCTAACAGCTGGGTCTGGCCCATGACTGGTTCAGTTGGTATTTGGTGGACCAAGTTGACCAAGCTCACCCAGCTTCTGAGTGACAGAGTGAATATAAACCCAGCCTGCTCACTCCATTTCCTAGTTTTCTCACCTCTACCAGGGTCTCTGTTGCTCACAAGAGCTCAGGGCTGGGAGAAGCCTCTGTGTGACAGATGAAGGGGTCCTGCTGCTCTCTAGGGAAGAATCGGTCCCAAATTGCTCAAGGGAGTAAGGTGGTTTCGTTGAGGAGCATCAGCTAGGGGGATTGATGGGAATAGGTGTCAGGCAGCCAGTGGAAATTTTGTGTGCCCACCTGTGGCACATGTATTATGCAAATTCATGCAAAAATATATATATGTGTATGTGTGCACACACAAATACACACACACACGCCCCACACACTTGTTCTACGGCTTGCTTTTGAAGTGAGAGCCCCGGCTCAGTGTTGGCCTTGTTTTTTCTCCCCTTCGTTTTAGACCAGTCTGTGTTCCTGCAAACAGACAAGGCATTGTTTAAAGTACAATGTACTCTCCTGCTTTTGCATTGTCATCAGAAACCCTTGGCAAAATGTTTAATTTTTCTCACAGAGGTTATCTGTACTTACTTGACTTCCCTGATGGTACATTTGGTTCTGGAACCTGGAACTTTTCTTTTGCCCACCTGTATTGTGTTAAGTCAGCCATAGGACACACATAAATATTTTTATAGAAAACTTAAGGATTCTTTCGCTTTGAGATGACTCAGACCCATGTTTCCAAACTGGGACATGCACTAGAGAAGGGCTCCCCCATCCTCCCTCCTCCTCTAGCTTCTTGTCTGTGTAGCGTCCTTCCTAATACCCACTGTTTGCAGTCAGGCAAAAGGAACGTGCTTCCTAAGTGTAAGCTTCCATCTAAAAATGAACATAATTTCAAAGGCAACTTTAAGTTAACAGCTCTAAGTTCTGTGATAATCTGCTAACAGTTGCATTGCTTATGATCTCATTTACGAATGTGTTTTATCATCTTTAAGTTGATAAGTTCAAGAAAGGTACATAAAGTGTGTGTTGTTTTTTAATTATTTTGAACTATTCAGTATATTGAAAAATTCAATTTTTGTTTTTCTCTGCATTTGGGCTTGTTCCTTTTGCTAGTTTTCTGATTGATTTGCATAGACCATTGACTGGATGTTGTATTTTTTTTTTCTCAAAGCTAAACTGTATGAAAAATCAAGACTTAAAAAAGGTAAATGGAGGCAGTTGCACAATTACATTTGTTTAATGAGCTTTTACATTTTAAAACTTTTAATTAATGTTATACTATTTCAGAAATTCAACTGTAGTTATAAAATTATAAAGAATGCATTTGTTATTTAAAGTGAGATATGCGTGCAGACACACAGACCATGGTCTTCCCTTCTTCCTCTGGTCTACTGCTTCTGCCTTATATCCCCTAGATTCCTTCTCACTCCCCAAAAGGCAGAGGTTAAGAAGAAAGTTAAAATATCAAGACACACTAAACTGTTTTTGTGGTGAGTCAAGCTGCAGTGCCTCGCTGACTGGGAAACAATGGGCTGGGCCTCCTAGAATATAGTAGGCTGGAGAAACAGAAAATACAGCTTGACTGGGCCTTGCCCTCTCACTCCAAGCCTCAACAGGATGCTAGAGCTTTAGCATGCTTTCTGCTGTGCTGGGATTATTTTCTGCAACTAGACAAAAAACCCACAAAACTCCACATGGTTTGTTCTCAAGCAACTGGAATATGGAAAGGCTTGAAGGAATACTTACACTTTTTGATGGAAGGTAATGACCTTAGTTCTTCAGTATTTATTAGGTAAGCATGGGTTCTGCAGTATAGCATTTAAAAATTCATGTTCCTCAGGGTTTCCTAAGACAAAATAGAGTGTGTTTGGTCCAGTGTGATGGAGAAGTTTGATGCAAATCCGTCTTAAGGAGGAGAATGGAGGCTGTCATGGAGTCCTGTGGACTGTTTCGCAAGTAGTTGTTTTCCATGTTCCAGTTTTACTTAACTTCAGAAAATTATTGTTTTTGAAAATAAAGAAAAAATCTAAGTGGTAGAGAGAAATATAGGCTGTATTTAAACTGGCCTTTATAATTTTTCCTGGGCACACGCAGCCCACATTTTGGAGCTCTGTGACATAAGCACCCCCTGCCCCGGAGCTGGGAGTCTTGACCGGGCCAGGCCTTGGCTGCCCTGGGCTACACAGACACAAGCACAACCCGAATCTTTGTTTACTTCCTCTCCAAGTGCTGGGGACATTCAGTACTAAGAAGGACTGTGTGCTTGCACAAACACTCCTGCCAGCATTCTCTCAGCCCTGCCATTCCTGACTGTCTTGGAAAGTTCTTCGTTTAAGGCAGGCTTTTGTTCTTAGAGTGCATGCATTATTCCCCAGTCAGGCAGCCTTTTCCGGGTTTCCAGTGCAGACTTGCAGGTCCACTCCCCTGCAGCCTAGCCCAGGGGTGGAACCTTAGCTTTAGTTGCCATTAAGAGCAGGAGGAGGAGTTAGGCAGGGGTGACTGGCTGTTCATGTGAGTTCCTGTGACTGATGTCTCTGAAGAAACCAATGCCTTCTTCAGATCCTTATGGGAAATTTAGGGGACTTTTGGATTACACAGTGTTGCCTTTTGCTGATTCTAAGATAGAGCCTTCCAATTGTAAGTATGTTAAAAACACACAACTATTTCCTACTGAATGTTAGTCAAGCTAAAGAGTGAATCTGCAATTTCATGAATAATCAAAACAAAAGCATGCTGCCAGGATGAACTGTTGCAAGAGCAGGTGCTATTTTTTTCCAGAAACTTTTTTATCCTCGATCACGTTATGGGTATTAAGAGAGTTATTCTTAAAGGATATCATGTTCAGTGCAATGTCTTAATAGAAAAACCTTAAACATAAGTATGCAGGCAAACACAGGTACATAGCTGTATAAAGTTAAATATGAAGACTGGAATTCATTAATAGGATTTAATTTAAATCTTTTTTTTTTTTTGAGATGGCTTTACTCTGTCATGCAGGCTGGAGTGCAGTGGCATGCTCACTGCAGACTGGAACTCCTGGGCTCAAAGGATCCTGCCACCTCAGCCTCCTGAGTAGTTGGAACTACAAGCGTGAGCCACCACACCCAGCACCCACCTTTTTTTGAGAAATAATACAGATTGAGCATCCCTAATTTGAAAATTTGAAATCCAAAATGCTCCAAAATCTGAAACTTTTTGAGCGTTGACATGACACTACAAGTGGGAAATTTCACATCCAATCTCATGTAAGGGGTTGCAGTCAAAACTTTGTTCTGTGCACGAAATTATTTAAAATACTAAATGAAATTATCTTCAGGCTATGTGTATGAGGTGTGTATGAAACATAAGTGAATTTCCTGTTTAAACCTGGGTCGTATCCCTAAGATATTTTATTATGTATATGCAAATATTCCAAAATCTGAAGAAATCTGAAATCTGAAACACTTCCAGGTAATTTGGATGAGGGATACTCAACCTGTACTCAAATTAGAGGAAAGAAAAGAAGTAATGGATAGACAAAAGAAAAGTACTTATTTAGAGTTTACAATGGCCAAGAATTAGGAATGAAGAATTGAGACTGATGTTCTTGTCAGAATTTTGGATGCCTTGCTTGCAAATATGGTTTTAAAAATATGCAACTTTTCTCATTTTAGTATTGGGATTGTGGCGCTTTTTTGAGCCTCATATGACAGCTTTCAGATTGGAGATAACGTTAGAGCTCATCCTAGCTCAGCTGCCTCCCCTGACAGCAGACGAAACTGAGGCCCAGCACTTGGTGGTGGGCTCAGAGTGCCAAACTAGTTAATGAGGCAGAGTAGACAGGCAACAGCCTTCTCATGTAGGTAGGCCTCATCCTTTAGAAGATGTTGCTGCCTGCCCTTGTGACTTGTAAAGATCTGTTTGAAGCATGAGTAAGGAGATGGGGGCTCAGGAGTGTTACAGCATTTCACATCTCAGGTGTAGCTGGGACTTATCGGGTGACCTTTTAGAAACTGTTTATTTTCATTTTTGTACCCCACATTGGGATAAGTATGGTCCACTGACATTGAGAATAACCAGGCCTGTTGTAGACAGCCAGCCATCCTGAAACTACTAGGTTTATACTTCTTACCTGTTAGAACAGAGTTTCCCAAGTTGTATTCCCTTGGAAACACTAGCAGTCGTGCATCATTTGGGCAGTTAGGTTACACAAAATTTAAATGGTCTATTTATTTTCTTTTCCAGACAGAACTCAGGGCAGTCCCACCTCAAGGGAAATCTCATTACATCCTTCTGATGGTGGGGTAGCTGGGAGTCAGCATGAAATCCAAAATTCTAAATCATCGGGAAAAAGCAGAAGGGTTGGAACCCAAATTAAACTGAAGTCCTAAATAAAGTTCACTTTTCGGTCAGGCATTCAGGAAGCAGCACGTGAAAATTTGCTTGGATACAGTTTCCTCATAGTTCTTCAGCAGCTTGAAATAACATCTTGAGCTGGCTGTAAACAAAACATCTCAAGTTATCGTTTTTCTTTCCATTTGATTGAGCCAGTTATTGTATAGGGAGGTGACACAAAACAAAACTTCGTGTTTCTGAAGCCGAGATTTTGGGATTGTACTTTATGCAAAGTTACTTATAAGTTCTGATTACTTTGAGAGAAAAATATTACAGTATCCTTAGGAAGTTTTATGTATTTGTTTTAAAGCTAAGCACCACCCTCTTTTTAGTTAAAAAAAAAAAAAAGTTTGGAAAATAGTGACATGTCAGTACAAAGGGAATACTGCTCTACAATAAGAAGGAACACGCCACAGATACATAGCATGGATGAATGTCAAAAACATTGTGAGAGAAAAATGCCTGAACAGGAGAGTAACTATTGTTTGATTCCATTTCTGTGGAATTCTAGAAAAGGCAAAACTAACTTATGGCAACAGGAAGCAGATCAGCGATTGCCAGGGGTGATGGGGATTGGAGGAGGTTGACTGCAAAAGGGCAGAAGGGAACTTTTCAGGGAAATATGAAATGTTTTATATCTTAATTGTGGTGGTGCTTACACTGGTGTAAATATATTTGCCCAAATTCGTGTAAGCATATGCTTAAAATGGGTGCAGTTTTTTGTATGTAAGTTACACCTCATAAAGTTGATTTGAACCGAAAAAAGGGGTTAGAAAAGGCTGTGGTTGGAATTTTTTGTGTAACTTAAGGCCAAATAGTCCATTTACGCCAGTTTTTACAGTATTGTAAGCTATGCCCTTTGTGTTCACATTTCTTCAGTTACTCCTTTATTCGTCATCACTTAGGAGACTTTGCATCTCATCTGCCTTCCTCCTAGCTCCATGATTTGAGCAATAGAAGTTCTTGGCTTTCAGGAACCTCACAGTTCTTGTTAGTCATAAGCAAGAATGCATTTTAAATTCACTTCAAATTATTTTTTAAGTAGGGGTTCTGGTGGTTTTCTGGAATGGAGGTGTGGTGGAAGCTTGAGTGTGTGTGGGAAGAGGCTGGGTGTTCCTCAGATCATTGTACCATGCTTCCTCACACCTGTCCAAGCTTCTGTGCGAATACTGAAATAAAGTGTCATGAATTTTGCTTCTGGCATTTGTCGGCCACAGCTGTGGCTTCGGGTTGCACATTTGTTGTGGTTTCAGAGTCTCTGAGAAGCCATTGGTTGGGAGGGCGCTAAGAATGGTTGGTGCACGTGGTAATTGAGTGCTTAAGGGGAGGAGGATGATTCTTAGTGCACTCATTGCTCTCCAGTCTTTATCTCAATCCTGTTATAATTTAGAGAGACGTTTTCCTGGTGTGTCCACAGAGAGATGGATGCGTGCTTAGGAATGCATAATTTAGTGAGCAGTTTGAACATCTAGATGTTGGGAATATTGTTGAGTATTTATTTTTAAAGTTCAAGTTCTCCATGTCTAGTCAGTGTTAGCCTGTAAGAAAGAACTAGTTGTTCTTAATGGATCATGTTAGCTGGACTTGGTACAAGTGTTTTTTCTTAGAAGGGAGGATTACACGTTTATAGTAACAAGATGTTCTTTTATTTCCTAGTTTATCAAAAGATTGTGAAATAGGGTGTGCAGATATTTTAGGTAGTACTATTTTTTAAATAGATGAGCTTGAAAGAGTGAGAAAAGGTTGTGTCAGGTTAATTGGGCTTAAGGAAAGCTAAATAATTGGTGGGAGAAGGAAAAGTAAATATTAATTTTTTCCTTTGCTGTGTATTTCTTTTTTCTTTTTTTTTTTGAGATGGAGTCTCGCTCTGGCTGGAGTGCAGTGGCACGATCTTAGCTCACTGTAACCTCTGCCACCTGGGTTCAAGTGATTCTCCTGCTTCAGCCTCATGAGTAGCTGGGATTACAGGTGCCTGCCACCATACCCAGCTCATTTTTATATTTGTAGTAGAGATGGGGTTTCACCATGTTGGCCAGGTTGGTCTCTAACTCCTGGCCTCAAGTGATCCTCCTGCCTCAGCCTCCCAAAATGCTGGGATTACAGGTGTGAGCCACTGAACCCGGCCGCCTTGCTGTGTATTTTTCTTTTCTTTTCTTCTTCTTTTTTTTTTTTTTTTTTTTTTGAGATGTAGTCTCGCCCTGTCACCCAGTCTGGAGTGCAGTGGCTCAATCTTGGCTCACTGCAACCTCTGTCTCCTGGGTTCAAGTGATTCTCCTGCCTCAGCCTCCCGAGTAGCTGGGATTACAGGCATGTGCCACCACAACCAGCTAATTTTTGTACCTTTTTAGTAGAGATGGAGTTTCACCATCTTGGCAGGGTTGGTCTTGAACGCCTGACCTCAGGTGATCTACCCGCCTCGGCCTCCCAAAGTCCTGGAATTACAGGTGTGAGCCACCGTGACCGGCCTTTGCTGTGTATTTCTTTTGGACATCTTTTGGCTTTGTGTTTGTGTAAACTTTGAGGTTTCTTAAAACTACCAAAGCAGTGAGGAGAAGATGGCAGAAAGCTGTGTGCTGATATTCTTTTTCCTGTTTCTTGTTTTTCCCTCCCCCAAAAGTTGTGGAATTAATTTTAAGTAGAAGGAAAAGGGCAGCTTGAGATGTTTAAATTTGACTTAAGTTTTAACTGAAGTTTGTTTGCAAAAAGATGAAAACGGGTTAATAACTTTAGAGAAAAAAAGGAGAGTCCCTGTTCTTCTCCTTCCTCTTTTAGGGAGAGTTGTAGAATAAAAGGTTGATTTCATACTCCTAAGGTTTGGAAGCCAAATAAAGAAAACAAAACTGTGAAGTTAACATAGTAGTTTTGGTTTCTTATTTGTAGAATAAAGGTATGATCCAGCCCCATGGACCAAGGCAGCAGGAGGAGAGTTCCCAGGGTTTTTCTAAGGTCAGAGGCATGCAGCATTTTCTTCCCTCCTTCCCTGCCTCAGCCACCTCTCCCTCCCACCTTTACCTCCCGCTAATGCTTCTTTTGGGCTTGCTTGGGCCATGTTGTTTTGTTTTGCTGCTTTTTGAACTCTAAAAATATAGGTGGCAAATCTCAGGTCTGCCTTGCAGGGAGTGGCCCTGGTCTTTCCGGACCCCTTGTGCCCCATGGCCCTGTGGGTCTGGTGTGTCTCAGTGACCCAGTAGGTGTAGGGCAGAATGGCTAGGCACTGGCATGCCCATTCATCCCCAAATCGGGCCTTGTTGAATGTGGCACAGCTCCAGCTCTTTCCAAACATGACTCCTGCCAGTCCCTATGCTGTGAGATAAGAATGGGCTACACCTAAGCAAAGTTTTGTAGGCAGCTCTCCCTTCCTTTATGTGCTTATGCAACCTTTTCAGCACGTTGGTACCTACGTGTCAGGGACAATGTGTGATTTTGGTGGAGATGCTTATAATCCAAAGTATTTTCATGGTGGTTCCCCAAACAACACTAGGCTCAGATTTCAGTTTATCCTCCTAATATTAATGTTGTATTCAAGGATAGATTTTTCCCTCCCAGGTGTGACTTCTACTCTTTCTGCTCCCCCTCCCACAAGCAGCTGGATTTTGCAAAAACTCATCAAGCTACAGGTTGTCGAGGCCTAAAACATTCTTATTTCTGTTGAGCTTATGAGAGGTATGAGCATAATTGTGTTTTTAGGTAGTGATGTGGAATGCAAATTGAATTTTCGGAAATACTGGGAAGTACTTCTGAAGGAGGAGGTAGAGAGAAAAAACTTTTCATTGTAACTGTGACCTCTCCCTTCTTCAGCTTAAGCTAAATTTAGTGATACATAGAAAAAGTTTGGGGCTTATGATATTGAATTCATTTCCCAAGCATACTCATTGTTTTGTAAGAAATGCAACAAAGTTTTCATTTTTTAATAACTCGGCAAAGGTACTGGGTACAGGGGACCCCTTTGCCCTTTCATTGAGACCATTTACATAAGTTTTTGTAGTTTCTGTAACTTTTATTATTTTATGTTCTCTCTCATAGAAGTGTATGTTTCTGGAAGGAAGGCGATTTGTTAATACAAATCCTAAAGATAGATTGTTTACCCTTGAAAAGAAAGGATCAAAGAAAGCAAAAACCATATAAAATCTGCCTTCCTACATTTCCCATTCCTAAGACTTTAGGATAAAATCTCCTCTCCTGTTTTAAGTCACTTCTGTCTAAGGGAGTTTTTTTGCACACAACATGAAATTAGTGACCTCTGTGTTTGCACGTGGTTATGAGGGGCCTGATGGTGTTCAAATGCCAAGCTGCCAATTTACCTTGTTAGTGATGAGTTTGATAATTCTGCCAGAAATGGACTTTTTACATTAATGGGCCAAGTATAGAATATTTTGAGATTCAGTAAGAAATATTTTAATGGTGGCAGGCCCTGGTCCCCTTCATTCTGTCAGACTGCCCAGATACTGCTTCCTTCTTGTCCGTTTTGTTTAAACTTTCCATTCATATTTTTTTCTTCCTGAAATGTTTCTTTATTTTGAGGAATGCCCCCAAAGCTTATAACCTGTCAGTGTGCATTATTTTACCATGAAGGTCAAATGCTTTATTTTCTACCTTTCTCTTCCCCATCCTATTATCCCTTAGCATTGAAAACATTTTTATAGTACTATTTTTGTTATTGTTTCCCAGTGGTTTTTGAGGAATAATGGACCTGTTTGAGGAAATGTGTGTTGCCTGATCTCTAGAAAAATGTGGTTACCTAAGACATTTTGCATGTGATTTGGATATGATTTCAGGGGCTTATGGACCCACTAAGTCCCATCCATGGACTCCTGGTTAATGGCCTAAATGAAAAAAAAAAAAAAAAAAAAAAAAGTTCAAAGTAAAAGTAGTAATGTGGACTCAGAGGTATAGAGGGGAAAATGTCCAGATTACTTGAAAAGTTATGGGTTGTTGAATGAACATCTCCTCTAGTATGTTTTGTAAGTAGGGAAGGAAAACATTTGTTTGCCAAGGGAATGAGAAAGTTTAAGCAGGAAATGGAAATCGGAGATGGGTCACTAAGAAGCAACATTTAGAGGAAAGTGGAAGGTAAATAAATGTGTACCTGTCCATAGGCAAAGTTACAGGCAATTTGGGAGAATCCAGAACACTAGCCTAATTACACACTGTGTTTAAAAAGTGATCTGTGGTTTAAAAAAAGGATCTGGAAAATACTTAATATACACTGTCACCCTTTAGGGACTTCAGGATGCGTACCAGCAGACTGAAGCCCATAAGTCCTGCAGTAAAGAAACCTGTTTTATATTGTTTAATCCATCATATCCCAAACAGTTGCAGCTCAAAGGGATGCTTTTTTTTTCTTTTTTCTTTTTTTTAACAGAAAACAGTTATCAGCAGAACATACTTTGGGAAATAAACTGTTGGACTAAATAAACTAGAGTCTTATCTAACTCTTTAGAGTCTGAAGTGTGGATGGTATCTTGAACCACAATAAGCAGAGAAAATCCCAAAGGACTGGAGAGAAAATTTACTCTGGAGATGGCAGCAGCTAAGTGAGAACAGAACTTGGCCATACAGTTGTGTCTTAACTTGTCCCAAAAGGGAAGTGCCAGAATGTGGGTGATGCCATTGGGCTATGTTAGAGACACATCAGCTCAGAGGTTGTATAAGTTGTTTCCATGGCTAGATGAGAAAGAGAGCCAGACCTAAGAGTGTCCCCTTGAGCCATTAGAAACAGTGTCACCCCAGAGATTTACTCTTTTCAACTTCTCTGTCCCCATTAAATCCAGAAGCACACCAGGCTGAGAATGGGTAATAGGCTTAAGCACAAAGAAATTGCTTATGATTCTGAATGTGGAAGGCATCTTTCTTTTCAGCTATGAGGATGCTCATTTAAGAGAAATTGCTTTCTTATTAAACAGAATGATTGTGCTTTTTTTTTAATTGGATCAGAACATCCCCATGCTGCCTTGTGGTATTTGTACCTAACAAATGGATAATGACTATGTGAAATTATGGATTCTGTTGGCTAAATTTAAGCTGTCAATACAGGGCAAAAGGGTACTTTGATTCCATTACACATTGCGTTACCAGTCTCCAGAGTCCATGGGGTTAGGTACTCCATGTTTTAATATGTTTCAATAACTTTTTTATACTGACGTCTGCAGGCTTTGGTAACTCATACTGTAGACCTGTATGTGGCTGTGTCCAGCTGCAGCATGTGAGGTAGCCAGAGAGCTATTTCAGGAACAAACAGAGCTATTTCATGTTTCCTCTAATTTGTAATAAGCACTTAGGTCTGCCTGACTCTTGAGATGTATCACAGAGTTCATCACACGCCACCTATTGTAGTACTAAAAGGTACTAAAATTAGAATTCATGCTTTTGGTGTTTTAAAATTAGCGATTCTTTTCCCTCTGTTGAAGCTATATATATTTGTTAAATAGTGTCTTTTAAACCCATAAATTCTAAGCTAGAATTGATGAACATTCAGATTAAAGCAAGCAAGAAAAAACTTAATAAAAACAAAATTCCTCTCACGGAGTTTGAGGTTCCAGTGATTTAGTGGGTCATGTGTTTTCCATTAAGGATATAGTTCCCATGCAGTTAATAATGTACAACACTGTGGGTTCTCTCTGCTTTAATCTTTGCCTTCTTCCTCCCTACTGTCCCCTCTTCCATCTCCCTCAATTGGGGAGGGGAAAATCCCTGTGCATCTTTCTGTTCTTTGTAGAATTTGTTCCTTGGTAGTTTCTTCATCAACTTGAGTCACCTCAGCCCTAGAGGAGGAATGGATTAGCTGAATTCTGCTGACTTGTTGCTACCCAGCTCTGCTGATAGGGACATTTGTAGGGTGGGGATGACAGGGGATTACCAAGCAGTTGCTGAGTGATAAACTGAACTGAGGCAACCACAAGCAGGATACATAAAAAAGAACCACTGGCACGCACTGACCCATTGCTCTGAACCAGCTGTCTGTGCTGGGCCCTGGTGGGAAATGGAGGGAAAAAAAATCTAGAGCTTTCTCTTGAACAAAGTTACGCACAACATGAGTCAGAAACAAAATTTTAAAAGGTCTGGGGCTGTACAGATTTTGTTGTGGGGAGGGGAGTGTTACACATTTTATGATGATTGACTTACTGGAAATTCACCATCATGGAAACAAAAATTTAGGGAAGAATTCTGAATGTGTTCTGGGAAGCCTCTCATTCATGACATTGGTTTGGCAGACAAATGGCTTCCAGGAATGCCTACCCAGGGCATTGCTTTGTATGGCAAGATGTGGATGGTTGATAACTCCTTGACCTGGTGGTCATTGGAGACTGCCCACCCAGGGCAGGGGTGTCTGTATACCCCTCACCTCCTTCATGCTGACTTAGCATGATGGCCGGCAAGGAGTTTCTCTAATTCTTGTCTGGGCATATTCTTTCTCTTTCCCTTTTCTTTTTTTATGCAACTAATAAAAAGATTGCTAACACTTATTACATAGGAAACTTGAGATGTATACAGAGTTCTAGAAAATGGGATGAGAGCTGTTTTTATTCCTAGACCAGAGTAACTTTGTGAGAGCAAGCTGTTTTTTATTCCCTGTCCTCCACCTTCCTTTCACTCTGTTATTATTCCTGTTAATAAGTAAATGACCCTTCTGAATTGAAACAGGGTTGGGTCTGCTCTTTAAAAACATAACCTTTTTATTGGGATTTTCTTTAAGATAGGCTAATTTATTAAAATTAAAAAATCTTGCTAGGTATTAACTTTGTTGCTTATCTAAGACCAAGAAATATATTTTTATACATCTCAGCTCTCACCTATGTCTAGAATGTTGTATATGTGTGTAGTTTGTGGATTTATATTTTGAATACATTATTTCTTATTTGAACGGTGCTCAACATTGTATTTAGGAAGCAGCATAGTTGAAGATGATGGGATTTTCATAATGCTTCTTATAATGACCCCTCACTTAGTATGTGCCTTGCCCTGGGGCTCAGTGAGAGGGTTGTGTTTCCACAAACATGCTTCTTCGTGGTCTTTTCCATTATGGTAAGCCATAGAGGCTTTCCCGGGCTCAGTGTGCCAACTTCTGACTGCAAATGATCTCATTTTCTAAAATCTTTCTCCCATTCTCCTTTAAGAAAAAATCTTAGTTATTAAAAATCTGCCTCACAAACTTAGAAATGCTTCAGAGTAAGTATCTGAGAAGCAAGCCCACCCCACATCCACCATATATCATCGTTTCTGTTAAGGGCCATCCCATTTCTTCAGACAAATTCTATCTTCTTCCTCCCATCCCACTTACTTTTGACTTTGAAGGTGGATTATCTCATCTCAAATTTCCTTCCAGAATAGAACCACATTTCAGCAAAATATTGGGTGGCTGGTTCTTTTCTTCAAGACCCACCTGCATCTGTGTTGGTCCTCTATGTGAGGAAGGTCCTCTATGTGAGAAGATCTGAGGGGTAAGCAGGTTTTAATGGACTAAGATTTTTTTTATATGTATAAGGAGGGTGGGAGGAGGATTTTAGAAAACTAGATCCATTGGCCTGCAGTTAGAAGTCGAACACTGAACTTGGGAAAGCTTCTGTGGCTGACCGCGAGGAAAAAGACTACTTTAGTGACTACTGACATAACCTGGTTTGTATTACCTGTGAGGACTAGCTTCACACAAATTGATGTTCCATCGATATGAGCCTTTATAACTTTATTTCCTCCCATTATAAAACTATGTGTGGGCCAGGTATGGTGGCTCACACCTGTAATCCCAGCACTTTAGGAGGCCGAGGCAAGGCGGATCACCCGAGGTCAGGAATTCAAGACCAGCCTGGCCAACATGGTGAAACCCCACCTCTACTAAAGATACAAAAAATTAGCCGGGTGTGGTGGTACACTCCTGTAATCCCAGCTGCTCCGGAGACTGAGGCAGGAGAGTCGCTTGAACTGGGGAGGCAGAGATTGCAGTGAGCCAAGATTGTGCCACTGCACTCCAGTCTAGGTGACAGAGCAAGTCTCCATCTCAAAAAAAAAAAAAAAAAAAAAAAAAAAGTATGTGTGTTCATTGTAGAAAATTTAGAAGCCAGAGATTGCAAAATGAAAACAACCTATAATTCTGCAATCAATTATTGTTAATTTTTTGTGTGCATATTTCCTGGTTGGTTGATTGGAATGATAAGTAAGATTTTAAAATCTGGTTTTCACTTAAGCCTCAGGTACTTTGTGGTTGAATGTCTTGGCTAATTTTTATAAGGGAAGAAGGATTATGAATACTTTTATGTCATTAAATAATCATCAATGACTTCAAACATCTTATTTTTAAATAATTGTAGAAGTTGTGGGAAATAATGCAGAGACATCCCATGTACCATTATCTAGTTCCCCTTGTGTTAATATATTGCAAAACTGTAGTTCACACAACCAGGATATACTGACATTGATACTGTCAAGATACAGAACATTTCTTATCACTGCAAGGATCCTTCCTATTGTCTTTTTTTTTTCTGACGGAGTCTTGCTCTGTCCGCCAGGCTGGAGTGCAGTGGCGCAATCTCAGCTCACTGCAAGCTCCGCCTCTGGGGTTCACTCCATTCTCCTGCCTCAGCCTCCCCAGTAGGTGGGACTACAGGCACCTGCCACCATGCCCGGCTAATTTTTTTTTTTGCATTTTTAGTAGAGACGGGGTTTCACTGTGTTAGCCGGGATGGTCTCGATCTCCTGACCTTGTGATCCACCCACCTCGGCCTCCCAAGGTGTCCTAGTGCTTTTTAAAACATTTTATTTTTATTATTTTATTTTTGAGACAGAGTCTTGCTCTGTTGCCTAGGCTGGAGTGCAATGGCACAATCTCGGCTCACTGCAGCCTCCGCCTCCTGGTTTCAAGTGATTCTCCTGCCTCACCCTCCCGAGTAGCTGGGATTACAGGCGCCCACCACCTTGCCCGGCTAATTTTTGTATTTTTAGTAGAGACGGAGTTTCACCATGTTGGCCAGGCTGGTCTTAAACTCCCGATCTCAGGTGATCCACCTGCCTTGGCCTCCCAAAGGGCTGGGATTAGAGGGGTGAGCCACCGCACCCAGCCCCCCTTCTATTGCTGTCTTATAGCAACAGCTACCTCCTTTCCCCTGCCTAACTTGACCCCTGGCAACCATTAATCTGCTCTTCATTTTTATAATTTTGTCATTTCAAGAATGTTACATAAGTGATCATGTTATATCATACAGTATATGGATTTTTGGGATTGACTTTTTCCATTAAGCCTGATTTCCTGGATCCAAGTTGTTACACATCTCAGTAGTGTGTTCCTGTTTGTTACTCAGTAGTGTTCCACTGTATGGCTAGGTTACATTTTATTTATTCACTCATCACTCAATGGACATTTGGGTTGTTTTCAGTTTGGGGCTATTTTGAATAAAGCCTTGTGCTATGAATATTAATTTACAGGTTTTTATGTGAACGTAAATTTTCATTTTTCTGGGATAAATGCCCAATGACTTCATTTTAATGATGGCAAAATATTTCATTGTATGAAATAAATATTTCATTAATTTAGCTGATTTCTTCTAAATGGGTTGTTAAGGGTTTTTCCCCCTAGTTTTTCTGCTGTTATAAATATCACTGATGAAAATATTTTAGGTAAATCTTAATGTATATCTACTTTTATTTCTAGAAGTGGAATTGATGTCTGAGAGCATACAGAATTTTAAAGCTTTGCTTTTTCTAGTCACTCTTTTTTTTCTTTCCTAAAATCTTCCTAAACTCCTACCATCAATGTATGAAAGTGCCCATTCTCATACCCTTGCCAACACAGAGCATTATTACTTTAAAAAATCTTTGTAAATTTCTGCCATACGCCTGTAGCAGCATAACCTAAAGCTTCACTGTAAGTTTTCCAATCCCACTTGGCCTAAGAAGATCTTTCAGAGTAACAGAGATGCCACCAAGATCTTGTTTTTTGCGTGAAGTTTGGGACTCTGCAGCTTCATAGAACCTCAGAGGATTTGGTCTAGAATGGGGTAAAGAATTACAGGAAATCACTGAGTTTTTGTATGTTGCTGCTGTCTGTTATTTGTCCCTCATATTTATCCAGAAGGAGGCAAGTGTGCTGTCATAAGCAATAGCATTAAAACCAAACCAAAAAAAAAAACCTTTTATTATTAACAAAGGTTATTTTTTTATAATAGATGTGGATAACTTTTTATAAAGGCCGATTAATATAAGCAATATAGATGATTGTGTACATGTGTCTTTCTGTGTGTTTTGTATTATAGGAACCTATTTTGAAGCTCTTAGAGCTGAGAGTTAAGTGGTCTTTTAATGGAACTGCTAAGACAAGGTAGAGTAGGAGATACTTTTCTTCCCTCTTTATGCTGAAGTGTTTTAGTGTTTCTGTCTGTGACTAGGCAGTAACTTTGAAAGGAATAAGATAGGGTTAATAACATATCTACTAAAACTTGGAAAATATACTATATTTTCTGAGATAAAAATCTTTGGATTGAAAATTACTTTCTGGTGGAATATGGCAAACTGACATTCATTCAATGTAAGACTTTTTTTCCCTCACTTTTTGTGTTTTCATCTGTAGTTTTTTTTTTTCTTTTTTACCTGTGGTACCATTTTTAAGGTGAATCAGGCCAGTTTCAGCAAAAAATGGTTGTACTGTTCATCACTTCAGTAGAAGGTAGGATGACTTCGATGAGGTTGTGCTCAGTAACTTCTCTGGTGCTGAATTAGTGTCCTGTGACAAAGAAGGATCCCATTCTTACAAATAAATGAATAAAGGAGACTAGCAGAATCTGGCATTTCTCTTTTTAAAAGTTTATAATCAATTATTCATTCAGTCATTCAAGTACCTTCTACATGTTTGCAGCTAAAGACTAATGAGTGTAATTAAACAAGTGGATCAAGTAAAGCATCAGCCATGAAAACTTTTCACTTTCTCGGGGATGATAAAGGACCCTCCTTTTTTTCCTTGTCATATTTTCCAGTTTATCATGATTCTTATGGTATTGGTGATTTTAACTTTAAGTGTCTAGAAAATTTACGCACATTTTGGCCTAGGAAAGAAAATACAGTATTGAAGAACAAGTTGAGGATCTCCAGGTATTAAATATAACCTGATTTCCAGAGGAACTTGATATAAAGAGGATAGGACTCTGCTAATGGGGAGAGGAGGGAATCATTGTTGGGGTTTTGGGTAGAGCATCTTCTTTGAACTAATCCTGGACAGCCTTTCCCAAACTGAGGGTGTGCCATCATTTCCTTGAGGGCAGTAGAAGGCCCTGAGAATCTATCTGACAGCATTATTGAAGCTCAAGAGTTTAGTTCTATTTTTTAAATAAAAATTTCCCAGCATGGTACATTAGACAATTTTTTTTTATTTAAAAAGAAGTATTTTTGTAATGATCTTGGAAATATCTATAGGTCCAGGAATTCCTAGAATAATTTTTTTACTATGAAATTGCCTAGGAATGGTGACTTAAGCTACTCTGAAATAATATGGTATTGAGGATGATCACATCCTGCAAACAACTGCAGCCTCAGACTACTTTGACTAAAAGGATTCTAATGTGAGTGGTTGGAAGGAAAGGAGGCAGCATCAGGCACAATTTATTGAAGAGGTCAGAAGTAGCTAGAGGAGAAACCAACTTTTTACTCTTAAATAATCAAGATTTTTATGTAGATATTTTAGGAAAGATATGGTCATTAAAATTTGGAATTATGGTGAATGAAATAAGTAATAAAGAAAAACTGGAAAACGACAGTACGCACTGTTAATACATTTCTTGGTGACTAAATGAGGTGAAAGTCATTGGGTTCCTTTGCCCTCTTCAGTGGCAGGTTAAGTTTTTATGGCTTATTATACCTTTGGATGATTGTGTAGAAGAACTTCCTGATATATTTTTTTTCTTTTCGAATTTAAAGGTAATTTAACAGCGACGTGCCTTTGCCTGAAATGAGTAGAAATGTTATATGACTTATTAGTATGTAATATTACTTCTGACACTGACATTTGTGAACAAGGAATAATCAGTTTGCTTTCTTGTTCATTATTATGTTTTAACAAGAAATAAGTGTTACAGTGTTAGAGTCTCTACTAGAACTGAATTTGAACAACAACCAGTGAATGCAGCCAAAGAAAACAGCCAGTTTGGATGTTTCAGGCCCCCTCAACTTTTTGAAGGTTGGGTTTTTTTTTTCCTTGTTGCTTTTTGCTTTTCAGTTTGTTTGGTTTGGACCCTTTTTTAAGTATTTGAAGGATTGTCTAAGCTTAAGTTTATCCTTATGGAGATGCCTTCACGTGGGGCATCTGAATGTCATGAGTTTGGTGATTCTAAGCCTTCCCGTTTTGTGACTTGGCTCACTTATGGAGTGTAAAGGCCCTATAAGAAGAGAGAAAAAGGTATTTGAAGTCAAATGTTTCTGTTTTGCAAATTTACTTTATACTGTTCCACCACAGGATGTGGCCTCTTGGCTTTATTAATTTTTATTTTTAAGCTTAAGATGTTGCTTAGGCCAAAATAAACTTTTTAGTTGAGATAAATGAAGTTCATAGTCACACTCTTTATCATGGGTATCCTTATATCTAATACTAACTTTTCTTTTTTTTTCCCTGAGACGGAGTCTCATTCTGTCACCCAGGCTGGAGTGCAGTGGCACAATCTCAGCTCACTGCAACCTCCGCCTCCCAGGTTCAAGCAGTTTTTCTGCCTCAGCCTCCCGAGTAACTGGAACTACAGACGCCCACCACCACACCTGGATAATTTTTGTATGTTTAGTAGAGATGGGGTTTCACCATATTGGCCAGGCTGGTCTCGAACTCCTGACCTTGTGATCTGCCTGCCTTGACCTCCCAAAGTGCTGGGATTACAGGTGTGAGCCACCGCGCCCAGTCCTACTATTTTTTTTCATTTTATTTTTGCGATTTTGAAAACTATTAATAATTTCTGAGCATTCACTATGTGTCTGACACTACTGTGTCTTTTACATACAGTATTTCTAATCTATACCTTGGAAGTTGCTCATTTCTCAGAAAAAGAAACAGGCCTAGATCAATTAAAAGCTTGCCTCAAATGACACTTCTGGTAAATAAAGAGTGGGATTACAGGTCTGATTTCAGAAATGGTTCAGGGATGATTAGAATTATCCTAGAAGGGAAAGATTTGTTTGTTTTGTTTTGTGTTAGCACAGGGAATATCAAGATGTTTCTTGTTTTGATTACCTGCTTAGATAAAGCAAGGGAACAGGCCAGGAGGCTGAACAGTTCTGAGAGGGAGGCATGGAAATGCAGCATGAGGCAAATTCGCATGTAGGACAGCAAATTAGATGAAAATTAGGTTGAAGGGAGAAGTCACAAGATCCAATTATTTTGTTCAATGTAGTGCTTTCAAATCACTCAAAAGACCAAAAAAAGTTTTATTTTGTCATGTGAGCATGTGATCCTGGATAGTTAATTGCTTTGCAAATTGTCATTGGTAAAATGCTTTGGAGGTTTTTATGTAAGAGTTACAAGTAAATTAAAATAGTTTGTGCCACAAAGAAACTTTGGTGCGAAACAGAACAATTATAATTTAAAAGAGGTGGGGCAGTATGAGAAAGCAACTAATTTGGTATTAAAGGTTTGAAGACTGGAATTCTGTACAGTATGCTGGGAGACTCATCAGAACCTCTTCCCTGTTGTAAATAATGTTCTTGTCAGTTAATGCCTAATTGCTGCTCTTGCCTAGAAATCCAGAAGCTTTGGAGATAAGGAGGTCTCTCTGAATCCAGTTCCACAGTATATCAGCCCCTTTGTTCACCCCATAGACTGTACCCTTCCCAAGGGCGGTTTGTTGGCAAGTCTGTCTGGTAGGGCGGTGTTTTCTGCATAGTAATCAGGCCTCTGCAATTGTGATATTCCTCCCCTTCCCCCTAAACTCTTTGGGTTCTTGACACACATGGCAATGCCACTGGTATAACAGAAAGTCAGAAGGAGAAAAAGAGAAAATGTCTTCTCGAGTTCCAAGTGTCTGCACAGCCTTGCCAGACTATGATTAAGGCTTATCTACAGGAGACTGCATGAAAAACTTTCTTCTTCTCTTCCCAGGAAGCAAGCAGCCTTGTGAACAAGCAGGTTCAGAAAGCCAGGAACTGACAAACTTTTCTAGTCCTTTTGCCAGCCTGTTCTGCTTTTACCAAGAGTTTAGTGACAGGACTACCTGTTTTCAATAGTTAAAATGTATATTTTGATCACCTTTAGCACATGCTACCTTGCACAGCTCTTTTTAAAGCCTTATGTATTCTAGCTATTTGACCACTGTTGTGTGTGATTTTCATTTTTGATGCCTGATGTGACAGGAGGGGGTGAGGATGGGGGTCCCATAAAGATGCAGAGTAAGTTGAAGAAGACAATGCTTGTCCTGCCACCAGATGTCTCTTGTTTTTATTTTTGTTTTTGTTTTGTTATGTGTAAAAACAAATGAACCCTTGGGATATTAGGATATTTCGGAGCAAGGTGTTGTCACTGTTTCTCAGACTTGGGGAATTTAGAACTCATAGACTTTTTAATTATTAACTTGTATGTTTTGTCTTTCATACCTGAAAGGTCGTACTTAGGAGATGAAAGAATTTTTATCCCAAATTGAAATGTCTTAGAAGAATAATATTTCAGCTGGGCGCAGTGGCTCAAGCCTGTAATCCCAGCACTTTGGAAGGCCAAGGAGGGCAGATCACTTGAGCTCAGGAGTTCAAGACCAGCCTGGGCAACATGGCAAAGCCCCATCTCTACTAAAACAAAAATTAGCTGGGTGTGGTGGCGTGCACCTTTGGATCGCAGCTACTTGGGAGGCTGAGGCAGGAGAATTGCTTGAACCTGGGAGGCGGAGGTTGCAGTGAGCTGAGATCCTGCCACTGCACTCCAGCCTGGGTGACAGAGCGAGACTATCTCAAAAAAAAAAAAAAAAAAGAAGAAGGAGTTTCTGTACTCCCTTCAGAAACTTGCTTCACTGATATTTTCTTTTCTGATCCTGGAAAGGTTACATGTTTTGAAAATGGAATTGTAAAATGTGCTTGTTTCTAACCCTGTTTTTCTTGCTCTGTTTAGATGTCTAGATGATTATGGATACATTCTTTTCAGTCTCTAAAGTCTGAGGGAGTCCCTGTATCCTAATTTTTCTGCCAGCTGACATGTAGTAGAATATAAGCATCCTTCTGCCTTTAGGGACTTGCAGATTATATTCTTTGGATGGCTTACTTCAGATGCTAAGGACAAAATTTATTCATTCACTCAATAAATATTTATTGATGCTTACTGTGTGCCAGCTCCTGTTAGAGGGTTGGGGAATAAATACATCAGTGAACAAAAGATAAAATCCCCCTGCCTAAAGGAGATCCCATCCTAATAGAAATGTATGTTCTTTAACAGTAGATTATTATCCTGGAAGAACTAATCTTTATAATTACCAGATTCTTACTTCAGAGCAGTGGCATTTGGGGAGTTGGTGGCAGGTCTAACCTTCAGTCCTGCCCTATTTACTGCCATTTCCAAGGACCTTGGGATCATATAATGGTAGAGTTGAAAGACAGGTGGAAATTCTAGTCCAGTTCCCTCATTTTATTCATCAGAAGTAATGTGCAAATTCATATGCATACTCCCAGTGGGCCTTAAGATCACCTCAAGTTTCTCTCTGTTTCAAACTGAAGTGTCTGTTCTATACTCAGAATCATCTTTAGAACACTTGAGTGAGATCTCTAGTTCAGCCCTTTGAAAAACTGATGCTTGGATAAATTAAGTGACGCTCTCACTTTATTTAAAGATGATTGAGAATTGGCTATCACTGGCCTATTTTCTGGTCTTACAAGTAGTTCTGCCAAAGAGGCTAATTTCTAACTGGGAATTGTCTTTTGTCCCCAGAGGGAAATGGAACATGAACTGGATTGGAGGCACAGTCCTAAAGAGAGGGATACTCAGAGAACTTTGCAGAACTTTTTGGGTTAAAAAAAACAACTACTCTTTTCTGGTGCTACTGCAGTTTTTCTATCAAAAACAAAATCCAGGAACAAAAATACTCTGGCAGAAACCAGGAAACCAAATATCAGAAACCAAAGAGCCAACTCTATGGTTTCTGAACAGAGTGTACCATTTAGGATCCTGTTTAGCTACCTTTGGGTTTATTGGAAAACTACTCCATTGTGGTTACAAGTGGAAAACAATTTAAAGGCTCTTCTTTGGCTTTGGTACTTTTACAGGGTTTCACATTTCTAATAGTAAACGCTTCAGAAAGTTTGAAGAAATATCCTATTCTCAGAGAGAGGGTAGGGGAAAGCTTAACTTTATTTTTCTCTATCCCTCCCCTCCCAGAGTCCAGAAAACGGGCCCTAAATTCCCAGGACAGATTTGTTTCAACCTCAGGACAGTTGCTTAAGCAGTTAATGCTCAGCAGTATAGAACTTGTTTCCTTTTGTTAACGCTGAGGTTGCTACGGTACTTGGCCAGCTGTGGAGGTTTGTGAGCTGGACCTCAAGCTATTAAGAATAGCTTTGGTTGGTTTCGCCTTAATCCAAATGAACAGTTACCAGAGGACATGATGTAGAAGAGGTTATCGGAGGTTAGTTCTTAAAGGTCTTTAAGATCAGCCTGTTGTAATTCACATTCAGTAAAGCTATGGTTTATAACTGGTAAGCTGAGTAAATGGATTATCTCTAAGCCTTACTATTTTTAACCTTACTCCCCAAATAAATGGTGAATTGTCACGTCACTTCCAAAAGGTTTTATTTCAGTGAGTGTTTAGAGACTAGACAGATTTCACTTTGTTCCTGGAGAAGTCATGGTTGTGGTGACTGAGGGCATTGTCTGCTATTGTGGGAGAGGCACCAAGATGTTACACACTTGGTTGCTGATGGGCCTGGGTTCTAGGCCAGGTTTAGATGTTTAGTATCTGAGTCACCTAGAGCAAAGTTGTAAAGCTGTGCTCTTGATCTCTTTAGCTTTAAAATCAGCCAAAATACGATTTGGCCTATTAGCTTTCCAGGTGGTGATGAAAAGACACTATTGAGGTTGCAGGTGGTATTGTTAAGAAGGGAAGCAGGAAGACTGAGCATCAGATAGGCCTGTGAGTTTGTTTCTCGCTGCATCTCTCTTTGTATATAACGCTGTGGATCGCTTTTAAGGCTAAGGTATTTGTGTTTCTGGGTTAGCCACTTGTGCCAACAAAGCGACCTCTCTTTAACTGGAAAGCAGTTTGGTGTTCTCACTCATTTCTTCAGGACATATCATTACAGGTCTTTGAGTTGTAGTTAGGACTTTACACGTATGAATATGCTGCTAACACGCCTGGAGGACTTAACTGTTGACAACAGGGCTCCTTTTGCCTAGACTAGAGTTTTTTCATTAAATTCAGGAGATGTGCCTGTTGAATTTTTTTTAAATGTACACATACATGCACACATATGTACATTTTTGAAAAGAAAACAGTTGGGGGAAACCTGTCACCACTCCTCTTATCTGAGTTCCTTGCAGATTTGGCCATATATGCATGCATTGTTTGCTTGGCTGCAGTAAGAGATTTTTTTTGCACTTTGCTTTGTTTCCCCTTCCCCTCCCCATATACAGGCTTTACAATGGCTATTTAAAATCGTTGCTTTAATAGGACAAGGGTTGAATGGATTTATAATTTATTTAATTATTTCCTCACTGGAGAGCCCTTGATTTTTTTCCTCTTTATTTTAATATTCTTCAATATTATAGGTATTGTTTTTGTAATTTTAAAATAAAAGGACTGAGTCTAAGAGTCCTGTAAATTGCTTAGATTCTGTTAATAACTGGACTCCTTATCAGGAACTCAGAGTAAACTGGCCACAGGAAAATTTGCCTCACAAGAAACTCAATAGAATTAAAAGGAGAGGATTCAGTGTTCTTAAGTACAAGTGAAAGTCATGGGACTGGACCGCTTAGCTTCATGGGCTGAGCCTCTTCACCTTTGTGCTCTAAGAGGAAAAAACAGTGGAGCTTTCTGAGTTTTGTGTGTGCCCCTGTGTTTTGGTTTTTAAGAGAGAGAACGCATTCATACTCTGTTGTCTTTGCAAGTAGATAGAAGTGATAGGACAGGGACTGGGTGAAGTCTGAGGCATTTAAATACAGTGTAAAACAGTGCAGAGAGCAGCCCTCCCCATTTTCCTATCGCCCACACCTTTTGTTCCTTTTCCTCCCTCCACATCTTGTAACCCAGAAAGGATAAAAACTCTTTTCCTATAATCCTGCTGTTTTTGTGGCATTTGGATAATTTTACAGTGACATAAAATTGCCTCCCTGTTTTGAAACTGGTGATTTATTTTGAAAATTACCTGTGGAAAACAATCGTAGTTATTGAGTTGTAATTTGAAAACACTGAAATTTACCAATTTAAGTATAAAATTTGAGTTTTAGTGAATGTGTACAGTTGTATAACACCACAATTACGATAAAACATTTCAAACATTTCATCGCCACAAAAAATTCCCTCATGGCTTATTTTCATCAGTCCCTCTCCCTCCCCCTACCCACCCACAACTGCTGAGCTACTTTTTGCCTTTTCTAGAATTTCGTATAAATGTAGAGTCATTACTGTATGTAGCCCTTTGTGTTAGCATCTTTCACTTAGTAGAGTGCATTTGAGATTCATCCATGCCTTTTGTCAGTGGCTCATTCTTTTAATTGCTGAGAAGTATGCCATTGTTGTATGGATATTCTGTTATAGAAATATACCGGAATATTTTATCCATTCACCAGGGGATAGACATTTGGGTTGTTTCCAGTTTTTTACAGTTATGAATAAAACTGCTATTAATATCTATGTTCAGGACTTTTGGGGATGTATTTATTCATGTATTTGTGATAAATGCCTAGGAGTAGGACTGCTGGGTGGTAAGTGCAGTGTATGTTTAACTTTATAAGAAACTGCCAAACTGTTTTCCAGAGTGAATGTACTGTTTTGCATTTCTGCCAGCAATGTATGAGAGTTCTAGTTGTTTCACCTCCTCTCCAACACATGTAATTGCCAGTATTTTTACTTTTCTCCATTGTATAATGTAGTGGTAGATACCTCATTGTAATTTTAATTTGCATTTGCTTAATGATTAATAATGTTATGCATCTTTTCATGTGCTTATTTGTAAATTGTATATCTTCTTTGGTGACGTGTCTATTGAAATCTTTTGCCTTTTTTTTTTTTTTAAAGGATTGTATTCACACCATTTAGTTAGGAATTTCTTATGTATTCTGAATACATGTCTTTTATCAGAAATAAGTATTGCCAGTACTTTTTCTTGTTTGTGGATTGCTTATTCATTTTGTTAACAGTGTCCTAACAACTAAAGAGCTAAGTTTTAGCTCTTAAATTTAAGACTTTGATCCATTTGGAGATAATTTTAATATTTTGTATGAGTCTGGATTCATTTATCCATTGAACTTCCTTGACACCTTCGTGTATTTCTAGACCCTCTGTTCTATTGATTGCATGTTTTCTTTCTTATACTAATACTACATTGGTCTTTATTACTGTAGCTTTATTTTGTCAGGTAGTATAACTCTTCCAATTTAGTTCTTTTTCAAAATCATTTGTACTGTTCTAGATCTAGTCATCTTTAATTTCTCTCAGCAGTGTTTATATGTTTTA
This sequence comes from Homo sapiens, assembly GCF_000001405.40. Taxonomy (NCBI): domain Eukaryota; kingdom Metazoa; phylum Chordata; class Mammalia; order Primates; family Hominidae; genus Homo; species Homo sapiens. The sequence continues at coordinate 108,612,153 of NC_000006.12, forward strand.
AAATACAATTCTTACATACTGTTTGTGAAATTTATCCCCAAGAGCTTCATCTTTTGATACTATTGTAAATGATATTTTAAAAATTAGTTTCCATTTGTTTAGTATGTAAAAATATAATTAATTGGGTTTTGTGTATTGACCTTAATGTTGTAACTGCTAAACTCATGTATTAGTTGTAATACCCTTTTTGTAGAGTTCTTAGGATTTTTTTACATTGATGATCATGTCTATAAATAGAGTTTTCTGGCCAGGCGCGGTGGCTCATGCCTGTAATCCCAGGACTTTGGGAGGCTGAGGTGGGCAGATCACCTGAGGTAAGGAGTTTGAGACCAGCCTGGCCAAGATGGTGAAACCCCATCTCTACTAGAAATACAAAAATTAGCTGGGCGTGGTGGTGGGCACCTGTAATCCCGGCTACTCAGGAGGCTGTGGCAGAAGAATTGCTTGAACCCGGGAGGCAGAGGTTGCAGTGAGCCAAGATTGTGCCATTGCACTCCAGCCTGGGTGACAATAGCGAAACTCTGTCTCAAAAAAAAAATAAAAAAAAAATTTTTTTTCTTCCTTTCTAATATATACTGTATACACTTTATTTCTTTTTCTTGCCTTATTTCACTGGCCAGGACCTCCAATACATTGTTGAATAGCAGTGGTGAAAGCAGAGATCCTTACCATTTTTCTCATCTTAAGGGGAAAGCATTCAGTCTTTCACTGTTAAGTATCATGTTAGGTGTAAGTTTGTCACATATTTCCTTTATCAGGCTGAGGTAGTTTTCTCTATTCCTATGTGTTGAGTAGTTTTTGTTTTTTAAATTATGAGTGGATATTGAATTTTGTCAGATGCTTTTTCCTCACCTGTTGAGAAGATCAGATGGTTTTTCTTTTTCAGTCTTTTAATATGATGAAATACATTGACTGATTTGCAATGTTAAACCAACCTTACATTCCTGGGATAAATCCCACCTGGTCTTGATATGTTACCATGAGATTCAAGTAGCTAAAATTTTGTTAAGGATTTTTGTGTCTGTCTTCATGAGGAATATTGATCTATACATTTCTTATAATATCTTTGCCTGTTTTTGGTACCAGGGTAATGGTGGTCTTATAACATGAGTTGGAAAGTGTTCCCTGTTCTGCTCTGGTAGCACTGTAGTATCTCTTCCTTAAATGTTTGGTAGAATTCAACGGCAGTTAAGCCATCAGAGCCTGGAGTTTTTTTGTGTGTGAGGAAATGTTTAACTGCTAATTCAATTTATTTCATAGATACAATGCTGTTGGCTTGTCTGTTTCTTCTTGAATGAGTTTTGGTAGTCTGTGTCTTTTAAGGAATTTGCCCATTTTATTTAAGTTGTCTAATTTATGGGCATAAAGTCATTTATAATGTTCTCTTATTATCCTTTTAATAGATATATCATCTGTAGTGATTTCATTTTCATTCCTGATGTTGATAATTTGTCTTAACTCCCTTTCCCCCTCATTCCTTATCTGTTTAGTGCCTTGCAATTTCATTGATCTTTTAAACGAATTAACATTTGCTTCCACTGACTTTTCCCCCGTTACTTTTATGTTTTTACTTCCATTGATTTTTTTTTTCTCTTTTAATCTTTTATTTCTTTTCTTCTGCATGTTGTGGGTTTAATTTGCTCTTTTTCTGGCATCTTAAGGTGAAACCTTAGATCATTTACTTGAGACCTTCCTTCCTAATATAAATGTTGAAAGCTATACATTCCTTGCTACAACTGCTATAGATGCATCCAGTGAAGTTTGTTTTTGCATTCAATTCAAAATTGTTTCTATTTTACCTGTAATTACTTTGGTCTGCAGTTTGTTTAGAAGTTAATTTTTAAATTTCCAAGTATTTGGAGGATTTTCTGGATATTTTTCTATTACTGTTTTCTAACTAAATTCTTTTGTGGTTGGAGAATCTGTTTTGTGTTGTTTTAAATTTGTTGAGACTTGTTTTATGAGCCAAGAATATTGTCTATCTTATTGAATGTTTTCCATGTACTTAAAAAGAATGTGTTTTCTGCTGTTTTGGGTGATTTGTTCTATAAATGTGAATTAGGTCAAGTTAGTCAAGTTCATTTTCTCACTACATGTTCTATCAATTACTGTGAAAGGAATGTTGAAATATCCAGCTGTAATTGTGGATTTGTCTACTTCAATTCTATTAGATTTTGCTTCATGTTTTTAACAAACTTTAATTGAAAAATAATAATTGTATACTGCTTTATGTATTTTGAAAATCTATTATTAGGCAGATTAACATTTAAGGTTGTTATATCCTCCTGATACATTGACTCTTCTATTATGAATTGTCTCTCTTCATCCTTGGCAGTATTTGTTGTTGAAATCTGTTCATTAATAACTGTTAATAATATAGTTACTCCAGCTTTCTTTTGACTACTGTTTGTATGGCAGATCTTTTTTCCTTGTACTTCTAATCTATCTGTGTCTTTATATTTAAAGTGGATTCCATGCAGATAGCAAATTGTTGGGTGTTTTTTAATCCAATCTGACAATCTCTGGCTTTTATTTGGAGGGTTTTTTGTTGATGTTTTGGTTTTTTTTTGTTTTTTATTTTTTGCGTTTTTTTCAAAGACCATTTTGTTTAATGTAATTATATTTGGGTTTAAATCTGTTATCTTGCTATTAGTTTTCTATTTGTCCCATTTGTTCTTTGTGTCCTATTCCCCCTTTTCTTGCCTTCTCTTGAGTTAGGTGGTTTTGTTTGGTTTTAATGAACCCGTGTTATCTCCACTCTTGGCTTATTAGGTACATCTCTTTGTTATTTTTTAATGGTTGCGCTAGGATTTACACATCTTTAACTGATGATAGTCAATCTTCTGCCACTTTACATGGAGTATAAAATCCTTGAAACAATATACAGCCACTTCTCCCTTATTATTCTTAGTGCTATTTTCTTCTACATGTATGTTATAAGCCCCAGAATATATTGTTATTTTTGCCTTAGATAGTCATTATCTTTTAAAGAGATTGAAGATAAGAAAATATTGTCTATATTTACTCATATATTGATCATTCCCCGCTCTTCATTCCTTTAAGTTCAGATGCCCATCTGGTATCATTTTCTCTCTGCTTGATGAAACTACTTTTTAAAATATCTCTTTGAATGTACCACTGCTGGCATTGATTCTCATTTTTGTTTGCCTGAAAGAGTCTTTATTTTATCTTCGTTTTTGAAAGACACTTTTAATAGGTATAAATTTCTAGATTGGTAGCTTTTTCCCTCTCTTAGTAAGGATGTTCCTCCATTGTCTCACATAGTCTCTGAAAAGTGATTTGCTCATTCTATATTTCTCTTAATGTCTTTTTTCTTCTGCCGCTTTTAAGTATTTTTTTTTTGTATCACTGGTTTTTATTATTGTGATGTGCCCTCTTTAATTACATCTGTTCTTTTTGGAGTTTGTTGAGTTTTTCTTGGATCTGAGTGTTTATAGTTTTTTATAAAAAAAATTTAAAATCCAGCCATTATTTCTTCAGATTTTTTTTCCATCCTCTCCCTCTTTCCTCTTCTTTTATGATCTCAATTACACATATGTTAGACAATTTAGTATTGTCCCCATAGATCACTGGATACTCTCAATTTCATTTTCAGTCTTTCCCTGTGCTTCATTTGGGTTAGTTGGTTAGTTGCTGTTGTTGTGTCTTATAATTTACTGATCTTTCTGCAATGTTTAATTTGCTGTTAATCCCATCCAGTGTATTTTTAAATTTATTTTTCTTTACTAGAAGTACCACTGGGTTTATTTCTTTTGTATCTTCCAATTTCCTGCCTTTTTTCCCTCTACCTTCTTACTACATAGAGTATATTTATAATTTTTTTTTTTCCTTTGAGAATGAGTCTCACTCTGTCACCCAGGCTGGAGTGCAATGGCGCAATCTTGGCTCATTGCAACCTCTGTCTCCCCAGTTCAAGCGATTCTCCCACCTCAGCCTCTTGAGTAGCTGGGACTACAGGTATGTGCCATCACGCCCAACTAAGGTTTTTTTTTTTTTTTTTTTTTTTTTTGAGATAGAGTCTCATTCTGTCGCCCAGGCTTGAGTGCAGTGGCGCAGTCTCGGCTCACTGCAAGCTCCGCCTCGTGGGTTCACACCATTCTCCTACCTCAGCCTCCCGAGTAGCTGGGACTACAGGCACCCACCACCACGCCTGGCTAATTTTTTTATTTTTTAGAGACGGGGTTTCACCATGTTAGCCAAGATGGTCTCGATCTCCTGACCTTGTGATCCACCCGCCTCTGCCTCCCAAAAGTGCTGGGATTACAGGCGTGAGCCACCACACCCGGCCAATGTTTGTATTTTTTAGTAGAAATGGGGTTTCGCTGTGTTGGCCAGGCTGGTCTCAACTCCTGGCCTCAAGCAATCCTCCCAACTCTGCTTCTCAAAGTGCTGGGATTACAGGTGTGAGCCACTGCGCCCAGCCATATTTATAACTTTTTAACAGCTTTGTTGAGACCTAATTCACATTGCCATATAATTTACCAATTTAAAGTTTGCAAATTGATGGTTTTTAGTATATTCACAGAGTTGTGCAACTATCTGTTGTGCAACCACAATCTAATTTTAGAATACTTTCGTCACCCCACAAAGAAACCTTGTATCCATTAGCGGTCATTTCCCATGTACCCCACTCCTTTTCAGCCTATATTGATATGAAATGTCAGTCTATAGGGACTCTTCTGGACATTTCATATCAATGGAATCATATAATAGGTAGTACTTTGTGAGTGCCTTCTTTCACTTAGTATGTTTTCCAGGTTCATCCATGTTGGTAGCATTTATCAGTACTTAATTTCTTTTTATTGCTAAATAATAATCCATTATATGGATATACTACATTTTATTTATTCATCAGTTGCTGGGCATTTGAATTGTTTCCAGTTTTTAGCTATTATGAATAATGCTGCTGTGAACATTTGTTACCAGTTTTTATGTGGACATATTATTTTAATGTCTTTGGGTATATGCCTAGGAGGGAATTGCTGGGTCATGTGGTAACTCTCTTTAACCTTTTGAGGAACTGCCAAGTTGTTTTTTAAAGAAGCTGCACTGTTATAATAGCTAGTTCAGTGCCCTTGTCTGCTAGTCCCATCATCTTGTCTCATTTCTGGGTCTGTTAATTGATTGATTATTTTCATTTTTATGGGTCATATTTTCCTGTTCCTTTGCTATGCCTGGTAATTTTTACTTGGATACCAGGCATTGTGAATTTTACATAGTTTTTTTTTCATATTAAACAAGAAGTTTATTTAAACAGTAAGACGCTTGACTTAAAGAGAAAACTATATAGGATTCTTTTTTTTTTAGAGTAGTTTATCCCTAGATAAAGACAGATTGCCCTACATATAACAGCTACATACAAAAAAGTTATAAAATTGTCCTTGGTTTTACAGTGATCAATTAAAAACATGAAAATTCTCCAGTTGAACAAGGTATGCAAGGATTTTTATGGGTTTTTTGTTTGTTTGTTTGTTGTTGTTAAAACAGAGCAAAATAACTTACTGGAATATGAAGAGCAGGATGAGCATGCCACTAATGGAGAGTGGGGGTGTTTTCACAGAATCAGTGTTTTTCCCCATCCCGTCTCCACTTGATGTCAATCAAAACATACCGTTGGCTGTTAAAAAAAAAATGCAGTGTGCTTGTGCACATATACCAGTTACTTTTATGTACAGTAAAAGAATGGAGAAGGAGGAAATGAACAAACAGAGAAAACTATGCTGTAGTAGTCAGGGATGTATTGGAACCAAATTGCAGTTTTCTACTTGAGAAGGTAATCGTGGTCTGCGAGAACAGAGTTCTGGAATGAAGAAGCAGGTTCCCTTCTCAGTAGACACCTCCCATCTGCTGTTGGAACACGTCAATCGTATCTTCATTCTCCATTTCCAACTGTACAGGTGTGTCTTTTTCATTGATTTGGTTGCCGGTCAAATCAGAGTCTGATCTGCCTCATGGACAATCCCTGTCATTCACAATAGGCTTTCATTAGTTTACTAAGTGGTGTATGCCTCTTAATCTTAAACTGCACCACAGAACCACCCTGCCCCACCACCTTCAAATTAATATGATTGTTCTTAGTCTTGACTCCTTCCTGGGGCTTTTTGTCAGCCATGATGAGCACCGGTTTCTCCTCAGCTGCCGCTTCACAAAAGAGATATCAGGTCCACACTGAACGAGCACATGAGCAGCACCAGGAGCCACAGAAGAAGGAGGCAGCAGCAGCAGATGAAGGAGAGGGAATTTTACTTCATTGAGTGCTAGATTTTGTTGTATTCTTTTCAAAAGCGCTAGACTTTGTTCTGGCATGCAGTTAAGTTACTTGGAATCAGTGGTATCGTTTTGAAGCTAGCATGTAAACTTTGTTAGGCTGGCTCCAGAGCACCCATTAGGAATGATGTAGCCCGAGTACTTATCTGCCGTAAGGCAGTATTCTTCTGAGGACTTTACCTGATGTTGTGTGTCTTGTGAATTATTTTTGTTTTTGTTGCTGGTGGAAACATGAACTATTGCTAGCTTTATGTGAACTGTAGGACTTCTTAGGCCAACTGCTTTCTGGTGCTCGTATCCCTAACTTTAAGTAGTTTCCTTTGAGAGATGTGCAGATCAGTCTAAGACTCTAGGAACCGACCCTTTTGTGCTGCTCTCTTCTCCTGGGTGTTCTGCCCTTCCAATTCTAGCCGTTTTGGCCTCCTTGAATGTGGCTTCTCTGATTACTAATCTGTGTTACCTCTACTCAGTAAGACTGACATGCTCTGTGTTCCCCCTTCTCTTTGCTGTGGCTTGGACACTACCTCCTGGCAGTAAGTTCAGGCAAATAAGTTCAAGGCTTGTCTCATATGTTTCACTGTTCTCAGAAATTAAGTCCTATACTGCCTGTTGTCCAATGTCTGAAAACAGTTGTCTTGTGTTTTGCCTGGTTTTCTAGTTGTTCCTCTATCATAGATGGAATCCATAATAAATATGATGCCAATGCCAAAATCTGCTACTATATTACTCTTTAAAGCAGAGACTGTATAGGAAGAGGAAAAAAGAAATCAGTGTAACCGTGGGGGCAAGGCAGGAAGCATTCTGTTTATGTAACACAGACGTGGCATTCTTTACTTTCTAACTTAGGACATTTGTGATTTGAAGAAGAGACACCTGAATTTTCAATATGTTAGTCTTTGTTGGAATAATTGGCTCTTCTCATTCTTTAGTCATCAAATAATACTTATTAAATACCAACTAAGTGCTTTGTGCCCTGCTAGGCATTACTTCTCTTTATTCTACTTCTTAACAGTTGGAATATGCCAAACAAATGAAATAAAAATAGTTTTCCTATTCTAGTTACAGGTTGGATTCTTGGATTTATCTCCCAAGCTTTGACATTCAGAAACTGAAAGTGGAATATAGTGTATTCTCAGATGTAAAGTTGATCTCATTTCCTCACTGGCCATCTGTTTATTTGCGTCTAAGAATAACAAAACTTTCATAGTCATATCTGTATTTTTTAATTACTAAAAATAATGAATGGACTGAACCATGCTTGCCCCACTTTTGAAACAATTCCTTCTATAGACTGTTGCAGTAGGAAGCTAATACCCCTGATTAAGAATAAAGACCAGACCTACATAAGCATATGTTGTATTGGTGTATCTGAAGTCATGAGGATGTGATTAATGGTCCTTAAGAGTTTTAATTTGGCGTGTCTTAATGCCTAAATCTCACTTAAGCTTGGTTGCAAAGCCTGGCAAATCAGTCTTCTGTACATGGCAAGCTAAGATGTGGCACCATCTTCTTGAGGTTTCATATCCTAAACCTGTCTGTCCTTACAGGTTAAATTCAAAGGATAGGGCCAAGCTTGATTTGCTGTAGTCATAGTGAATCATCACAGATCCATTCTTAGTGCAGAAGAGTTAAATAATTCCTTGGCCAAGAGCATGGTGCCTTCCCCAGACCAATTTCTAACAGTGTCCTCTGTTAGATCTTTAAGTTAATAAATTCTTTTATTAGATTTTTGGGTCAGAAAAACAGACTATGCTTGTACTCAGGAGCCCAGAAATACATAATATAATTGACTAATTCCTGTCTTTGAGGTCTTAACGTGGTTTCATGTGCCTTTTGATTTGTTTTTACATGTGGATCATTTTCCCTTAACACTTTAATATGATACAATTTTTGTCTATCGTTTTTCTTAAATAGGAGGGAGAAAATTTTTTTTAGTAGGAAAATATCTGGTGGTAAGTGGCATCTTTTTATTCCATGTGGGATGCAGAAGTTTCTCCCAAAAACTGAAGTGACCTGCTTTTTGCAGATAGGACCCCTGTATTTCTCCCATATTACTTTATAGCTGGTAGATGGTAGGGCTGTACACAGCAAATGGGTTTGAATGCATGATGGTTTTCTGGTGGAGCTGAGATAATTAGTATTATGAAGCCACGCTTCTGATTGTGAGAATGAGAACATCAAGTCATTATTTATCTTGGAAAGAACGAATAATTTGTTTATAGTAATAACAATTTTCTTTTATTTTTCTTTCTCTTAGTCAATAGCTGCTGCTGTTGGCAGCTTATTATGAAAAGATTTCAAGTTGTAGTTTTTAACCTGGGGTGGGAGTAGGGGAGAAGAAAATTAATATCGTAAATGTTTTTACTTGATAAAAGTTTTATTTGATACAGAGCCTATACTGGTGTTTTTATTGAATAGTGTTTTATTGCTGACATTCAATACTCTCTTTGCCTGTAGCCTCCCACGTTATCCAAAATGAAGGCACTTCTTAGATGTTTCAATGAATGATACAACCAAAAATATTAAAATGCCTATTTAAGTCATATCTTATTTAAAGCCCCATTTCAAAGGAGGATTTTGAGGATAATTAGTATTTTAATTGTTAAAGTTAGATAATTTTGTTTGGATGGAAAATCTATGTTCCTGTGAAATTGGGGTTTATGAAATAAGATTGGAAAAAAATAGAGTGTATAATTGGGCACATTCTGTACTGCTTAGTGAATCACCAAACGAGTGTAATCACCATTAAGCACTTTAAAAGCTATGCTTGTATGTCCTCGCTCTGCCTGCAGAGCTAGGAGTGCCCACGAGGAACAGCAGTTCATTCAGGCTGTAGTCATTGGGGTGACTCGTGGAACCCCTGCCTGTGTGAGTAAGCCCGCTGCCTTGCCAACTGCCTGCTGTGTGAGTCTCAAAGACATCAGATGTCATCAAGCCACAAGGACTTCTTGGTCATTCTTAAGGCCATGGCAGGAGCACAGTTCAAAATCCAATTCACAAGGCAACGTCTGGAAGAAAGAATCAAGTATGTGTGTAGTGCATGATGTACCTCAGCTACTGTAGTGAAAAATTGTTGGGATGAGTCTTTCACCATGTTAGTGTTTTTTTTTGTTTTGTTTTGTTTTTTGAGACAGAGTCTTCCTCTGTCACCCAGGCTGGTGTGCAGTGCTAAATATCCTGCAGTGCATAGGAGAGGCCCACAGCAGATGTGTCCAGCTCAAAATGCCAGTAGTGCCAGGGCTGAGAAACCTACCTGAAGCCTCACAGTGGCATGGTCCGTTTCAGAAGTATGTGGGAGAGAAAATTGAAGGTGAGAGGTCTGTAGCTCTCCTGAAGTCAGGCCACATAAGTACTTTGCCAGGTAGGTAGTGCCTAGTGACAGGGATGTACTAGAAAGAATTCCTCTTGAGCTTGGCCTTGGGTCTCGTGCAGACATGTTCATGTGACATTAGGGGAGGCTGTGGGCCTCAGGCAGCTAAGGAGTAACTGGCAAGTTTTGTATGGAGAGTCGGGAAGACAGAAGCAGGGGCAGCCGGGAGTGGTGGCTTACCTAGTAATCCCAGTACTTTGTGAGGCCAAGGCGGGTGGATCACTTGAGATCAGGCGTTTGAGACCATCCTAGCCTGGCCAATATGATGAAAGCCCATCTCTACTAACAATACAAAAAAATTAGCTGGGTGTGGTGGCGCATGCCTGTCATCCCAGCCACTTGCGAGGCTGAGGCAGGAGAGTCGCTTGAACCCAGGAAGTGGAGGTTGCAGTGAGCCCAAATCATGCCACTGCACTCCAGCCTGGGCGACAGAGCAAGACTGTCTCAAAAAAAAAAAAAAAAAAAAAAAAGGCAGGGATATCTGAGACTTAAGTTCCTCTTGGAGAGCTGGAGGGTCAGGAGAGCGAAGCTTTCTATCTTGCTTTGTACCTGAGATCTCCTTGAATCAGGGTGGGCAGGGAGAGAGAAGGGATCTGTTCAGACATTTCCTTTTGGGGTCAAATGAGAGGAAGGAGTCCTTGCCCCTTGGAGAATTACTGCAAGGATCTGGTTGAGTTGAGAATTTGTTTCCCCCACCAGTATTGTTTTTGGTGTTTTTTTGTTTTGTTTTATTTGTTTTGTTTTGTTTTAACATCTCTGTTTCCTTCCCCTTTCTGTTGTTGCTCCTTCCTCCTCCCACTCCAACTACCACACAAATCCTGACAGGAGCCTTTCTGCCCCTCTAGGGAAGGGGCCCGTGTGAGGAACTCTTACTGGACGCCCCCTTCCCTGTTGCTGTGCTGATCTTACACATCAGTTTCCACGGATCCCATGTGAATCAGTTGTCTTCCTCATTTACTCTGAGCAAGGGTGGCAGCAGCAATAGCAGAAGACGTAGATGCAGTGACTCATTTTGCATGATGTCTGCAAGAGAGCCGGGCCTCCCGTGTGCTGTGGCTCTCGTTCAGGCATTGCTTCAGAAACTTGATTCTTCTGGAATTGTGCATAAGAGGGCCTTTTAGAAAAAAAAAAAAAAAAAAGCTGGAAGAGTTCCCCTTCCTGAGCTTCAGTGGAAGCAACAGGAGGGTGGGCCACGTCCAGGACAGTGGGAGAGCAAGGATGGACCCTCTGTGTCCACCTCCAGTGTGTGGCACTGTTTTCCATCTCATCTTGGACATATCATGGGGCTACAGCATGCCTCAGAAGCCTGCCAGAACCTAGTGATGGTTTCCAGCATCTGGGTTTGGGGAGGACTGTGGTGATGCGCTAGGGATAGCCATCTGGAAGGGGTGGGGCAGAGACAGCAGGAGCCGTAGTCGTCTCAGGAGCCTACTCTGATTAGCTTATAAGTTGGCCTCTTTTCATGATTTCTGGGTCATTGGTGAGTGGATAGGAGTTATAGGATCCTTTGTGGGTGAGTAGAAGATACTGTGGCAGATAGGTTTTACTGAACCCACCTGCACATGTAAATCTTTCCTTTTTAATGTGTCACCTCTTCAGTTTGGGTGGAGAAGCTTGCCACCCCCAGGTTCATCCCTAAGCATTGTGGTAGGCTCAGGACTAACAGACACTAGCTCAGCCCCATTGAGGGCCCCCAGGCTAGGCTTCAGCTTTGGGAAAGCTTGTTTTCTCCTTGGGCAGGCCTTGTCAGACGTTTTGCTCCTGGGTGTTTGATGTTTTGATGTCTGTACTATACAAAGCCACATGGGAAGGCAAAGGAATACACCCCTTTGTATAAATGACAGTCATAACAAATGAAGTATATACCAGTTTGTGCTGTCTGTCAAGGAGTAATTCATCTCAGCTAGTAAAATAAAGGGGAAGGGAAGGAAATTCAGGTCTTTAGCTATGCATTCATAAACTGGACTTAAGAAGAGCCTTCCTCCTCTTATAATGCTAACTGCTCTTAATATTTCCTTCTTAATGAACAGTTGATATAAGAGTTTTCTCCTTTCATCTAAGAAATACAGAACAATCTGCAAGTTTTCTTAGTTGTTTGTTAAATGGACTTCGAAATGATTGAGAAATTCGTATTTCTCAGCGAAAATAAGTATTAAGTTAATGGACAAGTAGCAGTCCTTGTTGCCACCAAGATTTTGCATCTGAATTGTATATATAAACTGTGTCAGGAATATCATAAAATCATGTTGAGGCTGCAGGGACAAGGAAATTTCATCTCATGAATCTGTTTGATGTTTTCGGGATGTCCTGAGAGAAAAATTCTTTGACCTGCCTAGTGAGCAAGGTCTAAGTTTGTACACCCAGGTCACATTGTACCCTGGGCTTTCCAAAGATTTATCCTGCATCTGAGCCAAAGGCTTTTGAAGCCTGTGGTTGCTGGAATTTTAGGGTGTATCTCTTTGCTTCTTCAGATGAGACATTTCTTAAGGTAGAATAATGGTTAAAAAAAAAAAAACCTCTCAGTTTACTCTAGAAAGATACAGCATTTTTGGTACAAATCCAAGGAAGTCCAAAGAGGATCAGGTTTTATAATTATATTTTAATATGTGAAAGGAGAAACCTGTTTTATCAGGCCAGTAGGTTTTTTGCTTAATAAATAGTGGCAAGAAGAAAGCTATGGGCCCAGCTGGAATGGGTGCAGTTTTTAGAAAAGATTATTTGTAGTTGTTGGGCACATCCTTGCATGTGGACTTTGAAATAAGAAATTAAATCACCACCTTATTTTTGCAGGAAATAATCCAAATATAAAAAGTTAAAGTTCGTATTGTACTTTGGTGAAGCTTTAGATATATTTTATATTTCTTAAAATAAACTTTTTTTCTATGCATAAAAGTGGAGGTCAGATGAATTACAAGTGCATTCTTAACTGAGTGGAAATGGGTGCTGGTGTTTCATATATACATATAAATTTTTTTTGCAGTTGTTTAACTTTTTTTTTATAAAGAGTCTTGCTCTGTTGCCCAGGTTGGAGTGTAGTGGCACAAGCATAGCTTACTGCAACTGTGAACTTTACCTGAGCCTCTGGAGTAGCTGGAATTGGAGATACAAGCCACCACGCTCAGTGTTTTTTGTTTTGTTTTGTTTTGTTTTTTAAAGAGATGGGATATTGCTTTGTTTCCCAGGCTGGTCTTGAATTCATGGGCTCAAATGATCCTCTTGTCTCAGCCTCCCAAGCAGCCGGAATTATAGGTGCAAGCCACTGCACCTGGCTGCTTGACATTTTTATAGACTCATACTAAAAAGTTTATTCATTGAATGAGTACTGTGTGCATAGGGTTAAATTTATCTGACGTTTGTTATAATTTAAACAGGAGTGTTGATAAAACTGTGTAAAATGAATTAGCATATACTTGCCATTATGTTTTTATCTTAATAATTGTTATGTAGTTTCTATGAAAAGTTCAGTTACTTAACATTTCCATGCTTTTTTGTGTTTGCTTTATTTAACCTTAAAAGAGTGATTGAAGTAATAGTTTTGTTAGGTCATTAGATTGGTGATCTCCCCTTTTGTATAGTCAAATTTAATTTCATTGTTTAAGATTGAAAACTAGTGCAAATTCTAGTTTGATCACAGGACCACAGTTAAAGGTGCATTCACATATCTCATATAAGATACCTATTTTCACTGTATTAATCATTTGCATTAATCAATAAATTTTAACTTTTAAAAGATTTGATGGTTAAAAAGATGATGGAAGGAATTATTTCTCTAAAACTAAGGAAATCCTTGCTCTGGGAAGCTGTGTTGAGAAGAGTTCTAAGCTCTGCTGCCTGTGTCAGTGTTCTCTGGAAAGACCTCTCTTGGAAGGATGCTGTGATGTGGAGTCAGGAGGTCAGGACCCAGCCCTACCCTCCCTACCACCTGCCAGCTGTGTGGCCTTGAGTGAGCCAACAACTTTGCCAGGAGTCATTTGCCTTATCTTTAAAATAAAAGATCACTACCATGTCCTGGGTTGTTTAAGTGAGATTATGTAGTATTAGTAGGGTGCCTCCCACCACAGGTCCTCAGTACATTGAGGTTTCTTTCCCTGCCTCCTGCCTCCTTGCAAGGAAAGCCAGAGCACTTTGACTTAGAATTGTGTCTGAATTCAGCTGGTGTGTTGCATAAGCTTGGTTATCTGCTTTTCCTCTCAGTTCTTCCTAGGTAGAGGTGAGGGTGAGCGGGGGAGCTTCATGCAGAGGAAATAGTCTGAGGCTATTTAGTGTAGAAGCATACTTCAGTGTGATCCTGGGATGTCTAGAAAAGGCTAGATTATGTCCAGTATACACTTTTTAAACAGCTACCATTTTAATGTTTTGGTACTGGGAAATGTGTTAGTTGAAAATTTCACTTACGAGTAATCCTTTTATTTCTCTATGGTAACAAGACAGGTAAGGCATATCAGTTGGCCCAGACTCATTGGTCCTCAATGACTGACTGCCGGACTCAGAGTTGAGGGTCTGATCTCAGAGGACGCAGGTTGTGTTGCCAGCCCAGATACCTATGACACCCTTTCCTAGCAAGTGGACGCTGTTTTCTGAAATATCTGTCACTACCTTGAGGCAATCCTCATTATTTTAATCTTTATTCTTAGGCTAATGTCTTGAGCCATGTATCAGAGAGAGACAGGCAGGTTGTTGATTTTTGAGATGAAGAACAACTATCTGGCCAGGGAGAGAAAGAGAAAATCGGCTTATAAGTTAGAATGGTACAGAGTGCTCTGCCTTCTCAGATTATTTTGTTTCCAAGAATCACTGATTATATAGCTTTTTTTTTTAAGTTTAAGCCCATACCCATTCTGCATATTTCAGAGTGAAATGTCCTTTCGGGACAATCTTATTAAATCACTAATCTGAAATTTTATGTTCCCTAGTTGGCCATGCCAGTATTTTGGTTAGGGTTTTAGGTGATTTTTATATCCACTGTAAACTTGGATATAACTTACCATTAACCAGATACTTAAAACCAGGGTATTTTCCTAAGGTTTAACATTGGAAGTGGTATGTGAGCTGAGCCTTGAAGGGTGACACCAAGTTTTTTGACACGAAAAGGTTGGATGAGCTAGCTAAAGGGCTTGTTTTTTATCCTGTAGGGCAGGAGTGGTTGTAGATGCCCTCTCATGTGCTGACATACTGATTGATGGTGGCTTCTAAGGTCTCTCCTGAGTCTAGTAGGAGGCAGGCTTCCTAACTGTCATGGACACCAGGCAGGCAGGTAGGGGAATGAAGCAAGATTTGGCAGCGCAGCTGCTGTGAGTTTGCTCTCCAGTGGCTTGGAAATGGGAAGTTAAGGATTCTGATCTTATGTGAGACCATTTTCAGACTGTCCTAGTCTGCCCTCACATATCCCTGGAATGGACACATACAGGCTGGTCAGGGCTTTCTTGGGGCACTGAGGTGGGAGAAGCTGGAGGCCTGGGCAGGGTAGTGGAACTGAGAGTGAGAAGCCCCCTACACTTGGATCTCTTGCGTATCACACGAGACTCATTTATTGATGACTGCCTAGCTGGCTCATAATACTGATGGCTGAATGGGGGTATGAAAACTGGTCCTCAAGAGTATCCAGTCTTATTGGAGGAATAATGCAAAAACAAACAAACAAAAAAGGATAAAATAAAAGAAACAAAAGCCCAGGTGGTAAATTTTCCAGTCTTCTTGGAGAAGTAACACAGAAAAAAAGGTAAAATAAAAGAAACAAAAGCCCAGGTAGTCATTTTGCAGTAGAGCTCAGTGACTAAGGGCAGAGTACCTTGCAGAGGTGTTCAGTATTTTGGCTTCCCTGGGCCACACTGGAAGAATTGTCTTGGGGCACACATAAAATACACTAACACTAACAGTAGCTGATGAGCTAAAAAGAAAGAAATAGTAAAAAAAAAAATCCCATAATGCTTTAAGAAACTTTACAAATTTGTCTTGGGCCACATTCAAAGCCATCCTAGGCTGCGGGTTGGACAAGCTTGGTTTAAATCCTCTGCTTAACAGCTGTGTGACCCTGGGCAGGTGACTCAGTGACTTCTTCCATTGGTTTGCTGGTCTGTTAGAGTATCACGTACTTTATAGGGCTGTTGTGAGAATTAAATGAGTCAGTATATGCATATTTAAGGTACTTAGAGCAGAGTTTGGCATGTAGTAAGTGCCAGATAATTATATATAATTATTATTTTGGAGATAGAGTCCCTAAGCCTGTTTTGTCTTTGAAATAAGAACTTCATAGCATTGTGCAGGTTTAGTGAAGTAATGTTGGTAAAAGCATCTGGAAAAAAGCCTGGCAGAGACCAAGTGCTCAATAACCAGTAGTTGTTATCATTCTTATCATTTAATACTTACCCATTGGTGTGAGTTTATTTGGTTCTCCCTCCACAGAGATAGGGGAAGAAATAATGTATTTTAGCCATCGATTTTTGCTTTTGGTTTCAGAATCCAGTTTTGAAAACAAAATGTGTTTGTTAACAGGCTGCTCCTTTGCCAAGAAAAATGACAAAATTACCTCCATGTACTCTTCTCTCCTCCCCCAAAAGCCCTGTATGAGTGTGTCTCTGGCTGCGCATATTTAAGTATTAACTGAGATAAAGCATGAGCTCAGCAGGGGCTTTCTAATGGCTAATCCACAGTAACCCATTTAAAAAATCTTTTTCTCCACACAAGAAAAAGAACTAGTAGGGAAAGGACATTTTGGTGGTTGTTTGAAAGAAGTGTCACTCGGGTATTTGGGGGAGGAAGAGTGGTGTCTCACCATTGAGTTTTTTGTTTGGTGGATGCCTCTTTTCCAGGTCCAGTTGCTGAATCCAGGACATGGAGTGGAGACAGGGAGTGGGTAGGAGGTGCCATCAAAGTTCTAAGCAAGTTCAGCAGTGTTGAAAGAATTTAAACCCACTCTGCAGCCGGGTTATAGCTAGACAGTACTCTACCCTGGGATAGTGTGGAGAGGACATCCTTTCCCATTAGGCACTGACAGCCCAAGACAAAAAATGGGAAGAATCTTGGGTGGGTGAAAACACTTTACACAATAAGTTCTTGGTGGTCTCCTGACCTCTAGGGACCTCTGAACTTCTGGAGTTAAGATGAAGGCATGGACAGTCTTTTTTTGCGAAGTGTCATGTAGCAACAGAGTTTGGGCTTTAGAATCTGACAGACCTGGGCTCTAGGGAAACCTCCTTAGGAGCTTACTGGCTGAAATCGAGCAAGTTCTGTAACCTCTCTCTGCCTCCATTTTTCACAGGTAAATCCTAGTCGAGGATTAAGTTGAAGCTATGTATATTAAGTGCTTAGCATAGTTCCTAGCAAAAAGTAAATTTAAAATGATCTGTTACTATTAGTGGTGGTGGCGGTGTGGTGATCACCAGCAACAGTCAGAGGGTGGTGGACCAAGGAGGAAGCAGACAGCATTCTTAAGAGAGATGGAAATTGCCCTCTACATTATAGAGGACCCATCTGAGACCATCTCCCAGTTCAGTTCTGTAGGAAAGGCAGGTAAGATTGAGAATAAGGGTTGTGTAATTTTCGGGTGCCTTCTTCCTCTGGGGCTCTTAAGATCTGAGCACAGTGGATTCAAGTAAGGTAAGGAAAGACTACCAGTAGGGAGAGGTCTGGTAGTTAGGGGTGTCAGTTTAGCGGGAGGTTTTTTGTTTGCTATTTTTTTCTTTTTGTCTTAGACACTATGTTGAACTTTTTTGGAGTTGTGAAGTCAAAGGATGATAATATTGTAAGCAAATATTCTCTTTTCAGAAAGGATTAGGAGCAGGTAAAAACTTTAGTTAGCTGATATTTTTGCTTTATAGTAAAACCTCTCCGGCAGAATTATTTTATAATCTTTTTTTTAACACCTTTTTTTTTCTGACAGGAGATATTAAGTAAGAAAGGTATCTACTTTGTATGTGTTGTTCTCTGGCTTTTTATGAATAAAGTATTACTTGTCTTTAAGCATCTCTGATAGGAATTTAGATAATAAGCCAGTGAAATATTTTTCCTCCATAAATTCCTGTGGCCTTGATGGTGAACCTGTGATCAAAATATTAGAAATACTGACTCTGAAATTGATTCAGATACATTTGCTTGGTTATATAAATTCTGTACTTTTGGCCCTGAAATAGAAAAAGCCTACTTGAAGCTTTGGGGACCTTCTTACTACTTCCAGGTCATCCTCGAAGGTCTTAAAATGTTTTTAAACATGACCAGTTCTTTTCTACTATATTGGTCTAAACTCTATGTTGCTCCTTCCTGAGAGAAGATAGTTTCCTCTGGTTTTGTCTAGACCACAAGTGGCTTCAGAGAAACAGGCTTCTAGGTATAGCATGGAAAGGGGAAGATCTGGTGGATAAGGAAGGTTTTAGATGACACAAGTAATACTGGGGACAACTGTGGAACAAAGAGTGAGAAAGGTATGAAGAGGAGGGTACAAGGAAGGCAGAAACAGGGAAGAGCAGGCCGGAAGAGAGAGAAGGGAAGAAGGCAGAATGTTGAAAATGGGGAATAAGGAGCAATCTTGAGAGGACAGAGAGGGTGTTAGGTAGGAGTAGAGGGGGATAAGTGGTAAAGAGAGACTGCGTTAGACTGGTGAGTGAGGAGGCAGTGCCTGAGGTATGTCTTTGTGGCTGTGAGACTTTCAAGGGAATTTGAACATTTGAGGTGGCTAGGGTAGTATTGCGGACCTGGCTGCTCAAGGGAGCTGTTGAACATTTGTATGTAGTGATATCACCTGAACTTTTGTGCTTTGGAGTGGGAGGAAGTAGTAGAAGGAAGCTTTGCCTATCCTTTTATGTTAACTTTCTTGTGATCTTGTGAGGAGGCCTGTCCTTGTTGAGTCATTTAGTTCTACCAGTCTACCTCCTTTCTCTAAGTTGTCTCAACTCGTGCATAAGTCTTACCACTTCTCTCTATAACTAACTCTTTGCAACATGTTTTGCTTTAAGTATTTTTAAAAAAAAGCTTTTTAAGGGAAGAAGGAAAAACTATATTAGACCTTCTCAAACTCTGCTGCCCTTTCTTCCTATTTTCTCTCTTTGCCACCAAGGGTTGTTGTACTCCTTCTCAACCAGTCATTACCGAAAGGCTATTAATTAATTGATTAGAATGCAAAAAATAATCTTGGGCTTTGGGTTCCTTTATTGCCTTTCATTCCATAGGGAGTTTTTTCTTTTTGTTTAACATGTATAAATGTCTAAGCCTATTTATTGTAGACATTTTATAGTAGTTTTTCTAAAATGTATTAAATTATACTGCTTTCTTAAACTAAGTCTGGAACTTACTTTATCATCATGAACCATCAGTGTTTTCCAAATCAACTGGTTTTCAGAAGACTGAGGTGGTTAGGATTGTGAGTACATTTACTCATATTCATTTGAGTGTGTTTTATGTAGATGGGCACCTGGGGAAATAGTGGCAAGCAAGACAGACACTGTCTCTGCATGTTGGAATTTAGTCTGTAAAGTCTGAATGGTGATGATCTGGACCAGCATAGTGTGGAAGGTACTGGTCTGTGTTCTGGATGATTTAGGTTACCATGCCATCTCCAGATAAATGGAGTATTGCTGTTTAGGGCCCTGACTTATACACTTGGTCATTTCCACCTCTGGTCTACAGTTGCCTACCCCGCAATCCATATGCAATTCTGCATATGGCTTTATTTTCTAGGAGGTGGAGGGAGGAAAAGAGGTGAGGATTTGCGTGAAGACAAGCTAGTGTTGGTCCAGGTTTTTTCTGCTTTCTCAATTATCCTATAATCTTTGAAAACACATTGGTTTTTTTTTCTCTCTTGACATTTTTCCCCCCTTTCCTCTCGTGAGGACTTTAAAGCAAATCCCAGGCTTCAGATATTTCACTTCTGTATACTTCAGTGTGCACAGAATAACATGGGCATATGCTTACCTGACCAGGGTCATTATCACACCTAACTGTAGGTACTGTATTTTGTTGTATAACCTAATGCCCATTGTATAATTTTAAAAATTTCTCCCTTGTACAAAATAACTGTTCTTTATGGTTTTGTTAGAATCAGGATTCACATGTGACATTTGGATATTATGTCTCTTAATCAAGGGCCATTCCCTGCTCCACCCCTCCCCCCTTTTTCCATGCCAATGACTTGTTGCAGAAACTGGGTCAGTTGTCCTGCAGAATGTCCCACATTCTGGATATATCTGTTTTCTTGTGTTGTCATTATCTGGTTCCTCTATCGCCTGAATTTCCTGAAACTGGAAATTAACTCTAGAGGCTTGATTAAACTCAGGTTCAGCCTTCTTAGTTGGGTAGTGCTGTGTGCTTCACATTGTATCACACCAGGGAAAACCTCCTTAATTTAAGTAAAAATAAAAAATATTAGTGAGCACTGAGTTTGTTTTAGATGCGGTGCTAGGCGCTATGGGGTCTACAGAGATTAGCAAAGTGTAATCCCAGCTGCCTTAAATTTGTTTTTGGAAGCAGACCATGAACAACAGCATGACAGAGGATAAGTAAGGGGTAGCTGGGGAACAGGAGAGGTCAACAGCCAGTTTCTCTGTATCTGAGAGACTGCCCACGAAGCCTGTGGCATTTTAGCAGTCTGAAAAAATTAATACAGAAATGTAATACTTTACCATATAATAGCAACTATGCTCTTTTCTAAAACTAGTTTTATCTCACATAATTCTTGAGTAATTTCTCTTTCTCCCCTAACCCACTGTGCGTTGCATTATTTGAGGCACCATGATATGGCTGCAGATGCCTTTTCGTGCACCTGGGTCAGGATGGGACCTGCGGAAATCCCTCCTCCTTCCCATATTTAGACAGTGAGACATACCAAAGGCAAGTGAAGCACATGGTAATAGAGAAAGCTGGCACTACGTTTGAGCTAGTGATCTGCTGGTGTCAACTGGCAGTGTTTTTTCAGGTCATCCTGCTTGACCCTTATAGATGTAGAGAAGCCAAGTACAGTGTAGAAAACGTCAACTTCCTGGTGGTCACCTAAGTATTTTTTTCCCCTTCTTTTGGAGGGGTATATGGAGAGATTTCTACTTTACCAAGAATGAAGCTGGAACTTTAAATGGTTTATGTGTGTTTTATAAAACTTTTTAAAAACTTGCAAAATCATATGTTAGTATATTACAGTTTTTACTTGTGTCTTGTCTGCCCAGTTGCCACCACTTGTAAATTTTTTTTTTCCATAAGCAAGTAAAAGTTCAGCTGGAAGATATCTTCTTAATTGAGGGTTCAAAAGCCAGGAATTTAAGCAAAAGAGGAAATTCTTCTCAATATTCAAAATACAAAAACTCTAAGGAGCATCTTGTTGACTGGTATATTTTAGCATTGAGCATAGTGCTTGATACTCAGTGCTCCATAAATACTGATTGGATAAATAAAATGAGATGTAGAGGCAGTAGTGTTTATTCTCATTTATAAATTAGAAGTAAACAATGTGATCACAGTGAAAAATCCTTAGCCTGCTTTGGATAAGAACTTTCACTCGTGCACTAGAGAGAGAGGGAATGTGGGTATGAAAGTGTGTGTGTGTATGTGTGTGTGTTTGTGGCATTGGCAAATAGAAGAGAAGGATTTGTCTTATCTGCTGATTTAAAAAAAAAGATTTTATGTTTATTATCAAGAATGTAGCACTTAAGATATATGCAACTTAAAAAAACTACTGAGTAAAATTCTGGGTTTTGTCCTTGAAAGAAAAGTGGCATTTCCTGCATGAAAAACAGTTTCTATTATAAATGACAAAAAATTGTTAGGGAGCCAAGCTTTGATGCATTTACTACATGAAGGTCAAATACTTAGGTCATTATAATTCTGCCCCCTTTTGTGCATGCAGTACAATGAAGCTCTTTGACATGGTGCTAGCACATTCTCAAGATGAAGGAAGGTCACGTGTTTTCAGGCATTAAGAGCATGATCTACTCTTTTTTGGTTCCCTGTTATAAGTGGCTGTTGAGGGTAAAGTTGAGGGGAGAAACTGGACTAATGAATGGCTTTTGTCTACCTTTGTACTATTTTTTACTTTTCTTGCACAGAAGTCAATTAAAAAAAAAAAAAAGTTAAAAAGCTGAGAACCAATTGCCCAGAGCAATCCACAGGCAACCTTCAGTCTGGCTCAGTTACCCAGATTTATATCACATACTTGCTAGCAGAGTTTTGATTGCCGCCAAACCTCAAATGAATGTGTGGCTTCTTTACATGGAACTGGTCCTTTTGTTAAGGAGGCCTTGTGAGTTATTATATGGGCCTTGGAGCCAGTTCATCTGGGTCCAATATGTGGTTTCATTTATTGGCTATTGGCCTTGGAGGAATTATTTAACTCCACTGTGCCACAGTTTCCTCATCTGTAAAATGAGTTAATTTGCAACAGGAGGCATGAAAGAAAAATGCCTGGCATAAACAAAGCACTTGGTAAACATCAGCAACTGCTGACGTGTGTGCGTGTGAATTTATCAAGAGATGCAGTTCAGGTATTGAGTATATAAAGGAGGGTGAAGATGGGGTTTCTATGTGATGAGGATATTATCTTGGGTGGCGCAAGGTTTCAGAGATAAGAATCTGACCTGGGATTGAAGGTAGTGGGCAATGGAAAGGGTCAGGGATGATGACCCCCTTCCCTGCTCCAAATTCACTGGGAAAGGAGAAACTCACACTCAGACTACTGGGCCTGACTACAGCTGGCATTCCTCTTTGCCTGTTTGATCCATCTGCTAATGATTTGAGCCATAATATCTAGGGTGCTTGAGGTTGTGTACTTGGGTCCTTCCTTCCCCCTTCTGCCTTGGCTTCTCTTTAGAAAGCCAACTCCAACAGGCATGAGACCTTTAAACTTTTTGCACGTATGGGATTTGTTTCAGAGTGATTAGAGGGTCAGGAGGGGAATGAGTGGGTAGGGGATAGATGTGAATCTTAATACAGATAAGATGGATCATGAGGCTGGATGATGAGTACATGGGGGTGGGTTTATTATAACAGTCTTTCTACTTCTGCATATATTTGAAACTTAAGAATAAATATTTTTTAAAGTTAAGCAAAAAATGCAAGTATATAACAATATGGATGGTATACCTTTTATATAAAGTTTAAAAATATGCGAGCAGTATTATGTATTTTATATATAATGTTTTTGTATTTTATATATAAGGTATTGATATATACATTGTGTGCATGTATATATATATTCATATAAGAATTTAAAATTTTATAAAATAATAAATATGGCGGGCATGGTGGCTCACACCTGTAATCCCAGCACTTTGGGAGGCTGAGGCAGGCAGATAACACTTGAGGCCAGAAGTTCAAGACCAGTCTGGCCAACATGGCAAAACCTCATCTCTACTAAAAATACAAAAATTAGCTGGGTGTGGTGGCAGGCGCCTGTAATCCCAGTTACTTGGAAGGCTGAGGCATGAGAATTTCTTGAACCCGGGAGGTTGCAGTGAGCGGAGATCACACCACTGTACTGTGGCCTGGGCAACAGAGCAAGACTCCATCTCAAAAAAAAATAATAATAATAATAAATACTAGCTTTGGGATAGTGGTCGTGGTTGCTTCTGAGAAAGGTAGAAAAGAGATGGAATGAGGAGAGGGAATACGAAGGGTATTTCACCTGTATCTGGAATATTTTGCTTCGTTAAAATTTTTTGAAGCAAATACGGCACAATACTAAGATTTGCTAAAGTCGAGCAGTGGGTACACAGGTGTTTGTTATATTCTGTGTAATTTTGTTTGTTTTAAATGTGTCACAAAAAGAATAAAATGTCATGATTCTATAACAAGAAGTGTCTTTAGACATGTCAGGAGCTGAGCTGCAGGAGGTGCTGGGAGGTGCCTTGCCTTTCTGCTAGAGAGGCACATCCTGTCATAGCATTGCACCTTGCAGCAGGGGTGGCGAAACGATTGGCCACTTGTACAGTTGCATAATGGGGGAAGCCCTCGTGGTTAGTAGAGGTGGATGGTGGTAAGTAAGGCTGTGTGAATTACAGGCAGTTAGATACAGCAGAATTCATGTTTTCTGGACCATGCTGACCTACTGCCTCTGTCAGAGGGATTGGGCTGGGTTATGAATGATGAGTTGGTTACGATGACTGGAGGAAGATTTTTAGAAAGCACAGCTTTTGTGTATAAGAACTAGTTTCCTTGATAAGACTTCTCAGAAAAAAAGAAAGCTGTTTCTACTCTGGATTGGTTGTGTGGTAATCTTGTCAGTCTTCCCGCACAAAGCGGGATTAAGCTTGTCACTCCTCAGCTAGGGAAGCAAGCCCTCCATCTGGGGAGTGAGAAGACAGATTGTTCTGAGGGCTGGGTTCATGGGCTGCTTCTGAAATGTGACTAGCACCTCTGTGCCTCTGCCTGCTTCTGGGGAGGAAGACCTGGAGATTGAAGTGATCCTTGTGCCCAGGTCCCAGTCTGTGTGTTACCTAGTGTATCGATGTTGTTCATAGATGTTGGGGGTGGTGAGCTTGTGCAGTATGCACACATCAAGTGTTAGTTTGATCTCACAGAGAATACAGATGTCAGATGTCCACTTCTTTGGCATTTATTCACTAGATCTCTAAACAGGAGATCACTGTTTCGTATGCTCTAGAGAGCTCATTTAGCTGAGGGGAAGGGTAAACCCAGCATCCTTACAGGTTAAACCTTCGGGAATAGAACAAACCCTGTGTGTTGAGCCCAGTGGAACTGGGCTGGGGTGGGGGGTGCATGAGGCAAGAGACCAAGCATCTTAGAGTGTTTTTTCAGCACTCACATGCTAGTATCCTAGATTCTCAGGAAGGCGGTGACTAGACCAGACCAGCCCTTCACCACTTCACCACTGTGCATCCTGGGAAGTGGCCTCCTCCTTTAAATAGGGATGGAGGTCTCCAGGGTGTGCTCTGGAAGTTTGTGAGGATGAGGATCAGAGAATAAGGGACCTTCCTTTGACATATGCCAGGTGAGAAACCACAGGAAGCAAAGACCACCCAGCCTAGCAGCCACTCACAAGTGCTGTGTTCTGGAGAAGGACTTCATGTTCTGTGTCCATCCAGCCTGATTTGCATCCCTGGAAGAATTTGAGAGGTTACAGGACCCTGGCACCTGGGCAGCTCTGCAACATCCTCCCAGGTGGTCCCACTGAAGCACCTCTATTTAAATCCCCCTGTTCCGAATAAGGAGGCTGTGTAAATGGACCTGCAGATCTTTCTGACATGTAGGAATGGACTGGGAGAGATGCAGACTTCTGCAGAGGGAGAGAGTTTCTGGGCATTGAGCAGCAACATTGCCTCTGTCCTTCATTTTAGTTTACAACTTTATATCTTCCCTTAATGAGGTTTTCCGCAGCTGTGAAAGAAATAAAATAAATTGAGGTATTGAGAGAACACATAGAAAGTGGAGAGGCTATTTTTCTGTTACCTGTTTTTGTCTTCCTTAATTGTCTAGTTTAGCACCACTTGAAAAAATTGCGTTACATTTAAGTTTGATGAGCTCCTTGTGAACATGTGAATCAGTAGTTTCTCGAGGTGCTGCTGGGTTCGGTGACACAATACAGAACACAAAGCCAGAAACCAGCCTAGAAACCAGACAGAGGGCTTTGTCCCAGAGTCCTGCTTAACCTTATTACAGCTAAGTGTCGAAATCCAGCCCGTGGTTCTCCCCCAGAATACTGGGGGGCAAATCTCGTTCAATAATAGAAAGGTATGGTTAGCCTCTGAGTGTTTTATGGGTGTGTATATAAAAGCAGTATTAGATGAGTTAAGCCTATGCAGGTTTATTATACATATCAGACTCCTGATAATGATAGAATAATGAGTTCATTTTCTAGAGTCGTGATTCTGGAAGACTTTATTTCCACCAAGAATTTCCTTAGTGTCTGTCTTTCCCCCGGATGTTTTCTCCCTGCCTCAGAGTCAGCAGTGCATCCTCTCCTCATGGCCTGGCTTTGCCTCTTCCCCCTTTTGGTCTCTTCTCTAGTAGCTTTTTGGTTTTCTTCCCCTGTAGTTAATATTGTCCTCATTTAAAATTTTTTTCCCTTCAGTTGATAAAATGTTCAAATTTTGTGACATATTTTAGAAGGTAGCCATTTATCAAAAAGAACATCTTGAAATCCTCAGGAGTATTAATGACAGTTTAATGTGTTAAAAATACATATATTCAATGTTAAATCAGTAGAACAGGAAAGAAAATTGTGTTTCCAAATTTGTGAAATAAATATACTTAGAAGAAAAAAATGAAAACAAAATATAAAAATGTCAAAATGGTTAAGTTAGGGTAATTAGAATATGAGTAACTTTTTACCCTGTTTTTCTCATTTTCAGTAATGTCATTATATGCATGCTTGCGTGTTTCCCCTGCATACATCCCTATGGCATTTTGAGATGAATGGGACAGGAGAGTATAAAGAAGAAGTGGGTGTGGAGGAGTCATTTTCAGATGCAGTCCTAAGAAACCCCACAGACTCTTGGTAGGGGGGCCTGAGGGCCCTGGACCTTGTGTCCCCCTTTAACCAGAGCTTGTCCACTTTTCATTTGCTATGCCTATCAAGGTTTGTCCAAGATTTCATTTGGGAAGAGGATTCTGCTACTAAATACAAGGTTTGAAAACTTTACAGAGAAAAGAGAACACATTGGGATCAGAGGTAGGAAGTGTGGGTCCTGACCCAGCCTTTAACTAGCAGTGTGTCTCTATGTCCAAGGCACTTTAGCTCTCTGGACACCAGTGTTTTCATTTCTAAAATGATGGGCTTGAGCTAGTGGATAAGCTGAAGGTCCCCTACAGCTTTGACATTTTAGGATTCTATTCAAGTGGTGTCAAAAAATAAGTAACTCCAGGAAAAGAAGTTTGTGATTCCCAGCCTTCTCCCACTGCCCCAGCAGTTTTCAAGGCACCTGGAGGACAACAGACGACTTGGGCAAGCATCGCATTGTGGAATTTTTGCTTTTTTACCTTGCAGTTTGTTTTCTGTTCGTATTGTGTAGTTAGGACAAGGAGCAATAAGACCCAACACAACAAGGTATAGAGCTGTTTTAAGACGATTTACTGTTTTTAGGTTAGAGGTCTAGATTCTTTGGAAAAAGTGAATGGTGATTTCTCTCATCCTCAAGTTATTCCTGAAGTTCTGTTAATAAAATCTACAGTCAGAAAAGTGGCACCGTGTCCTGCCTAATGGTGTTCGGGGTGTCCTTTCCACAGGCCATCCAGAGTCCTTTTCCACTGCGGTGTCAGCACTGTCTAGATGGCCGTCCTTGGGAGGCTGGGCTCCCTCTGGACAAACAGGCCTATAACAGGAGACTTTTCACGTTAATGGACCCAGAGGAAAGATAACCTCAGGATCTATCCCTTTTCACTGGAGACACCTGGAGGCCTGGCACCAGTTTGCTTCTCTGACCTGAAAATAGAGCATTCTCCTTTCTGGCCCTGCCTCCCACTGGGTGAGAGAAGAGCACTGGGTGGGTGAGGCTAAATCCTGCTTCCTTTCATATGCAAAGCATAATCTCTTTCCTGGACCTCTTTGGGCACTGAAACAAGAACTCCACTAGCTGCCACACTGTCCAAGCATTTAGCTTTTTGACTTTTGGGGAAAGCTTTTATTTCCAGGTACCTAAAGTGTGTGGCATTGTAAATAAAGTCAGAAGCTCAGTTTGTTGGTCACAAATACATTGGACAGAAATGAAAGAAAGCCAATAAGACCATGTTCTTTCTGTGCTTTGCCCTCAGAACGCATTCCCTGGGATGAAAAACCCTGCTCAAGCCTGGGTACAGTGACCCAAGGTGACAGCAATGACAGTGGCCCTTCAGAAAGGAGCAAGTGGAGGTGGACCCTGCCTCAAACAGGTTTGGTTTGCTCCTGGTTGAGCTTAGCCCAAACCTCCCCCTGCTGAAAATAAATAAATAAAATCCAGATACTGCAACTACTTACGCACCTTCCTTTTCTATTTAATTTCAATAAATTGTGGACTAATTCTTCCTAAAAGTACATATCAATTAAGAAGACAAAACTTGAATGATCAATACATTGTGGTTTCGGCTGGTCCTATAGCATAACACTGTAGATTTTACTTTCTAAATATTTATTGAACACAATACTCTGTGAATCAAACTGAATCAATTACTGTGAGGTTCAGAAAGAACATAGAACTCACTCCTTGGTCTTTGATTTTACAGTCTCCTTGGAGGGGCAGAATCTAACAGAAAACCATACACCTGTGAGACAGAGACTAGTTCAAAACAGTAAAACATCGCATAAAAGACAGCTCTGTTTTTAAACATGGAGCACCTGCTCCCAGATGCAGAGGACCACAGCAGTGGTCCAAACAGGGTGGAGCCAGTCTTGCTGCAGGTAGTAGGTTTCACATCAGAATTTGGAGGAAGTGATGGGTGTGAGGAAGAGGAAGGAGGGGCAGTGCTCCCAGAGAAATTCCTTTCATTGGATAAGAAAGGTAGGGATGATATTGTGTGATAATAAGAGGGCTGTGGCACAGTAAGCCTTAGGGACAGTCTTGGACAGGGGAATTTTTCAGTTGTCGTAATTGGGGCAACAGTACATACAGGCTGAATTGAAATGGGGATCCCCACACCCACTCATTAGCCATGTGATCCCCCATGTAGTTTACTAACGTCAGGTCACTGAATGCTTTAACAGCAGTATACAATTTGGATCAGAGTTGATGAACTAAACTTTTACTAAGCACATACTTGTATTAAATAAATTCACAAAGATCTACATCATCATTGACAAAAATGTGAGCATTTCATATAAATACATGTGCATTATCTTGATGTTTAAAGTGTTTTTTTAATGCATCGTTTTCATTTGTGTGAACATTTTAGCATTTGTTTTATAGCTTGTTTAGGACATTTAGTCAATTTGAGGTTTTTGATACTTCACAATTTCATATGTACAATTAATAGATAGAAAATTTGGGTGATTAATCATACAGCTTATTATAGTAATGCCTTCTGGGCATCCTGACTTTGTACTGCTTTGATCTTGCCCTTTTATGTTGGGTTTTCTTAAAAAGTTAATGGATCCTATTCATTCATAGTTCATTCAACAAATATATATTTTGCCCTACTATGTGCTGGGCACAATTCTAGGAATTGAGCTCCCAGTTACTGATTTGGAAACTCAGTATTTCTTTCTTTTTTGTCTTTTTGAGACAGAGTCCCACTCTGTCGCCCAGGCTAGAGTGCAATGGCGCAATCTTGGCTCACTGCATCCTGTGTCTCCTAGGTTTGATTCTCATGCCTCAGCCTCCTGAATAGCTGGGGTTACAGGTGCACCCCACTACGCCCGGCTAATTTTTATATTTTTAGTAGAGACAGGGTTTCACCATGTTGGCCAGGCTGGTCTCAAACTCCTGACCTCAAGCGATCTGCCCACCTTGGCCTCCCAGAGTGCTGGGATTATAAGCGTTAGCCACCTTGACTGGCTGGAAACTCAATTATTTCAATATGAAGGGATTGTTGTAGCTAATTTTGATTTTCTTACTATGCCTTTAAACTTAAGTTACTGATTTTATTTAAAATATTTCATCATCAGTACAGAACCCAAACATTCTTACTAGTGCTTTTGAAAGAAATCAATTTAGTAAATTTGGCACATTGAATGTTGACAAGTTGGTCAGCTTCTCCCCACTCAGAGCCCTAAAGAACCTCTAGGGCTCCATAAACAGTTTGAAAACCACTGGGTCAGATAAACTCTAAAGCCTCTTACCATTGTAAAGCTCTGTCTCAACTTCTCTGTGCCATTTTTCTTTTGCATATTTAACTTATGGAATAATAAGGCAACTTATCCAGACAGAGTCGTGATGACTACTTGATACATATTTAAGGTATAATTCACCTTATTCCATTTTTAATATGTCTTTGCGTTCCCCTGGTGGTTTGGTTGCTCCCATAGCAAGCAGGATGGCATGTGAGGACTGCAGAATACCTGAACACCCCTTAAAATATAAGTATATGAGAGACATCCTCAAGCCTGTGGTGTATGTGGAGGGCTAGAATTGCCACAAAAAAAATACAGAAAAAAAGTACATTGTACAGTTAAAATCTCTTGTATTTTGCTTGTAAAGGAGAACATTTTACCTAAAATAGACTGTACTTTGAATACAAATGCTATTCATTGTATTAAGACCTGTCCATATAAATGAGTTAACTGGAAGATCATTCTGCATATTCTGTGTTGTGCATAGAATTTAGAAGAATGCAAGAATGCATGAGACTTGAAGCACAAAGCATTAATTCAAATTTTGAGAGCAGTACCCAGGTAAACAGTGAATAGTACAGGTCATTGAAGTTTTTTGCTTTTGGTGTTTTTTTTTTTTTTTTTGAGACAGGGTTTCACTGTGTGGACCAGGCTAGAGTACAGAGGCACGATCTCAACTTGTTGCAACCTCCCGTTCCCAGGCTCAAGCAATCCTCCCATCTCAGCCCTCCAAATAGCTGGGACTATAGGCACGCATTATCATGCTTGGCTAATTTTCAAAATTTTTTTGTAGAAATGAGGTCTCACTATATTGCCAAGACTGATATCAAACTCCTGGGCTCAAGTGATCCTCTATCCTTGACCTCCCAGAGTGCTGGTGTTACAGGTCTGAGCCACCATGCCCGTCCTGAAATTATAAGAAGTATACTTAAGAGAGTTTTTGGCAAGGGGGACTGCTGATAGCATAACATTAAATTGGGGGAGTGGCGTGGATCAGGATAATATGCAGGATAATATCCATATAAACAAGAAACTACAGAAAATAAGTAGCAAAATCTACAAAGGTTGTAGTTTAGAAGGTCAATTACGTATGTTTTTTCTGCTTCTCCACACTTGCCAGATGTTTAGAATAAGCATGTAATACTTTGATACTCAAGGAAAAGGTAAAGACTGAAAATAAAAAAAGTTCGGCAGCTCTCATCCAATTCAAGGCTAGCAAACGACAGGAGATTTTGAAAAATCAGAATGATGTGTGTATGGCAGTAGGTGCCCTCTAAATTACTTTAATACTATCACTGAGACTATCATTTTAACTCTTAACTTGCATTGTTTTGGACAGTTGCTGGGAGAGTCACAGGTAGGATAGTCTGATCCCTGTCCAGTTAGTGGTTCCATAAAGTCCAGTTAGTGGTTCCGTAAAGCTAATTCATTGTCAACTAATGTAACTTCAGCTTTTGTTGCTGCAGCTTGTTTCTGGTGTTTGCATACAGATTGAGCACATTTGCAAGAATCCAGAACATAATGTGTATTTCACATGATCAGATAAGTACATTTAAGCTTCTTAGCTAAAGAATTTCTATGGGTTACTCTTTACTTCCAAATCCAAAGAGACTAAATCATAAAATGTAAATAGACTTCTAAACTTTCATTTCCCCACCTTTTGGTACCTCCAGTTTTTGAATAGTGCTGTTCTACAGAGGGTGATTTCATTTTTAGTTCATTCTTGTAATTTTCATTTTTAGTTCATTCTTGTAATTTTACTGTGTAAACAATCAGTTCTTTGCCCATGCCCAGTTTGACCTTTTCAGACTTTAGTGCAAATTAAAACTGGCTGGAGGCAGAAGGGACAGGAAAGGACCTGGGGAATGAGGATGAGGGGACTAGTCAAGTACCTTAGGTTACTTAATGTTGCTTGTTTTGAACCTTGAGGTCACGTCAGAGAGGAGTGCTCACTCCTTCAAGTACCTAAGAAGTGTTCCAAAGTGAATGTGAAGTTAATGGGATTGCTAGGTTTTGAAAACAAGATGAGCAACACTCAGAAATCAACAACTGCTCTTCTATTTTGTTTTTGATTTTTGTTTGTTTGTGTTCCTGGTTATGGAATGAGAGGGCTGTTCAGTGGCAACCCAACAATTTCTTCTCTTTTGGTCAACTTTTCCTTTTTGACCAGAATGTAAGAGGAGAGTACAGATAGCAAGAATGATTGGTGTGTTTTGCTTCACCTTGTCCTTGCCCCAGCTATAGCAGTGTTGCCCACTAATTAACAGTGCTATCGTCCAGAGCTGAACTGCAGAAAGTTCAAGAGGAGTGAAGATCTGACCTTAGTGCAGAGTTCAGCTGTGTTTGCCCCTCAGATCATCTTTAGGATGGAATGATTTTCATGGTTCATTAATGAATAGTGGAGAAGCAAGTGGGAACTTATCAAAATCTGTATTCTAGAATGTACCATCCCCAAGATAGTAAGTATTTTTGCAAGATGGAAGGACTGTTCCTGTGGCCGTTGTTACCCAGTGTAGTCGTAGAGCCTGTAGGATTGTTTTGCCCCATTTTATGTCCCTCACTGGAAAAGGCCATCATGTGGCTTGAGGGTCAGGACAATGCCAGTGCCTGGCTATAGGCTCCAGATCCTGTTCCCTCTCCCTCTCTGAGGCCCTCACTGCGGCCCTCACTGCATCATGCTTAGGCCCTGGTGCAAACCTTTGAGTTCTCATCCATGTGGTCTTGGGCAGGTTTCTGCAAGCTTCAGTTTTCTCATCTGTAAAATGGGGACCATATTGTCCTCATTGTTGTGAAGACTTACAGAGATAGTACGTATGAAACACTTAGAACAGTGTTTAGTACCTCATATGCACTTAATAAATGTTAGCGTTTTTATTATTAGTAGTGATCCCTTGCTGGCATCTTTCCTGGCTTCTGTCCCTACCACTCCTTTGATACTGCTGTTGCCAAGGCAACTAGTGATAACCTCTTGTTGCCAAAGCTCATGGACACTCTGTTCTCCTCTCTTTCTGGATCTTTCAGTGGTGACTCCTTTCTCCTTGAAGCACTAAACTCTCCTGGGCACGATCGCCACACTCCCCTCCTGTCTGGTGGCTTCTGTTCTTTCTTTTGTCTGATCCCTGTTCTCTACCTGCCCTCATGTTGCATGACTCCCATGAGAAACTCTCAGGTTTTCTCTTCTCCATTTCCTCTCTAGGTACACCCATCCGCTCCATCCTCTCTAGGTAAACCCATCCCAGTGGCTTTCATTACTTAGTTGCTCCTCCTGCAGGTCTTAAGTCTTTCCTGACTTTCCAGTCTGTCTTAGGTACACCCAGCTGACCTTGTTATTTTCTCTTATGGTATCCTGTTGTTTTCCTTCAGAGCACTTTTCACAATTTGTAATTATGTATGTATTTGTTTGCTTTAATTAATGTCTGTCCCTTACCTCCCTCTCACTCCACAAAATTATAAAATCTATGAA
Organism: Homo sapiens; assembly: GCF_000001405.40. NCBI lineage: Eukaryota > Metazoa > Chordata > Mammalia > Primates > Hominidae > Homo > Homo sapiens. The sequence continues at coordinate 108,644,946 of NC_000006.12, forward strand.
TGAGACCAGGGACCATGTCTGTCTGTTCACTCACATTTGTATGCCTGGTGCATGGAAGGACCTCAGCAAATACCAATTTGAATGACTGAACCTGCGGCCTCTCCAGTTCTTCCACCACCACTCTGGCCCTGATGTTATATGATATTAAATGTTAATAAAAATAACTTTTATTTTTTAGATTTGATGCTCTGGGCTTGAGTGGAGACTGCCTTACTTTCTGTTCATTTCGTGTTACTCCAAAGTTAGAAAAGCATAAACTTAACCAAGTTACAATATCCTGGTATGTTGTGGATAATCTGTGCTCACTGGCTGTTGATGTTATTTTCTGATAGTTTTGTGAAAATTGTTGCTAAGGCATTGGCCCAGACAAAATTCCCATGATTGGTAGAAATAACCCTATATATTCTGTTACCATTGAATTAATTCCCAGTAAATGGTAAGACCATATGTAAGCCTCTCTTCGAGCCTTCTTTCCCATGATTCATTTTTTTTGTCTTGAATCCCCAGAATTGCTTTTTTTTTTTTTTTCTTGAAATCCAGGTTGACCCAAAACAAGAAGTGTCAATAGCCTCATCATAATATAGCCTCTTAGCTATAAATGTATTAAGTCCCTATCCTTAATGGCCTCCACATGAGAACTTCTAAAACTTCAGGGCCAGGAGGATTACTGTTAGCCCTGCCAGTCGGCAACATTAGAAGATGATAGAACCCAGCACACATACAAGTCATTCACTGAAAAGCACTTTTAAAGTGCCTGATGACACATACATCAGGGTAGGTATAGAATATAGGCACATAAAAGTCTTTCTTGTTAGGTGTTTCTATTGCATTATCTTAACATGAACAGAAACCTCTAATTACCATTATTAATGCTTGGAATTTTATAATTTTTAAAAAATCTAATTTATACTAAAGTTGAGAGAGAGTGTGTGTATACACACAGAGATAACATGCAGGAGGGCATGTCAGTAAAATTAATTCCTAAAAATAGAATTGTTGAGTTATCAGGTAGGATTAGGTTTGGCTAATGGAAAACAAATTTAATAGTGAATTATTCTCATGTAAAAGAAGTCTAGGGCTTGTGTGGCCACTGTAAGAAGTGATTGATGCTCAGACTCCTCTTATTCTCTGCCCTCTCATCTCAGCAAGTGGCTTTCATCCTCAGGGTCTCCTCATGGTCCATCCGAATGGAGGCCAAAAGGAGGAAAAACAGCACGAATGAAGAGACTCATCTCTCACCTGAGTAGCTGCCTTTAAATAGTCTTGCATGGAACTCTTCCACTTCCATGTCATTCTATTTTCAAAGCTAAGTCACATAGCCACATCTAACTTCGAAGAAGGCTGAGGAATGTAGTCTTTTTGTCTGGGCCCAGCTAAAAATTGGCATTGTGTGAGTAATGAATAAGAGAAGAATGGAGTAGTCTGTTCTACTAAGTCAAAGGTTGTGTGCAGTATCAACAGATAGTGATAAACAGTCCTTCAAAAACTTTGCACCCACTTTAACACTTTCACCAACCAATCCAAATTTTTTTTTCCCAAATCTTAATTAAAAACAAAATGTCCTCTACTGCTGTATTTGAATTGTGTTGTCTTTTTGAAGCATGAGTATAACTTCTAATAGAACTTAATTTTCTATTCAGATTTTAAACTTCTAAATGCTTCTGAAGTTTAAGGCAGATAACCTAGTTTATTTAAGTTTGATAGTTTATTCCTGTGACTTCGATTGCTAAAGGTAGGTTTTCTTGGAGATGGGAAACCTGGGAAAAGAGAATGTGTACTTCTTTAGTGCTGGAAGAATGTCTGCTTCTTTCCTCCTGCATTTTATTGCAGATGCTAACCTTACTCAGCATGGTTTAGTTCAGAAGAGAAAATAAAGGGAGAATTCATTTATGCTTTCGAGAAAATGTGTTGAGTCTTCCACATGCCAGGCATCTCCAACATAAAAGAAAGAGATGTATCTCTTTTGCTATCTAACTCTTCCCACTTTCCTTCTTATGATCTGATGTGACTTCTCCATATCTTATGTACCTTCCCCCCAATAACAATTGTAATAATCATCACTAAGCGTAGTACTGCACAAAAGAGAGCTATCAGGTAAAAGGACAGAAAAACCACGGGAGTTTTAAAATGTCCAAGTAGTATTTAAATTTTAAACCTTACTTTTTTCTGTTTTTAAACCTCATATATGAATTTAGACAGACAAACTAAAACCTGTTTACTATAGTAAGAATACCTCACTGTAGCTTAAATTGGTGTTTTTAAAATGATGGCTTTGGCCAAATTCTTTGGCAGCTACCCTAGACTGGAAGCATTAAAAATTGATTACTTGCAAGTTGTTGCTAATAGTTCCTTATTTCTGCAGGCCTTGCCACTCAGCCCAAACTGGGGTCCCTGCATAATGTTTATTGTAGCTGGAGTGCTGTGCTGGTGTCCTGCTGCCTAAGTGGAGTGAGTTGACCCTAATTTACTCCTGGATGCCTGCATTCTTTTCCATGCATGTCCACAAATAGCATCACAGCAAATTAACAGAATTTTCTGATTGATGTAGGGAGAAACCAAAGAAGGCCTGTGTTTGGTGGCCAAAACACCACACAGTATGAGCAGAGTGGAACTACTGGCCCATTTTATAGCATTCTAATTGATAATTATCAAAGAGCACATTATTTGACCATGTGGCAACAATCCAGTATCATTTCAGAGGTACTAGACATGTAGATGTCCGTGAACACCATAGTGAATATACCCCCTCCTTTTGCCAAAATTGAAATAGGTTATCCAAGAGGAAAGGGGAGGGAAAAGAAAATACCAATTTCCTCTTTACAAAACTGTGGCAAATGAGATGTCATAAAATTCTGTATTTCATGATAAAGCCTCCTGGCTCATCATTAATAAGCTAGAAAATTAACTCTTTTTTTGGAAACTTGGAGAGAGTCTATAAATGTCATCGTATGTGTTTGCTGTTGGTTCACAGGCAATGCCTAGTCCATTTTCCTTCACAGAGATCTAAAGCTACTAAATACTGTCAGAAGAAAGAAGAAAATTTATGTGGGAGAGCTAAGTGGAAAGAGGAGGGAATCCTAGGTGTCTACATTCACGACACTTTACAACAGCAAAGTCACTGTGGCGAGGGGAGAGACCTGGAAGCACCTCTGCCAAGGTAAAATTGAGGGCAGTCCATAGACAAGTCGAAGAACTGAGGAGAAATGTTTCCTGGCCCAGGACTCCATAATGGAATCTGTCTGGACCCTGCAGAAACTCAGTACTGTTAGGACTGCCTTGAGATGAGGCAGCCCAGTTGTCAGGGAGATGGGAGTAGGAATGGACATAAGGTGTCTGTTCTTGTATTGGTGGAAGAGGAAGGTAAAAAGAAATAAACCTAAACCTGCTGCTCACTTAGCTCTATTTCCCACAAGCAAACCGCAACATTGAGTAACAGCTGAAAAAGATGGTGACTAATGTAGATGAAACACTGAAAATGACTCTCTGGGGGTCTTCTCACCCCTGCTCCCTTTGATTAATGGTTTATTGTCGTAAAGCCTTAAGGGTCGTTGGCAGAGCCAGGTCAGAGCATTCAGAGTGCTGGAGCCATGTATGTCTGCCTCTCTTGCTTTTTGTTTCTCATCCTATTATCTTGTATTCCTTCTTATTTTACATAGGAGAAGAGAAGAAAGATGGCTAGAGATGATCATTGCCCAATTTTATCTTTCATGGTTAAGGAAATAATCAGTTCACAAGCTAAAGCAGTGGACTGTCAAGAATGGCAAAGTGGCCAGGCACAGTGGCTCACACCTGTAATCCCAGCACTTTGGAAGGCTGAGGTAGGAGGTTCGCTTGAGGCCTGGAGTTTGAGACCAGCCTGGAAAACATAGTGAGACCCCATCTCTACAAAAAAAAATAAAAAATTAGTGAAGTGTAGGGGCGCACACCTGTGTTTCCAGCTTCTCAGGAAGCTGAGGTAGGAGGATCACTTGAGCCCAGGAGCTCAAGGCTGCAGTGAACTGTGGTTATACCACTGCACTCCAGTGCGTTCCAGCCTGGGTAACAGAGTGGGAACCTATCTCTTAAAAAAAAAAAAAAAAAAAAAAAAAGGACTACAAGTGTCTCAGATTTGCCCCTACCAGACGCCAAACTCTTGGGTCAGAGGCAAAGGGATCTGTTATTCTCTCATGGCACAGCAGCCAGCATGAGCAGTAGTCTATTTTGCATTGGTTCTTCCTTGCCCCCGAATCCCACAGGGGTGACATAGATAGGCCCAGGTTGATGGCTGCACATGTAGTGGGTTGTGCAGGAACCTTGAGCTTAGGGATCTTAAATCATTTGTAATAGGCAGTAAGTATGTCTGCCCTTTGCTCTGGAGGGAGACACTATGACTACCTTTCAAGGCTGCTCACTGTGCAGATGAAAGATAGTCCTACCTTGAAAGATAGTCTAGAACAAAGACCCGTCAGTACTTTGCTTGACAAAGCAAAGACATTCAGTAACACAAGAAACCCCTGGCAAATTGTTCTCCAAATGGAGATTTGTTAATCTTATAAGTAGCTGATATCCCTAGTTCACCACCACCCTCAGCTTTTTTTTTTTTTTTTTTTTTTTTTTGAGATGGGGGTCTCACTGTGTTGCCCAAGCTGGAATGCAGTGACATGATCTTGGCTCATGGCAACCTCCACTTCCCAGGCTCAAGCCGTTTGTCTGCCTCTGCCTCCTAAAGTGCTGGGATTACAGGTGTGAGCCCTGTGCCTGGCCCCTACTTCCCTTTCTATCCACAAATTAATATCAGGACTCAGCTGTCTTTCTTCAGAAAACTCCTTAGTTTATAGCTGTTTGAAAGGATCTGATGAGCTTGTGTCTAGAGAAACAGCTAACATTCCACATAATGCCTCAGAGAGTTGTGTGTTACTTGACGTTTGTTGTGTGTTACTTTGAACCTGAAAATGGCTCAGAAACATCTGTTTCTTCATATTTGTCCTCCCTTGTCTTGATGTGAAGGGATTACTCTCAATGGCCCCCATATATTTAATGATTTGTTAATCCTTAGGGAAAGACCTAGTACCTGATCGTATTATGAGCCCACACATCGTTCCCATTAGCAAATGAAAAACCTGACTAAAGGGAAAGGGCTGGAAATTTCAGGAGGACCAAGTTAAAGAGTTCCAGAAAGTTTGGGGAGATAATCCAAGGGCTGACCCTGCCAACTCAGACTTAACCAAGGAGGTAGTTATAAGGTCAGGGGTCCTGCATCCTCAGGAATGCCCTTAGAGTCACTGACTGCTAATATGGTGGGACCAGTGAGCCCTGGAGCACAGGGACACGTGCTGGTTGAGGAGTGGGCTCACCCTCCAACTCTCCACCGTATTCTGACCCCTCCCTCTTAGACTCTTCTGTCTCCTCCAGCCACAAGCAGGGTCTAAAAGAACTGTTTCCTACGTTCTTTTAGCCCCTGAGGCACCCAGTTATAGGAATTTTCTATTTCTACTGTGTGTTCAGCTTTTATAGTCTCTTGCATGACTGTCCTTGCCAGTTAATACTATTTCTCCTGCCCTTTGGGTGATAGATATTACACTACTGATGCTTGTATTTCCAGTTTCTTAAGTGCTTTCAAGTTTACCTAGCATGTACATGAAGTAGATTAGAGCCTGCTACAATAAAATACTGCATTTCTGTTATGGCCTTTAGAAAAACTATGATTTTATCTCATGTGCATTCAGTCTGCTTCATTCATCATAGTTTAGGGGTAGTGCTAATAATTAACTTACACATTTGGGAACACCCTAGATTTTAAGTTAGAATACAGGGGTATCTGAGTGGCTCAGTGAATGTTTTTTCAGAAAAATGCAATCAGTGCCTAGTTCTTTAGTTACTGGAAATGTCCTTTCTTTATTTGATCTTTTTTTGTGAACTTTTGAGCTTTCTGATGCTCATCTGTGTGTGTAATTAGCACCCAGGAGTGTCGTGGAATAAATAGTTGACTTGGTCAGCATTTCATAATACCATTATATTGGTCATCAGCCGCTTTTGCATCCTGTGGTTTTGAACAAGAAAAAAAAATCTTGCAAAACCACTATGGTGAAATACTGAATATGCAGATGAGGTATAGGTTAAAGAAGGCAGTCCCTCGGGAGGCTCCTCATTAGAGCTGAATTTCAGTGAGGTGTGGAGGGGACAGAAGATACTATTAGCCCAAGTCATTTTACAGAATTGACTGCATCGTACTCTTTATTTCCGTACAGAAAATATACATCAATTGTTTTGTTTGCAGTAGCCAACATGGGGTATTCTGGTGTGTAGCATTTACTTTCTCTGCTTCTTTCACTGGTAACACCTTGATTTACAGTGACTATTAGGATAATTAACATTGACACTTGGAAGATAGCCTGCTTCCAAATGCATGCACACTTGTCTGTTTTATAAATGCTAACCCAAACTTTTTCCTTTCCTAGCTGAAAAATGTGTCTCCACTCCTTCCAATCTTTCCAGGGTGTGGGCCTGTGCGTAGCTGTGTGACTGTGCCCACACACTGGCATATATTTCAGAGCTACCAAAAAGAAATCAGTTGCTCTTGAAATAACAAGACAAAAAGGAACGGTTTTTCTGAGCCATAACATCTGAAGAGCTAGAAGCAGTTGTGTTTGTATGTGTGACGCTAAAGCCAGTAAATTTCATGTGAAGGAAGGGATTGTAAACTAAGAACAGAAAAGCAGTTTTCCTGGATTTCAGATGTCAAACTCTCAAGCTGTTTAACTCACCCACTCAGCACCTCCACATCCATCCCTGTAATGTGCTTGCATTGTCAGTGATTTGTTTCTGCAGGTTTTGATGCCAGAAGACAAATAATAAAATAGTAGGCATATGTAACCTTAAAGCAGTTTTCTACCAGAGTTTTTGATTGAGGTTAAACAGAAGTATCCTGATCACGTCGTCAGTTGGCAGGCAAAAGGCATCATATTTTAAGATTCACATAGTTTTAGAGCAAGCTCATCTTTTCTGGCTCAATAATAAACTAATTACATGTTTTAAATAGTATAGAGCTGAGTCCCTGTTTCAGATTAAGCCTCATAATAGCAAGGGCCAGGCACTAGCAGACATTTGCTTGATGTTTCTGGCTTGAGGATCCGTAACGTGGTGCCAGCTGTTTTAGGGCCTGAATAGGCCTGCCAGGGACAGCCAGGTGATATTGGCTTGACGTAGTCACAGGCTAATTCTCCCAGAACACAGAAGCCTCCAGACGTGCCACCAAGGAAAGCCTGGATATGTAGAAGTTCAGTTTATGGCTATAGTAATATTTGGGCATTCCCCAAAATAGTGATCCCAGTTCAGGTTAGGACATGATAGTAGTGTCCCTTTGAGGTCTGTCTGAGAAAAGGTGTCATTTCTAAAAAATTAGTGTTAGCAGATGGGCAGATGTGGCTCCAACAAGGCTTGCTTCATGGCTTATCATTTTTCCACATTTTCCATCCCTTTCATAAGCCTAGGGACCACATGCTGAACATTTAATTGAATCACACAGATTTTGTAGTCTTTAAAGCTTCTTATTCCTTGGTCACTTGTTAGTGGTGCCTCCCTCCTTGGTCAGTTTGGTGACTTCAGAAGGAAATACACAGTGCAGTGGTGAGAGCTTCACTTTTGAAGTTAGCCTCAGGCTTGATTTCTAGCACCACCACCCACTAGACAAATTGCTTAACCTTTCTGCACCTCAGTTTCCTCCTGACAGGCTTGTTTAGAAAATAAAATGAGATCAAATTTGTCAAGCACAGAGCATTGGCCCTGGTAGGCACCACATACATGAATTTCCTTCAGATTGTAGGTGAAGTAGACTTGATTTGGGATTTCTCTTGTTACCTAGGTGCTTGTGTAGAGGAGACTTTAGAACCAGAATGTGTTATTTGTGGTTTTGAGTGTGCCTGGGACTCTGAGCCAACTGAATTACCAAGTAATGGGGGCCCCATGGCATCCCATGACAGGTGGAGAGCCGGCTCTTCACCCTGGATGGACCTGAAATGCCTGCTAAGGCCTTGCTCCACCGAGTAGCACACACCCTATCAGTTTGCCCTTCTTTCCATCTCTTATTCTAGAGACCTTAAAGCCTACTTGTTGGTATATATTTTCAGGTTTTTGGAAATTGGGCTGTTTAATTGAAGTTAATACCAGTGATGAGACTTTTCAACCTGAGAACAACCTAGATGCTACTTCACATTTTGCAGTGGAAGCTTACTTCCATCTTCACTCATGTAGGACATTCTTTGGTCTCAATGTTTTATCACATCTCATGTTAAAGTATAATTCAGGTCTATTTTGTGGCTCCTGCCCCCTTCCCATTAATTCAATGGTTAAACAGATACAATTTTTTGACCCCCTACTATGTACCAGGCCCTCTGCCGGGTGCTAAAGCTATAGTAAAACATGGTATCTGGTTTAAAGAGCCAGACTGCACCCTGCATTTTATCTTTGCTATTAGTGTGCTAATCCAGACATTGGTACTAATGTTCTCTTTCTGGGTGGTGGGTTACACCTCAAGGCCAGGTGGTGTGAGTCTGTCTCTGCTCTGTTGACACTTAGGAGCTGATTGGATTCAGGTGTGGCACTGTGCCTCTTTGGTCCTCAGGGTCTGCGACTGTGAAGTTGGGGCTGCCTGTTTCATAGAAAGAGGGTTTCCTGGCCCTCTCCATGTTCCCCAGCTATTGCTATTTTTACTGAGCTTCCTGCCCTGGTTGCTTGTCATATGTCATGAAAGTGATGCTAAATTCTTGGATGTGCTCCTGAGTTCTGGATGCATGTTTCCTATGCCCTTTTATTCGATTTCCACACACAGTAAGTTTTCAAACTGGAAAAAGGTGCAGCCTTATTTTGTTTAAGCTAAGTGAATATTAATAATAAAACTATTTCTGTTCCACTTCATGGCTTTTATAACTTCATGCCTGTTAACTCTTTGAGGCAACCATTTTGTGTGGCTAATTTGAGCATGGTCTTAAAAGAGAATTTCAGTAGCATGTGTTTGCTGAGCACCTTGTGGGAAGGGGAAACAGATTCAATAACATCACAGGAGAAGCTTGGAGAAAGACAACAGGGGCATCCAAATGCTGCAGCTTTAACCTACTTTCTGGGACTGTCATCTCGCTGACTGCACGCCTTTAGATGCTTCTTCCTCAGTCTATGGGGAGAGGGACCTGGGGCTAGAAATAGGAGAGTTTGTGGGGAGGGGCAGGATGCTGCAGGGAGTGGGTGTGGGCAGAGGTTGCAAGACTGCCAGGGTTCTCTGTGTGCCGGAAGTGCAGGTTTGGCTGTGAGGAATGGAATGTTCTCTCTTGCCCTCCAAGAGCACAAACAGCTGTGGAAGAGCTTGAAAAGAAGATTACTAAAAGAAAAAATAATAATAATTAATATGAAAATAAAATCCACCCTAGAAAACCCAACAGAACCGTGTGTGGAGTATAGTGGTAGTCATCTTTTTCATGCTATTTAAGAGAACTTTCTTCCTATCTAGGATTTCTTTTTCAGTTGAGGGCAGGATAAATTGTGTACCCAGCCCTTTCTCCCCTTGGGAAAGCCTCATATGTCTCATTTTGTTTGGATAGAAAATTGATTCATTATTCTGATGACCAGATGATGATTTTATTCTTTTTATGAGGGACCAGAACCTGTCGCTTGCTTGCTGCTTGAAAACTTAAATGTTAGTTTCCAAAGGCCATCTCTGTGGGTAGAGGGTTATCGTCAGCAGTTTAACGGGAAATCTTGTTTCTAACTGGAAATTTAATTATTCAGCCAAGTTCCCAACAATGTTTACTTTAGAGCATCGTCTTTTTTTTTTTTTTTAAGTCCCTTAATGGTTTAAACTTTTAAGCTTTAGGCAAGAGTAGAGTGGAGCTAGATTTACATATCAGGTTGTTTGTGCAATCTTTTACATGAAAGTTTATGTTTTCTTCTCAATCTGAAAATTGGTTTTGGCCATTATAGCTGGTATTATATATGACGTAATAACTCTCTCTGATCTCAGATACATTTTTATGCTGTCATACTTTCTGCACCTGCTTTTGAACAACATCTTAGTCCCAAAGTAGATAAAATCTAGCAGAAGGGAGTAGGCAGCTAAAAACTAGATTCTAGCAATATCTAAGGAAATTACAAGGATCAGTTAGTGTTCCATTCCTTCCTTCTTTGGCTATATCAATTCCTAGTTTTGTGAAAGTCCACATGCCTTCTTTCTGTCCATGCCTGTGCATGCTGGGTGGAGAAGCATCACAGAGCAGAATGAGGTGACTGTCCCCAAGGCAGGGTAAGGTCAAGGATCTTTCCCCTCACCTCATGATTTTCAAAAGAAAAGCAGATCTGGACCTCAGTTACCTAAAATAAAATAAAATTACCCTAGCTCTTATTCTGCACATAAAATCACAGCTTTAATCTCTCATCCCAGTTCTCACCTTTATCTTCTCAATGATGGAAACTTGGACTTAAAGGAAGTTACTGTGCTATGTTACCAGATCTAAGGAGACTGGGAATCATTAGATTGGAATCAGATCCTCAGTCAATGGAAATATAAGGAGGAAAGACCATTGGTTCTTGGCCCTAATTGCACATTAGAATAATCTGGGGAGCTGTAAAAATGTACCTATATCCAGGCCTTACCCCATCTATTGAATCAAAACCTCTGAGACTGGGATGTGAGTGTTTAAAGTCTCCCCAGGTGATTCTAATAGGCGGGGTGAAGAACTACTACTGAAGGGAAATTGAGGGCCTCTTCCAGAGAATTGCCTTTGAAAGATCCTGTCATTATACACCGAAGGCGCCCACCCGGGCCTGCTCCTGAAGCTAGCTGTTTGCAGTGCTCTCCTGTGGCACGCAGACCTCTGGGTCTCCCTGTGAATTGGGGTTCCATTGGGCTGTTCAAAAAACCTTTGTCATCTGTGGTTCAGCAGACGCGTATGTTAGAATTCAGGCATTTGGCAACCTCATTCTGAATTGTCAGTACCCACAAGTCAAGCAGTGAGACCCACTTGAAATGCTGGTCCTGTACACAAAGTGGGTGAGCACTGTATTGAAAGACAGTCCTTTCCAGTGCTTTCCCCTGAAATTCCTTGTAAGGACCAGGAGACGCCTGCAGTCGGCCTGGTGGGAAGTAGTGGGCCTGGCTTTGGAGTTAACCATAACTCATTTTGCTGCTCCAGACAGTCCTCCTCCCACCCCACCCCACCCCACCTCAAAAAAAAAAAGAGAGAGGAGGGGGTTGTCTTTAAAGAAAAAAAAAAAGCAGGGGCTTTTAAGAGTTAAATTACACAACTCGCTTTTTATTTTTAAAGTGAGCAGATTTCTTGTTGTCGTTGCTGAGAAAGATAAATTGATACCACATGTTGCTTCCAGACAAAAACCTCTCTGTGTTCCAGGGGAAGCACATGCAGCTGGTGTCTGGGTGAGTGGACAGTCTCCACAAGGTAAACATGGTTTGGAAGGGCTGAAGCGGACGTAGGGTACAAAATTTAAGAAATTACCAGTTACTTCTGACTGGCACGGCACCTCTGAAATACTTTTTTAAAGTTTGAAATCCTTTCCTGGAAGGGGCCGCCCTGGAACCTTTTGGCTTAAAGTATATGATGCTCGGAAAACAGTAAGTTAACATTTATGATGTCACTGCTTCCGTGTGGGATCTAACAGTTGTTGGGAGCTGCTTTTGTACTTGGCACTTCACTGAGTAGTTTGCATGCAGAGCTTTATTTAATCTTCCCAAAGAGCCAAGAGATAGTCAAAGAATGTTTTTATCCTGCCTGTGGGAATTATCCCCTTTGTAAATTATTGGTGGAATACTTTTCATTTCAGGAAGCTTCTCTCTCACACCTAATCTGATCTGTTTGGGGTCCATGTGTCTTCACAACCAGTTAGCATGTATGTAGAGATCATGGATACTTTAGTATTAGCAATAATTGTATCTTGCAATAGAAAACGGTCTTCATTATAACAAGAAAAATAATTGCCAGATTCTGCTAGGTGCAGTCATCTTTATGCTGATTTATTCAAGGTGGACCAAACAAAGGAATCTCTAGGCAGCAGGACTGTGAAATGTGAATTCCATCATGCTGCCTCCTTCACACACCTATTGCACCTGCCTCCTGGAAGGGTTATGCCACTGATTGCCAGTTCTGTAACTGATTAACTACACCTAACGGGTTTCTGCCCCAGTGCAGGGCTTCCTTCAGTGTAAATTGTTTTGTAAAAGAGAAGATGGACATAAAAATGAAATAAAGAGTATTCTTACCACTGCACTCTCTTTAGACACATTGTGATAGAGGTGTTTTAAGGGTTCTTTAAACCTTTCGGCCCACGTTGGGGACAAGCTGGTACATTTGTCCCTGAAGCTGAAGTTTTTTCCTAGAGATCTTTCTTTCTTGTAATTTCATCAAAATCTTGATTTCTAAGTACTGAATTTAAATCACATGATTTTGGGTTTGGGGGTCATAGTAGCTTCTTAGCTTCTTTAGTGAGTAACTGTGACAATTGCCTGAGCTCTAGCAGTAGGTGTCTTGGTTATTACGTACCTTACTATCTTAGCCTTAAGGAAGGCACATCCCTAGTTCTTCAGCCAGTTACCATTGGCCTGCCTCAAAGGGTATAGCAAAATGTGTATTTAGATGTGATTAGAAAAATCATTCTCGTTCTGTCAAGCCAGTCCTTTTTTATCTTCAGCTCCCAATCCCAAAACTAATGTAAAATGTTAGAAATTTAGACTATTTGGTAAGGTGACATACGAATTAGTGAAAAATCATAGAATATTTGTAATGATAGTTTTCCTGGGATTGAGGTGGCAGGAGGGACATTTGAAATATTACAGAAATTGTATCACCATTAATTTTTGATACCAGGGAAGAAGTGGGGAAACATTGGAGTTCTGGTATTTTATCTGGCATCTATTTATTTACCTTTCCTGCTTTACCAACATTTAAGTAGAGAAGTTAGTACAGTTGAGCCTTGAACAATGTAGGTTTGAATTGCACAGGTCCACTTACATAGAGCTCTTTTTCAACCAAACACAGCATTCCCAGGATGTGAAACCCCCCTCTGGGCCTGGGGGAGTTGGCTCTTACATGTGAGTTTCTTCTGCGGGGCTGACTGTGGAGTGGAGTATGCACAGGTTTAGTTATATGCAGATGGTCCTGGAACCAGTCCCCTGCGTATAACAAGGATTAACTATAATCAGAATCATGACCTGTGAGGAAAACAGAATGTATTTCTGGCATCTGATTTTGAGGGGTAACTGGGCGTTTGAACTGGAAATGGACAGATGAGCCATATTTGTTGGCCTTTGTCAATGCCCTACCTTCAGATTATGGATTTTGTCAATGGAAGGCTGGCCACCCTGTATGAATAGAAGGCTGCTGAGATTGGGGACTGTGAGAATGATGGTGGCACAGTTTTTGTTTGTGTTGACTTAGTAATGTAACTGGAAAAACCTGTCTGAACTTTCTGTAGGTAATAGGCTCCAGGGAATGCATTCTGCCACTAAGAAACCTCTAAACTGAGAGTCAAGCAAAGATTGGCCATTGAAGCTAATCATCTATTTAATAAGTTGGGCTTTGTTTCAGAATCTAAGAGTAGTTAATATTGGGGGTGGGAGGGTTGTGGTTTTTTGTGTGTTTTTTTGAGACGGAATCTCACTCTGTCATCCAGGCTGGAGTGCAGTGGAGATGGGGTTTCGCCACGTTGGCCAGCGTGGTCTCAAACTCCTGATCTCAGGTGATCTATCCCCGCTTGGCCTCCCAAAGTGCTAAGATTACAGGTGTGAGCCACCGTGCCTGGCCAACATTGGTTTGTATGGTATCCACTGTCCTCTTTAGAATGAATGTGATCATGGCCACTTTACTAAAGAAAGACAAGTAAGTCCTATAGAATAAGCTCATACTTTGAGGTTTCCTCTTCTGAAAGACTTTTTTTTGTTTGCTTTTTGGGGTTTTTGTGTTTTTTTGTTTGTTTGTTTTTTGAGATAGGGCTGTGCTCTGTCGCCCAGGCTGGAGTGCAGTGATGAAATCACAGCTCACTGCAGCCTCAGCCTCCCAGGCACAAGTGATCCTCCCACCTCAGCCTCCCCAGTAGCTGTGACTATAGGTACATGCCACCACACCTAGCTAATTTTTGTATTTTTTGTAGAGACAGGGTTTTGCCATGTTGCCCAGGCTGGTCTTGAACTCCTGAGCTCAAGCGATCCGTCTGCCTCAGTGTCCCAAAGTACTGGAATTATAGGCGTCAGGCACTGTGCCTGGCTCAGACTTTGTTTTTAAAATCTTAAAAAAAAATTTTTTTTTAGGAAGGGCCCACCAAATACCCGTAACTATTTCATAAACAAATTAAAATAGTAAGATTGTGCTTTTATATTCCTATTCTTTCTTAAATGTGAAATGATTCTTTAGATAATCTGTTTAACTGTTAGCCCAAGTAGATTAAATGGTGACTTCTGCATAATTTGGTAAGAGGCCTATATGAAAGGTTGTAGAAAAAGCAGTGCATTGGAGTTTAGGAAACCCAGTGTCAGTTTTGGCTCTTGTGAACAGTAGCTGTGGGACCTTGCATTAAGTTATTTAATATCTCTCAGCCTGAGTCTTCTTATATAAAATTAGGGCACTGACATACTAATTCTTGCAGGTTTATTATGAGGATTAGAGACGATGAATCTAAAACACTCTGGCTCAGTAACTGACAGTGCTGTAATCTGGCAGGCACTGTCATCCTTGCAATTAGGGGACCTGGGTGGGTGGGCAGTCTCCATTGTCCTTTCCCACCCGAACACCCTGTGGTTATGGCCCTGGATGTGGGTGTTCCAGCCCCTTTTTACCACATGCCCTTGTAGAAGCTTAATATCTGTGTCCAGATTTTAACCCTGTGTAGCTTTTAATTTTATAAAACTATACGCATACGTTGTTGGAGGTTAGAATTGTGATAGATGGCCATCAGAAAATTTATGTGGGGCATTTTGCAGTTCTATAAGATGTTTCACACTTTTTCTCAGTTGGGTTGGAATTGGTGATGCTAAAGTACATTTTAAAATATTGTTCCCTAAATGCTTTTTAAGGGGGTATAGCTGAATACTTGACTGGTCATTCTAGTTAATTCTGTGTGTTGGTGTGATCTCCTTCCAGAATCTAACGCAGAGGGGGCTGGACAGAGTGGGAGTACTTAGGGTAGGTGTCCACATTTCCATTTAGCCTCGGGACCTCCGTGTTTTTTCACTTAGAAGCTTGAGTTTGTTTTTATTTAATATATCTAGTGACCTGAATTGTAGATCCACCTGTACTTGCCTGCTTTCTGAACACTGCAGAGTACATGTTGAGAGCATGCTTCATACCTATTGCATAGAGAAATTGTTTTACTTTTTAAAGAAGTGTACTATCCGGACCATTAGTAGAGATGCCATTATTCTTTTTAAAAACCGTAAAAGGAATCAGGATATATAGTCTCCTGGGCAACATTTGCCTTATCAGATACTCAGCATGTTGCTTATGTTCTTCTCTCAAACGCAGTTGTAGAAATGCCAACTTATGACCCATGATTGCTAATGCTTATTGCCTATCCTGAACTACAGGCCCTTCCTACATGTGAAGCATAGTATTTTGGATTATTTACTAATGGTAAAATCCTGCTGACATTCTGTGTTTTTAAAACATTCTGGGCTGGGCGTGGTGGCTCATGCCTGTAATCCCAGCACTTGGGTGGGGAGGCCAAGGTGGGCAGATCACTTGATGTCAGGAGTTTGAGACCAGCCTGGCCAACATAGTGAAACCCTGTCTCTAGTTAAAATACAAAAATTAGGCCGGGCATGGTGGCTCATGCCTGTAATCCCAGCACTTTGGGAGGCCGAGGCGGGTGGGTCACGAGGTCAGGAGATCGAGACCATCCTGGCTAACACGATGTAGAGACAGGGTTACTACCACACTTCTCTGTCCCCTGCACTTTGCAACAAGTAGAAACCCAGTCTCTACTAAAAATACAAAAAATTAGCTGGGCATGGTGGCGGGTGCCTGTAGTCCTAGCTACTCGGGAGGCTGAGGCAGGAGAATGGCGTGAACCTGGGAGGCAGAGCTTGCAGTGAGCCGAGATCACGCCACTGCACTCCAACCTGGGCAACAGAGCGAGACTCTATCTCAAATAAAAAAAAGAAAATACGAAAATACAAAAATTAGCCAGGTGTGGTGGCACGCACCTGTAACCCCAGCTACTCGGGAGGCTGAGGTGGGAGAATCACTTGAACCCTGGAGGCGGAGGTTGCAGTGAGCCGAGATCAAGCCATTGCACTCCAGCCTGGGTGACAGAGTGGGACTCTGTCTCGGGCGGCGGGGGGAACATTCTGGTAGAAGCATGTGTTTGTATCTTCTACATGAATACAGTTCGTGATTGCCAATTTAAACAAATATATATATATGTATATATAACTTTTAGGATTGTCCATATTTAATATATGGACAGTAGCATCAGGAGTATCTTTTGTCTTTAACGTGCAAATAAAAACTCATCTGGCCTGCAGGTACTGTTCCGGATGTGGAGCATACAGATTCATCAGCTCCTCCCTTTTACTGCAGGAGGCATTTTACAGATTAGAATGAGCCTGCTGCAGGCCATGAACTCTCTCCACCATGGACTCTGTGTTTTATAATAGCAATAAGAACACCCTGACTTCATAGCATGACTGGCTTCTGAAATATATCATGTGTCACCCTTACATCATCCCTGTACAGAGATGGTTTGGATATGATTATAGCCATAATGAAGGTGGGGAACTGCAGTTGTTGCAGACAAATTAGATTTGTTCAGGGTCACATGGTTGGTCAGTGGCAGAGATAGGACTGAATCTGGGTCATCACTGTCAACTGGGTGTATTTGCCAAGCCAGGAGGAGAATTCTTGCAAGATGGAGTTTTGAGGGTATTTTGCCCTACTTTTTAAGTAAATATTTATTTTAGGATACTTTTAAATTTACAGAAAAGTTGCAGAGATAGTAGAGAGTTCCCATACACCCAATATCAAGTTTCCCCTGTGGTTAACATCTTACAGTATGTGACATTTGTCACAACTGATGAATCAATATGGATATATTATTATTAACTTAAGTTTTTACTTTCTTCAGATTTCTTTCATTTTCACTTAATGTTTTTTTTTGTTCCAGGATTCCATCCAGCATACCATATTACCTTTAGCCGTCATATCTCCTTAGGCTCTTCTAGGCTGTGACTATTTTGAGAAGTACTGACTAGGCATTTTGTAAATGTCCCTTAATTGAAATGTGTCTGATGTCTTTCTCATGCTTAGACTGAGGTTATGGGCTTTGGAAGGCAGACCACAGAAGGTGCCATTCTCATCATGTCATATCAAGGGTACATATTATCAGCTCATCTTATCCTTGTAGATATTGACCCCGATCACCTACTGAAATAGTGTTTGTCAGTTTCTCCACTCTAAAGTTGCTCTTTTCCCCCCTTTTCATACTGTACTCTTTCTAAGGAAGTTACTATGCTCAGCCCACACTAACTTGACAGGCAAGTGTCTATATAAATTATTTGAATTCTTCTGAATGGGAGACTTGCCTACTTCTCTAATCAACCTGGCAAATCCTGCTCTACACTTCTTATGTCTGCAAGAGTTACATGGTAAGGTGTAAAATCTGGCAGGATGAGATGGAGTCATAGAAAGGTTAGGTAAAAATTCTCATCGGTTCTTCATTCACAGAAGTAGTTAAGAAAAGGTAGACGTTGTGCCTCTATACTAGTGGAGGAGGGGACCATGAGAAAATAAAATAGCCCTCCACCAGGTGATTAATTACCCTTAGAGAGCCGGGGAAGTTTGTTGCAAAGTGCAGGGGACAGAGGAGTGTGGTAGTAAATTCCAAGTGTGAACTTCAATATGGGCAATATAATTACAGAAAGGCCAGTAATTAGGGGCCTTTCAATATGGGCAATATAATTACAGAAAGGCCAGGAATTTGAGGAAAACTACTATCAGTGAGCTTATCTATTCCCAGCATCTCTTGGACATGAAATCATCTCCCTTCCCCCTAGATATGAAAACTGCCATTTAACATGTCATTTTATTCTCAAAGAGGGTCATGCATATATGTGTCTTTTTGAATTAGGATGGATTTTTTTTAACCTTTGAAATTGAGGCAGCTTTAAAAAATGAGGAGTTGGCCAGCACGGTGGCTCATGCCTATAATCCTAGCACTTTGGGAGGCCAACGTGGGAGGATCTCTTGAGTCCAGGAGTTTGAGACCAGCCTGGGTAACGTGGAAAACCCCATCTGTACAAAAAATACAACAATTAACTGGGCTTGGTGGCATGCGCCTGTAGTCCCAGTTACAGGTGCTTCAGGATCGCTTCAGCCCAGGAGGTTGAGGCTGCACCACTGCATTCCAGCATGGGCAGCAGAGTGAGACCTTGTCTCAAAAAAATAAAATAAAAAATGAATGAGGAGTCTGATTTACTATATCATCTGGGTGCTCGGTTTTGGACCATTCTGGTTCATACTCTGTATTTTCTTTTCTCCCTGCAGAACTCCATCCGGCACAACCTGTCACTGCATAGTCGATTCATGCGGGTCCAGAATGAGGGAACTGGCAAGAGCTCTTGGTGGATCATCAACCCTGATGGGGGGAAGAGCGGAAAAGCCCCCCGGCGGCGGGCTGTCTCCATGGACAATAGCAACAAGTATACCAAGAGCCGTGGCCGCGCAGCCAAGAAGAAGGCAGCCCTGCAGACAGCCCCCGAATCAGCTGACGACAGTCCCTCCCAGCTCTCCAAGTGGCCTGGCAGCCCCACGTCACGCAGCAGTGATGAGCTGGATGCGTGGACGGACTTCCGTTCACGCACCAATTCTAACGCCAGCACAGTCAGTGGCCGCCTGTCGCCCATCATGGCAAGCACAGAGTTGGATGAAGTCCAGGACGATGATGCGCCTCTCTCGCCCATGCTCTACAGCAGCTCAGCCAGCCTGTCACCTTCAGTAAGCAAGCCGTGCACGGTGGAACTGCCACGGCTGACTGATATGGCAGGCACCATGAATCTGAATGATGGGCTGACTGAAAACCTCATGGACGACCTGCTGGATAACATCACGCTCCCGCCATCCCAGCCATCGCCCACTGGGGGACTCATGCAGCGGAGCTCTAGCTTCCCGTATACCACCAAGGGCTCGGGCCTGGGCTCCCCAACCAGCTCCTTTAACAGCACGGTGTTCGGACCTTCATCTCTGAACTCCCTACGCCAGTCTCCCATGCAGACCATCCAAGAGAACAAGCCAGCTACCTTCTCTTCCATGTCACACTATGGTAACCAGACACTCCAGGACCTGCTCACTTCGGACTCACTTAGCCACAGCGATGTCATGATGACACAGTCGGACCCCTTGATGTCTCAGGCCAGCACCGCTGTGTCTGCCCAGAATTCCCGCCGGAACGTGATGCTTCGCAATGATCCGATGATGTCCTTTGCTGCCCAGCCTAACCAGGGAAGTTTGGTCAATCAGAACTTGCTCCACCACCAGCACCAAACCCAGGGCGCTCTTGGTGGCAGCCGTGCCTTGTCGAATTCTGTCAGCAACATGGGCTTGAGTGAGTCCAGCAGCCTTGGGTCAGCCAAACACCAGCAGCAGTCTCCTGTCAGCCAGTCTATGCAAACCCTCTCGGACTCTCTCTCAGGCTCCTCCTTGTACTCAACTAGTGCAAACCTGCCCGTCATGGGCCATGAGAAGTTCCCCAGCGACTTGGACCTGGACATGTTCAATGGGAGCTTGGAATGTGACATGGAGTCCATTATCCGTAGTGAACTCATGGATGCTGATGGGTTGGATTTTAACTTTGATTCCCTCATCTCCACACAGAATGTTGTTGGTTTGAACGTGGGGAACTTCACTGGTGCTAAGCAGGCCTCATCTCAGAGCTGGGTGCCAGGCTGAAGGATCACTGAGGAAGGGGAAGTGGGCAAAGCAGGTCAGTGCCGAATGCTATGGCATAAAAATAACAATATGGGGATGAGGGGGGATCTCTGGGGGAGCCTGTCTTCTCTTTACTTTGAACTTTATTCCACACTGAAAACCATGGAGCAGTGGTGCACATAATATGGCTCCCAGCCAGTTCCATCTCAGGGTTTTACCTGCAAACCAAATAGGGCTGTCAGGTGCCCCCCTTCCCCCGCACAGTTTGCTGATAGTTCAGAAATCTACTGCTC
The DNA here is from genome assembly GCF_000001405.40 of Homo sapiens. NCBI lineage: Eukaryota > Metazoa > Chordata > Mammalia > Primates > Hominidae > Homo > Homo sapiens. Next base: position 108,665,128 of record NC_000006.12, read on the forward strand.
GTGAAGAGAACACGTACGCATTCAGAGATCGCATTCTTTTTTTGCATCCAGTTGTCCTCACTGGCCTGTGACGCAGGTTGCCCTACTTGATGGATGGATGAGAAGAGAAGGAGAGGGATGGGAAGCTTGGGTCGTACTTCAGGGTTAAGGATCCCAGCCAAAGGGCTTTCCTAGAAAGACTCTCTGGTCCGTCACCGCTTTTGTCAATCTTCAGTGTTACATGTTCTTCATCTTTTTTTCCTTGTAAAGTAATGATCGGCAGGTACTTCTAATTTGCCTGCAGAATATGTATTCTAGACTCTTTCATATATGAATATTTCTAACAGAAGCAAAATCTGTTAATTATTCTTTATCTTAGTACTAAGCATCTTTATTAGCTAGCACTCAAGAGCTAAACCTTTAAAAAAGTAAGAGGCCAGGCACAGTGTCTCACGCCTATAATCCCACAACTATGGGAGACTGAAGCAGGAATTGCTTGAGGCTAGGAGTCAGAGACCAGCATGGGCAACATAGCAAGACTCTGTCTCTACAGAAAACTTAAAAAATTAGCTGGGTGTGGTGACACATACCTGTAGCCCCTGCTTCTCAGGAGAATCCCTTGTGCCCAGGAGTTTGAGGCTGCAGTGAGTCATGATCGTGCCACTGCACTCCATCCTGGGTGGTAAAGCAAGAACCTATCTCTTAGAAAAAAAAAAAAAAAAAGCCAAAAAATTAATTTGAAAACACAGGTGTTTGTATGAGGGAGTACTTACTCGTGTGCTTCTGCTTGTTCACCAAACTATAAATGATATCAGCAGTTTCCAAACATAGAGTGACACAGGTTGTGAATGGTGATGGAGATTTTTTCAATTGTGGCATTTTAATGTTCTCAGAACCACAAAGATCAGGCAGTGTGATGTAAGAAAAAGCATTTGATTGAAATCAGGAATTGAGGTTCAGGCCCACTTCTACCACTTTCTTGCTACCACTATGGTTGTGTCTTAGGTCTCTGAGTCTCAACTTCCAGTTTTATAAAATGAGGATAATAGCCCCCATTACTTCACAGGGTTATTACAAGAATCAAATGCACTAAAGCATGTGAAACTGCAGTAGGCTGAAATATGTACCATGCAACTAGGTATACTGACAAATGGGCAAGCAGGTAGCCCAGAGAGGTTAAGTAGTTTGCCCAAGGTTACAGAGCTAGGTTGATTTCTTTTTTTTTCTTTTTCTTTTTCTTTTTTTTTGAGATGGAGTCTTGCTCTGTCTCCCAGGCTGGAGTACAGTGGCGCGATCTCGGCTCACTGCAAGCTCCACCTTCCAGGTTCACGCCATTCTCCTGCCTCAGCCTCCTGAGTAGCTGGGACTACAGGCGCCCGCCACCACGCCTGGCTAATTTTTTTTTTTTTTTAATTTTTAGTAGAGATGGGGTTTCACTGTGTTCACCAGGATGGTCTCGATCTCCTGACCTTGTGATCCGCCCGCCTCAGCCTCCCAAAGTGCTGGGATTACAGGCGTGAGCCACCGTGCCCGGCCTAGATTCATTTCTTAAATGGCTTGAACCCCCATAGTAGTTCTTCCTTATTCTCTCTAGCTGGTTAGAAAAAAAGCGGGGAGGGGAGGGAAGTGCCCTGAACTGGAGTCAAAGTAGCAGATGATAGACAAGCTTTCCCTAAAAACTCTCCTCCTCAAGAAGTAAGATGAACACTGGGATCTTCTACCAACAGGTTTGCACCCCTAGCCACCTCGATGTTAACAGGTTCTGTTCCGTGCCCCAGCCCTTTTGCTTTGTTTTGTTTTAGTCTCAGCAAGCTACTTACAGGCTTCTTTAAGTGGTGTAAAAAGCAAGGGAATTCAAAGCTGTAAAAACTTGAGCCTTGTTTAACCCTCTGCCATGATGAAGGACTTAACAAGGGTCTCCTATGGTGAGCTCACTCCAGCTCACGGGTGGTTGCAGAAAGGGGAATGTTAAGAGTGTTGTGATGCTAAAGCCTCTCAACTTTCTCAGGCCTAAGAGACCCCTAATGGAACTCAGATATCTGATTTCAGTCATTTAATAGCCCTTGAGATGGTGAAAAGACTGTAATGGAAGCTAAGTAGGGTGGTAGTACTTCCATGCCAGCCAGCTCAGTTCCATACCAGAACTTGGGCTAGTGGAGATTTGACTTCAGAAATGTAGATATTTGGCCTTTAGAAGACTAGTTTGTCTTCCTTTAAGGAGAAGAATATGGAAGATTTGTCTTTAGAAATGTAGATGTTTGGCTTTTAAAAGAATAAATGGTTTGTCTTCCTTTAAAAATAGGCTTTTAAAGACACAAGTAAGTTTTAATTTGAGTGTAATTGTAAGGAGGCCACTTTCTAGTTCGTTGGAAAATATGTGTTCAGAAGACAATGTAGTATCAGTTTTTGTCTGATTTTTCAAGTGTTGGTTTCCCTTTTGGTTGAACAGCAGATCTTTCTCGTATATGTGTAATTCTAAAGGATTGTACAGAAAATTAAGGGAGATCTAAATACTTAGATTTTTAAAGTTTATCTGGTGAACTCTGATTTTGGTGATGATAATAAATGACTGCATTGAGGATAATGCATTTCATTGTTATATCCTAATGAAGCTTTAGGGTCATCTTCGCCTCAGAATATTTTGGGGGAGGTTGTTTTGAGAAGATAACTTCTTCAGCTAAAAATGAAAAGTCACCAAATTTTCCTGAAAGTAGACTAGCTCAGTATGACCACAGAGCATTTAAAGAACCATCCAAAGGACAGTGGGGGCTGTGAGGGGATCTAGTTTCTGGTTTAGGATTTCCATTTTTGCTTAGAATCCATTGTTCTTTCAGCAGCCAGGAGCACATGCAACCTGAAGTGTATTTTTTACTTTAAAACTTAACTGTGACTGTCACTTCATTGAAGACTCTCCTAAATTCACAGAACGAGGCTGAGGTCAGACTCTGACACCCTGCTTCTCTCAAATTAACTGTCCCAGCTTCCCAAGAGTTGCTCTCTAATAACTTTCTTGGTTTAACTTCTTAGTGTTTCTCCAGACTGAATTCCTGGCTTGCTCACAGAAGAAGGTCATGTGATGCTGAATCTGAGCCGCCTTGTGTTAATGGAGCGGTCTGCTCAGTTGACAGGCAGTCTTGCTGGGGAGCTGCAGCAAGATGCTTCTCTGGCGGGCTGGGTGTTTCACACGTCATTCATTTTAGACCACGTGTAGAATTCTTTGACCCTTAGGTCTATCTGGAAAAGAAAAAATAGCCATACTTTTTTGGAGGGCTGGCTGCTGGGTCGTGAAGGGCACTGTGTTCTCTCAGGTGTTCATAAAGCTTGGTGCATGTGCTTACAGTTGGTGGCAGAGATGGTCATGAGCTGGTGTGGTGCTGCAAGCTCGAGCTTCCGGTAAGCCTTCTTGAGTTCGACATGTGTCCTCTCTGAGGGAAACCAGCTTCAGTCTCACCTTAATTTGATATCAAAGATGCCTGCATTCACAAACTTTCATTCATCTTCATCTTTTGACATTTGGAGACACCATTAGGGAGCAGCCCAATATTTAGTTTAAAGTACTTTACATAAAGACTGGGAAGCATCCACCAGCAAAAGCCCAGATGGAGAGGGGAGGGGTGGTTCACTTCTTGTCTCTGCCACATCACTCAATCTTGTAGAATATTAGGTTTCTCATTTGTCAAAAGAAGACAGCCTCATCAAGTTTTAAAGGTGCATAGTATGTATAATTTTAAACTTGAAGACCGGGCGCAGTGGCTCACGCTTGTAATCCCAGCACTTTGGGAGGCCGAGACGGGTGGATCATGAGGTCAGGAGATCGAGACGGTGAAACCCCGTCTCTACTAAAAATACAAAAAAATTAGCCGGGCGTGGTGGCGGGCGCCTGTAGTCCCAGCTACTCGGAGAGGCTGAGGCAGGAGAATGGCGTGAACCCAGGAGGCGGAGCTTGCAGTGAGCTGAGACTGCGCCACTGCACTGCAGCCTGGGTGACAGAGCAAGACTCCGTCTCAAAAAATAAAAAAAATAAAAACTAAATAAACTTGAACCCTAACATTTTGTCTGTGAAATGGACCTGGTGAAGTCTATGTTATGATACAGAGCTAGAAAGAAATAGTGGTGTACTAGTGTGGCATCAGCAGGCTGCAGTATTGGAAGCCATTTGGAATTTACGTGTAGGCTACTTCCCAAAAGGAGTAAATCTTTGATGCTTGTTTGACTGATGTTTGAATGCTGTGATTCTAGTATGTCTTTAAAATTTATGTTGGGGATAGGACTAATTCTAACCAAATACAGGTAATATAGACTGTATCGTGTTTTTTATTGATGTAGATATTTCTGTTTTAGGGAATGTAACATCTGATAAATATGAATCTGTTATGAATTACCTGGAGAATATATTCTGCTATTTGTACCTATGACTATAGTCTTCGGTTATAGTATGCTAGCCTGAAGAATTCTGCATCTTCAGGGATCTTTATTCTTACCTTTTAAAAAAAGCCGAAAGTCTGAACTGTCATTCAGGGAGAGAATGTTGGGATCTTTTTAGTGTCGATGAGCGCGAGAGAAAATTGATATGGCCATAAAAAGGGGTTTTCTTTGCAGAGGCTGGTACACTGGCTACATACGCTGTTTTTTCCTGGAAAGCAGTGACATTTAGCATGAAGGCTGCTCTTCCTGGGCCTGTTGGTTTTATAAAATGCACCTGTTTTCACCTCTGGCCAGCCTGCTAAGCATGGAGACAGAGCCTGAGTGGCTCCTCCTTCAAGCAGTTGTATTTATAAACAGCTTTCTGGAAGGTCTCTTCTGTCCAGAGAGCTCATGTAGAACACAAACAGGGTGAAAATCACCAGAATTACTATTTATAACTTAGAGTGTTCATAATGCTCAGCAGCATCTTGTAAACAACATTTTCTATCAGTAGAGTCTTCCCCCAGGGGCCACCTGTGCTTCTCACAGGCTTATCTTTCTATATGGAGATGGGAGAAGGGGGCTTTCTGGGATCCGCTTTGCCATTGCTGGAGAGATTGCCTCCTAGAGGTCCTCCTTGGTCTTGGGCCAAGTGGGAGAATGTTTGCTGACTGCTTTCTCTTCCCTGACTTGGAGACACATATTTACTGGACTTTCATCCCAAGATGGAGATTCTCCACCTTGCAGGAGACACCACCTGCTTCACCCTGGTTTTGTTGATGTGTTCATTGAATTTCAAAGTATTGCTTTCCCCAATCCTCCAAATTGTTTTGAAGTTTAAAGTTTCAGAAACTAAAATGAATTTAAAATGTGTTTTGCAAATTAGTATTTAGAGGTCCTGTAAGTCAATGTTTCTCAAAATGTTTCTCGGAATACTAGATCCTCAAGATAGTCATAGATCCTCAAGATAGTGAAATGGAAAATGGATTCTGTGGTCAAATAAGTTTAAGAAATACCATGTTAAACAAAGAGAAATTGCATTATTTCCAAGAGAACTTCTCAGAGCCTTAAAGGTTAATACACATTATGAACTTTTTAGGGTAGGATATGTTATGCAGTGTTTCCTAAATGTGTTTGATATCTTGAATCAAATCCTTTTTCTTCAAGAAACCATAGCACCAGTGTTCTAAGGAACCCCCTTAAGAAATGCTGTCCTAGAGTTTTGCTGAAAGGAGTCAGCACCCCCTTGGAGACAGGGCTTCTTTGCCCTTCTCCTCCCTTTCTTGCTGAGTTTTTTGTATGACCTTGTCATATATCTAGTGTTTCTCAGCCATATCCATGCATGGGCTAGCTGCCCGGCAAAGTGGTAGGCCCGTGTTGGTAGAAGTGCTCAAGAAAGGCCTGAAATCATTAAGCACAGTTCATCTGTTGAGTACCTGCTGGGCACAGGGGATAGAAGTGGGTAAAAAGGGTCCCTCCCTTAAAGAATGCGTGGCCTAGTGGAGAAAGTGGTGGCAGTGGCGATGACAGTTTGTCGTAGAGCCAAAGACTGCCTTCCTCACAAGGTTGGAGCAGAGGTGCATGTGGTGTGGCAGCCTGATGTGCCTGGTTTTCTGGGACACCCCTGCATTCAGGGGTTCTGTTCCATTATCACATGGTCTATTCCACAAAAACACAGACCCTAAGACTTGAGGAGCTCCATACTAACAGGTCAGAGTTCAGGCTGAATCCAGATGCTGGTTTCTTTTAAAAGCTCTGCAGAGCACTTTATGTTTGATTTCTAGAGCTGGTGAGTTCATCACGGTTGGACATGAGCCGCCCACTTCAGCACACTGTCCCTGGGGCTCAGCTCTGAGGGAGCTGTGGATTAAAAAAGCCTCCCCTGCAGCCCACTCCAAGTTAAGTGAGATCCTGTGGGATGGCAGAGGAGCTGTGGGACTTGCAGCAGAAGGCTGCCTTTTTCATGGCTGTGTGTCCTGCAGTCAAGTCCCTCATCTCTCAGTTTCAGTTTGCTTATTTATAAAATGAGGTTAAAATTAAAACTTGCCTCACAGAGCTCCTAGAAGGACTACCTCTGATATGGGCTAATGTCTTTTGACACCTTTTTAAACATGTTATTTAATGTTTATTGTGATTTAAAACAGCTCCAGAGGTTAATAGTGGAAGCCAGAAGCAGCCACGCCAGTCTTAAACTATGGGCAGAAAGAGTGACTGTTTTCCTCAGTGAACTAGATTCCCCTGGGTTTTTCATTAAAAAGGGATCACAGTTACCTGTTGGTGTGAGAACTTTTATTTCCAGAGTCAATGTCCCTTAGAAGTTCTGCCTGCCAGTTTGGGGGTGCTCATTAAAGGGGCTGTTAAACGAAACTAATGCTACAAATGGTGTTGAGGAGAGCTGTTTGTGGTATCCAAAGTGCTCCATTAGCATCTTTAAAGGATCGCCTGAGAAGTCCCAGCTGTCTGGCTTCAGCTCTGCTTAGCATGGGTACCCATCGGTGTCCACAGGGGCTAGCAGCAAGTCCTGCTGAAGGAGATGCCCCACCCTGCTCTTTTCAGCTGCCTTAGAGCCTCAAGCCTGAGCCTCTCCTGCTGTTGGGAGGAACCTGGCAATGCCATCTTTGTCTTCCCAATGCCGGTCATCCCAAGCCACTCAGAGAGATAAAGAGCCATTGCAGTCCCTCTTAGGGCTGTCTTGGAGCAGAAAGACTGGCACATGATAGCATGGTGTTGGCAGTAGTCTGGCCTTGGGTCTCCCCAGAGCTGGTGGTTTATCGCTTATTAGTTACTGTGATACAATTTGAGGTTCAGAAAAGACAGTCACTGTACCCTTAACATCTCTTCGAATTCTAAGTTGAGTGAAAACCCAGAAAAAAAATAGGCTGTTCTTCTCTAAGCGCTTCTAAATAAGCAGCAGCCAGGCCAGGGACTAAAATACATCGCCCTGTAGAGCCACTGGACACTGGGATGCAGGTCTTTTGTGTCTTTCCTGCTCAGTAATAGATGTGGACCTTAGTTTGTAATTTTAGGTCGGCTTTGTTTTTTAATAACCTATTTTTTGCTAAAATCCATGGCATTCGTTTATTAAAGAATAGTATCACTTAGTCACGAAGTCTCAGAGGGTAATTCCAGTGTTTCTGAAGGCTAAAACTGTAATTGACAGTCTTGGTTTGATTGAAGGTTTGGATGTCAGTACGTCTCCTCTCTCTCCCTCCCTCTCCCTCTCCCTGTCTCTTCCTCTCTCATCCTCTTTCTTCTTCTTTCTCTCCGTCTCCCTTCCCTCTTCTTTTCCTGCTTTGTCTCTGATGCAAGAAGTCTGAGCCATAAGGTTGTGGGATTTTTTTGTTTCCTTTTTTTTTAAATGTGTTTCTGTTTGTGTGGAGTGTTTGACTTGATTCTTCAGGGGAAATCAGTGACTAAGAAGAGAAGGCCAGAGGTAGAAGTCCAAGAATTCTGAGGTCGAAATTTTCAGTTAATTTCCAGTAGGCCTTCATTTCTGTATATGCCACTGTAATTAATTGGGGCTTTCATTGGTCATTTGTATGTTCAAAAAAGATCAGACAGCAATACCGCCCAACGTAGTTATAAGTAATCAGAAAGTGTCTTGACTGATAGACCTGTTGGAAGGTGACCCTAATGTTTACCTGAAAATGCTGCCTGCCCACCGAGTAACAAAAGCCAAAGCACTCCCTGCCCCACTCGTCAGGTTCTACTCAGACTGCCCTGCTGGCTGGAGTGGGGTGCCCCATGGGAGGCAGCCCCAGCCGGCACTTACACCAAGGTGCAGGTGCAGGCCAAGCTGTAAGAAGAGGGCCACCGGGGCCACACACGCAGATTCCCCTCACTACCGGAATCTGCACACCTGGCCAGGGCACTCCTTTGTCTCCCTCAGTTGTGGAGCCACCCTGGAGTTCCTCTCAGTTCCTCTGTGGCACTGGTGTGATGGTTGTTACATGGCCACCATCTGTGTCACCTGTGTGTCCTGGTCATACCTTACAGGTGGTTTGGACTATTTGTAGAACTCAACTAGCTGATTCTGTGTTTTCAGTTTCAGAATCACTTGGAAAAATTAGATTGTCTCTCAGAATCCTGTGTATCTAAAGCAGGAAAAGAGCGCTTTAGAGATCCTCCCTTCAGTATTTGGTAGCTAAACCCTGAGATGGACTGGCAATTACACCTGCATTTCCACCCACCCTCCAGGGATCTAGGGCATCCCAGCCTGCACACTCCTATCATTCATCCCTGCCCCGCCCCCCACATACACACACCCCAGTAAATGCAGTGAAGAGTCATACAGGATAGGGTCACACCCAGCAAACATAAACATTGTGATATGCAGGTCATGTTTGATGACTGAACATTTCCTCCTGTACTACAATTCCCTATTGTTTTTAAAAGGTGAATCACTTTATTGACAGCAGCTTGAAACTTAGAGTAGCAAGACTCTTAATTTGGGGGCTGGTGGTAAGGATATCTATGGTGGGATGTACAGAAAGGATAGGAGAAGATAAACCTTTTATTAAATACTTGAGAATTAGTTGAATGTTAAAATCGTGCCTTGTATTGATTTCATCTGTAAGAAATAGGAGTTTTAGAAATTGAATGATTGGAAACCATCCTTTTCACATAAAGTACTGCAAATCCTAGGTCATATCCCACCAGGCAGTAGGTTCTGCCTGGACTCAGACTAACTCTTGGCAAATATGAGTAGGTCATGGAAGCAGTTGCAATGAAAGGATGCTGAGTGTTTGAGTTGGCAAAGAGGAAGAGAGGGTTCTTCCAGGAGGATGGTTCTTTGATTGATTCAGCCAACATTTATAGTGCATCCATTTAGTACTTTCAACTTACCAGGTTCCTTGGGACATCAAGAAAACTGTTGTTTCTTTCACTGGAATATGTGCTGCACGAGGGAAGATACCAGACAGTGCTCTTAAAGTAGTAGGTGCTCCATAAGTGTTTGATTTGATTTGAAGACTTTGCTTAGCTTTCAAGGAGTTCAACATGTTAGGAGCTCAAAGTCCCTGAAAAAGTTGCCATTTCAGGCACATTATGATTAGATACTAGGTGAGTGACTTAAGAATTGAGTCAAGGATAGCGTAGGGAAGGTGGGGCTGCAGGAGCCATCTGAACATGTAGGTGATTTGCTGGGTGGTAAGAAGAGCCGTCCAGGCAAAGTGTCTTTGAACCTGACCCATCGGACAAGCGGAGGGTTTGTTCCCAGAAGCAGTAGTGGGCCTTAAAGCATGGATGAGGACAGTGGAACCTGATCCCACAGGCCTTTACCAGCTAAGGGTTTTGGATATTATAATAAAGTTAAATAACCATGAATTCAGAGAGGATCCAGACACCCTTTAAAGGCTTTTTGCCTAAAAACTGGGCCTTTAAAAAGAACATAATCTAAAAGTGTACATACTATTATACGTGGTTTGCAAATCTGAGAATCTTAAGAAAATACTAAATCTCTGCAACTTTGCTATTGACAGTAAATCAATACCTGTCATATTTCTGCCACATTAGTATTCATAGTCGACTCTGGATATGTGAAAAATATTGGTTAACATAATCCCTGCCTCAACATAAAGTCAGAGATAGGGATTTATCTGTCCCTATCTCTGATAGGGATAGATCAGATAGTTTAAGATAGGGCATTCTTAAACTTATTTTAGCCATTAATAATCGCTAAATTTAAGCAACAGAAAAGCTGGTGCCTCCCAGCAGGTGGCCCCCAGCCCTTTGTCCCTCAGCTATGAAGTATGAGGATGGCTACCTCTCTCCCTGTGTCTCCCTTGGGTTTTATCAGCACAGCACAAAGGCTGGCTGGAAGGGCAGTCCACTCCAGGTCTAGGCTCTGAGGTGTCCTGGAGGCGAAGACTCTGGAGGACCTTGTCACCAGCCTTCCCAGACTGGTTCACCTGCTGCCTTGACCAAGCCCAGGAATTACTGGGAGGCAGTGCAAGGCAGCCTTTACACAAGTCAAGCTTGTGTTTTACACCCTGTCTTCCTGGAGTCCATGTGAGACTTCCTTGTCAGATTGCATTAATATCAATTCCTTATCTCTCCTAAGTGTTCCATATTTAGTCCCCAGCTTGCTCTAGGGGTTGAAAGTTTGGCTAAAATTATCTTTCTTTTTAAAGAGTGAGGAAAGTGGTGTTTCACTTTATTTTTGCTTGTGGGGCAAACTTTCCTCAAATCATCTAGTTCTGTCTAACTAGGAAAACAGTTGATAACCTTCATGGATTTGTGAATGTGAAGGTTTCAACTTATGATCTCTTTTTCCTTCCATGTCCTATTTAGTATTAGGGTCCTGTTCTGTTCTTCTCTGCCCAGAAGATAAAAACACTACTGAAAAATGTTTCACAGTGGATTAAGTTGTGGGAGGACAGCAGTAGGAACATTTATGTTTTATTCCCAGATTAAAGTTGATTGGGGTTGTTATGTTTTGTGTAGTTTTTGGAGGCATTTCCCTTTCTTAGAGTATCATGTGATTTATGGTGATAATTAGGCAGAAACTTGTCTTCCCTACAGATGCCAAGATTATAGAGGGACTTGCTCTCACCAGAGACCAGATGACAGCATCCGTAGATATTTTTAGAATGGACCTCATCATTTATTTGGTCTCCCCATTTCATTTTCTTTGTATCAGCAATTGATTTCAAACTTGTTTATTGGGCAGGGAGGGGAGAGAGGGCGTCTTCCCTTATTAATGAAAGTCACTGATGGGACAGAACAGCATCTTTGTATTTATTGTTAATTGGCATATTGCCTAGTACTTGCAGAGTAAACTACAATTCCATCAGCTGTAGCTTCATTTTCTTTTCAAAAGTTTTGCTTAATCTGATGTGTTTTCTTACAGCATTTTAAAATTTTATTTATTTATTTTGAGACCGGGTTATGAGACTAGTTTTTGTATTTTTGGTAGGGACGGGGTTTTGCCATGTTGCCCAGGGTGGTCTCCAACTCCTGGTCTCAAGGGACCGCCCCCCTCAGCCTCCCAAAGTGCTGAGACTACAGGCATGAGCCGCCATGCCTGGCCCCTTAATCCGATGTGTTTTTAAACTAGAAGAGCATCGACACATACACATAAATCTCACGGTTAACTAAATAACCGTATAACTAAAATGTCATACTTTAAACTATTTAAGAATGACATGAGCTTTCTTAAAACCCATGAAACTTGTACCCAAGCTAAGTATCATTGACTTTCCCAGCTCAGTAGCTGGGTTTCATCACTTAATATGCTCCCTCTACTCTTTCTGTCCTTGATTGAATCAGATAAGCATGTACAAACATTGAGCCACAGGAGAGCCATTAAAAATCTAAGACAGATGAGCTGCTGCTTTCCTTTTGATTATTTTTATTACCCCAGTTTTCATTGTAAATGGTGATTCTGGTGTTCCTCTGAGAAGGTTAATTGTATTTCTGTTCAACATTTATCTTCTATATTTTCAGTGTTTTACAATCTGTTTTCCTTCTGTCACAGAGGAAACCAAAGGCCTTTCTGTTCTCTGGAGTGGGAGTTTCTGTATTAAATTTGTCCTCTGCAAGAGTTGCCTCTATACCTGGGCCAAATCCTCTACCAATTCAGCCTATAAGCACCAAGGTGGTTTCCTGAGCAGGCCTCCCTGGGAGGGCATTGCCTGGGGGACCTCAGCGGAAGCTGTAGAACATAGCTTCACAGGTGACCCCAACCCCAATCTGCAGAAAGGGAAAGTGGTGATTCACACATCTCGTTTTTAATAATGGAGTTCTCTGAAGATTGGGGCCTTTTGATGAAGGAATGGATATTAAGCCTGGGGACTGTGGTTGGTTAGTGCTTTAGACTGTCCCACATGGGCCTCCTACTCCTGGCTTTGGGGTGATGGCCTGTTCTGCTCAAAATTGTGCTCTGTTAGGGGCTCATGGGTGTCCTCTGTCCTCTTTCCTGCTGTGTTGGCCCAGCCCACATTGGAGCAAGCCACACTCCCTGTCTCTGTACTTGGGGAATGAAGTGTGTCACCTTCCCATTATGCACTGGCTTCTGTGGCTGCATAATTAATACCCAAGGGAACTGGAGAGAGATCTGAATTAGGTAGTACTTTACAGCTTCTCCCTCGGCGCTTACAGTAAGTCAGGATGGGGACTTGGGGATGGGAGTCCCCTGATGACTGATCACATAGTGATGTTGGATGGTGGTTTATTAAGTGTTATTGTGAGGGGAAAAAACCAAATCCTCTTCCAGAGGACTGTGCCTGTGAAACGCTATCTAATCATTCATACTTTGCAGGGCAAGGTAGAGTAGTTAGAATAGCACTGACTTTAGCAAGCTACGGTCTTCACAGATGCTGAGATCTAGTATTTACTTCAGCTTTTACTCCCTCTAGAATCAACAAGCCATTATTTTATAGTCCAAGGTAATATTATCTAGTAGCTTTACAAAGCAAAGAATGCCCCAAAAAACCATCAGCCAGGGAAACTAAAACCTAGGGATAGACAGGAAGAAGAAAGAGGCTTCTTTTTATACTTTATTGTCCCTACCTCCAGTAAAACAACCTAAATTCTTCAATTTGGAGCTTTAACAAGGATAAGTAAATATGACCATGGGCATGTAACATTGTAAATACTAAGTCCTGCTGTGTTTGCAAACATTGAGAGTGAAAGGTAAGATTGCCAGCAAGTGCAGAGTCACAGAAGAGATTGAAGTTACAGTACACTCATGAGAATTCCTGATGACCCTACGGTACAACCTCTAAAGGTGGGAGAAGCAGATGTATATAATGTGATTTTGTGTGTGAGTTTTTTGATGCTTTTTTCATTACTTATTTACCTTGTCTGGAGAGAAAAGCACGAGTTCATGTTGTTTCACTACCACTTTTCTATCCATTTCTTGGCCTAGAGCCGTTTCTTTACTACCATAACTGCCAACACTATCTCCATAAACAAAGAATCTTATGTCTGGAGGTCTGTCATGTCACGTCCTTTTGCTATTAAGACAGCTCTATGAATATACTTTTTTTTTTTTTTTTAATCCCTTAACTTTTCTGGGCCCAGTGGTCACATGACATCTGATAAGACTTGTATAAATTCAGATGCTCTAAGAGCACCTTTTTTGTGCCTTTCCATTGAAGACAAAATAATAATTGGAGGCAGAATAATAATAATGTTGTTGATTGTTAATGGGGTGTTTTATGGGGGATTTCTTGTCCATATATGTGTTATGTAATTTTTTTTCTCCAAATTTGTAATACAAAAATCAAATTCCTAAGCCAGGTGCATTGGCGTGCCTGTAGTCCTAGCTACTCAGGAGGCTGAGACGGAAGGATCTCTTGAGCCCAGGAGTTCAAGTCCAGCCTGGGCAACATAGCAAGACCCCATTTCTTAAATTCTTTTTTTTTTTTTTTTTTTTTTGAGACGGAGTCTCGCTGTCGCTCAGGCTGGAGTGCAGTGGTGCGATCTTGGCTCACTGCAAGCTCTGCCTCTCAGGTTCACGCCATTCTCCTGCCTCAGCCTCCCGAGTAGCTGGGACTACAGGTGCCCGCCACCGCGCCCGGCTAATTTTTTGTATTTTTAGTAGAGACGGGGTTTCACCATGTTAGCCAGGATGGTCTCGATCTCCTGACCTCGTGATCTGCCCTCCTCAGCCTTCGAAAGTGCTGGGATTACAGGCGTGAGCCACTGCGCCCGGCCCATTTCTTAAATTCTTAAGATGGCCCGCTTAGTAATTACTTACTCTTTTTATGGTGGGGAATAGGGGAGTCAAGATTACCCACACCCAGCACTGCAGACTTATTAAGGCCTTTATAGAAAGTGGCCATTTCATCTCCACTGGTGTTGGGGTATTCGTGGAAAAGGGTGGTAAGCAATTCAGTTAGTCCACATAGCCAGTAGGGAAGAACCAGAAAAGTATAACTCATCTACTTAGGATGAGCGGCTCTCCTTGTTTTAGCATGGAAAGTCCCATGTCCTAGGAAATCCCTCAGTCCGGAAGTCTAGAACAGAATCTTATCTGCACCTTGAACATCTAACTAAAAAGGACCCACCAAAACACCCCTAATATGGCTTTCTTTATCTCCCAAAGTGAATGATCCCATTCCCTTTGGGCTTTTCAACTTCAGAGCATTTTGTAATAAGGACAACATGAGAAATAAGGTAAGTAATCTTTGTGCTTTGTCCTTAGGATTTCAGACCTTTGAAACTGGTGTAGCAGAGCAGCTTTGCTGTGCTAGCCCTGGGCTCTGAGGTGGGTGAGGGAGATGGAAGGCCTTGACAGGTGGCCCTCAGGTGCCCACTATTGCTGTTGCAGTGCCCTTAATGATCTCTGGTTTTCTTTTCTCCTCCTTTAGACCCTCAAACTGACACAAGACCTACAGAGAAAACCCTTTGCCAAATCTGCTCTCAGCAAGTGGACAGTGATACCGTTTACAGCTTAACACCTTTGTGAATCCCACGCCATTTTCCTAACCCAGCAGAGACTGTTAATGGCCCCTTACCCTGGGTGAAGCACTTACCCTTGGAACAGAACTCTAAAAAGTATGCAAAATCTTCCTTGTACAGGGTGGTGAGCCGCCTGCCAGTGGAGGACAGCACCCCTCAGCACCACCCACCCTCATTCAGAGCACACCGTGAGCCCCCGTCGGCCATTCTGTGGTGTTTTAATATTGCGATGGTTTATGGGACGTTTTAAGTGTTGTTCTTGTGTTTGTTTTCCTTTGACTTTCTGAGTTTTTCACATGCATTAACTTGCGGTATTTTTCTGTTAAAATGTTAACCGTCCTTCCCCTAGCAAATTTAAAAACAGAAAGAAAATGTTGTACCAGTTACCATTCCGGGTTCGAGCATCACAAGCTTTTGAGCGCATGGAACTCCATAAACTAACAAATTACATAAACTAAAGGGGGATTTTCTTTCTTCTTTTGTTTGGTAGAAAATTATCCTTTTCTAAAAACTGAACAATGGCACAATTGTTTGCTATGTGCACCCGTCCAGGACAGAACCGTGCATAGGCAAAAGGAGTGGAGCACAGCGTCCGGCCCAGTGTGTTTCCGGTTCTGAGTCAGGGTGATCTGTGGACGGGACCCCAGCACCAAGTCTACGGGTGCCAGATCAGTAGGGCCTGTGATTTCCTGTCAGTGTCCTCAGCTAATGTGAACAGTGTTGGTCTGCTGGTTAGAAACTAGAATATTGATATTTTCAGGAAAGAAATCAGCTCAGCTCTCCACTCATTGCCAAATGTCACTAAAGGGTTTAGTTTTAAGGAGAAAGAAAAGGAAAAAAAAAAAAAACAAAAAAGTCCTGTTTTGCTTTGCAGAACAAATGAACTTACAGGTGAGCATTAAGCTTGCAGTGAGAAATGTGCGAAGAGTAAAAACCCAAGTCAATGCTGAGGCAGTTCTAACTTCACTGTTTTCCTAAATACACATCCTTGATTATTTTCAGCCTTGCTATATAATCTGATCTGCTAGAAGTGTATGAGTGAGAGGCAATAGCATACAAACTGATTTTTTAAATATAAGCTTAGGTTGTAATTGTACAAGTGACTCAATGGAAGTACAAAATAGGGCAGTTTTAACTTTTTTTTCTGCTTCTATGGATTTCATTTTGTTGTGTTTTCAAAAAGTTATGGTGCTGTATAGGTGCTTTCTGTTTAACCTGGAAAGTGTGATTATATTCGTTACCTTCTTTGGTAGACGGAATAGTTGGGACCACCTTTGGTACATAAGAAATTGGTATAACGATGCTCTGATTAGCACAGTATATGCATACTTCTCCAAAGTGATATATGAAGACTCTTTTCTTTGCATAAAAAGCATTAGGCATATAAATGTATAAATATATTTTATCATGTACAGTACAAAAATGGAACCTTATGCATGGGCCTTAGGAATACAGGCTAGTATTTCAGCACAGACTTCCCTGCTTGAGTTCTTGCTGATGCTTGCACCGTGACAGTGGGCACCAACACAGACGTGCCACCCAACCCCCTGCACACACCACCGGCCACCAGGGGCCCCCTTGTGCGCCTTGGCTTTATAACTCCTCTGGGGGTGATATTGGTGGTGATCACAGCTCCTAGCATAATGAGAGTTCCATTTGGTATTGTCACACGTCTCCTGCCTCGCTTGGGTTGCCATGTTTGAGCGATGGCCCTGTTGATTTCACCCTGCCTTTTACTGAATCTGTAAATTGTTGTGCAATTGTGGTTATAGTAGACTGTAGCACATTGCCTTTTCTAAACTGCTACATGTTTATAATCTTCATTTTTAAAGTATGTGTAATTTTTTTAAGTATGTATTCTATTCATATGGTCTGCTTGTCAGTGAGCCAGACTTGCTTACTATATTCCTTTATAATAATGCTAGCCACTTCCTGGATTCTTTAGTAATGTGCTGTATGCAAGAACTTTCCAGTAGCAGTGAAGGAGGGTTGCCTCTCCAAGCTTCCTAAGGGATGCTGCCCTGTGTGGGGATGCATTGCAGAGGCACTAGTAGCATGGGGGCTAGAGTGGGGAGCGAGATGTAAAAGGGTGGGGGGATAGGAGAATTCCAGAGTGCTTCCAGCATTAGGGTCCTGAGAACTTCTGAGTTCAGAGAAACATGCAAAGTGACTAACAAAATAGCTACTTACCTTTGCAGTTTTACAGACCCTGGGAGCTGCTTTGGGAGTGAGAAAGGCAACCCTCCAATGTGTTTCAACTTTAAAATGTTGAATTCTTTTCAGACATGGTATCTCATTTATTCTCCTTTTCTAGCGTTTGTTGAATTTCAGGCAGAATGTCTTACAGAATGTCCTAGAACCAGATTATCATTTAATCTGAAACAGCTGAGGAAGGGACAGAGAAGGTACAAGGGCAAGGCAGCACAAAACAGATCAGGAGAATGAAGAGGGAATGCTTTGGTTTTTTGTTTTGTTTTGTTTTTTCTTTTTCAAGTAACTAAAACAGCATCTACATGTAGAGTGTTGTGGAGAGCTGAGACCAGGGTAAAGTCAAGTGCAGCATCAGTACTGCGAGACCCACCAGCCCCTGGAGAGGGTCAGCCGAGAATCTGGTAGTGAAGCCTGTCTAGGGTCCCGGCACCCTCACCCTCAGCCACCTGCAGAGAGGCCAGGGCCCCAGAGACTAGCCTGGTTCTGAAGTGGGCAGGGGTGCTGCCAGAGCCCTCTGCCCCTTATGTTGAGACCCTGCTTTCAGGACAGGCCAGCCGTTGGCCACCATGTCACATTCTGAGTGAGTGTCACAGGTCCCTAACAATAATTTTCTGATCTGGAGCATATCAGCAGAATGCTTAGCCTCAAGGGGCCTGGCAGCTGTAATGTTTGATTTATGATGAGAACTATCCGAGGCCACCCTTGGCCTCTAAATAAGCTGCTCTAGGGAGCCGCCTACTTTTTGATGAGAAATTAGAAGAGTACCTAATGTTGAAAACATGACATGCGCTCTTGGGATCTGCTGTTCTCTCCAGGGCTCCAGAACCTGATACCTGTTACCAAAGCTAGGAAAGAGCTTTATCACAAGCCTTCACTGTCCTGGCATGAGAACTGGCTGCCAGGCTCAGTGTACCCCATTAACTGTGAATGAATCTGAGCTTGGTTTCCTTTATTGCTTCCTCTGCAATATGATTGCTGAAACACATTTTAAAAATTCAGAAGCTTGTCACTCCTGTTAATGGGAGGATCAGTCACACATGTGTAGTACAAGGCGGACTTTGTGTTTGTTTTTGGTGTTAATTTTTAGCATTGTGTGTGTTGCTTCCCCACCCTGAGGAGAGGACACCATGGCTTACTACTCAGGACAAGTATGCCCCGCTCAGGGTGTGATTTCAGGTGGCTTCCAAACTTGTACGCAGTTTAAAGATGGTGGGGACAGACTTTGCCTCTACCTAGTGAACCCCACTTAAAGAATAAGGAGCATTTGAATCTCTTGGAAAAGGCCATGAAGAATAAAGCAGTCAAAAAGAAGTCCTCCATGTTGGTGCCAAGGACTTGCGAGGGGAAATAAAAATGTTATCCAGCCTGACCAACATGGAGAAACCCCGTCTCCATTAAAAATACAAAATTAGCCTGGCATGGTGGCGCATGCCTGTAATCCCAGCTACTCTGGAGGCTGAGGCAGGAGAATCGCTTGAACCCAGGAGGCGGAGGTCGCAGTGAGCCGAGATCATGCCAGTGCACTCCAGCCTGGGTAACAAGAGTGAAACTCCGTGTCAAAAAAAAAAAAAAAATGTTACTCATCCTCTCTGAAAGCAAAAAGGAAACCCTAACAGCTCTGAACTCTGGTTTTATTTTTCTTGCTGTATTTGGGTGAACATTGTATGATTAGGCATAATGTTAAAAAAAAAAATTTTTTTTTGGTAGAAATGCAATCACCAGTAAAGAGGTACGAAAAAGCTAGCCTCTCTCAGAGACCGGGGAGGCAGAGTACTACTAGAGGAAGTGAAGTTCTGATGGAATCATGCCTGTCAAATGAGGTCTTGAAGCGGATGCCCAAATAAAAGAGTATATTTTATCTAAATCTTAAGTGGGTAACATTTTATGCAGTTTAAATGAATGGAATATTTTCCTCTTGTTTAGTTGTATCTGTTTGTATTTTTCTTTGATGAATGATTGGTCATGAGGCCTCTTGCCACACTCCAGAAATACGTGTGCGGCTGCTTTTAAGAACTATGTGTCTGGTCACTTATTTCTCTAAAATTATCTCATTGCCTGGCAATCAGTCTTCTCTTGTATACTTGTCCTAGCACATTATGTACATGGGAAATGTAAACAAATGTGAAGGAGGACCAGAAAAATTAGTTAATATTTAAAAAAATGTATTGTGCATTTTGGCTTCACATGTTTAACTTTTTTTAAGAAAAAAGTTGCATGAATGGAAAAAAAAATCTGTATACAGTATCTGTAAAAACTATCTTATCTGTTTCAATTCCTTGCTCATATCCCATATAATCTAGAACTAAATATGGTGTGTGGCCATATTTAAACACCTGAGAGTCAAGCAGTTGAGACTTTGATTTGAAGCACCTCATCCTTCTTTCAATGCGAACACTATCATATGGCATTCTTACTGAGGATTTTGTCTAACCATATGTTGCCATGAATTAACTCTGCCGCCTTTCTTAAGGATCAAAACCAGTTTGATTTGGGAATCTTCCCCTTTCCAAATGAAATAGAGATGCAGTACTTAACTTTCCTTGGTGTTTGTAGATATTGCCTTGTGTATTCCACTTAAAACCGTAATCTAGTTTGTAAAAGAGATGGTGACGCATGTAAATAAAGCATCAGTGACACTCTATCTTACTCCAAGAAGTCTCTTTGTTCTCCCTCCCCCTTTCTTGAACCCTAGGAATAAAATGGCAGTTTCTCTCAAGGTCTTCCTGTGGAATTCCCCCACAGGCTGGGAGAGCCACAAAGCTGAGAGACTCTTATCACAAAATCTTTAAATGAACCTAGTAAACGTTTTCTCTGGCCCGCTTCTGACCTCCACAGACAACAGACAACTTAATAAAGGAAGATTTATGGCATAGTTCATGGTGGCTGATAGCCACTTTTGGTGTGTTCTGAGTCATGTTGCCCAGGGAGCTTTGAATAAGTGGGGAGTTGGGACTTAGAGACGGCCCTCACTGAGCGTCTGAGGTTTTAACTTGTCGGTTGCTTGACCTGGATGAGGTCTTCCTCACCTGAGTCCAACACATGAACGTTGGTTGGCAACAGTGCCCTCCTGCCCGACCTGCATACTGAAAGTCAGACATGACACTTCAGGCTTCTGGTGGCAACAGCGTAAACATTTCCTCTGTGTGTACCTTTAGGGCCTCCTCAGTTAAGTGAGAGGGAACTCCACCTGTTGTAAAACTATTCTTAGTAGTCTGGATTGTGTTTTTTCATTTTAATAGCCATATAAAATTATTCAGATGATTCAGAATAAGCAGGATCTATTTTAAGGTCCCACATGATAGGTTCTTACTTCAGATCAAGGAGGTGAAAGGTTTTAAAGTTGGGAATTTGGGATAAATTCTGTATTGGTGGTGTGTAAGTTTTTCTTCACCATTGTTTTAATTACTTACAAAGGTAAAACTTCACCGTCTCCTAATGCCAAAGCCTACTGGGGATGGGTATTTCACTTGAGATTACTTCCCAATTTTTATTCTGTCTTCCAGAGGATTAAAGATGGAACTCTAATACCAGTTATGACAAGATTCTTAGTAGAGAGTTCTCCACAACCAGGTAAAAATGCAACCAAAAACTAGTAAGTTAATTTAATGATCGACAGTTACGAAGCCAACCTCCAGTGTGGCAGTGGGCTAGCCTTTGTGATGGGCGGGCACCAGGAGAACGAGGATCTGTGCCTGCCCCGTAAGGGTATGTGGTCTAGGAGTGATCTGTCTACTCCACCTGGAGGGATAAAGGGCCAGCTGCTTACTCTCCTGCTTCAGCTTCTTGTTTAAAAGAGGAAGAGTTTGGACTAGTTAATCTCAAACATATGAGGGATTTGATTTTGCAGTTTATTCAATAATGAGGGCAAAGCTTTAGGCCGGCAGATGTTACTTTGATGTGTATCAGCCAAGTCACCCATACCACAGCTGGGATATAGGGGTCCCAGGCAGAGAATTCATAGCCACCATTCTGCCAGACACTGGCACACACACACCCACAGCACCCACAACCCCAACCCTGAGACATGGGAAGTAGACGGCTGTGGGTTGGTGGTGGGGTGCAGTCTGCGGTGCCCTGAGCTGCTTGCAGCCCTGTGGTGGGAGCCAGCAGGGGAGAGTATTTGAGGGGTGGAAGTGAGAGAGAGGCACTCAGAAAAGGGGCCCACTCCAGCTCTGCTTTCCTCTCCATCAAAGAAAAGCAGTGGCGCTGGGCCCAGAGGAACAGACACATTTGGAGCAGGAGGAAGAGTCCTTTCCCCCGGATTTTCCTAATTCAAAAGCCGAAAGAGGAAGACTGTCAGCAATGTTTAAGACTGGAAGAAAATTAGATTATGTGTGTGCACGCATGTGTGTGTGTAGTTCTGCCTACCAACCATCACATAGTAATGGCTCAGAACTGTTGGGGTTTGCCTACCTTCTCTGAGGACTTGCTAGAAACACATGACAAACATCTCCACTCACACTTTGGGAGGAGAAATCCCAATGCCCTGCTAGTATTGGCACAGGATCTCTTCTGTGCATCCTATGATCATTCCTCCACCAGCACTCGTGTGTGCCAGGCGCTGTGCTTGTGTTGGTGAGATGAGTTGAAGGGGCTGAGCTGAAGTGTGTAGGCCTGTTGGCATGAACTTGAGCACCTGAGTCCCTTGAATGCTGCTAAGGATAGGATGGAGGGACAGAGGAAGTTAACATTTGAGCTAAAAGGCAGAAATGAATCAGGCTTTCTGGCTGAAGTGATGAATTCCAAAGACAGGAAGGATTGGAACATGCTCAGGAAACTGAGAGGTGAGCTTGTTTGGGATTTAAAGAGCTCAAAGAAGGCGAGAAGTCAGGCAAGAAAAGAAGGCTGCCCGGAAACTCGAGACCAAGGAGCTTGGAGTTTGCGATTGAGCATGGGAAACTAGCAGGGTGGTGGCCTAGTCAGAGCTGGCCTTTGGGAAGGGCCCCAGGGCACACTGTAGGAATGGATTCTAGAAGGAAGATGAAGAAATGAGAAAGCATGGTAATTCTAGAACTGTTCTCTCAACCAGGCACCCACAGAGAGATGTTTATGTGCCCCACTGGAAAGGCGGAGAAAACTGCTTCAGGTTTCAGGTGACCAACTCAGCTCTCCCAGCCACAGGCCCTGGAGATCGCCCTAAGGGCTAAGGGAGCCATAGCTCACACCCCTGCAACTTTCCAACCAAGTTGGGAAGCTCTGATCTGGAAGAAATGATAAATTTGGTAATGGGTTAAGTCTAGAGGAGGGAGGCAAGGGCGTTTGGATTTCAACTCTTCACCTGGTGTACCATTTTATCAAAGTGGGAGTGTATTATACTTAGATAAATATAGCTTCTAAAAACCTATTGGGAGAGGCTGGCTTTGACTCAGACTGGAGGGAGTAAGGAGTAAGATGGGAGAAGGGTATTGGGGAGTAGAAGTAGAAGTGATGAGGTGACTATACTGTTGAAGGAATCTCACTGACGAATAGTATTGTTACAAATTTGTATCTCCATCACCTTGGGTTTCCTTAACTTCCTCCTATCAACATCTTGGATATCATAGTATAGGAAGTACCTAATCAGAAGAAAGGAATATTATGCATCTATCAAAACAATAATTATGAAAACTATGCATATATGTAAAAAAACACTCATTTTGGACACATGCTTAGAAGGGTAATTATTGCTTTTATATTGTAACCTTGTATGTTGATATATAAGAATAAAAGCAAAATACAAGTAATACGTAGTAGTATAAAACTGGCTGGGAGAAGTGCTAAAAGGTAAAATGTAAAAATAATTCTTGTGTCCTGGACTCTGTGGTCCTCACTACTGGACTCAGGCCCTTGGTATTGCCACCAGAGTTGGATAGTGTATGAGCTACACCTGAGCCCCAGCAGTGAGGGATCAGGAAGACATGGCCCCCTCAGTAGGGGAGGAGGGAGGGACTCTTCCTCCCACTAAGGTGCACCCAGTGGATAACTCCAAGTAGGAAGGGAGTTCTCATGCTGGGACATGCCCTCAAAATGACACATGTCCATTGTAGGAGGACAATTGAGTCATGGCATTTTGTCACAAAATTGTTTTCATTTTGTTGCACTTTGTTTTAAAATTAATATCTTGAAAGGTAGTGCATTCACACGATTCAAAAGCCAGAAAGCATGAAAAGACACACACTGGGAATGTTTTCCTCCCATCTTTGTCCTCTTATCTGCTTAGTTCCTCCCACCCCAGAATTCCTTACGTTTCCTTCCAGAATGTCTTATGTACCTACAAGTAATAAAAACACAGATTCTTATTTTCCCCTCTTATTACACAAAATGTACATCATACACGCTGTATATACACAGGCATCTTGCTTTTTAAATGATTTTCCCCAAGATGGAGGAGATTTTAATACATAGAAAGCTTCCTCATTCTTTTTATAGTTACATAGTATTCCATTGTATTAATTTGTCATAATTGATTTAACCAGTAGTCCCCTGTTGATAGATACTGGACATTGGATTGTTTGCAGATGTTTGCTATTACCGGCCACACTACAACTAGTAACCTTATACATTTGTTATTTCATACATGTGCAAGAATCTTTGTAGAATTAATGCCCAAACATGGAATTGCTGGGTCAAAGGGTATATACATTTTTAAAACTTTATTTCAGTCGTTTTTGGGGAACAGGTGGTTTTTGGTTACATGAAGTTCTTTAGTGGTGATTTCTGAGATTTTGGTGCATCTGTCACAAAGGGTATATACATTTGATCAAGGTTGACCAAATTGTCCTCCAGTGTGCCAGTTCACCACTCACACCAATCATGTAGGAAAATCTCATATTTTTGATATTTTAAAAATGCAGTTGTAGCACAGTGGCTCACCTTTGTAATCCCAGCTCTTTGGGAGGCCCAGTGGGAGGATAGCTTGAGGCCAGGACTTACAGT
Organism: Homo sapiens; assembly: GCF_000001405.40. Classification (NCBI taxonomy): domain Eukaryota; kingdom Metazoa; phylum Chordata; class Mammalia; order Primates; family Hominidae; genus Homo; species Homo sapiens. The sequence continues at coordinate 108,689,044 of NC_000006.12, forward strand.
GAGCTATGATCACGCTGCTGCACTCCAGCCTGGACAACAGAGCAAGACCCGGTGTCTAAAAAAAATTTTTTTTTAATGAAGAGCCCAGGCTTAGGAATCAGACCAGGCTTTTTCCTTGCAAATGAAATAAAATTGCAAATCTGTTTTTCCTCTCTCCCTCCAAACTTTTTTGTTTTAAGCCTGTTCCTAAGGTAAGGAGGGCCTGAACTGCTGAGAAGGAGGGGTGGAGGATGGGAGGGAGGCTCAGGAGGTTTGGGGAGGCAGAAGGCCTCAGGTGATTTCCACACACAGAAGAGTCATGCCAACAACTTGTCCATCCAGTCTGGCCACAGACTCCACCCCTCACACCACCAGCTTGGACCGCCCAGCTTCAGGGTCAGAAGCCTGACCTCACAGCTGCGCTCCTTCACCTCCCACAATTCCAGAGGGGAGCTGTCACCCCGAAGGAAACAAGTCTGGTCTTCTTGGCCCCAAACCACACACCCAGACCTATTCATAGCGAGATTGCACAACCTGCTGGAGGACAGCCCAGCCGGGCATGGGAGAGCAGCCCTCCTCCTGTGCCAGGCCCTGGCCCTCGGGTGCCCCTGGGTGAGCCTGTGCCAGCTTTCAGAGCAGAGCTGTTCCTATAGTGGGGGGCCTCAAGGGTCTGATTGGCTCCTCCTCCCAAGTGGGAGAACTTGCTTCTCCAAAGGAGAAGCGCTCACGCCACCCGCCCACTGCCCCACTGTGCAGGTTGACACCTGGTTGGAGGGCTCACTCTCATTAGTGCACACAGAAGCCAGAAGGCAGACTGTTACAGAAGAGGAAGCTATGTCACAGAAGACACTCTTTACGTCTCTGTGGGGAGCAGTGCCATGGAGCGGGGAAAGGAGACTCAACTTGGGAATGGGACAGACCTCAATTTGAACCCAGCCCTGCAGTGCATTAGTAGAATGGTGACATGTGAGTCAGTTGCCTTCTCTGGGCCTCTGTCTTCTCGTTTATGAAATGGAAACAGGGCTGCCTGTCTTGCAGGGTTGGGAGGCTCCCATGAGAACACGCCCCGGAAGTATCTGTAGCATACTTCAAGCAGGTCAGGAGCAAGCCCTTCATCAACGTCCTCTTCTCTTTAAACACATCTCATTGGCCCACACTCCATGGGTTGTTTTTTTTTTTAGTCTTGTAAAACATACAAAATTAATCTGACATTAATGAACCTCATCAGTATAATTAGATTGCAAAGTAATTAAAAAAATGAAAGGTAACCAACTTGTAAGGTTTTTCTGCTCTTACTATTTTCCTTGATGTTCTTCAGGACCTGTTGACAGCAACCGTGCTCATGGTCAGCTGCTTCCATTCTATGTCCTGTAGAATCACTGTCATGAACACCAAGAACTCAAACGGCAAGAGAGGGTGGGAAGACTTGTTTCTAGTCCTGACTCTGCCACTGAAAGCTGTGTGTCCTTGAGTGAGTCATTTCCCTCTCCCTGGTCCACTTCATGAACATTCCATACTTTTTAAGGGGTCATGATGCATGAGCCCAGAAAGGGAGCACACACTTTACGAACTACAAAGCAAGAAACAGAAACAGAACCACAGACACTGCTTTGAGTCAGTAAGTTGGCAAATGTGAATATATTCATTTTCCAGAGGGGAAACTCGGATCCAAAGTGGACTCAAAGGTTCATTGTTACTTGCTGTAACCTGCCCTTCAGCCTGCCCCAGGCCTCCAAAGCTGACACTTATGGCCATGGAACCCTGTTGGGAGAGTTAGGGTAGAGGATGCATCTGATAGGATAGGGAAAGAAATGGAGAAAGGGGAAAGGATGGAAAAGAGGAAGAGGACTTGGAGATGGAGGAGGAGTGGGGAGGATGGGTGTGGCAAGGGATTGGAGAGAAAACAGCATTTCAGAGGAGGTGGTGCACCCTACACAGATGTTTGCGCTAGAACCCGCTGGTGTTACATTGAGTCTCTCCAGTTTCTTCCTAAAGAAGTGAAATGATACAGGGGCCTGTGGTGGCCCAGCTGGAAGGTCTTTCTGATGAAGACAGGAGGCCAGAGTGATTTGCTGCTAGTTTGAAGGGGGCAGGAAGTAGTGACAGCCTGGAATCCACCTGTGTGAGGCAGGGAAACTGTCCCCTGGGGTGTGTGTATGTGTGTGTGTGAGAGCGAGAGAGAGAGAGAGAGAGAGAGAGAGAGAGAGAGAGGAGGGGAGGGGAGGGGAGGGGAGGGGAGAGGAGAGGAGGCCTCTGATGTTGCCGTCTCTTGATCAGTGCAGATGGCATTTCCACAGCAAACCCCTCCTGCCCAGGGCACTGTTGTGGCCCTCCCAGGTGTTTGGATAAGAGTTTAATTAAGAACCTACCAGGGTGGTCTGAAGCTTAATTGCTATGCTTGTGCCTCCCTGAGTGTAAAGGTTCAAGCCACCCCTCCTCAGCTTGGCCATGCCCAGGGCTTGCTCCACCTCTGGGGGAGTAAAAACATCTTCCCTGAGTGGTGGAGCCACCACTTGGCCTGATTTAGTACAATTAGGTTCTTTTTGATGGAAGCCAGTTGTTAAGTGCAGAACTCAAAGCAATTGAAGTTTTTTGTATAGTATAAATGCACAGTGAAAAAGCAATCTTTTGAGAGGGCATGTGGATTGTGGCTTGTAGCCCCCCTGATATGGTAAGAAGCATATGGACTTTAGACATATGCTAAGACGTAGTTATAGGGTCTTATCTCTCTGAGTTTCGGGGTCCTTGATGTTTCATAGAGGATAATGATAGTATCTCCCTTGAGGATTAGAATTAGTGCATGCAAAGCCCCTATCTGTTTATTCACCCTGTAATTCAACATGTATTTATTGAGGGTCTACTGTGTGCCAGCACTGTGCTAGAATTAATGGTTAAACTCAAGCTTTAGAAAAAGAAAAGGAAGGTGATGGATAGGCTTCTTTCTGACTTTGCCTGTGCAACCGCAGGTAAGTTACCTAACCCCTTGAGTTTCTGTTTTCTTATCTGCAAAATAGGGACAATAATAACCCTACCTTGTTGTGTTATTGAGAGGATTAAGTGAGATGATGCATGGACAGCCCTTGAGGCAGAATCTGGCACATAGCAAGTGCTTGATAAGCTTAGCTATATTTATTAGGACATTGGAATTGCTCAATAAATTATAGACCATAGATTTTGTAATTAGGTTTCTAAAATGTAGCCACTATGCCCTATCCAAAGCCAAAGGAAAGCAGATTTTTCAAAATGTGGTCTTTAGATCATGTGTATCAGGAAAGCCTGAGGGAGCTTGTTAAAAATTCAGATTCCTTGGGCCCATCCTAGAAGTACTGAGTCTGAATCTGACAGGGCCTAAAATTCTGCCTTTTCAAACACTGTCTCCCATGATTCTGAAGTACACTCAAGTTTTGGAATCCCTGAGGGTCAAAGGTAAAAATGCCCATCCATTTGAGAATATCCCCCGTGTAGGCAGAATAATGCCCCCACCCTGCAAGGATGTCCATATCCTAGTCCCCGGAGCCTGTGAATGTGTTGGGCTGCATAGCAAGGAGGAGTTGAAATTGCTAATCAACAGACACTTGTGAAAAATAAGGAGATTATGTAGGTGGGCCCGGTGTAATCACAGAGGTCCTTAGATGGGGGAGAGGGAGGCAGAAGAGTCAGAACCAGAGACATGGCATGGTCACAGAAGCTCAAACAGCCACTGCCGGCCTTGAAGACGGAGGGAGGGCCACACGTCATGGAGGGAGGGCGGCCTCTAGAAGGGGGAAAATGCAAGGAAACGGCTGCTCACCTAGGGGATCACACGGGAGCATGCCCCGGAAGTATCTGTGGCACAGACGCTACTAGATACTTCCAGGGCATGCTCCCGTGTGATCCCCTAGGTGAGCCTCCAGAAGGAACACAGAGCCTAGAACGCCTGGAGCCTCCAGAAGGAACACAGCCCACCAACATCAGATACCTAATTTTAGCCCAGCAAGACCCATTCTGGGCTTCTGACCTCTAGAGTTGTAAGATTATAAATGTTTGCTGGTTTTAAGCCTCTAAGTTTGTGGTGATGTGTTACAGCAGCAAAAGAAAACTACTCTGTCGTTTCTCTTTATTTTATTTTATTTTATTTTATTTTTTGAGATGGAGTCTCACTCTTGTCCCCCAGGCTGGAGGGCAGTGGTGCAATCTCGGCTCACTGCAACCTCCACCTCCCAGCTTCAAGCGATTCTCCTGCCTCAGTCTCCTGAGTAGCTGGGACTATAGGTGCCCGCCACCACGCCTGGCTAATTTTTGTATTTTTAGTAGAGATGGGGTTTCACCATGTTGGCCAGGCTGGTCTCGAACTCCTGACCTCAGGTGATCTGCCCACCTCGGCCTCCCAAAGTGCTGGGATTACAGGCGTGAGCCACTGTGCCCGGCCTACTCTGTCCTTTCAAACCAGGCTGGATTCATGCACTGGATGTGGAAGATGCCCTGAGATCCAGGCCTGGGCTTGGGTGGGAGCCCTTGGCTGAGGGGCACTCTCAGAGTTGGGAGAGGGTTGGAGCAGGTGCACAGCTCATGCATTGTCCTCACAGCTTTGCTGACCTCCCTCTGCCATTTGTTCCTTGTTCATTTACACTCCAGTACTTAGACAGCTGTTGAGCAAGACTCATGCATCAGGGGGCTCAGAGTGTCTGTAAATTGTAAACAGTCCCAGGCCCAAAGGATCTCTGTCATCTCTGTCATGTTCTCATCTCAACCAAGAGGGCCTGGAACACCTGAAGATGGCCTGATTGCTCTTCCCAGAATCCTGAGGAAAAGGAAAGAACCGTACCAAGAGCCTCCTAACCAGAGTGGGGCTCTCCCTCCCTCACCCCTGGATTCCCTTAAGATGGGAACAGGAAGGGCAGCTCTCACACCCACACTGTCCCAAGGGTGGGCATTGCTGGGACTCCTGGGCCCCTTCCTTGTCTCCTCAGTGCTCCTCCAGCTCTGGGCCAGCCTGCAGCCCTTCCTCCTCCTCCTCTCCTGTCTGTCCCCTTCCATTGCCTGCCTTGCCATCCTTACCTCCCCCGGTCCCCAGCCAACTGAGACCTATCAAGTGACAGGCACTGGGCTGATGGCTTATATTCATCATCTCTTTATTCTGATTTTATTATGAAAAATTTCAAACATATAGGAAAGTTGAAAGAATGACTAGCCATACACCCATCACCTAGATTCAACAACTCTTTTTTTTTTTTTTTGAGACGGAGTCTTGCCCTGTTTGCCCAGGTTGGAGTGCAGTGGTGTGATCTCAGCTCACTGCAACCTCTGCCCCCCGGGCTCAAGTGATTCTCCCACCTCAGCCTCCCAAGTAGCTGGGATTACAGGCACCTGCCACCGCGCCCGGCTAATTTTTGTATTTTTAGTAGAGACTGGGTTTCACCATGTTGGCCAGGCTGATCTTGAACTCCTGACCTCGTGATCCACCCGCCTCGGCCTCCCAAAGTGCTGGGATTACAGGAGTGAGCCACCGCGCCCGGCCAGATTCAACAGCTCTTAACATGATGCCATATTTACTTTATAGATTGATGTATGTATGTATATGTACATATGTTTTTGTTTTGCTGAATCTTTAGAAAGTTCAGCCATTATAACAAGTCCCCTCCCAAGACCTCAGCATGCATCTCTCAAGCCCCATGGGATCCCTGCAAAACAAGTATAGATACCAGTCCCATTTTACACGTCAAAAATTTGAATGTAAGAATTTGAGTGTAAATATTTGAGATTCTAAGAAATGACATTACTCGCCCAGCATCACACAAGTGGTAAGTGATGGAACTGAGATTTGAACCCAGGTTGGTATCCTGCCTTCTCTAAAGTGGTTCTAGAGCTCAGAATTAGGGGTATCCCAGAGTGGCGTTGCTTCTAGCTTGGGATTTTTTTTCTCTTCTTCGAGAAAACTGAAAGCATTTCAGAGAAACAAAATTTCCTTTCAGCAATATCCCCTGAGGCCAAAGCTACCACTTCCCAAGAAGCTGGGTGAATTCCAAGATTACAGGTTAGTGGAGAAAGATGTTCAGGATGTGGGCCCAGAGGAACAGACGGTTAAAGCTGCCAAGCCTATTGCCGCTAGAATGCAGGCAACCCCTTGGGGCTCCCAGCACGTACCTGAATGTCTCCCATCTGGGATCACTATGAAGCACGAGAGTCTAAGGGGCCCTTGGAGAAACACCAAGGAATAAAAGAAGCCTGCTCATGAAGCATAAATCCCAAAATAATGAAGAAAGGCCTCATGGTGGGCCTCAAAATGTGGGCCATTAACCACCTGCATCAAAATAACCTGGAAAGCTTGTTTAAAATGCAGACTCCTGGGTTTACCCCAGATCCAGTGAACCAGATCACTGGGGCATGGGGCCCTGGACTCTTAACACCTTCCCCAGGTAATGGTTGCCAACTCTAGGTAGAGGACTAGTAGCCAAATTCCTATACTAATACACATGACACAACATGACACGACTGTGCACTACACTACACTACACACCACATTACTGTATATACTACGCTGCACATAACACTGTACACTACACCACAGCTCCCTGTGCTACACAGTGTCATGCTGTCCCCTACCACACTATGCGATACGACTGGGCTTCCTCCTCAGTTAAATGCTCTACTTTCTCATTGATCCATTTTTTTTTAATTTTCTAAAAGTAGTTTATTTTTTAATTTTTTTTTTAAAGTGTTTTAATTTACATACAGTGAACTTCACACCTTTTGGTATCCAGTTGCATGAGGTTTAACAAATGCATAGAGTTGTGTAACTGCCACCACAGCCAAGATACAGAACAGTTCCATCCCGTCTTCCAGATTCCTTTGTGCTCCCCGGTTCTGGTCACTCCCTTCCTGCACACTTACCTCTGGTAACCACTGATCTGTTCTCCAACCCTGGAGTTTTGAGGGTTCCAGAATGTAATATAAATGGAATCACACAGTCCATAGCCTTTCGAATCTGACTCCTTTCACTTAGCATAAGGCATTCGAGATTCATCCATGTTAGTGCATGTAGGAGTATTTAATTCCTTTTTATTGTTGATATTCTGTTGTATAAATGTACCATGGTTGTTTATCCATTCCCCAACCAAGGGACATTTGTGTTGTTTCTGGGTTTTGGTGATAAACTCAATGATCCAAATTTAATGAACTGATTCCTTTCTCTGGGAGAGGAGAATCTCGTATATTGGCCATGTGATAAAAGGAGTAGGTGGTGGGTCAAAGAAAATGGCCTACACATGGTTTCTGCCATGGGCCACCTATTTAACAGTCCAGGGTCAGCCATGGAGGACCCATATTTGACCTTATGACAAACTTGCTGGTCTTCCAAAAATCATAAAACAACCAGGTCTTCACAATGCTGCAGCGCCTATCTTTTACAAATAAAACAAAGGGCCCTTGGAACACCAGGCCCCAAAACTCACTGGGAAGCCATCTGAGTGAGCACCTTAGCCTTCCACTGTGGTGTGCCCCACGCCTTCCATTGTGGCGTCCCCCACAGGGGAGTCATCCGGTGGCATCATCCTTCTTCACAGCTCTCTTCAGCTTACAATGTTTTTGCCGGACTGGATCTATTTGATCTTCCAACAAGCCCAAGAAGGAAGAAAGGCAGACATTTTTATTTTTACTTGCACCATTTTGAAATCAGGTTGCCAAAGCTCAAAAGCTCAAGGCAGCTGGTACTTATTCAAAGTCAACAAGCCCCTTTGGCTGGGGAGACCCCCTGACTCTTCCCATTCTCAACCCAGTGTTTTCTGGTTTTAAAGATGTAAAACTTCTGGCCGGGCGCGGTGGCTCATGCCTGTAATCCCAGCGCTTTGGGAGGCCGAGGTGGGTGGATCACCTGAGGTCAGGAGTTTGAGACCAGCCTGGCCAACATGGTGAAACCCCGTCTCTACTAAAAATACAAAAATCAGTCGGGCATGGTGGCAGGCACCTGTCATCCCAGCTACTCTGGAGGCTGAGGCAGGAGAATCACTTGAACCTAGGAGGTGGAGGTTGCAGTGAGCTGAGATCACACCACTGCACTCCAGCCTGGAAGACAGAGTGAGACTCCATCTCAAAAAAAAAAAAGGAAAAGAAAAAGATGTAAAACTTCTGCAGATGGACGATGCAAGGGTAGTGGTCAGCTCTTTAATCTGCACATTTTAGAATCCAGTTTTGCTCAAAGTAAGTAATAAGGTGGGCGAAAAACAGAACAGAGCTGAGTTTAAACCACACATCTGCTTGCCAGCTACACAGCCTCCATGCTCTCATTTATAGGATAGGCGAAGAAATTCCTACCTTCTAGTGTTGTTGCAAACATGAGAGGCTGCAGAAGAGTTCATAATGCAAGTGGGTAAAGCATAAGAGGCACTCTATAAATGGCAGCAATTATTATTAATTTGGTTTATTAAGAGAAACCATAGAATGTACACACCATTAACCATCTGTGGTAGGTGCTCTCTGCCTCTCAGTACTGCTCAGGATTTCTGAGGCCTAATTTTCTCCTGGCAGCACTAAGGGAAACCAAGGAGTTAACAAGGAGGCCTGGAGGCTGGCATGGCTGGGACTGTTAGTTCCTAATGAGGGGCCGGCCCGAGGAGGAGGCCTAGCAGCTGTGAGGAGGGGCGCTGAGGGTGTCTCCCATGGAGGAGACTTGGGCTGGAAACTTTGTTTTTCTTATTTCTGAACTCGGTTTTACACTCCTGAGGGGAGTTCCTAGTGTCTGGACTTGGTCTTTGAGCCCTGGCGCTGGTGGTTCCCTGAGGAAATGCCTCGCGGCTTCTTATGGGGCAATGTTGTTATTGATGTTGGGCCAAGGTGGTTAGAAAATGGGATCCTCCAAATGGGGGCCTTGTGGTTTGGCCACACGGAGATATCTCCACAAGCACAGCCGGGGTGGGGACAGCTGCCCACAGGGTAGGGCTTGAGGGTAACGTGGTGCTTCTCCTCGGCCGCCCCATCCTCTCCTGTCCTTGGCATTATTCTTACATGTCGCCTGTATTCTGGCTTCAGACTCTGCTGAGAGAAACGCGCTGTGTTAGGGCCAGCTGGGCCCTGAGCAGACTCCTGAGAGCCAAAAAGCAGGGAGACCAGGGTGCCAGGGGCACTCTGGAGAGTGAGAGGTGCTCAGAGTGACAGCACCCATGGGGGGTAGAGATGCCAGGCTGAGAAGAGGGAGAGGGAGAGGTAGCTCTACCTGGAGCAGGCCCCAGTAACCTCCACCCCCTCTAGAGGCAGAGGCTTCCGTGACCCCCAGGGTCAGCCCTGTCCCCCTCAGCCCTCGGTGGTCTCCCCTCCAGCACCCCAGGTGGTTGGCTATTTCCACATTGTGCCTACCAGACAGCTGTGGCAGGTGCTTTAAATATGTCTGTGGAGTGGTTGAAGAAATCTGAAGAAAAGAGGGAAGTCTGATGGTATCTCCAAGGTGACTTGGAGGGGCTCTGGGAAAGGATCTGCCCACTCTCCAGCTTCGCCATGATGGGTAGGCTCTCACAGGAGTGTGGCGGGTAACCGCCCTCACTCCTGGCCTTTGAGTTTCATTTCCGGTGAGTTTCTCCTTCCTTTTTATTCCAACTCTTCCTGGAAGCAGTGAGTGCTGGTTTAGTTTTAGGTACACATAACATTTGTCTTCATAGCCCCCACAGATGCAAGAGGCCTCATCCCTGTTCTGTGTCCCCTCTGGGTAGGCTCATGTGTGCAGAAGGCAGCCTGGGAAAGCCCGTTCACGGAGCTCACTTTGCTTGTTCTTTATCGTGGCTTCATGCCTCCCATTTGATGCTGCAGGTAAGAGGGCTCATGACCATATAAAGCAAATTGGGTGCCGGCTGTTACAAAGGGGAGGCTGCAAAGAAACAAAAGCATTTCAGCCAAGTAAATGCCCAGAATGTGCTGGGGAGTGGGGAAGGGAGGGGATAACATAAAGCCCCTGTCCCAAGGATGCAGCTTATGCCCCCTGGTCTAATGTGGGAGGGGGACGGTAATGATAATATAGTGTGAGAAGAGCTAGGACACGGTGAGTGACTGACAAGTGACCCAACGGGCAAAGCCAATGGCCCCCTCCACGTTCCACCCCCTGGGCATGAGCACCCTCTCCCATCTTGCCCCTTGATTTGTTGTGTCCTTGCCTGTTGCCTTGGGCAGGCTGACTTCTCTCCTTCCACACAGGGAGGTGGGCAGGAGGATGCCAGGAGCCCGTGTGACATCCAGCTGGGCCAGTGAGCCATTCGGTGGGTTCGCAGCAGTTTTGATGATCACCTGTCCATTTGTCAATGCTTTTCCTCACCCTCATTGCCTCAGAGGCTGTTAGTGTATGGAACTGTGATGCATATTCTATTATCTTCCCAGGGAATTACCTCAACGTTGGCCAGAGCTTAGCATTCTTAGCCACACGGGGCTCTGGAGGTATTTTTGGCGCAACTCGGAACTCCTGAGTGTCCATGCACTCTAGACTCGGGCTAGGATGCGAAGTAGGGATAAAGCAGATGTGGCGGGTGTGGCATGTCCCATGGACCCAGGCTTGGCCTTGCGTCCCCTTCTCCCTGAAGCCCGTTCCTCCCACTTGCTTCCTGGCTCCTTGGCCTCCCGCTGTCGTCACCCTCTGAATCCTTTCTTCTCCTCCCCACCGAGCAGGCAGAGGGAGGCAACTCTCATCACAGCTCAGGCCAGAGAGAGGAGTCCTAGGCCCTTGCTATTTTCAGAGCTAAAATTAAAGCCCATGGTTTGCTTCCTCAGCACTTAATTAGACTCCAGCGCCTCACAGGGCAGCCTCCTTCCCGCCCACCAGTGAAGGCCTGACCGGTGGGTTTGGAAGCTGACGCCATGTTCCTGGCAGGAGGGCTGGGGCCTGGGGTATTTTTACATATGAGAGGCTGTGGAGAGCAAAATGCTTGGCACTGAGCCAGTTAGACTAAATCAGTTGGGAGAGGGAGGGAGCAGGAAAGCTGTTATATCGTCCTTCCTTCTTTGAACTGCACTATAAATCTGCTAGACAGGAAATGGGATTGGGAGGGTAGAGGAGGGGGCTGTACAGTGAGGCTGGACTGGGGCCTGGGATACCACCACCCTCGCAGCCTGGCTCAGGTGAGGCCCTGCCCTGAAGGTGGGGTGAAGGGGGCCTCACTTGGGGCTGGGGGTGAGGCACACTGGTGGGTGTTCAGAGTTGTCTGGGTCAGCTAGGGTATGGGCTGACTGTATCTGCCCTCGTGTTATTTCTGGGCCCCTTCAGATCCTCCAACTAAAACCACCATCGGTGGAACAGCTTTTAGGACTGGAAGAGACTTCAGAGACCCTGTAATTAGGGTTTTGAGGACAAGAGAGGGAAAATAAATTACCCAAAGCCACATACCTTATGAGAACTGGAAGTGGGGATGGGACTTTTGACCTAGGACACGATGGCTGTGCACTGGCTCTCTCCCCTTCTTATTGCTGTCTCTTGGCTTTCTTGGGGGCACAAACTTTTCATTCCAGAGTAAAGGTAAGATATAAAATGCAGATGTATGTAAGTAAAATGACATACAGTCAATTCACACTAAGAGCTAAATAATTGATATTTAGCACTGTTACTGAGTAGAGATTTTGATGAGCAGAAGGCCCCTGTGCTCCGTGGAGGTGTCCTTCTGACCGTAAGGGTGGTGAGGCATCATTGACTTCATAATCAACCTAAGGCCATCTGGCCTCAGGGTTTCTGGAGGGGGCAGGTGGGGGAAGTTGAGACCTGGGATGTACCTGAAACAGAACCTGCTCCCTCCCAGGGAAGAGTGAAAACAGGACACCTGACTAATGACATCTCATATTTATCAATTTACAGCATTTCTCCAGAAAGGTCTAGATACCAGCCTTAGGGGAACCTCATTATTGTTGGATTAAACTTATGCCTACCCATGCATCTATAAGCCAAGGAACCTCTCCTGTTTTTTATCTCTCCTTTTCCCTCCTATAACACTCCTGAGGCTGCCTCTCAAATGTAGGAACCAATAGGTGAGAACCATGTAAGATCTTCGTATATACTCCTGAACCCTGAATTAAGTTAAGGAATAGCCATAGCCTGTATTTATTTTGCTTTTTTTTTTTTTTCAAGCACTATACTAGCATTATCTTATGTCATCTTGAAAACTATTATTATCATCATCCCCATTTCACAATGAGGAGAATGAAGCTCAGAAACGTTAAATGATTTGCCTAAGATCACCCAGGTGTCAGGGCCAAGATTTGAACCAAGGTAGGCTTATTCTAGAGACTATGCTTCACATACCTCATACTGCTTCCACTGGCAGAAATGAAGTTTTGGGAAGTATAGAGGGAAATAATAGAATTTTGTCCAGTAGCAAGAATGAGGAACACACTGTTTATTGCCTGGGCTAGAGGAGTCAGAGTGTGAGGAGTGTCAGGCCTTGGAGAGTGTTTGGCTGAGAGCTGAAGTTGGCGTGGGATTTCCATGTTCCATGGCTGGTGTTTGGCATATATTTCTGCTTTTCTGGGCAAATAGCCTAAATCTCCTCTTTACTTCTCTTGGATAGGGTCTTAGGCCAAAAATGCCATACTGCCCCCATTCCGTTCTTGCCTCAAATCTGTCACTTAGCTCATTTCAGTGGCTTAAACCTGCAATTTTTTGATGTCTACTGAATGCAAATAAAGCTGATTCTTGACACCGAGGAACAGTTGACACAAGCTCTTTGTTGTTGTTGTTGTTGATTTCAAATCCTCCTCCTCTTCACTCTCCTGTTACTTCTCTGTTATTTACTTTAGACATTTCATCACCACCACTAGGAAGCACACAGTGGAAGGAAACCATGTTTATTGTGAGCCTTATGCTGGTAACTAATTTTGCTAATAGTGCCACTGGAAAAAGACTAGTGGGGAAGTAGTTTGAGGCTTGGAGATTACCTTTTTGCCTCTGCATTCCCTGTAATCTGAGATCCCGGATAATGTCTAATGAGCTATAGAGAAGGGAAACAGAGAGGTGAATGGTTTGACAACTGCAACTGCTTTCCCATGAGGCATTTTCTGATTTTGAAGCACTAGCAGTTGCTGAGCAGCTGAGCAGAACTCGTGGCAGCCTTACAGGCCTGATGGGACAAAAGTTGGGATTCAAGAATTGTCAAGGGGAAGGGTCCTAATAAACATCCCAGTCTTTCAGATGGGAGCCTTGAAAGGCTATATACTGGTAATAAAGCTAGTCTGGTAATAGACTAGCACTAACAAAGACTGAAACCCAGATCTGAATCATTTTGATTTCAGATTAGATTAAAGAGATATTCTCCTAGCAAACTGCCTGCTAGAAACAAAAGTAAATTCACTCTAGAGGAAGATATCTGCTAGAACCTTAAATTATCACTACAGTTTTTCATGCATAGTTTCTGGCATGAACTTTTCAAAAACTACCAGGCATACCAGGAGATAGGACCAAATGACTGAATACCAAGAGAAAAAAAAAATGTTATGATTTTAAAAGATATGTAGAGTCTGCCTTAAGAAGAACCAAATTCTAGGAAAACTGTAGGACTGAAATTAAGAACTTGGTAGAAGGGCTTAAAAGCAGATTAGACACAAGTGAAGAGAATATTCATGAACTTGAATATAGGTCAGAAGAAAATATTTATTCAGATGACTATAATTATAACAAGATAAAAAATTTATGAAATACAGAAAAGAGTCTAAGAGATATACAGGACCCAATGTAAACATTTGTGTAATTAGAGATCTGGAAGGAGAGAAACAATGTAGCATAAACAATATTTGAAAAGAAAATGACCGAGGATTTAAAAACTAACAAAAACATAAAGCCACAGATTCAAGAAGTGTTACAAACTCCAAGCAGGGAAATAACCCCAGAAACAAATGAAACTACAATATACATCATAGTAAAACAGCTGAAAAACAAAGGAAAAATTGCAAAAGTAGCTAGTGTAAAAGAAAATAAAAAATACATTATACGCAGACACAATATTCAGCTATTTTTTCAACAAAAACAATGGAAGCCAAAGAACAAAATTATGTCTGTAAAGGCAAAAAAGGAAACAAAAAAACCCAAACAAAAAGACAGCTAAACAACCTAAAATTCTACACCCAGAAAAAATATCACTCAAAAATGAAAGTGAAATAAAGAGATTTCCAGACAGACAAAAACTGAGATGGTTTATAAGTAGCTGACAGACACTAAAGGAAAAACTAAATAGTTTTTCAGGTAAAAGGAAAAGAATTTCAGATGGAAGCAAGGAGTTGCAGAAAGGAATGAAGAGCATTGTAAAGGGTAAACACATGGGAAAATCAAAATTAATACTGACTGTATAAAATAATATCTTGAGAGAGAATATATGTAGAATTAAAATAATACACAAAAAATAAGAAGGAGGAAAAGGGAGTTGACACATTCCAATGTCCTTAACATAGTCCAGGAATTGAAAAAAGTACTAATTTATATTGAACTTTAATAAGTCAAGGATGCATATTGTCATCTTTAAGTCTAGAAGCATATATTTAATTCCACAGAAAGAGAAGTCTTGTGCTCATGTTAGAAGGTAGTCTTGATTTGTCTACCTTCCTCTTTGAGAAATTTATTTCTTCCAACAGCCTAATTGTCAATCAATGTTAAAAAAAGATTAATGAAAGATTTTGTAGCGGAAAGGATTAACCCATAGATCTCATTATCCCAAGTAATGACACAAGATAAAAATAATAAATAGAGCTTTTTTTAAAGTTTTGGATAAATTCCTGGATGTGAGATCCATAATTGACTCTGAAAGAGAAACTGGATGCTGCTTGAGTGTAGCTCCAACCTTTAAAGTTGACTTCACTGAGGAAAACCATATGCTTCCACCGTGGATGGACTTTGGGTTTGACTCAGTGCAGCCATCTTATTAAGAATAAGCAGGCCAGGGCCAGGCGCGGTGGCTCACGCCTGTAATCCCAACACGGTGGGAGGCCGAGGTGGGCGGATCATGAGGTCAGGAGATTGAGACCATCCTGGCTAACATGGTGAAAACCCGTCTCTACTAAAATACAAAAATTAGCTGGGCGTGGTGGTGCTGCACCCTTGTAGTCCCAGCTACTCAGGAGGCTGAGGCAGGAGAATCACTTGAACCCGTAGGCGCGGAGGTTGCAGTGAGCTGAGATCGCACCACTGCACTCCAGCCTGGGTGACACAGCAAGACTCTGTCTCCAAAAAAAAAAAAAGAAAGAAAAGAAAATAAGCAGGCCAGCTGCTTGGTTCAGAAACACAGGCTTTTTAGCTACCAGGATGAAGACTCTGAGGATTCAAGCACTGGCCTCACTACTAGTAAATTATTAATATTGAATGTGGCTCATGCCCGTAATCCCAGCATTTTGGGAGGCTGAGGCGGGAGAATCACTTGAGCCCAGGAGTTTGAGACCAGTCTAGGAACATGGCAAAACCCCATCTCTACAAAAAATACAAAAATTAGCCAAGCTTGGTGGCACACGCCTGTATTCCCAGCTACTTGGGAAGCTGAGGTGCGAGGATCAATGGAGCTCAGGATGTCAAGGCTTCAGTGGGCCATCATTGTGCCACTGTGCTCTAGCCTGGGTGACAGAGAGAGACCCTGTCTCTAATAATAATAATTATTATTATAATAACGTTAACAACTGTGTGTTTGCATGTGGAAGCAGTCAAGATCATACAACTTAATATGATTTTGGAGTTGGTGACCTGATTGTCCCTGGCTTTAGCTCAAGGTCTATGCCTAACCAGCTGGGAGATATTGGGCATTAGGCATGCCACTCATTGTATCTGGGTCTCATTCATGAATAGGGATACAAAGTCTACTTCTGCAAAGTTGTTTTGGGAGTTGAATGAGAAGTGGCATGAAAGCACTTGGTTAAATATGATGCGCTGTTTGAATGTGAGGTATTGCTATTTTACCCTCAAAGAAAAAAAATAGTGTCCTGGTTACCATATTTTATGGTCAGAAATATTTGTTTAGTGCAGTAAGATGCCCTGTGATAGAAGGATTTCATGGTCAAAGAAGCCTAGGAATCCCCAGATGCCTTTCTGCCTTCGGTGATCCCCAGCGCTCACAACCCCTTTTTCTCCTCCAGAAATACAAACACTCATTAGCCTTTGAAAGGCCCTGAGAAGTCCAGCAGCAAAGACATCAGTTGAAGTGTGTTTTATCTGGTGTTTTCCAACATAATTTGACAAATAAAGCTTCTTTGTGTAACATCTCACCACATCTCTATATACATTCATACTTTCATTCTCTCCCTCTGTGGCCTCATCCATACCCACACTCATACACCGGTGTCTGCCCAGCTGATATTTCTAGTCTGGACTGCTCCTGTGAAGTTCAGGCCGATTCACCCAATTGCTTCCACTTGGTTGTCTGAGGACAACTCAAATTCAATCTATCCAAATGTCTAAAATCAGAATCAGTACCCTCCATCCCAAACCTGGATCTTTTCCAGGATTCCCCAGCTTAATGAATGGCCCCAGCATCCTTCCAGCTCCACAAAGCCCAAAACCTTGCCACATCTCTTCCCCTCTTCCCTCACATCCCACACATATATTCTATCACAATTTCCTACCCAACTTATGTTCTACACATGTTTCATACCTATCCTCTTCTCTCCAGCCCCATTGCCACCATCCTGGTCCAGTCTACCCAGAGCTATCCCCGGGACCAGTACCAGAGCTTTCCAACTAGTCTCCCCACTATCTCATCCCCCTAAACCATCTTCTATGAAGGAGTAGGATAAGGCTTCAAAATCCCTGTCAAATCCGTCTTAAACCTTCTAATAATTTCTTCTTGCTCTTAGGTTCTCTGTGTCCCAATCACCAGGATTTTTCTATTTCTTCAGATGTCCCCAAGACAGGGCCTTTGCTTATGCCCTTCCTGATGCTAGGATACTCTCAGTGCCCCAGTCCAGTCCCTTTCCTAATTAACTTGCTCCCTCCTGTAGCTCTCAACCCAGATACAACTTCCTCAGGGAAGCTGTCCCCCAGACTTAGTCAGGACCCTGGTCGCCCACCCCACCATGGGCCTCTGCTTCATTTGTAAGTTGCCTCTCAACTTACAACTGCACATTTCCTTTTTTTTGTTGTTTTTTTTGAGACAGAGTCTCACTCTGTCTCCTAGGCTGGAGTGTAGTGGTGTAATCTCTGCACACTGCAACTTCTGCTTCCCGGGTTCAAGCAATTCTCCTGCCTCAGCCTCCCAAGTAGCTGGGAATTACAGGTGCCTACCACCACGCCAGGCATTAATAAAATTTTGTGTTTTTAGTAGAGACGGGGTTTTACCATGTTGGCCAGGCTGGTCTTGAACTCCTGAGGTGCCCGCCACCATGCCGGGCATTAATAAAATTTTATGTTTTTAGTAGACACAGGGTTTCATCATGTTGGCCAGGCTGGTCTTGAGCTCCTGACCTCGTGTGATCTGCCTGCCTCGGCCTCCCAAAGTGCTGGGATTACAGGCCTGAGCCACTGCAACGGGCCACATTTGCTTTTGTATTATTTAAATTAATGTCTTTTCTCCCAGACTAGATTGTAATGCACCTCATCAGGGTAGGACCTTGCCTATTTAACTCAATATTTTCTATCAGAAAGCCCCCACAAGTAATTTTTGCTGTAGAAAAAAAATCTCCTCTTCTTCACCACACATTCCACACCTCCGTTTCTGCTCTCCCGCCTCTCTGGTCTCCAGCTTTTTCAGAAAACAAAAACTCAACTGTTAGGCTAAGCTCCTCTTTTCTCTCCAAAGATTAAGCCATCTTACTGACTTCTCCAAAGAGCCTCTTTCCTGCTCGTCTGTTTCCAAGTTCACATTCCGGCTGCCACCCAGGCTGCCCACTGCCTGCTGCAGGGCTCCATCCACATCCATCACACTGTGCACGGCACCCCTGCACTGTGCGGAGCTACAGCCCGAGGCCACTCTGCCTCATCTTTAATCAAAAGGGCAATTTCTGTCTGATTTAAGTATCTGACCCAGAGCAGTTTTGGAGGCTAATTCGTACCACTATTCCAGGTCCCTGTTCCCCTGCTGAAACCCCAAGCCCCCTGCCCACATACAGAAACTTGCTGACGCTTTTGCTTCGATCCTTGGGGCGAAATGAGAGCCTTGGTTTGCTTGCTTGTTCTGGTTTCAGTTGGGTCCCAAGTCAGCCCCTACCTTTCACAAGTCTAGGGCTTAGGACAGGCTGTTCTCTCTGCCCAGGAAGGTTACTCCACATCCCACCTTCTTCCCCTGCTTGGTTTAGTCCTACTCATCCTTCAGGCCTCAGTTTAGGTGCCACTTCTGCAAAGGAATCTCTCCTGACAAATCAACTTAAAGTTTCGGTTACCCTGCTATTCTCTCCTATTTCATGCTAGTCCATCTAGACATCCATTGCAATTTGTATTTCTATATTTATGTGTGTACTTATTTGCTTAATGATTTTCTCTTTACTAAACCATAAACTACATAAGGGTAGGGCCAGTGTCTATTTTTTCACCAATCCCACGTGCAGCACAATGCCTGTTTACACAGCAGGCACTCCGTCAATGTGTACCTCAAGGAAGAAGCAATGAATGGACCAATGAATGTGCTTGCTCTTGAAACACCATTTGACCCTTGGAAATCTGCCCGGCTTGAAAACAACTCTAAGCCCAAGCAAAACTTAAGGAAGTGTAATTTGAAGAAATAATTTGTGTCTTGAACTTGTCAATGCCAATTCTCTGTGTATTTTGATTTGTTTTTTCACCCCTTGGGTTCAGAGTGACCTTGCCAGGCCTTCATCTCCTGGGGCACATACTTCCTTCTGCCCTGTAATAATAGGCTGCCTGGGGCTCACTGGGCTATGGTTTAAAAAGTCCGCAGGTGGCTTCTCCTCTCTCCAGCTAGGCTGGCTGGAAAGGGAGGGCAGGATTGTGTGTCCCTCCCTTTCTGCACCCCCTCCCCTCGCCCCGCCAGTCCTCAGAGGGAAGGCTGGGCTTTCGGTGCCCAAGCTCGGGTACATGTGGTCTTTTGGTTCTGCTGAAACAGACGTCCTGTGCCTTCTTGGTTCCATGTTTTTTACCTGAATTCATTCTCACTTGGAGCAATGCAATGCCAAAGCCATTTTTGCAGTAAAGCTTGCAGCAGAAAATGTTAGTGGTCCACCCATATTCCCCCCAGTTTACCATTTTCTGTGTACCCTGGGTTTTGGTGTGCATTCTCTTCCAAAGCCAGCACTGTGGCTTTTTGGCAGACAGCCCTCAGGGGCTCTGGAGCCACTTTGTGTGCGTGGATGAAGAGTCTGGAAACTGACTTGCCCCCCAGCTCCCTGGATTAGGCCCTGAGAATGTTGGCCTGAGATCCTGCTCTGCCCCGCCCCCCCGCCACCACTCCTCTCCTAGTGTCCTTACATCACATCCACACAAAGCCTCAGCTAGGGGCCTGTTTAGCGGGATCCCAACCTGAGACACTAGACATCAGGAGTGGGGCTGGGAAGCAAAAGCACACTGAAGCCAGGGTGAACAAGAACCACAAGAAGGGGTCCAGGAGCGCCTGGGCGGAGCACAGACACTGTCCACTTACATCTCACATTCAAGTTCACACCTTCCTATCACGGAGTCTTCATCTTGGTGATGGGCCACAATTTATGGGGGGAGCCTTACAAGAGGAGAGTTAGTTGGATGATCCACCATTCTCACCTTTTATAGCTTGTCTGGAGGCAAAACAGATATTCATTACAACCCTCCTGGGCCCCCCATCCTCAGCTGGCTGGCACTTCCACTGGTTGTTTCCTAATGGGGTGACCCAGCCCGTCATCCTTGAGGAGTCTAAGCTCCTGGTTACCATGGCTGTGGTTGCTATAATGACCTGGTCACAGTTAACCCTGGGCATGGGAGTGACCTAGAGATGCCCTGCGTTCCACACATCCTCCCCCCGGCTCCATTGTAACAGGGACAGAGCCTCCTCCTACTGACTGGGGCCAATCATGCCTGCCAGTATGGTAACTCCTTTCTTTGCCTGATGGTCTGCCAGGATGAGGGGACCAACCTCAAATGACAAGGTGGTTGCCATCGATTTCGGTTTCGTGGGACTCTGTCCCTGGTAGAAGTGTCTCCCTTCCCTTCTAGGAATTAGGACTTCTAGACCACCGAACCTAAAGTTGTGGCAGCAGGAAGCACAACTTCCTCCAAGTAGGTCCCTGGGAATGGTGGGGAGCAGGACCACCCTCATCCCATTGCTTCCTCCCCCTCTCGTGGGGACGACTCAGGTGTGTCCATTCAGGGGTCCTTTGCAGGATCAGCCTAAAGCTGCACTCAGAGCCTCTGCTGTGACTTTGCCCTTGCTTGGCTTTGTCCCCTTCTCTGTGCTGCTTCCCCCACTCCCTTACTGGTTACCCCTGGGATCCCTTCCTTAATCAGTTACTTGTACCTAAAGTCTGCTTTCTGGAGAAGCCAACCTAAGACAGAGCTGGAAGCCATGAGGAGTCGGGCGGGCCAAGCACTCCAGCTTTGAACATAAGATTGAGCACGGCCGGGGCTGAAGGGAGGAAGTCAGAGCTACTGACTAGACCTTGAACTGCAAACCGAGGATCCTGCCCCTGTTTCTACCTCACTAAAAACCAAAAAAATGGGTCTCTGCCTTCCCAGGTATCTGATAAGATGATAATGCTTTAAACTCTGACAGTGTAGGAGAAATACTGTCCCAAAGTGCTTCTTGCACGTTTACTTAAATGTGATGAATTTTAAAAACAATGAAGTTACTTGCAAATAGTGTGTCATATAATAGTATAACACCACTGCATATGACGATAGCTAACACTCCCCATGCATCCCTCTGGCCATGACCTCTGCGAAGTACCCTACGTGGTTCTCTCCTTTCCTTCTTACAACTACCTTATGCAGAATGTACGACTATTAGTCCGTCATCCCATTTTACAAATGTGGAAACTGAAGGATAGAAACTGATCCACCTGTGTGAGCTGCAGAGCCAGGATGAAACGCAGGCCTGTGCTCTCAGCCGCCCGCTGAACCTCCAGCAGGGAGACAGAAGTGGTCCATCTCCTTCCCCAGCTGAGGAAGTGGGATGTCTGTGGCAGGCAGGGCATTTGCCATTCGGATTTTTAAGCTTGCACGCACAGAGCCCATGGTGTATTTAAGCTGACAAGAAACTGCTACTTGGCTAGCCTCCTCAAAGAGGCCAGGAGCAAGACCCAAAGCTCCTTTGATCCTCCTCCAATACAGGAATCCAGCTGATATTAATATTTGGTATTACGATGGTTTCATTTGACATTTTCATGAGGAAATCTTGGCTTTACTTGGTTCCCGGGCTGGCAGGTGGGGCCAGTGCCAGGAAGCACACTGTATACTGTATACTGTATACAGAGTCAACAGCCTCACAGCAGGTTGGTGTTCCAAACCTCCTCCTGAGGCCAGAGCCATCATTAAAACACACCTTCACTTAGAGCTGTTTTTCTCAAATAAGAAGATTACATTTTGGCTCCAAGAAGTTGTTTGTCAGGACTGTCTTCATCATGAGGTGAAGTTGAATTTGGCTTGGTGATTTGTGGGTCTGGGTTGCCCCTTTCCCTGGGCTGCCCTCACAGACAAGACACGTCCCCTCATGGAATTAACGTCCCAGACTGCAAGCTCTGGGCGGGTGAGGACTGTTCTGTTTACTGCTGGCAGTAAGGCCTGTCACGCAGTGGGCTCTCTGTGTATGGTTGTTACCAATTAATAAACAATTTAGTAAATGAGTAAAGATAGTCAGCATCGTTTGCTATTAAGAGCCCAGCCTCTGGAACCAAACACTTGGATTCAAATCCCAGCCAGGCATGTGACCACAGGCAGGCAACTTAACTTCTTAGTAGCTTGGTTTTCCCCTCCGTACAATGGGTGTGACACTACCTCCCTCGAGACTGATGGGAGGATGAACTGAGTTATTATGTACAAAATACTCAGAGCTTGGGCACACAGCACGTGCTGCCTCCCTGAGTCTTTATTGACTGGGACATCAAAGTGTGGCATTGGGCTAACACGCTGTCTCCTCAAAGTTGCTTCCTTCTGCTAATTCCACACTGGAAGAAACGACCTTTGTTGTGTCTGTATTTGTGTGAGATCCCTTCATTCTCATTCCTATCTCGAAGGGCTTTTTACCTGGAGGTGTGGTTTGCAAACTGCTGGATCTCACTGTTTGCACACAAAAAAAGTGCTGATATTCTTAAAAATCTCCCTTGTGAGGAGCGAAAAGAGATAATGCTTTTTTTTTTTTTTTTCTGGAAGCAAGGTCGACAATTTATCACCAGCTGCCAAAACCTTCCTCTAAGGCATCACTTCTCAAACTTTTAAAGCATTCTCCCTGTCAGCCCAGTCAGAATGACAAAATCCAGAGTCATTCTCAAGAGAGAGGGGTGACAGGAATAGAGGGGTGGCTGAGAGCATTAGCAGGGAGGGAGGGGCGGCTGGGGCTCTAGCGGAAAAGCCTGCTCACCACCAAATCTAGGACCCTGAAGTCTGCAAATGGCTATAGTTACAGATCAGTTTACCTGGAGGGGCTGCTTTCCACGGGCTTAGCAAGCTGTTCAATTCTTCATTTGTTGAGGCAACACATTTTTATTGAGCACTTACTGTGTGCCAAGTGTTGGGGAAAAGGTGACCAAGACAAAAGTCTCTGCCCACAGGATGCTTACATTCTGCCATCACTAACGTCTCCACTCACCACCCACTGAAAACACGACTCACGCAGGAAGCGTTTCTCTGAATGAAACCCTTAAACCCAGGTTCAAATCAAATTTAAGACACAGAAAGTAGAATAGTGTTTGCCAAGGGCAGTGGGGAGGGAGAATGCGGAGTTGTTCGGTGGGTGTTGAGTTTCAGTTTTGCAAGATGAGAAAGTTCTAGATATTGGATGCACAATAAACACTATGGAACTGTATACTTTAAAATTGTTAAGATTGTAAATTTTATGCTACTTACATTTTTTACCACAATAAAAAAAAAATGAAAAAAAAAAACATAGTTAAGGATGCAGTGTCCAAAGGCTGTGGCTGCTGCCCAGACCCAAAGGGAGGAATGGGAGGTATGTGTGTCTGGGTGTCTGTGCGTGTGTGGGGCAGGGTGGGGGTGGGGGAAGTTCTGCTCTGCCTCCCCTCCGTTTCAGAGGTCCTAGAAGCCCAGATTAAACAGTCACTAGAGAGTCTGCGGTTATTTTTTCTTGGAGAATAATAGGCCCCGCCACTGGGCCTCCAGAGAAAGTGAATTGAGGCTCAGTGGTTGGCAGTTATCTCCGCCAGGTCTCCAAGTCCCTGACTTTCTATCACAAGAGAGGAACTAGAACATAGTGCAGAGCAAGCTTACAAGAGTTCAAATCCCGTCTGTGCCACTGACTTAGCTATGTGGCCTCAGGTGAAGTACCTGATTTCTCAAGTGCCTCAGCCTCCTCATCTGTAAAATGGGGGAGGGAGGGGTAGTAATAGTACCCACACCATAGGCACAGAGCCATCCTATGAAAGCCCTTGGCATTTTGCCCCATGCTATGTTTGTGTTTAGGGAGTTCAGGGATTCTTGATAGGATTGAAGCATGTATGTGTGGGAGAATTCATGTCACATTTAAGAAATGGGAATCAGGCCGGGCATAGTGGCTCACACCTGTAATCCCAACACTTTGGGAGGCTGAGGCGGGCAGGTCAGGAGTTCAAGACCAGCCTGGCCAATGGTGAAACTCCATCTCTACTAAAAATACAAAAATTAGCTGGGTGTGGTGATGCACATCTGTAGTCCTAGCTACTTGGGAAGCTGAGGCAGGAGGATTGCTTGAGTTCAGGAGATGGGGGCTGCAGTGAGCCATGGTTGTACCACTGCACTCTAGCCTGGACAACAGGGCAAGACCCTGTCCCCCCCCCCCCAAAAAAAACTGGGCATCTGGGTGGCAATGTGTTCAGTGAAAACGTGGCTTCTTCTGGCCAGGAGAAGCTGACAGCCTGAACTGGCCTTTCTCTGGCCAGAGGGCATTTTGCTCAGCCATGGAAGGCTAACCTAAGAGCAGGTGGGATGACAGTAGGATGATGGGATGGCCAGTGCCTCCCTAACCACGCTCCCCTATGCATGCTGCATTTTCCTTCTCTGCACGCCCACAGCTGGATGGGAGGAGGTGCTCAAGTGTGTGGGAGGTGACCAGCCACATCTGCAGGAAGTTACAGGTGCCCTGGGCTGGGGCCCTGGGACACATTCCATTTCTGGGGCTGGTGCCTCCCATCCAGGCTCCAGACCAACTCCTTAGGGTGCATTTTAAAACTGGTTCTTCCAGCTATTAACCCTGCAGTTCCTGAGAGAACACACACCCAGGTGGAGCTAATTAGGGTGGGATGAGAGATTGGGACTCTAGGAATTCAGTGCCAGCCTCCCCTGCAGGTCACTCAGGAGTGGGGCCTTGATGGGCCTGCTGCAGACAGCTGAGAGCCCACATCTGTCTAATCAGGGCCCCACTCTCTTCAGGCTGCTTCAGGAATAAGTCCCCAGTCTAGGGGTGCTGGGGAATCCTGCACCGTGATTGCTGTGTAATCACAACACCTAAAGATGAAGGATTTGGACAAAGGAGCATTTATTGAGCACTTTGTCTGTGGTACTAGGCCCATTACATTCATTGTTTCCAGCCTCACAACCACCCTGTCATACAATTATGATTCCCATTTTTTTCAATGTGGAAACTGAGGCTCAGAGGTGGTAAGGTGCTTGTTTAAGCTCTCCTGCCTTTGAGCAATTGAACTGGTATCTAAAACCAGGTCTCTCAGACTCCAAATCCTACACGTAGCTGCTTCCCCTTTCAGGTTGATAAAATGATCAACCTGAGCTAGTCTATCTTGCACTGCTTCTCCTGCTTAGAGGTAATTGCGAGTGTTAGATGTTGATAAACAGCAATGTAGTAATGATGTGAACCAGTCAAAACCTTAATCCTCTCCACCTAAAATACGATCACATCACTTCCTTTTTCAAAAAAATCTTCATTGACTTCTCTACTCACCAGATCAAGTTCAAACTCTTTAGCGTACAAGACAAAACACTAAAGAGACTATGACCAAATGCCAAACTCATGTTTCCCTTTTCTCTTTCAAGAATGATGTCCAGTCTGGGAAGGGAAAAATAACCCTACTGAGTTGGAATTGGGGTCCAAGATTGGTGAGAAAGCGCCCAACAAACATGACAGAGTTTGAAGGGAGTCCAGGTCTCCTCACCCTGACCAGTGACTGCTCAGCCTCAGCTGCAGCATGTCGAGATTGCTCAACAGCTATTGTTAATCTTTCACAAACCATAACAAATGTGAGACAGTCCCCAAGGATGGAGTGGGCAAAAGTCCCAGTTTTTAAAAGGGAGAACACTTTAGATACTGCAAACTACAAACCAATAAGTGGGAAGGGGAGCCCCAATAAAATTGTAGTGCATGCTGTTAAACGGTTTGTGCCCCTTACAAATAGGAGCACAGATCTTCGAAGAGCTTCATGGGACTGCTGGAAACAAGTCATGTCAGTGTCACCTCATTTCTTCTTCTAATGGTGTGGCAGGGCGGGTAGATCAGGGAGACGTTGAGGATGTGGTACATCTGGATTTCAGCAAGACAGCTGATAAGGTCTCTTGTGACTTCCTTGTAGACAAAATTGGTTAATTGTGAGCTAGAGGTGCTTTTAAGTAGAACTCACAACCCATTGAAAGCATAAACCTGAGACATGCAGATAGAGAGTAACTCGGAGGAAGTCTCTAGTGGTAGGCAACAAGGCTCAGCTCTGAGCCCTGTGTTTTGGACATTTTTAATCAATAACTTAAAGGGCAGATGACACAGCTTGCCGGGGGTGGGGGTGGTGGGGGGGATTATTAACAGCTTGGATGCCAGAAATAGGATCCAGAAATTTAAGTGGAATAAATGGAAAGTTCTGGACTTTGGTTTAACAAACCCGTGACACAGCTGAAAGATTTTAGCTGACTAAATGCTCAATATGAGTTCATAGGAACCAAGCCACGTTAAGCAGCTCATGTTTCCCCTTTGCCTTCAGGATGCCAGATCCCTCCTTAGTGTCCAGCAGGGGGTCCTCCAGATGTGAGCTGGCTACCAATCCTGTGTCAGGCTGCAGACTTGCCATGTCCTTGAACACCTTTGCACCTCTGCACATGGTCTCATCTCTTTCTCCTGTAGCTCGCCAGCTGAGGTCCTATTCACACTTTCTTTCTTTCTGAGTCAGAATCCCTGTCCCCCAGGCTGCAGTGCAATGCCGTGATCATGGTTCACTGTGGCCTCAAACTTCCAGGCTCAAGTGATCCTCCCACCTCAGCCTCCAGAGTAGTCGAAACCAGAGGCTTGTGCGACCACACCCGGCTAATTTTTTTATTTTTTGAAGAGACAGGGTTTTGCCATGTTGCCCAGGCTGGTCTTGAATTCCTGGGCTCAAGCGGTCTGCCTGCCTCAGGATTCCTATTCACTCTTTACAATCCAGCTCTGCTGCACCCCTGAGCTTCTGGAGATGCCACAGAACACTTGTCTGTGCTCCTTTGTGGCACTCACCACGTTTTGTTAAAATGACCAATCGCCCTCCTTGACAGGGTTGTGTGCTGCTTGAGGGCAGGGGCTGTCTCATTCACGTGGAGGTTCAACACATGTCTGTGGAATGGGTTTCGCTGCCCCAAAGCTGATTCTATCTTTTGCTGTGTTTGCATTGGAACAATGGGCAGAAATGATTTCCTAATTCTGCTTGCATGGGGTAGGTCAGACAACTTGGATGTGGGTTTTAGTTCTGGGTCTTATACTTCAAATGATGCAGGGCAGAGTGATCCCACGCCAGGGCAAGCTGGGTGCTAAAGGATTTAGGCGCTCTATCACAAGAGGAACAGGAAAAAAGAAGGCTTAGGTGGGGATACGAGAGCTGTCTTCAAACATCTGGGAGAATGTCCTGTGTTCCCTCACCGTCTAAGGCTCAGGGACTTCTTCCAGAACAGGATGGAGCCCTGGACACACAACTACACACACAAACAATTGTCACAGAGTGGGAGGCAGGATAAAGTGGTGAGTAACAGCCTGGCCTGAGACACAGGCTCACGCATCTGACACTGGCTGAGCCGCGCACTAGCTGAGTGGCCTTGGGCATGTTTTGTAACCTCCTTGACTGTTCCCTTATCTGTGAAATTGAGATAAATGTACTACCCACTTCATAAAAAGATCAAATGTGATAATACTTGAAATATGTTTAGAACAAAGTTGGCCATATTCAATAAATGTTAGCTTAAAAAAAAATCAGAGAGTGTGTCATCCCTCAAAGCCTAAAGGAGTTCCCTTCAGAGGCTGCAGACACCAGATTCAGAACCTCGGGACTCAGCTTCTCAAAGGTGCTTTTCCAGATTCCCACACATCCCTGATCCCTGAGCATCTGTGGTTCTCAGCCGTCTGTCTTTCTTCTCTGCCTGAGCCTCATCCTCTCAGGGCCCAACTCAACTTTATAAAAATTTTATTTATTTTTAATTTTACAAGTAATAATTGTATATATTTATAGGGTACAATGTGATGTTTTGATATATGTATACATCGTAGAAAGATTAAATCAAGCTAATTAATATATCAATCACTTTACCAACTTACTGTTTTTGTGTGTGGTGAGAATGTTTAAAATCTATTCTTTTAGCGATTTTGAAATATACGATACATTTTCCAACCTCTGCTTTTAAAAGAACCAGCCCACTGTGACCCAGGCAGAGTCGTGGGGGCTGGGGCGGGAAAACAAATCAAGCTGACAACCGGTAAATACAACATGTCGACAGTTACTCCTTCGTAATATCCTAGCGTGGGGAGAGCTGCCCTCTTCTTTTTTTTTTACACCCCTAGAGACATCCCTTGCCATGAGAGGGTTCACATGCAGGTATGCTCACACCCCAGCCTGTGTGCTGAGTGAGCTAAATTTGCAACCATAACTTTCTCTTCCCTCCGTACTCCCGGCAGAGGTCAGCCCTCAGGTCTGAGGATGCGCCCTGTGTGGAGTGGTGCGCGCTCAGAAGGTCCGGCAAGGGGGAAAAGGCCAGCCGGGGCTGTGAACAGACTCAGGGCTGTCCGGGCAGGGACACTCAGAGGAAGGGGTAGCGGCCAGGTCTCCTTGGTTCTTGGAATCCTGGCCGTTTAAAGGTGGGGCTCAGAGCAGGGGCTCCTCCGCCCGGGCCCACGGGCAATTCTATTCCTGGTAACCCTCGAAAGCCTGCAGGTCTCTGCTCTGGCTGTGGCCCGGGCCACCCTGCCTGACGCGTGTGCTTGGAGTGAGGGCCGTGTGTTCACCCTCGAGGAAGACTGCATAGGAAGAGAGTGGCAGGTCTATTTACCCCAGGGCGGGTTGACAGAGAGACCGAGGGTGGTGACAGGGTAAAGAGAAGGAGAGCAGGGGCGGTGTCTGAGGTCTGCAGGCAGCAGGGAGAAGGCTGCCCTGACCCGAAGAGGGTGCCCGAGGCTTCGGTGTGCTGAGGCCGGGGCAGCTGCTGGACTTCGGGTCTTCGGTGCGGACCCTGGACCTGCCTCAGATCCGTTCCTAGCCGCCCCTCTGCTCTGTATGGCAGGGAAGAGGCCCTAAAGAATGCTCCTCTCAGGATGCCGGGCCAGCAGGCTGCCGGCTAGGTATGGACCATGGACGGAGGCTTTGATCAGAGATTGGAGGCTGGGTGGGGCAGGAGGAGGCACCTTCTCCCCGCTCCTTCTCCGTCTTGGGTGCCTTCTCTGGCAGGAGCTGCATTTCTCTCATGACCCCGCTCCCACTGTGGCTGCAGTTTCTTTGCAGTGACCTTGATGCGTGGCCTTGGTCAGCGGCCTCCTCCCTTGTCCCTCAGCCTCAGGCAGTGGTGGCTTCCTGCTGTTGCTGGTCCCTGGGTTGCCTTACTGACCCCTGGTTGATTTCCTGACCTTTTTGGTTTTTTTTAATCACCTGTGCAATCAATTCCCCACATTAAATTCCTCCTGTTTTATATCTTCTGTTACACTTATGGGCAATTTTAGGATTTAGATCAAAACCAATGCATATTGTTACACTCATTTATATAGTGAAGAAATTGGGTTTTAGAGACGCTAAATAATTTTCTAAGGTTACCAACTAATAAATGATAGAGCAAACAGGATTTGAATCTAAATTTGCTTCACTTCCTAGCCTATTCTCTTTCCAATAGGCCTTACTGCCTCTGGGAATACATCTTGGTCAACTGTATTGGGGAATATGTGACGCAGTGTGAGAAGCCAGAGGAAGGAGAGCTGATGGGCTGAGGATGGCTATAGCCTTCTAAAATCACCCCAGCACTCTCATTGCTAGGAAGCCAGGAATAAATATCATTTTTAAATTCTCATTTTAAATATTTTCAGAAAATCTGAATAGAAAGAAATCTCACTGTATCCACAGTAGACTGTTATTTAGACTGCTGGAAATAGATTGAAATCGTTAGGCTTAATGGAAAGCTGGGTAAGATACTATGATTTTTTTGAGAAACAAGAAGTCAGGCTGAAAGGAAATGCCTGCTATAATTAGAGAAAATTAAGATTTAATCCAGTAAATACCAATGCAAACAATTCTTCCCTTCTCTCTCTCTCTCTCTCTCTCTCTCTCTCTCTCTCGTGTGTGTGTGTGTGTGTGTGTATTTCTTTCATTTCTCTTTTAAAACTTTAAACCAGTGGCTCCTAGTGAATACCCTTGCATCACATCTTAGACTGGAGTGAGTTGTTCCCAAGGCAAAGAACTTGGTCTTGTCTCAGTTCATGGTAGGGGCTAGGGAGGGGTGTTGAGGGGGAAGTAAGAGAGGAAGAAGAGGGAAGGAAATTAGGTTAATGGTATAATTTTCCTTAATTTTAAAATTTTTTGTTTTGTTTTTCTTAAATATCACCAGAAACACTTGCGTGGACTAGCATCTATAGTATAAGATGCATCTGACTTATCATAAGTTTTCTTTTCTTTTTTTTTTTTTTTTGAGACGGAGTCTCGCTCTGTCGCCCAGGCTGGAGAGCAGTGGCGGGATCTCGGCTCATTGCAAGCTCCGCCTCCCGGGTTCACGCCATTCTCCTGCCTCAGCCTCCCGAGTAGCTGGGACTACAGGCGCCCGCCACTACGCCCGGCTAATTTTTTGTATTTTTAGTAGAGACGGGGTTTCACCGTATTAGCCGGGATGGTCTCGATCTCCTGACCTCGTGATCCGCCCGCCTCGGCCTCCCAAAGTGCTGGGATTACAGGCGTGAGCCACCGCGCCCGGCTTCATAAGTTTTCTTATTAATAATTGATGGTGTGCCACAGAGTGGCAGGACTCCAGTGGCTCTGCCCTGAAAACAAACTTGGGAACTGCTGCCTGTGTATGCCGGGACGCCCTCCTGTGCATGCTGTGTGGATCCCATCCCAGAATCCATTCTAGGAGTGGTGATGTTAGCCCTCAGCTTCCTGAACTCACCCAGCCCCAGCTCTTCTCTTCCTCTGCATACACAATGGCACTCCAGACCACAAGTGCCCCAGCCCCATTTTGGTTAAGAAAACATTGTTGTTTCAGTCAGAGGAACCCCTTGGAGTTAGGATGAGCTGCACACATCTCAGATGGTGTTGTTCTGGAGTGACCCGGCAGCATCTAGAGGATTTAGGAGGTGCCTTCTCTGCTCTGGTTGGGGGAGAAAGAGACTTGGTGACCATCACTCCTTGAACTTGGACTATCTCAAAGGCAGCCAAGACCTACAGGTGGATTGTGAAAGCCATCAGTTTGACCTTCCCAGCCTGGGAGTGCAGGGAGAACGGCAGCTCCAGTTCAGGGTAGACACTCCCCTAAACATTTCCCCTGGAGCCCGAGGTCCTCAGTCCTCCAGCCCCCAGGACCTCACTTCCTCCCTCCCCTCCCCAATCCCTAACTGTTTGCTGGAAAAGAAGACTCTTGTCAAATAGAGCATAGCAAAGACCCAGCCTGTCTCTGTGTGTTTTGCCAAGGACGAAAACAATTTTCCAGGAATCAATAGTTGGTGGCGTTTGAAGATCTCATCCCAAACCCCATCTCATTAAACCAGGCCATTTTATTCAATATTTGCACCACAGCCAGGGAGGAGTTAATGGGATCCAGATTCATCTTGGAGGTGAGAGTCTTTTATAAATTCTAATAAGTCACAAGAATTGGCAGCTTGCAGGCCAATTTTTCAGAACAGCCAATATTTAATAGACTACCTCAGATGATTAAGTGAAATGATTTCTTGGAGCAGTCCCAGAGATGGCTCTAAAAGTTGTCTCAGCTAATTATCTCAGAACTAAAGAGGAAAATTGCAATGCCACTTGCCAGTTTAAATCTGGTTTCTGACAAGAGTAGAGCTTCTTAATTTAGGCTCTACATGCTCCGAAAGTCCAAGGTGGGGCAACAGAGGGACAGTGAGCACCTTAGGTGTGTATAAAATTATGTGCATTTTTATCCATTTTTCATCAGATTCCCAGATGAACCTATGACTACAGAAGTAAAACTACTGACTTGGATTATTGATGCCATTTATTTTACTGGTCTATTTCTACAATCTGGTTAATTTTTCATTTTGATTTGTCTTTTTTTTTTTTTCTGAGACAGAGTCTCAGTCTGTCGCCCAGGCTGGAGTGCAGCGGGGCAATCTCTCACTGCAACCTCAGCCTCCCGGGTTCAAGTGATTCTCGTGCCTCAGCCTCCCAAGTAGCTGCGATTACAGGTGTGCACCACCACGCCAGGCTAATTTTTGTATTTTTAGTAGAGACGGGTTTTCGCCATGTTGACCAGGCTGGTCTCGAACTCCTGACCTCAGGTGATCCACCCATCCTGGCCTCCCAAAGTGCTGGGATTACAGGTGTGAGGCACTGCGCCCAGCTGATTCTCTTTTTATCCCCTTCCTCTAGGTAGTCTTTGTATTAATATATGGACCACTGAACCCAAGAAAACTGCTGGATGATTTATCAAACTGTTTTTGCAGTAAGAAAGAGATGGCATCATTTATTTGGGAATCTAACACCTCACTGCCCATTCCTCCCCATTCCCCACCCCTGCCCAATGTTAAAACATTCCATTCTAAACCTGGGAATAGCGTGGCAAGGTTCAGTGATTTCAAAATAAAGGCAAACCTGAGTTCTCCCTTCAAAGTCAGATTTCCAAACATCTGAGGACAGTGTCTGTTTCCTGTCTCAGTAGAATTGCTAAATTACACCTAGCTTCCTCCGATGAGATCTTTTCCTCTCCACACCCTGCCAATTACTTGCCAATTAATACAATCAAGTAACCACTTTGAACAACTTTTAACTTTGAATGTCAGGTTAACATTTTTCCTCACTCTCCTCCACCCACGATTTCTTGAATTTTCAAGGCTTGAGCTTTCCCCCATCCTCCCTCTCAATCATCTTAAAACTCTGCAAGGCTAGGGCTAGTGAAGAATATGCACATGAATATCCGATGGACTTCTGCCTACTTCCTTCCTAAATAAGCAATAAGGTCAACAAGGGCTGGGTAAAAAGCCTCACAAATACGAAAGCTGTCATGTTTGTGAGCCCAGAATTTCAGTTCTGAGTGATGATTGGCTATGGAAAATATCTGGTGTCTCCAGAAAACAAAGCCCTTTTGTTCAGGGAGCTCAAAGTTTTTAAACGCCCACACATTCATTCCCTCTTCCGAAGCCCCACCTGTGAGGAAGGTTAGGTGGGGGTGACCATCTGCACCTGCACGCTGGTGTCCTCCAGGAGGAACTTGCACTTGCATCTCTGTCCATTTTTGCCCCAGTGACCAGCTCACCTCACGTGGATGGAGGCAACTATGATAAACTCCTGCCCTGGTGCCCGAGGACAGGACACTCTTCTTATTCCTCCACAAGCTGTGTGACCCTGAACAAGTTACTTAAGTTCCTTCTACTGCCGTCAAATGGAGATAAAGATGCCTACATATCCGCGATGTTAAGAAGATTAATTTAGATGAAATACATAAAGTGGCTAGCATTCCATGTTAGATTTCTTCCTTATCTGTAGAATGGGGTAATAATACCTGACAATAATATAATCCTACTTATCCATAGCCTACTAAGGGCTCTGTGGAAGGCTGCAAGGATTGAATATACCTGAATTCTTCTAAAAATGTCTGATTTGGAGGTTAAAACTTCTGAAAGATGATGTCACCGAAACACGAGTAAGAACTACATCAGGCTTTCCTAGAATGTGTCCTTTTGGAACCAAGAGACAGTGAATTATGAAAGAATTCTGAAATCAGATATGTTTGGGAAATTCTGCTGTCTCTTTCTATATATATATATATATATATATATATATGTATATGTGTGTGTGTATATATATATATGTATATATATGTGTATATATATATATGTATATATATGTGTATATATATATATTTTTTTCCCCAGTCCTCAGAACTGAAATTCTTGGATCACAAACCTGACAGCTTTCATATTTGTGAAGCTTTTTACCCAGCCCTTGTTGACCTTACTGCTCACATATGACTAGGGTATTTAGGAAGGAAGTAGGCAGAAATCCTTCATCGGCTGTTCACATGAATATTCTTCACTAGCCCTAGCCCCCTTGAGTTTTAAGATGATTATATTTATATATATAAAATATATACATATATTCTCCTTGTAGGTTCACATTGCACATTAGTATCTTCAAGTCCTGTGACTTCAAAAAAACTTTAACTATAACTAAACCAGTGTTTGCACATTTGTTTGACCTTGGAAAACTTTTATTCATGTCACACTGTTAATATCCCTGATTTGACATAACACACTTTGAGTTATGCTAAACTACCCTACTCTCAGTGTAGGCTATTCCAAGGATTGGATGACCCACTTGCTGTGATAATTTTAAAGATTGTTTTAAAATTGAATTAGAAATCCAAAGTGGGGTGTTCCATGACTGCATTTAGTCATCAGGAAGTCTTTTTTATCCTATGATTGAATAGTTTTTAGATTCATGGCCTAAACTCTTCTTGCAAAAGAGGAATTTTATATCTTCTGGATTCATCATTTGAGCATTTTGTTTTACAAAAAAAAAATTATTTTTGGATGTATAAGGCTTTTTACCTAGTATCTGTCTGGTACTTAGGATCATCAAGACATCCAGGAAAGAAGTGGAAACAAAGGTTTTATCCACATATTCCCACAAGTAGCTTTCACCACTTTCTGCTGGCAGTGGGTTGGGATGTTTGTCTTTGCCATCACAGTTGTACCTACCACTTTATCTTCATCCTCAAGGACCAATGCCTCCAGAGTTTCACATTCAGTGCCAGATGCAATGGTGTCTGTTATTTACATGTGCTATGTATGTATGTGCTATGCACCGTGCGTGTATTTTTCTAATTTAATCCTTGCCACAACTTTTTATGTTAGGTATTTTTTCCTTCATCTTACAGAGGAGAAGAAGATGGAGGCTCACAGTGGTTAAGTTAACTTGCTTATAATAAGATGTAGAACTAGGACTCCAAGGCAAGGTCGACTGGCTGCAAAGCTGGTGCTCTTTCTAATCTTCACATCACCTTCACTCCTATTCCCCAAGATGTTTGGGGCTTCCCATCCTGGCAGGATCTCATATTCCACACCTTCTCTTATCTTTGTAAAATTACACCTGTTTTAGTAAAAGAGGAAAACCATCTGATCATTTCAATCAATGCAGAAAAAGCATTGACAAAATTCAGTACCCATATGATGAAAACTCTCAGCAACTAAAAACTTCCTTAGCTGATAAAGGACATCTTTAAAAAACAAACATCTAACATCATACTTAATGGTGAAAGATTGAAAGCTTTCTCCCTAAAATCAGGAACAAAGCAAGGATGCCTGCTTTCACTTCTATTCAACATTGTACTGGAGGGCCTGGCCATTGCCATAAGGCAGGAAAAAGAAATGAAAGGCATAAAGATCAAAGAGGAGCAAATAAAACTGTTCCTGTTTGCAGATATTATAATTGTTCATATATAAAATCCCAGAGAATCTACAAAATAAATACTAAAAGTAATAAATGAATTTAGTAAGGTTGCAGGATACACGGTTATTATAAGAAAATCAATTGTATTCTTATATGCCAGCAGCAACAATTGGAAAATAAAGTTGTCTTTTGCTTTTTTTTTTTTTTTGAGACAGAGTCTTACTCTGTCACCCAGGCTGGAGTGCAGTGGCACGATCTCAGCTCACTGCAACCTCCACCTCCCAGGTTCAAGCAATTCTCCTGCCTCAGCCTCTCGAGTAGCTGGGACTACAGGCACCAGCCACCATGCCTGGCTCATTTTAATACTTTTTTTTTTTTTCTTTAATACAGTCGGGGTTTCACCATGTTGGCCGGGCTGGTCTGGAACTCCTGATCTCAAGTGATCTGCTTACCTCAGTCAGTCTCCCAAAATGCTGGGACTACAAGTGTGAGCCACTGCGCCTGGTCAAAAATAAAGTTTTAAAAAAGCAATTCCATTTATAATAGTACCACAAAACACAAAATAGTTAAAAATAGATCTAATAAAAGATGTCCAAAGCTTCTACACTGAGAACTATACATTATTGTGGATAAAAATGTAAAAGACATACTTAACTGGAAAGCTATACTGTGTTCATTGATTGAAAGACTCAATATTGTTTAAATGACAGTGCTTCCCAAATTGGCCTATAAGTTCAACATATTCTCCATCAAAATCTCAAGAAGATCTTTTGTAGAAAGTGAGAAGCTGATTCTAAAATGTATGGCCATGCAAAAGACATAGGCTAACCAAAGCTAACTTTAAAGAGAACAGTGTAGAAGAACTTTTCCTACCTGATTTCAATACTTTTACTGAAAAGTTAGAGTAATCAAGACAGT
This sequence comes from Homo sapiens, assembly GCF_000001405.40. Classification (NCBI taxonomy): domain Eukaryota; kingdom Metazoa; phylum Chordata; class Mammalia; order Primates; family Hominidae; genus Homo; species Homo sapiens. The sequence goes on from NC_000006.12 coordinate 108,724,744, forward strand.
TTTAGTATTGGCAAAAAGATTAACGTTCAGATCAATGGAACAAAATGGAGTCTGGAAATATACCCACACATAGTGATAGGAGATGTTTGATAAAAGTGCTGAAGCAATTCATCAGAGAAAGAAAAGTTTTCAACAAGCGGTATAAAATAACTGAATACTATACAGAAGAATAATGAACATCAATTCTTACTTCCCACCACATACAAAAATTAACTTGAAATGGCCTATAGACCTTCCTAGTTTTAGTAACACCTAAAGCTAAAAATATATATAGAAGAAAATATTTGTAACCTTGGAATAGCCAAAGATTTTTTTAGATATGTCACATAAATGACAAAGTGGCTTCATCAAAATTAAAAAAAACCTTTTTTCGAGACAGGGTCTTACTCTGTCACCCAGGCTGGAGTGCAGTGGTGTGGTCACAGCTCACTGCAGCCTTGACCTCCTAGACTCAAATGATTCTTCTTCTCCAGCCTCCCAAGTAGTTGGGACCACAGGTGCATGCCACCACACCCAGCTAAGTTTTGTATTTTTTGTAGAGATGGGGCCTCTATGTTGCCCAGGTTAACATTTAAAACTTTTATCTTCAAAAGACACTGATAAGAAAATGTAAAAGCAAACCACAAACTGGAAAAAAAAAACTATTTATTACACATATATCAGATAAAGAATTTGTTTCTATACTATATAAAGAATGCTTACAACGAAATAAAAAAACAATTAAAACTTGTTGAAGTATTTGAACAGACATTTCATGAAGACATAACAATAGCCAATAAACACATGAAAAGATATCGAACATCATTAGTCATCACAGAAATGCAATTAAAACCACAGGAGGAAGCCAGGCACAGTGGCTTATGCCTGTAATCCCAGCACTTTGGGAGGCCAAGGTGGGGGGATCACGAGGTCAGGGGATTGAGACCATCCTGGCTAACATGGTGAAACCCCATTTCTACTAAAAATACAAAAAATTAGCTGGGCGTGGTGGCTGTAGTCCCAGCTACTCGGGAGGCTGAGGCAGGAGAATGGCGTGAACCTAGGAGGCAGAGCTTGCAGTGAGCTGAGGTGGCACCACTGCACTCCTGCCTGGGCCACAGAGTGAAACTCCCGTCTCAAAAAAAATAAAAAAAATTAAAAACCACAGGAAGATACCACTATTACCCTACTGGAATGGCTAAAATTAAAGCATGTCATGCTAAGTATTGGTAAGAATGTGAGGCAAATGGAGTTATTGTACCTTGTTGGGAAAACCAAATGGTGCAACTACTTTGAAAAACAGTTTGGTAGTTTCTTAAAAAGTTAAATACTCATCTACCAAGTGACCCAGCCATTCTACTGGGTCACTTGGTAGATGGATATTTACCTAAGAAAAATGAAAACATGTCCACAGAAGAACTGTTCATAAATGCTCATAGCAGCCTTATTTGAAATAGTCCCAAATGGGAAACAACCCAAAATGCCCATCAGTAGGTGAATGGATGCCAAATTGTGCCACAGTTGCTCTCTCAGGAACTACATTCCAAGACCCCCAGCGGATGCCTGAAACCACAGATAGTACTGAACCCTGTGTATTACTGTGTTTTTTTCCTATACACACATACCTATGATAAAGTTTAATTTATAAATTAGGCACAGTAAGAGATGAACAACAATAACTACTAATAAAATAGAACAATGATAACAATATATCATAATAAAAGATATATGGGCCAGGCATGGTGGCTCACGCCTGTAATCCCAGCACTTTGGGAGGCCAAGGCAGGCAGATCAACTGAGGTCAGGAGTTTGAGACCAGCCTGGCCAACATTGGGAAACCCCATCTCTACTAAAAATACAAAAAAAAAAAAAAAAAAAAAAAAAAAAAAATTAGCCAGGCACGGTGGTGGGTACCTGTATTCCCAGCTACTCGGGAGGCTGAGGCAAGAGAATCGCTTGAACCACGGAAGCAGAGGTTGCAGTGAGCCAAGATCCCACCATTGCACTCCAGCCTGGGCAACAGGAACGAAACTCTGTCTCAAATAAATAAATAAATAAAATTATGTGAATGTGGCCTCTTCTCTCTCTCTCTCTCTCCAAGTAGCTTATAGTACCGTACTGCTGGTAACTGAAACCAGGGAAGGTGAGACCGTGGATAAGAGGGGACGGCTGCGTATCAATATAACCTATAACCGAATGTGACTAGTGATAACAAGGAACAAACTGTCACTGCATGCAACAGCGTGGATCAATCCTAAAAGCATCATGTTGAGTCAAAGATATGAGACACTACCCCCAAGTACACACACAGTATGTTTCCATTTATTTACAGTTTTTTTAAATCTACACTAATCTGTAGTGATAGAAAGCAGATGAGTGGCTGCTGAGTATGCAGTGCAGACAGGGATAGATTACACAAGGCACAGGGAAACTTTTGGAGGTGATGGAAATTTTCACTATATTGATCATGGTAATTTGCTAAAACTCATCAAATTGTACAATTTTACTTTTTGCAGCTTGTTGAATGTCAATCATGCCTTAATAACACTGAAAAAAACTCCACCTGTCCTGGGCCCATTTTTTCAGAGCCTGCTCCTGGTTTCCTAAGGGCCAAATCATCAAGCAGTAAAATCATGAGAGGCTTTTGAGAACCTAAGGAAGAGGAACTACTAAAAGCTAAGAGGGGCCATCAAGACTAGGTGCATTCTCCTCTCCTAAAGCTTCTTGGCTTGGGAAAGAAAAGGGGTGTGTAGACATAGGCTGAAGGGAGGTTAGTAGGCATTTGGGGCACTTGTGTGGTGCCCTGGTGAACAAGACTTGGAGGTGCCAAGGTGCATAGGCCACGTGAAGATACAGGAGGATGGCGCTGGGGGTTGAATGACCCAGGTGGTACAGATGAGGGGCCTGACATCACCCAGAGGGTGCTATCTGCTGGCAGCCACCCTTCCGCTTTGGCCTACTTCTGCTTGGCATTTTCAACTGTGACTTAGATGACAACATAAATTACAAGCTTGTTAAATATATATTCAGCAAATATCTATTGAGTCCTACAATGTGACAGGCACCATGTCGGTCCCACAAGGGATAGATGATGGGAGGAGATGACTTGGCCACCTGGAGCTTAAACAATAAAGAAAGGCTGTGAGACTTATATACTCACAAATATCCCGTTCAAAGTCTTGATTTGACACACAGAGCTGTGCTTAGAGAAGGAGTGTGGGGTTCCAAGGATTGCAAGGAGGAGGAGTGTGTACAGGGACAGGCGAGCACACGGCCAGGGAGCCCAGAGGGCTGGGTGAGTCTGGCCTTGCACGATTTGGGCGTTTGGTCTGAGAGAAGGGCAGCGATGGAGGATTTAGAGCAGCGAGGGTTGTGGTCGGATTTGTGGTTTTACTAGATTGCTCTGGGAGCTGGAGGGGGACTTGGAGGCAGAAGGGGATGGCAGCCCAGGGGAGGGAAGGCAGGGCCTCAGGGGCACAAGGGAGTGGCCTGCATACACGGCCCCCAAATGCACTCCTCAACCCTGGCCTCCCTTGTCACGTGCTGTGACCCTAAGCTGTCTCACACCTCTTGTCCCCTATCCCTGCTTCTCCAGCTCAGGCTCTTCTTGTCTTGGTGTGTCACTGTGAGCATCGTGTTTCTGAGCTCAGCTCTGAGTGTCTGCCCTAATCCTCGCCCCTCATAAAAGCATACCGATTTTGGTGTGGACAGATCTGGCTGCAAACCTTGGCTCCATTACTTATAGCTATGACCTTGGGCAACTAACTAAGCTTTCTAAGCCTCAGTTTTCTCATCTTTACAATGGGGATATCTCCCTCAGTACGATGACTGTGAGGATTAAACTGAATAAATATGTAAAGTGCTAGGTAAACTTTAGGCTTTCCCTCAGGTTTTGCCCCACAAAATCAGAATGATTCTTTGGCCTTTAATTTGGGGACAGAGAGGCAAATGACAATAACATTAGGAAATGTTGGAAATGTTAAAAATCAAACAATCTCTAGGGGCCAGAACGTCTCTAGGCAGAAGGAGGGTCCGGTAAAATCTCCCCTCCCCCATTCAGTTAGGAGGCACGTCAGAAAGTGTTGAGAGTGTAGGGGGCCTCAGTGGCCCCTGCACTAGGAAGGCAGCAGCAGGCGTTCCTGCTCCTACAGGAGACAGGCTGGCCCATCTCGGGAGGCACTTAGTGCTTCTTAACTAAAGGCGATTCTGCCCTCCAGGGAGCATTGGCAACGTCTGGAGACATCCGACTGTCACAACAGGGGAGTACTACTGGCATCTGGTGGGTGGAAGCCAGGGATGCCACTGAACATCCTATAATGCAAGGAGAGGGAGGACAGGGTCCCCCTACAACAAAGAATTCTCCAGCCTCCAATGTCAATAGTACTGAGGTTGAGAAACTCCGGGCTAGTAAGAAAGCCGGGTCCAAATTCCAACTCTCTCATTAATAGCATTGTTACTTTGGGAAGGTATTTAACTTCTGTGTGCTGGTTTCTACATCTGTAAAATGAGGATGATAATCACAGTACCGTCATAAGGTGGTTGTGAGCATCCAATGAGTTTACAGTAGGGATTGTGTTTAAATTACTGACTAGGACATAGGAAAACCCTATGTAGGAGCTGGGAATTGAACCATCTCCCATTGGAGATGCCACCTGGGGTCATAGCTCTTCCCCCAGGGGCCACATCCTTGCCTCCCTCCCAGAGAGTTTCTCTCTTCCCTAGGCTACACATCCCCATTCTTTTCAGCTGACACAGTGCCCAGAGGCTTTACCATGCTGTTCTGTTTTCTGGAAGGATTCTGTCAGAGTTACTTTTTTAAAAAGCCACCCTAATCACAAGGTCAAGAGATCGAGACCATCCTGGCCAACATGGTGAAACCCTGTCTCTACTAAAAATACAAAAATTAGCTGGGCGTGGTGGCGGGCATCTGTAGTCCCAGCTATTCAGGAGGCTCAGGCAGGAGAATTGCTTGAACCCGGGAGGTGGAGGTTGCAGTGAGCCGAGATTGCACCATTGCACTCCAGCCTGGCAATAGAGTGAGACTCCATCTCAGAAAAAAAAAAGCCACCCTAGATTGTACCCCACAAGCCCAGTGTCCTGAAAGCACAGAGGGACCACCACACTATCACCTTCCTAACCCGATGCAACCCTCTGGTGAATGTTATCTAAGATGGGGTTGGCATTTGTCATGAGAGTTGTGAGCTGCCGTTGGCTACTTATACTTTGATCAATTGGAAACTGCCAGCCCTGCTTCAGCAGAGGAGGAGCCCCAGGGTGGAAAGGGTCCTGAGAGGACATCACAGAGTACGTGGCTCTCCAGCAACAAGTGCTGTATCAAAAAGGAATTTTCTACTCAGCCTGAAAATTCAGTGAACTAAAACTCTGCTTTCCTTGGGATTAGGTAGGGTAGCATTGAACTGAAAAGATCCTCCCAGAAAAGCTATGTCACCAAGCAGGAGACCCTGACCCTTGCATGCCTTATTCCTCTTTCGCCTCATCTCCTCAGTGGGGTTATTAGTCTGATTCACTCTATCATTTCCTAAACTCCTCAGAGGATAGCCTCTTCTGGAAACAGGATCATATAAAAGATTCTCCTGGCCGAGCGTGGTGGCTTGAGCCTGTAATCCCAGCATTTTGGGAGACCAAGACGGGTGGATCACCTGAGGTCAGAAGTTCGAGACCAGCCTGGTCAATATGGCAAAACACTGTCTCTACTAATAAACAAATACAAAAATTAGCAAGGTGTGATGGTGCGCACCTGTAATCCCAGGTACTCGGGAGGCTGAGGCAGGAGAATCACTTGAACCCAGGAGACAGAGGGTGCAGTGAGCTGAGATTGTGCCATTGCACTCCAGCCTGAGTGACACTCCGTCTCAAAAAAAAAAAAAAAAGAAAGAAAGAAAGAAAAGATTCTCCTTTGTCTAACAACTTCACCCCACAGCAGTCTGCAGAGTAGCAGTTTGACAAATAAAACGGGAGATGCAGCTACTGCAAATAGCAAAAACCACTTCACTTCCAAATTTCCCAAGTCCCGGGGGAGCCCACTTAAGCATTCCTCCAATAGAGAGCCTGTTAAACCGTAATGGCTTTAATTTGGTCCAATTAACCTCACACTGGGCTAACTTCTGCCCTTAGCTATGGGTTGGCAGCTACTGCTGACTCCAGGTACAGTAGTGGGCAGGTAACACCAGAAACTAACTCGGCGAATGAAAGGAAAATATGTTCGCCACATCCTCCAAGCAGGAGGGGAAAAACGACCTGGCTCAGGCATGCTGCTCCAAAGTGCACATTCAACCCAGAAATCTTCCAAGAAGCCAAATGAGGTGAAAACAGGACATGTCAACTGAGAATGCGAGTGAGTTTTGTTTGTTTGTTTTACATTGTCAGTTGCCTTTCATTTGCAGAACATGCTGAATGGATGTGATTTCCAGCTCTCTGTGATTATAAGTCTGATTCAATTCCTTTCAAGGCATAAAAGCCTTTTCTTGCCGAGTTGTCTTTGGGAATTCTTCACTTGAAGTTTATTCTTTCAGTATAAGGCTGCCCTGCCCAAGTGGGAGACCGAGAGCCTGCTGTCTCTTTTACACACAGCGACCTGTGTGGGGTCCTCCACACCCAGGATTAATGTTCTTCTTTTTGGACATTTGAATGGTGGTTTTCACCGTCAATGGGCTATGGTTTGTAACTGAATAATGGGAAATGACAATAGAACACTTGGGGCGGGGACTGGAGAGCTGAGGTCCTCTGACCCAGCCACCTGTATTATATAAGAGAAATCAGAACCCAGACTCCAGAGCGTGCTCCCAGAACCCTGGGGTCCTGAGAGGGTTAAGTGGAGGGGTGTGGGGGAAGAAGCTGAGCACATCGAACCCCTCTTCCTGTTCAACTAGAGCATCTCCATTTTGATATATTTTCAACTTTTAAAGTTTTACATTTATACAGAAAAGTGCACCAATCACAAATGCACAGCTCGATGAACTTTTACAAACAGAACACATCTGCAGAACCAGCCCAGATCCAGAAACAGGGCCACCCCTCACTGCTGCCTTTCAACACCACCCCAGAAAGAAACCACTGCCCTGGACTCTCACAGCATCTCAGTGATACATTTTATACATTCAGGCTCCACATAGGATTGTTTTAAACTTTTTATTTTGAAATAATTATAGATTCACAGGAAGTTGCTAAGAGAGTACAGAGAAGCACATTGAATTTTATATTCATTTTCAACGTTCAGAAACAAAATTTTTAAGTTAAAAAACCGGTGGTTTAAACTAAATTAGCAAATGGACGGGTTTTGGAGCCAGGCCACGTGAGATTGAGTCCACATTCTTTCCCTTACCAGCACATGACCCCAGACTTGTCCCCTAATCATCCTGAGCTGCAGATGAGGCTCATACCTCCTTCCTGCTATTGGTGGGATTAAAATCAAAGTGAGACCGTGTGCACTGCAGGAGGTGCCCGGAGTGATGGATGCGGCAGGAGTGTTCAAGCAGTGCCTCTCCCATCTGCAGCTTCGTCCGGTTTCCAGTCAAGCACTACTGCACGCCCAGCACCCCAGCTCCTCCACCATTCCTCTGCCTCCCATGCCTGCAGCAGCTTCGCCCTCCAGCTGTTGGGGCAGGTGGGGTCTGGAGGAGTAGCCACCTGGATAGGAGAGCTGGGGAGGACTGACGAAGCAGGCCTGCCCTAGGTGCCTCACCTGTGGGCTGGCCATTGTGAAATCAGCCCTGTTCATGTGCCACCTGAAAAGGCTACCCTACCCTCCCCCCCCACCCCCACCCCCGACGCTGGGAAAGGGTGTGGCTCTCTGCTCATTAAGGAAGCATTCCCACTGTGGATGGGTAACAAAAGGCAACCCTCAAGGAGTGACCTTACTAAATCCAAAGGAATCCGGCCTCCTCTCATTAGTGGGAGGGTAGCTGAGGGTGACTCTTGGCCAGCCGGCCCTGAGTCATTGAGGGAAGAAAGGCCAAGCCTGCATGACCCATCTCAGAGGCCTTGCCCTGGACAGAAAGGGACCTGGAGCCACCCGAGAGATAACATCTGGGCGGGCCTGGGGCTGGATCCACCTGTCCACTCTGCGCACCTAAGGCCGTGCCTGCCACACCTCCAGATCCAGGAAGTTAGCAGGCAGGCAGCAGTACTCAGGGAGGCCTCCAGATCAGCCCCCAAAGGTCTACACTGTGGAACCTGCTTCTCCTCTCAGGAAAGACTTCTGGCCTCACCCCCTCTTCTAGAGCATGCGATTCTAATGAAATGGAGCTTCTCACTGGAGCCCAGGTTTCCATTCTACCCATGTCACCTGTCCCTAGAGGAAAGGCTACCCTCCTTGCCCCTGCAGGGGTTGCCCTGTTGTACCTCTGTGAGGGCTTGGTCCTGGCCCTACGTGCCTCCTCTCTCTGCCTTCCAGAGGCTTCTCTGCTCCAGCACTTCCCTTGGGCCCACCCTCTGGGGGTTTTCAGTCCAAGAATGGATGGAGAGGAAGAACCTGTCCCTCTGGTTGCCTACCATCTCTCAGGTGTCAAAATGTGGCACACTCCAGTGACACCTCTGGGGACCAGAGCATGAGCCAGCCTGTACCTTGAGGCAGCTGTGCCATTCTGGGAATTTTCCCCTTTCCTTCCTCAGTGGTTAATCTTAGGGTGGCAGTTTTAAGCCTAAGGTCAGGAAGCTCTGGCAGAAGAGGCAATGATGTTGATGGTGATAATGATAATAATAATAGATAGGGTGGCTGGAGGGATGGTGAGTGGCGTGGGAGTGAGGATGAGTCCCAGGTGGTAGTCTTAAGCAGTCTGGACACCCTGCTGCTAATGATAGGCATCACTTATTGAATACCTATATGAACCATGGGTTGCACTACGTGCTTTGCACGTGTTGTGCCACTTAATCCTCCCAATAACTCTATGGAGGTCATCATCATAGGGTTACGATGTCCTGTAAGTAACTTGCTTAAGGTCATGTAGCTAGTAAACACAGAACTAGAACATGAATGCAAGTCTGTGTGACTCCATGCTCCTTTCCTTTTTCTCTCTCTGTCCCTTGTTCACCCTACAGAAACTCTTAACCTTCCTAATTTTCTATTCTAGAAAGGGTTTATTTTTAGCTAACCACCTGCTATGCTTGTTGAGAATAACCAACACCTGTTAAAGCTTAAGGTGTCACCCACCCTGGGGGTATTTGCATTTTAATGGAAACCTGGGTGACAAGATAGTAACCAACACTTGCGTAGAGCAGTGGCTCTCAAAGTGATGATGTAGGCATTACAGTTTGTAGACACTGTTTGCATTCATTATCCCATTGTTTTATAGCAGTGCTTCTCAAACTTTAGAGGGCATCGGAATCACCTGGAGACTTGTGCAATCACAGATTACTGGGCCTCACCCAGAGTTTCTGATTCTGCAGGTTTGGAAGGGCCTGAGAATTTGCCTTTTCAACAAGTTCCAGGTGATGCTGGTAATGCTGGCCTGGGAACTACATTTTGGGAACTATTGCATTGTAGCAATCCAATAAAATTAGAATAGCAAGCATTATTGTTTCCATTTTTTAGACAAAGAAATTGAAGTGCAGGGACATTAGATGACTTGTGGTTGAGTGATGGAGTTATCAAAAAGCAGGCGAAGGACTTTGACCCAAGATAGGACTCTTCTATACCATTATTTCTCAACAGGTCTGGGCAGTACTGAGATTACTGCAAAGATGATTCAAAAAAATTATATGAGCCTCTACTAGATCACCCAGGTGGCTATGGAGACCTGAATGCTGCCTGCTCTTCAGGGCACATGGCTGCATTTGTGTATGCAAAGGCATTACCCCAGTGAAGTGAGAGCACGTGGCAGGGAAGCCTGCCAGACTCAAAGGCCTCATTCACGTGTATGCAGACGTGTCGCACACAGACCCGTTTTACTTTACTTTCATCTAACAGTTTGCAGCGAGAATTGGCCAACAGGACCCAAATTCTGTCTTCAAGTGGAAAAGGCAGAGGTCTCCAAAGGCTGGAGCCAGAGCTGGCTCTCAAGGATTGCTCCTAGCAGAGCTTTGGTTAAGTATGAGTACGACATCCCTGAAGGAAAAATAGCCCTGCAGTTACTAACTTCCACAATGTACCTGGGTGCAAAGGCATCCTCTGCTAATGGCATTATTAAAGTCCAGTGCAGAAACAGATGCAGACTCATGCTAACTTGACCACTTAATTCAGTGTTGGCAATTTAGTTTCAGCAAAACCAGACACTTACCTGAGAGCCATAGGATTAAGGAGTTTTTATTAAATGTCATATCTAGCTTATATTTAATTTGGACATATTCAAGAAACAAACATGGCGAAAATAATTTAAATCCATACTAAGAGGTTTGAGGGGTTTTGTTGTTTGTTTTTTTAAACAGACAGCCATACTTCTTAAGTTTCAGAAATGCTGCTGTATCTATGTTGCCCTGGCTTGAGATCCTAATAAATCCCAAGGTATCACCTTGGGATACCCCGGGATGCAGAAGGCAAATCCCACCGTACGTGATGCCTCTCCTTCCCCAACCCCCAAGTGCTGCCGTGACTTCTCTTACAAAAGTGAAATTGAGTTATAAGAATATGATGAAAAGTTTTGATAAATGGAACTAAAGAACATAATAGTAAATTAAAGTAAAACGGTATAAAAAAAAAAAGGAAGAGAGAGAGATGTCCCCACAAAGCATTCTGTGGCCTGAATGGTAGTGTGGCAGGGTAAGGGTCATGGGGACCTGGTCACACCATTGCCCCAGGGCAACCAGTATCAGGAGTTTTACAGCCAGGTAGTCAGGAGGAACTTAGTCATCCTGGTGCAGTGGAAAGGGCATTGGATTTAAAGGCAGTCTGTATGGGTGATGTTGTACAAGCTTGTAGTCCCAGCTACTCTGGAGGCTGAAACAGGAGGATCACTTGAGCCCAGGAGTGGGAGGATGGAGGATGCAGTGAGCTATGATCACTCCACTGCATTCCAGCTTGGGTAACAGAGCAAGACTCTGTCTCTTAAAGAAAAAAAGAAAAAAAATTACAAAATAAAAATAAAGGCAGACTGTAGGCTCTGCTCTAGCATTTCCAAGTCATGTGACTTTAGACAGCTTATTTAGCTTCTGAGCCTCATTTTTACTGTCTGTAAAATGGGAACTGTGCTCAGAGTGCTTCCCGCTTTTAAAGGAGATCAAGCAGGAGCCTGTCTACACTGGGAAGCTCCAGACACATTTGCCCTTATTGTTTCATCTGTCCTTTTTCCAAGTGCTGTCTGTCTCCCCCACCAATTCTGTAACTCTGCTCTTCTATCTCACTGCTCCTCCTACCCCATCCTCAAGGCATTACCAGCCTCTCAGTCCCCATTGGCAGGAGGGTTCGGCTCCACGGAGGCCAATTTCCAGGGCATGCCAAGGGAGGGTCGATTCTAATCTTGCTAAACCTGGGCGGGCCCTGGAAGTCTTCTGGTCCCACCCCTCTTGGAGAGATAAGGAAGTGAAACCAGACACGGTGGATGTGACCTTCTTAATGCATCACCTGGACAAAGATCGAGGAATGTACTCTCGGATTCTTTTTCAATAAGTTCTCTCTTTTCCCCATTCTTCCTCTTATATACAAGGATGGAAAAGGGGCCAGATTTTCTGGAGGCTTGAGGCCCATTTGGCAGAGAGAGTGACACACAGAGAAAAGCCAGAGAACCCCGTCTGGGTGGGAGAAGCAGGTCAGGAGTCAAATGCCTGGGAACAGAGGGCATGGTGGCAGGGGACAAAAAAAGAGAGCTACTGGAGAGTTCCAGTCCCTGGGAGGATTCAGAAGGAAAGCTGAGATATTCCTGTTAGGAATATTCTCGGCCCGGTGCCGTGGCTCACGCCTGTAATCCCAGCACTTTGGGAGGCCGAGGCGGGTGGATCACGAGGTCAGGAGATCGAGACCATCCTGGCTAATATGGTGAAACCCCTTCTTTACTAAAAATACAAAAAAAAAAAAAATTAGTCGGGCGTGGTGGTGGGCGCCTGTAGTCCCAGCTACTCGGGGAGGCTGAGGCAGGAGAATGGCATGAATCCAGGAGGTGGAGCTTGCAGTGAGCCGAGATCGCGCCACTGCACTCCAGCCTGGGTGACAAAGCGAGACTCTGTCTCAAAAAAAAAAAAAAAATTCTCAGAATACTCTCCTTGGGAGTAGAGAAGTTCTATTTTTTTTTCCTTCTCTTTTTACCCATTATGATGGTAATTCCAAAAGATCACTTGCAGGGAGAGGGGTGGGGGCCGGGAGTGCTGAGAGAAGTGGAGTGAGTCATTGCAGAAAACTTGAGCGGGGCAGAGAAGGGGTTCAGGATCTGAAACAGGAAAGGCTGGGCCCTCTGTTACTCATAGGATGTGTCAATCATTCCAGCTTGGCAAATGGCAGGGAACCCAGAGGGACTTTTTCCACTGGAATCAGGACCCTGAGCCTGAGGACGTATTGAATTTAAATAAAAATTATTTGACTGGAAATTAAAAGAAAGGTAAGTTAGAAAGAAATACGTTAACCTCAGGAATATGTAGACTCCAGAGAGGTTAGGGCCAGGCAAGGGTCTAAGAGAGGAGTGTTTCTTTTTCATCTGTGAGCCATTCTATCAGAAATCCTTATCTGTGCATGCTGCTGCATGATATTTTTGTTTTTTATTTATTAATTTTTTTTAAGCTCAGTGGCAAGACATGCATGGCATTTTCTATGGCAAAGGTTTCACTATTCAGGCATGTAGATGTGTATCCGTAACACAAAAGCAGTCCAAATAATTCTTTTCAGATCATAGTATACAGTTTACTGGCCTAGAATTAGTTTATAATCAGTTGTGGTCGGGCCAAGAAAATTATTGATATTGGGCCGGGCGCGGTGGCTCACACCTGTAATCCCAGCACTTTGGGAGGCCGAGGCAGGTGGATCACCTGAGGTCGGGAATTCGAGACCAGCCTGACCAACATGGAGAAACCCCGACTCTACTAAAAATACAAAAATTAGCTGCTGTTGTGGCACTTGCCTGTAATTCCAGCTACTCTGGAGGCTGAGGCAGGAGAATTGCTTGAACCCGGGAGGCAGAGGTTGCGGTGAGCTGAGATCGCGCCATTGCACTCCAGCCTGGGCAACAAGAGCAAAAAACTCTGTCTCAAAAAAAAAAAAAAAAAAGAAGAAGAAAAACAAAAGAAAATTATTGATATTTAGAAGTCGGAACTATCCTCAATTATTGGATTTAAGTAAATCAAAAACATGCCTCGTTTTTGGATGTAGGTTTACTGGAGATGACTTAACTTCATTCCAGCCGATTTGTGATGAGTGAGGCATGGAGTCTGGCTCATAGCAGACAATTCAGTACTGATTCTGAAACGTATCTCCAATTCCGGAAGTACCGTGTCTTCTAGGTGGTCAATCCACTGAAACTGAGTCACCCTCATGGGACAGATGCTTGATAACACAGCCACGCCCCCACACTCAAACTCCAGAGGCAGCTAGAGAAACTTATGCATGATTCATATTGCTTCATCTGTGACTCCTTCTTAAATTGTGACTTCATTTTCTCCAAATGGCTCTGCAGTGTTTCAAATCTGGGACTCTGTGGCACCCAGGGCAGTTCAGGAATGGGACAGAAAGGCTGTCTCAGGTTCATTTTCAAACCTCATGCCCATGTGAATCTGGACACCCACACTTCTGTGTTCACGTTAGAAAGGCTCTCCTCTCCCCAGCAGCCTCAATTCGATACATTCAGACAATTTGTATCACAGCAAGAAGGTACAACTGAAGCCTCTAAGTTGTCTGGGGTAAATACCCGAGGTTCCCAGTCTGGCACCAAGAAAATTTAGGACACAGACACACGGACACACATGAGGAGTTTAGGAAAGGAGGTTTAATAGGCAAAAGAAAGAGAAAGAGAAAGGAAAACAGCTCTCTCTAGTTAGAAAGAGAGGGCTTCCGAGAGGAAAAAGAACCAGAGAAGAGCCAGTTGGCCATGGATGTGCCGGATTTCATAGTCAGGCTTGAGGAGGTGGTATCTAATTTATATAGGGCTCACAGATTGGTTCGATCAGGTACGATGTTTACATAGCGCGCAGGGAAGGATGGCCGCCCCACCCTAATCTTATAAGGCAAATCAACTTTCCCCTTAGCTGGTGCCATCTTCTCTGCTCCTTACTGTACAGGTGGCTGGCAAAGAAGGGACGATGGAGCCGCCATTTTGAACATGGCTGGCACAACTGCCTGCATGTATGTCTGCAGCTCGATTTTATAGGCTGCTCTTTGCTGGAAAGGAAAATGATTTGGGGCTGCTTTTCATTAAAAGGAAAACCTTACCAAGGACTTCCATACCCTCACTATCTGCCTAAGTAATTGCATCTTCACTCCTGTATCACAGCTTTGTGAGCCACGTCAGAATAAATTCTGACAAGACCTGGGTCTGAGGACGCTGCTTAGTGTATCTCTCCAGGTTTTGACAGCCCAGCCCTTTGCCTGCATGAAAATAAACGGGATGTGCGCACTCTGCTTTAACTTCTTCCAAGTGCCCCATAAACTGGCCACAGCACAGGGCGTGAGCGTGAAGGAAACTCACCACCTCAGTCACTTCCTCCACCACTTCATATCTGCTAGGAGCCTGACTCGCCAAGTCCACCAAGTCTTCTGAAGAGGATTCCATAGAAAGTGGGCACATCTACCTTCCCTGTTAACTTGAATAAACTGTTCCATCTGCATCAGGTAAACTCACTTTTCCATGCTGAGACCAAATGTCTCAAATTCCTCATAGGGAAGTAGTTAGCCCCTGCCTAATTTGTATGCACTAATTGGGTAGAGGTTAAATTTTGCTAAAAACAAACAAAAAGCCTCAGTCCTGACGCACCTGGTAGGGAGTTGGGGCAAGTTGGCCAAATGCCTATCTGTTGGCTGATCCTTCCTGAAGCCAGAGGCAAAGCAGCCAGTGTTTGCTGGAAGCTGGATACAGCCTTTGCCACTGGCTGATGCATGTATCTCACTCAGACCGTAGGATACGGGACAGGGAGAACAGGAATGACAAGTCCGTCTCACCTGCCGAATCCAAAGAGCTGTTCATGGCTACTGACAGCACCTTGCTGAGAAGGATGCTGGGGCAGCATCCAGGCTCCAGGAGACAGATCTGTGATTGTTCAGCCACGTCTGCAGCAGGCACAGGCTGGAGGAGCAGCAGTGCCTGGCATCATAGGTCTGTGTACCTTAGACAATAGCCAAGAATTCAGAGATCAATTTTTCCAGCACAGAACCCACATCAGATGTAATATGGCCTCCAGTCTCTACACGTTGGCCCAAAATCCAACACCAACTGGGAGAAGCTACTTGAGGTCACATAAGAAAGAAAACATCAGGGTCCAATCTAGGGTATACCTTGGAGACCTTGGGGAGATTCCTCGAACTTTCCTAGCTTCCTCGTACTTGTTATTTTTGGCACCCGCCATTGATTTTCACAAAGGAATTGGCAGTAAGTCTTTTGAATTCCAGGGAAACCAATTGCTCATTTGCTTGTTTTGAGGAATGTGGAGTTGGGGAGATTGTGCCTAGCCCAAGAACAGGTCATGAGGGGAAAAAAAATGCTCTTTGTTGGGGGTAGCAGCATTAGAATGGAAAGAAAAGCAGGTCAAGTGCCTGGTGTCTGGGTACCAGGAGACATGAGGTGCACCTAGAGGACAGGTGAGAGAGGGGTGGGCAGGTGAGAGGGAGGCCATGGGGAGAATGAACAGGTGGGAGTCCTGTGTGATTTTTTTAAAACATCGAGAATGCTTTCTGGCTTTTCCTGTTATAAGATGATGATTCAAGGGAAATATTGATAACTTGGTTGTATATGTGGCAATAAAAGGACCTGACCTATAGTTTGGGCAAAGAGGACCTACATGTAGGTTTGAAAATGTCAGCTTTAGGCCAGGCGCAGTGGTGCACGCCTGTAATTCCAGCACTTTGGGAGGCCGAGGCAGGCGGATCATGAGGTCAGGAGTTCAGGACCAGCCTGGCCAACATAGTGAAACCCCATCTCTACTAAAAATACAAAAAATTAGCTGAGCATGGTGGTGGACGCCTGTAATCCCAGCTACTTGGGAGGCTGAGGCCGGAGAATCGCTTGAACCCAGGAGGCGGAAGTTGCAGTGAGTGGAGATCACACCACTGCACTCCAGCCTGTGTGACAGTGCGAGACTCCATCTCAAAAACAAAACAAAAACAAACCAACCAAACAAACAACCCCCAAAAATGTCAGCTTCACAAATGAAGACTTTGCTTTTCCTTCTGCAGAAGTAGCTCCTAAATCTATAAATCTACACGCTTATAGAAATGGACTATAGCTTGCTGAAGGAACTGGAAGAAACTGGTGTGTGTGTGTGTGTGTGTGTGTGTGTGTGTTTTATTTGTGGCTATCATAGAAGTTAAACTGGTTCTAATTTCTAAACCATAAAACATTTATATTCCCATTAAACTTTTTCTTTTTGTAACCATTCTATATTCCCTCATAAGGCACATTGCCAAATTAAGTCTTCTAAGGAAATTCAGTACAAATTCTTTTCACGGCCCAAATACTCTTTGAAGAATGAAGAAAAACAAAATATGCCCATTTTCCTTGGAAGATTAGCTGGGCTATTTTATGAATTGAGACTCTTAAAATTAAATCATTTTGTTTGAAAGAAGCCAGAACGCACATTCATTCTCAATACTTCCTGCCTCTCGATGGGATAGTAGACATTTCCAGAGAATTGCCGTGCCAAAGTTCTACAAGTCTGGTCTTTAAACCTGTTTTCCAAGCCTGCCCTCCAGTTGTTTGTGGAGAAACATGCCTTTCATGGTAAATGGAAACATACCCAGTGTCAAGTTCTCTGCTCTTAGCTCTAAAATTAGAAAGTCTTGGGTGGGGGAGTCGAGTAGGGGCGAGGAGTGTTGGACTGACTGTACTTACTCAAAAACTCAAATTAGATGGCATTATCGTATGTAATGTGTACTTTATTTTCCATGAAACCAGGGTCTTTTGAACATTGAGGAGGGGAGGGGGGATATGTTCCAGGGAGTGTGAGGAGAGAACGGTGATCCTGGGTTGACGGTTTGTATTCAAACAGGAAGCCCTCTTCCAGTCCACAATACTCTGGCCTCTGTTTGTTTGTTTTTTAAATTTTTACTTCTAAAATCAAAGTGGAAAGGGCAATAGATGGATGGATAGATTGTATGTGTGCGTATGTGTGTGTAATGTTGGGCAAGTTCTGAAAACTTGCAGTTTTACCTCTGAACTGTCCCTGAAAGTCAATCTCCTCCTGTCATATTCTTCCCAGTGTACCTGTCCCCAGGACACTCCAGTGTCCTGACTTTTCCATGTTTCTAAGCAGAACTATGAGGGTGGATGTCCCTGTTGCCAGAGCCACAGAGATGGGGCAGGAGAGAGGAAAGAGCTAGTGTCCAAGTGCATCTACTTCTGCTGCAGGCTAAGAGGCGGATTCTCCTTTCTCTTCCACTTTGCCAGAAGGGGAGGAAGTATGTAAAAGAAGTCCTTGCCCTCAGTCTAGGGTCCTGTGAGCAGTTTTGCCCTGCCCATCGAAGCAAAGTTTTGCCAAACCCATTGCATGACTGTGCATTTGTTTACTTCCTCCTTTGCTTAGGTTGTAGGTCCTATTACCTAAATGTTAGCTCTTCTCTTCATGTCCACCATTATTATACAGCCTTCTGGAGTGTAGGGGCTAGAATTCATTTATCTAAGTCTCTCTTTGGGGCTGGCATATAATTAAGAGTTCTACAAACATCTGAATGACATCTATGTGTGAGACCCATATTCCAGCACTTGAGTATGTGTCTGTGTGTATTGGGGTTGTGGGATTCCAAAGGTGACTCAGGCACCTGCAGTTTGCAAGATCCTAACTTCAGGGAAGGGAGAGGACATAATCTACTGTGGTGCCAGGCAGAAACAACACTCAGTGCCCGCTAGGAGATGCACACATACACACATTATCGAGTCTCTAAATTGAACCCGGTGCTTAGCACATAGTAATACATGCTTGTTGGTTATGTTTAAATGTTCTAAATCCAAGAAATACTAAGTTTAAATATTTTAAATCCAAGACATACTATTTCTTTCTTTCTTTTTTTTTTTTTTTGAGACAGAGTCTCGCTCTTTCGCTCTGTCGCCCAGGCTGGAGTACAGTGGCGCGATCTTTTTTTTTTTTTTTTTTTTTTTTTTTTTTTTTTTGAGACGGAGTCTCCCTCTGTCACCCAGGCTGGAGTGCAGTGGCGCGATCTCGGCTCACTGCAAGCTCCGCCTCCCGGGTTCACGCCATTCTCCTGCCTCAGCCTCCCGAGTAGCTGGGACTACAGGCACCTGCCACCATGCCCAGCTAATTTTTTTGTATTTTTAGTAGACACAGGGTTTCACCGTGTTAGCCAGGATGGTCTCGATCTCCTGACTTCGTGATCCGCCCGCCGTGGCCTCCCAAAGTGCTGGGATTACGGGCGTGAGCCACCGCGCCCGGCCCCAAGACATACTATATGAGTGGTGTTTCAGGTTTCCAGCCTCCAGCCCGCTCTTGAAGCTGCACTTTGGTGCAGCCTTTCTCTTTCCAGTCTTTGAAGGAGCCTTGAATGGGGTCCAACAAATGGTCCCCTCGCCCTCATCCAGGGTCTGTGGCACCTCTTTCCCATTTCCTGAGGCCATGGGGGGATGATTGCAGCCTAGGGCTCTAGAAGCCAAGGGCTTCTAATTAGCAAACTGATCCCATTTGTGATGCTGGTTAGTTGGTTAGTGGTCGTAGTAAAACACCTAAAATTAGTCTCTGGTGAAGTATCGGCTTTGCTCAGGCAACCTCAGGTCGGTGGAACAAAGGGACTGGGGGCAAGATTTGCAGCCTGGCCACTGAGGAAAAACTCCAGTGGGGTAGGGTGAAGGGGAGGAGGCCACATTTACTCTCACTAAGTAAAATCTGAAAAGGCCCAACCAAGTTCTGTTGATTGCTGCTTGCTGGCAGTGGTGGCAAGGGAGAGAACAGACGGATACAAGGCTAGGGTCTGTTTTGAAGTCACAAGAGGAGCCAGAAATCGCTGGTAGAGGTCACTGCTTTGTTTCAAACAACTGAGATGACGTTGCCAAAAGGGAAAAGTTCAAAATCTGAACCTATTGTAGAAGTTATTTGGCACTTCTCCCTTCATTTATTTGACATTAAAGTGTGGTGTAGGCTGGGCGCCGTGGCTCACGCCTGTAATCCCAGCAGTTTGGGAGACCGAGATGGGCGGATCACCTGAGGTCAGGCGGTCAAGACCAGCCTGGCCAACGTAGCAAAACCCAATCTCTACTAAAAATACAAAAATTAGCTGGGCATGGTGGCGCATGCTTGTAATTCCAGCTACTCAGAAGGCTGAGGCGGGAGAATTGCTTGAACCCAGGAGATGGAGGTTGCAGTGAGCTGAGACTGGGGCACAAAAACTCCAGCCTGAGCCAAAGCAAGACTGTCAAAAAAAGAAAGAGAGAGAGAGGGAGAGAGGGAGGGCGGCAGGGAGGGCAGAAAGCAAGGGAAGCAAGGGAAGGAAGGAAGAAAGAAAGGAAGAAAGGAAAGATAATTGTAATGTACACTCTTTGCATGTGGCAAAGTATACTCTTTGCATGAGAAAGTTTTCTGGCAATAGCTACCAGTGTTCCTGTTTCATAGAGGACTCCAGCCCCTCACAGCATTGTGACTCTTGCCGTCTCCCTCTCTTTTTTCTGAAACCAAAGGGTTCTTTGCTCTTTACCAAACAATTTAAGCCTTGTTCTCATTTTTCACTTGGGATGTTAAAAATGCTCTCGGGAAACAGTTCTCCCATTCAGAAATTCCAAATATATCCGTGAGCCTTTATTATTCTTCAAGGTTACAGGAATTTTCCTTGGAAGCTGTTTGGATTTGAGTAGAATTTTTGCCTTTCATGTCTCCTCTTGCTTTTAAAATAAGTTTTGGTAAATTGAAGTCGCTGAGCTTATATTTGCTTATTTATTTTGCCAAATTTAGTCTGTCTAAATATGCTTTGTCATTACAAAACAAAAAAAGTAGTTTTAGGCTCTCCTCCTGAATTTCCTTTTAAAAATTAACTGGGCAAGATATTACAATGTGTCATTTGTTACCTTCAACAGTAAGCTGGTATTGACATTAAAAAATGAAGCCAGCTGTACATAAAAAGACATCTTTTGGCGTCTGTTTTAACAATTTGAACAAAACCTCGAAAGCCATTTCGTCTTCTGGTCTCAACTTCGTAAATTAGACCCTTGAATCTGCCAAATTTCAGGAGCTCCTTTATCTTAATGCGGAGATACTCCTCCAAAGAGAACTAACTATATAGAATGTTGCCAGTAGAAACAAAAGCATGTGTATTTGAGACACAAAGGGAAGAATGCTGTCGGTCTCACTTCTTGCCTGACATATTGAGTGGTAAATGACAGCTGGCACAGTAGCCTCTCCCAGAGGCAAGTGTGTTCACTCCAGAGCCACTTCTACATCCCAGCAATCTGCCCTGCCCAGGCGCAGCACTGCTGTGGTGGCCCAAGTCAGAACTGGATTCTGCAGACAGGCTCCCAGGATACAACCAGGGAACCAGGAGGAGGGACTGTGTCATCACTCTTCCTGGGAACGAAAGTGCTGCCTAGCCAAGGTGAACTCATATGGGGCGAAGTGGAAGGACCTCAAAAAGATACATGAAAATCAAAAGACGTTGCTCCTGACATTGATCCGTAACTAACAGGGGGCATCTGGGTGGATCCTGAAGATGCTCCGTGTGCTCTTGTTTGGTTGGGTTTGACTAGGTTCGGTGGGAAGCTCACAGATTTGAGATCACATGATTGGAGTTCATGATGCCTTCCTCCTTTAATAGCTGTGCATCCTCAGGCACATCCTCTACCGTAACCTCTCTGGACCTGTACAATGTGGACAGTAATGTCTGTTATGGTTCTGTCTATGTCCCTGTGAAGAGTAAGCAAGTTAATGGCTATGAAACCATTCAGTAACCTGCAAAATGCCAGCAATGGTGGCATTATGACTGTCTGGGCTCTGTGCTAAGAGTCTATGCTTGGAGAATGTATTCTGGCCTCTAGGCAACTAGCTTTGGCTTGAGTTGACTGAGACATTTGGCTTCATAGTTATTTTTTGCAGTCCGTCAGCCTACTCTAGTCTCATCTGTCCAACTACTTCACCATGGGATGTTGGCCAAACCACCCCACCTGTCTGTGCCTCAGTGACTCCTTCTGGAAAATGGGTCTGGTATATAGCTCCATTTGTCTCAGGGAGACCCATCAAAGCAAATCAAGTTCATTCACTTAACCAGCATTTATCAAGGGTCTACTCTGTGCCTGGCACCTTTAGGGTAGAATCATGAATAAAATAAAGCTCCTGCCCTAGAAGAAGAGACAGACAAGTGATCAGTCAGTTCCAAGGCAATAAAATCAGGTTACAAAAGAAAAACAAGGATGATGACATGGGGCCCACCAGAAGCCTTGTGCTAAAACAGCAGGATTAGAAGAGACCTTCTTGCCAACTTAATTTCACTAATGTCTCCAGGAAAGAACCTGTGCTGTGCTCATCTAGGGAGAAATGGTTAAATTGGGAACATTCACCCATCTTGCACAGTGTTGGTCCCCCGTAACACAGAGAGCCACAGGGGGAGAAGTGTCTATACTTCTTACAGTAATCTCAGGCTTATTGTCCAGAGAGTGTCCAAAGTGGAGATGTCCTTACCTCAGTACCAAACAGAGGGTGATCTCACACCTGGATACTTTGCTAATTTGCCCCCGAAAGTCATTTCTTATTGGGGCCGAAGTAACACTCAGCAGTTGCGAGATTTGATAAGGTGAGAGTGAATCCACAGCACACCTGGGAGAAGTCTGGATTGCCCTGAGGTCAGCCTTCCCTGACTCACTGACTTGGTGGCTTCACAGCTTCACCTCCAAAGCTGGTGGACAGGCCTTATCCTGCCCTCTGCCTGTGCTGATGTGAAGACATCATCTGGACTCTTGTCGTATGTAGGGTGGGCGGGGGCCACTGGACAGGTGGCCATAGCACCAAATTATACAGAAATTCATTCTTTTATTCATTCTTTCATTCACTTATTGAATGGAATCGAATATATCACATGGGCTGAACTCGATATGGCATAACCAGGAAATAGCAGCTTCTACTCCTCCCTCAACTCCCATCACTGCCCTTCCAACCTTCTCTGTCAGATCTTCTTCCACTAGTAAACATCTCAGGCAGATCCCACACAATTCAGTCCCTTTTATGTTGAGCTGTTTTCATGTTAGAGTGTTTTAAAAAGCCTAGTGTTAAAACAGTTTAAAACTGTTTCCCATCAAGTTCCATGCTCTTTCCCTTCCCCCGAGCTCAGGCCTGACCCAAGCTCGTAAAGATTGCATAGTCTGTCTTTTATTATTGCTCTGTCTCTTGTCACTCGCTAGCTGATTTTTGCTCCCAGGGTAGGGCAGAGAGTCGGGGGAGAGGGAAAGAAGCAAAAATGTCTTTTTCCTTTGCTCCTAGGTGCTGTTGTCTAGCCATTGGCATTCTTTGAATACAGATGCTGAAATACTGGTTCTTATAAGGTACTTTAGTTAGGTACTTTGGAGCGACCCCATCCCCCTGCCCCAGGTCCTGTGCCTTGCAGTGCCTGGACTTGGAAGAGTACCCTCCCTGGCAGATTCTTAGGATTCCCCTTCAACCCAAGGGTCATTGGGACACCCCACATGGCCGTCTCATGTCGGGTTCACCTGGCCCTGGCAGTCAGGGCCCATGGCTGGGGACCTATTAAGAGGACTCAAGCTCAACTCCCATCTTCAGAGTTCACGTGGCCCATGAAAATATGTTCCCCCTATTAAACTCTGAAAAGCAAGGCTTGCCGAGAGCTTTTTGCTCCCCAAGATGGTGGCAACCAGGGCAGGCCAAAACCCTGCAACTCAGAAAACATCTACCAGAAAGGGAGATTTTAAACTCTGCTCCGACTCCCATACTCTCCTGAAGCTATCTTTACTTGGCTCAAGGGGCGGAGAAGCAGCCCACCTCTACCACCTCACTCAATGAGAGGAAAAGGAAAATAAATGCACAGTGCTTTTGACTATAAATCCCTTACAATCAATCCAAAACCACATCTCTATACTTCTATCTGTATCTATCTATTGTTTTGGCCAACTCTTAACCAGTCCTGCATGGTTGGTAAGCTGCATCTCTCTTTAGAATATGGGGCCACTTGTTTCACATCTCAGCTTTGGTCATGAGGAGAAATTCTCAAACAGAAAAATTTCAGCTTAACTTTCTGCTATTCACTCATTCATTCATATTATTCAGCAAACATTTATCCAATGTGTACTATATGCCCAGGACTATGCCAAGGTGCACCCAGTAAGAAGCAAAACTGACACAGACTCTGCCCTTTCCTAGATATGCTGGGTGAATCTACCAACTGCTGGCTGCTTGAAACCTTTCAAGAACATCTAAATTTGATGAACTCAACCTCCTATCAACTGGAACTGTTACTCTGTCACTTGGTGCATGACTACAAAGATAGTTCTGACTTCATGTTTATAATAATGATCCCCAATGCTGCAAGATCCTGAAGTGCCTTTGAGTCATCACCAATAACTTACTCATCAGAATTGCTTTCGTGTTGAGTAGATTTTGCTGATATCTGATTGTTCAGCAAGTACAAACTTAATTAAGCTTCTATTTTAGTACTAGATACATGCTCTAAGATCAAGACAGAATTCCCTATAAACAGAATATTTGCTAGATCATATCCCATTATTTGAGCAAACTGGATCCAGAATATTTTCTTGTTTGTTTGTAAAGTAGTTCATGTGTACATTTGTGTGTGTGTTTGTAAATCCTTCCTTTCTTGGTGAATTTTCTTTTATTAGATTGAATTCTCCTGGTATTTTCCTTTTTATCCAGAAAATAGGAGTACCCGCCTTCCTGGCTTAAATGGATAATTCATTGAAAGGTTTAACTTGATTTTTTAAATGCAAAGAGATATGTTTTTAAAACACTATTCCTGTTCTTGGCACTGCCAATCAAAAACATTCAACTTAGAATATCTGATTTGTTCCTGAAGTTGGATCCTATGTATTTTGATTTTGTGAGAATTTAAAAAATCTAATTAAACCTCAGTGTAGATAAAAAGTTTTGATCTCATACAGGGGAAAACACCAGAGGATCTTTATTGTTGCCAAGTTACATTGATAAAGTTTTGCATTCTAACCCCAGTTCCCTGATGTAATATATAAATCTCGTTAACCTTATAAATATGATTTTTCAAGAGCAAAGAACTTCTCCCTTCTTCCTTTATTATGTCTAATTTGCATATAAGCACATAGTCCAAATGTTGGCAGATAATAATATTTTAAAGGGCATCGAAGTATAAGAAGAACTACATACTTGCAGATGTGTTATGAAATATACCCCATTAGTCACTTTGTATTTGAAAGGCAGAAAAACAGGCACCTAGCAACAGCATGCCGTCACTCAGGATTAGAGAAAAGCCACTTTACATCCAGTAACTATTACCCCCTCATTTGGGAGCTGTCAAGCTAGTACATTTAATTACACAAAAGATCCTTGGCTGTTGATTGTCCATATTCACGGTGAATGACAGTAATGACATCACCAAAGGATGCCTTTTGGTGGTGGAGGAGACAGGAGACTGGGCTTAGTAGGAGCTCTCCAGATAGGCTCGTCAGTCAGTCCTATGCAGAGAGACCCAAGGCTCCACTTGAGAACTGTGCTTTCTCTTCTGAAAAGCCATTCATCCTTCCTTCTCTTCCCTCTGAGTGGATTACTGGGTGGGTGGGGAAGGGGGTTGCCCTCCTAGAACACAGAAGTAAGGGTCCAGAACTTAACACTGTTCAGGAGCAAACTTTCCCCCACCAGCCATGGGGGAAAGCATCAAATGCTGAGCTCTTATTAGACCCAATCAGATGGAATTTTCAGCAGGTTCTTTCTTCACACTTTTTAGGAGGGTAAAAAGTAACAGGAAGCAAAGGAGATGACGAGAAAGAAGAAAACATCCAAACCTAACATTGGTCTGGGGAGAGATTCCTTGTGGAACATCAGCAGGCGCTTGCATCTGGGCCAGACAATGTAGGGGCCCCCAAGGCCACTCTGCAGACATCACTGAGCCCCTGTAGCAAAGACCAGGGTCCAGAATGAAGATGCACAGCTCAGTCCTCAAGCAGCTCCCTTCAGGCAGGGGAGCTCAGCACCTGAGGAATGTCCCAGAAGCAAGATGTTCCCTCTGTGTCCTAGAGACTTGGGTGCAGACAGAAACTCACATATGATCAGGTCATATGATCAGGTCTTGCCTTCCAGTTTGAGCCTAGGTTGGATAAGTAGAGGAGTGTCAAGAAGAGCAGTGGGGATTTGCATGCATGGGGAAGGCCAGGGCTGGAGGCGAGATGGACTTTCCCTGTCTCCTAAAAAACTGAAAAATAAACATAAGAGAAAGGAAGGAGGAAGAGAGAAAGGGAAAAAGAGAGGGACCAAAAAAAATAGCATCCATTTGAAATAGATGGTTTTAATGATTGTATTGCAATGTCATGCACGACATTGTGAATGTAATTAATACCACTAAAAATAGTTAAAATGGCAAGTTGTATGTTATGTAACCATTTTAAATGATGTAATATGCCAAAAATCACAGTGTGCATTTTAAATGAAGGAATTATATGGTATCTGAATTTATATCTCAATAGAGCTGTTTTTAGAAGGTGGTATCCACAAGCAAGCATGTGTGTGTGCACGTGTGTTGGAGTACATTCACATGCACATGTGTGTGTGGCAAGAGTGTCAGTTTCCTAGCTAATCTACTTTGGGTGGAAACTGTCAGTGATGACTAGGCAAAGGTGGAGAAGAGAAATGTAACCTACCTGTCCATTGTTCACTGGTGCCCTCGAGAAAGAGAGAAAGAAGTATGACAAATGCTAAAATAATATGATATTATAAGCTTCACATATTTTTATAAGGGGGAGTATTCTCCACCACAAATTCCACGCCTGGTTTCCCGTTCTCAATACACTTTGTTTACAGAGTCAGTCTCATGAAAGCTGTGGCATGAATTATCAAGCTGAAGCTCCTATTTTCCCCTTGAAATATGCGCTTGTGCTTAGGAATGCAGCATCTCTCTTCCAATTATACCTTGGCGCCAGAGTCCCTTTTCCTGGAAGTACACCTCCAATGTCAAGAGGGTGTGGTGCAGTGGAGATGATGCTGTGTCTGGGTCAAAGACCTGCCTCCCTGCCTAGGAGACCTTGAGCAGTCATTGCCTGGACGTCTTTGACCATAAAATGCAGATGATGATGATGCCTCCCTTGCCTTCTCCCTGGAGTAGCGTGCGAAGCAAAATCCAAACAGGATAACATGTGAAAGCGTTCAGTAAACTGTGAATCACTGCCTTAGTGGAAACTATTCTGGATGCACGTAATAGAAACCCAATCAAGTAAGCAAAAAGGAAGACACTGAGTTGAAAGGAGACTGGGATACCTCTCGGAAACTATGGCAGGAGGTGAGGCTGGATCCAGAACCCGGGTCTGGAGAGCGGGGAATGCAGGCAGCTCACTCCCGTGGCTTCTCGCTGCTTTTCCATCTGTTTTCATCTCTGTCTCTCTCTCTCCAGAGTGGCTTCCATTGTTCTGGCTTGCAGGGCCAAGCAGGGATACCCCATGGCTCCTGTGACTACATAGCCTTCATTCAAGCCATGAGCCCAGACGTCTACGCCAGGTCCTAATTCAGTTGGTTCAACTGGGCTGGGTGTGGACACGTGTTGTCCAGTGAGTCATGAATATGGATAGGGGTCACACAGAATAAACTTGACCATTCTTTGTCCATCCTGTGGGTGTGAGCTGGGCAGGTACCAGGAGAAGTGCCTTCTACAAACATTTGGCAACATCTAGTGGTGTGATTACAATAGTCAGCGAAAGAGGAAGATTCAATTTTGAGGACCTCCTTTCCTAGTGTCCCCATCTTTGCTGCCTTCTGTGAGTTTGATCATGTGGACTCCATGGAGGTTGGCCACTGCTGGGCAATGCAGCCAAACAAAGTGAGCAAAAGTAGGCTGGAGGGCTCCGTGGGTGACTGGGGCTAGGCTGCCTCTGGTGCCCCAAGAACCCTGAAGCCACCTTGCAGCTCTTCTGAAATGGTGAGTGGACTGCTGTTCTTCTTGTGCCAAGGTGTCCATGTTGCCTTTCTCACAAAATGTATTGCAAATAAGAGTGGGTACAAGTCATAGAAACCCATTCCAAGCTAGCTTACATAAAAAGGAGACCATTCTGGGGCTGCTTTTCCAGATCCCTCAGTCCTTTCTCTCCTGCTGCCCTTTGAGCCATTCCACTGTTTCCAGCTCTCTGGAGACAGGCATGGTGAGGTCTGCATTGATCTCCCCCCATGAAATGAAGGAGAATATGCTAAACTAGTGGCTGCTGATTTTTCCCCCTTCTTTTTCTGTCATTGCCTGTGGTCTGCAATTACCCATTCCCCTCTTGGCCTTCAGAGCTGTGCGAGGGTGAGCAGGTGTTGAGAGCAACTTTGTTCTTTTTGAGTCAATTTCATTACGTGGAGAGGATCCAACTCTCTCCGTGTAGCTGGCAGCTCCCAAGGCCAGACCACTGGGCAGGGC
This sequence comes from Homo sapiens, assembly GCF_000001405.40. NCBI lineage: Eukaryota > Metazoa > Chordata > Mammalia > Primates > Hominidae > Homo > Homo sapiens. The sequence continues at coordinate 108,752,327 of NC_000006.12, forward strand.
TCCCAAGAGCAGTGCTAGCCTCTTTGGTGTCACAAAGGGCCAGGCCAGGCCTGTTCATCTCTTTCCCCAAGAGCAAGCTGCTTTTTGAGCAGATGTACAAACAATTGGATGCCTCTGATAGACTGCAGTTCTGTAAGGTTGCAATCCTACCAGCCCTGCAGAGAAGTAAAAAGAAAAGCTCCAAACTGAGGCCTCTCAATTCTGCCGTCTTTCAGACTTTCCTGCGTTCTCACAGGTGGGCCAGCAACTAACCATGGGCCAGTAGGCCTGTCCCCTGCACTGTAGAAGATGCTGGTTATGGGATGTATAGGTGGAAGAGGGAAGGGAGCCATGCAGAACACCCAGGCCTTTTCCTTGCCCAGAACTTAACTGGGCAAACACATAACAGATCCCTGCAGCATTTAACCCTTAAGGATTAGCCCTTAAGAAGCTACAAAGGTAAACAAGTACATGATTACATTCAGGCTAGTTGCTGAATAATAATAGCATCTGTTCCTGGCACCATACTAATCAGTTTACATTTGTCAATTCACACAGCAAATAAGTGACAGAGCCAGGATCTGAACCCAGACAGTCACTACACAAACTTCCTCCCACATTATCAGCCTCTCACAATGCAAACAAAACACTGACACAGAATGCGATCGTCTTTGCTCTTGTGTACTTGTGGTAATTTGCGTGATTGAAAGATACCATTAGGAAGAAGAAATGTTTTAAATATCTAACCCCTGGAAAAGCAAGATTTAGAGACTAAAAATTTCATGACCCATCCGAAGCTCAGCAGTCAAGTTTGCAATTCTGCCAACTTCCCGCAAGAGTAAAACTGGCTGTTCTCACTGCTGTTAATAGAGGAGGACCATGACCTTGATGTACAGGTGGTGGGAGGGTGGGGCATTATTTAAGCAATGGGATCTGATGGGGGGTGCTGGAAAATGAACAAAAGTGTGAATTATTCCACAGCTGCTCACCCTGACGTTTATTGTGACTTTAAAATCTGAGAACATATGGTAACGGCTGGAAGCATGAAATAGCAGTTGGAAACGTGTAGACTTAAGGAAAAACCAGCCACCCTTATACCTCCCCACTTGGCTTCTCTGTAGAATGCTGTTGTCTTGCTAGCCTTTTTCGCTCCCAAATCTGAAGAAAGCCCTGGAACAAATGTCCCCTTTTCTTCAGCCCCATCCCCCCATGCATCTGCAAGAGCTTTTCCCCCTCCTGTGACAGAAGTTAGTGTTTTGATTCTTGGCTATGGTATTTTTATATATTGTGCCCTTCCACAGTTTTTGTTGGATCTTGTTAAATTCCACATCTTTGTTTTACAAGGCTGGATAGAGAGCTGGAAACATTGGGATGACATTTTGTTTGGGAATCCATGGTGGTCCTTGGAAATTCAGGCCAACGGCTGCTTCAATTGCCAGTTGAGGGAGCCCCGCTGTGTGGCTAGGTGATACCACCACTCCCTGGCCCCTCAATAATCCCCCTGGTCATCCAGCAAGCCTCACATCTTCCCCTTCCTCTTGAAATCCTTTGGGAGCATCCTAGTGGCAATGACTGCCCCCTTCTCTGTGCCAGGCGCTGACTTCCACTTAGCCTGTATAACTTTCTAGTTTTCTTTCTTTTTTTTTTTTTTTGAGACGGAGTTTCGCTCTTGTTGCCCAGGATGGAGTGCAGTGGCATGATCTTGGCTCACCACAACCTCCACCTTCTGGTTTCAAGCGATTCTCCTGCCTCAGCCTCCCGAGCAGCTGGGATTTTAGGTGCCTGCCACCATGCCCAGCTAATTTTTGTATTGTTTTTATGGTAGAGACGGGGTTTCACCATGTTAGCCAGGCTGGTCTCGAACTCCTGACCTCATTATCCACCCGCCTCGGCCTCCCAAAGTGCTGGGATTACAGCACCTGGCCTACTTTCTAGTTTTCATGTTTTGTGTTTCTCTCTTCTAATTTGTAAGATTCTGAAGGTTCAGAAGCATGTCTTCTTTATCCATCCCCTGCCTCACTACATTGACAAGTAGTAGCCGGGTGCCTCCTCTGTCAACATACACATTCATATTTTTATGCTTGCTGCCAACCACCATGCCTTTGATCAAGGAATGAATCCACTGCTTTACAGAGATTTCCATTTCCCAATCCTCTCCTTTCCTAATCAAATTGACTTGGGAACTAGGGGCACTCATAGAACAGAAGCCAGTTCACCTCTCTCAGAGTGAGAGAGACCTAGAGGTCAGTTTCATGGGTAAACTGAGGCTTCCTCAGATACCTGCTCTTTCACATAACAAGCTCTCCCAGAAGGACCAGTTCAGACAGCAACTTCTTTTCTAAACACATCTCTCTGGAAAGCCCCATGCAGAGAGTGCTAGCTTCCTACCCGATATCCATCCTCACCTTCTCTCTTAGAGAGCCCCAGTGTTATCCTGGTTAGCACGTATCCAGTGAAAAGATGAGTTCTCTTGCAGAAGATAAAAGCAGAAGTTGTTGGGTGGGACTTCTAGGAAAGCCTTGTTTGCCATTTCATCCTTCCTAATTCCTTTTGTTTGAAATGTGGATGTGATGGCTGGAGCTGCAACAGACACATTGAGGCTATGAAGAAAAGATTAAAAGAATCACAGGCCAGATGCAGTGGCTTATGCCTGTAATCCCAACACTTTGGGAGGCTGAGGCGGGTGGATCATGAGTTCAAGAGATCGAGACCATCCTGGCCAACATAGTGAAACCCCATCTCTACTAAAAATACAAAAATTAGCTGGGTGTGGTGGCGTGCCCCTGTAGTCCCAGCTACCTGGGAGGCTAAGGCAGGAGAATCACTTGAACTCGGGAGGCGGAGGTTGTAGTGAGCCGAGGTCGTGCCACTGCACTCCAGCCTGGCGACAGAGTGAGATTCTGTCTCAAAATATAAAAATAAAAAAATTACAAATACCTGTCCCTGATTTTCTCAAGCCACCAAACCAATGCCAGTAATTACTCATGTCTGCATTTCTCATGACATGACAAAAATAACACCTTCATGCATTTATGCCACTATAGTCAGTTCTCTGTTGCTAGCAACTGAAAGCAATTCCTAACTGATATACTGTGTTAGAGAGAGAGTAGTTCAGTGATTATTCACAGGCTTGAGTAACAGGGAGCTGAGCTCTTATGAAGCCAGTTCTTAGGAGTTCTTCCTTTGCTGACAAGCCCTAGAGCCAATCTTCTCTGAGTTAAGAGATTCTTTTTGGTGTTCCCAAATATAACTTCTTCAGTGAAAGTGAAACACGAAAGCCACCAGGCTCCCTCCCTAGAAGCAGTTTTGGGAAAGCAAGTCATCATCTGTCTTTGACATGTGGTCACCTGCCAAAGTGTTGCTGATACCAAAGCCCACGAGCTACATGTCCAAGTTATCCAACATCTGGCAGCTGAGCTGCTACTTGCTTTTTTAAGCACAAAACCAAGCATTCAAATGTTCCCAATTTAGCCTCATAAGCATTATGCTGGGCTCCTCTACCTTGGCCCACAGCTGCCAGCAATTCAAAGCTCTCTCTTATACAGATATGTTCAGTTTTTCTTCCCTGCATGCATTCCCTTCATCCCCAACTGTGATGAAGTCACACTGGAGGAATTTTTCTAGAGGCAGCCACTCTTGTGTCTTACCAAGGTTAGGTGTCCAAAAGGTTTCTCTGGGGCTGAGGTGGAGGTGGGAGTGTCCTCAAAAGGTGGCCCTCTTGAAAAGCCAGTTCCTCTCTGTAGCCAGGCCCTCATTGCAAGCAGCCAGTTTAACTTGTGCCATGGAGGGGGTGGTATGGTGTTGGTGGGGAAAGCTAACCCCGCCTTTTTTCTCCTTCACATCTGGGCAGTTTGAGAAGCTGGTTGGTGGGAGGCTGAACTCTGGAGTCAATAAACTCCATTCTCAAGGGCTAAGCATCCCATTTTGTGAGCCCCTTCATCTCTTGCTGATGCTGTTCAGGACCTGAGTGCTCCTAGGCCGCCTGATCCCTCCCTGTGTTTTTTTCTCCTGTCATGCTGCAGTTTAGTGCTGCCTTCTGTAGGGAGCCTGTGCAGTCAGGGAATATCGGCACTAAGGGGCTTCAAGCTTGTCTCATCTCACTTTTTTTTTGAGACAGAGGCTGGAGAGCAGTGGCGTGATCTCGGCTCACTGCAACCTACACCTCCCAAGTTTAAATGATTCTCCTGCCTCAGTCTCCTGAGTAACTGGGACTACAGGTGCCCGCCATCACGCCCAGCTAATTTTTGTATTTTTAGTAGAGACAGGGTTTCACTCTGTTGGCCAGGCTACTCTCAAAGTCCTGACCTCAAGTAATCTGCCTGCCTCAGCCTTCCAAAGTGCTGGAATTACAGGTGTGAGCCACCACGCCCTGGCCTGTCTTACCTTCTAGTTCAAAGTATGGGCAAACTGACGTCGATGGCAGTTTGGAGACCTGGCTCAGGTCATATCGCTAGCTAGTGGCCCAGCTTTTAGTCCTGATCCTAAACCAGCATGCCTGTCACAATAATAGATTAGTAATAGATTAAAGCTGATTTTTTTTTTTTCCAGACAGAGTCTTTCTCTGTCACCCAGGCTGGAGTGCAGTGGCGTGTTCTCAGCTCACTGCAGGCTCCACCTCCCGGGTTCACGCCATTCTCCTGCCTCAGCCTCTAGAGTAGCTGGGACTACAGGCACCCGCCACCACGCCTGGCTAATTTTTTATATTTTTAGTAGAGACAGGGTTTCACCGTATTAGCCAGGATGGTCTCTATCTCCTGACCTCATGACCCGCCCGCCTCAGCCTCCCAAAGTGCTGGGATTACAGGTGTGAGCCACGTGCCTGGCGGAGCTGATTCTAAAATAGCATTTACTATGTGCAGGACACCATTCTAATGTATACCTAAAATCTTCCCATGTTATGCACGAAGAACGTAAGGCAAAGAAAGGTTGAATAACTTGCCCAAAGTCTCAGATAGTAAGTGGCAGAGTTGGGATTTGATCCCAGGCAGTCCGGCTCTATTCTTGACCACTCCAATATACCAATACACTAACGTAGCCCATTCTTTGACTTGTTTACATCAGGTCCAGATGAGAGATCTCTAATAAAACTCCTTGGTCAGAGGAATATTGGCTTAATATCTTACCCCTGGAGGAGCATTTCCCAAAATATGATAGCAACAGGTGTTGAACAAACTAACCAAAACAAAAATAAATGCTATGACCAAATAAATTTGCAGTTACATTAAACCAAGTTAAACAGGTTTTATATTACGGAACTTCTCAGAGCCTTTAATATGCTAATAGACATTATAAATTCTCTAAAGAGTCTAAAACATTTCCCCAACTTCTGGGACCATAGAAGCCTTTTTGATGCAATGATGTCATGACATATCATGTGCCCTGTGGAAAACTCAATTGAGTAAAAAAGGCAAATTGTGTATTATTACAAAAAGAGTTTTGACCTCAAGAATGTCCTAAGATGGATTCGAGAGCCAGGCATAGTGGCGCACACTTGTAATCCCAACACTTTGGGAGGCTGAGGCAGAAGGATCCCTTGAGCCCAGGAGTTCAAGACCAGCCTGGCCAACATAGGAAGACCCCCCCCCGCCCCCCGCCATCTCTATATTTTTTAAAAGGCTTTTTAAAAAAATGAAAAAACAAATAAGATTAATTCAAGCACCCCCAGGGTTCCCTGGTCCACACTTTAACAACAGCTGTCTAGAAAATACTATTTAAAATATAAGACTTGAAGCTCATCTTCAAGGAAGGCTAAATACCATATCATACTGCCCCATGCATAGGATGAAGGAGAAAAGCGAATGAAAGAATGTGGATGTGTGTTTTTAAAACAGTCCCCTTTCATTTCACACTCTATGTCCATATAAATAAAAAATAAAAATAATAAAAATCAGTCCCCTGTCCTACTAGTTCTTTCTTTTTTCCTTTTTTATTCTCTTTCCTCCTTTTTTTTTTTCATTTAAAAAATCTCTTGTTGCTCCATAAAGATTTAAGGTAGTTTAATCTTCCAGTGAGTCAATGTTCCTGTTGACAGAGACATATTTAAGTAAAGGGTCATTATTTTAGGGGGACTCCTAACCCTTCACTCTATCCTAAAAATTCCCTATTATCATCCTACAGGTCAACCTAAATTTTCTGTCCTTAGCATTTTGTTTATTGGGGTAAGGCCATGTCTTTCTAGAAAGAGGCCTTGGGTTAAGATATAGTTTCATTATACGGCTAGGTGTGAACACACATGGCTACTGCCACATGGGAATGTGTCTCTCAGATTAGGGCACTCATCCAGGAAGAGACCCCTAAGGACAGGGACCCAGGATGGGAAAGTACTGCAGTGGGCACTTGCATGCAGCCCTAGAAAGTGAGGTGCCCTGCTAAGAAGTCACTCTTTCCTTTTTAGGGAAATGTCCAAAGATACGTCTTATTTCTTTAACAGGTTTGCTTCTTTTTTTTTCTTTTGAGACAGAGTCTTGCTCTGTCACCCAGGCTGGAGTGCAGTGGCGCGATTTCTGATCACTGCAACCTCCACCTCCTAGGTTCAAGCGATTCTCCTGCCTTAGCCTCCCAAGTAGCTGGGACTATAGGCGTGCGCCACCACGCCTGGCTAATTTTTTTGTATTAAAGTAGAAATGGGGTTTCACCATGTTGGGCAGTCTGGTCTTAAACTCCTGACCTCAAGCAATCCACCAGCCTTTGCCTCCCAAAGTGCTGGGATTAAGGCATGAGGCACTACACCTGACCTCTTTAACAGTTTTATCTACGGCCTGCCCTTATCTGAGGTCATTTTGTGTTTATATTAGACTGCAGGTCTTTGAACCTGATTTCAAACCTCATGTCAAAGCTAATGCAGCATCTGCAGTACTGCACCCAAATATGACAACCCAGACCAGGTGGGGAAAATGAAGTCTAGTTCAGGCTGGTGGCCCAAGGTCCCCCTTGTTACACTGGCCAGCAACAAGGTAACACTGGCCTTGGCTCGCAAGGCACATAAACCACACAAGATGCTGCAGTCAACACCGCTGAGGTGAGAGAGAGAATTACAGACTGGAGGGGATGCTAAGGGTTCTCTTCCCTGAGAAGCCCACCGTCTCCCATGCTTCTTTGTTCTGTCTTCACAGGGTTGGGGGATCCAGCTATCTGTAATTGTGAAGTGAAGAGGATGTGACTGCCAGGTAATGCTAACCCCGAATCCTTGGTGCCTGTGTTATGCACCATATGCTGAATTTCGGTTCCAGCTGTGTGCTAGGTGAGTCTTTGGGTGTTTGGCTGAATGATCTTTTAAGGCTGGTGTGCCCCTTTTCAAGGGTAACCCATCCAGCTAAGTGTTTTCTAAACAACAAAACAGTCTGGGCACAGTGGCTCACATCTGCAATCCCAGCATTTTGGGAAGCCAAGGCAGGTGGATCACCTGAGGTCAGGAGTTTGAGACCAGCCTGGCCAACATGGTAAAACCCCATCTCTACTAAAAATACGAAAATTAGCCGGGTGTGGTGGCAGGTGCCTGTAGTCTCAGCTACTCAGGAGGCTGAGGCAGGAGAATTACTTAAACTTAGGAGGTGGAGGTTGCAGTGAGCCAAGATCACGCCACTGCACTCCAGCCTGGGCGACAGAAAAAGACTCTGTCTCAAAAACAAAAACAAAAAACAAAACAAGCTTATTAGTCGTTTTTGTACATGTGTTAGTAACGCATACTAATTATAGAAAATTTAGAAAATACAGATAAGAAAATGGAAAAGTCGTCATAATCCTATCACCCAGAGATAACCACAGGTGACTTTGGATGTAAGTCGCTCCTGCCCGTGCTTCCCACCTCTAACTCTCATTACATATGCTGCTGATGGGATTCACGTGTGATCCAAGCATTGCACTGCCCTACCTCTCAGACACTGATCGGCAGCCATGACTGACTTAGGGGAAGGGGCCAGTTTTTCTGTTGGGCTTCTTGGGCCTGGAGGGTAAAGGGAGAGGCTAAAAGGGAGCCTGGCCCTCTCTCTGTCTCAAGGCTGGGTCTGATCTGGCAAAGAGGAACTGGCTCCACAGCTCTGGGCAGAATCCACTGCTGCTCCCACACAGAGAAGACCAGGGGAACCGCAGTCCCACTCTGGTAAGTGAAGGGAGGGAAGCTGTTTATCTTCAATAGTGCACTGGGGCTGCTATTTTCTCTCCTGGCACCCCCATCCCGGGGCAAGGTCCTCGGCAGGAGTGGACAGAGATAATCTCCTCTTGGCCATGCGTCCACGTCCTTAGCTCTTCACACCCCCTCCAGCACTGGCCACTGAGGCTGCTTTGCTATTCCTTTTAGATTTCCCAATTCCAAGTCTATACTTAGTCTTTTCTGCACTAGAACACGCACGGCAGTTAAATATGAAATCTAAGATGTCATCAACCAGCAGCCTAGGATTCCACATAAAATGCATGCAGAAATGTACTGAGGCCTGGCTGGCTGTGATGAGTCACCTTAGGGCCCCCAGCCACTTGCCACCACTCTTAATTCTTCACATTAAGCAGGGAGAGCAGCTGGGGAAGCTGGGCTCTTTGGAGGCAAACACTGGCCAACTAGGGGATGCTCCTCTGCTGTTTCCACTTCTCCCTAGGCAGCCCCTGCTGGCTTTCTGTTTATTTTGCAATTAGCACTTGAAGGAGACTCTGGGGATATTTTTGCTTGTGGGCTGAGAGCTGATATTTCAGAAATTCTTCCCCTCCTTAGAGCACTAGGTTCTGGAAGGAGGGTTTGGAAACAACAGCTCTCAGCGTTCTTTCCAATAATACTCTTGATAATGATCCTTGGCAATTTCATTATCCACAGACACAATCCTTCCAATACTCAGCCTCCTGGTTCCTCTCCTTGCTCTTCTCCACCAATCTTGTCCTTTATGGCATTGCGGCCACTCACCCCTATGGCCGTTCCCTTGACTGTGTCATTACTCCCAGTTGTGCTATCTGTACTATCTTGACTTCAAACATCCCACTCTCCTAACACAGTTCCCATCCCACTCAGTCTTCCCTCTCCAGTGATTCTTCAGCTTTACTGGGACCCACAACTGACTGATCTGCCATCTTTTCACTGTTCCTCGCTGCTACCTGCAAGTCCTCCCTGCCCTCTGTACCCACTTAGATGCTGCGATCTGGGGCCTTCATCCCTCCCATCAATACACAGTCAACTCCCTTGACCCCCTCTCCTTTGTTGTACCTGCCTGGTAAGACCACAGTCCTGGCTGAATCCTACTGTCTGCCCACTGTGTGTACCTGCCCAGCTGACTGGTCTCACTCTAAGTTCAGCCTCACTAGCTGCAGGTGGGTCCTGGTGTTTGGCTGGCCCTTCTATTTCATTTCCCTGCACCACTTATTCTCATACTCTCCAAGACAGTGATTTCATATTTTCTCCCCGCTCAAATTCACAACATGTCCTCCCCTATCCTCACCCTCACCTGATGACCTTGCTTCCAAATTCACTGAGATAGTAAAATAAGTGGCTGCCAAGTTCCCATCTTCCCACCCTCGCCTGTACTCCCACCTCCATCTGTGCCTACCCGCTCTGCCTTCCCGCCTTGGACAAGGAATGAATTTCCCAAGCGCCTGTCAGCAATACTCAGTGTGGGCCTGAATCTTGACTGCATCAGTATCACCTGGGGGATGGTCAGAAAATGCAGCTTGTCCACCCCCAGTCCAGACCTGCTGAATCAAAATGTCTGGGGCGGGGCCAGGTGCAGTGGCTCATGCCTGTAATCCCAGCACTTTGGGAGGCCAAGGCAGGTGAATCATTTGAGGCCAGGAGTTAGAGATGAACATGTGAAACCCCATCTCTACTACAAATGCAAAGATTAGCCAGGCGTGGTGGTATGCACCTGTAATCCCATCTGCTTGAGAGGCTGAGGCATGAGAATCGCTTGAATCTGTGAGGCAGAAGTTGCAGTGAGCCAAGATTGTGCCACTGCATTCCAGCCTGGGCAACAGAGCAAGACTCTGTCAAAAAAAAAAAAAAAAAAAGAATGTCTGAGTTGGGGCCCCAGAACTTGTTTCAATGGGCTCTCCAAGGCATTCTTATGCATGACACTGAGCTAGGTCCCTTTCTCTGTCACCTACTCAAGGACATCCCTCCAGCAGTTGTCTCTTCTCTACAGGATCATTTCCAATATCATACAAACAAACCAGAAACAAAACACCTCTCTAGATCCCAAACCTGCCTTAGCTACCACCCTATTTCTCTACTTCCCTTTTTTCTCTTGAACTCCCTTCAATCAGTCTTTGGTTTCCACCCTCCTCTAAAAGTGCTCTTGCCAAGGTCATTGTGAGAGAAACTGGCTAGATGGTCACCAAACCACTTCCTCTTCCAGGGCACACAACCAAATGATGTTTCCCAGTTACTTTGCCTCTAAATGAGGCTGTGTGACTAGTTCTTGTCATGGGAACTCCAGTGGGTCAACGTGCCAGCTTCAGGCTGAAGCACCAGAGCTCAGGTGTGCTTCTATATGGACCACTCCTTCCCTTTCCAAGGGAACCATGGCAGGTGTGCACTGAAGATGGAAAGAACCTGGTACCCAAATCACAAAGAAGGCCACCTGCCAAATACTTGACTGGACTGTGAGATGAGTGAGATAGAAGCTTTTTATTGTACTAAGTTATTGATTCAGGGGTTATTCATTGGAGAAATAAGATTGCCCTAATAAAGTCACGAGGGACCTCCAAATTTCTAAATCCAATAGTCAATTCTTAGTTATTGTCACTTGTGACCAAATAGCAGCATTTGGCAAAGTTGATCAATGGTTACTTTTTGAGAAATTTTCTTTATATATTCTCTAGGTTGTTTTTTTAAGAAAAAATTATTTAACTCACTTTAGTATCCTTTGCTAAGTCCTCTTTGTGTAAGATTGCCCCAGGACTTAGTCCTTGGATCTCTTCTCTCTCAGTACTCACTCCTTTGTTAATATCAATCTCATTCTTGGCTTTGAATATCTTCTCTACAGTGATGATTTCCAAGCTTACATCTCTAGCCTGAACCTAAGACTTGCTTGATCCACAGGCTACTAGACATCTCCCCTTGGTGTCTAATAGCTACCTCAAACTTAACGTATCCCAAACCATACCCAAAACCATATCCTGATGCCTTTCACCCTACTTCACCCATAACCTTCCTCTTCCCAGTAAATGTTAACTCTCTCCTTCCAATTGCTTCAGCAAAAGAAACTGTGGACTAATCCTTGAGTCTCGCTCATTTCTCATATCCTGTTATTAGATTCTGCAGGTCTTACCCTAACAACATCCAGACTCTCAGCTCATTCTTACGCTGCTGTCGTGGTCTGAGCCACCGCCACCGTCTCCTCCTTGGGTTGTTCTGCTCTCCTCCTCACGGTCTCGCTGTTCACATTCTTTTCTGCCTTCTTTATAGTCTTAATTGAGCACCCTGCATGAGCTTCATACACAAAAATCAAATTGTCTCACTTTTCTGTTTCAACCCTCCCCCTCCGCCAGTATTTTCTCAGATCACTTGGAATTAAAAGTGCTGAAGGTGGCTCACAGGCTCCCTGTTGCCCCTCTGCCTTCATCTCTCTGGACTCTCCTTGGCTCAATCCATTCCTGTAACACCCTCTTCTTTGCTGTTTGAATCCCGCTCTTGCCTGGAATATGCTGGCCCAGAAAATCATCACTTGCTCCCTCACTGCCTTCAAAGCTTTGGTCAAATTTACCTTAACAGAGGGGCCTTCCCTGATGTCAGCTCGTGCTCTACACTCCCTGTGCCTCTTAGCACTTATCACTACCTAGACAGTTACTTTATTGTTTGTCTACTGGCACCAGAATGTAAGGTAGGCAGGGACTTTGTCTTGTTTATTCTGTGTCTCCAGAACACAGAACAGTGTTGGGTACACAGTAGGTGCTCAATAAACATTTGTAGAATGAATGAAAGAACAAACAGCTGAAAGGGCCAGCTACAGCCTCCTTGGCTTAGGTGAAGAAGCAAGTTTTTCCCGTTGCATTTTGCACGTGTGCTTCATTCTAGTGGATCCAGAGTCCGTCCTTCCTCTCCTTGTGAATTTTGTCTCAAGGATCTTGTTTGCCTCTTGTGTGACCTCTTTTGGACTGTCCTGGGCGATTCACCCATCTTCTCAAAGAATTGGCCTCGCAGATACCTGGTGACATCGTACGTGACTCTCTACCACAGGTTCTTGTTCATGAGGCTCCAGAACTCCGTTTTACACCATGGGGAGGGCTGATCCTCCACCTGCTGAGGTCTGACCAGGGTCACCAAGGGCAGCACCGGGTTCTCCTTTTGCAAAAGTGCAGAAAAGCAATCATGAAACCATCAGAGGAGAGGATGGAGGTGTGGAGGCCTGCCCAGTCATAGGATTCTGGAGGAGGGATGAGTGCGCTGGGCAGGCTGCTGAGGAGGTGCTGCTTCCTGGTGCCCCCTCCTTTCCAGCACTGTCTCTGGGAAAGGTTGTTGGAACCAGAAAACACACAGCCTTGGTTGATGAAAAGCCTGTTTATTCCTAGTACACTGGACACTTTGTTCAGGAATAGTTCATCCATTTGAAAATATTGCCCTTGTAATGGTGCCAAGGTCATTGCCTGCTGGGGTTATCAGCACTGTGTGTGCCAGCTCTGACTGGGTGTTTTAATAGGTGGATCATTTCCCTGCCAGAGGGACTAAAGAACGTTGAATGGTTAATTTGTATTCAGTGCTATCCCTGCATACAGTCTTCATATTAAGTTTTTGTTGGGACTTTAAGAAAAAAAAAGAGAAATGAATAAATAGGTTAGGATGCAATGAACTGCTTTAAAAAGGAATTTTAAGTGGTACTGACTCATTTTAGAGTTCTCCATACCCATCTGATAATAATAGTATACCTACCTTTGCAAAGTACTGGGGAGTTTGCCAACAACAACAACAACAACAACAAACCCTTGTATTCATTGTCTCCTTTGATGCTCAAATCAATCCTGTAAGGTAGGGTGGTGTGGTCCCCTATTTTAGGTGAGAAAACTGAGGCTCAGGGAAATTAAATGGCTTTTGTCAAACAAGGTCAAAGAATTAACACAGTGGAACCAGCATTGTGACCCACGTCTCTTCATGCCCAGGTTTGACCGTGTCCAGCCCATCATGGTGAGCTGGGCAGGTGTAGAGGGGAAGGATCTAGCTGGGTTTGGACAGAGATGCTTGAAGTGTCGAGGTGAATGTGAGTGAAGAATAATTTTGTTACTAGCTATAGCCCTCTGTCAGCCAACACATGGTAATAAATACAGTTGCTCACCTTGAAAATGGTGTGAAGCCCCTACCTGCCGAGTGGATGATGAGTATCCACTCAAGTGTGGCCAGGCCTGGGGAGGCAAACATCCCAGGCAGCAGCCTGTGGCACTGTGGGAAAATCTCTACTCTGGTTTTTAAGAGATCAGAGTTCTAGTGCCAGCTCCACAGTACATAGGTCCATTGTGTGACTTTGAGCAAACAAGGTCTATAATCTGTAAAAACAGATTTGATCACATCTGTTCATCCCCCTGGTATACACAGCCAAGTTTTATTGCAATGTACCAGTGGCTGGAATAAAGAAATAAAAAGCTCGCCCATCAAGTTTGTGAATGCCATGAAGCTAGAGTGTAGCTAATAATGACAAATGACAGATAAGTTTTCTTGAAGACCTTGAGACTTGTAGGAACATTTAGATGAAACGTCTAAGGTAAATGCACAGAATTGTATTTAGGTTTAACAAAAATTGCACCAGTGACAGCATTTGTTCTTGATGCACATCTTGTTTACTTGTTGAAAGGATTTGTTGAAAGGGAATACACAGGTTTGGGCTCGAGAAGATTTAAGAGTTTTAATTGACTCAAATCTCAATATGAATGGGGATTGACAAAGAAGTTAGCACAACCATGGGCACTCCCAACACAAGTGTAGAATCTAGGACAAGGAACCACATTGGGCTTGCATGCACGGCCAGGAGAGCATTGGGTTCTGTAAGCATGTGCTTAATAAGGTTATTGACAAACTGGAACTAGCGTAAATGGTTGGGAAATCATGGTCTATGTCAGGGGTTTTAAGGCCTGTAAGGAGAACACTTAGTGGGCTGACATGATGGTGGTTTGCACAGAAATAAATGGCAAGGAGGATGAGGAAGTGCATAATCCATGTGGGTATCTGCAGGGCCAAAGCTAATCCAGCAAATGAAACTAAAGGGAGGCAGAGTTTACCTGTAAAAATGGAAGCAGGAGGCCTTGCCAGGTGGTGAGCTTCTTGTCAGATGTGCAGGCAGTGGCAGCCTGACCTCCTTGTGGGGACTGGCGCGGAGGTTCCAGCACCATGTGGGATTGGAGCTAAGGAAGGGCTCTTGACTGACAGCAGCAATCTAGGAAATGGGACAATGAGTGAGATGAAAACTGGAAACGCTCTGTAAATGTGAGGTTGTACTGTTAGGCGCTGAGGAGGAAGGCCCTGAGCATTCCCCTCAACTCAGACTTTCCACCATTCCCAGGTAGGGCGAGAAGTCTCTGTCTATAGTCACTCCTTACTATCTACAGCCAGTCTCTAAGCTCTGCCCATCCCTCTGCATATGCCTGCACACAGTCACACAGTTTGCTAAGAAGTGTTTGTTCGTTTGTTTTAGACAAGGTCTCACTCTGTTGCCCAGGCTGGAGTGTTCCTAAGCAGCTGGGACTATAGGCATGTGCCACCACGCCAAGCTAATTTTTTAATTTTTTTGTAGAGATGGAGTTTCGCCATGTTGTCCAGGCTGGTCTGGGACTCCTGGGCTCAAGCAGTCCTCCCACCTAAGCCTCCCAAAGTGTTGGAATTACAGGCGTGAGCCACCGCGCCCAGCCTGCTGAGACTTTTGAATGTGTTCTGTTTCCACTACACAATTGAGAACACTGAAGTACCAGTGACTTCCAGGGTGGGGAAGAAATCCAGAGGCTGCTCCTGAAAGGGGTCACCCTTGAGTGTGAGTCTGTTCCAAGTAAATCAAGTGAGCTGGAAGATCGGTGAGCTTGGATTTATTTTGTATCTTTTTTTTTTTCTTTTTAAAGGGGAGCTGTAGAATTAAGGGTTGAGGTTTTTCTTATTCTCTTTAGAGGTTTTTTGGCTACCTAATACATCAGCTGAACTAATCTGCAGAAAATAAATTTATCTTTAAAGTAGAGCTATTTAGATGCCTGAGTAACAAACTCTATCTCAATAGAAGCTATTGGCAAAATGAAGCTCACCTCTTAGGCTGACAGCACTGTGGAAATGATGCTCAAAGTTTCAGGGGTGAAACCAGATTGGCTTCTGGCCAAGGGTACCTTACTAATGGGCGTATTTGCATTTGGGGAGGAAAAGACCTGTGACAACACAGCCACGTGGTTGTTCCTCATAACCCACAGTTGGGTTTCATCTGGACTCCCTCCCCACCCCTAACGTCTGCCGATGTATCTGTGTCTAAAGCCATAGTTTACTCTTTTTTATCCTCATCCTTCAACCAGCCCTACATCTTACGTGCCTGCTGTCCAGACTTCTCTTAAATCTATCTGTTCCTTTCCACCCCAACTATCAACTCAACTGAATAGCCACTAAATGAGGCACTGTGCTAAGCTCTGAATTGCAAAGATCATTAGGGCATTTGGTCTTATTACTTCAGTCCTGGGTTATGCACCTGTGCTAGGAGGTGCAGCTGATTTTCCTGATTATGCTTCCAGACGTGCCACTCCTTCTCATACACACAACTCTTGCTCAGACACTGTCCTGTACTTCCTGTAAGGTACAGTCAAAACCTGCGTTTTTCAGAGGCCTCTGCAGCCTGCACCCATTGTGATTGTGCAGTCTTAGCTCCTTTTGGCCTTGTGGAAGGAGAGTGGATTCTAGAAAGATCCCTGCCCAGCCACTTCCTGCCCACTGTGACCTTGAGCAAAATCTCTGGCTCCAAGTGTTGCATGGGTGGTGGTGAAGGGGTAGCAAGGAAACTTGAGTGGGTTTGTCAGAACTAGGAGCAGTAAGAAAACTTGAAAGAGCCTCCTGTCTTAAGAAGGCACTTGACTGCCTCTGATCAATTCAGGGAGGCTTCAACAGCTCTTAAGAGGATTAGGCCAAAGGACTTCAGTGAAACTTTTGTGCTTTTGTTCCCTAGAGTGGAAACCCTTGACACGTGTTACACACAAACAACACTTGGGGTGGAACAAGAGGTTTACAATGATCTGTCTGGGACCCATAATACAATTCAGCATCTCTTTAGAGCTTCAGTCTATCAAACATTTTCAGACTATTTCATTTAACCTTAACAGTTATTGAAATGCTTGGGGGGGAAAAAAACCTCCACATTTGAGATTTCCATAGCAGAAGCATCACCAGCAGCCTCAACAGCCATTCAAAAAGATATCGTCTGCAGGCTTGTTACCTCTTATCGTCCCTCCATTGTATTATAGAACTCTTATTCTTAGAGAGATTGCCTGGAAAGAGGTAAAGTATGCATAGACATGGTCAGCCCCATTTGCAGCTGAGGAAATGAGACTCAGAGTGGCAAAGTGACTTTTTCAGAATCATAGCAGTAAATGGTAGCATTAGGAAGCTAAGCCTGATCATCCTGTTCTTGTCCTGTTGAGGAGATAGTGAGAGCAAAGGAAAGTGGCAACAATGAAGGAATAAAACCCAGCTCGTCCCCCTGTTCCTCATGCCCAACCCTTGCCAAGACTTCAGGTAACAGAAGGAAGAGAACACATGGATGGGCACATGCTGGGCCCGGAAGAGCTGTGCATGTCCCACAGACCACGAGTGTGGAGCCCATGGCCGTGTGAAGGGGGTGGGGTCCCAGTCCTAGAAGCAGGATCATGGAAGTGGCCTTGGAGGACCTGACGAGGAAGCCTATGATCTTCCAGGTACTTTTAGGTGATGTGGATTTAGACACTGGATGTGGCTGTGAAGCGGGCTTTTGCTTTTTTGGTTGTCCGGCATCCATTTAATCACGCCCCAGCTTCCTGCTTGGGAACTTCCACTAACGCTGTCAGTCCATGGACTTCTAGAGGAGCTGAATCTACCGCTGGCTCAGGAACAGGAACCTGACCTGGGCCTAAGCTAATGAATCCATCAAATTTACCTTGGCAAAGTGATTGCCTCAGGAATGGGCAGTGACCCAACTAGAGCCAATAGGACTTTTCCCAGGTATCCTGAAACAGACAGTCTTTTTCTCATGGATGTGGACCTGAGACAGTATAGTTCTGGGAGTTGCTGACAACCATCTTATGGTCATGAGCTGATTTGAGATTGGCTTCAACAAGCAGGAAGTGGAACAGATGGAGATAAATTGGATCCTGGTAAAATTTGTTTGGAATCTTGTATATGTTGATTTTTCTCCTGAATTTTTTTCAGTTATATGAACCAATACATTTTGTTTGTTTAACCCAATATGGGTCATGTCTTCTCTCAACTGCAGGTGACTGCAGTTTACTTGTTTCATAAAGTAGGATTTTAAACATAAACAGTATGCAGAATAAAAGTTTGTCATACAGATTTCTTATCATGGAACTTCTTTTTTATAGAATTGTGGAAAGCTTACAAAGGGCTTCTGCTTCTGACTACGATGGAGTGACTGGTATCAGATGGCCCTCTTGTCAGGAACAACCATAAAAGCTATACTTCACCCAGCTTTTTGATAGCATGGAGAAATGTCAAGGCAGCTGGGATTGGAAGGAGTAGATAGGATCCCTGACAGAATGAAGTACAGTTCCAATAGAAAAGAAAGCCCAGATTTTGTGGAAAGTGACAAGCTAATTTCAAAATTTATATGGAAAGGTAAAAGTCCAAGAATAGCAAAGATTCTCAGGAAAAAGAAAAAACATTTTCTTAACATGACTAAATATGAAAACTTATTATCTGGTTACAGTAACTAAAACAGAATGATATGACCTCAAGTATAGATAAATAGATTATTGGAACAAAATAAAAAATCCAGACCCAGAAATATACAGTCTTTTATTTTCAGCAAAGGTGCCACTGCAATGCAGTGAAGAAAAGATGAGCTTTTCAATAAACAATGTGCTGAGTCAATTGGATATATACTTGAGAAAAAATGAACTTGACCCCTACCTCACACTATACACAAAAATCACTTTCAGATTGATTACAGACCTAAATGTGAAAGATAAACAGTAAAGCTTCTAAAAGATAGCATTAAAGAATATCTTCATGGCCTTGTTCATTCTGGTATTTCCTCAAGAGTTTGGTACGTGGTCAGTGTTTGATAATTGTCCATTACATGAATTATGGAGTAGGGGAAATAAAGTGAGAGCAATGGATGGGAGGCTGGTGTGAGAGCAGCAAAGGTAGCAGTCATAGGATCAGGGAGAAAGGACACACTTCATCATTCTGGGGTAATTTTTAGCAAAAGATACATAATCCCTCCATCAAGGAAGGTGGAAGCCATGGCAGGTTGGAGGAGCAGGCCAGGAAGGCTCTAAGCCAGCCAAGCCCACAGAAAGTCAAACATTTGTACTCTCCTGAGGACTCCAGGCTTTTAGCTTGTGGCACTTCATTCAAAATTTCTGTCCTTGTATTTCGTAGTTGTTTTAAGAATCGGAATAACTATATATTATTAGTTAATAACTTACATATTTCACTTGTTAAATTTTGGCGTTGCTGCTTACAAAGTGCCACAGCTGGCCAGGTCTTGTGGCTGATGCCTATAATCTCAACACTTTGGGAGGCCGAGGTAGGAGGATTGCTTGATCCCAAGAGTTTGAGACGAGCCTGGGCAACATCGTGAGACCCTGTCTCTTAAAAAAAAAAAAAAAGTTTAAAAAAAATTAGCCAGGTGTGGTGGTGCATGCCTGTAGTCCCAGCTACTCGGGAGGCTAAGGTGGGAGGATCCCTTGAGCTTGGGAGGTCGAGGCTGTAGTGGGCTGTGGTTACACCATTGCACTCCAGCCTGGGTGACAGGGTGAGACCCTGTCTCAAAAATAAAATAAAAAATAAAACATGTCTGCAAATTCTTTGATGCTTCTGCCATTGAGAGGTAGGTTTATGTATCCTTCCGCTTCAATCTGGGCCTTAGTTATTTGTTGACCCACTTTAGTGACTGGTTAGCCATGGAATAAGGCAAAAATTATCCTAAATGTCTACAATGTTAGGTTATAAAAAGCAACACCGCTGTAACTGGTTCTCTTGGGATACTTGCCTTTGCAGCCCCAAGCTGTCATGTAAGAAGTCCAAGGTTGCCAAGCTTTGAGCAAGTCTCAGCCACATCGAAGGCCAGATGAGGGTTTTCTGGATAATGGGCCCAGTTGAAATCCCAGCCAACAGATGCCATCAATTACCAGACACATGAGTAAGGCTGCCTCCAGATGACTCCTGTCCCTCATGACTGAGTTGCTCCCAGCCTCCAAGTCTTGCCAATCAAGACTCTAGACATTACAAAGCCATGGCAAGCTGTCCCCACTTTGCCTTTGCCAAATTTCCAACCCACAGAATCTGTGAACATAATACAATGATTATCTTTTACTGCTAAGTTCTGTAATAGTTTGTTACACAGCAGCAGATATTTGGACTATCAGTCATGATGTACTTTCATCAGAACACACAGTTTGCAGTAACTGCTGTTATGAAAAAACAGTTGCTTGTGTCTTATGTTTCAAATATACATCTATATAGTATCTAACAGTTTCTATTTACTCTAACAGTCAATGATGTCAATTTCAGTGGCGTCTACAAATTAAAAGCCCCAAATACAATGTCCTTCCACCCAAAACAGACGTGTGAACACGTTGATATTGTGTGGTTTCTATAACACGCTCATGAGACTGAGGGAGGAGTAAATACATAGCACTTTTATACTCAATTCTCGAGTAAGTGTCCTGCATTTTGACTTGGGCTCAGAAGGTGTTTCTCACGGTCTGGTAGGAAGCCTGGTGAGGGAGGCTGACACTCTAGTTCACCTGAAGGCAGAACAGAAATGACGATGGGGAGCTGGTGTTGGAGGCAGGGAGGAGAACGTCCTGGTAATCTGGTTGGAAGTGGCCAGTCTTTCTGTTTAGATAAAAGAAAAAACTCAAACTAGACTTCAACGTAAAAATGCCTCATGGGCTATACATAAGACTCCATGTAAAACTATGTGTTACTGAAAGCCTAAAAACAAAGGATTGACAAAATCATACGAAGCAAAGGCAAATAAAAAATAGGGATTGGCACCTCTAAAATCAAACAAGTTTGAATTTAGAGAAGTATTATTAAATTATCAGAAGAAGTATTAAGCAAGACAAAGCATGATGTTTTGTAATGATAAAAGTGTAAACCACAATGAAACCCTAGCTATATATCTAGTTACAAATAGATATATAGTAAATTATAATAGTGATAAATTCATAAGACATAAACTACAGAAATTCAAAGAGAAATAGAAAAATACTAATCGTAGAAGATTTTAATTCTTTTACCTGAGACTTTGACAGGTACAAAAAAATAAGAATATTGAAGACTAAAATAATGTAATTTAAAAGATAGACTTTATGAACATATATTCAAATGCTATATCAGAATATATCTTCTTTAAAGTACTCATGCAATAATCACAAAATGTTACTCTTACATTAGATTGAAATAATGCTTCACTAATTTGCAAAATGGAGAAATAGTGCAGGTAAAACTCTCAGACAGCATTTCCACAAAATGGAAATTAGTTTTTAAATAATTTTAAATCTAAAAACCTTATCATTTAGAGCATTTAAACTCTTCATTAACTTTCTGATCAAATAGGAAATTTAAAAGTATAGGAAATCTACAAAGTAACAGCAACACATATATAATCAGAATCTATGGGATATTGCTAAATCGATAAACAAGAAAGAAAATAAATGAAGTATCCAGTTCTAGAAGTTTAAAAGAACAATAACACTAAGGCAAACAGATGGAAAGAATACTAACTAAAAAAAAATCAATCCAATAACTGATTCTTTAGGGGAAAAATAAAAAACTATGTAGATGTTAATTAATCTAATCAAGAAAATAGGGAGAAAGCACAAATATATAAAATTTTAATAAATGAAGTGAAGAAATCATAAAAGGCTACTTTGTTTAACTATATGTAAATAAATGGCTAAATGGATGTTTTTCGAGGAAACATAAATTTCCAAAATTGGTCAGAACAGAAAGCTAAACAGACAAATTAACATGGAGAAATTAGAAAATGTTATTAATAATATTAATAACTAAATAGCAATAGGCTCGTATAGTTTATTAAGCAAATTCTATAAAACTTTTAAGGAACTGGTAATTTCAATGCTATTTAAGATGTTTCAGAACAAAGGAGGAGAATCAAAGGTGCAAATTCTTCTTATGAAGGCAGTATAACATTGATATGAAAACCCAACAAAATGGCAACAAAAATAAATAAAATTATAGCCCAATCTCACCTAATGAATATTGCTGTAAAAATCTAGAATAAAAGAAACAGACCCATTAAAGTCAGAAAATAGATGAAAATATGTATTATTATTTAACAATGAACTGGAAATGCTAGTCAACATAATTAAACAAGAGAAAAATAGAGGTTTGAAAACTTGAACGTAGGAAGTAAAATTACCATTTTGTGTAGATAATATTTACTTTAGAATTCAAGACAATCAACTAAAAATATGTTATAAATAATAAGAATATTTAAGAAGCATGTTACAGAGTTAACATTAGGAAATCAATAGTCTAATTATGTAGAAACAATAGCCAGTTAAAATGTGACAGAAGAAAAAACTCATGTATAATAGGAACAAAAAAATAAGTTGTCCAGAACAAATTGTTTTGTGTGTTTGTTTTGAGACAGAGTCTTCGTTATGTTGCCCAGACTGGATTCAAACTCTTGGCTTCAAGTGCTCCTCTCACTTCAGCCTTAAGAGTAGCTGAGACTACAGGCAGGTGCTACTACTGCCCACAGCCAGAATAAATTTAAAAGGAAATTGTGCAAGGACTATGTAGAGAAAACTTGAAAATGCAAATGAAGATTTTAAAAAATAGAAAGACATGATGTTCTTGGGTAGGAATATTCAACACTGTAAATATGTCAATTCTCCCTAAAGTAATATATAAATGTAAAACAATGACAATAAAAATACTATCAGAATATTCTTTTGGAATTAAATAAGCTGATTGTATAGTCTATTATAAAAATAAATAATTACTAACCAGAAACAAATCTGAAAAAGGATACAAGGAGGTGTATTAGTTTTCTATTACTGCATAACAAATTATCATAAATTTAGTGTATTAACACAATACCTATGTATTAGCTCTCAGTTCTGTGGGTAAGAAGTCCCAGCACAGCAAGAACGGGTTCTCAACTCAAGGTCTAATGAGGCTGAAATCCAGGTGTCAGCCAGGCTGCATTCTGATCTGGAGGAGGGACTGTGGGAGAATCAGCCTCCAATTTCATTGAGTGTGTTGGACAAATTTAATTCCTTGTGGTTCTAGGATTGAGGACCCAGTTTCCTCGCTGACTGTCAGCCAGGGCCTCTCAGCTCCCCAGAGGCCTCCCTCATTCCTGGCCACACAGCCCCCTCCATTTTTAAAGCCAGCCAGGAAGAATCTCCCTCATATTGATTTCCTTCTTGTTTTGAATCTAGTCTCCAGGAAAAGCCCATTCTATTTTAAGGTCTCACCTGGGTCAGGTCTACTCAGCATAATCGCTCTTTTTTAAAGTCAGCTGTGCTAAATAACATAACTTAATCATGGAGTAACGATCCCATCATTCACAAATTCCAGGGGTTATAAAAGATGTTTATACCTGGGAGCAGGAATCTTGGGGATCAACTTAGAATTCTGCCTACCACAGGGGGTAATAGCCTTACTATTACTATTACTATTGCTATTACTAATATAAAAACATACTAGAAGGTAACAGTTAAACAGTATGACACTCCAAGGTGGGCGGATCGCTTGAGCCCAGGAGTTCGAGACCAGTCTGGGCGACATAGAGAAACCCCCATCTCTACTAAAAATAAAAAAAATTAAAAATTAGCTGGGCATGGTGGTGCATGCCCATAGTCTCAGCTACTTGTGAGGCTGAGGCAGGAGGATCACTTGATCCCAGGGAAGTTGAGGCTACAATGAGCTCTGATCGTGCCACTGCACTCCAACCTGGGTGACAGAGTAAGACCCTGTCTCAAAAAAACAAAACAAAACCAGTATGACACTGATGAACAAATAGGTCAATATTTATTGATCAATAAATAATAGATTCAGGGCTGGGCACAGTGGCTCACATCTATAGGAGTTCGAGACCAGCCTGGCCAACATGTTGAATCCCTATCTCTACTAAAAACAGAACAAAAAAATTAGCTGCGCATGGTGGCAGGTGCCTGTAGTCCCAGACACTTGGGAGGCTGAGGCAGGAGAATCGCTTGAACCCAGGAGGCGGAGGTTGCAGTGAGCCAAGATCACACCACTACACTCCTGCCTGGGCAACAGAGTGAGACCTTGTCTCAAAATAATAATAATAATAATAATAGTTTCTATAGATAAGTAGGTCTAAATTGAAGTCAAGGAATAAATCCAAAAGCATATAGAGATATAGAACATGAGAAAGACGATTTTCAAATTTTTGGTGAAAAAGATCAATTATTTCGTAAATGACAGCCATCTGGAAAAAGTAGAGTAAGATCTTATATTAATTATATAAAAATCACATAACTGCTATAACAAACCCCAGGTTCTCAATGGTTTCACATAATTAAAGTTCATCCTTATGTATGTCATGTACGGTTGGCTGTTACCAGGTTGTGTAGTCTCTCTTATGGTCATTCAGGGAGCCAAGCTCTATTCATCTGGACACTCTCTAGAGCTGTGCTGTCCATTGTTTTGGTTACTAGCCCCAGTCCAAAGTGAGATGTGCTGTGAGTATAAAATACACATCAGATTTTGAAGATATAATATGAAGAAAAGAATGTAAAATATCCCATTGATACATTTTGTACTGATTACTTGTTGAAATGGTAATATTTTTGATATATTGGGCTTAATAAAATATATTTTGACAATTCCACTTTTTGTTTTTTTGGTTTTTTTTGAAATGGAGTCTAGCTCTGTCACCCAGGCTGGAGCGCAGTGGTGCGATCTTGGCTCACTACAACACCCGCCTCCCAGGTTCAAGCAATTCTCCCACCTCAGCTTCCCAAGTAGATGGGATTACAGGCACCTGCCACCATGCTCGGCTAATTTTTGTATTTTTGTAAAGAAGGGGTTTCACCATGTTGGCCAGGCTGGTGTTGAACTCCTGACCTCAGGTGATCTGCCTGCCTCAGCCTCCCAAAGTGCTGGGATGACAGGCGTAAGCCACCACACCTGGCCTAATTTTTCTTAATATGGCTACTAGAAAATGTAAAATTCCATTTATGTCTTGCACGTATGGCTCACACTTATTTCTATTGAACACCACTGCTCTGGAATCTTCTCCAGAGCCTTCCCCATGGTGACTTGAGATGGCAGATAGGGAAAATGAGAGGGTCCCATGACTGTCCCTCACATTCCACTGGCCAGAACTCAGTCACATGGTCATACGCAACTGCACGGGAAGGGGAGAAAATGTTGTCCAGCTGTGTGCCAAGAGGAAGGGGAGATGGATTTGATGAACAACTAGGCACCTCTTCCACAGATCCCTCACTCACACCTTGCACCAAAACAAACAGTAAAGGAATGAGATTAAAATGTGGTAAAGAGGAAGGAAGGAAAAAAGAGAGGAAGGGAGGGAGCCAGAAGAAATGGGAAAATTTTTAATTTTAAAAATAATTTTTAGAAATATTTTTAGAATTAAAAAAAAATCTCAGAATATAAAAGGTCCAAGTATGACTCAGAATGTAGAGCTATAAAAGAAAAAAGAAAAGATCAATTTAAACAATCTTGAAATTAAAAAAAATTCTACCTGACAAAAGAAAACACCACAAACAAAGTAAAAACAAGTCAAATTCTAACTGGGAAAAATCTGACACATTGATATCTCAACCAAAGTATAAATTTCCTAAAGTATAAAGACCTCTTACAAATCAATTTTAAAAGAGCAATAAAACCCTATAGAGTAGTGAGCAGAACGTGTAAAGAGATAATTCACTGAAAAGGAATAAAAACAGTTTCTAAAAGTATGAAAGAATGATTCTTGACTTCACCTATAACTAGAAAAACACAAAGCTATATGTTTAACCTGTCAAACTGGCAAAGATTAAAAGATGGGTAACACGTTGTGTTGGTGATGGTGTGAAGTCAGGTTGGTGGGGTATAAATTGCTCTAACCTCTGTGAAAAGCAATTTGACAGTTAAATTCAGCATATCCTTGCTCTTTGATCCAGTAAACCCACTTCTAGCAGTTTATCTTGCAGATGTACATGATGAAAAGACAATGTACAGTAATACAGTAGTCATGGTGAAGATTTGACATACTTAAATGTTTGTCAATGTGGAAACAGTTAAATGCAATGGAATACCGTGGAGCCATATAAAGAACGAGGCCTAATATATATGTGTGGTATGTATGGTCATGACTAGTATTCCATACTCTACTCTTAGTCACAAAAGCAACATAAAAATAGTGCATAGTGCGGAAGGGTAGACAGAGATTGACTTCTGAGAGAGGAAGGAGAATATTTAGAAGGTAATCAGGGGCCGGAGGAAAGAGATGAGAGGGCAACTTTCCAGCCGGGCATGGTGGCTCACACCTGTAATCCCAGCACTTTGGGAGGCTGAGGTGAGCGGATCACCTGAGGTTAGGAGTTCGAGACCAGCCTGGCCAACACGGTGAGACCCTGTCTCTAATAAAAGTACAAAAATTAGCTGGCCATGGTGGCACGTGCCTGTAGTCCAAGCTACTCGGGGGGCTGAGGCAGAAGAATCACTTGAACCCAGGAGGTGGAGGTTGCAGTGAGCCAAGATTGTGCCACTGCACTCCAGACTGAGCGACAGAGCGAGACTCTGTCTCAAAAAAAAAAAAAAAAAAAAAAAACAACTTTCCTTTTATAGTATATCCACTTCAAAAACTTTTTGCTGTTCAAATTTTCTACAATGTGCATGTATTGGCCATTTTTAAAAGTAGATAATATATATTTAAATTTTGGAAGCAATGCCCTTCTTTGTGTTATTTGTGTCCTCTGAGATGCAAGTAATTTATTGGGGAACACACCTGTAATGGAAAATGGGGATGGAGCCAGAGGCGATGGGGAGGACGCTCAGAGTGTGATGAAGGTCTGACCCTGGAGAAGACAGGAGAGAGGGAAGGAAATTTGGACAAGGTCAGTGAACGTCCTTGAGCCAAAATTGCCCATCAGAAGTCCCACCTCTCCCAGGAGAAGGCGTGCCTTCCTATTCCTGCTACACTGAGAGGTTGGCTGAGGGCAGCCCCTGGGAAGCGCAGCCTCAGATGTGTTGATGGATTCAGAGCACAGCAGCTGGGGCCCTCGATCAGCTGCACTCCCTGCAGCAGATCTCATGGCTGTGGCCCCTCCAAAATCTGTGCTGATCACCTCTTCACTGAAGTTTGCAAATATTGCTCTTATGTGATGACTTCCTTGATTTTATAGTTACAGTGACTTGGATTCTTCTGATTCTAGGAAGTAACTTTTTTCTTTAATCATTTATTCATCCATTCATTTAACCAGTCTTTATTAAATACTTACCACATGTTATGTACTGAGCTAAGTGCTGGGGACACAAAAGTGAATAAAACAGACCTGGGTCCCAGATTCATGGACTTGAGGATCTGCTGAGCAGGCAGAAATGAATCAAACGATCAGCCAGCATATAACTTCCAACTCTAGTGAATGCTGCAGAGAAAAAGTGTAGAAAGTCATGATGCATCTGACACCAGTTGGAGTTTGGGGAAGGCTCCACAAAAGATGTGAAATATTAGAAATAAATGCTTATTGAGAAAACAGTGTGCAGAAGAGTGTAAAGTACAAAACCAGGCCAGGTGGTGGCTCACGCCTGTAATCCCAGCACTTTGGGAGGCTGAGGCAGGAGAATTGCTTGAGCTCAGGAGTTCAAGACCAGCCTGGGCAACATAACAAGATCCTGTTTCCACAAAAGATCAAAAAATGAGCCAGGTGTGGTGGCACGTGCCTCCCATAGTCCCAGCTACTCAGGAGGCTTTGGTGGGAGGATCTCTTGAACCAGAAGGTCAAGGGTGCAGTGAGCTGAGATTGTGCCTCAGCACTCCAGCCAGGGTGACAGAGTGAGACCATGTATCAAAAAAACAAAAACTAAAAAAAGAACAAAACTAAAATCACTCATAATTCTAGAACCAGAAATAACATCACCTGGCAGCTTTCTTTGTCTTTTACAAAAAATGCAGTTGTCTAATACAGCATTGTTCAATAGAACGGAATGTGAGCCACATATGTAATTAAAAATTTTTAAGACTCTTGAGACATTTTATAAAATTTTTGGAGAAGTGCTGTTCTCATTTGCATTGCTGGCAGTCCCCAGAGTGCATGTCTCACTGTGACTCTGGCAGTGGTGACCAATGTAATTTCCTCTAAATTTGTTAATTTGATTTGTCAAATTTGGCATTTCCTTATTTTCACAAACAATTCCGAAGTCTTTGCATTCTAGAGAGGCTGAACATTCTTTGTCCCTCTGCTCATTAGCTAATTCATTTCTAGTTTTACATTACTAATTTTCTTCTTTTAGAAGTGAATGAATGGTGCCTCTTACATTGAATGGAGTCAGATGAAGCCTGATACTTGTATTTATTTTCATATGCTAACATGGTTTGATTTCAAATCTCACCAACAATGGTTAAGCTTTGCCGACTGGGAGATGCAGTGCTGAGTATTAGGGGAAATACACTGAGAGCTGGAGGGTGCTCACAGGAAGCATACAAGTCCTGGAGGAAAACAGCAGGCCGGGCACAGCAGCTGAACCATGAGGCTGTGCACACTCAGGTACCATGGGACGTCTGGGTGCCCACGAGAGCAAGAGTGGGGCTGGGTAGCTGACTCTGGAGGGATCAGGTTCATGGAAGCAGTGAGATTTGAAACAGATCTGGGGGAGAAGGATCTCCGCGAGCAGGGTGGGATGAGAGGAGCCGAGGGCTGGGCTGGAACGTAGTGGTGTCTAATAGCAGATGTGGGAGACAAAGCAGGAAGGTCTGCTGGGCCCCTGTTCTAGCAGAATTTAAATAACCCCCTGAGGCTTTATTTTATAGATTTTGAGAACCTGGCCAGGCGTGGTGGCTCATGCCTCTAATCTCAGCACTTTGGGAAGCTGAGGTGGGTGGGACACTTGAGGTCAGGAGTTCGAGACCAGCCTGGCCAACATGGTGAAACCCCGTCTCTACTAAAAATGCAAAATTAGCTGGGCTTGGTGGTGCACACCTGTAATCCCAGCAACTTGGGAGGCTGAAGCAGGAGAATCCCTTGAGCCCAGGAGGTGGAGGTTGCAGTGAGCCAAGATTGTGCCACTGCACTCCAGCCTGGGCGACAGAGTAAGACTATTTCAAAAAAAAAAAAAAGAATTTTGAGGACTTGATGGTGCTTTTAAGCTGTTTTATTTTTCCTTTGAGAAGAGAAAATCCTAATTCACAGAGCTTTTCAAGGGAAAGGGCCTAAAGAGAGAAAAGGTGGCGTATCCTCAGCTCTTCCGCTGAGGTCAGCCTACCAAGGAGAGATCAGCTTTAGTTCCTCAGAGACATGCCCAGTGATTCCAGGTGTGTGCAGGAGAGTGGCCAAACAGCTAAGGCAATAAGTCTGTTCTGAAGAAGACTTCTGTGTGTCAGGGGCCCACCTGCCGTGGCCAGGGAGGCTCTGCTCGTGCTTGAACCAGGCTTCTGCCAGGCGCCCTCCACCCACTCCATGCCTGCCCTCTCCACCCACCCCCTCCTCTACCCCCTCCCCTTCACCACCTCCCACACCCTCTTCACCCCTGCCCCTAAACCCCCACCTACCCCGGGGTCTAGTCCTTTGGGGGGAACATGAACTTGGCCTTCTTTAGAGCAGGCTGACCAATGGCTACCTCCATTCAGAAATGCTTGCTGTAACTCAGGACATCCTGTGTTGGCTGTGTCCCAAAGTCCAGGTGAAAATCTCCCGGGCCTCTGCACATCTTAGGAAGGAAGAGGGACCAAGCATCTAATGAGGTCTCTGATCTGGAGAGGAGAAGCACCTTGAGCCAGGGAAAGCCTCTTCCAGCACAGACAAGGCAGCCCTTTCTTTAGTGGGTGTCCTTTTCAGAACCAGGTGTTGCTAAGATTTAAAAGGTATTCTGTTTGCTAATTCAACTGAAATACACACAATCCGCCCCCAGTGCTGGGTTCAACATCTTTTTGCCAAGGCGGTTTTTACAAATGCTGATGAACCACTCCATGTGGCTTCCTAGGCAAGCACATTCCTCAAGCATTTTGACACCGGCTAATGATTTAAAGTCCCTTTGGCTCCATAAACAGTGGAGGCCGGCCCAAAGTGTTGGCTGATTAGAAACCCACTGGGCAGGCTCGCCCAAAAGGGCCTGGGGCTGGGTGAGCGCTCTACCTGGCTTCCCTCCTTGGGTGAGGAGGAGTGGGGTGGAAGGAAGGTGAGAAGGTGGTGCCCCTTTTCTGGATCTCTTGGTTTCCCTTTGACTCTCCATCTAGTATTCTCTGCATACACACACACTCGCACACACACACGCGCACACACATGCACACTCATATGCACACGCACACTCGTCTCTGCCTATGACTGTTCGATATCTTGTTGAATAGGCTCTGTGAAGGGCTGGGGGAGGGGCACATGTTGGAGAGAATGCCTACTTTTACTTCACTCGCAAAGATTCATCCCAAATTCTGTGGGGGTGTGTTGGCAAGGAGGGGAGGCAAGACTAAACAGAGGGGATAAAAACTTGCATCCGCATGATTGCTTTTTAAAAATATGACAACTTGTGAAAGCTTTATTTTCTGTTTATAGTGAAAGGCATTTCTTCTTGCCATTTACAGAGCAATTCTGCAAGAGAGCTTCAGCAAAATTCCAAAACAATCGCATCGAGAGTCGGCACAACGCAGGTCTCCCGACTTTGACTGGTTCCAGACGAAGTTTCTTTTGTCGTTTGCTAGCCTCCAGGGATGCAATCTCTACACTCTCTGTGGGATGGAGGGGGAAGGTGAGTGGAGGGAACATTAAATATTAGGAAACCCGAAGAAAAAGCAAAAGCAACTGCTTTCTCAGGCTGCCCTTCGGAGGTTCGTAGTCCGGGAACGATGAAGGGAGACTGCCACCTATGGGCCAGGTTCCAGGGACGCCCGCACGTGGCGTTCTGCGGGACAGACGCAGTCTTAAGGTAGAAGGGAAGGCGTCTTCATGGGACAGTGAGTCACCGCACACTCTGCTTGCAGGCAGAAGCACTCTTAACTCATTCAGGACAGATGAGCATTTTCCCAATTTAAAGGACACTTTTTTTTTTTTTTAAACAAGAGTGTGATCTTGTAAGCCAAGTTTTGTAATACAAACAAAATAATGGAACTGACACCCCAGGACCCACCATTTAAATTAAACAGATGTTCAGTTCAGTTTGGCTGCTAGGTTCCACAGTGGGATCCACTCCAGCACTATACCTGAAATTGTGTGGCTGCTTAACAAAAATGAATCAGCATAATGAATCAGAGATAAACATCCTCTTGCCGTGCCGTCCCAGTAGAAAAGCAACAGGATAAATAACAATTGGGCAAATATCAAACCCATTCCAGCAGATGCCTGTGGGTGGGGGCAAGGGAAATGAAAGTGGAATCAGACACAAAGGGGAATATAAAAGGAAGCACAGTTGTAAAACTAGAGAGGGACCTCACATACAGTCACGGTAATGGGATAAGAACTGAGGAGTATAATTCAATCACCTCTGCTCCCAACGTGAAAAAGAAAAGTTATATGCTTTGAGCTTGGCAAGTGGGAGACGGCTACTGTGTTATAATGGTTCCAATGGTATCATACAGTTGTCCTTTGATATTTGAGATCTATGTGTTCGTGAATAGCAAATCCTATTATTCCCATTGTCTTCCATTATAAAATCAGATCTGCCACACAACACCTATACGATACTGGATTTAGAGTAACCAAGCAGTCCCGACTCCTGTTGCAGAGAAGGGAGTGGTGTAGGTATTTGTGTGTGCATTTTTTTGTCTGAGTGTGTGTACATGTGCATGTATATGAAAGCATGTGTGTATGTATGAGTGTTTAAAAAAGGAGCTCAGGAAGGATTATGGTTCTGTCACTCCAAACCAAAGGAGATTTAAGGTCCTCTGCCCAGCATTGTAGCACCTAGAGAAAAGCTAACCCTGTCCAGGGAGGCATCTCCCCTGAATAGGCACATGTACTGAATAGGCACACTGCCTTCCAGACCCATCAGAAAGGCAGAGTTGGGCTGTAGAGTCTTCAACAGAAATCAGCAAGTAAAACTTGGGATGCTAGAATGGTACTGTACTTTCAGCAAGTGGCAAAGGAAACACAGGAAAGAATCCAACAGAAGCAGGATGGGGATTTTCTGGGCAGACTAGTAGGCTGGGTGAGGGAGAATAACCCAGTGTTGCACTCTATGTATAATCCACATTTTGTTTGCCCATTTTGCTCCTGAAGGACCTGTAGGAGACAGGAGCTAGGCCAGAACTGTTCTCTTAGCCCCACCAACTAAGGGTTAGTAGCATCAGTTCCTAAGTGAAGAAGAACTGGCAACCGATACCAGAATCCATCGAATGTCCTTTAGGGTTCTTTATACATAAAAACATAAATAGTGCCAAATTCTCATTAGTAGCTCAGTTGCTCTTTAAAAAAACACTCCTTTTATCTTTTATGAAGTGTAAGTTCAAGAGTCTTTCTAGATGTTGTAATATTCGGACACCTGGTTTAGGAGGCCTCTCTCTCCCCCCTTCATATATGTGAACCATAACCAGGAAGATCTGAGTATCTTTAACGTATATTAGTAAATTATATATACTATCGTTTCATGTACTTTACATTTTATGTAAATTATATTGTATAAATATTTATGTTGCATCTTTCTAGTTTATCATTACACATTTTAGATGTATCCATGTAGGTGATAAGGATCTAGTTCACTCATTTTAATGGCTGTGCAGCATTGCATTGCATGAATAATCCACATTTGATTTGCCCATTTTGCTCCTGAAGGTCAGGTAGCTTGTTTCCACTTTTAAGCTATTACCCAGAGTGCTGAAAGAATGTGCTTTTGTTCATATCTCCTTGGACCCACGTGTCTCTTGGGAACTTCTAGACATATAGTGGCAGAATTTTTGGTCATAGGTTATGCATTAACTTTACCAGGTGTTGCCAAATCGCTCTCTACAGTGGGTCTGTCATTTTTACATGCCCACTAGCAGTGGATGTAAGTATCCATTTCTCCATTCTCATCAACTTTTGGTATTGTCAGAGTTTTTTCAAGAAATTCCCACTCTAATAGGCATGAAATAGTATCTATTTGTTTTAATTTGCATCTCCTTGACTACTAATAAAGGCGAGCACATTTTCATGCGTCTATAGACCATTAAATGTCCTCTTTTGCCGATTGCTTGTTAACATCCTTAAGCTTTTTTGATGTTCGGTTGTTGCTCTTTTTCTTGCTTATTTGTAGGAACTAGTTGTACATTTTGGATAGTAATCTTTGGTTGGAAATGTGGGATATAACTATTTTCTCCAAGTCTGTGTTTGTCTTCTTGCTTTGCTGTTAGTGCCATTTGTCATTAAGAAGTTTAAAAAAATTATCTACTTCAACTTCTCACTTTTCCATGATAATTTTTGGTTTTGTATTGTTTAAGAAACCCTACCCTCCTTGGATGTCATTGAAATATTTTCCTGTAGTTCTGTCTAAATGTTTACTGCTTTTCCTTAACACATCTGAAATTTATTTTTGTTCACACAGTGAGGTACGAATCTAATTTTTCTCTTAGAAAATATTATTAGCCAATAGTCACAGTGCCATTTATTGAATAGTCATCCTTTCCCTGCTGATTTGCAGTGTCACCTCTTATATCCTAAGTTCCTACTTATGTGTGTTTCTAACTTTTTCAGAAAATTTGCCCCATTGATCTATTTAGCTAAATGCTGATACCAGAATATTTTATTTCATTTTCCAGGTGTAATTTTATTCCACTTTCTCCAACTTCAGAGTTCCAACCTTAGAGGACAGAGCATTATGTGGAGGGAGGGTAAAGACTTGATATGAAAAAAGTGATAATGACATACCCCTGGTTCATTTCTGGGTTTCTTCCTAGGCCAATTCAAAGCCTCAAAATAAGGTCAAGTAACACAATAGGCTCACACTTGCATTACAAGCTGTTTAGAAAATGTGCCTAGATCTCTGACTCAGACAAGATGTCCTCCCCACCATGGGCAAGGGCTGGTGGGCAAGACACTCCCAGCCTTCTTCCAATACTAATAAATAACCTGCAGAATGAGCAGCGCTGGAGAGCTGGCCCTTGACCCACCCACTGCTACCGTTGTGGAGCCAGGCCTGCCTCATAGCCCTCTGTCTTCATGTCATTGAGCTCTAGCTCCTCATTTTAGTCAAAGGTGTGCTTATAATGCTCCGCCTTCATCTCAGGATCATCTTCAGTTGCATACACATTCTGCAAGTAACTGTTTCCTGCTGAATCATCCATAATAAAGTCGGTCTTCATGTTACCTTCGATGATCTGGTCCATCTTCTGGCTAAACTCCTGCAGTCTCTCCGTCTGGCCAGGATTGGAACTGTCGCCCAGTGTGAAAGGGTTTTTGGTCACCAGTTCCCAGATATCTTTCAGCAGCCCTTCTAGTGTGGTGAACTTGCACCTGAGGATGGCCATTCCCAGTCAAATTCTGGCTCTGGGATTTCCACACTACAAGTCTCAGACTTGAGGAGGTCTCTGGTCATATCTGAGGGACCTGTGATGTGGAGGGTGATCCTGGTGCCCAAGGGTTCTACTGCTTCTCCAGATTTCACCTCATTGGTCTGATGCACGCAGTTCTTGTACTTGGTCCCTCCTTAAAGTGAGGGATTTGTACTAGCTTCATGTTGGTCTGAGTGGGGGCATTGCATTCTGGGCCGTTTGTGTTAAACTGGAGCACTTCATTTCTGAGATCTTCCTCTTCTGGCTTCTCTGTTGGTGCTTCTGCTTGGAGCCCCAGCATCTCTTCCTGCTGTCGGGTCTGGTTGTAGTGTGTGATCACCAGGGCATCATCTTTCTGAGCAGCCTGTGGGTTTTCCACAAAGCTGTTCCCTGAGGGATCATCAATGATCAGAGTGAAAGGGGAGGCTGATTGCTTTAGCTCCTTCA
The DNA here is from genome assembly GCF_000001405.40 of Homo sapiens. Taxonomy (NCBI): domain Eukaryota; kingdom Metazoa; phylum Chordata; class Mammalia; order Primates; family Hominidae; genus Homo; species Homo sapiens. Next base: position 108,786,511 of record NC_000006.12, read on the forward strand.
GTTTGACAATGAACTCATCAATTCTTTCAGCTGTGGCATCTTTGTTGCCCTTCGCGCAGGCTAGTCCTGCTCCCGGCCAGAGATAGCACGGGTGATCAATCCTTCAACAGTGTTCAGACCTCCTTTCTGGCTAAAGGCAGGAATTTGAAAATCTAGCTCAGGAATCCTTGTGGTAGCAGAGTCAGTCTTCACCACTTCTCTGTTCATGTCCTCCAGAGCCCTGATGCTCAAAGTGTAGCGCACTCCCTGGTCCTGGATCCTGCCTGCCGATTGGATCTCCGTGTTGTTCCAGCCACAGTGGTGGCAGGAAAAGGAGCTCACGATTATTTCTCTGAAGAAGGGAATCTTGGTGAGCAGGAGGCGCGTCATGCCATTGCGGTAACAGTTCATGCACAGTGACTTGATCTGGGTGGGCTGCTGCTCCTTGTCCTCGGCGCTGATGGGCCAGAACAGATGACCCAGGGCAGGCAGCAAGTCCAGGGCGGGCGAGGGGGCAACGGCTGACCCCGGGGACCCCACTTCCACAGCCCCGGTGGCCGCCATCACCACCCTGCATCCAAATATTTTAATTACTTATTTAATTATTTAACCACTGCACTTCAGCCTTCAGCCTGAGTGACAGAGCGAGACCTTGTCTCAAAAGGAAAAAAATATATATATACATATATGTAAATGTATGTGTATGTGTATATATATGTATATATGTATATACAAAAAATTAAATAAAATTTAATTTTAATTTTATTCATAAAATAAGTTCATTTTTGTTAAGTATATTTTATTTGCCCCACATTTACTCTCAATATAACAAGGGTACAAGATATTAAACGACAAAAGATGACTCTTTTTCAACAAATGATATTGAGATAACTGGATAGGCATATGCAAAAGAATGAAGTTGCACCCCCTCTTCACTTCATTTATAAAATTAACTAAAAACAAGTTTTGCTATCTGTTAGGGTGAATCCTTTCTCTTTATGCTGTCTCAAAATTGTGGCCAGGCACCATGGTTCATACCTGGAAGCCCAACACTTTGGGAGGCTGAGGCAGGAGGATCACTTGGGCCCAGGAGTTAGAGGCTGCAGTGAGCTATGATTGTGCCACTGCACTCCAGCCTGGGCAACACAGTGAGATCCCGTCGCTTAAAAAAAAATTGTTTTGGCTGTTCTTAACCCCTTTATTTTTCTGGATGGATATTCTGATATGCTTATCGAGGTCAGTGAAAACAATTCTCCACGGATTTTGAATAGAATTTATTAATAGTATAAATTTAGGAAAGCTGCTACTGTTAAGCTGTTGTCTTTCCATACATAAACAGGGTGTATCTCATCATTTCTTCAGGTTTTCTATCTTTCAGTGAGGTTTTAGAGCTTTCTTTGTAAAAGTTTCATGTCATTTATTAGATTTATGAATAACATAGTTTTTTAAAAACTATAAATGTAAATGGCATGTCTTTTTATTTCATCCTCATTCTTGAATGATAGTTTAGCTGTGTATAGAATTCTAAGTTAGCTATTTTCCCTCAACACTCTAAATAGAACTTCTCTCAGATAACTAGGTATAGAAGGAACATTCCTTGCTGAGCACAGCAGCTCACACCTGTAATTCCAGCACTTTGGGAGACCAAAGCCGAAAGATTGCTTGAGCCCAGGAGTTCGAGACAAGCCTGGGCAACATAATGAGATCCCATTTCTAAAAAAACTTTAAAAACTTAGCTGGGCATAGTGATGTGTGCCCGTAGTCCTAGCTACTCGGGAGACTGAGATGGGAGGATTGCTTGAGCCCAGGAGGTTGAGGCTGCAGTGAGCCATGGTCACACCACTGCCCTGCAGCCTGGGTGACAGAGCAAGATCCAGTCTCAAAAAACAACAACAAAAAAGGAACATTCTTTAACCTGAAAATGGCATCTACCAAACCCTAAAGCAAATATTATTCTCAGTGGTGAAATCCTAAAAACATCCCATTTGAATTCAGGAATAAGACACGGGAAATACTGGAATGCAACATCATCCTAATTATCAGGAACAAACAAGATGCAATTTTTAAAAACCATGACATATAGCTGGATTTATTTAAATTAAGTCTCAGCCCTTTAACCTATGAAGTTAGTTCATTTACATTATTGTGATTATATACTGTGGTGGATTTATTCTTTAACCTTGCTTTGTGCTTTCTGTACATTTTTTTCTTTTTCTCCTTTTTTTGCCTTTTATAGAACTGATCAATATTATCTTTCAAATGATTATATTTCTGTTTTTTTCATATTTACTTTAAAATTGAACAAACATACTGCTCAACAATCTTGTAGGTTAATCAATATCCCTTGGTTTCCTTTCAAACAAAATAAGGACCTTAGGTGGTTTTCTCTCTTATTCTTCTTTTTCTCTCACACATTGTTTCTAGTATTTTAATTCCATCTTTTTATGGAACCTCCATTAGTGCTTTTGTTACTATTGTTTCATACAGTCAATGCTTGTTTAGATTTGACTATGTATTTTTCAACTTTTTAATTCTCCACTGCTTTTCTAAAAACATTTTTGAGGTATAATATAGATATAATTCCTCCATTTAAAGTATACAATTCAATGGTTTTTAGTATATTGACAGTTGTACAACTATTAGCACAATCAACCTTAGTACATTTTTATGAACCTCAAAAGAAACCTCATACCCATTAGCAGTCACTCTCCAATTTCCCTCCAACCCAACCAGCCCTAGGCAACCACTAATCTGCTTTCTGTCTCTATAGATTTGCCTATTCTAGATATTTCGGAGCAATGGAATCATACACTATATGGTCTTTTGTGACTGGCTTCTTTCACACAGCATATTTTCTTTTTTTTATTATACTTTAAGTTCTAGGGTACATGTGCACAACGTGCAGGTTTGTTACATATGTATACATGTGCCATGTTGGTTTGCTGCACCCGTTAACTCATCATTTACATTAGGTATATCTCCTAATGCTATCCCTTCCCCCTCCCTCAACCCCACGACAGGCCCTGGTGTGTGATGTTCCCCCTCTGTGTCCAAGTGTTCTCATTGTTCAATTCCCACCTATGAGTGAGAACATCACATAGCATATTTTCAAAGTTCATCCATGTTGTAGTATGTATCAATACTTCATTATTTTTATGGCTAAATAATATTCCACTGTATGGATATACCACATTTTATTTATCCATTCATCAATTAATGGACATTTGTATTGTTTCTACTTTTGGGCTACTGTGAATAATGCTGCTATGAACATTCATGTGCAAGTTTTTGTGTGGACATATGTATTTCATTTCTCTTGGATATATATCTAGGAGTGGAATTAGAGGGTCAAAGGGTAACTTTCAATTTAGCTTTTTGAAAAACTGCCAAACTGTTTTCCAAAGGGGCTGTGACATTTTATATTCCCACCAGCAATGTATGAGGGTTCTACTTTCTCTATATCCTTGCCAAAACGCTATCTGCCTTTTTCATTATAGCCTCTCAAGTGTGTGTAAGTGGTATCTCACTGAGGTTTTGGTTTCCATTTCTCTAATGACTAATGATGTTTAGCATCTTTTCATGTGTTTATTGGCCATTGGCATATTTTATTTGGAGATTCATATCCTTTGCCTCCCTTGCTTTTTGTTGAGACAGGGTCTCACTTTGTCACCCAGGCTGGAGTGCAGTGGCACAATCATGGCTTACTGCAGCCTCAAACTCCTGTGCTCAAACGATCCTCCTGCCTCAGCCCAACAAATAGCTGGGACTACAGGCATGTGCCACCATGCCCACCTTTGTCCATTTTTAAATTGTGTTATTTGCCTTTTTATTATTGAGTTGTAATAATTATTTTTTATTGAGTTGTAAGAATTACAACTCAATAATAATAGTAAGTAAATACAAGTATTTTATCTGATATATGTTTGCAAATATTTTTTTCCATACTGTGAGTTGTCTTTTCATTTTCTTCATGATGTTCTTTGAACCACAAAATTTTTCAATTTTGATGAAGTTCAATTTACATATATTTTTATTTTGTTGCTTATGCTTTTGGTGTCATACCTAAGAAGGCTTTACCTAACCAAGGCCATGAAGATTTAGGCCCATGTTTCTTCTAAGAAGTATATAGTTGTAGGAGCCGGGTGCAGTGGCTCACACCTGTAATCCCAGCACTTTGGGAGGCCGAGGTGGGCAGATCATGAGGTCAGGAGTTCAAGACCAGCCTGGCCAATATGGTGAAACTGCATCTCCACTAATATACAAAACTTAGCCAGGCGTGGTGCACCTGTAGTCCCAGCTACTCTGGAGGCTGCGGCAGGAAAATCACTTGAACTTGGGAGGCGGAGGTTGCAGTGAGCCAAGATCACACCATTGCACTCCAGCCTGGGCAACAGAGCGAGATTCCGTCTCAAAAAAAAAAAAAAAAAAAAAAAGAAGTGTGTAGTTGTAGGTCTTACATTTAGGTCTGTGATCCATTTTTAGTTAATTTTATAAATGAAGTGAAGAGGGGGTGCAACTTCATTTTTTGCATATGCCTATCCAGTTATCTCAATATCATTTGTTGAAAAAGAGTCATCTTTCCTCATTTAATGTCTTGTACCCTTGTTATATTGAGAGTAAATGTGGGGCAAATAAAAGAAAATATACGTAATAAAAATGAACTTATTTTATTAAAATAATAAAATTAAAATTAAATTTTATTTAAATTTTTTGTATATACGTATATACCCATATATATATACACATACATTTACATATATGTATATATATATTTTTCCTTTTGAGACAAGGTCTCGCTCTGTCACTTAGGCTGAAGGCTGAAGTGCAGTGGTTCAATCATAGCTCTTTGCAGCCTTGACCTCCCAGGCCCAAGCAATCCTCCTACCTCAGCCTCTCAAGTAGCTAGGATCACAGAAATGCACCACCACACCCAGCTAATTTTTAAAAAGATTTTTGTAGAGAAAGGGTCTCCCTACATTGCCCAGGCTGGTTTTGAACTCCTGGCTTCAAATGATCCTTGCATCTCAGTCTCCTAAAATGCTGGGATTGCATGAATGAGTCCCCACACCCAACCTGTATTTTTATATTTCTTAAATAAAAATATTATTTCAAAATAAAATATTTTGGACTAAGTCTATTTTATTCATCCATGTCTATTCTTAAGCAAGTACCACAGTGTGTTCACTACTGTAACTTTGTAATACATTTTGAAATCAGTGGGAAATGTGAGTCCTCCAACATGGTTCTTCTTTTAAAAAATTGTTTTGACTATTTTGGGTCACTTGCATTTACATATTAATTTTAGTATCATTTTCTGCAAAGGAAAGCCAAGTAGGATTTTGATAGAGTTTAACTCTGTAGATGAATATGGGAGTATGGCCATTTTAACAATATTAAATCTTTGAATCCATGAACATGGGATGTCTTTCCATTTATTTTGGAATTCTTTAATTTCTTTTAACAATGTCATAGTTCACAGAGTACAAGTTTTATACTTCTTTTGTTAAATTTATTCCTAAGTAGTTTGTTCTTTTTAATTCTCTTATAAATGGAATTGCTTTCTTAATTTCTTTTTCAGATTGCTCATGGATAATTTATTGCTTCTTGATCCTTTTCTCATGGGTTCATATTTCCTACTCCCTGAAGTATATCCTCAAATAATTCATAAAATAAATCTGCAAATACAATTCTCTTACTTTCCATCTGAAAGTGTCTTTATTTCACCCTCACTCTTGAATGATAATTTAATTAGGTATAGAATTCTAGGTCAGTAGTTTAGAAGATATTTTTCTATTTTATTTTGGCCTTACTTCTTGTTACTGAGATGTCAACTCTCAGTCTAATTGTTTCTCTGCAGACAAAGTGCCTTTTTTTCCTGGTTGTTTTTAACTTGTCTTAGTTTATTTTTGATGTTCGACAGTTTTATTATATATATATCAAAATGGAGCTTATTTTATTTATTCTATTCAATGTTTGTTGTACCTCTTCAACCTAAGGATTTGTGTTTTAATTCTAGAACATTCTCAGTGATTAATTTTTTGAATATTGCATTCTCTCTAGTATCTCTTTCTAGAACTTTCAGGGATATACTTTCTCATTTTATTCTCCCAGTGTCTATTTTTGTCATTAAAAATATCTCATTCTGGTTGGATGTGGTGGCTCACACCTGTAATCCCAATACTTTGAGATGCTGAGGTGGGCAGATCACTGGAGCCCAGGAGTTCAAGAACAGCCTGTGTAACATGCTGAAACCGTGTGTCTACCAAAAAATACAAAAATTAGCCAGGCATGGTGGTGTGTGCCTATAGTCCAGCTACTTGGGAGGCTGAGGTGGGAGGGTCACCTGAGCCCAGGAGGTCGAGGTTGCAATGAAAAAAAAATATATATATATAATATATATAAATATATATATATAAAATATATATGGGATATATATATTATTCTGAACTGTATTTTTAGTACTTCTCAATTCTATATTCTAGTTCTTTTTAATACAAAGTAAGGGAGTTAACTCTTCTCAAAAAAAACCAGACTTTAAAAGGAGGAGGACAGGAGTTTCATCCAGGGGAGAAAACAATTTTCATAAAAGACATTATACCTCTTCCAATCATACTCCCTAAAAATAGCGAATGGCCCTAAGGTGGCTATATTTTTTTAACATAAGTATTTGTGAGATGATTAGATTCATGCTAAGGAAATATGTCTGAAATTGTGGTGGGAAAGGACCATCATGATTATGATTTACTGTCCAGGTTTTACCTGTTGAATCTGACAGTGTGGCAGGATGCAAAACAGCATGTGCTTTGAGGTCAACCAGACTTGGGTTCAGGTGCCAGCTTTGCTAATAGCCAGTTATGGGATTGGGCAGCTTATTTTAACCTCACTGAGTTTTTCTGAATCTTAACTTCATCATCTGTAAAATAAACCCATCAATGTTGTTATGAAGAACTAATGATATGGCAGATATAAAGTGCCTTGTGCAAAGCCTGGCCAACAGCAGGTGTTTCATGCAAGATTATCATTATTTCTGGTAGAAGACTCTTAATTAGAATTGGTGCCATCATGTGGGTTATCCTCATTTAGTATTTGAGACCTTCTCATTAGTCATGTCCCATTGTAACCTGTTTGCTGTGATCTGACCTTCCTAGGATACACAGATTAATAATTAATCCAAGTAAGAGATGGAATCGTTGCTTGTGGAAATGTCTGTGTTGATATTTCCCACACTTTTCTTCTGCAGCAGTCCCCTTAGACAGCTCTCGAAGGCCCCAAGTAAAACATTCTGGGGTTCTTTCTTGCAGCAGATGATGTAATGCAAAGTCCATCTGGGAGGCACACCCTATAAGAAAGACCTCTAGGACTCTTAAAAGATAAATGCTTAGAAAATTGATCCAATCAAAATGGAACTGTTATAAATACGCTTTCCCTGTAATTTTTCAAACTAATATATTTAATTCTGTCTGGCAGCATCCTCTAAATTGAATCCACGTGAGACAGATGAGACCATTGGAAGAATATAATATACTGATGCAGGAATTATTCTGCCTTTGGTGGGGGCAGTCAGTGTTTCCTGACTGCCTCATGCTTGGGGTGAAGCTGCCTCATGCTTGGGTTATGATGGCAAATATTGCCTCCAGTAGGCTGCTCATGAATTATTTCTGTTGTGAGATTTATGACAGGAAACGGGATTTTTCTGTAAGCACAGTTTAATGACTAACATTCCTACATGTGCAGTACATTCAGGTCTTTTCCTTGGGTGGGCTTCTTGATTGTATAGCCACCTGAATGTCCACTTTTATTAGACAACATCAATTAACCTTACCCTGCAATGTAATATTGCACGTGCCATCATTACCCAGAGCACAGAGAACATGTGAACCACTAGGAGAATGGTGATGACATTGTTAACGTCACTAGGCTATTTAAGGTGGGGAAAACCTTCAATAATTTAGTGATATTAATAATTGCAATAGTTAATAGTTATCATATAGTCTCTGTGTGCCTGATACTATGCTAAGTGCACCCCTCTATTTATCTATGTTTATATTTATATGTGTTTAAGTTAGTCTTCGCAATAGCCTTGTGAGAGGGGTACTGTGATTAGCCGCATGTTCTAGATGAGGAAAATGAAGCATGAGGCATGGAGTTACCTTGCTCAGGATGGTACAGTGAAGGAGTTGGGGAGCTCGATCCATACCCGGGTGGGCTGGCACCAAGAGGAAAGTGGCCTTACCTTCACCACATGAACATGAGGCCTGGAAGTTTCAGAGGGCCGCCCTCTCTATGCTCAGAGATACCTGGACTCAGCTGATGTGTGAAAGCCATGCTTCGACTCCCCAGTCGAGTGTAACCCCTCTAGATAGACTGTCCAAAAGGCTACATACAATTCAGAACATTTAGCTTATCTTTACTTTAAATTGTATACTTACCTTACCAACTCCACTGGCATTAGGGATTCTTCTTGCTCACCATTCCTTCCTTTCTCTGTCTTCACATTTGCTGGGTGCTTTGGGGACAAAAGGAGGAAGGGGAGAAAGAGGAGGAAGCAGAGGAGAAACAATTCTCTTTGCTTGGGAAGTCTGCATTCCAGCCCTGGCAATGGGCTCTGTAACTGTGAAAGAACTGGAGAGTGACATGACAGGGTTTGGTAGCAAGTCGTTCCCTCCTTAGATAGCTCAGGCGGGACCAGGTGAACATCTCCAGACTCTTCCCCACACATTTGGCCTCTGCCTCACCTCTCCCTGATGGGGTTAATTCACTATGTCCCTACTCTGTGGCCTTCCCAGCCCATTACCCTACCTCTGTCACAGTCCTCCTTACTTTGCCACCTCATAGGGCCTTCCTGATAGAGCAGGAGGCCAAAGTCCTCTGACCAAGTTTGCAGAGTAAATTTGAGGTGAAATGAAATTCCACCTCCTAAGTTGACAGAAGGCACAGTCAGAACATTAAATTGGCTTTAGCACATAGAATAATTCTTATATATTTTGAGAGGTCTGGAAACGTTTGCTTATAAGCAAGTGTTTCAGAAAGACCTCCTTATATTTTGATATAGTGATTATAAAATAAAAATATTTCTAGTCCATCTTCTGTCCAGGGAGAGGTGCTTTTAGCTTTTAGAAGCAAGAGGAGCCACCTGGTTCTTCTCTTGGTCACCTTTCCTCTCGCCCACCACCTATATCAGGTGAGTCAATGCCATAAAGGATATTTACCTTTAAGATCAGAATAATTGATCTTTCCAAAGTGACCACCTCCTACTGCTAATTTATAGACCAAAGAAGGTATCTGAGATAAGTATTTATTCTATAAAACTTCTGAAGAATCTAGCTTAAACAGATATTTTTCCTTAAAATTATTTTTTGTAATACATGCACAAAGTCAGAGCATAAAAGAACATAACATTTATTTGTCAAAAACTCATTGAATAATATATATCAACAAAGTTGATTTAAATGTGAAAAAAAAACCCAGTCATAACATTAAAACCTAGTTTTTCTCACTTCCCTGTCCCCTAGCCACCCTACCCCTCCCCAGAGATTACTGGATTACTGCCGTGATATTTTTTGAAGAGGGTGGCATATTGACTTCTAGAGATGTTCCCTGCGTGTATGCATTTATAATCTTTGTTGTTGTTGTTGTTTGTTGTTTGTTTGTTTTTGTTTGAGACGAAGTCTCGCTCTTGTCCCCCAGGCTGGAGTGTGATGGCGCAATCTCAGCTCACTGCAACCTCCGCCTCCCAGGTTCAAGCAATTCTCCTGCCTCAGCTTCCCAAGTAGCTGGGATTACAGATGCCTGCCACCACGCCCGGCTAATTTTTGTACTTTTAGTAGAGATGGGGTTTCACCATGTTGGCCAGGATGGTCTAGAACTCCTCACCTCAGGTGATCCACCTGCCTTAGCCTCCCAAAGTGCTGGGATTACAGGCATGAGCCACCGTGCCCGGCCGCATTTGTAATCTTTTTTAACAACCTGCACATGGCAGCATTTTGTACACTCAGTTCTTGCTTTTGTCTCCTACTACTGTATAATGGAGACGGTTCCATATCAGCACAGTCAGTGCTGCTTCATTCTTTTGATGGGCAACACAGTTCCCCCCGGCAAGGCTATAGCCTAATATCCATACCAGTTCTTTTCGATAACTTTTAAGCTATTTAAAATCCTTTGTTATTACGAACAATGCTTATGTATAAGCATATCTATAGAATAAACTCCTGTGAGTAGAACTACTAGGTCAAATGGTATATAGACTTTATAAAATAGTTTAAATACACAAAAAAGTATAAAAAATAATGTAACTAACAACGTACCCAGCATTATTACATCTCAACAAGGAAAATCACATTTCATTTAGGAAGCACTGAAGTGCGAGGTCACTGAAGTCATGAGTTATTGCTAATTTATTTGGAATAAGGGAGTTATCTAATTTTGCTTTGAAATCTGGAAGCCTGTACTCAAATGCTGCTAGGATTGTAAATGTATTCCATCTAGTGGGCTCAGCTGTGTCCAGAGTGGACTGGTTTTTCTAACCAATCACCTGCGTGTTCCTAAATTTAGTTCTTTGGTGTGTTTTGCCCTAATCAATGAGATATGCAGGCCTGGCCTGGCAAAAGGCCCGAATTAGCTCAAAGGTGACTGCTAAGATCATGTAGCCTATCCCAAGTATCCTGTCATACAAGTGACTTTACAGGGATTTGTTTTACTCCTTATTAGATGGAATGAGCTTTCAGTTTCATTCTTATCATTTAAGTGGATTGTGGTTTAATGTATTTGTAAAGGCATACCGTGTATCTATGCACATGTATTGTTTCCATTATGCTTTATCTCAGGCCTCATACCTTCTGCAAGGATTTTCATAATGTTTTTCTGAGTGGGAAGCCAGGAGTTCTCTCTGTGCCTCAACCCCTGCTCCCACTGCATTCATTCTCTTTGGGGGTTGCACATAGGGTTAAGGATTTCTGGTTTTCCTTTGAACAATGATTGCTGTATTAAACACAGCTTGGTAACTTTCAGCCTATTATTTGTGTAAATGGCTCTCTAGTGCTTTTAGATTTACTTAATTAAAATTCTAGAATGATGTGATTCCAGTGGGTTACATTAGTCTCACCCTTAACTTCTTCAGTCATTTTTGTCTTCTAGCCTTTTTCTTTGCAAGAGTTCTTATTGAAGACAACAGCTTAGCAGACTTCTCAACTCATAATTCATTACTTAAAAGTTAAAATAATTAAAAGCGTTTGTTGTGGAGCATAGTGGAGTTAAACTCAGCTTGATATTCATGCAACATTGCACTGCCGCAAGAATGTAGCTAACATATCCTTAAAATGAAAAGGGAAAGGTTGCAGTTCCCAGAGATTTTCTACCCATCTTTTGAGCTGAAATCATTTCATAAGTTAACCACTGAGTTTGAATGTATCATCTAGTTATAGTTTAATAGGAGGGAACAAAGGATGCACATTATCTTTTCCCTTTATACCCAGGACATAGTAAGATTCACACAACACAACTCATTGCCCAGGCATGCAAGTATTCCCATGCATGAACAGACCTCCTGTGCCTCTACGTTTTTCCCTCCCTTAGTGACAGAAAATTCACTGGACTCCAGCAAGCGCTGAGCTCTGGCAGCCATTGGCCCCAGAGCTCTACTAGGTAGAGGCTAGCTACGGAGGTGGCCAGTCCGGTGGTTTGTGTCCAGGAGAACATGGCACAGTTAGCTATTTAAATCCAACCAGGATGATGTAAGCGAGCGGGCTGAAAGAGTTAGGCGAAAGGTGAAAGGAAAGGAGAAATCTTGTCAGGCTGCATTATTTACAGTGAGCTGGGCTGAGACTAACATGCCGGCCACCTGTACACTGAGCCAAACTCCTGGCACCTCCATGCTGCCTCCTCGCAGCCCTCGAGAAAGGAGGAATCACTGCAGAAAATTATCTGATGCTAAATTATGTGGGGAGAGGGAATGGTGTAATTTTTAATATGATTTTTTTAACTGGAAGAGCAGGTCTCTCTACTTAGATAAAAACACACAGACCTGCTCTGGTTTGCAAATTACTGGAGTGTCACAGCAAAGCTGGGCTCTCTGTCTCTCTTGCTGATAAGAGAATAGTGTTTACTCTTGCCTCTGTGGTCCTAATAATCCTGAGTGAAACTTTGTAAAATGAGTTCTTGTTTTGCAGGACGAGCAAATGTTCAGGCTCAGGAAATGATGCTAAAGACACTTTGAAAAATGTAAGATGGGCTTGACACAGCATTGGCACAGGATACGTGACAGGAAGCAGCGTGGGGAGCGGTGATAACAGTCCCTGCGGCAGGCAGAGAGCTGGTTTCACACTCCAGCCTGGGTTCCCGCAGCAGGAGCGGGCTCAGTGCACTGAGGCGAGAGCCTTGTTGCACTGCAGAATGAGGGAGGAAATCTGGCTGTGCTCCTAGGGGCCTGGGTTGGGGGAGGCCTGAAGAAGCAGGAGAGGGCCCCGAGAGCACCTTCTTACCAGTGAGGGCTTGACATTCACCTGCACACACACCGCACTTTTAAAAATCGTGTTGGCTTTGGTTGGTTTTGGCCCTGCTCACACTACTTTTCCAAAGCACCTCCTGTTGACGAAGCTGGCTTTGGGACAAGAGAGGATGCATTTGTCCTTAGGGTCTCTCAGGGACAGGCCACGCAACACCACATACACAGGTGCTCAGTAAGAATTAGATGGAGCGGACAATGCTGATTACTGTTAATGACGGGGTAAGTTAATAAAGGCAAGATGCCTGTTTCCGGGCAAATCCGCCCCAGTGCGATGGAACCTGCAGCTGATCTGCTTAGGAGGGTGGCTTTTCTTCCAGATGGCCGTGGCCTTTGTGTCAGGGAAGGGCTTTTTTTTCCATGCATGGTGCACTCTGGTTGTGATGCAGATTAGAAATTCATTTTCATTTGCCACTCTTAAAAAAAATAAACATTCTGGGCGCATGAAAGGGAGCTTTTGAACCCCAAGAGTGTGCTGTGTGTTTGATTGCGTGCGGCGGGACCCTCTCCTAGATCATTAGCAAGTGCGCCTGGCTCTGCGGCTTTATTCGGGCTTCAGCCCTGGCGTCATTCCGACAGCTCTGTTCTTAAAGATGAACTCCCATGCACCCAGTAACTTGCTGTAGAGACCAGAGGGGAAAACTTGATGATATGGATTTACAACAATTATTTTACTAGGTTTGTGTTTCTCCTGCACTATATTCTTCTTTCAAAGAGTCAGAAGGGAGAGATTGATGCCTATTTGCCATTGTTTCTTTAAAGTTGTCATTGCTGGTGTAACTTTGATGAATACTGGAAAGCAGAACTATTCAAACTGTGTGAGTTCTGAAGGGGTCACCAAATTTAAATGATACAAAAGGACCAGCACAGGCAATGAAGTGACAGGGATAGCATGGAGGATAATTCCACAGTATTGCAAAACCAACAGATAGCATCTCATCTCTGTTGAGCACAGCCAGGCATAGGAAGATAGCAATCTTTATCTAGGTATAGAGATGATTCTTGCTTCCAGGTGCTTAAAATCAAGTGAGAGAAACAGACATGTATACAAAGAACTCTAAGACAAGGCACACATGTGACCAAAGTGAAGTGTAAACCCAACACTGCACGCATGCTGAAAAAGTATGACTTGTTCTGGTGGGTGAGGCCCCTCAGTTGAACTTGGATGAATGAGGAGGACCTCAACAGGCAGAATGGGGGATACCGTATCTGAAACTCTATATCCTTGAAAAAAGAATATGCAAAGTCTATATGAACAAATATAGCAAGATGTCTGAGATAGATTACATGATAAAGGAGTTTACCCAGCAATATGTGTAGAACTCCTACTTTTAGGGTTAAAATATACACAGTATATGAAGAGTAGTTAAGCTTTTAAGCTCTAAAGACAGGCTGGTTAAAATCCCAGCTCAGGACTTTCAGTGGATTGTGTTACTGCTGAAAAATATTTACTGTCTCTCCCTGGGGGAAGGTTATTCGTTCCTGTTCATTAATAGCAGGCTGGTCCTAGAACCTCCTTTGGCTAATGAAATGAGAGCAGAAGTGATATATGCCCCTTCTAAGTAGATGGTTTAGGAGCCACTGTTTGCTTCTGCTGTTTTATGATGAACAGCTAAGTCCCAGATAGAGGGTGCTCCTTCAGCTTCAGCCTGGGTCCTGGAACAAAGACAGCATGGAGCAGAGCCACAGCTGACTCCTGGTCGACATGATTCATTAGCATAAGCAAGAAATAAACCTTTGTTATTGTCAGCCACTGAGATTTTGAAGATTCTTGTTGGCTGGTCACGGTGGCTCATGCCTGTAAACCCAGCCCTTTGGGAGTCTGAGGCGGGCCGATCACGAGGTCAGGAATTTGAGACCAGCTTGGCCAACATGGTGAAACCCTGTCTCTCCTTAAAAAATACAAAAATTAGCTGGGTGTGGTGGCATATGCCTGTAATCCCAGCTACTCGGGAGGCTGAGGCAGGAGAATCGCTTTAACTGGTGGGGGCAGAGGTTGCAGTGAGCTGAGATCATGCCACTGCACTGTCTCAAAAAAAAGAAAAAAAGAAAATGCTTGTTACCAGAACATAACTCAGCCTAAGTTGACTGACAGTCACTTTACCACCTATGGGATCTTATTTGACCTCATTAAACCTCAGTTTCCTTGTACATAAAATGGGGATAACAAAATACCTACCTCGGAGGATCACTGTGATGTTAAAATGCACAGCATAGAGGTTTGTAATCCATACTAAGAATTCAGTAAGTCTTAGCTACCTTTAAATACGCATAGAAAAATGTCTGGAGGGATATATGCTGTCTTAGTCCATTTGTGTTGCTATAAAGAAACACCTGAGGCTGGGTAATTTACAAAGAAAAGAGATTTATTTGGCTCATGTTTCTGCAGGCTGCACAAGAAGCATAGCACCAGCAACTGCTTCTGCTGAGGCTGTAGGAAGCTTCCACTCATGGTGGAAGGGAAAGGGGAACAGGCATCACATGCTAGGAGAAGAAAGAAGGAAGAAAGATAGGGGAGGGGTGCCATGCTCTTTTAAATAACCAGCTTCCATGTGGACTAATTGAGCAAGAACTCACTCCTAACCAGAGAGAGGGCACCACGCCATTCATAAGGGATCTGCCTCTAGGACCCAAACACCTGCTAGGCCCCACTTCCAACACTGGGGATCACATTTCAACATTGAGATCTGGAGGGGACAGATACCCAAACTGTATCGTATACCAACCTGTTAACAGCAGTGCCCTCTTGAATGTGAGATTACAGGTGACTTTCATTTTCTATTTTAGTTCTGCAATCAAATTGTTTATAAGAGGCATATATTATTTTAATCATCATAAAAATTAGGTAGTTTCGCTTTGGAAAAATGAACAAAAGCACCCTGTACATTTCTCTATCACAATGCCTACTGCACCAAACTCAGCTCCTTGAAAGAGGGAGCTGTGTGCATTGCCCTGTGCTGCTAGTGGCTGGGTGGCAGAGATTATATACTCAGTAGATGTTTACACAAGCGTAATTGATCAGCTTCTCATCTGGATTACTGGGTGAATGGCAGGTAATGACCTGCTCTGAGAAGAGAAACACAAAAAGAGTACTACATGAGGTATGAACTCAGAATGTCCACATTCTGAGTTTCTCATAGAAACAATAATCAGGCAGCTAGAAATAGGAATTTGAATATCAGAGATGTAAAGGTGGGGTTTATCAAATAGAGGCGATTACAGGTTGAGCATCCCAAATCCAAAATCTAAAATGCTCCAAGATCTGAAATTTTCTGAGCACTGACATGATGCACAAAGAAAATGCTCATTGGACCTTTTTGGGGTTCGGGTTTTCAGATTTGGGATGCTCAATCAGCAAGTATAATGCAAATATTCCAAAATCCAAAACACTTCCAGTTGCAAGCATTTGGGATAAGGGATACTCAGCCTGTAGTCGAATCTGTGGATGTAGAGTGGGAGCATGAGCTCTCTGCTCTGCTCTAGCCCCATCACCCTAATTGTCCTCTCAAGACCTAGTCCAAGGAATTTTTAACAACAATATTCAGCCTATCATTTTTATTGAGCACCTACCACATGCCAGGCACTGATGCTACAGAGGTGAACTATAAAATCAAATGTCTCTGCCCTCAACCAGTTTCTGTTTTACAGTGGGGGCAGAAAATAACCAACAACTAAATGAGTAAGATATAGAGTGTATTCTGTAGTGATAGAGAGAATGATAAAACAGGGAAGAGGGAAAGGGAATGCTGGGTGGGGAGTGTTGCCATTTTCAACAGGATAAGTCAAGGTAGGCCTTGCTGAAGACATGACATTGGAGCATAAAGCTTTAAAAAAGCACAAGATATCTGTGAATCCTGAGAGAATGATCCAGATAGAGCAGAAAGGACAGAGGCCTTGAGGTGGAAACATGCCCGTGCTCAGAGGAATAGCAAGGAGGTCGGTGTGGCTGGAGCAGAATGAGTAAAGGGGTCAGTGGTAAAAGAGTTCAGAGAAATAGTGAGGGGTGGGAGTGGGGATGGAGCCGTGGATAGATCACGGAAGACCTTATCTGCAGGCTACTGAAGGCACTTTGACTTTTATTCTAAGCAATATGGAGGGGAAGCTAATGAAGTTTCATTAGAGGAATAATCTGGCTTATGTTCTAAACTGACCAGGCTGGTGAATATATTGAGAACACACTGATGGAGGGGAAGGGTAGAAGCTGGGAGAACAGTAAGGAAGTTATTGCAGTCATAGGTGATGGGTAGCTTGGGCTAAAGTGGAGGTGATGAGAAGAGGTTGGATCCTGGATACATGTTGCAAGCGCGGCCAGTGTGATATGCTCATGGATTTAATGTGGCACATGAAAGGAAGAGAGGAATCAAGGATAAGCGCACGGTTTTTGGCAGTAGCAATTGGGAAGATGGGGTTGCTGAAATGGGAAGACTTCAAGAGGTGCAGTATTGATGGGAAGTTAGGAGTTCAGTTTTAGACACGCTCATTTTGAGATGCCCTTCGACATCCAAGTGGAGAAATAGGTGGATGGACATGTGAGCCTTCAGCCCAGGGGAGGGCTCTGTGCTGGCTCAGGACATTTGAGGTTCTTGGTGTACAGGCGGTATTTACGCTGTGAGAAGGGTGAGATCCCTTAGGGAGTAAGCGCAGGGAGAAAAGGAGTCTGGGGACCAAGCTCTGGGTCCCCCAACATTTAGAGCAGGAGAGAAGAAGCAACCAGCCAGGAAGACTGAGTGAGTAGTCAGTGAGGGCAGAGGAGAATCAGAGGTGAGTAGTGTCCCAGAGATACGTGAAGAAAGTGTTTGAGGGAGGTGGGCATGCTACTGCCAGGCCAGCTGAGATGGGGACTCAGCATTGTCCATTGGGTTAAGCCAGATGGAGGTCCCTGGTGACCCAGCAAGAGCAAGGGCATGGGTGGAGCATGGGTGGAGGGGAGTGAGTGGAGAAGCCTGGCAGAAGAAGATTTGAAAGAGAATTCGAAGAGAGGAATCAGAGAGCAGAAAGTTTAAACAACTCTTTGGAGGAATTTTGCTGCAAAGGAGAGTAGGAAAATGGAGTGGTAGCGAGAGGGAAAGATAGATATGAGCCCAAGAAAGTATTTTCTGTCTTCTTTTTTTTTTTTTTCTTAAGATGGGAGAAATCACAGTGGTCGGTATACTCATGGAAAGACTCCATTAGACAGGGACAAATTGCTGATGCAGAAGAAATAAAGAGGACGTTTTGTGCTATGGACTTGGATAGGTGAAAGGAGGCAGGATCTATCGCACAGATGGAGAGACTGGACTTAGGCGAGGTTCCAGCTCACAGTTCAGAGAAACAGAAGGTGGAGGTAGGGTGGCTGGACACAGGTACAGGTAAGTTGGCAGATGCAGTGGTGGCAGTGTGGGGGTGGCAAGGGTGCATGTTCTCTATTGATTGCTCCTTTTTTCTCTGGGAAATGGCAAGCAAAGTCAGCAGCTTAACGACAAGATAAGTAAAGGGGTGTTGGAGATTTGAGAATGGAGGCAAAGGTATAATCTGGTGACCTAGGAGGGAGACAGTCCTGGGTGGTCTAGGGAGTATCAGGCCAGCCCTTAAGGACCCCCAAGTTCAGTGGCCCCAAAGTCAAGTGAAATGGTCATCAGGGGTATGCATTAGTTTCCACTGTGGATATGCAGTTACAGCATGGGTAGACAGGTGGATTTAACTAACTCAGAAGCTGAGGAAATAACCTGAAAGAGAGAGAAAGGAATGGGATCAAGAGCAGATGCGGATGGCCTAGGGAGTTGGAAAGGAACTGGGGAAGCATCTATTAGTTTGAGAAAGGAGGAAAATAGGACTGTGTTAGTTATCTACTGCTATGTAACAAAATCTTTACAAACTTGGCAACTTGAAACACACATTAATTTTCTGATAGTTTCTGTGAGTCAGGAACCTGGGAACAGCTTAGCTCAGTCCTGTTTCGGAGTCTCTCAGAAGGCTGCAATCAAGGCGTCAGCCCGGGCTGGGGTCTCATCTGAGGCTTGACTAGGGAAGGATTCCCTTCCAAGCTTATGTGGTTGTTGGCATGTTGCAGTTTCTTGTGGACTCTCAAAGGGCCTTAATTCCCTGCTGCTGTTAGCTGAAGGCTGCTCTCAGTTCTTGCCATGTGGGCCTCTCCATATGGTGTTACTTCAACAAAGCTAGCAAGGGGGAAAGTCGATGGAGTCAGTCTGCTAGCCAGATGGAAGCTACGTCTTATGTAATGTCATCACAGGACCGACATCACCTTGCCCTATTCTGTTGCTGGAGACAGTCACAGGTGCCCTCATACTCCAAGAGGAGGAGATCCACAAGCGTGCAAACACCAGGAGGCAGGGATCATCGGGAGCCATCCTGGAGTCTGCCTGCCACAGGGAGAAATGCACAACATGGCAGATTTTGCATAGGGAGAAGGGAAACTGAGGGAGCTGAAACACAGCAGACAGCCTGTCTCCTAATGAAAAGGGGGACGGACTTACCCCTTGAGAAAGAAAGGGCCGTGATGGGGGATGTATGGCGGGTGTAGGGAAAAAAAATGTTTGCAGTGAGGAGAGGGAGCCCAGGGGGTAAGTAGGAGATTTCTGAGCAACAAGGAGGGCCCACAAAATTCTTATAGAAAGCATGGATTTGCTGCAGAGCCAGCAGACAGTTAAGTGATTTGCTCCAACAACAGATGGCACTCTGTTTTCAGCCAGAGAACAAATGGATGGAGGGATTGGCCCAAGGCTGAGTGTGTTTAAAGGTCAGGGTCAGGTCAGGTGTGGTGGCCCACGCCTGTCATCCCAGCACTTTGGGAGGCTGAGGCAAGAAGATTGCTGAAGGCCAGGAGTTCAAAGCTGTAGTGAGCTAGGATCACACCACTGCACAGCACTGGACCACAGAGGGAAACCCTGTCTGTGAAACAATGAAAAAAAAAGATTAAACAGAAGGCCAAGGTCAAGAGACTCTGCGGTGCTGGTTTAAAAAACAACAACAACAACAAAAAACAAGTGACTCAGAGTCATTTTTCTACTTCCCACTTCCTCATTTCTACTTCACCAGTGATTCTAAACTAAGTGTGAGCCCCAGGCTGGCCTGGCTCTGTGAAGGTAGCAATCCGTCATGATGCAGACAGGCTCTGGCAGGAATTCCAGACGACCCCACTGGGGACCTTGCAGAACAGAAGCTGTTTCCGTGGAGCAAGGATCCCCGCTGGAGACTTCAGTGTCTCTCCCTGTCTCCAGGCACTTCCTGGCATTTCCACTGGCTCTCACCAATCCTCTCCCTAGGACCAGATCTTCCTCATCTGCACCTCCATTACCCTCCTCCTCTGCCTCAGACACAGTGTTTATCAAGCTCATCCTGGTGTTTAGCTCCTTTCCAGAAAGAGCTTCGAGTGAGTTATTGATGCAGTCAATACACTGACCTCGAGTTCACAGCTGGTCCAGGAGGTTAAAATGCTGAAGTAAGTAGAACACACTGTGATGAGTTTGTTAAGAAATTTGATTCTCAGTTTCCAGGATAAACTGTTTTCTTTACCATGTCACCACTTCAGTCTTGTTATTGTGCTGTTGAATAGGGCAGGACCAACAAATGACAAGAATCCAATGGCCTTTGAAGGTCATCCTGTGCAGCCTCCTGCCTTCGAGCAAGGATGGTACCTGAAATAATAATCCCTGTGGGAAGAGTTCAGAAGGAAGACATAAGGCCTTAGCTGCATGGAATTATGATGACTGAGAAGTATTTTGTTTAAAGCTTAGAGTCAATGCAAATGTTTTCTTGTTTTAGAAAATTCTTAGAGAAAGGATAATTATTTCCCACACGAATTGAGCTATGTCGTGTCTCACTCATCTCAGACCCAGCCCATTGTGAGTCCATAATACTTGTTGGATAAACATTTGTTGAACTGAAATGAGTGGATCCAAGGGTGAGACATTAGCAAATATGAGTCATCCCTGAATGATATGAAGTGAAAATTAGAAGAAATTCAGGTGCTTCTAATAGGATACCGAATATGAACACTTGGAGACTCACTCCTATGCGGACTCCTTTAGTCTTCCTGCATAATACACTTTTTAAAAACACAAGGTCCAGAACTATTTTTAAAAGAAAGCTTTGGGTCGAAATGTTTTCAATGCACAGACATCTAGAGGAGAAAATAGCAATCACCCACATTCCCACCATGCAGAATTAAGTACTATTAACATTTTGGAATATTTGCTTCCAACCTTTTTAGTTAGTACTCTATTTTTAAAACCTTTACTAGTGCAATTATGTGCTGAAAAATATGAATGTGTCTGTGCATGTGCATATGTGTGTATACTATGAACTCACATGTCTCTGCTCACACATCTGTGACCTCTTGCTTGCTCTTCCCCAGGGTTTCTGCACTGGTAGGTGCTATATTGCACACTGCTATGGCAATAGTGGAATAATGAAGCCATGATTTTACATATCAGTGTACAGATGCATAATCCGAATTATACATTTTTAAAGTATAAAAGCTATAAGGAATGCACACACACAGTAAAAAAAAAAAAATTCTAACCCGACTCCCTGGCCTTCAGTCTTTCAATTTTTCTCTCCAGGGGCAACCAGCATTGCCAGTTCCTTGCAAATGTTTCCAGAAATATCATTTGCATATACAAACATGTATTCTCTATTTTCCTACACAGATGGTAGCATACGATGTATACTGTTTTGTACCTTAGCATAGGGTTTTGGAAATTTTGCAAATGCTTCTTAACAGTAAGCTTTCTGAATGTGCAAATTAGCAATCAAGGCCTTCCTTTTTTCCTTAGTCTCAGACAATGAACTCGGTGGTCAAAAAAATGTCCTCCACTTGCCGGACAGGTGCCTTCAAATCACAAATTCCCACATCATGGTTAGATGGTGTATTCTTGCCCACTCCTGTTGAACTTACTTATTTAAACATCCACAAGAAAATCCTGTATATTTTTGGTAGCTAAAGCAAAATCCTGCAGAACACAACAAAACCAAACAGAGGGAAATTTGGGGCTCAGCTTAAAATACAGCTGGGCAAGCCTACACTTAGTTGCTGGAATAACAACCAGCTGGGAGGACTAAATTTAGCTTGGAGCCTTAAACACGGTCAGCCCTAATGCCCACAACCCCCCCACAGAGGACTTGGGCCCCGTCTCCCAAGTTGGGAGACAAGAAGAAACAACAATGTTGGCCTAAAAGGCTGACTTTGCAAAAACCACCTAGTCAATCTGCTGTGATTTAATAGGCTGTGAAAGGTTTGATTTACAGGCAGTCAATAGGCAAGCAGCATGATTTGTTGTTAGGGGTATAGAGAGCACAAGGACTAGGATGATGCCAGACAGTGAAAGCGGTTAATTAAAATTGTAATATTATTTTAAAACAATTTTTAAAAAAGAATAGAACAAATTGGAACTAGAAGTGGGTCCCACTCTCAGGGCTGGCTTGCAGGGAAATGAAAGGCAAGTAGGACCGGTCTCCCACATGGAGCCTTCATGGGACCCCCTTACCCATGCACCACCCCCTTCTCCAGGGGAGGGCTGCAAAGGACAGAGACCCCCAAACACAGGCTCATGTCTTGATATTACGACTTGGTTAGCCTCAGTTTCCTGGTTTGGTCAAGTAAGGTGGTTGGACTAGATGCGCTCTGAGCCCCAACCCTCCAGGTCTGCAGTTTTCATTTTCTTATGTCTCCTACAACTGCCTGGAGCCCCTTGGTTCTTTGAGGCTCCTCCTACAACCTGGGGGTGCTTTACACCCCACCCGTAGCCCCCTCCAAACCCAAGTGGTGGTCTTGGTGCCTCAGGGTGAGACCACGCGTTGACAATATGTTAATAACTTGGTAAGGGAGGAACACGAGGGAGCTGGGAGTGTCTGGCATCTCCCCTGAGCCTGAAGGTGGCACCGTGGAAAGCCTGACAACCCACACAGCATCACAGGCATCATCTGGGCTCCGTCAGAGAGGCCTGGGACGTAGTTTACTGAAAATAAACAGGACGAGGATGCCCCATTTAGCCCAGGTGGTACCCGGGGAATAGCGGGACTTCTGACTGACCATGCTCACATGTGTGAAGAAAATGTCTACTGGGGTTCTCATGAGTCCCCCACCCACTGGGTAGCAACAGAAATAAACTAGACTGAGTCCAAGCAGTTCCAGACTTGGATGCCATGATTTAAATACTGTGCCTGTAGGGTGACTTTGGTTTCCACCGTTGAATTGTTGTCTTCCAGATTCTTGTCCTGCCCCTGCTCCTTTCTTAGAAGGTATTTGTGTGGGGTGTGATGAGCAGGCTTTCAGGATGTCATGGCAGGCCTGTGTGTGAGAACACTCTTGGTGACCCCCATGCTGTGTGTGGGCTGGTTTGGTGTGCTACTAGTCTCAGCTGTCTGCAAACTCTTGCTGTGGTCTTTCTCAGCCCACTGGCCCTCCCTGCGGATACGGCCTCCCCTTGCTTCACTCTGTCATCACAGACATTTCTGAGTCCCTGTCACACTGTCCTTCTGGGTCCTGGCCCAGGCTGCCACCCACAGTGTGGGCTGTAGGGTTATTTTGCTCCCAGCCACATTAGGGCCCTGGCAAATCTCCAGGCTTATGGGAGAAAATGTGTTCAAGAGTACACACTAGACCCCTCTCTGCCCTCCTAGCAATGCAAGGCTGCCTATCTTGACCTTCACAGCAGTCCCCACCAAGATCCCAGATGGGAAATGGGGCACAGCCCTGCCACTCTCGATGTTTCCTTCAACCTAATCTAAATGTCTCCTCCTTCAGGCCTAGACCAGAGAGTGGTGAGCAGGCCCCAGAGCTGACTGACAGAGCACCTTTCACTGCCCAGCGCTATTTAGGGCCCGAGGGATGGGACTGAAAACAAAAATTCCCATTCCTGTCTACCTGCAATTTCCCTCCCTTCCTTCCTGTCTTCCTGCCTTCCTGCCTTCCTTCTTGCCTTCCTTCCTTCCTTTTCTGACATAGGGTCTCTCTCTGTTGCCCAGGCTGGAGTGCAGTGGCATGATCATGGCTCACTGCAGCCTCAACCTCCCGGGCTCAAGTGATCCTCCCACCTCAGCCTCCTGAATAGTTGGTACTATGGGCATGCACCACCACACCTGGCTGATTTTAAACATTTTTGTAGAGACAAGGTCTCACTATGTTGCCCAGGCTGGTCTCAAACTCCTGAGCTCAAGCAATCCTCCTACCCTGGCCTCCCAAAGTGCTGGGGTTACAGTCTTGAACTGTGCTTGGCCATGCAATTTCTGTGCTCGGCCATGCAATTTCCATCTTGTAAAAATTTCCATGATCTAATACTTCACCACACAGAGCCTTTAATATGTTACACAAGAACTAATTTTTTAGAAAACCTTTTTTTTTTTTAAATTGAAGGCCCAACTTTCAAGGTTGCTGTTTTGCTTCAAATCTTATTTTAGATACCAGAAGCTGAATATTAACTTTTTTTCTGTTTGCATTATTTCTGAAATAATCTTAATCCTCTGCTCCAGTAAGACCAGGGAGAAGATCATGAGCTCATAAAAAGCAAACAAAAAGTAATGCCTGGTAATAATTTTCAAAATAGTATCCTGCATTAAATTTTTGTATACTTATTTAATCAATGTCTCCCTCATTGAAAAGCATATTACCTGAGGTGGGGATGGAGGGACAACACTTTAATAAATTGGTCTCATAAATTGGGGCCCTAAGGAACATAGGACAGCAAAGTGTTGACAAGGGAAAATTCCAGGGCAGAGGCGTGACGGGGAGAGGGCGCAGGTCTAGCAGCTGACAAGACACTTAGATTTATCCATCCAGGAGTCCAAAACTCGCATAGGGTCTGAGTCTATCAATATGAGGGTTTAAGTAGAACACTAGTTAATTTGCCATGTATAGTCTCCTGAAACAGTGCTTCCCAGCTCCTAGCTGCATCAGAATCACCTGGAAGGCTTGCTGAAACCGACCAGGCCTGACTCCCCCAGTCTCTGATTCAGTAAGTCTCGGGTGAGACCTGAGGATCCGCATCTGTTACAAACTCCCAGGTGCCCATGATGATTGATGTTGGCCTTTCTACCACTGTTTGAGTGGCACTGTCCCCAAGAAAATGGCACGGGGACCAAGATAGAGACTACAAATGACCGCTAGGAACAGCGGCAAACTGTATGACTTGCTTTAAGATTTTGTTCTGACAATTCTAGGCAGTCGTTCGATTCAAACACATTGTAAAGAAAAATAAGACCAGATCTAGGAGGTGATTTCCACACCTCTAGAAAGAAGGAAAATCATCATGCTAGAGCGTCTGAGTAAGCTCCAGGTCAAGGATTTTCTTTTTATTTTATTTTAATTAATTAATTAATTAAGTTAGAGACAGGGTCTTACTCTGTTGCCCAGGCTGAGGTGCAGTGGCACGATCTCAGCTCACTGCAACCTCCACTTCCTAGGTTCAAGTGATCCTCCTTCCTCAGCCTCCCAAGTCACTGGGACCACAGGTGTGAGCTACCACGCCCAGCTAGAGAGAATTTTCTTCTTACAGCCTTTATTAATCTGAGCTGCCCTTGGATGGGAGGAAAGGCAGGGCAGAAAGCCCCTTTCTTCATCCTGACTAATCTCCAGTGAACTAAGGGGCACTTTTGGAAATATTTGCAGAGTGCCCGTGCTGTGGATAGGTCTCTGCCTTTGCCCTATGCATCGTGGAAGTGGCTGTGTGGCTGCCTCCCAGGCCCTGGGTGAGCGGGGGAGCCCCTGGAGGCCGTGCACACTGTGCTCAGGAGTGCAGGCTCCACACCCAGGCCACCCTTCAACCCCAGCTTTGGACTTGCCAATGCTGTGGCTTCAAGTGTGGGCCTTAACGGCTGCCCAATGAGAGAATAATATGCCCCTCATGAGGACAAATGCAGCGAGAGTCAATGGGACGTTTTCTATAAAGCAGTAGCTCCTGTTTTGAGGCAGGGAAGCTAGTGCATAGAGGAAAATGTTATTTCTGGCTAGCAAAGCAGGGTCTGTGGGATTGCATCCTAGCAATCCTCATCTTGACCTAGACCCTGCCCCTATGCAGCTCCCTGCACTGAGGTGTGCCAAGGTTTTGCTTTTTCTGAGTCTATTAATGTTTCCATGGTTGAAATACCACTCTCTGATTAGCTCAATAAGTCATTTTAAAAACAGCAATTTTTTTTATTATACTTTAAGTTTTAGGGTACATGTGCACAACGTGCAGGTTTGTTACATATGTATACATGTACCATGTTGGTGTGCTGCACCCATTAACTCGTCATTTAGCATTAGGAATATCTCCTAATACTATCCCTCCCCCCTCCCCCCACCCCACAACAGTCCCTCGTGTGTGATGTTCCCCTTCCTGTGTCCAAATGTTCTCATTGTTCAATTTCCACCTATGAGTGAGAACATGCGGTGTTTGGTTTTTTGTCCTTGCGATAGTTTGCTGAGAATGATGGTTTCCAGCTTCATCCATGTCCCTCATGAACTCATCCTTTTTAATGGCTGCATAGTATTCCATGGTGTATATGTGCCACATTTTCTTCATCCAGTCTATCATTGATGGACATTTGGGTTGGTTCCAAGTCTTTGCTATTGTGAATAGTGCCACAATAAACATACGTGTACATGTGTCTTTATAGCAGTATGATTTATAATCCTTTGGGTATATACCCAGTAATGGGATGGCTGGGTCAAATGGTATTTCTAGTTCTAGATCCTTGAGGAATCGCCACACTGTCTTCCACAATGGTTGAACTAGTTTACAGTTCCGCCAACAGTGTAAAAGTGTTCCTATTTCTCCACATCCTCTCCAGCACCTGTTGTTTCCTGACTTTTTAATGATCGCCATTCTGACTGGTGTGAGATGGTATCTCATTGTGGTTTTGATTTGCATTTCTCTGATGGCCAGTGATGATGAGCATTTGTTCATGTGTCTGTTGGCTGCATAAAATGTCTTCTTTTGAGAAGTGTCTGTTCATATCCTTCGCCCACTTTTTGATGGGGTTGTTTGTTTTTTTCTTGTAAATTTGTTTGAGTTCATTGTAGATTCTGGATATAAGCCCTTTGTCAGATGAGTAGGTTGCAAAAATTTTCTCCCATTCTGTAGGTTGCCTGTTCACTCTGATGGTGGTTTCTTTTGAAAAACAGCAAATTTTTTTATGATACCTAAAATGTTTTTTATTATACTTTAAGTTCTGGGGTATACATGCAGAACATGCAGTTTTGTTACATAGGTATACACGTGCCATGGTGGTTTGTTGCACCCATCAACCCGTCACCTACATTAGGTATTTATCCTAATGATATCCCTCCCCTCGCCCCCCATTCCCAGACAGGCCCTGGTATGTGATGTTCCCCACCCTGTGTCCATGTGTTCTTATTGTTCAACTCCCACTTAAGAGTGAGAACATGTGGTGTTTGGTTTTTCTTGTGTTAGCTTGCTGAGAATGATGGTTTCCATGTCCCTGCAAAGAACATGAACTTATCCCTTTTCATGGCTGCGTAGTATTCCATGGTGTATATGTGCCACATTTTCCTTATCCAGTCTATCATTGATGGACATTTGGGTTGGTTCCAAGTCTTTGCTATTGTAAATAGTGCCACAGTAAACATACGTGTGCATGTGTCTTTATAGCAGAATGATTTATAATCCTTTGGGTATATACCCAGTAATGGGATTGCTGGGTCAAATGGTATTTCTAGTTCTAGATCATTGAGGAATCACTACACTGTCTTCCACAATGGTTGAACTAATTTACACTCCCACCAACAGTGTAAAAGCATCCGATTTCTCCACATCCTCTCCAGCATCTGTTGTTTTCTGACTTTTTAATAATTGCCATTCTAATTGGCGTGAGATGTTATCTCATTGTGGTTTTGATTTGCATTTCTTTGATGACCAGTGATGATGAGCTATTTTTCATATGTTTGTTGGCTGCATAAATGTCTTCTTTTGAAAAGTGTCTGTTCATATCCTTCACTCACTTTTTGATGGGTTTTTTTTTTCTTGTAAATTTATTTAAGCTATTTGTAGATTCTGGATATTAGCCCTTTGTCAGATGGATAGATTGCAAAAATTTTCTCCCATTCTGTAGGTTGCCTGTTCACTCTGATGATAGTTTCTTTTGCTGTGCAGAAGCTCTTTAGTTTAATTAGATCCCATTTGTCAATTTTGGCTTCTGTTGCCATTGCTTTTCGTGTTTTAGACATGAAGTCTTTGCCCATGCCTATGTCCTGAATGGTATTGCCTGGGTTTTCTTCTATGATTTTTATGGTTTTAGGTCCTACATTTAAGTCTTTAATCCATCTTAAGTTAATTTTTGTATAAGGTATAAGCAAGGGGTCCAGTTTCAGTTTTCTTCATATGGCTAGCCAGTTTGCTCAACACCATTTATTAAATAGGGAATCCTTTCCCCATTGCTTGTTTTTGTCAGGTTTGTCAAAGATCAGATGGTTGTAGATGTGTGATGTTATTTCTGAGGTCTCTGTTCTGTTCCATTGGTCTATATATCTGTTTTGATACCAGTACCATGCTGTTTTTCTTACTGCAGGCTTGTAGTATAGTTTGAAGTCAGGTAGCATGATGCCTCCAGCTTTGTTCTTTTTGCTTAGGATTGTCTTAGCTATGTGGGCTCCTTTTTGGTTCCATATGAAGTTTAAAATAGTTTTCTCCAATTCTGTGAAGAAAGTCAGTGGTAGCTTGATGGGGATAGCATTGAGTCTATAAATTACTTTGGGCAGTGTGGCCATTTTCATGGTATTGATTCTTCCTATCTATGAGCATGGAATCCTTTTCCATTTATTTGTGTCCTCTCTTATTTCCTTGAGCAGTGGTTTGTAGTTCTCCTTGAAGAGGTCCTTCACATCCCTTGTAAGTTGTATCCCTAGGTATTTTATTCTCTTTGTAGCAATTGTGAATGGGAGTTCACTCATGATTTGGCTCTCTGTCTAATATTGGTGCATAGGAATGCTTGTGATTCTTGTGCACCGATTTTGTATCCTGAGACTTTGCTGAAGTTTTTCATCAGCTTAAGGAGATTTTGGGCTGAGACGATGGGGTTTTCTAAATATACAATCTTTTCATCTGCAAACAGGGACAATTTGACTTCTTCTTTTCCTAACTGAATACCCTTTATTTCTTTCTCTTGCCTGATTGCCCTGGCCAGAACTTCCAACACTATGTTGAATAGGAGTGGTGAGAGAGGGCATCCTTATCTTGTGCTGGTTTTCAAAGGGAATGCTTCCAATTTTTGCCCATTCAGTATGATATTGGCTATAGATTTGTCATAAATAGCTCTTATTATTTTGAGATACGTTCCATCAATACCTAGTTTATTGTGAGTTTTTAGCATGAAGCACTGTTGAATTTTGTCACAGGCCTTTTCTGCATCTATTAAGATAATCATGTGTTTTTTGTCATTGGTTCTGTTTATGTGATGGATTACATTTATTAATTTGTGTATGTTGAACCAGCCTTGCATCCCAGGGATGAAGCTGACTTGATCATGGTGGATAAGCTTTTTGATGTGCTGCTGGATTAGGTTTGACAGTATTTTATTGAGGATTTTCCCATCAATGTTCATCAGGGATATTGGCCTGAAATTTTCTTTTTTTGTTGTGTCTCTGCCAGGTTTTGGTATCAGGATGATGCTGGCCTCATAAAATGAGTTAGGGAGGATTCCCTCTTTTTCTGTTGTTTGGAGTAGTTTCAGAAGGAATGGTACCAGCTCCTCTTTGTACCTCTGTATAATTTGGCTGTGAATCTATCTGGTCCTGGGCTTTTGTTGTTGTTGTTGTTGTTGTTGTTGGTAGGCTATTAATTACTGCCTCAATTTCAGAACTTGTCATTGGTCTATTCAGGGATTCAACTTCTTCCTGGTTTAGTCTTGGGAGGGTGTATGTGTCCAGGAATTTATCCATTTCTTCTAGATTTTCTAGTTTATTTGCATAGGGGTGTTTATAGTTTTCTCTTATGGTAGTTTTATTTCTGTGGGATCAGTGGTGATATTCCCTTTATCATTTTTCATTGCATCTATTTGATTCCTCTGTCTTTTATTCTTTATTAGTCTGGCTAGTGGTCTATCTATTTTGTTGATCTTTTCAACAAACCAGCTTCTGGATTCATTGATTTTTTTGAAGGGTTTTTCATGTCTCTATCTCTTTCACTTCTGCTCTGATCTTAGTTATTTCTTGCCTTCTGCTAGCTTTTGAATTTGTTTGCTCTTGCTTGTCTAGTGCTTTTAATTGTGATGTTAGGGTGTCGATTTTAGATCTTTCCTGCTTTCTCTTGTGGGCATTTAGTGCTATAAATTTTCCTCTACACACTGCTTTAAATGTGTCCCAGAGATTCTGGTACGTTGTGTCTTTGTCCTCATTGGTTTCAAAGAACATCTTTGTTTCTGCCTTCATTTCGTTATGTACCCAGTAGTCATTCAGGAGCAGATTGTTCAGTTTCCATGTAGTTGTGCGGTTTTGAGTGAGTTTCTTAATCCTGAGTTCTAATTTGATTGCACTGTAGTCTGAGAGACTGTTTGTTATGACTTCCATTCTTTTGCATTTGCTGAGGAGTGTTTTACTTCCAATTATGTGGTCAGTTTTAGAACAATTGTGATGAGGTGCTAAGAA
Organism: Homo sapiens; assembly: GCF_000001405.40. Taxonomy (NCBI): domain Eukaryota; kingdom Metazoa; phylum Chordata; class Mammalia; order Primates; family Hominidae; genus Homo; species Homo sapiens. The sequence continues at coordinate 108,816,567 of NC_000006.12, forward strand.
GAATGTATATTGTGTTGATTTGGGGTGAGGAGTTCTGTAGGTGTCTATTAGGTCTGCTTGGTGCAGAGCTGAGTTCAAGTCCTGGATATCCTTGTTCATTTTCTATCTCGTTGATCTGTCTAATATTGACAGTGGGGTGTTAAAGTCTCCCACTATTATTGTGTGGGAGTCTAAGTCTCTTTGTAGGTCTCTAAGGACTTGCTTTATGAATCTGGGTGCTCCTGTATTGGGTGCATATATATTTAGGACAGTTAGCTCTTCTTGTTGCAATGATCCCTTTACCATTATGTAATAGCCTTCTTTGTCTCTTTTGATCTTTGTTGGTTTAAAGTCTGTTTTATCAGAGAGTAGGATTGCGACTCCTGCTTTTTTTTTTTGCTTTCCATTTCCTTGGTAAATATTCCTCCATCCCTTTATTTTGAGCCTGTGTGTGTCTTTGCACATGAGATGGGTCTCTTGAATACAGCACACCGATGGGTCTTGACTCTTTATCCAATTTGCCAGCCTTTTAACTGGGGCATTTAGCCTGTTTACATTTAAGGTTAATATTGTTATGTGTGAATTTGATCCGTCATTATGATGCTCGCTTGTTATTTTGCCCATTAGTTGATGCAGAAAAACAGCAAATTTTACCTCAATTAACAAATCTTCTGGTGATGAGGTTCATTTATACAGTAATTAGTGGACATTAAAATAAAGGAAGTGGCTTCCTTGCTGGGCTCGGAGGTGGTGTATTAATCTGTTTTCATGTTACTGATAAAGACATACCCGAGACCGGGCAATTTACAAAAGAAGAGGTTTAATCAGACTCACAGTTCTACATGGCTGGGGAGGCCTCACAATCATGGCAGAAGGCAAGAAGGAGCAAATAACATCTTACATGGATGGCAGCAGGCAAAGAGAGCTTGTGTGGAGAAACGCCTGTTTTAAAAACCATCAGATCTCATGAGACTCATTCACTATTGCAACAACAGCGCAGTAAAGGCCTGCCCCCATAATTCAATCACCTCCCACTGGGTTCCTCCCACGACATGTGGGAATTGTGGGAGTTACAATTCAAGACGAGATTTGGGTGGGGACACAGCCAAACCATATCAGGTGGCTGGCAGAGACATGGCTAAATGCACCAAGAAGGTAGGAGTCGTCAGTAAATATGGGACCCAATATGGTGCCTTTCTCAGGAAAATGAAGAAAATTGGAATCAGCCTGCAAGTAACATTTTGCTCCTTCTGTGGCAAAACCAAAATGAAGGGGTGATGTGGCACTGTGGCTCCAGCATGAAAATGGTAGCAGTGGTGCCTGGACTTACAACCCCAAAGTAAAGTCAGCTATCAGAAGACTGAAGGAATTGGAAGACTAGTAGAGGCTCCATTTCAAACATTACTGGCCTGTAATAAATAGGTTAACTTATGTGATTGTTTTTAAGGGATCATGTGACCCAGCACTGCCTTCCTTGGGCCAGGATGCCCCAGGGCACAGCTTCTTCTGCCTTGGGTCCACTGAAGGTGAACACAGCAACTCCCCAAAGCTGTGCCTCCCAGGTCCTTCTTCTGTCACAGACTCTCCACTTTCCAAACCCTCCTTCCTCTCTTGAAGGAGGGAGCCTCCAGTCCCCGCCAGCCATGTAGTCTTTGGCTCTATGAAAGGATAAGGTAACCAACTTATTTACACAAAGTGCTACCTAGCCAATCTTCTGGCTTCTATCTTTAACTGGAATGTGTCTTTTATCATCAATTGCTTAAAGGAGTTTCAGGCCTCAGTAGGAAAAGCTGGAGATGTTCCATTTTCAGGACAAGGGCTCTGGGTCAGTGAGTGCACCTGGAATTGTCCCAGGCCTATCTGCTGATGTTGGGGTTTTTAGGGAACCCTGGGGTAGGGAGCCAGAAGCCTAATGGTTCCCTGCTTCTTCCAACGGGGGTAACCAAGCAGGATTGGGCCTGGTACCAAAAGAGCCTGTGGGAGGAGGAACTCCTGCCTTTTTTTTGCCAGTCGTTCATATTCACTTCCCTACCTAAAGACAGATCCATCTGCTTCCTGTCTCCTTAAATGAGTCCTTGCCTTGCCTGTCCTTGACCCCAAGACTCTTAGCTACATGTATTATCATACCACAGTATTTTAAATCATGTTTAATCATTTCTTGGTACCAAACTTCCTGGCTGATATGGTCTGGATATTTGTCCCATCCAAGTCTCATGTTGAAATGTGATCCCCAGTGTGGGAGGTGGGGCCTAGTGAGGGGTGTTTGGGTCACGGGGGTGGATCCCTCATGAATGGCTTGGTGCCCTCCCAATGGTAACAAGTTTATGGGAGATCTAATTGTTAAAACAATCTCAGCACTTTGGGAGGCTGAGGTGGGCAGATCACCTGAGGTCAGGAGTTCAAGACCAGCCTGGTCAACATGGTGAAACCCCATCTCTACTAAAAATACAAAAATTAGCTGGGCGTGGTGGTGCATGCCTGTAATCTCAGCTACTTGAGAGGCTGAGGCAGGAGAATCATTTGAACCCTGGAGGCAGAGGTTTCAGTGAGCTGAGATCGGGCCATCACTGCACTCTATCCTGGGCGCCACAGCAACTCTGTCTCAAAAAAAAAAAAAAGAGTCTGGGACCTCACCCTTCTCTCTATTGCTTCTTTTCTCACCATGTGACGCATCTGCTCCCCCTTCACCCACTGCCATGAGTAAAAGCTCCCTGAGGTCTCACCAGAAGCTGAGCAGATGCTGGTGGCATGCTTGTACCGCCTGCAGAACCATGAGCCAAATAAACCTCTTTTCTTTATAAATTACCCAGCCTCAGGTATTCCTTTATAGCAATGCAGAATGGACTAATACGCTGGCCTTATTTCCTATCTCTTACCTCCCCTCTAACCCTATGTTTTCTTTGCCCTTTCCCTTTCCCTTTTCATTTCATTTCTTTTCTTTCCTTTTCTTTTCTTTTCTTTCCTTTCCTTTTCTTTTCTTTCTTTTCCAGGTCTCACTGTGTCACCTAGGCTGGAGTGAGTGCAGTGGCACGATCTCAGCTCATTGCAGCCTCTGCCTCCTGGATTCAAGCAATTCTCCTGTCTCAGCCTCCCAAGTAGGTGGGATCACAGGTGCCTGCCACCACGCCCAGCTAATTTTTATATTTTTAGTAGAGACAGGGTTTCACCACGTTGGCCAGGCTGGGTTCAAACTCCCGACCTCAAGTGATCCGCCTGTCTCGGCCTCCCAAAGTGCCGGGATTACAGGTGTGAGGCACCACGCCCGGCACCCTCTGTTATTTTTACCTCTACTAATAAAATGTCTGCCAAGGAAATGTGTCATTGAAATCATCCTTTTTGACTTTGTAGGAAAGCCATCGCAGGCATTTTGAGACATAAAATGCAGCATCAGTAACATAACCAGAGCAAAAGGTCTGACTTAAGCATAAGAACTCGAAAGAGAATCAGAAACATATTGTTTCCTTAACTTTAAACTCTGAAGAAGTCAAGGAAGCAATTTAATTTGAGGGCTATTTCTGTCAGGGAATTTGGTAGTGTCAGAAAAGCTGCAAGTCTGAGGGAAAATTCAGTAAAATAAAAGGAAGCTTGTTGTGTAACAATACTATTAAATTGTCAGCACGCTTCTTGAAGGTGGACCCAGGCAGTCCAGATGAAAGCAGGGAGGTTAAAATGTCACATTGCTCTGCTAAAGGGAACTGCCCTCCCAAACGTGCTACTTGACTTCTGGTTACTTCTCTCCATAATTCAAGTTATTTATGGACTTTGTAGAATCAAAACAAGGCCACGATGGCCCAATAATAGACTGGCTCATTTTCAGTTTGCAGGAATGTAAGTTGGGACTTAGACTTTTCATTTGATTTCTTGTTTTTATTTTAATTCTTTCTTTTCTTTTCTTTTTTTCCTTTGTGTTTTTTTGTTTTGTTTTGTTTGTTTTGTTTTGTTTCGTTTTCTGAAACAGGGTCTTGCTCTTTTGCCCAGGCTGGAGTGTGGTGGCGTGATTGTAGCTCACTGTAGCTGCCACTGCAGCCTCAACCTCTGGGTTCAAGCCATCCTCCCAGCTCAGCCTTTTGAATAGCTGGGACTATAGGCATGTGCCACCACACCCAGCTAATTTAAAAAATTTTTTGCAGAGATGAGGTCTCCCTGTGTTGCTTAGGCTGGTCTTGAACACCTAGGCTCAAGCCATCCTCCCACTTCGGCCTCCCAAAATGTTGAGATTACAGGTATGAGCCACCATGTCTGGCT